>NC_000010.11:75370368-76620368 GCF_000001405.40 Homo sapiens
TCTATTCTGGCACACAAATCAATGAGTGATCTTCACATTAACATTCTGGCCTCACAAACACGGATGCTCATCTGGGAAGGTGCTTGTGGCCGAATCCTGCGGCTGGGGTGCTTTACATTTAAAAATTCCCAGCCGGGCATGGTGGCTCATGCCTGTAATCCCAGCACTTTGGAAGGTCGAGGCAGACGGATCATGAGGTCAGGAGTTTGAGACCAGCCTGACCAACATGGTGAAACCCTGTCTCTACTAAAAATACAAAAATTAGCTAGGCATGGTGGTGCATGCCTGTAATCCTAACTACTCGGGAGGCTGAGGCAGGAGAATCGCTTGAACCTGGGAGGCAGAGGTTGCAGTGAGCCAAGATTGTGCCACTGCACTCCAGCCTGGGCGAAAAAGAGAGGCTCCATCTCAAAAAAAAAAAAAAAAAAAAAAAAAAAAAAAAAAAAAAATTCCCATTGTTTTACAGTGAGATACATTGGAACTATTAACTAATTTTTAACAATTCTGGCTGCTTCCTTCTCTGTCTCTCTCCAGCCTGCAACCCCTTCAAGTGAAGCTGTTTTATGCTGGATGCCTCAAGGAAGAGAGGACAGCAGAAAGAGATGTCCTGGCTTTCGACTTTTAGAAACCTAGCTCAAAGTGAGAAAAGTGAGGGGCAGGAAAAAGGGTCCAGGGAAAGAAGTAAAAATGATGTAAGAGAATATCTCACTGCCAAGACTAGCAAATGGGGACCTGGGAGGTTCAGAGGTTAGGATCTGAGAGGACCAGGACTGGCCTCCGAGGCACTGTGCCTGGAGCGGAGACAGCATCCAGGGAGCTCCAAAATTCCTTGTAGAGAAGCTGAGTCAGCACCCCTGGTCCACAGAGTCTCCATCTAAGGGTTAAGATGTGGATCAAGAAAGGTCTGGAAGGCTGCAGGGCTTCAGGAGGGAATACAGGAGGCCACTCAGCCTGGGACAGAATTGTTCAATGGTTTGAACCCAAACACTGGGAGCACTCAATAGAAATCTGTCATGGTTTGGCAAGAGTGGGTTGGTGTTTCCAGAGCTGACTGGATCCCTCTCTACCTCTTCTCTCTCTCTCTGCACCTGCTTCAGCCTTTCCTGTCACTGCCAAAGATCTTTTCCTGCTCCTCAGTCTATACGGCCTACCATGGCTGCTCTCAGACTCTCATACATCCTTGATTTCACACCCAGAGCCAGACTGACTTCTTTCTCGGGTCTCAGCACCTTATTCCTGAAGCCATTTGTGATTGGCCCAGCTTGGATCAGGTAGGTGCCCATCAGGCATTCATCCCTGGACCAATCTGCTGCACGTGGGGGTGAAGTCCATTGTATTAAGTCCGCAGATACTCCAATCTATGATGGGAGTGATGAGATGGTAGGGGTGGGGTGGTCTCTGAGCAGACCAGGTAATTTCCCTTAGGCTGCTCCTGGGAGACCATGAATATTCCCCCTGGCTTTCAAGGCTTGCCACACCTACCATCTTACCTCTGCCACTGTCTGCTCAACATGCCTGCCTGCCTCATTCAGTCTATCTTTCAATTAAAAAGAGGGTTTTTTGTTATTGTTTTGTTTTTGAGACAGAATCTCACTCTGTTGCCCAGGCTGGAGTGCAGTGGCACAATCTCTGCTCATTGCAACCTCCGCCTTCTGGGTTCAAGCCATTCTCCCTTCCTCAGCCTCACGAGTAGCTGGGATTACAGGTGCCCGCTACCACTGCCCAGCTAATTTTTGTAGTTTTAGTAGAGACAGGGTTTCACCATGTTGGCCAGGCTGGTCTCGAACTCCTGACCTCAGGTGATCAGCCCGCCTTAGCCTCCCAAAGTGCTGGGATTACAGGCGTGAGCCACTGTGCCTGGCCTAAAAAGTTTTTATTGTGTATTTTTCTTAACACAAAAGCAGCACATGTTCACTGTAGAAAGACAGACTCTTATGTGCCCAGAAGCACAAGTCTCTTGGATTCAGAAAATAAAAAATGATGTGGTCCAGAGAGGGAGGTGAACAAGTAACTCAGTGACATTTGTACTGAGCATTGTGATTGGGCTCGTCTACTCCACTAAAGGGCCAGGCACTCCAGAGCAGAGACAGTATCCACCACAGCATCAAAACAGTTCAAAGTAGTGCACAGGTTTTCTGTAAGCACCTGCCTGACTCAATGAACGACTGTACCCCTAGGCTCAGCCTGGCCAGGGTGGCCAGAGTGGCTGGGAAATCTACTCAACCAGGGACAGGATTGTTTAATGGTTTGAACCCAAACACTGGGAGCACTCAATACAAATCTATTGTGGTTTGATAAGAGTAGGTCGGTGTTTTCAGAGTTGACTGCAAGATCAGGCTAATGTACTGTGGGCAACGACCCCCAATCCAAGCCCGAGTTTCCTGGATTGTGTTCAGGTTTGGGAGAGTTCAGGGGGTATTTTCCCAACTGGAGCCCTCTTTGGGTCCCCATGGCACCCTGAACCCATTTCCATTACAGCCCCCTTAGACTCTTGGGGCACTTTCTCATTCACACCTTGGTTTGCCTCTGGCAGAGACCCAGAGAAGGCAAAGACCTTTTCTTGTACATCCCTGTATCCTTGAGAGCTTCCTTCCAGAGAGATGCAGTGCCTCCCTTCCAGAGGAAGGAAAGAAGGAAGGGAGGCTGGGGGAAGGAAGGGAAGGAGCCAATCTGCTTTTGTACACTGGGAAAAACGAACCTCTTCTTAAGGCGCACAAGCTCCGCCCCTCTTCAGGGTCGTGCACGTATTCGCCATCTTCCGCGACTGTCACCTGTGGACGGCTAACAGCTCAGCCCTTCACTGGGCATTGCGCTTGGCTGCAGGGAACTGCTTTGCCCAAAGTTATGGCTCTATCTGTGTGGCCTGTGGCCAGTGACTGGCAGATGGAGGCACAAAGGCCAGCCCTTTGTCTCAATTAAGGACAACTCTGGAGCATCCTGCAAGACTGGATGAGGTGTCTGTTGCAACCACATTTGGGGTCATTTTCTCTCCGCCCAATCCTGTCTTCTCAGTTTCCTTACAGATATATCTCCTGAGAGCACTCCCCAATAAACCTGCGTGTACCTCCTTGTCTCAGTGTATCTTTCCAACCGAAGACACTCACCTCGCAGACTCTGGGAACCCGCAGGATATCTGGAGCCTCCATTAAAGGCTGTGGTCACTCACCCACCTGGGACTCCCTTTCCTAGAGACCAAGGAAACTCTGCGCACCGTTCTCAACACCAGACCGTGTGAGGCTGAGGGAGAGGCACTGGAATGACAGAATCTGGAAGCCCTGGGTTCTGCCACTGGTGAGCTGGGTGACTTACGCAAGTCCATTAACTCCTCTGACCCACAGGGTTCTCAAATGCAAAACAAGGAGAGGAATTTCCTATCTCATAGGGTTAATTCAGAATTCATAAGTGAATGGGCTTTGCACAGTGCGGGACACAAAGTAGAAATACACAAGTGTGAAAGTTTGGCTTTCAGAGTTTCCTGCCCATCTCCAGCTCCTTACCTCCCTCTATCCCCACCCTCTTTCCACACATCATTCCAGGACAGGTGTGGCCAGCAGCAGAAGGGCCAACTGACCCCCACCAGGGGACCTGTGGCTTTGGCTCTCCACAGTGACTTGGCATACTCTAAAATGCAAGTCACTTAAGGTCTATTAAAAGGTAAGTCATGGGCAGGCACGGTGGCTCACGTCTGTGACCCCAGCACTTCGGGAGACCGAGGCAGGTGGATTACTTGAGGCCAGGAGTTTGATGCCAGCCTGGCCAAGATGGTGAAACCCAGTCTACTAAAAATACAACAATTAGCAGGCCATGGTGGTGCACAACTGTGGATGCAACTACGAGGTGGGAGAATCGCTTGAACCTGGGAGATGGAGGTTGCAGTGAGCCAAGATCACGCCACTGCCCTCTACCCTGGGCCACAGAGCGAGACTCCATCTCCAACAACAACAAAAAAACAAACAAACAAAAAACAAAGTAAGTCACGTCCACTGTTCCCACGGCTTCCTGTCTTTCTGACCCTTTTCTGCAACTAAACCTCTTATTTTCTCCAGCCACATCAGCCTCTAGCTGTGCATCACTCATACCAGATGGACTCCCACCTGGGGTCTTCGCACTTGCCACCCTCTTGTCCTAGAACAGCTTTCCACCCAGCTCACACTCTCCTCTCCTTCAAATTCTTACCCGAAGGTCAGAGAGGCCTTTCCTGACACCCCTGCCCCATTAAAAATAGCAGAACTCCCCAGCCCTGCCTATCCCAACTCTCCACTTCAGCACTCCTCACCATCCAACATGCCGTGTGGTTTCTTTATTCACTGCTTGTCTTTCTCCATTGGAAGAGAGGACAGTCTACTGTCTCCCAGTACCTACAACAGCATCTGGCGTGAAATACATGCACAATATGTTTTGTTAAGTGAATGAATGAGCCTGTTTGTATGCTTCACAGGCAGGTGAAACTGAACAAAGCAAATCCACTAGTGAAACCAGGGAAAATTGATACCAGCCCTTGGAAAAGGAGGGATAAAAGTCCCCAAGCTTGGCTAGAATCTAAAGTTTGTGCCAGGCCAAGGCAGTACCTAGGATCTCTCCTGCCACCCCAACCAGGAGCTTCTTGAGGGCAGGAGCCATTGCCCCACTATCTCTCTATTAGCTGCTCGGTGGCCAGATTGGTCCCTGGCAAGTGGAAAAAAGGCTGTGATCCAATGAGTTTGGGAAGGATTAAGTGAAGTTAAACAAGTTTCCCAACTCCAGGATTTTTCAGAGCACCCCTCTTTTTTTAAAATGGAGTCTTGCTGTGTTGCCCAGGCTGGAGTGCAGTGGTGCAATCTCAGCTCACTGCAACCCCTGCCTCCCGAGTTCAAGCGATTCTCCTGCCTCAGCCTCCTGAGTAGCTGGGACTACAGGCACATGCCACCACACCTGGCTAATTTTTTTGTATTTTTAGTAGAGAAGGGGTTTCACCGTGTTAGCCAGGATGGTCTTGATCTCCTGACCTCGTGATCTGCCTGTCTCAGCCTCCCAAAGTGCTGGGATTTACAGGCATGAGCTACCGTACCCAGCCCAGAGGCTTTCATATGTAAATATAAGTTATAAGTCCAAATGGGGGCTTATGTTTTGAAAAGTTTTCCAAACTATCTGACCATGGAATCCATCTTTCTTTTTCCTTTTCTTTTTGAGACAGAGTCTTGCTCTGTCCCCTAGGCTGGAGTGCAGTGGCACAGTCTCAGCTCACTGCAACCTCCACCTCCTGGGTTCAAGAGATTCTCATGTCTCAGCCTCTGTAGTAGCTGAGATTACAGGCCCATGCCACCACACCCGGCTAATTTTTGTATTTTCAGTAGAGACTGGGTTTTGCCATTTTGGCCAGGCTGGTCTTGAACTCCTGGCCTCAAGTGATCTGCCCACCTCAGCCTTCCAAACTGCTGGGATTACATACATGAGCCACTGAGCCCGCGGAACCCATTTTTCAAGGTGAGTAAAGGATCCACAGAGTATGCTTTGGGAAACAGTGGCATAACCTCACTATCTGAAATGCAAGGGATTCTGGAGGAAATCTAGTGCTCTACATCCTCTTCACAGAGGAGGAAGTGAGAAGTGAGAGAGGGAACCCCAGAGTGGGAACCGGAGGTACTGCACGTCACAAGGCAGATCAGAAGTGAGGCTAGGGCTAGAATCAGCCATCTCTAGCCTCCAGAATACATGCTGCTTTCAGTCCTGACTCTGGGGTTCTGGACCTTGGATTATCAGGCCTGCTTTGCTCACTTGCTCTTAAGAAGTGCCAGGAACTTAAAAGAGGAAAGGCCTCAGAGATGTGGAAGTCCCACTGCTGACATCACTAGGTGTTCTGGCCTCTGCTTCCTGCCATGACCCAACTCTGGGCTTGTAATCTGTGCCTGGGAGCCCAATGTTTCCCACCTACACCTCCTTCCTTGCCCCACCACCCCTCTCTGGCTTAGGTGTCATATTAGTCCATTCTCATGCTGCTATGAAGAAATACCTGAGACTGGGCATGGTGGTTCATGCCTGTAATCCTAGCACTTTGGGATGCTGAGGTAGGCGGATCACTTGAGGTCAGGAGTTCGAGACCAGCCTGGCCAACATGGCGAAACCCTGTCTCTACGAAAAATACAAAAATTAGCCAGGTGTGGTGGCACGCACCTGTATTTCCAGCTAGTTAGGAGGCTGAGGCATGAGAATTGCTTGAACCTGGGAGGTGGAGGATGCAGTGAGCCGAGATGATGCTACTGTACTCCAGCCTGGGTGACAGAGGGAGACTGTCTCAAAAAAAAACAAAAACAAAAACAAAAAAACCTGAGACTGGTTTAATACCTGAGAGAGGTTTAATTGACTCACAATTCTGCGTGGCTGGGGAGGCCTCAGGAATCTTACAATCATGACGGAAGACATCTCTTCACAGGGTGGCAGAAGAGAGAATGCATGCCTTCACTCAGGCGAAGGGGGAAGCTCCTTATAAAACCATCAGATCTTCAGTGAGAACTCACTCACTGTCACGAGAACAGCATGGGGGAACCGCCCCATGATTCAATTATCTCCACCTGGTCCTGCCCTTGACATGTGGGGATTATTACAATTCAAAGTGAGATTTGGGTGGGGATACAGAGCCAAACTATATCAGGTGTTCTCAAAGTGTGGTTCTGGGACCAGCAACATCAGCATCACCTGGGTGCTTGCTAGAAATGCAAACCCTCTAGATTCACCCCAGACCTACTGAATAAGAGACTCTGGGGGTGGGCCCAGCAATCTGTGTCTTCACAAGCCCTCAGGACGTTGTGACTCAGGCTAAAGTTTGGGAACCACTGCCCTCAACCACACTAACTCAGACTACGCAGCTCCAGAGAAGGGCCTTTCCTGGGCCTTTCAGGCGCCCAGTGACAAGGTAACCTCCAGGGCTCTTAGGAAGGATCATGGAAAGCCCAGGGCACAAAATCTCCAGAGTTTCTTATAGAGCTCAGTGGGTTCCAACCACTTGAACTTGTCACCACCTAAACCCTGGAGTTAATTTACTCTCTGCTTCATTTCATTCGTTGGTCTAATCCATAGCTGCAATTTTATAAAACACAGACCTGGGCTGGGGAGTTTTTCAGGGTCCCATTCTGAAATAAATCATGGCAGTTGGTGGGCTATATGACACATGCATGGGGTGTCTGGAAGCATCTGAGTTCTACCTCAGTCCATGTAAGCCGAGGTGGGGTCTTTTTAGTGCATCAAGAGAGGTGCCTCTATTGAGTTCAATAGGTCCTTTTGGGGAATCCATCTGCTTCCCTCATTTCTATCCAGGTTGAAGTGGGCATGTGGGACTTTTGTAAAGAAACTGTAATCCCAGGGTTGCTGCATGGAGTAATTGCAGGGAATACCATTGTGCAATGCGAGGTCTGCATGGCCACACATGATGGTCCCAGAACACTGTGTTAGTCCATTCTTGCATTGCTATAAAGAAATGCCTAAGAGTGGGTAATGTATAAAGAAAAGGAGTTTTATTGGCTCACAGTTTTACAGGCTGCACAGGAAGCATAGCAGCTTCTGTTTCTGGGGAGGCCTCAGGAAACTTTCGATCATGGTGGAAGTTGAAGGGTAAGCAGGTACATCTTACATGGCCAGAACAGGAGGAAGAGAGAGAGGAGGGAGGTTCCACACACTTTTAAACAACTGTCTCATGAGATAGTGAGATCTCATGAGAATTCACTATCTCGAGGACAGCACCAGGCAGGGGAGGCCGGGGAGGATGGTGTTAAGCCATGAGAAACCACCCTCATGATCCTATCACCTCCCACCAGGCCCCACCTCCAGCACTGGGGATTACATTTCAACATGAGATTTGGGTGAGGACACAGATCCAAACCATATCAGACCCCTACCCTCCTTGCTGTCACTCAGAAAAAGGACAACCCCTTCTTTTCCAACCCCCATCCCCAACTGGCTTCACAGATGGGCAGGAAGCTCCTCAAATGTGCCCATCAGAAGGATGGCTGGGCGAAGGTAGGCCACTATCTGCTCCCCACCAAGCACCACAGCCCTGGTGGTCTCCAGATTGCATCTCTGGTCACTGCCTCAGCTCCCATGGCTTATGCTTCCTGGGGGAGGGTGTAGATAATCTGGGTACCCACCCACTCCGCACTTATCCATGACCCACTCTCTCCTCCCTCCCTCCCTCAGCCCAGGCAGCAGTGCCTCTGCTGTGGCAGCCCTCCATCCATCCTCATCATTCAGAGGCCTCTGAAAGTATGCCTGTCAATATAATGCATGGCCTGTTGAGGGGAAGTGACATTTTGAATAGTGGACACTTTCTGGGAGCATTCATCCTAGGTCAGCCTCGTGATAAATAAATACATTTGGAGTTTGAAGTCAGCAGGCAGGATACAGGGACCAGAACACAAGCACAGATGCACACACCATAAGGCTGAGTTGATGGGGTGGACATAGGATGTGACAGAAAGGGAAAGAGGGAAGGCCCCACAAGCAGATTTTGGGGGCAATTTATTCTCTTTCTTCCTGGCACCTCTAGGGAAAACAGGAAGCAAAAGAAGCTGCAATTTCCTTTATTCCTGAACCACAAGAAGGTCCCTGTTTCCTACCACCCTGTCTGTTCCTCACCTGTGCCTCTCCACACCCCCCAAACCCCAGTCCCGATCTTAATTACCCCTAACAGTGCCCTAAACAAAGTATTTATAAGGCTTACTGTGTTTGTCCTCCCGTTCCTATTAATAAAGTCTGGGAATGTAGGAAAGAAATATGGGCGGGTGACAGGGTATTTAATGGTGCCTCACCTTAAATGCATTTTAAAATATGTAAATCAATAAAAAAATTATTTGTAATAGCAGCCTAAGAGTGCTGGTTAGCCTGGCGCGGAGTGAAATGCATGCTACGAGCCCTATTACCATACATCCTGGGAGCTGTAGTTAGGATTAATCTGTCAAAGGGGATGGTTTAGTGTTGATGAATATGACATGTGACCATTAACGATGTTGATTTTATCTCCCGAGATTAGCATGATTTACTTCGGATGGATAATAATGTCATTTGCTTGATGCAGTAGATCTGTTTACGAGCTGATTAAATTGTAAGGCCTTGCCTCATTTCATGCTATTTGGTTTACAGCTTCATTACCACAATCACAAAAGCTGGGGAAATGTCCCACATTCCATGTCACAATAAATCACTGCTTCACGTTGCTGGGATGGATTTTAGCAGTTCTGCCCAGCACGGACTGTTCTTGGCTCCCCACTAATCTGTGATCCAGAATACATTAGGCGGATCTTCAGGAACACTGGAATGAGAGGGGGAAGGAATCCTCTTGGATCTTTTAATTGAGTGAGATTAAGGAAGTCCTTGAGTAATTAGCTGTAACAAATTACCTTATTATTTAGACAGTGAAGTCACTGTTTTTGTTGCAGGTATGATTATCATAAATATGCAGAAAAGTGACACTCGAGGAACCAGAGGGAAGCGTGGACGCAAATTTCATTTTTGTCCTGTGATTCTTTGTTGCAGGAGAGAGGCCATCCAAATGCAAGGTGGGCAGGGGGTCCTCATCACGTGCTTCTTCCAGGCGGGGTGGGAGGGGGTGCACGCCACACACCCACAGCATGGCCTGCTCAGCACCTCTGGGTGGGAAGTGGCTGAAGTGGAAGGAATAGAGTGTCTGGTAACATGGGTTAGAATAGAAGTGTGTGAACCAGACCTGCTCACTCTATGCCAAACCTGTGCCCAGACTGACCTGGCAGTAGAGACTCTCCCTTCAGTGCATGAGGGAGAGGGAAGAACAACAGAGATGGAAAAGGCAGGGCTACTTACCCCTTGGAAGACTGCGGAGGCAGATTTAACACAGGCCTGAAATGACTGTCTTCATTTCCGGAATACCTAAGAGGTTTAGAGCGCTTACCACCTTCCAGGTCCCGTTCTCCCCAGTTACATAACCCTGGGAAGTTGGGACCATTATTCTCATCCTATGTTACAGATGAGGAAACTGAGGCTCAGGGAGCAACATGCCCAAGGTCACAGAGCCAGCCAGCTACAGAGCTGGAGTTTGAACCCAGACAATGGGGCCCTGGAGCTCAGCACGGTACCTATAGGCCACTGAAGCAGGCTCTAATGACTCAGGGTGAGGAGGGCACATTTTCAGGATTTTTGCTTCTGACTCCAGAATTAAAGCCCATAACCCCGAATGGGCCCTGTCTGGGAAGGATTTAAGATCAGCAATAATGAGAAGCACTGAGGCCAGGTCTTGAGTGGAAACTTTAGTAAGGTTTTGCACTGAGCAAAATCAAAGAGGATATGAAACTGCTTCCTCGAGATTCCGCCTTTGGAAATAGAATGCAATCATGTCAAAGAGCAAAGGTGGCTTCTCTGCATCTCAGCTCAGAATGTCCCTAAAATACCAAGAGACAAAGGGGAAAAAATGTGGCCCCTGAAAATTCTGCAGAAGAGGTAATATTGTTTCAAAGTTCCATGCAATTTTATGTCTGAACTTCAGACTTGGCCCTCAAGTGCCTGCACCCACTAAAAAGAACCCATCATGATCCCCTTATGGCAGTGGCCATACAGACCTCGAATTGCATCATGGCATTCGCGGGAATTATTCAGTGCAGCTGAAATTATAGTTTCTTTATGAAAATCCCACACGCTCACTCCAACCTGGAAAGAAATCCAGGCCCTCCAATCTCCATTCCTTCTTTTTCCTGTAATGAAACCCTGATTTGTAATTGATTTTAACAAAATAAAGACTACATTATCTAGCCTCTCTTGTAGCTAGATGGGTCTTGTGACCGAATTCTGGCCAATAAGATGTAAGAGGAACTGTTGTGGCAACTTCTGGGATGTGCGTGTGTAATTTTTGTTTGTTTGTTTTGTTTTGTTTTGTTTTGAGACAGGGTCTTGCTCTGTTGTCTAGGCTGAAGTGCAGTGGTGCCATCACAGGTCACTGCAGCCTCAACCTCCCAGGATTAAGCAATCCTCGTACTCAACTTCCCCAGTAGCTGGGACTACAGGCACACGCCACCATGCCTGGCTAATTTTTTTTGGTAATTTTTGTAGAGATGAGATCTCACTATGTTGCCCAGGCTGGTGTCAAGCTCCTAGCTTTGAATCCCCCACCTCAAACTTCCAAAGTTCTGGGATTACAGGCATGAGCCACTGTGTGTGGCCTGGGATGTGTTCTTAAAGGGAAGGGGTACACTTTTCTCTTCTTATTCCTGTTGGCTGAGAGGGAGATGTGATAGCTGGCACTCATGCAACCAGTATGGACCATGTGAAGAGGATAGTGGAGCAACAAAATAGAACTTTGAGTCTCTGATAACTTCATGAATTTGCCATGCCAATCCTGGGCTGCCTCCAGATTTCAATTGTGTGTATATGTGTGTGTGCAGTGGGGGGACAAATGGATAAAGAGTTATTTTCATTTTCTGTCACTTGCCACAGAACCTAATTCTTTTTTTTTTTTTTTTTTTTTTTTTTTTTTGAGACGGTCTCACTTGGTGGCTCAGGCTGGGCACAATCTCTGCTCACTGCAACCTCTGCTTCCTGGGTTCAAGTGATTCTCCCATCTAAGCCTCCCGAGTAGCTGAGACTACAGGCATAAGCCACCGTGCTCAACTAATTTTTGTATTTGTTTTGGTAGAGACAGGGTTTTACCATGTTGGCCAGGCTAGTCTTGAACTCTTGACCTCAAGTGATCCACTTGCCTTGGCCTCCCAAAGTGCTGAGATTATAGGCCTGAGCCACCACACCCAGCCTACAGAACCTAATTCTAATAAACAAACCCATAATTCAGTTCAGCCATGAGCCAAAATGGTGGTAGTCAAATACTCCCTTAAAGTATGAGGGAGTCATACTTTTTTTTCATGTTTCAGTGGTATGTTTAATTAAACAAATGCTCATGACAGATTTTCACAACAGCAACAAATGTTATTTCACAACATCAAATCTTCCTTACTAAGGAAAAAATGGGAACAACAACAAGGCTGATGGATTTGGATTATTTTTCATGTTTCCTGGAGGTAAAAGCAGTGTCCTCAACTTGTATTCCTCTGTTTCCTCATGTCGGAGACTATCTGTTTCCATTCTCTTTACCTCCTCTCTGGCTGTGTGTCCCCAGAAGGCAGCCTGGATTTTGACAGCAGCAACCTCTTCTTTTTCCTTATCTTCCTCAGAAGAGTCTAAGATGGTGACTGGTGTCTCTTTCTCCTTCCCAGATATTGGAGAGTTTTCTTGTTTAGGATCACATTTCTCAGGTGGTTCTTGCTCCTCGAATGCATGACTGTTCTAGAAGCAGTCTTCTACCTGAGTCCCCCATTCTGCTGGATCAAAAGTGGTTTTCTCTCTTTTCTCTGGAAAGCTGTCAAAATATGCTGCTGCAAAAGCTGTATATTATCTGGTTGCTCTCTCAGAATCTCGTGGGTCAGCTCTTTAAGAAGACTCCCAAATCCTTGCAGAATTCAGTAGTGGGTATTGGAGAATGGAATCGACATCCTCTTGGTAAGAACTGCCTATGGAGCCTCCTCTTTCTCTGGGAGCTGGTGCCGCTGGTCCAGCTTACTTCCTCCTCTGACCTCATGTTCTAGGGATGCATGATCTCTCTCTTCCGGGGCAATTCAGGACCAGCACTGTCCAGCCTGCATCCTTCTTACTGATATCTGCCTTTCTTCCCCTAGGCTTCCTAACACACTGCTCTGGATTCTCTGGTTGAAGGTTCAGCTGTGGCTGCAGCTCTTGACTTGCTCTTGATGTCAGGACACTGGGTTGGAAGCCCGAGGGGCCCATGGTCCTCATTGTGTAACCTGGGAGAAGGTTGGGCTTTTACACATGAGTCCTCATGATTTTTCTCAAACGGATTCTTCCCCATCCCAGCACACACCTTGCAGCCTCTTGACAGAGCACCCATCCATCTAGGGCTGGGGAAAAACCAGAATTTTCTGAGCAGAAAACTCTATTCTAGGGTGCTCCTCAGCCCCCATTCCTCCTGATGTCTACCACAGGTCCAATCCTCTTCCTCTAAGGCTCCAGCTCCTCTTGCCTGAGTTTCCCCCCACTTCTGCTTTCTTTTCTAGGATTTTCAGACCTCCAGGGTCCTGGGAGACCAGGGCAGAGGTCATCCCACCAGAACATGTCTTGGTGACTGCAATCTCTGCCCCTCAGACCCCAGCATTTCCTGAGCTCTGTGGGCCGCCCAGTCATACCCTCACCCAGGCAATCTTGGAGTCACTTTGTGACTCAGCCGCTCAGTCTCCTGGTCACTTAGTCACTCAATCAGCTCTTCGGTAGTTAAATCAACTAACCAGTCACATGCTTCTGCCCTTGGCCAGGTGCTCAGATACTTCTTACTCCGCCATTTCATTTGCTATCTGTTCATTGATCAGCCATTCACTGAACCTGAATGAGCCAGCCCTGTGCTAAGTTAGTGGGGATAAACAGACACCAGGTACAAACCCTGTCCTGAACCAGGGCAGCTGCCAGTCTGTGTCCATCAGTCATTGGTCTGGCAGTCTGTTGGCTATTTAATTGATCTATTGGTCAATCAGCATGCCAGCTATTTGATCAATGGCCAGACCCTTGCCCTGGCAGACACTTGTCCTTGTGCTGAACTCTCAGGGTGTGTAGTCATCAGTCCATTCTTCAAAGGTGATTAGGAGACCTCAGAGGCTCCAGGAGGAGGTGCTCTGGAGCTGTGATGGAAGTTTAGGACGAGTCTGGCTCCTGTGGGAACTGGAAGGCCTGTGGGGCTTGCTCCCAAGTCAGGCCTCAGCTCAGGTGCTGGGAGGTGTGGGGCAGGGGATGCGGTCTGCTCTGTGTGGTGGGCGCTCCTGTCTGAGAACACTGAGGGCCCTGGATTCCAGCCCCCCTCTCTCCCTCCCTCCTGGTGATGGTGCAGACACACACACACATGCGCATACACACACTGATAATCTCACACATGCACACACAGACTCACACCACACACATAAACTCATGAACTCAGATATATGATCACATACAAATTCACAAACACACACACACTCGTACACACTTTCCCATATGGACTCACACAGGCACCAGCACACACTCATAAACACATAGAGTGTCACTTGGGCTTGTCCAAAAGTAAGTTTGTCCCTCATCACAGGCAGGCCCCCACAGATAGCCCCATGCCACACTCAGAGATAGGTCAAGTAGCAG
This sequence comes from Homo sapiens, assembly GCF_000001405.40. Classification (NCBI taxonomy): domain Eukaryota; kingdom Metazoa; phylum Chordata; class Mammalia; order Primates; family Hominidae; genus Homo; species Homo sapiens. Next base: position 75,384,529 of record NC_000010.11, read on the forward strand.
TCTTACATCAAGGCAAGTGCCACATGGACACAACTCCCTTGCCACATCCTCACTCCTAGCCCCTAGCTGGGTAGCTACCCAGCCAGGCCCCTAGCAGGGACACAGCCCTGTAGCCCTGCGGCCCAGCACCCAAATGATGCTCTGGCCATGGAGCCCTGTGCACCTCCCCAAAGCCCCCACCTGGTTGGGGTCATGCTCAGAGTTTGAGGAACCCTGACTCCCCACACTGGGGCCACATTCCCTCTTGAGCCAGTTTTCCTCTGAGGTCTCTTGTCCCCACAGGAGGTGATGCCTCTGGCTACCTCCCTGTCCCCAGCCCCCTGGGACTACCCATTGGTCTTGAGTCTTCCTCGCTGACCTTCATCCCTCTGCCTCTCCAAGTCTGATGTTGTTCCTCACAAAGGTGCTCAAAGGGAACTCGGACACCTTTCTGTCCTTGGTGCTGAGACCCCATGCTATCCTCCCAGTTCTCTGCTACCAGACCACCCTTCTCGAGATGGAGATAGATGAGGGATGGGGAGCTGGGAATGTCCTTTTAAGGGGGTTCTCTATGGGGCCACGCCAAGGACAGAGCCTAGGGGAGGGACAAAGAGGTGGCCATCTTAGGGACCCGGAGGCCAGCAAGGCAGTGAGCTGAGAAACAGAAACATGGATAGAGGGACTTGCTATGGCTGGAGAAAGGCCAATCAGGAGACACACAGGAAGGTCACCGAGGTCACCCCTCTTCTGTGTGGCTGGGAGCATTCTCTTGGGATGGGCAAAGTGATACTGGCCTGTCTCAGTTATCTACTGCTACAAGAAAAAGAGTCTCAAATCAAGGGGCTTAAAAACAAGCCCAACTTTTATTTTATTCACAAATTGGCAATTTCGGTGAGGCTTAGTGGGGAGGGCTCATCTTGCTCCACTCCATTTTGGTCAGCTGGGGCGGCCCAAAGCCTGGGCCAGGAGTTGTCTGAACCTCATTCACTCATGTGGCTGGCACTTGACACTGCTGTTGGCTGGGGCTTCAGCTGGGGCTGTTGGCCAGAACACTCCCACATGGCCTGTCCTGTGGCTGCATGGCTTCCTCACAGCATGGTGACTGGGTCCCAGGGGTGTGCATTTCCAGAGGAAGCTGTTTCACTGGTTACAATTTAGCCTTGGAAGTCCCATGGCATCACTTCCACTCCAACCACAGTCGAGGAAGGAGTGTCAGCTCCATAGTGTGAGAAGAGTATATGGGATGGGATATATTGGTGGCACCAATGATTGGAAAATACAACTGGCAGAATGACTGTTCTTCATAAACCTTCCTCATAAGTTTCAGCCTCCACCCTTACTCTAGCTTTCTTCTTCTGTTTTTTTTCTCCTTGGGTACACATCACTCACACCCCAGGTTTCAGCTTTCTCTTCTCTGTATACAATTCAAAAATTTACAGCTCCAGCCCTGACGCAATGCAGGCATCAGAAACTCAAGCCATACAAAAGTCTATCTCCCTGCCAAAGCCTGCTCTCCCTCTAGAATTTCTTCCAGGTACCCAGGCTTGGGTTCTACTTCATCCATTCCCCCATTTCCCCTGGCACATGGAACAACGAGAGACTAGAGATGAAGCCAGAAACTACATTTCACAGCCTCTCTTGCAGCTGGGTGTAGCCACGTGACTATGAGCAACTTCTTTCTCACCTGTTTGAAAGGACACTGTGCGCTTCTTCCTCCCTCTACCCTTCTGTGGCTGGAATATGCCCAGATTTGATCACAAGAATGAGCACAATATCCTAGGGGACAAAGGAGCTCCAAGATGGAAAGAATCTGGGCCCCTGAATGACATCATGAAGCAGAGTAGCCACAGAGACCATTACCTGAGAGAGAAATGTCTTTCTGATTTAGGTCCCTGTATTTGTTTTACCATTGCATAGCCCAATACCTGAGTCTAAAGGCCTCAGGATTTTCTTCGCCTTCCTGCTGTCCATTCCAGCTCAGCCATTCACCAGGTAGAGTCCATTCATTCTACCTTCTCACTGCTTCCTGGAACTGTCCTTGCTTTGCTTGTCCTGCAGCTTCTCCCTTGTTTCCAGCTCTCACTTTCTCCCTCTTAACTACAAGACCTCCACATTGGTTTCTTTATATCCAGTCTCTCATTGTTCCATCCCATAATGTTCTTCCTCTGGTCAAAGACCTCCAATGGCTCCCTATTGCTTATTGAAGAACAAGACATGATCTTTCCTGCTTCCATCCCTTTGATCCTGCTGGTCCTTCCTCCTGGATCCCCACATCTGCCATTTTCTAGCCATCAAATGCCTATTCATCATCCAAGCCCAGATCAAGTGCTGCCTCCTCCCCAATGACTTTCACATGTTTCTACTGGAGTTCATCCTGGGCCTCCACTGATTATATCCCTCATCACAGCCCGCCTTAAGGCAACAGTTGTCTCCATGACCCACTAGACTGGACAGTAAGTTATTTGAGGGCAGAGACCCTGTCCTAGTCATCTTCCCATTGCCTCCACGCCTAAGATAATGCTGTGCATGCAGCAGGTGCTCAGTATGTGCTTGCCAGTGAACACTCACTTTCCATAGCTGGAGGCTCACAACTCTGTCTGGGCACTGTTCTTGGCACAGGTGATCAGGGTTGTCTTCCCTCTGGCCTTGAGGGCTTCCCCGGAGAATCCCGGAATAACTGAAGGGTGCTGTCCTCCTCACACTTCCCTGGGGCCTGGGGAAGGAGCAGCTGTGAACATTCTGTTTGCTCTGAGTGCAGAATCTGTGAGTGGAAGTGCACAGGTTTTATTGGCTAGGGCTTTAGAATGAGACAGACCCAGCTTTGAATTTCAGCCCCACCACTTTTTAGCTGTGGGACTTCAGGCATACTGTTTAACCTCTCTGAGTCTCAGTTTTCTCTTTTGTAACATGAGGTTACTGTAGCTACTTATCTCCTACAGGTCTTGTGAGGATATAAAAAGATAATGTAGAGAAAGCACTACATACAGTATTTGGCACAAATAAAGTGCTCACTAAATGGTATCGATAATCATAATCCAATTTCCTTCCTGATATTCTATCTGGTAAGAGTGGATCAGGGCAGGTTTCACACTAGGCCTGGTCCACTGGAATCCTTGTTGTCAGATGGAGGTTTCTCTGTGGACATGGGTCAGAGGATGTGCCTTGTCACAAATGAGTTGAGTTAGGGCTGGGTTTTGCTGGGTGCTCCCAGAAGGTGGAGGAGAGGGAGCAGGGCTGGTGTCCAATGGGGTGAGGGTGAGGGGCTGGCTGTTTGCTAAGCCCAAAGTGGCTGGGTTAAACCATATCTGGCTGGCAGGAGCCTATAGCCAATGGTACAATGTCAGGGGTAAGATGTGGCAGACTTCAGGGGCTTCCAGGCAGCCGAGGGCTCTCTGCATCAGATGGGCTGCCAGAATCATCCCACAGTGCTCAGTTTCCTCTGGTGTAAAGGATCTGGATCTATGTGGGAGGAGGGGTCCAGGACCCCACATGAGCAGGCTTGGTTTCCAGCAGAGGAGAGGTACTGAGGGCAGTTGGAAGTGGCCCACATACAGTGGGGTCAGAGAGGAAGATTACACTCACCCTAAATACCCTACATGCTAATCCTGGGGACAGCAGACCATGTCCAAGTCCTCCTCACTGGCAGGGGGCGGCCACTGATTCGGGGCCTAGACAGCTGGATCTGCAGTTTGCAGCCATTTGGACTAGAACAGGTGGGGCCAGTGGTGAGCTGGTAAATGGTGAACAAACAGCTCTTTGGTTGCGGGGGAATCTTTCATTTGTAGTACTTGCCCATTGCTGTGGTATAAATACTCCCACCATGGCTGATTTCAAGCCACTAACATAACATCACTGAGTGAGGAGTTGGGAAGAGATGTGCACATATGGCTGTTGGGAGCCAGTAGGAGCTGATTCCAGCACACCACTGGGTGAGGTCTCACACCTGCATTTGGGGAGAAAGGCAGGTATCTGTGGCTTCAGTGTACGGAGAAATAAAGGTCACTATGCAGTGTAGCAAAGAGTGAAAGGCACAAGAATAATAGACCCTGGAGCCTCATACACTATAACAAATCCCAGCTCTGCTACTTCTTGGTTGTGTGGTTTTGGGCAAGTCACTTTGCCGCTTTGTGCCTCAGTTTCCCCATCCATAAAGTGGGGCTAATGATAGTGCCTCCTTCATAGAGTTCCAGTGAGGTTGCACAAGTGTACACTGGGCTGTAGTGGGTTGACAGAAATGTTACTTATTGCAGTTGATCACACAGAGTAGTTGGAATGTCTCATTGGTCAGAATAATTTATAAAGGAAAACCCAGAGCCCCTCAGGGCATGTCCAAAGGCCCTGCTTTTTTATCTTTAAAATCTTGGATTTCCTTCAAGGTCAAGGATTTAAAATCTGCAGGCCCATGAACTACATGAAATTAAGTTTCCCACATTAAGCATGTGGACTCATTTCTGTAAAGAGGGGCCACAGCTTTCATTAATTGTCAAAAAAAGGTTGAGGTTTCTGCATCCTTCCCTCAACCCACAAAAGGCTTAAGAACTGCTGATGTGGAGCGTGTAGAATTCCCACACCCTAGGAATTGCCTAATTGCCCCAGAAGGGTTTTGGAGGAGAGGAGATGTTTGTAAAGTGTATGAAAGAAAAATGGCAGAGATGGAGAGACACACAGAGAGTCAGCCGAGAATTCTGAGATGTCTCTTCCTTGTTGAGACCTAAGGCTGGAGGAATCTTCCAGCAACGGGACAACCAAAAGGCTCACATTCATACTCAGTGCCCCTCCTGGTTCCTGCATTCTCCTTACTCCCTCTAGTTTCCCAGGGGTCTCCTCTTCTCTTCTCCAAGTCCCCCTCTCCTCCCAGTGCCCTCTTGGACCCAGTATAGGTGTCCGCTGGGCCACCTCTTTGTAGGTGCCTAGAGGTAGGGTTAAAAGTCGCTCACATGGGCCAGGCGCAGTGGCTCATGTCTGTAATCCTAGCACTTTGGGAGGCTGAGGTAGGCAGATGACTTGAGATCAGGAGTTCGAGACCAGCTTGGCCAACATGGTGAAACCCCATCTCTACTAAAAATACAAAAAATAGCCGGATGTGGTGGCGCATGCCTGTAATCCCAACTACTCAGGAGGCTGAGGCAGGAGAATCGCTGGAACTCAGGAGGCAGAGGTTGCAGTGAGCTGAGATCATGCCACTGCACTCCAGTCTGGGCGACAAAACGAGACTCCATCTCAAACAAACAAAACAAAACAAAACTCACTCACATGTTGCTAAGATTCAGTGGCACCATTTGTCTTCTTTATGGTTGGATTTTGTTTCTTTCAGGTTTCTGTAGTTACACTATAATTATTTAAGGCAAGGTCTGCCTCCGTTTTGGGTTGGAGGCTGTATTCAGTTTTTTATTTTTATTTTTTGAGATGGAGTCTCGCTCTGTTGCCTAGGCTGGGGAGCAGTGGTGCGATCTGCGCTCACTGCAAGCTCTGCCTCCCGGGTTCGCGCCATTCTCTCACCTCAGCCTCCAGAGTAGCTGGGACTACAGGCACCCCCCCACCACGCCCGGCTAATTTTGTTTTTGTATTTTTAGTGGAGACGGGGTTTCACTGTGTTAGCCAGGATGGTCTCGATCTCCTGACCTCGTGATCCGCCTGCCTCAGCCTCCCAAAGTGCTGGGATTACAGGCATGATTTCTTTTTTTTTTTAATCAGTAACATGGAAGCAGGAGGCAGGTAGGTTTAATATGCTACTGCCTTTCCACCCAGCTTTGCTTTTCTCCTTTTTTCCTCTTCTTCCTCTTTATTTCCATCTCTCTTTCCCAATATAATTCTTCTTCCTCTTCCCCTCCTCTTCCTCCTCCTTCACTTCCTTGTTCTTCCTCCCTCCTCTTCCTCCTCTTCCTCCCCCTCCTCCTCTTCCTTTTTCTCCTCTTTCTTCTTCCCTCCTCCCCCTCCCCCTCTTCCTCCTTCTTCTCATCCTCCTCTTCCTCCTCAGGGCCAATCCTACTCTACATCATTGCATTGTACATTGATAGGCACCTAAAATTCAACTGAATTGCACCAACTCTGAATTACTACTTCTGAGGGCTTCTCCAGTAGCACCCCTGCCCACTTTATCAACAAGAATTTGTGTTTAAAAGGCAGAAGTCACCATCCTGTGACCCACCAAAGGTCGGCAACAAGAGGGCTCTCTCTTGACTCTGGTTCTGGGTGACACCACTCGTGGGGTGCGGGGGAGTCTGCCAATATTCTATTCCTACTCCTGCCCCTCTTAGTAACAAAGCCCTTTGTGTTAGTCAACTTGGGCTGCCAGACAAAATACCATAGACTGAGAGGCTTAAACAACAGAAATTTATTCTCACAGTTCTGGAGGCCAGAAGTCCAAGATCAAGGTGCTGGCTGATTCTGTTTCTGGTGAGGGCTCTCTTCCTGGTTTTTAGATGGCTGCCTTCTTACATGGCCTGTCTTCTATGCATTGGTTGGGGGTGGGAGGTTGGTGGTGTCTCTTCCTTTTCTTAGAAGGCCACAAATCCTCCCAGATTAGGTTCTACCTTTATGACTTCATTTAACTTTACCTTCCTAACAGCCCTATTTCCAAATACAGTTACATTGGGGTGTAGAGCTTCAAATGAATTTTTTGGGGGACACACTTCAGTCCATAGCAGCCTTGAGTTTATCTGAGGTGGCAGTGTACCCAACTAAACATGACATTTCCCAGCCTCTCTTACAGCTATATGTGGCCAAGTGACTCAACTCTACACAATGAGGTGCAGGCTGAGGAGCGGTGTGGTATCCAGGAAGACCTATTCAAAGGGAGAGGGTCCCTTTTACCTCTTGTTCCTCTTCCTGTGGTTTGGAATGAGCTGATGGTGCCTGAGCTCAAGCAGCCATCTCGGACTCAGAGATGACGTAAGGATGAAAGCTTCCTGGGTTGGCAGAACTGAAGACAGAAGGACCCTAGGTTCTTGGTGACCGAGGGCTCCCCCAAGCCTGGACTGCCCACCTCTAGTCTGGGAGAATATCTATCTTCCATAAGCCACTATTTAGGAGTCTTTGTTATTGTCAGCAAATGCTATTTCCAGCTGATGCATGGAAGCTCCCCTGGCCCTGAGTTTTGAGCTTCAGGCAAAGACATTCAAAGTTCCTCTAAGGCCACTGCTACTTTTTCTCCTACCCTCCCTTCTTTGGAAGCATAATTTTATCCAAGAGTTCCCGATTCATGCACATTTGTCCTCCTTCTGTCTTTTGTTTTTTTTTCTTTCCTCTGCTTTCTCCTCTCTCCCTCCCTCTCTTCTTTCCTTCCTTTTCCTTCCCTCCTTCTAATATTTATTGAGCACCTACTATGTTCCAGGTACCGTGCTAGCTGCCATGATTAGAAGTAGGTATAGGAGATAATCCCTTCTCCCCAGTAACCCAGAATCCAGGCTTTCTGGACAACATAAAGAGAATATGATGGCAGGATAGATCAAAGGAAAGGACATTAAATCCGATAAAAAGGGCCTGGGGCGTTCCAGAAGGAGGTCACACTTGGCCTGAGATCTAAAGTAGAACTTTTGTGTTGCTGGTAATGAGGAAAAGAGGGTGGAGGACAAAATCCCAGGCACAGGGACCAGCACAGTGTTACTTTATTCGGCTTCATCACCTGTAAAATGGGGACAGTAATAGTAACATGAATAAGTGAATGGATGGACTAGTAAGTGTGCAGTTCATGCTACTTTTTAATATTATTCTTGTTGGCAATGTGCTGTTCACCCTGGTAGGCACAGCCCTGTATCAGTTTTGGAGACAAGCTTCACAGAGGACATGTGACTTACTTGTCCATGGTCACACAACTATAAAAAGGCACTGCTCAAACCCAAGTGTCCTGGTCCCTGGTACAGTGACCTTTATATCTTTACCCTCTGCCTTTGCATTAAGTGCTGAGGGAATGCAAAGTGAGGGAAAGATCGGTGTGTGGTGGGGGGAAAATCTAGAGGGCTTCCTGGAAGAGGAGATTTTTGAGAGCATTTTGGTAGAAAGGGAAAAAGGAAGGCATTCCAGGGAAGGAGTGTATGATGGGTGCCATCCATCAGGGTGTTGGAGGATGGGCTGGGGGGCTAGCTGGCTGGCAGAGGATTTGAACTCTGAAGATTGGTGAGACACGAGGTAGAGCAGGCAAACAGGCAAAATCAGAGGATGAACCATGATTACAGGCACCCTGATGGCCAGATTGTGGAGTGAAGCTCTAAGCCAGTGGGCCACAGGGAGCCACAGGAAGTTCTTGAGCAAGAAGGCTGGTCAAAATGAAATGAGACTTTGGGGAGAAAGGAAAGAAAGAAACAAACTTGTCTTTACTAAGAACCAGTATGAACTAGGCAGTAGGTTGGCCATTTTCAAATTTATTACTTAATTTGAGCCTCACTACAGCCCCATTAGGTTGGTATCAATGTCCCCATTTCATAGATGAGAAAACTGAGGTCAAGAGAGACTCAGCCTTAGATATGAGTCAGTGGTGGAGCTAAAAGATAGGTTAGACTGAACCTAAATCTGTGCTTTTTCCACTGCACCATGTGGCTTTATGCTGGTCTCACTCTAGGAATATTTCTTGTACTGTGAGTGTCCCAACTAAGGCATTTCCTAGCCAGGGCTAGAGTCTTTTAATAGCCCAGATACCCCCTGGGCTCACTCTGGGTCACACTGGGCATAGAGGCCTTAGTACCTTCGGGAGTTTTGGGGACTCCCAGCATGGGGTAGGATTAAGTGCTTGGCTTCCAGGTCTGAAAGAAGTAGGTTCAAATCCCAGCTATACTGTGCATGAACTGGAGAGTAATATGCTTTAGTTCACAGAGCCTCAACCCAGGTGGGGCAGCGGGATGAGCCCTGGATTGGGAGCCAACCCAAGCATAGGTTGAAACCCTAGCTGGAAGTGACAGGCACTGAGGAGGTGAAATGGTGTCTTTATTATTTCAAAATAATGAGTTGGAGGGGGTAGCGAGGAAATAAGGTTGCCCATGAGGTGATCATTGTTGAGGCTGGGTGATGGGTTTATGGGGGTTCATTACACTATTCATTCTACTGCTCTGTTTGAAAAATCTCCATTAATAAATAGGCTGGGCATAGTGGCTCACGCCTGTAATCCCAGCACTTTAAGAGGCTAAGGTGGGAGTCACTTGAGGTCAGGAGTTTGAGACCAGCCTGGCCAACATGGTGAAACCCTGTCTTTACTAAAACTACAAAAAATTTAGCTGGGCATGGTGGTGCACGTCTGTAATTTTAGCTACTCAGGAGACTGAGGTGGGAGAATCACTTGAACCCGGGAGGCAGAGGTTGCAATGAGCTGAGATCAAGCCACAGCACTCCAGCCTGGGTGACAGAGCGAGACTCTGTCTCAAAAAAAATAAAATAAAACAAAAAGAAAAAAGAAAAAAGAAAATCCCCATTAAAAAATAAAATAATAACAATAACACCAAAAACCTTTTTGAAAACCCAGCTACGTTCACCACACCCTCCTCTAGCTGGAACAGCATCTCTGGCTCCCAGGCACTGTTCTGCTTTAAAACTTCATCAGGCAAGAGCAGCCAAGGTGAGAATCCCTGCTTATAGCCATCTCTCACTAGCTGTGTACCTCAAGCCACTGTCTTTCCGCTGCTGAGCCTCAGTCTCCTCATCTGAAAAACGAGGTGAAGATTCTTTTAAGTTCAGGGGTACAAGTGCAGGTTTGTTACATGGGTAAACTTGTGTCATGGAGGTGTGTTGTACAGATTATTTCATCATCCAGGTATTAAGTCTAGTAATGGGGTGAAGATTCTAATGACCTCATGGAACTGTTGTGAAGTGTAAGTGGGATGATACAGGATCCCATGGGCTGGGCATAGCCCGTGACAGATGTGAGCAGGTCAGCCTGGGTTTTCCAGTCACTCTAAGCACCACCAGGCTGCTAGCCACATTCGGTGAGGAACCCTAAGCCAATACGTGCAGCAGAGGCCAGCCGATGACCTGACAGGGGATAAGTCCCACCTTCTGGGCAACTTTTACGAGTCTTCTGTGTAAGTACTGTGTGCTAACCGATTGCGCTGCTGGAGCTGCAGCCTTATGAGTTTTCTAAATCACAAGAAGTTCATCACCTAGTGGGGCTTTTTTATCTGCCTTTCCTCACTGCTTAAAGACCAAGCCCACATCTTTCCTTCTCCTGTCTGCTGTCGGAGCATAAGTGTGTGCCACACGTGACCAGGTGTGGCAGAGTCAGAGCAGGGGGTGGCTTCTGTGGAAGTAGGAGTGAAAGTGTGGAAACAAGTGAGTGCGTGTGTTGACAGGCATCTGCATTTGTGTTAGTTGTGCTTACTCAGAGGTCCACAGGCTTGTGGCAGATTTCAGAAGCTGGTCCTTCTTCAGCAGCTCTCTCGGAGGCACACCTCCCTGATCTGCATCTATGCGGAGTTACCCAGCACAAGGACACCAGGGTCGCTGTGTCACCACCAGAGGCACAGGTAGGGGGATAAGATTGGATGGTGGGGGAAAGGCCTGGGCCTTATCCGCCAGCCCTGCCACTGGCCTCCAGGACTTAGCCTCGGTTTCTCAAACTGTGTCAGGGACGAGTAAATGGGATGAGCAGCCCTTGGCAAGGAGTGGGCGCTAGGAAATCATCAGTGAAGGAGGGAGTGAATGAATGCAGGCCTGTGTGGCGACTGCTTCAGCATGGCAGACAAGGTGACGTATCAGAGCCTTGAGGGTGGGAGCTCCCCAGGTTGGGAAGGGACAGACACGTGGGCCAATCCTCTGGACAGGAATAGAGAACGAGGAGGAAACAAGCGCAGAAGCTGGAGCGGGTGGAGAAGAGCAGGGGAGACGGTTCGCAGCAGGAGAAAAGAAGCGAGGAGTCACAGGGAGGGGCCTCCTGGACACCGCTCCCAAAGCCACGCGAAAGTGGAAGCGCGGGGCCTCGGGATGCCCATCCAGCCGGCTGCCCGCGCGCTGGCCGGGGTTCCAGGACTCCTTCCTGCTCCGCCGGGCTCTGCAGCGCCGCCTGGTGGACACGCGGCGCTCCGCCCGGGCTCCAGCCGCCAGCCGGCGCGCCGGGGATCCCGCGGCTGTTCGGGAAAAAGCTGGAGAGAGTCGGGGGGCGCGCCTTGGGGAGGGGCATTTGTCCCTCCGAGGAGGCTCGCACCTCGGCCTGGACACGCAGCAGATACTGGCACCCACCCTTCACTTACCGCGCGCCCGGGGTGACTCGGATCCGTCCAACACGTCGGGGAATCCTTTCTGTCCTCACCCCCGGGCGCCCCAGCGCCGGAACGCTGCTGCCTCTGTGTAGCTGCTCCCGGAAGGAGTTTCATCAAACTTTTAAGGGGCTTTGGTTTTGGGTTGTGTTGATAAAATACCAAGAAGGGGCATGAAGGCACGAACGTCCCGGGTTCGTCTCCCTGCTGGTCCCAAGCCTGAATCCCAGGGCGGGGGAATGTCTAGGTCCTTCCGGGCCGGCAAGGTGTGGTCGCTCAGGGACCCCTGTCCGAAGACGCTAGGGAAAAGAGGCACAGCCTGTGGGTCGCAGTGGCCAGGAGCGCGTGGCCGCTGCTGGTGAGAGAGTGGTAGACGCCTGGCTTTCAGGTCCTGAGCTGCGGGCACCGGAGCGTGGGACCCCGGCTGCAGCACCGCCACGCGCTCCCGCCCTCCCACCTGCAGGGCGGGGGATGTCTGTCCAAGAGGCCGGGGCGACAAGCCCGCCGGCCAGGATTCTCAAGGAACCAGGCCCAGCTCAGCCTCTCTCGGCGGGACCAGAGTGGGACCGGGGCCGCGGCGTCCGAAGACGCTGCGGGCCAGGGGTCCTCCTCGGCGCCAGCTCCGTTTCCTGGGGTCTCGCGACGTCCGGACATCAGGGTCGGGGGTGTGGAGACGGCGGCGGAGCCAGAGTCCCCACCAAGTCAGTTCCAGGAGGCGGCCCGCGCGCTTCCCGCAGTGTCCGGGAGGTCGCTGGGGGTGGCTTTGCGTGCAACCCGGGTAAAGGCCCTGCAGCCGTGAGGCTGGCGCTGGGAGGAGGGTGGAAAATCTCAAAGTCACCAATCCCGGTGCAAATGGCGGCAGGGGCCGCGGGCTGTCGGACGCAGGCGAGAGGCCAAAGGCTGACTTCGCGCGGCCGTGAGTCCCCAGAGGCAACAGGGGTACCTGAGCGCCGAGGGGATCCCGAGACTCGGAGAAACCGGAAGAGCCTGACCCCAGGGAGCGGAGAGTTTGGGGTGCGCTCTCAGAGCTGTGACTCCACGGTCCCGGAATCCTTGGAAAGGGCGCTCTGGGCTCAGAGCTCCCAACTAGCCGGAGGACCTGGGCTAGCGCCCAGGCCTGGAGCGTCTGGGAGGGGGCGCTGGGTCTCGGCCCCCCTCCCCCCAAAAGGGACTGAGACTTTTTTCTGCGTGCTTCCTTCGGCGCTTCGGGCAGCTCTGTCCTGCGGCCCAAGCTGGGGAGAAGACAGCGGCCCGCGCCACAGGGAGCTGCGCCCGGACCCAGACTCCCGCCGCGCTTCTGCAGAGCGGAGCCCTAGGTGCCCACCTGGTAGCCCCAGAAAGGCCGGACCTGGGCGCCGGGACGCTCGCGGGGCCGCACTTGGAGGGGCTTTCCGGGTCCTGGCCGGGCGGGCTCTCCTGCGGCGCGGAATGGAATAGAGCGCCGGCTGCAGAGCCACCCGGACGGGGAAAAGCAGCGGTGGCGCCGGCCAGCCCCGGGTCCCGACTCTGGAGGGAGGAAGGAGCGGGCGGGTGGGGGTGGGGGTGAGGGCGAGGGTTGCGGGGAGCGTTTAGAAGGCCCTGGGCAGCCAGAAGAAGAAAAGAGGACGCACTCTCCCCTAGGGACCAGAGGGTCCCTGCGTACTCCCCCCAGGCCCGGGACACAGGTTCCCCCAGCGCCCCTCCGCCTCCCAGTCTATTCGGCTTGCCCCAGCGCGCTGCCCCACGTCCCCGAGGCCCCGGCCCAGGCCCAGCCGGCGAGTCCCGGCCTGCTCCACTCTGCACAAAACGAAACCCAAATGCCCAAAAAGCTCAGGAGGGAAATTTAACAAAAACCCTGTCCCCCGCCCCACACCCCCTTTCACTTTTAACAAGCCAGCTGCCAAGAGAAAATTGAAATAAAAACGAAATGATAGATAGCGGAGGACACTATTTTCCAAATGGTGAAATATCCTCTAAAAATATGTTCCCCAAGGCCAACTTCGCGGCTGGTAGCCCCTTCCGACGCCTTTGCCTCCCAGAAAATCACAACAAAGCGATCGGAAATTCAGCCACGGTCCCGGGAAGAAGGAGTAGCAGTGAGGCCCCGGAACCCACTGCGGCCGAAACTGCCATGCTCTCTTTAACCAAAATAAAAAAGATAAGAAGAAGAAGTAAAACCCTTTAATACATCAAATATACGGAATTTTAATCTTTAAAGCGATACATTGTCTATTATTTTAGTACATGACGTAAACCTTGTCCCCTTCTCAGCGGGTGGACTTAAAAATTAAAAATAGTTAAGTGTTCCTTTTAAAGAACAAAATAAGGCAAATGAGGTTTTGGAATAGAATTTTTTCTTTTTCTTTTTTTTTTTGTTGTTTTCTTCCAGAATACATACAAAAAAATACCCATTCTCTTCGATGGTATACACCTTAAAAATAATTGCAATTTGAAATCAGAGCTGACAAATTGTGACTTTTTTTTTCATTTTTTTTGTAACAAACATGCATGTAAATTTGTGTTTCAATCAGACATTAAATAACGTACAATACAATCATAGCAATTTTAAAGTAACATTAAAGAGAAGACCTCTAGTTCTGTGGCGGTTTTGCTTTTATTTATAATCTACAAGGGATGGGAGGGTTTGTTTTCCACATTTTTACCCTCAAGTTTTAAAATTTTTCCCACCTCCTTTTTACCTACAGAGCTCAAACTAAATAATGCACTTTTGAACCACCGGTCCGCTTGGAGCTAACATAAATAAATACCAGTGTCCACCGATGCAGTCCTCAGATGAACACTTTCTCAATTATTTTTTCCTTTTTTTTTCTATAAAAAGTCAAATGATATTTTTTCAACTTTTATAAAGTTTGGGTGGGGAGGTGAAAGTGGGGAGAAGGGGAGTGTCCCACCGGGTCTCGGTCGCTGCTGTCGGGTAGATAGATACGGTATACATTTCTTTCCTTTCGTGGCCCGAGTCCTCCCCACGCGCGGGTGTCAGCAGCCTGGGCCGTGATCCCGCCTCTCCCTGGACTCCTCCCCTCCCCCTCTCCCTCCTCTCCCTCGCTCGCCCTCCCGGCCGCCCTCACTGATACCCCAGCGCCGAGGCGGTGGTCAGTCTCTGTCCGTAGAGGGCGTAGGGGGAGTAGTACGGTCCGGTGGCGGCGGGCACCGGCACGGGGGCGCCAGGCGTGGGAAGCGGGCTCTTGGAGTAGGGGTGGTAGCGGCTGCTGAGTCCCAGCGCGTGGTGGGGGCTGCGCAGCGCCAGCGTCCCAGGGCTGCCCGGTGCGCCCGAGGTGGGGATGTGCATGTGGCAAGCCATGGCGGCCGCGGCAGCGCTGGCCAGAGACGACGAGCTGGGGTAGCCCGACAGCAGTTTGTCTGTCCCGGGAAATGCCGTATGGGTCCGCAAGTGGCTCAGCAGCTCTTCGGACGTGGCGAAGCGCTTGTCGCACGGCCCGTTGGCCGACACCCAGTTGCAGATGTGGGGGAGTGGGTCGTTAGGGAGCATAAAGCCGTAGGGGTAGAGGGGGTGGCCGGCCAGGGAGGGCGGTGTGGCGCCAGCAGCCGCGGCGGCCGTTAGCGAGGAGTGCACACCGTGCAGCGGGTGCGTGGGGTACACCAGCGGGTATCCGGACTTCAGCGCCGCAGCCGCAGCAGCCGGATCATGTGCGCAAGAAGCGCTGGCGGCCGCCGCCCCTGCCAGGTGGCTAGCGCAGTGGTAGCTGAGGCAGTAAGGGTCCCGGCACAAACTGGCTGTCATCACGGACGGCGGAGACGCTCCGGCCAAAGGGCTGGAGCCGGCCGGCTTACTGCAGCCCAGAGACCCGGCCGCGGCCGCCGCCAGCTGCGCCCCCACCAGGCTGCCCGGCTTGGTGGGGTCAAGTGCCACGCCGTGTGGCAGGAACTGGGGCGGGTAGCCGGCGTAGGCCCCGGCCAGGCTGCCTGGGTAGGTCATACCCGCGGGAGGCAGAGGGAACACTGTCTGGCCCGGCTTGTAGGGTGACACGGGAGCCACCAGCCCAGAGCCCAACACTGAGGAGGAGGTGGGCGCGCTGGGGCCGGAGCCGGAGCTGGAGCCCGATGAACCGCCGCAGTCCGAGCCCAGAGCCTTGCCTCCCGGGCCCCCATCCGGATGCTGGTTCACATCCACATTAATCCCGCCGCCGCAGCTAATCCGGCCGTGTGCCAGCCCCGTGGGTCCCCCTTCGGCCGAGGCGCCCCCGGTGCCCTTGCCACCGCCGCCCACGTCGGTGTCTTTCTTGTCGTCCTTGCCCTCCGGGGCACCCCCGGCCGAGGACAGCATACCTCCCGGCGAGCAGGCCGAGGCGCTGGAGCTCGGGCTGCCTGTCCTGGGCGTGAATGGCTGGCAGGTGGCGCTCGGTACCCGGAATCCCGACTTCTCCGACGAAACACCCCCGCCGCCGCCCCCGCCACCGCCACCGCCTCCACCGCCGCCTCCCGGCTCCTTCTTATCCGAGCCGGGTTTGGAGTACGGCTTGAAACTCGACTTGTCCTCCACGCCGATGTCGCTCAGCTTCAGGGGGCCCGATTTGGTGTCCTTGTCGCCCGCAGCACCGCCGCCGGCACCGCCCGCGCCGCCCCCGTTGGAGGCAACCGAGGAGAGTTTGGAGGAGGGCGAGGGGTCGGGCTTCCCGATCTGCGAACATGTTTGCGCCAACAGCGCCAGCGGGCTCTTCTTGGCATCGAGCTGCGGGGTCAGACGATGGGGGGGGAGCGTCACACAGAGAAAGAAGTGGAAACCCTTTAGAATCCTGGCTTCTGGGGTTCAAATGCCTCTCCGCAACAGCCCACGAAGATCCTCCCAGCCCCAAGGCGCAATTCTAGGCGGCACCCCCTCTTCAACACCCACTCACAAACATTCTCGCCGTTGGGAAAGGCAGCAGATTGCTCCCCCCGCCCAACCACCACCCCCAGCAGCATCTTTCCTGCCCTCTCTGAGCGCTAACTAGATTTTTAAAGAGCAAAATGTTTTGGTTTTCGGTTCCTAGACCCAGAACTGTACCCCCTCCCCACAAACACTCCTTAATTCTTCAGAGTAAGGGCTCGGGCGGCTGGCGCCTCAGAGGCTGTGTGCACACACTGGCTTCTGCGGATACGAAGGACGGCGACTTTGGAACCGTATTTCAGACCTCCGCCTGCCTTCGGTGCCGAGTGAAGGGGCCTGGGTCGGGGTAGGGGCTTTCATATCGAAAGGAGAAACAAGTATTGGCAGCCTTGCTCCCTAGCATGCACGCCCCATTCCACTTCCTCCCCCTTTTCCGCCCTAGTTTTGAGGTACGGAAGCAGTAGCCTCTTCCCCCATTCGGGAGCTGAATCACTCCGACCCCCCCACCTCCGCCCAGATCCCGAGAAAAAGAAAGCCCTAGGGTGGCAGCCAGGGTAGTGGTCCCAGTGCGATCCAGAGAGAGGGTCCTTACCTCGATGGGGCTGACCGGCGTGGAAGGCAGGGGCTGCAGGTACTCGGGGTGCAAAATGTGGCCAGTTCGTGCCGTCAGCATCTTCAGCACCTTGATTGGCAGGCGGTTGGCCTGGCGCAGGGGGTCAGAGGGGGGCACGGCGTGCACAAAAGGCTTGGTGCTGCCGGCCGGGGACGAGCCTGGGCCGGGGCCGGAGCTATTTCCAGAGAGCGCGCTGGTCCAGGCAGGGTCTGCACCGCCGCCTCCGCCTCCGCCGCCGCCGCCGCCGCTGTGCTTACTGCTTCTTAGGGCAGAAAGCGAGGGCGCTGTGCTCATGACCCACCCGCGCGCATGGGAGCAGCGGGGGGGAGGGCTCCGGGAGGCGCGGGGCGGGCTCGGGGCTGCGCGCTCGCCCCGGGAGCAGGAGCAGCGGGAGGAGGAGGAGCTGGCGCGGCGGCCACGGGCGCCCAGCGCGCCTTCTCGGCGCCTGGAGCCAGACGCGAGTAATCCTGGGTGGCCCGCAGCGGAGCCGTGGCCGGGCTAGAGGAGCCGGCTGGACTGCGGGAGTGCCGGGCGGCTCGCGGTGTCCGCCTCGGGCTGCTCCCCTGCGCTGCGTTCTCGCGGCCCCGCGCCGGCGCTGCGCTCTGCGATGCGAGCCGCTGCGTGTCCAGCCGGGGCTCTGGCGAGGAAACTCACTTCAAAAGCAGCTGCACCAAGGGGGAGATTAAAGCCTTTGCCGCCTTCCAATCAAATGGGAGCCCGAGGTGATTGGAGGGTCAAGGGGATGTGACGCGTCCCGCGCCGCCGCCGCCGCCGCTGCCAGGACTCTCAGTGCCGGTTTTAATGGGCAGCTCCCTCTTCGCCGCCCCCCTGTGTGTCCCCTCCCTCGATTTCGCTGGGAGGACGAGATGGACATTTATTCTACGTTTGCCATCCGCCGCCTCCCTCTTTTTTCCTCCTCGTCGTTCTTCCTTTCCCCAGCTCGAAAATAAACTGAAACCTTCTTTTGAAGGGGGGTGCGCGTGAGGAACAGACTGCGGGGGGTGTCCAGAAGGAGCACCGGTGGGAGTGTGGACACCGGCCGGACTGTCAACTCCAGGGGCGAAGGGAACCTGCACACCCAGTGTTTTTTCCTTCGCAGTAATCGAGATCCCGCGCGGCGCAGCGCAGCCACCAGGGTAAGAAGGCAAGGTGGGGAGCCGGAGCTGGAAGAAGCCCGCCCGCCCGCTCTAATTTCCTCAGATTCCGCGGCGGAGAAACCAGAAGCTAGATGGGCAGTCGCAGCGGCGGCGGCTCAACACCGCGAGGAGCGCTGGGCTCTCCGCCCTTCCCGGCCACGTGACGCCCGGGGACGCGTAGATTGGGGCAGCAGCGGGGGTCACATGTTTCCTCTGTTTCACCCTCAGTCTGTCCCCCAACCCCCCATTCTTACTCTCCCACCCTGTTTTCCTCCCTCCCCCCCTTCTTTGGGCATCTCCACCCCTCCATCAATTGTCAATGTTCCTCGACCGCAATCAATCAGTTATTTGTCAGCTCTTGTCAATCCTCCCGTGATTTATGTCAGCTTTTGTTGCTGATTACAAGGCGGGTGCGACTTGAAGGGAAAAAGAGAGAGGGAGAGAGAGACGGAGAGGAAGGAGGAGATTGAGAGGGAACTGGAGGAGGGGAAAAGAGGAGCGGCCTCCTGGGATGGGGGTGGGGTGGGGGCTCTAAGAAAAAGAATGAAAGAGGCGCACGGTGTCAGGAAAATGAATAGCGAGAGTAAAGTGCGCAGGTGCGCCCAGGGCGCCGAGAGGGGCGCGCAGGCCTGGAGTGTGCGCCTGCCCTCTCGGTGTCGGAGAGACGCCCTTCCACCTCTGGGAGCCTCGGTCTGTTGGGGTCGCGGAGTTCGGGCGCGGCTCCGGGTACCCGAGACCAGCGGCGGCAACTTCTAACACGGGAGATTTCCCGCCACCCCACCCCGCCGCCGCGAGTCCTCGCGGGGCGTGTTGCGTGCGGAGGTCAGGCTGCCACCCTCTGTAGTTCCCTAACCCCAAACTCGGAGACTTCTAAGAGCCACACCACCAAGGAACTTCTAGTCCTGGAGGTCAATGGTGGGGCAAACCTCGCCTCAATTCTTTGACCCCCTCGGGTCGTAAGCAGGGCTAAGAGGCTGCGAAGAAGAGGCCTGGCCATGGGTGTATGGGGGAAGAAACATCTCAGGCTCACTCATGCCCCCTCCCCGACCTTCTCCCACCTGCCGCCATCCCCGCAGGCTGGGGAGCCAGGGTAACTCGGGGCTGCTCTCTCGAATTTATTGGAACGCCGAGTCGGAATGAGCTGCGCTAGGAGAGCCGAGGGAAGGAGCGAGAGAGGGAGGGGGCGGCTGCCTGTGGGAACGCGGGTTCTTCCAGGGAAGCGGAGCGGGACTGCCGCGTTCCCCTCGATTTGCACCGTCACTCGGGTTGTTTGGGAAGAAAAGGGGAGGCGCTGTGCGTGCCACCGGGTACCTGGACCTGGATGCCCAGTGTGTATGCATGCCTGTGGCGCTGCGTGAGTTATCGGGGCTCTGATAGCGTCCGGAGCGGGTTCGAGGGTCTCCTCCAGGAACTCGCAGAAATTAGAGGGGGTGGGGAGGAGGACACACCCCCTTCCTCGGAACGACTTAGAAGACTTTGAATCTCCCCTCCTCCGCTTTTCCGCCCCGGCTCTTCTTTTGTTGTCAAGTCCTTTTGATAAATGGTGGGGCTGGGAGCTCTGGGAGTCGGGAGCCAGTCTGTGCCCGCGTGGGGGGCGGGGGCCGAGCCTGGAGACCCGGTTTCGACCGGCGCGCACCTGGGGCTGAGCCGGGTGCGCGCGGGGGTCGGGTCTGGAACTGCCCTTGGTATGCTCGCCCTCTCCTCTTGGCCCATCTCACTCCCCTCCCCCACCTGACTCCCCTCCCCGGCTTCTTTCTCTGTCTCCCACTCCGCACGGGTACCGAGAACTTTCCGGGGTGAGTTTTAGAATTTGCTCCTAGGCATTCTTTTTCTGCGTTTGGATTTTATCCCTTGATTCTTTGGGTTGGTAAACTTTATGAAATGGTAACTTGACTGAAGCTCATTTGGAGAGAAGAGGGGAGTGAGGCGGTGTGTGCTTGGGGCTGGTGTTTGTCAGTGTGAGCGTGTAAGAGCACACCTGCATTCAAGGGGGTTTGTAGTGTCCGTGCGACATCTGAGGGAGGTGAGTCGGCGAGCGGGTGGCGAGGCCCCACGCTGAGGGAGGCGGTTGTCTGGTCTCCGGGGAGCAAGTCCCAGGTGCGCGTTTCGGAGGGCGGGACAGTCCTACGCTGTCTCTGCGGGGCAGCGCGTCTGTGAAGCACTCTTATCCTTCGGGTGTGTCCATGTGTGCCTGGTTACTGAGTGCGCGGCCGTCTAGGTGTCGACCCAACCAATGGTAGTGCTCCTAACGCCGCGAGCCCACCTTTGGGCCGCTATCGCCGCGGCCTCCCCGCGAGGCCCGGGCACTGAAATTCTGGGGCCTGCGACAGGGCCGGGGGGGACGCAGCCAAGGGCGTCCCTCCCCAGCCTCCAGACTCAGCTCTTCCCCCTCTCCTCTAATTCCAGCAGCTTATTACGCCGGCGGCTCAGGGGAGGCAGCCTCAGCACCTGAAGCCTGGGGGGGCCGTGGAGTGGCTCCTGCGTCCCCCGGTGTGGCCACACACGCTCGTGGGGCTGCGCTGTGCTGCGTGGGTGCGGGTCGTGGTCAGCGTGCGTTCGCTTTTCTCAAAACTCCACTCCGAGGGTCCGAGCGCATGGGGGCGCCTGGGGGCCTGCGCGCCCGGGGCTTTTGGGAGGCGCCAGCGTCCGAGCCTGCGCACCTCGCGCAGGAGGCCAAACCCCCGAAGGCCGGCGCGGGCCCGGGAGTGGGGGCCATTAATTACTCTGCGCCAGGCCTAAAGCCTCCAACCCCCAGCAGCAGTTGGCGTGGATGTCCTGCGGATTTTATTTGCAAACAATGGAAATGATTTGTTTTCTCTAAAAAAGGAGTGGGCAAGGCAGATATTGGAGGAGGGGGTGGGAGGAGGAGAAGGAAGGGGAAAGAGCTGAGGAAAAAAGTTTGAAAATGCCTTGAACTATTCACTGTCGAGATGGCTAATCAGTATTGAGGCCGGAGGGCAGGCGGGCCGCCTTTCACCGCCGCTTCCCTTTCATCTCGGGCTCGGCGGAGGCGCTCAATTAAAAGCCTATCAGTTTGTAAGTAAATCAACGCCTATCAGAGTTGTCACATCAAACAAAACGATTATTATTGCAGCCCGCCTCCCCTATTAATCTCCCTCGAAGATAATCCGCCTGACAGGTCAGGCCCGGCGAGCTGGAAAGCCTGGCCCAGAGCACCCAAACAGTCCCGGACTGGCGCGCGCCCCCGGGGGCCTCCCCACCCCTGTCCTGCCCCGCCTCGCGGTCCCTGGGAGCGGGGAGAGAAAGCGCGCGCGGAGGCCTCTGCACCCAGGTCCGCCCCACCTGACTGGGAGCAAGGCCCAGATTCGCGGGGCCAGTAGGGGACAGTCCCGCGCGGCCCTCGCCGCTGCTCGGGGCAGGGGAGAAGCCTGGCGTGCAGGAGCCGCGGCCCGGCCCGGGGTCTCGCCACGGCCTGCGCTCTCCTCGGCTCTCATTTATTTTCTTCCTCCCTTCTTTTTGTTTTCTCTCCCGCGTCTTTCTGGGCTCCCCCATCTTTTTCCTTCATTTCCTTTTCCTTTTCCCTTTTTTTTACTTGCCAGGGAGTATTTCCCATTCTGGCTCTCTCTTCTTGGTGTGCCGTATAAACCTTTCTTGCGCAGCCACACTGCCTGGAGTAGGATGTTCTCAGGGCCCGGGTTATTTCTCCCGGGTTGCCCCAGGAGTGTGCAGTTCCCAGAAACTCATGGCAAAGTCCTCTATAATCTCTTTCCGAGCAGGGGCTCTGAGAAGCTCTGCGCCTGTTTAAGGGTTGGGTGGGTTTGGAGGGGTGAAGAGGAAAAAGAGGGAGAGAGACTGGTGGACAGTTGTCCTATTCTGGAATTAGTATTTTGCCTTGGAATTTCATAGCTGTAACGTTGCCGACCTCGCTGTTGGCGTTGCCCGGGCTTTTCAAATATGTAGATAAGACTCAAGGGGGCATCCAGGCCTCAGTAGTGACTATGTGTGTGTGGGTGGGTGCCTGATACAAGTAAATACACCCAGATAACTGCCTCTGTGGCCTCAAGTTAGTGTCCCAAGAGTTTGGGTGGGGCCTCGCTTCTAGAAGGCGCAAAAATCGTGGCCTTCTTCCCAGTGGCCTCCGGCTTCCTGCTTTGGGATGCCTCGGAATCGAGCCGGACCCGCCTTTTTCTGCGCTCTTCCTCCACATCTGTAGGCCCAAACGGCCACTGCCGGAGCCAGGTGGAGCCAGGATTGAGGGGTAGCTGAAGTGTCTGTGACGAAAGGGCTGCCCGAGGGAGCCCAGGCCTGCCACCTCATATGTCGGGTTCAGTGCGCCGCGAAGGCTCTCCGCGCCTGTATCTCGGAGGACCCCCAGAGCGCTGCAGTATTGGGCGTCAGGGCCGAGCCTCTCGCAGCAGTCACGCCGCAGTCCGAGGCCACGGACATCCAATAGAGCCCACTTCAACTTGCATGGTGCATGGGGTCCAGGACCGGTGGCCCCCACACAGGGTTTCCCAAAGCCTCTCCATTTGTCTGCACTCTCCACTGCCGACCTTGTAGGAAATTTATTTCCATGCCCAGAAATATTGTTTGGACACAGTGGCTCGGTTATCTTCGCGCCTGCTTTTCTTAAATACATTTATTTCACCTCTGCCACGCTGCAGATATTTAAAGATCTGTAGATACCGTAACCCTCAGCGATGCGGGACTCACTCTGGTTATAGATAATATTCTCTGGGTGGTTATTTGAACATAAGTTCTATCTCCAGCCCAGATGACACCCAAGCAGGGGCTGTAAAGGACACTTGCTCTAGAATGTTTTCAACTGAAATATATGTCCACACACGGAGAATTTAAGAGTATTTTTATATTTCTCTCTAGATCTAAATATTCAGATGTGTTAATTACATGCCCTAGAAGCTGGAAGCGATCAGTGGTGTTCACACTGGACGTGGAGCTGTTTGTATAATTTTCATCTCCCTGCACTTAAACATGACTCTCAGTCTAATAAATTCAACCTTGTCATTTTTAGAATCGACGGGATTTCTCTGGCTGTCGTTTGCGCTGCATTTATCCGAATACATCCAGCTCGCAGGCATCCTGCAAGAAACGGCTCCCGGCTCGCGTGTACGCCGACACCTCGGCCCAACGCAGGACTCGAGGTGGTTTCTAGTGCCCGGGTGGCTGCAAGTCTGCCCTCCGAGGGAGGCTGGACAAGCGGCGCCCCCAGGTCGAGCGGCCTCTCGCTGCCTGGCAGTGCCTGGCAGCCCCCACCTCTGCCAGTGCTTCGGAAACCCGCCTGGCCAGGTTCGCCCGCGGTGAAAAATGAAAGCAAATTCCCCAACAGAGGTAGCCGGAACTTTCCTCGACGAAGGCTCCCTCCTGCGCCTGTGTCTGGAGAACCCCCAGAGCGCTGCAAGTTAGCAAGAGAGATTCGATGGCGGCTCTGGAAGGCGCACGAAGGGTGGGGCGGGGGAGCAAAGAGGCCACTGGGTGACCCAGCCTGGTCCGGGGTGAAACGCTAGAGAAGGCGCCTCGCCTTCCTTATTTCAATGCAACTCCTCGGCCCCAGACGGTAAAAATAGTTTCCAAGCTGCCGCGGACGCCCAGGATGTGTTTGCAGAGATCAAACTGGGGAGGAGGCAGCTTTGTAAAAGTTGCAGAAAGATTAGCCGAGAAGCGTCCGCCCGGCGGGGCTCAAGAAAGCTTGGGGACAGCTCCATGTTCCTTGGGGCGGAATGGCCCAAGAATTGGCCTGGGTAACCCCCTGCCCAGTTCTCTGTCCTCACTTCGAGCCAGTGCTTAAATAACTTCCCGCCGCCTGCCCTGCAAACTTCCCGGCGCGGCGCCGTTGAGGCCAGGACACAGCAAAGGCTAGCAAAACCCCGCCGCGGCGCGCTCGGCCCCGGCCCTGAGAGGCTGCGCGGGTGGGAGGACCAGTGTGGTTTCTGCTCCCACTCGGCTGCCCAGACCCTCAAGACCGATCCCCCAACTCCTGGGAGCGGGTGCTTCCCTCTGGGAGCCGAGATCTTGCGGGGCCAGCGAGGGCGCAAAGTGCGCGCGCTGGCCCGCGCGGGGGCGGCCGCGCGTCTCTCCGCGGGGCCTGTCGCCAGGCCGGCCGCGGCGCGTGAGTGATGAGGGCAGAGAAGGGCGCCCATAAATCGCGGGTGTCAGGGCGAAAAACTCTCTTTATTGTCTGCGTGATGGATGGGCCCGGGGACGAGACACCAAATACTTCGTATCGCCTTTAAATGGGAACACATTTTCCGCGGCCATAATTCATGTTTTTTAAATAGAAAGTTTGAAATGTTGCCTATATTTCACCAGCCCTGACATATTTATGAATCGCTCCCTGCATGCAAATATCATTACTTAAAGCGCCGGGGAGAGCGCGGGGGAGGGGAGGAGGCGCGGTTCCCGGGGCGTGGGGGTGGTGAACCGGGGAAATATCGGTGGAGGGGGGCCATCTCCCTAAAGGGCAGAGGGTGAGGTGCGGTGAATAGCCGTATCCGGAAACCGAGCGTGCCCCGGGCTTCTTTCCCGCCGCCAGACCCCGCACAGCCGCCCTGGGACGTTTTTCGAGGCTTGGGACCTAAGACGGGTCCCCGGACCCTGCTGGGAAACCAGGGGGCGTTTTTCGTCCCTCTCTGAGGCCATTATCCAAGCTGAAACCACCTTTTATAAGAAAAAAGTTTAAAGAAAAAAAATTTAACAAACACAAATAATAATAATAACCCAACATGTTTCGCGTTCTTTGCCACTGCATCGATTTTATTGATTTTCATTCTGCAAACCTGGGAATGTGCGCGCTCGGGAGGGGAGGCTGTCAAAACCCAGTCATCGCGGGGACTGGATGGGGGACAATTCTCCGACGCCGCGGCCTGGACCCGCCCCCACCCAACCGGCGCACCACCTCCCAGGCACCACGGAGCCTGCGCAAGCTGCGGGGCCGTAAAGGAACCGGCCCCCAATCTCCGGGGCTTCAGTCCCGCCCCTCTCTCCCCCCAGTGCCCTGCAGCGCTCCCAGGGTCCGTGTCTGCCCTCCCCAAGCCCCCACTGTCAATACAATCCCTGTTAAAAAAAAAAAATCTTTTTAGAGCCAGGCACGTGCCGTCGGCCTCTCCCCTGCCCGCCTGGCCCAGGAGGCGCCCACACCTGCGCCCTCACTTGCCGAGACTTTTACCTGTGCAGTCCCCGGCGGCGCCTGCAGCCGCGCAGGTAACCGAGAAATGGAAGGGAGGGCTGGGGAGTGAGAAGGACAGAGAGCACCGCCCGACACAACCAGACGCGCGGACCCGGGGCCTCCTCTCTGGACCGGTGCTGGGGCCCTGGTAGAACCAGCTCCGGGAGCCGAAATTGAGCCATGAAGAGTGGGCCGAGGGAGGGGCGAGGGGAACGGGCCTCAGGAGGGAGGGGCGGGCCCGGCGGCACTTCCGTTGGGGGTGGGGCTGCGGGCTGCCGCGCCGGTCCCGCCCCTCCGCCGCGCGGGCCCGCCCGCTCCAGGCCAGGCTCCGCCCCCACCGACTCGGAGCTGGATCTCAGGCCACGGCGCCCCCCCAGTCGCGCCCCCAACCCCGGAGGCCTCGGGCTGAACCGGGTTTCGCAGGAGGGCACAGGGCGGCTCCCTTTTCCTCACCTGGGGGTACTCTCTTTTTAAGTCATAGGAACAGAAGCATCTGCAGACTAGGATCCCAGGCCCAAACTTGCACGTGAGATTTGTTGAAACTTAGGTCATTTGGTACTCCTGACACCTGCCTGGCCCAGGGGTCCTCACGCTCTCTCTGCGGATGTGATCAGCCGTCCTCTTGGACAGTGGGGAATATAGTCCGTGCTCATAGGGTCCCACCTATCTTTCAGGAAGAACAAAAGCAAAAACTAACACTTTTTGATTGTTCATTTTGTGCCAGGTGCCATTTAAAAATTTTGTATGAATTATGTCCTCGCCCACAGCGACTCTCTGAGGTAGGTACCATGAATGCCCCATTTCATAGATAAAGAAATTGAGGCACAGAGAGAAGAAATCTGCCTTGCCTCACCCGCATCCCATCCTCATCCCTTCTTTCCTTCAGATCTGGGGCATGCCAACTCCTTACTCTGGGGGAGTATTGGAGGGAGAATTCTACTTTTCTGATGGGGGAGTACCAGCCTGTTAACCACAACCATTTGCAGCTGAAGCCAGTGCAGAGCAGGAGGGAGATCTGCACAGAGGAGAACAGTATAAATGGCATGGGGTCATCTCAGCCCCTGGCCAGCTCCCAGCCTAATGGGAAAACCGGACCATTGAGCATTCCTTGCTGTTTCCCTGTAGTCCCAGCCCAAGCCAGCATGCTCTTTTTTTAAAAAGCAAATCCAACCATGTTTCTCTTCTGCTTAAAGGCATCCGGGTTCCCATTGTTCTTGAGAACAAGTTGAGCTTGCCTCCCCTGGCTGGCGGGTCTACACTGGCTCTGCCCCAGCTTGCCTTTCTGCCTTTGTCTGCCTCCACACCCCCTCACCTGGAACTCCTGCTACCCAAGGCTTCCTTTTAGTTCCTCAAATGTGCCATGCTACTCCCCACCTCAAGGGCTTTGCTCCTGCTTTTCTCTGTCTCTCTGGAATGACCTGTCCTTCTCTTCACCTGGCTTGCGCATACTCTTCCTTCAGGTCTCAGCTCACACATCACTTTCCTGCATCCTCCCGCCTCCCATTACCCTCACTTATAATAGAATTTCCTGTTGAGAGTCTGTCCGCTTCACTGGATGGTAAACTCCCAGGGGGTAGGGACTAGGGCCGTTCCTTCAAGGAACAAATGAAGAAGGAACATTTGTATAAACCACCAACTATGATGAACGAATGAAACTGCCCTTTTTGGGGCCACCAGTAAGTATTCTCCATGGTCTCACATTCCAAGATGTTCTCAACTTAATGAGGGCGATGATACAAATCTCATGAAAACATATGTTATTTTGAATGCCTTTATTGTAAATGTCAAATAAGGGGATGCTGGAGGAGGTTGGAGAAGAGGAATATGCATGGATTACAGCCATTTATTCAGGGTTTCAAGATGCAAGATGTGTTGGTTGACACAATTTAATGGAAAACCATGCCACCCACGACCATCTCCCAGTGTTGGGCATGTATGTCTCAAGGCTCTAGCCTGCACCCCCTTTCCTCTTCCTTTCTTCACATATTATTGCTATCACAGTTCAGTTCTTACTAGTTTCTGACTTAACTGCTGCTACAAGAACCTTCTAATTGTTCTGCCCATCCTCCACCTCTCCTGCCTCTAATCCATCATACATACTCCTGCTGGGTTAATTTTCCTGACCACATCATTCCCTTACTCAAAACTCTTCAGTGGCTCCCTATGATACAGTGTAACACTTGACTCTTCATAGCCCACTTCCAAACTACTTTTGTAAAGCTTTAAGATGCATTCCAAAATTATGAAAGAAACACATGTTCACCTCAACCAGGAAAACACTCAAAGATATACAAAGAAAAACATCAGTGATCTTCCTCACCTCCTCTGCATTTCCCACCCAGTCTCCCAAGACATCCATTGTTAAGGACCTGGGGTATAACTTCTACCTCTTTCACCATGCTCCATGCTCATAATAAACTATATTCATATATGTGGAGCTATTGTGTTATTGCCTATTTATACAAAAAGGATTATATTAGGGGTCTCTGCAACTCGCTCATTCATTCTTAATAATAAATGGGTCTATAGATATGGAATGAATATATTCATTTTTTAGCTACATAGTAATTTTAATTTATTTTTATTTTTTTTTAATGTATGTATATATGTATGTATTTTAGACAGGGTCTCACTTTGTTGCCCAGGCTGGAGTGCAGTGGCACAAACATGGCTCACTGCAGCCTTGACCTTCCAGACTCAAGCGATCCTCCCGCCTCAGCCCCTCAAGTAGATGGGACTACAGGTACACACCACCACGCCTGGCTAATTTTTGTATTTTTCGTAGAGATGGGGTTTTTCCATGTTGCCCCAGCTGGTTTTGAACTCCTGAGCTCAAGGGATCCACCTGCCTTAGCCTCCCAAACTGTTGGGATTACAGGTCACCATGCTGGCCAGCTACATAATGTTTCATAAGATGTATATACTGCACCTATTCAACCATTCCCCTATTAGTGGGCACATAGATTGTTACCAGGTTTTTTTTGCTAATAAAATTTCTTATGTCTATATCCTTGCAATTAGTGATTTTACTTCTCTAGGATAGTTTACCAAAAGTGCAGCTACTTACACGTCAGCCAAATTGAATTTCTTTGTTCTCCCCACATGCCCTGTGTTTTCCTTCTGTCTCCTCTCCTTGGAAAGCCCTTGTCTTCCACGCTTGTGTGTCTAACTTCCAATCCTGCAATGGTCAAATCTGATACCAGAATTTAGATATATTATCTGATATCCACCTCCCTCCACCTTCCTCATTTGAAAACTGTAGTAGTGTACCAGGCCCAGGCAGTGGTTTGCGATTGGCATAGGCCAATCATGACAATCTTGTTTTCATCTTTCCCTTGCATCCCTGTAGCTGGGTGGCCATGCAACCTATTTTGGCAAATGAGGAACAAGTGGAAGTACAGGGGTGGCAAAGCAGTAAGCGAGTGTTGAGAAGCACTCTATTTTCATGATCAAAGGGGATGATGCCTATGGTTAGACCCTTCCCTTTCCCCTCCTTCCTTGCATGAGCTTGGACATAATATCTACAGCTGTAGTAGCCATCTTGTGACTATGAGGGAAAGTCCTAGAAAACAGAAGAAAGAAACTTAATCCTGATGTCATTGGGACACTGAGCCATCACCAACAATCCTCCTTCTCCAAAACTTTTATTTTGTTAGAAAAATCCCTATTCGTTTAAGCCAGTGAAATTGGGGATTTTTATAATTACAGACAGACATATTCTTCACCTTCTTTAACAAGAAATACCACCCTCCGTCTCAAAAAACAAAAACAACAACAACAACAACAAAAAAACGAAATGCCATCACAGTGGTCCAAAACAGTTTTTAGAAACTTATATTAGAGACTTGCCTTCAAGTATAGTTTTTGAAATAGCCTCAGAAGCAGGCAAACATTTTTATGGCATGGCTTTGGTATTTTAGAATGGCCAAAAGACACCTGGAGGCAAGTGTGGTAATACCTTTAACCTTCAGTGCTACAAGTAAAGTATTGCATGGTGGACATTTAATTTCTTCCTACTCATTTGGTTGCCTAACATCTGAATCCTCTTCCTTGTTGGAAAGCAGGGCCTGCGTCTGATTACTGAAGTGGGAGAGGCCACATCCTCCCTCTCTCTGCCCTCTAACCAATGGATGCTCCCTACCTGGGTCTCAGACTCAAGGGGTGAGCAGAGGATTGTGGTAGTTTGGAAACTCTTCTCAGTAGCAGCAGTGAGCCCAGTGCAATAGCATTGACTAGGAAGGGCAGAGAGGACAGTCACTGCCATGTGCACTGTGATCATGGCAGCCACTCAGGCAGTGGCCTAACTCGGCTGGTATGGTAGCATGGCCAGCCGCATTTCCATTTCCCAGCTGCTGACAGTTCCTGTCCATTTCCCAAGTCTAGGTCTCCAGTCTTCCCACTGATTCTGTGAACTTCCTGATATCCTTCTGATACATTCCTTTTCTGCTTAAGTTAATCAAAGCTAGTTCTGGTCACTCACAACCAACAACGTCAACTGATTTGCCATAGCCTGGCTGTTCAGGTGGCTTCTAAACAGGTCCAATGGTGATTACTTCTTAGTTGTGTCTGTGGGTTCCTATGATGGGTACTTGTGTGGGACTCCAGCACCAAACAGCCTGGCTGAATACCAACCTAGCCAGGTAACGACTTCAGCTGAAAAACTGATCAATGCAGTAAAGAGAAGCAGTCAGGTCAGCATTGAGTGAGAGAATCACACTTGGTTTTACTGAGTGCCTACTGTGTCCTGGACACAATTCTAGGTAGCTTACAACATTATCTTACCTCTTACCAAAGCCCGGTGAGAAAATGATTTTTATCTCCATCTGGTTTGAGAATGTACAGAATTTTTTCCCTTCTAGCCCTTCCCTCCCACAAGCCTGGATGACACCCAATATGTCTGATGAAGGTGTCTAAGGCATCAAAGGACACTGTCAAGATCGACCGCCTTAGGAAACAATCAACTCTGCTTCTTCTTAGCAGAGCTTAAGAGCTTAAGAAACTGGTACCTTGGGGTGCTCAAAAATGTTTGTGGAATGCAATCAATGGCACAGAAACATCTCCAGGGGACATTTCCTTGGGAAAGTCATGGCCTGAAGCATTTGAGGTCTTGTGTGAGTATTGGGGGAGTACCAGGGAAGAGGTAGGTTTTCCCTACTCACTGCACTGCACTTTCCCAAACCTTGACCTTGGCCAATATGCTTCATGTCTCTGGGCTTAGTGTTTATTCTTCTTTTCTCTTCTTTTTCTGTCTCTATCCCTACTTTTTCCCTTCATTTCCCCTCACCTTTTCTGTTAATCAAGGCATTAATAAGGACACAAATGATGTCATCTTACTTTTATTGCCTACATAGTCTACCATATGCATCAACTACATTCAGTAAATATAGGTTAGGCCAGGTGTGGTGGCTCATAGCTGTTATCTCAGCACTTTGGGAGGCTGAGGTGGGAGAATTGCTTGAGGTCAGGAGTTTGAGACCAGCTTGAGCAACATAGTGCGACCCTATCTCTACAAAAAATGAAAAAAATTAGCTGGGAGCGGTGATGCACACCTGTAGTCCCAGCTACTCAGGAGGCTGAGGTGGGAGGACAGCTTGAGCCCAGGAGATGGAGGCTGCAGTGACCTGTGACAGCACCACTGTACTCCAGCCTGGGAGAGCAAGACCCTGTCTCAAAAAAAATTAATATATAGGTTATATAAATAGATTTTTAAAGATTTGACTTTCTTAGTCCCCACCTTTGTAACTGAACATGCTGCCCCGCAGTGACTCCTACCAGCTCTTTGACCACATTCTCATATTCACAACGTTTTACTTGAACAGCCAAAGGCTTTATCATGTTCTCAGTCTCCCTGCCCTGCTGCTTCAGAAGAAAAGGGCGACCAGCCCCTTCAGCGGGGGTGGAGGTGTGCAGTGAGAAGTGGCAACAGTGGCCCAGGGAGCTGGCTGGTGTTGGGAGGGTGGGTCTGCCAGGCTGTGGCGGGGTGGGGGGGGGCAGGCACCACTGGACCTGCCACCAATGTGGCAGGATTGGGGGGATCTGGTGGGGATCAGCTCTGACCACTAGCATCATCTTTGACCTCTTTCCCCCTTAATCATAATTAGCACCCAGACTGTGTTGACTGATTCTCCCTTTGAAATGGGAGATCCACAAGCATTTATGGAAGGAGCAAATGAGTTACTTCCTGCAGAACCCAGGTGTGAAAGGAGTTAGTAAACATGCCAGAATGAGGCCGGCAGTCACGGGAACCAAATGTAGATTAACCCAAAATGTCACAAAGATAAAAAGTAGGGGAATAAGGGCTTTTTAGGAAGGATGGCATTCCATCTTCCCCGAAATGCTTCTGCCTCAAACTCAGTTCTCCTCAACACCCATCTGAAATCCTCCTACGGTAGCCTCCCCTAGTCCTACCTTCCCAAACACTGCTTTGATTGGATCCCACATTGCTCCAAACCCTCATGGACAATTCATTTTCTGCCAAAAAGCATTTCATGTGCCTTAGCTTCTCTCCTTCAATCCGTTTTTTTTTTTTTTTTTTTTTTGAGATGGAGTGTCACCTACTCTGTCACCCAGGCTGGAGTGTAGTGGCATGATAGCTCATTGCAACCTCTGCCTCCCAGGTTCAAGTGATTCTCCTGCCTCAGCCTCCTGAGTAGCTGGGATTACAGGCGCCCACCACCACGCCTGGCTAATTTTTATTTTTTTGGTAGAGACAGGGTTTCACCATGTTGCCCAGGCTGGTCTTGAACTGCTGGCCTCAAATGATCCACCCACCTCGGCCTCCCAAAATGTTGGGATTACAGGCGTGAGCCACCATGCCTGGCCGCTCTCCTTCAGTCTTACTGTCAAGACTTGCTTTCCACTGTCCCTGAGGACCAGCCATCCAGCCAGCCTGGAATCTTCCCCCTGCACCAACACACCCTTCTTTGTCCCATCTGTACTCATTAGGCTCCCTCCTGTACCATCCAGCTCAGGACACAGCACCGCCCTGCCCCTCCGTCCATCTGATTAGAACATGGTGCTTCAGCATGTGGTGGTCTCTGGGGCATGACTGCTTGGGTCTAAGGAACAGCAGTACCACACTTGCTAGATGTGTGACCTGGGGCAAGCTTCTTCACCTCTCTGAAGTTTCAGTTTCCTCTTCTGCCAAATGGATGTAATAATGATCTCTACTTCATATGGTCGATGGGTAAATTAAATGAGACAATGCATGTGCCTGGCACAGAGAGTGCTCAAAGTGGTCATTATTATTATTATTATCCCGTGTTCTTTCTTACCTCTGAATCCTGGCGTGCTTGCTGTCTGTGCCACTCATCTGGCACTTAATTATCTACTAATTGATGATATATTTTATTAGCTATTTAAATTCTTATTGTTTAGCTTTTTGTGTATATGTGTGTGTTTAACTTTCCAATTAGATCTTAAGCTCCTCCAGGGCTGAACCAGATGCCTTCTTTATACTCTCAACACAGACTAGCAGAGAGCTAAGTAACAAGCAGGCACTAATTAATGAACACTTACTAAAATGGGTAATAAAACATTCAATGCCTGTATAGTTTTTTCACAACCAGGATCTCCCTTAATCCTCGCAACAATCCTATAAGGCCTATATTGTTATCCCCATTTTACAGATGACGAAACTGAGGTTCACAGAGAGAGAGTCAGTTGCTCAAGTTCCAAAAGTAAGGGCTCTCTGTGGCCTCACAAGAGCTTCCTTCAGCTTTCAGAAATCCTGGCAATGCCTCCCTCTCATGCTCTAATGACCAAAACACACCTTCTCTGCTAACCCAGTTAAGCATCCCTGACACCTCTAACATTCTTTCCATGTGCTCATGGGAAGAGATGTTGAAGATATATCGTTAAATGGAAAAAGCTGGTTATGAAAGAGCAGGGGTGCACACAAACCCACAGCAAATACATATCACCTAGAAAGCTGGCTGCAAGGGAGTCTATGGGACCGCTGGTCGTCTTAGGGGGTGGGGTCGTGGGTGATTTTAACTTTTTCTTGCTCACCTGTAGTTTCTACTACAAACATTCATACTTTTAACATTGAGAAAAAAACAATACAAGTTTTGTTTGCTTACTTGTTTAACAGAGACAATGATGCAAGCCTCCTAGTTGCCTTTTACTAACAAATGCTCCTAGTGGAGGCAAGCTCTTCCCTCTCCCTTCCTCCCTCCTCACTCTGAGCCAGGTGGGCAGAGACCCATCGCTGGCACTTATTAGTCACAGGTTTGAAATGCAGGGGTGGGTTGGGGAGGTAGAAGTGATTGGTGTGGGGTGGGAATTTGGGGATTCTTTTATCCCTTGCATCTCAAAGGCTGACAGGCTCTTGAGGGGTGGAAATGACTGGTAATTAGTGAACCTTCTCCAGAGTATACACGAAAGACACACTTCACAGTCTCCGTGACCTCTGCAGCCCGGTGAGGCTTTGTTATGTAGATGCTCTTAATTGGGTGAGTCACTTACTGCAAACAGCTTCAGGAGAGAGCGCTGTGGGCTGTTTCAGGGAGGCTTCCTACTAGGGCTTCTAACTCAGGAATTAGAGGGGTTGACAGCAATGGCCTCCAGGTAACTCCACTCCCACCCCCATAGAAATGAGAAGTGGTCCCCATGGTTAGAAGTCAACACAGCAAGCTTTTAGGGCATCTTGAGTATGAAGAGTGTTAACTGATGGCCTTCATCCTCCTCCTCCTCCCACTCTCCATCTCCCTCTTCTTTCCAGTTTATTGATTATCCATTCTGGGCGAGGCTGGGAATATTTTGAGATATAAACTGGGTTCCCTTCATTCAAGGAACTGACCACCTAGTTGGGAAGTCAGGAACAGATATGCGTGGACATAACACCACCAAAAAGCAGGCATCCATGTCAGGCCCAAGGAGATGCATTAAAATGACATTTCAGATCCTGGAGCAGTCACTGAAGGCTGGACCATCAGGGAAAGCCTGTCCACAGGGACAGCAGGACTTGGAAGGTGTTCTGGGGAGAGGGATTCCCGGGATTCAGAAACTTTACAAACAAAAGCATCTTCAGGTCACTGTCACACCCAGAGCTGTGGCCCCCAGCACCCTAAGCGTGGTGCAGACGTCAGAGACACAGAGTGCACTGTGGGAATGACTCATGGGTGCTCAGGCAGGCTGTTGGTCCTACAGAGTCCCATCTGCTGCTTTCCCCAGAGGAGGGCACAATGCATGAAGGCTTTCAAATGCATCATGTCCCAAACGGAACTTATCATGTGGTATTTTGGTGAATGACAGCATCTAAGCTCCTTCATCCTTTGCTCCCAAACAGGCATTACATTAAGGCAGTTGGGCGGCAATCTCTTTGCAACCATCCCCTCCTGTCCCCTTGCATCCCTATTGCTGCATTCTCTCTTCAGGCCCTCGCCACCCTTTCTAGGGGTAGGATACACTTGCAGGGTCTCTGCGGACATTTTCCTACTCTCCCCCTTCTCAGCCATCCTTTCCCAAACTGTCAGATTGATTGCTCTAAAATGCCGACGTGCTTAATTTTACTCCCATTGTCCTCAACGTGAGGCCTAGTCAGCTCTTTCCCATCTGGCCCTTGCCTGCCTCTTTTGCTGTCCAGATCGTCAAGGTCACCAATGACCCACAAATTGTTAAATCCAATGTTAATGCTCAGTCCTCCATTTACTTGGCCTTAACCAGCACTGGACGCAGTTGATCATGCCATCTTCCTTTCAGTCCTTCACATTGTATTTATTTATAACATTTTCAAACATATGAAAAAATAGGACAATGAATGCCCAGTACCCTTCACTTCAACTCACCACCTGGCAACACTTCGCCACATTGGTTCTCCCTCTCCTCCCCACCCTGCCACACACAATTTTTGGGAACCATTTGAAAGCTGTGGGCATCTTGATGGCTACTCTTAATTTCTTCATGTCCTAAGGAAAAGGATATTCTATTATGAAACCACAAGACAGCACAACGCAGAAAAGTAATGTTAATTCAATATCGTCAGTAATATTATCAAATAGTTCACATATAAATGTTCCCAGTTATCCCTATCATGTCTTTTTAGCTGTCCCTCTTCCAGTTCCAGTGTTCAATAAAGGAGCATGCATTTGACTTGGCTGTCATGTCTCCTTGGTCCATTTTTATCTAGAACAGTTCTCCCAGCCTTTTTGGTTTTTCATTATATTATTTTGGACAGTCTAGTGTTATTGTCTTATAAAACATTCCACTTTCTGGATTTGTCTGTTTCCTCACCCATGGATCCTGGTTAAACTTTTAATGGCAAGAACAGCATGCAGGTGGTATGTACTTCCCATTGAATCACATCAGAGGCCCATGATGTGAGGTCGTATCACCCTTGGAGATGCTGTCTGAGCTGTTGGTTAGGGTTGTGCCCCTTAGATCTCTCCACTGTAGAGGTACATTTTTCCCTTTGTAAATTCCCCTTTGTCTGTGGGGTGACACTTTGTGTCTATTTTTAATTTAATTTTATTTTATTTATTTTGAGATGGAGTCTTACTCTGTCGCCCAGACTGGAGTGCAGCGCCATGATCTCAGCTCACTGCAACCTCCACCTCCCAGGTTCAAGTGATTCTCTTGCCCCAGCCTCCCAAGTAGCTGGGATTACAGGTGTGCACCACTAGGCCCGGCTAACTTTTGTAATTTTAGTAGAGATGGGGTTTCACCATGTTGGCCAGGCTGGTCTCAAACTCCTGACCTCAAGTGATCAGCCCTCTTCGGCCTCCCAAAGTGCTGGGATTACAGGCGTGAGCCACCGCACCCGGCCTGTGAGGTGATACTTTGGAGGCCATGCAAATATCCTATTCATTCCATGCTTTCAACATCCCCTGGTGATCCTTGGCAACATTGGTTATCACCTTGGGAACCCTGTCTTTTCTGATCACTTTCTTTTCTTGGCTCCCAGGCCCTAACTTGCCTTTGATTCTTCCTTTCCTCTCCAGTTGCTACTTCTCAGTCTCTTTGTGATTCTTCCATTTTCTTTGACCTCTAACTGTTGGAGGGTTCTAGGGCTCAATCTTCAGATCTTTTTCATCCTGTCTTTTGGCTTTATATGCCACCTGAAAGCTGAAGACTCCCAAATTTCTAACTCTAGTCCAGATCTGTCTCTTAAATTCCACACTCATGTATCCAGTTTCCTTCTTGTCATCTCCACTTACAAGCCTCAAAGTCAAGGCCAGGCACGTGGCTCAAGCCTGTAATCCCAGCACTTTGGGAGGCTGAGGCTGGAGGATCACTTGAGCTCAGGATTTTGAGGTTACAGTAAGCTCTGATTGTACCACTGCACTCCAGCCTGGGCAACAGCGAGACCCTGTCTCTAAAACCCAGCCAACTAAAAATAAGCATCAAAATCAACTTAGGCCAGGCTTGGGGGCTCACGCCTGTAATCCCAGCACTTTGGGAGGCCAAGGCAGGCAGATTGCCTGAGCTCGGGAGTTTGAAACCAGCCTAGGCAACATGGTGAAACCCCATCTCTACTAAAAATACAAAAAATTAGCTGGGTGTGGTGGCGGGCACCTGTAATCCCAGCTACTCAGGAGGCTGAGGCAGAAGAATCGCTTGAACCTGGGAGGCAGAGGTTGCAGTGAGCCGAGATCGTGCCACTGCACTCCAGCCTGGGCAACAGAGCGAGACTCTGTCTCAAAAAAAAAAAAAAAAAAAACTCAAACTTATCAGGTCTAAAAATGACCCCTGATGCCCTTCACCCTCTAATTTTCTCATCCATTGCAATTCATTTATTCAAAAGATATTTGTTGGGCTGGGTGTGGTGGCTCAGCCTGTAATCATCAACATGTAGGGAGGCCGAGGCAGGTGGATCGCTTGAGCTCAAGAGTTCGAGACTGGCCTGGGCAACATGGTGAAAGCCTGTCTCTACAAAAAATACAAAATTTAGCTGAGCATGGTGGTGTGTGTCTGTGGTCCCAGGTACTCGGGAGGCTGAGGTGGGTGGATTGCTTGAACCTGGGGGCCAGAGGTTGCAGTGAGCCGAGATCTCACCACTGCACTCCAGGCTGGGGGACAGAGCCAGACCCTGTCTCTGTCAAACAAAACAAAATGCAACAAAAAATAAAATCAAACTATTTGTTGAATGCCTACAATCTGCCTGACATGACTCTACATTTTGGGAACAGAGTAGTAAAAAAAAAAAAGAAATTCCACCCTGTGGAGCTTACTTTCAGTAGGGGAATCAAAAATAAATAAGTAAATAGAGAGCAATGAGTGCTGTGGAGAACCATACAGCAGGGAAGGGGGACGGGAGCACCAGGGTGGACAGGGTGATTAGGGAAGGCCCCATTGAGAAAATGAGATGAAGCCGAGACCGGCAGAAAGTGAGGGATGGAGCGTGACAACTCTATCCTTCTGGCTGCTCAGGCAAACACCTTGGAGCTACGCTTGACTATTGGTTTCTTACACTTTCCATGTCCAATCCATCAGAAAATTCTGTTGATGCCATCTTCAAAATACATCCAGGCACTGTTCACAGTCCACAGGATTCCTGTGACAGCCTGCTGTCTTGCCTCCTGGCCTCTGTCCCTTCTCCATGATCCATTCCCAGCACAGCAGCCAGAGCAGTCTTTTTTTATTTTTTTTATTTTTTTGAGACAGAGTCTTGCTCTATCGCCCAGGCTGGAGTGCAGAGGCCCGATCTCGGCTCACTGCAACCTCCACCTCCCAGGTTCAAGCAATTCTCCTGCCTCAGCCTCCCAAGTAGCTGGGATTTCAGGCATGCACCACCACACCTGGCTAATTTTTGTACTTTTAGTAGAGACAAGGTTTCATCATGTTAGTGAGGCTGGTCTCGAACTCCTGACCTTGTGATCCGCCTGCCTCGGCCTCTGGAAGTGCTGGGATTACAGGTGTGAGCCACCACGCCCGGCCCAGAGCAATCTTTTTTTTTTTTTTTTTTTTTTTTTTGAGACAGAGTCTCACTCTGTTGCCAGGCTGAAGTGCAGTGGCCCAATTTAGGCTCATTGCAACCTCCGCCTCCTGGGTTCAAGCGATTCTCCTGCCTCAGCCTCCTGAGTAGCTGGGACTACAGATGTGCCCCACCACGCCCAGCTAATTTTTGTAGTTTTGATAGAGACGGGGTTTCACCATGTTGGCCAGGATGGTCTTGATCTCTTGACCTCGTGATCCGCCCGCCTTGGCCTCCCAAAGTGCTGGGATTACAGGCATGAGCCACCACACCCAGCCAGCCAGAGCAGTCTTTACAAAATGTGAGTCAGATTAGGCCCATCCTCTGCTCAGGACCCCCGATTTAGCCAGGAGTGCTCATGCCTGTAATTCCAGCACTTCGGGAGGCCGAGGCGGGCAGATCCCGCAAGCTCAGGAGTTTGAGATCAGCCTGGGCAACATGGCAAAACCTCATCTCTCCAAAAAATTAAAAAAACATTACCCAG
The DNA here is from genome assembly GCF_000001405.40 of Homo sapiens. Classification (NCBI taxonomy): domain Eukaryota; kingdom Metazoa; phylum Chordata; class Mammalia; order Primates; family Hominidae; genus Homo; species Homo sapiens. The sequence continues at coordinate 75,422,803 of NC_000010.11, forward strand.
GTGTAGTGATGCGCACCTGTAGTCCCAGGTCCTCTGGTTGCTGAGGTGGAAGAATTGCTTGAACCTGGGAGGTTGAGGCTGCAGTGAGCTGGGATCATTCCACTGCACTCCAGCCTGGGTGCCAGAGCAAGACCCTGTCTCAAAAACAAAAACAAAACAAACAAAAAACCCTCTCCATCTCAGGTGGAGTACAAACTCAAGTCCTAACCTCAGCCTATTTGGCCCTACATGATCTGTCCCCTTCACACCTGCCCTGTGACTTCACTTACCATTACTCTCCCCCATCACTAACTCCAGCCCGACGTGCACTTGCTGCCTCAGGGCCTTTGCACTCGCTGTTCCTATTGCTAGGCACATTTTCCCCCTAGAAGTTCACTTGGCTCTCCCCTACTTCCTGCAGATCTCAGCTTCATCTCAGTTTCTCAGTGGGGCCTTCCCTCGTCACCCTGTGTACCCGGCACTCCTGTCCCCCTTCCCTGCTGCGTTGTTCTCCACAGGACTCATCACACTCTGTATTTTCCTTCTCCCCTTCCCCTTTCCTTTCCTTTCTTTTTTTCTTGTGTTGCTCTGTTACCCAGGCTGGAGTGCTGGGATCACAGCTCACTGCATCCTCATCCTCCTGGGTTCAACTGATCCTCCTACGTCAGCCTCCTGTGTAGCTTGGACTACAGGCGCGCACCACCATGCCCAGCTAATTTTTTGGTAGCTTTGTAGAGACAGGCAAAACCACATTTACCAGGCTGGTCTTGAACTCCCGGGCTCAAACGATCCACCCACCTTGGCCTCCCAAAGTGCTGGGATTACAGGCGTGTGCCACCACACCTGACCTCCTTGTTTATTTTCTGTTCTTCTACTGAAAATGAGCTCCACAAGGGTAGAAACTTTCTTTTTCTTTTTTTTATAGCTATGTCTCCAGAGTTTAGATTCCTGTCAGGCAGACAGTAGGCACTCAACTAGTATTTTTTGAACAAATGAACTGAATGAATAAATTTCTAGCACCTCAGTATAAGCTATAAATCCTCTCAGGTTTAAGGAAGTACTGGTACCTATAATGTCTGCATTCTCTACTGGCCACTAGTAGCTATTTCAGTGAGACGGGAGACCAAGACATGCCTAGGAATGGGGTTCAGGGTTCAGACCATAGCTGTGAGATGGCACACATGGATCCAAGGTTGGCATGTGTCTCACGTGGCTATGTGCTTACATGTATGTTTGTGGGCTTTTTTTTTTTTTTTTGAGACAAAATCTTGCTCTGTCACTTAGGCTGGAGTGCAGTGGTATGATCTCAGCTCACTGCAGTCTCCGCCTCCCTGGTTCAAACGATTCTCCTGCCTCAGACTCCCAAGTAGCTGGGATTATAGGCACCTGCCACCACACCTGCCTAATTTTTGTAATTTTAGTGGAGATGGTGTTTCACCATGTTGGCCATGGTGATCTAACTCCTGACCTTAAGTGATCCACCTGCCTTGGCCTCCCAAAGTGTTGGGATTACAGGTGTGAGCCAATGTGCCCAGCCTGTTTGTGTGCTTTTGTGTGTCCACAAGATTCTGTGCCAGTGCAGACATGCATAAGGGCCAGCACTCCTTCTGCGTTTTTCCCTCTTCAAGAAAACCACAGATGCTTTATAGAGCTGTGGAACCTCTGTGTGTCCATGAATGACTCTGCTTCCAGCTGCTGCATCCCAAAGCCTTAGTCCACCTGTGATTTGGAGCTGAGGAGCAAATCAAAGCCAGGTGCAGCTGTACTGGAAGACTCTTCTTTCTGGTTGGAGTGACACTTTGTCCTTGGAAACAATCGAGTTCAAGTTCACCACTCAAGCATAAGCAAAGTGACTACATGAGACTAAGAGAATGTGTTTGCTATTCCCTCTGCAAACCCTTCTCCCAAGGCCTTCCCATGACTGGCTCCATCTCATGATTCTGACTTCAGCTCAAATGTCACTTGAGAGAGGCCTTCCCAGAACATTCCACAGCTGTCTGAGGCCATGCAGTTTGTGCATCACAATAGCATTGTGCAGAGGGGGTGAGTGGGGACAAAATCCAGCCTGTGATCCACTCCTCAAGGATTTCATAAGAAAAAGGCTTTGGAGGGCGAGCAAAGACCTTGGACACTGTGTCTAGGTTAGCACCCCCCATCTCCCATACCCTGTCTCACACTGTCCACTTTTGTCTTCATAGTATGGATGACTGCTATCTGAAATGAGGTATTTTGCCTACTTGAAATTATGTTTCAACTTGTTAGCTGTCTTCTCCCACCATAATGTAAGCCTCACAGGAGTAAGGACTGTATCTGTCTTGTTACTATTTGTCCTCCCAGTGTTCGACACATAGTAGGTGCTCAATAAATATCTACTAGTGAGTGTATTCTCTTTCTTTTAGTTTTATTTTTATTGATACATAATAGATGTATATATCTTGGGAGTACATATAATACATTTATATAATTTGTAAAGATCAGATCAATGTAATTTTTTTTTTTGAGATGGAGTCTTGCTCTGTTGCCTATGCTGGAGTGCAGTGGTGCAATTGCAGCTCACTGCAACCTCCAACTCCTGGGCTCAAGGGATCCTCCTGCCTCAGCCTCTCAAATAGCTGGGATCACGGGTGTGTGCCACTGTGCCCAGCTAATTAAAAAAATTTTTTTTTTTTTGTAGAGATGGGGATCTCACCATCTTGCCCAGGCTTGTCTCAAATTCCTGAGCTCAACTGATCCTCCCACCTCAGCTTCCCAAAGTGCTGTGATTACAGGTGTAAGCCACTGTGCCCAGCCTCAATGTAGTTCAGCTATATATAACTTTAAATATTTGTCTTTTTGCTAGGAACATTCAAATTATTCTCTCCTAGTATTTTGAAATATACAATAGATTTGGGGAGATGTGCATTTTTATCTAAGTAATCAATAGCTCCTTAGATCAGTTAGTTTGCATTTGAGGAAACTGAGGAACTTAGGAGTGGAAGGATTAATCTAATCTATGAGCACCCAGTGAGTTAGTAGCAAAGCTAGCTCCTGAACCCAGCTCTCCTAGGCCAGGGCACCGCCCACCACAATGCTCCAGCAGTATCAACCTTCATCTGGCCCTCAGAATCTGGCACTGGTGGTGCCAGGTGCACTTGACACTTGCTTTGCCCCGGGTTCACAGCTGCGAAGAGAGCCTGGGCTTCTTTCGGAGAAGTGGGAAGAGACTCAGAATTAATACTGGTAAGTCACACCGGAACCCTTATGTGCACATTATTGCCCCCCCATATATTCTAAAATAATCCCTGTAAATAATTATAAAAATAAATCTCAGGGACAAATTTTTTATTTCCAGGAACACATTTATTCATCATAATCTCTTCAGGGGTGGGACAAATTGGAGCACTGAGTAGTGAATACAATTTGCAAATAGGCAATGTAAGTAGAGAGAAAATTAATATGTATTCCTTGATGCTCTAAAAGGAGAGGAAGAACATTAATAGCCATTTCCTTGCAGACATAACTTTCAAAATGTTATTTCTGATCTATCAGCGTGAGGCTCCATATGAGGAAAATGGTTGCAACGTGACAAGAAGTGATTAGATGTGAAATGGCATCTTTCAGGTGCTCCTCTCAGCCTCCTTATCCTGTTTTTAGTGGGACATAGGAGGAGTCCTGTTTTCTTTTCTGGCCTGGGGTCACCTGCTTATTTGCTGGGTGACCTTGGGCAAGTCCCTTCTGCCCTTTAAGCCTCAGTTTCCCTCATCAGTAATTGGAGTAGATGATTTCTAAAGCAGTGAGTTTTGGATGATCATAAATCCAAATTATTTTGGGAGTACTTGAGAAAAATACAGATACTAGGGGACCACCTTAATGAACTGACTACCAAGTTCTATGTATTTTAATTGAGGGTGGGAGGAACCCTTCCCCAACTTCCAAGTGGCAGAACCTCTCCAAGTCAAGCTGGGATTCTGGAAAGGTGCTCCCACTGGAAATAGACAGTTGGGTGGGTTCTCTTTCCCTCTTGAAGGTCCAACGTGAGCCCCCCTCCTCCAAGTCAGCGATGACTTGCCTCCCATGCCCAGCCAAGGACTTGGAGTTGCGGCGAGTTCCAGGTAAAATGGGAAATAAGATTTGTTTCTCATTGCTGTTTTCAGGATTTGTTAAAATAGTACTAAGAGATTAGCAGATAGTAGTTTTCATGGTAAATTCTCTATTCTGTGCCAATCTCCTCCTTTTTTGTTTTTAATTATAAAAGTAGTATACGCATGTTACCAAAACCACAGAAGAAATGGAGTGAAAAGCAGAAGCTCCTTTCCCACTCCCACCTTCCTCAAACCCACTCCATTCTCCACAGCCAACTAATGTTTGCATTTTACTTTATTTTTATTTTTCTAGCAAGAGAATCTTACTATGTTGCCCAGGCTGGTCTCAGTGCTAGATTACAGGTATGAGCCACCATGCTCAGTCCTATTGTTTGCATTTTCACAGAGAAATAATGACAAAACCTTTTAAGACCTAAAGAGAAGGAAAACAGCCATGTGCGGTGACTCATGCCCATAACCCCAGTACTTTGGGAGGCTGAGGTGGGTAGGTCGCTTGACCCCAGGAATTCAAGACCAGCCTGGCCAACATGACAAAATCCCATCTCTACAAAAAATACAAAAAAATTAGCCAGGTGTGGTGGTGAGTGCCTGTAGTCCCAGCTACTTGGGAGGGTGAGGCAGGAGGATCACCTGAGCCCTGGGGTCGAGGCTGTGGTGAGCTATGATTGCGCCACTACCCTCCAGCCTGGGACCCTGTCTCAAAAAAATAAAAATAAAAAAAAAGAGAAGGAAAACTAGAGGCACTGAGAATAATAAATTAACATTTGTGGAATGAACACTCATCCTAGATATTATGATGGTATTTAATATATATTTTTAAAAATTCAGTTTGTTCTGATTGGGAAATACTGGAGGGGCTTTGGAGCACAGATCATCCTCAGTCCCCTCACATATGTGCAAGTACTTTGAAGAGGGCCCTGGAAACCTTTCTTCTTTCCTGCACTTCCTAGACTTTCTCCTTTAGGCTGAAAGGGGGCTGCTTCGGCAACAAAGAGCATTTCATAAGCGGAGCATTTCTTAAGTAGACACCCCGCCTTTTTTTTTTTAAATTGAAATTTGAATGTGGTGAGTCTGAATTAGGGCCCACGGCATGATTAATTACAGCAACCATCTTAACCTGCCCGGGGGCTGGGCCTGAAAGAAATGAGGCCAGGCTGAAGAGAAATACAGCTAAGGATAGTTAGGAATGCTAACAAAACTTGGTTAACTGGCCCTGTTCTTCTCTCAGCTGCTAATGCACAGTTGGAAGATTTAAGGAATCAGTTCCTGTTTCACTGGTTCTGGCCGACCCCAGAATCAACTCCCTTGATTGGAAATAAACAGGATCTTCCTTTTTGTCCCCAGGAATGTGATGGAGGAAGGACTCTAAGGCAAAGGGCCTCTTCTGCCAAAGCAGAATAATAATAACAATGATGACAATAGGAATAAAATATTGCCCTCTTCATCAAGGGCGATAAGAGAATGTCCAGTTGTATGAGTTGAACCTTGTTGCTCTCTATGTGCCCGTCAGAGCTCCAGAATTCACAGGCTCAGGGTGGTCAGCATAGGTTGGATTTGAACTTTCTGTTTTGTGGTCCTCCTGAGTGCACTTGTACAAGCTGGGCTACGTGCTTCAATTTGGGGTTCAGAAAACAGGATCACAATGACAGCACTTCTTGCTGACACAGTGCTGTGAATGTCTGTGCACAAGTCTGAGCGTCTCTCCTGAACAGTATTAGTCAGGGATGTCCCTAGTGCCTAGCACAAGGCCAGAAGCTGGGGCACAGCGGCTGTGAAGTAAGATGGGCAGGATAGGAAGCTAGCAGCTCACTTTCAATGAGTCATGGAGTGGGGTGAGAGGACCGTGACTGCATGAGCCCATATTTTACCTCAGTGCTCCTGGGGCTGGGGCAGAAAGAGCTGTGTTCAGGACGAAGCCCCTACAGGACTCGTCTGCTATGTTCACCCTTGTAAAGTCTTTGTATTCCGGAGGAATTATTTGTCTAACTCCTAGGTCAGTCTTATCTCAGTGTTTTTTTTGTTTTGTTTTGTTTTTTGCTCTCTCCCCTCCCCGAGGGAGGGCTACATTATGGAGGAACTTTACTATTTCTGTTTAATCTTCCTTTTTGTTGGCAACAGTGATAAGGAGGTAGAAGGATGTTCCCCCTCCCGGCTTCCAATCTTCCTTGGTCCAGGGACACAGATTCTTTTTCTTTTCCTTTTACCTTTCTCCCTTCCCCCCTTCCTCCTTCTGTTCCTTCTATTCTCCTTTCCCCTCCTCCTTCTCCTTGTTCTTCTATTCTGAAGACTAACTCCAAAAGCTGAGGAGTAAGGACAGGTGAATCCAGTTTGTTTCTGCTGGTGTCCTCCCCCAACAACATTCAGGAAATTACTTCTGCTACGGTCTGAACATTTGTGTCCCTCCCAAATTCATATGTTGAAATCATAACCTCCAAGGTCTTAGGTGGAGCCTTGTGGGGGGTGATTAGATCATTGGCGTGGAGCCCTCAGGAATGGGATTAGTGCTGTTACAAATGAGGCCCACAGGAGCTAGCTTGTCCCTCCTACCATTTGAGGACACAGGAAGAAGGCCGTTGTCTGGGAACCAGAAAATGGGCCCTCACCACACACCAAATCGTGGGTGCCATGATCTTCAGCTTCCCAGCCTCCAGAACTGTGAAAAATAAATTTCTATTGTTTATAAGCACCCAGTTTATGGCATTTTGTTACAGCAGTCCTAGTAGACTAAGACAACTACTTTGCTCAAGAACTTTCAATAGCTCCCTATTGTTATCAGTTTACAGTTCCAACACTAAAGCCCCCCTCCAACAGAGCTATCCTGATCTTAATTTTTGTGATTTCTGCACATGATCCTTCCCCACACCATCAACTGGCCTTCTTGATGTGTTCACCAAGCAGAGACAGCAGTAGGTGGGGAAGCATTTCCAGCTGAAACTAACAGCTTCTGTGAAGCCAGAGGACGGGAGAGCTGGGACAGGTGGCTGAAGAGGTAAGAATTGATGGGATTATAAGAGATCTTCAGGGACATACTAAAGATTCTGGACTGTATTAATTATTACTTGATTAGGAGCCATTGAAAGATTTTAGGTAGGATCTAATTGGGCTTTTAAAATGGTTGCCCTGGGGCTATGTGGAGGAGGCAACAGTAGTGAGAGGGTGTGGAAAGGGGGAAAGATGCCAGCCCACTTTGGTGACATTGGTAGTGTCTGCAGAACAGCCTATGCTCAGATGACCCAGCTGTGTATGGAGGCAGGGGGATGGATGAGATGACCTTCAGTAACCCCCTTCTGGTGGGGGAAGGGAGAGCCGTTCTCCAATCTCATCTTTGAGTCAGCTTGGGCCTGTTTCCACAAGTCCTCTTCCATCTGTCAAAGCCCTTCTAGGAAAGCTGAGCTGAAAGGCAGCTGCGGAGGGCAGAGTGCTGGCTGGGTCCGGGCTCACTTCCTCCTTTTCAGGCAGGAAAAGCAGACAAAAGTGCACAATGGACCAGAGAGGGCGCGTCCAGCAGAGAAGGAGGGAGAAGGCGGGGGAGCTGGTCCTTGGGGCAACAGGCCTGGGAAGGTTCCCTTTGATCCCCTTATCTCTGGAGGGTAAGCTTTCTTTTTTGGCCTGCAGGACCTTTTGTTGCAGCATTTCCTGGAATCCCCCAAAGTAAACACAGTCAAGACTGCATTCTTACTGCTCTACTCTTCTGAGCCTGCTCCTCCCAGCTGAGAGAGGGGCAGGAAGGTCAACCCTCCGAGATCAACACTGCTCATCAAAATGCTGACAAGGGCCCACCTAACAATGTGTTAGGACCGGGGCTGTCTGAGAGACGATGCCAGTTAAGGCTGGGCTGGCTCTTAGCTGCAGCAAGAGTGGAAGATGACAACCAGTTGATATCTGGTAGCTCTGTGCATCCTGGACTTGGAGGCAAGAATAGGCAAGGAGAAAATCTGGATCCTTCCAGAGAATTTCAGAGAAAAACAGGCATGGGTTTAGGGAGTTACCTGCCCACTGGGCCTACTTTCATCCAGACAGGAGGCCCGTGGCCAGCTCTTCCAGGTGGGGATGGGGTGGGTGGGGAACAGCGAATAACCCCACTGATAACTTCAAGCCTCACAAATCTCTTGCCCTCTGAGGAGCAGGAGAAGAGAAGCCTGAAATTTGGGGTCACCAGCCAATTATCCTTCCCCAGGGTTTATTATTGTCAACTCTTAGAGGCCACAGGGAAAGGGTGGGGTGGTCTTCACCAAGCCAGCGTTTTATTTATAGGGAAATTCAACCCCCCCAATCCCCCTCCCCTCCTACAAATGGAAACTGGGCCGCACCAGGAGTCCTTCAACCTTCTAACTTTCCCTCTCCCCAGCTTTGATGAGGAGGGGCGTTCAGCCAAGAGGCCCCTCCTCGCTGCAGTTGAGGTCCATTATGTAACCCAGCTTGCGAAATGCAGGAAAGGCCCGGCTGGCTACAGCCCGGCTAACGGCTCAGAAAGGGCGCCCCTGATAGGAATACCCCCACCTCAGGCGTGGCCCAGACAAACGCGATAAAGCTGTGGGCATGGAGTTTTGGGCATTGGGACATCCGGGGGAGGGAGGGGCGCGGGCAGTCGGGGTCAGGCCGCCGTCGGGGCGCGGGGCGCTGCGGGCCACCTGTTGCAGCGGGCGGCCAGGGCTCACCTGCGCGGAGACCGGGCCGAGGGGCGGCGGCGGCGAGCGGCGGAGCTGAGGTCCCCGAGGCTAGCCCGCGCCTCCGGCTTCCGCCGGGTCAGCTGACTGCCCAGTGCGGAACTGTGCGCCCGCCGCGCTCCCCTGCCGCGCTCCCCGCTGCTGCCGCCGCGCCCCCGCGCTCCGTCCCGCGCGCCCGCAGCGTCCTGGCCGCCATGGCCGGGCTCGTGGTGCGTGGAACTCAAGTAAGTCCCGGCCAGCCCCGCCTCCGCCCGGGGCGCAGTCCGCGTGGGGAGGGACAGCGGGGCACAGAGGCTCCCCAGGGCCTAGACACCCCTGTCCCCGCCTCAGGGGGCTGCGTCTGCAGGGGGTGAGCTTCAGGTGCTCAGGCTCGCCCTAGTGGGGCTAGGACAGACCTCGTTTCGGGCCTGGCACACCCCCTTGATGTGCGGGAAGAACACCCGCAAGGTCTCCCGTTCTCCCCACTTCCTTCTGCCCTTAGCGCCTCACTGAGCAGGCCCAGCGGACACAGTGCTGACGGCCCCCGCTGCTTTTGGGGGCCCACAGAAAATGTTCCAATTTCATAATCTGAATTTTAAAAACTTTTGGTCAAAGAATCCATTTTGATAAATCACATTGATATAGTCATCTTTATACCAATGCAGTTGTAATATACAAATTTACTTATTTGTAAATGGAGGAAGGGGTTTATGAAGGCAAAAGTGTCTAGGGTACCCAAAGTCCCAGCACATCCCTGGAGATGAGGGTGCTGGTGGGCCCTGCGCTGAATGGGCTACGCCATAGCCAAAGGCTGATGGAAGGCCACCGACCTCCAGTTCTCTTTCCACACTCGATTTCTTGAACAGGAGTCTGTGATGAATGGCAACACGCCAGTTTCAATCCTGGGTGCCAGACACCCAGTCTCACATGCTTTGAGCTCTGTAGTGAAGCCTCAGGTGTTCATTGTTGGAGGGATGAACCCAGCCACTCTGGGACCAGGTGTCTTTCTTACCTGCTGGAAAAGCCAGTTCTCTGTCTTTAACCTCTTCTCTGCTCTGATGAAGCCAGAGCCCTCTTACTTCCCACCTTTCCCTGCACACCCTGGAGAAATAGTTCTGAGTTTTTGAAGCTCTCCTCTTGGATTGCCTAAGGCAGGTAGTGTCAGGCACAATTGGATTTTGAGATTACTTTGGGCTGAAGGGAATGATTCCTCCTTAGAGGAGATTCTAGGGGTTTTTACAGCTCCTACAGATGCAGTGAGGGCCAACTGTGCAGCCCATTAAACTAGCCGCTGCCTGTTTTCTTTTTTTCCAGAGTCCTGTCGTTTCATCAGGTACACATGTTTATTGAGTGCCTACTGTATGCCAGGCACCATGCCAGGTGTTGTTGGAAATTAGCCTTTCCTTTGTCTCTGTGCACCCCCCATTTAACAGTTTTGTTGCTCAGGAATGCTGGCTCTGTCCCTTGACCCACAGCCTGGGAGGAGAGAGCTGGAGAAAGACCAGAGTTCAGAAGTGAGTTAACAGCCTGCGGAGAGGCTAAAAATGACGGGTCTTGTTCAGCCATCGGGGAAAGGGGCTTTTTTTTTCTGGGAGTTAATTTACTGCCTGGAGGGAGGGGCTGGACAAGAGGGTCTTTTCCTTCTCTTGGAGTATCTACCTAAGAAGGAGGGTTCCCTGCCCCCCAGACCCTAGGTCTCTCTGCGTTTCAGATTTGGTGTTCTCCCGGTGTACCTTGCTACAAGTTCATGGGGCTGAGCACTTTCCTGTGCTTCCTTTCCCTTTGCTCTTCCTCCGTTTCCTAGATTCGATTTTTCCTGCAGCCCCTGTTCTTAGCCTACTCCAAACAGCCCAAGGGCATTCATGGAAGTGTGGGTGAGGCATTTTAGGCCCTTGGGGACTGTTTTATTAGACCGAGTTGCCTGGGGAGGAGCTAAGAAGGTAGGCTGGGAAAATGCCCCTGGAGTCTTAGTGCCCCATTTCCTAAACTGCCCAGGTTAGTGGATTTGAGTGTCTGGCCCCGGAGGTGGTTTTTTTGTTTGTTTGTTTGTTTGTTTGTTTTTTCTACATTCTGCTCCCAGCGATTTCTAATGGCGGCCGCTTTAAGAGGTAGCACCTTGGATGTGGGTAGCATGGAACAGTACTTGTCAGACTTTAGTAGATCCTTCTTAAAGGGAGGAAAATAAAACCCGCAAAACTTCCCATGAGCCCATAGTGTGAATATAGTTTTTATTACAATGTTACTCAAATATAAAAACATGAAGCCAGAGACAACTTTCCCATATCCAGAGACCTATAAATCCCAAATAAAGGGATGGTTTAAGTGCAAAGAAAAAAAAACCCTATGCAATTAAACAATTTAATGAGATGAATGCTGCGTGGCTTGAAGTTAGGTCACTGCTTTTAATGCCACTATGGGTTGACTGCTGTGGAGCTGGTTTTTAGGAGCTCCACAGGCCTATGATGCCACATGCCTGGGGATGTTGCAGTCTTCCTATTGCTTTTCTCTGCAAAAGGCTTTTCATTTGCCATGGGTCTGACTTCATTTGGCTTCTCTTGGCTTGAATGCATCATTTATGTTCAGCATTAAGTCATTTCTCTTTCCTCTAGCTTATGACAACGTAATACGATCGTAGACACAAATACAAACTTGGAATTTGGGCACTGAAATCTTGCGCCCAAGAGATATTGGAATAATGAATCCCTTCTGTGGGGAGAGTGGTCTGATTCAACAGCTGTTTAACAGAGTGGCCACTGGGTGCCAAGGACAGTGTTGTGCACTTTTAATATGTTAGCTCATCGCATTCCTGTAAGTACAATAGGGACGATAATATGCATGGGGCTGTTTCATGAGGATTGAATAGATAACAAGCACATGATAGGCATTTAATAAATGTTGGTTTTTACATTATTCTTAACACCTTTGGAGGAGTTAGTGTTAGCCCAGTTGCAGAAGAGGAAACAGACTCGAAGATGGTGACTCATCCGCGACAACACAGCTAGCAGTGGCAGTACCGGGAATCAGATTTGTACCTATGGTTGTTTCTACTCCGACAGCTTCCAGTACCACACATACACTTATTTATTTATGAATGAATGATAAGGTCTTGCTCTGTTGCCCAGGCTGACATGCAGTAGCGCAATCATAGCTCACTGCAGCCTTGAACTCCTGAGCTCAGGCAGTCTTCCTGCCTCAGCCTCCTGAGTAGCTGGGAATACAGGTGTGCACCACTGTGCCCAGCTCAGTATTACAAATTTAAAATCGAGGATCTCCCACCCCTGGCTAGGGGTAGGCATCAAAAAATAATCTCCTCAACATCTGACTGTTGACAAACTCATCATCTCCAGAAATGCCCTGGGAGCCAGAGAGTCCCAACGCAAAGTGAAACCTGCAGTCTTCTGCAGTTTGGTTATTTTCTGCAGCTTCGGCTTGGAGGGATTGGGTGTGTACATAGGTGGGGACCCCTTCCAGACACTCTCCTTTCCCTTTCTAGTTTCTTCTCCGTAGGGGTCTTTAACTTGTTATATTTTCATTTGCCTGGTAATGGTGTCCCTTCCTGTTATTCCACACAGGGTGGAGGTCTTAGGGTACAAATTATAGAAAATAGAGAAATTATAAGTTTGAATCTTTGTTCCTCAATGCAGTCTAAGTCAAGGTAATTGACTAAATGCAATGGTGTTCTGGATATGCTCTTGCTTCTGTGCCATTTAAGATCTATTAATCTCTGTATCCCGTCTCCCTTTTGCTGAAGAAGCAAACTATTTTTGGTTTGGCTCTTCTGGCCTTGAATCTTACATTAGGTGGTCCTGTGCTCTAAGAAGCTTCCTGACATCCTGAGAGGTAATGTCTTCCCTCAGAAGCACTTCTTAAGTCTTTTTTCTAGTTTCAAGCATTGCTTGCAATGTCTGGCAGTGGCTGCTTGCTGCTTTTAAGCCTTTTCCAGCTGATTTGAGCCCTTCAGCCTGGTCGGCTTAACTCACATCTCTAAAAGCTTCTACTTTACCACAGGAGTTATCTAAGCATGCAGATTACTTATCGAGTTGGTTCTCATGCTAAACTTTTGAGACTTGGTCTTCACATTTGAGAACAGTGAGAACAACTTGTATTTTTCTTAGTCTTCCTGGGATGTTGTATAGTTAAGACCATGTACTGAAACAGGCTGCTGACAGTCTCATCAGATGTTGTGAGTGATCCAAATGCTTTATGATAGCTCTCCTTGGTGCTCCTGTTTCCTTTGAATGGAATTCCTACAGAAGAAAAAGGGAAGCAAATATCCCTCTCTTTTCCCAGGCTCTAACACTCTTCTTGGGTCCTCAGTGTAGCACCGTGGGAGAAGTTCTTGCCCTTTCAGCTCAGAAGACTCATTTTGAAGCCAAAACATGATGATAGATGCACCACTGGCATTTGCTGATCAAGAAAACTCATGTCTGCCTGGTATGGTGGCTTGTATCTGCAATTCCAGCTATTTTAGGAGGCTGAGGCGAGGGGATTGTTTGAGTTCAGAGTTTGAGATCAGCCTGAGCAACACAGTGAAACCCCATCTCTTTAAAAAAAAAAAAAAAAAAGAGAGAGAGAAATCTCACACCCACACATGGATTTGTAAGCACTCCATGGCCCCCAAGTTGGAAGTCCTTATTTATGGCATAGGACTTGATCTGGGCTCTATCACTAAGAAGCTGTATTGTGCTGGGCAGGGCTCTGGAGTCTTAGTTTCCTTGTATAAAACATCAGAAGTTTTGACAAACTGGGTGTCTATTAGATTTAGTCCTTGGCCATTCTAAGAGGAAAGAGCCCAGTTTCTGCATCTAAAACTCAACGTCTCTGCTATATATATCACAGAGGTCTTGACTGATAATATGTGCAAGACAGTAGTGCAGGCTGGGGTGAATGGGATGGATTTTCTGGTGAGCGCCATGGACCTGGGGTTCATTGTGAACGTACAATACAGAAGAAGCTGCTGAATTTTTTTTTTTTTTTGAGACAAGTCTGGCTCTGTCGCCCAGGCTGGAGTGCAGTGGTGCAATCTCGGCTCACTGCAAGCTCCGCCTCCAGGGTTCACACCATTCTCCTACCCTAGCCTCCTGAGTAGCTGGGACTACAGGCACTCCCCACCATGCCCGGCTAATATTTTTTGTATTTTTAGTAGAGATGGGGTTTCACCATGTTAGTCAGGATGGTGTCGATCCCCTGACCTCATGATCCTCCCACCTCGGCTTCCCAAAGTGCTGGGACTACAGGCATGAGCCACCGCGCCTGGCCAAGAAGCTGCTGACTGAGCAGAGATCCTGAGGGAAATCGAAGTCCCCAGATAGAATAGGGCCTTATAGCCACAGTCTCTCTTTGGCATATGATTTCTGTCTCAGCTTGGAAGCAGAACTTAATTTATTACACAAGGAACTGTGAAGAAAGATGGACCCCAGGTAGAAAGAGGAGAGATTGCTAGATTGAACTTAGAGTCCTTTATTTTTTAGCCTATATCTTCTTGAGTCAAAATTACTTTATTGGAGTCAGCTATTTTTCTATCCTTTCTCCTTATTTTCTCTCCTCCTAGAATGAAGTTACTGAAGGAGAGTGGATATAGGATATTGCATTGTCAGCAGTTTGTCCTCATTGGATAGGAGAAGGTTGAGAGATGACTGGAGATGTTGAGGGTGTCAGGGTTCAGTGCAGCTTGTATTAGGTTGCACCATGTAAAAGAGCTATTTTGTGGTTCTAAAATGGTTGGATATTGGTAGTTCACATAGTTGAACCTAATATCTGAGGATGTAAGATGGCCACCATAGTCTTGTTTCCCATGAGGAAACACCCTCCTGGGGAGTCTCTCTCTCTCTCATTCTAAGAGATCTTTGTCTATATGTGTGGAAGAATGTGATTTGTAGGGAAACCAGAAGAAGGTTATAGCCGTGTCTTGGGCTTGAATTTCAAGCTGGGGGTTGAGCATGTTGTATTTTAGGGAAACAGCATGCATTGTGGCCCACTGGTCAACTCGGCCTCATGGGTTTATTTTATGGTTTGAGGATTAGTTGCCAATCTGCCCACAGAGTGCTGTCTGTAAAAATGGGTTCCAAAAACTGGGTGATTAGGGTAGTGAGAAAGTCCACTGACCTTCTCACAGGTTCTGGAATCAGTTCAGATTCAGTTCAGTTCAGCTTTTTAATATTTGGGCACATACAGGTACTTAATAATAAATAATCTGTAATAAATAGAAGAATGCCCAAAGAAACAGCTTTGTGCACAGAGTGGGATTGACTGCCAAAGGGCCTCTGGAGGAGGGACATTCAGGAGCCCCGGACACACATTGTTGCCCTGTTGCCTTCAAATCAGCTTTGTTTGGGTGTGGAGGGCATTTTGTACACAGTGGCAACTGGATGGGATTTGTGGTCTGGGGAGGTTTTCTTTTCCAACCCTATTTGTTCCAGCACCCTGAAGGTTGGATGCTGGTAAGTGCATCTGCTGTGTCTTTTATGAGGTAATGTGCATACCAGGGTACTGGAGGGCAGTGGAGGAGAGGGAGAAGAAGGGGCAGAGGAGCAACTGTTGCAAAAGCCCCTGAGTGAGAGGGCGATTGTTGCGGTTATATCAATGTGCCCTGATATTCAGGTTTCTTTTGGACACCTGAATCTGGCCAATTTTAGTCCAATTTCCATTGTCCTGGGATTAGTCTTCATCATGTTAACTGCACCAGGAAAGGGGAGCTGTTGGTGGAGTCCTTGGAGCCCCCAAAGCTGATTTGATCAGGGAAACAGTCACAAGTGTGGCCTTTTTGTGTGTGAGAAACATGTGTTTCAAGTTGCAGAAGCAATCATTGGATCAGTAATTTCAGGGTTGGGAGCAGCTGGGTGATTTCCATTTGCCACATTGTTTCTGTTCCATTTAATTTCCAGGTGTCCTACATAGGCCAGGACTGCAGAGAAATTCCAGAGCACCTTGGCAGGGACTGTGGACATTTCGCAAAGAGGCTTGATCTGAGCTTTAACCTTCTGAGGTATGTAACCTTCACAAGATGTAGGCCAGGCCTGGGAGGCCCAGTCCTCCTGGGTACTTTAGGGCCAAGCAGATAAAAGTCAAATGTTCCAACTCCACATGGGTTGTCCTTTTATTCAGCAGAAGGCTCTGAGATGCGTGGAATCACACCCCAAAGGTTTCACTGTGTCCGGTGATTCCTTGGCTGCCTTTTTTTGTGCTGCTGAAGAGGCAGGCAGCATATTGAGCCTCATCCATTTCACACGAGTTCCTATGAGAGAGCCGTCATATTTTCACTGTGTTCTTTTCATTTCTCACGGATACCTGTGCAGACAGGTCAGAATACTCTTGGGGAAGGAATGAGATGAAGCCTGCAAGAGTGTTTTGGGGTGTCTAGGTGTGCTTTCTTAGGATAAACACATGTCCCAAAACATTCGTCGAGTCACAGGTAGGGTGTGTGTATGTGTGTGTTCTCTTTCTTTTGTCTTTTTATGAATGGGAGCTTTAAATATTTGTGATGATAATTTCTCCCGGATGGTGTTTCAAAGCAATTTAAATACTGCTGGTGTGGAGTGGGTGGGAGGAAAACTCTCTGACAACTGTTCCAGTCTTGGCAAAGGTAAGTGTGATCTTGTATATTATTCCAGTGGAGAATACAGGCAGTTATTTCCTTTCTCCCTAAAAGGTTATGCCTTGCGCCTGGTTTGGGGGCTTGGAGGAAAGAAGTAAGAGGTACTTGGAAAGCAGGTGTCAGTGGGATAAGAGCAGGGGTCAGGCAGGACGATTGCTTTTCCTCCTAACAAGCTGGTGCCACCCAGGGCTTTTTCCTCCATGCCCTCCTTGAGAGCTGTGCTGCCCTCTGAGTGGGACAGACTGTCCTGGGGTCAAAGGAGAGATAAGAACCTGAATTCCATTCCAGGGCCCAAGCACTTTCCTGCTTCTAGGCCTTGGAGTCTTCATTTCCCACAGCTGAGTCAGGATACTTGGGAATTAGGAATTTGTAATTGGAAAATGGAACACAACTCTGGAAAATGAACACAACTCAGGGTAATAAGGCACGAGAGGTGGAAGAGGATTTGTTTGAGGTCAGCCAGCGGAACTCCTTGGATGCTGCTCGGGAGCACATGGCCACACAGAGCTGTGTTGTTTCCAGGAAAGGGGCACCCTGAGGGTTGTAGTGGATGGAGAGTGGCCGCTGTCTGTGTATTCTTCCTTACTCCCAAAGGGTTTGTGTGCATCTGGGGAGAGGTGGAAACTGACAAGTTGTAAAGTAGTACACAGGGATGAGAGGAAGCCAAATAAATACATGCTGACTCTAGAGAAATGAAGGATGTGTTTTTTGTTCCAGTACCTAAGGAGAGGACCGAGTGCGTGGCCTTGAGTGCTCCAGCTTCCCAGAGCAGACTTAGGCAAAAGGCTTCCTTTCCTGGGCATGGAAGGAGTTCCTCCTGTGTGACCAGCCCCCAGGGGCTCAGGGCACTGGAGCTTGGGTTGTGGTTGCCCTGAGTAGTTAGTGGGAGCCGGATGTGGATTTGAGGAGGCTGGACCCCGTGAGGGAGCATCAGTGCATGTGGATCATGGGACTGGGCTATTGGGTTTGAGGAAACACAGCCATCTTTGTGATGTCCAGGGGCCCTGCCTTTCTTTGGGAGAGGAGGTACTGGACCTTGGGAGGTGTGTATGTGTGGCAAGAAGGGGCTGTTGGCTCTGAGGGGCTGGATCTATATGGATTTATTGTAGGAAATGACACATACTAGATGCAGGAAAATTTCGTAAGGGGGTGGCTGAAAAGTGGATTCAGAGGGAGAGCACTGAAGATTTGTATTTTCCTTTGTTGAGAGGAGAGACATTTCTGTAGTGTTGAGTTTGAGTTGGTTTCACATCTGGTCAGGAGCCTGTTCTTGTCCGTGTTGTGGTCAGTGTGTGAACTCCACACTGGACAGTAGCTGAGTTTGGGCAGGGATGAGGAGTGGAGGGGTGAGGTCTAAGGTTCAGAAAAAGTTTGTGTTTAAGAACTTGGTTACACTGGAGTCAGTTGCAGACCAGAATGGAGAAAAGCACTCCTGACTTGAGTTGGGTGTGCTTGGGACTGGATCACCTTTGACCTTCTTTATTTACCTAATTGGAGGGAAGAGCAGGGGAGGCAACACTATTTCTCTTGGGTGTTAGAAGAAGATTCGAGCTTATTTGGGCACTGGTCTCTATCTTTGCCTTCAGCTGAATCAACATCTAAGATGTTTTAGATGCTTAGCTAATTCCTCTTAAAAAAAGAATAAGCAGAGGCCGGACGTGGTGGCTCATAGCTGTAATCCCAGCAGTTTGGGAGGCCAAGGCGGGCAAATCACCTGAGGTCAGGAGTTCAAGACCAGCTTGGCCAACATGGTGAAATCCTGTCTCTACTAAAAATGCAAAAAATTAGCTAGGCATGGTGGTGGGTGCCTGTAATCCCAGCCACTTGGGAGGCTGAGGCAGGAGAATTGCTTGAACCTGGGAGGTAGAGGTTGCAGTGAGCTGAGATCGTGCCATTGTACTCCAGCCTGGGCAACAAGGGTGAAACTGTCTCAAAAAAGAAAGAAAGAAAGAGAAAAAAGAATAAACAGGAGAGGGGGAAAATAGGGAGAAGAGAAGAGACAGGAGATTCTAAACTTACCTTCCAAATGAGTGGGGATGGAGTGGATGACCCAAGCTCTCTAGGCTTCAGGGATCATGATATCCAAATGAAATATTGTAAATCCACATCCCATGTTCTATAGAAAGTTTCTACCTAGGCCCCTCTGCCCCTCACTATATCCGTGGGATTGCAGGGAGCATGTTTCCCAGTCAGGCTGCCCTGCACCCGGCACACCGCAGCTCCCTGACCATCTTTCGGCTCTGTTGTCTGCTATTCTTCCTCTTGAGCAGCCTGCCTGGCCCCACTCTGGACACACCCTTCATTTCTCCAAAGCCCAACACCATGTTATTATGTATTGACTTGTACTGCCAGCTGAAGGTGTAGTGAAGAGGGCTGGGTGGTAATTGTGGCACACAGCAGGAGATAAGGTTGAGATAGCACTGTTTCTGGAAATTTTTTGGGTTCTCCTTGCCACAGAGAATTTCTCCCTGGCAGTGCTTCTAATTAGGGTCAGGCCTCCTGCATGTGACTAATGCCTCTTTCTCCCAGGCCCTTTCTCTCTTTTCCATGCCACTTACCATCTTTCCAGAGCTATCCTCAGAAGCACAAAATTCTTCCTTTGTTATATATAAAAAAATTAACCCTTTCCTCTACTTTTAGAATATCTCTACAGGCTTTCTTTCTTTTTTTTTTTCCTCCAAAGAGTTATATCAGGATATTGCCTTAAACAGAGCAATACCTTGATAAATAAAAACTTTGCACTCCTCTAGGTTGCAAGATCAGCTGCAGTCCATTTGTGTTTTAGGGCAAAGTTTACTTTTAGGCAAGGAGTTCTGTTTATTCAGTTTTTATATAGCTAATACAGGCACATGGCACAACCTTTAGAAGGAGCAAATATGCAGTGAGAAGAAAGTCTCATTTACACCATGTCCTTTAGCCTCCCAGTTTCCCTTTGCACAGCTAAGTATTGTTACTCAGTTTTTGTGTCATCTTCCAGAGATATTCCATGCATATACTAACATATGATTTTTAAATTTTTTCCAACTTTATTGAGGCATAATTGACAGCTAAAAGTTGTATCTGTAGCATACAACATGATGTTCTGATACATGCATACATTGTGAGATGATTACTGAGCTGAAGCTAATTAACATATCCCTTACTTCACACAGTTCCC
This sequence comes from Homo sapiens, assembly GCF_000001405.40. Taxonomy (NCBI): domain Eukaryota; kingdom Metazoa; phylum Chordata; class Mammalia; order Primates; family Hominidae; genus Homo; species Homo sapiens. The sequence goes on from NC_000010.11 coordinate 75,442,261, forward strand.
TTTTTTGTATGAAGAGAACATGAATGATCTATTGTCTTAGCAGATTTCAAGTATACAATACAGTAATATTAACTATAGCCACCATGCTGTACATTACATTATGTTTAAGTTCTTGATCTATTTTGAGTTGATTTTTGTATATGATCTGAGAAAAGGGATCAATTGTTTTGTATATGGTGTGAGATAAGAGATCAGTTTTTTCTTCCACATATGGATATCCAGTTTTTCTAACACCATTTATTGAAGAGACTGTTCTTTCCCCTTTGTGTGTTCTTGACACCTTTGTTGAAGGTCAATTGACTGTCAATGCAGATTTATTTCTGGGCTCTCTATTTTATTCCGTTGGTCTATATGTCTGTTTTTATGTCGGTATGTATTGTTTTGATAATTATAGCTTTGTAGTATGTTTTGAAGTCAGGTAGTGTGATGCCTCTAGCTTTGTTCTTTTTGCTCAAGATTGCTCTATTTGGAGTCTTTTGTGTCACATGAAATTTAGGATTTTTTTTTCTATTTCTGTGAAAAATGCCATTGGAATTTTGATAAGGAGTGCATTGAAACTGTTGATTGCTTTAGGTCATATGGGATATCTTCCTTTATGTGTGTATCCTTCAGTTTCTTTCATCAATGTTTTGTAGTTTTCATTGTACAGCTCTTTTACCTCTTTGGTTAAATTTATAGGAATAAATTTTATTCCTATAAAATATTTTATTTTTTCATGTTATTGTAAATGGGATTAAGTTTTTTGGATAATTCTTTGTTGGTGTATAGGGATGCAGCTGATTTTTGTGTGTTGATTTTGTATCCTGCAACTTTACTGAATTTGTTTATTCTAACAGTTTTTTGGTGTAGTCTTCATGGTTTTCTATGTATAAGATCATGTCATCTGCAAACAGAGACAATTTTACTTCCTCCTTTCCAATTTAAATGCCTCCTATTTCTTTTTTTGCCAAATTGCTCTGGCTAGGACTTCTATTACCATACTGAATGGAAATGGTGAGAGTGGGCATCCTTATTCCTGATCTTAGAGGAAAAGTTTTCAATTTGTTTCTGTTGAGTGTGATGTTAGCTGTGGGCTTGTCATATATGGCCTTTATTATGTTGAGGTAGATTCATTCTATACTTAATTTGTTGAGAGTTTTTATTATGAAAGGATGTTGAATTTTATCAAATGCTTTTTCTGTTAATATGGTATCCTTTATTCTGTTAATGTGGTATATATTATATATCAATAAATGTGGTATATCACATTTATTGATTGCGTATGTTAAACTATCCTTGCATTCCAGGGATAAATCCCACTTGATGATGGTGCATGATTCTTTTAATGTGCTGTTGAATTTGGTTTGCTGATTGTGTTGAGTATTTTTGCTTGTATGTTCATCAGGGATATTGGCTTGCAGTGTCCTTGTCTGGCTTTGGTATCAGGACAATGTTGGTCTTGTTAAGTACGTTTGAAAGTGTTCCCTACTCTCCAATTTTTTGTAAGTGTTTGAGAAGGATTGATGTTAATTCTTTAAATGTTTGATAAAATTCACTAGTGAAGCCATCAGGTCCTGGACTTTTCTTTGTTGGGAGATTTTTGATTATTTATTTAATCTCCCTATTATTGATCTGCTTGGGTGAATTTTTTTATGTGGCTGGATTTGTATTTACTGCTTGCCAAGATGTTAGTTAAAAGAAAGGCACCAGGTTTCAACCACTCATATAAGGAACATCCTTCTTTGTTGTCTTGTCATTCATTCTTATCCATCCACAATCATTGTTAATTTCATTCATAAAAGAGATAGTTCTGCTGATTCTACTATGGCCACCTGTTTATGCTGGAAAGGAGGGTAGTTATGAACTTATAAGTTCTGGACTTTTGTTTGAAGTTACTGTATGTATTTTTTTTCTTCTCATTATACGTCAGAGTCTTCTTTCCTGCATTAACTATGGCAAATCCACTTCTGTGTTAGTTGGATTGTCCAACAGTAAACTGGTGACCTCTCCATGTAGAAGGTCATGGATTTCAGGCTGTATTGTTTTTGTGACTCTTTTCTGGGGGAGAATTAAAGTTACTGGAGCCAGTGTGTACCCTGTCACGTTAGAAATTGGAAATGGAAGCAAGAAAACAGGCCCAAATGAAATTTCTGGCTCCCTTAAAAGGCTCACACGTTCCTCTTTTCTGCTTTTTCAGCCTGGATCTGATTCTTCCTGCTGTGATCAGCCAGGAACCAAGTCAGCCATAGTGACTGTGAACTGGATTGAGTTCTCTGGACTCAATTCTCAGGGTCAGGGTCTTGCCATCCACCTTGGAATGAGGATAGAGGGTTTAGGGAGCTGATCAGGTAACAGGCAGGGGGCATGACATTTTGTCCCTTGAAATTGAATGCATTAGTGAATGTGAGTCCAATGTCTAGTGTGAAATTGTATTTAAGATCTTTATTTTTTAAGATAATTTTTATAAGAGTAACAGTAATTAATATAGAAATATTGGAAAACCCAGAGAAAGTATGGAGGAAACCATCTTCCTCTGAAGTCACTGATAATCTTACCAACCAGAAATCACCATTGTTATCATTGTATTGTCTTCCTAGTCTTTTACAATGCCAAATACTTTAAAAAATGATGCCATTGTTTACATTGTGTTGGAAGCATTTCCCCATCTCAATAAATACTTTACTGCGTTACAATGTTTTTTTAAGACAGGGTCTCACTCTGTCACCCAGGCTGGAATGCAGTGGAACGATCATGACTCACTGCAACTCAACCTCAACCTCCCAGGCTCAAACGATCCTCCCACCTCAGCCCCTTGAGTAGCTGGGACTATAGGTGTGCACCACCACCATGCCTGGCTAATTTTGTTGTTGTTGTTGTTAAATTTTGTAGAGGTGGGATCTCCCTATGTTTCCCAGGCTGGTCTTGAACTGCTGGGCTGAAGTGATCCTCTAACCTCAGCCAAAGTGCTGGGATTACAGGCATGAGCCACCATGCCCAGCCTGTATCACAATTGTTAAAGGTTTCTCAAGTCTTTCCTTAGTGTTGGACATTTAGTTTGTTTTTTTTTTCCAAATTTCTACTATTATAAATAGCTCTAATATAAATATCTTTGTAATACTCATTAATGAGTATGTCTCTGATTAGCTGCTTTGACAAATTTCTAGACAAAATAGGGCAGCTTTGGTACAGATGTCAGATTACCCTCTGGAGAGGTGATACCAGTTTCTTCTTCCAAGAGTATTTGAATGTCCATGGTCCCAAATTCTTCCTTGAGCTTGCTCATATTTTACCTTTCCTTTGTTAATTAGTAAAGATAATTCTGTGCTTTAGCCGGGTTGGTTCCTTAATCTGCTCAATGCAAAGAGGACATTTTAATGAACTGTTCCAGCTTTTTAGTTTCCCATCTCCCCTGATTGGGGCAGGGCAGAGTTCTCCTTGGTGGCCCCATTCCCCTCCCCCAGGGGCCCTGAGTGGGCTGCCTGCTTAGCTTGTTGAACACAGCAGGCAGAGCAGAGCTCCCATGGCAAACAGTGATAAATATTCCCATGTCAACCTGGCAATAAAAGCGAGAGGGTTTAATTGATCTATGGCAACAGGAAGCTTATGTTTTAAAAATTAAATTCTTTGCAGCTGCATCTTATTTTGCATCACTCTGATAAATGCATGGGCTGGAGAATTGCTTAGCAGAAAGTTTCTTAGGTAGAGCTTGCTTGTTGCTTCCTTGGCTTTGGCCGGGATGAGGGTAAAGGGCTTTGGAGTTTGGGAAACTTCAGAAAAGAAACAGTGGCCTTGCCCTTTCTCCCCTGCTGCAGGCAATGAGGCAGACACCTGGAATACTGTCAGAGCTGCTTTGAGGACAGACACACCATACTTTCTGTGTCTCTGTTATGAACTGCTAGACAGAGCTGGGCTGTTAACTTGCTGCTCTGTTGGGAAGATGGGCAGTGTAATGAAAAGAACCAAGGCTTTGGGGTTGGACCATCCTGGCTTGAAACCCTGCTTCTGTCACTCACCTGTTGGTTAACTGACTGTGGGCTAATTGCGGAAGTGTTGAGTGCTGTGTGTAATGTGCCTTCTAAATTACCTGGCATATAATGGGTCTTTAGTAAACATAGCGCTTAGAAGATGGTGCTAGTGAGGCTAAGAGCCTGGGCTTGACCCTCCATGAGGGCCATTTCACTATGGTTGTCATTGGGGCTCCTCACAGATAGTCAGGATTTCATCTCCTTCCACACATAATGTGTTTGCATATCTCAGCGTTCTTTGGTATGAACACTGGGCAGAATCTGTAAGAGCCAGTAAATGATTTGCCACTTCGTCTTTTAGTAATATGATCATCAGTCTTGGGTTCTGACTGGAATGAGTATAACCCTTTGCTTATCTGTTGTGGACATAGATTTTGAATGAGAAATACATCTGTGTTATAAGATTTTGGAGTTACTTGTTAATGCAGCATAACCTAGCCTATCCTAACTAATATAAATACCTTAGCTTTCCAACTGTCCCTGATATTCCATAGGCTAAACCAGCTCACCTCATATATATTTTTTATCCCTGCCAGCTAGGAGCATATATTTGATCATGTTCCAGTGGGATTGGGGAGAGAAAATTCCCCACCCAGACTCTCAGGAGAACAGTTCAAAGGACATGTTCTGTTGGTAGTGGGTCTTCATTAAATACTGGCTTTGCAGCCAAGGGCCTTATTCATATTTATTTCCAACCTCAAATGTAGTGGTCTTATTTGGGAAGCATGCTGATATTGGGGTAGGGGAGGCAACAGAGCTCATGTCTGTAAGCCTTGAGCAGAAGAGGTGATGGTAGAAAAGATAGACTTTAGAAGATAAATTGTTAGTGAATTTTCAATGTAGTTCTAGGGCACTGATATATCCTGACTGATTCCTAGGAGGCAAGGTTCTATGTATGTTAGAACCAGTGTTCTCTTTAAGCTGAGCAATGCAGTAAAAAAAAATATTTTTGTTCCAAGAATATCACTGGCCATCCTGGTGTCTCCAGCTACCACCAGAACATACAATGAAAAGATGAAGTGGAAAATGACGTGGTGGGTGATGTATAATGTCTCAGTTGTGACCAGCCTGGCCAACGTGGTGAAACCCCATCTCTACTAAAAACACAAAAATTAGCAGGGCGTGGTGGTGGGTGCTTATAATCCTAGCTACTCAGGAGGCTGAGGCAGGAGAATTCCTTGAACCCAGGAGGCAGAGGTTGCAATGAGCCAAGATCACACCACTGCACACCAGCCTGGGCAACAAAGCAAGACTCCATCTCAAAAAAAAGAAAAAAGTTTCACTTAGAAGACTTTGATTCTCTTTACTTGCACTTTCTGGAGTGACCTCCCTGCCTGTAGAAGTGTCAAAACAGTCTGACTAGCTTGGGCGTGGTGGCTCACACCTGTAACCCAGCACTTTGGGAGGCTCAGTTGAGCCCAGGAGTTTGAAACCAGCCTGGGGAACATAGCAAGACCCCATCTCTACAAAAAATACACATAATTAGCTGGGTGTGGTGGCATGCACCTGTAGTTTCAGCTACTTGGGAGGCTGAGGTGGGAGGATCACTTGAACCCAGAAGGTAGAGGCTGCAGTGTTTGTGCTACTGCACTCCAGCCTGGGTGACAGAGCAAGACCCAGTCTCAACAACAAACAAACAAAAATCTGACTCCATAAGGGAGGGAAGAGCACTAAGGCAGCAGGTTTCAGGCCAATGTGAGGGTGGTTTTTGTGGCACTCCCTCCTCCCTAAGGCTTCCTGACTTCCTGGATTTCTACCCAGAGAAAATGATACTTTGTGCCACGGTAAGACTGGCCCAGGAGGTGGTGGGCAACTGGAGAGAGTTGCTAAGGGGCCACAGGACTTCCCTGAGGTTCACTTTCTTGAATGATGATGATCCCTGTAACTTGCAATATAATTTAGAAAGTGCTTTCATAAACATTGTCTCCATATTTTCTGCAGCATTTGCCTCTAAGATAAGACATTCCTAGACTTTTGTATAATGCTTTTTATTTCCCCTCTCACCCATTTTACTGTCCCAGAATCTTGGGGTTTATTTTCCTGTCTTGTAAAGTCTCTCTCTCTCCCTGAGCTGTTGGAATTTGGGCCGCACTGCCCCACCCTCTCCCTCTGCCCTGCTGTCTGTTCTGAGGACATTATCGTGCATGTGAGTGGTGCTGCCTTCCACATTGTCAGGGTGGCTGTTAGGAGCAGTGGTGATTTGGGGGTGTTAGGAAGGAGACTGGAGAATTTAACCCTTTCAGACTTTCTACTTGCTAGACCTTCAAGTTCTCAACCAGGAAATTCTGCTACTATAGAGGGCATTTTATTGTCACAGTGATGGGGGTGGGCTCTATTAGCATTTAGTGGGTGAGGCCAGGGATGGCAAATGTTGTCAGGGCATAGGACAGCTTTGGATGAAAGGAATCCTTCCCCCACTATGCCAACTGCAGCCTGTTGAGAAAGACCTCTGGGGCCCTGTTGGAGATGGCTGGCAGAATGGTTCTCTTGATGAGCTTCATGATAAAGCAGACTTGCCAATAATACCAAGAGAGAAGACTGGCTCTACTCTCCAAAGGAGTCCAGGGACAGAGAGTCAGACAGATGACATCAGAAGTCATGTTTAGGCTGGGTACAGTGGCTCACGCCTATAATCCCAGCACTTTGGGATACTGAGGTGGGCAGATCACTTGAGGTCAGAAGTTCAAGACCAGCCTGGCCAACATGGCAAAACCCCATCTCTACTAAAAATACAAAAATTAGCCAGGTGTGGTGGCATGCGCCTGTAATCCAAGCTACTCGGGAGGCTGAGGCAGGAGAATCATTTGAACCCAGGAGGCGGAAGTTGCAGTGAGCCAAGATCGTGCCACTGCACTCCAGCCTGGGCGACAGAGTGAGACTCCATCTCAAAAAAAAAAAAAAAAAAAAAGAAGTCGTGTTTATTTTCAGCCAACATTATCAAGTATACACTACATGCCATGGCTGGGCAGAACACTTACATATGTTATCTCATTTACTCCCAACAACATTTTGAGAATGGAGCTGTTCTTATCCACATTTCACAGATGAAGCAACTGAGGCCCAGAGAAGCAGAGTAATTGCCTGAGACCACCCTGATGGTTAAATGGGAGAGCTGGGATAAATGGCCCCAGTGGTCTGACTTCAGCTTTACAGTTATCCTAAACTGCTTTTCATGGTGTAAATCTTTTTTCTGTGTGTGGGAGAAGACAGCTACTGCCAAGCCTGTATTTACTTTTGGGTGGGGATTGGGAGGGAAGTTTCCTTCTTTTTTTTTTTTTGAATCATTAAAGCCTGTGGAAGTCACTATACCAGGGTCTGAGTAGATTTTGTTGCTCTGAGTTCAAGACCCTAGAGGCCCTGAAGTCATACGTATATAGCATTTCCTGCTCTCTCCCATTTCTCTAAAACCTTTCTGATTTGGAAAGTTTGGCGAGGCAGGACCTCATGAGGCCTGGGAGGTGGGAGTTTCCCAGAGAACTTATCTTCTTCTTTCTTCCTCTCCCCTGCTCTGTGAGATGTGGTTCAGATCAGAGATCGCAGCCGTGGGACAAATGGCTCAACAACTGCTGACTGTGGTGCCAGCCTTGGGACTGGGGGACCTTGAGATGGACAACTGCATGCTTGAATTTTGAGTCTGAAGGGAAAAGAAGAGGTGCGTGGGGGTGTGTGTGTATTTGCACATGAACTCACTTGCCTGCACACACCCACCGTCTGAAAGGCCTCTTTCCTCTCCTCAGGGACTGTAGTGTTGGTGATTTCAGCTGTTCCCTGCTCCTTGATGATGAAAGGGGAGCGATTATGCTTTTTGCTGGGTGTCTGTGTTTAATTGCAGGGATATAATAACTACAAATTCTCCCTGGCCGAGACTTTTCTAATAAAAGGTTTCTTCCATCCCAGCTGCTTTCTCTTCCCTTTCACACCCCCACCCCCATCACTGTCCTAGCACAAGGTCACTTAGGGTTTTAAATGAGAGAGAGACACACACATGTTCAGGTTTCGCGTAGAGTGTTTTTTTAAAGCTCCTCCTCCAGACCCATCATTATGGAGATCAGCTGCTTGCCCCCACCTCTGCACCACCTCCCCTAAGCTCCTTGCTGAGTTTATACAGAACCCAATTTTTCAGTCTCTTGGGTGTCTGCTTTTTCTCTGGTTCTGAAGAAATAAGAGACGGGTAGAACAGGGAAGACCAACAAAAGAGGTTTAAAAGAAAAAAAAAATCACCAAACCATTCTTGAGATAAAGCAAGACTTATTAAACACAATTGGAGGGAGGGCAGGAGAGGCGGTGTTAACCCCCACACGGCCCGTTTCCTGCAGCTGGAGAAGTGTTTTAAGAAAATGCACCATTGTTAAAACTTTCTTTTTCCTTGATGGATTTATTTATAAGGTAGAGAAATATTTTCCCCATAATTGGGTAACTCTTAATAGTAGCAATTGCATATTTATCAGTGTGAGGGGCTGTTATTAATGTAACTGTCAGGCCCAAACACATTTCTGCATTAAATCCATTTAGTATGTGCATTATTCGGGCTCGAATGTCACCGGGACATCAAAGCCCCGTAGGCATGGAGAGCTCAGTGCCCTGCTGTGGCTGCCGAACAGGCCCTTGATCAATAAATGTAACATGTTAATGCAGAGCAAATAGAATAAAAGATTTCTTTGACAAGACATGAAAAATCACCTTGTGGCAGCTGGCATGTGATGCCGTTTCTGGGGAGACACTAGCAAAGTTGATCTGACAAGTAAAGAGGAGAGATGATGGTTGTAAGGTGCTTTTGTTTCAAACTTCTTTCTTGACCTGTCAGGTTTTGAAGGCGCCTCAATGGCTCTTTTTTGTCATGTGAAAATTGTAGTCTTAGGTAGTTATGAAGCAGTTATCTCTTCTCAAATTGTGAATGCTGCTGTTTAATTGATTCACTTAGCATTTGAAACTGTCACGCATTAATAATTGCGAAATCCTGTAGATACTGCGTGAGTGTGTCATGCTTAAATGTGTAGTTATCAGAAAATTAATATCCTTAATGAACCGGTGCTTTCAAACTAACATTGCATGAAATCTCTTTTGCCCTTTCATTTGCTGAAGCCACATCCGCCAGTTTGCCGAGAATCACCTCTCGACAGTTTGCTTTCTTGATGCCCGACAAATGCCAGCTTTGCTGTGGGTACATCGCGTGCTCAATGACAATAAATATAGTAATTATACTGGAGTTAGTAATTAACATAATTGTAGTCAATTACGACAAATACAGTGCAGAGCTAAATAAATGAGAGGGGAGAAATTAGCAAGCTAATTGATTTATCTTTACTTGGCTTTCTATTACAACTGGCAGGGCTGTTTTTCTTGGGGTAGGGGAAGTGGAGGGGAGAAAAATTCCCCACAAGGATTGTTTACAAATAACTGATTTTGTTTTGAAGTTGCTTTTGACTTACTACACTTCATCCCCTACCCTGCTTCTAAGGGGAAAAAAAGAAAAGAGAGACTTTAAATGCCAAGGGAACATTTTGTTAATTTAGCTACATCAAGCTGAATGCTGCAGCTAAGGCGAGGCAGGATTTAGCTTTCGCTACGTCTTGAGGAGTTATAATTTTTTCTTCTCAGCTATTGCTCTGGTAAAAAAAAAAAAAAAGCATTTTTTTGGTGTGTGTGTATGTGTGTGTTCTAAGTCTCCATCGGTGAGGTGGTGCTGTGCTGGATAGTACATTTGGGGGTTATATGTGCATGCTAATTTGCTCAATTCTGTGCCGTTGGCTTGGTGTAAGAAGTGGGCATGTTTTCCTTGGTTCAGTCCCACTTGGTCTTGTTATGCCTTTTTCTTTCAGTACCCAAGGAAGGGACGGAGGAAAGAAGTGGCCAGCGTTGTTGGAGAGGTCAAGGGAGGGGCTCCAGTGCAGACCCTCTGCTCACTTCCTCCTTCACTACACTTCAGGATTTGCCTGGGGTCCTGGGCTGTCACACTCCTGAGGCTGCGTGGAAAGTTTTTGTTGGCGTCTCGATGCCCATTTATTTTGAGCTGGTTTATTCTGTGCTGCCTGGAGCCCTGGTTAGTGGTGTTTATCGCGCGTCTCTGTTCTTTGTTCACCCTTTTCAACGTGATTGCTGTTCACGCCGCTAAGGGAGAAACTGCATGTTTTGAGACTTGGGGTCACATCATAGCCTTGTTTTTTCTTGCAAATTTTAGAACAGGATTTTTTTTTCCCCTTTGCTTCTTGCCACAAGATAAGGGCTAGTGGCCAGAGCCTTTTTTGGATCGGGTTTTAAAGCCTTACCCTTGTCTTACCCAAGGTTAAAACTCAGTGATTTCAGGATATGACTTTTTTTTTTTTTTTTTTAATGTATCCAGTATCCATTGTCAACCTTACCACCACCCTAGGTTATTCCTCTGAAAATTCAGCAGTTTAGCAAAGCAAAGATTTGTTTAGCTCTTCTTCCTGGAGATTTCACTGGATAGGTTTCTAGCCTGACTTGAAGGGAGTTTGAGGCAGCAATTTTAATTCTGTGTTGTGCATATAATCCTTCATGACCTCATGTGGAATTCAGTTTTCCAACTGCATTAAAAAAGCTGCCTGTATTTTATTTCATTGGGATGCACTTGGACACTGCTTAGTGTGGTCACTTGATTTGGAAATCAATTTCTGATATGAAATATTTATATACAAGAAAGCATTTAAATTATTTAAAGTTTACAAGCATAATGGTCTTTCCGATGGAGTCTCAAATTATTTTAGTAAATGTGGGGATCTTTTGAGAGGAAAAGACTTGTATATTTGGGGTGGCTGGAGGGGTAATGTTACCTGGAACTTCAGCCTGATTTAGTTTAATATGGGTCAAAGAGAAATCAGATGAGTCATATATGCAGCTTTGTTTACCCAAAAAAGATAAATTTCAGATATTATTGTATACCTCCAACAGGGCATCCTTCTGTGAATGCCTTCAGAGACAGAGAGAGAAAATGTGTGAAGAAGAGCTCTGGCGGTTGACCTTTGTCCAAATGTGGCATTTATAGTAGTTTTGTCTCTGCCTGGAGTCTCTACCTAGCTGCTGGTTTCCTACACTGTCTTTTCTTTTGAATTTCATAGCAAACATGAGTGGGGAAAAACATAGGTTGATGGCACAGGAAGCTTCTTTTCATTTTTATTCCTTTAAAATTAAAGTTGTGCTAATTGAAGCTAGCTTTAGTTTGTCCCCGTACTGCTAAAGAAATGAAAGCATGGGATCATTTAGATGTATTCTTTTCAAATACAGTGCTGTTTGCAAAGGTGCCATTTTTTTCCCGAAGACTTTTCTATTTCACTTAGACATACAACCCTCTAGAGGTTTAAATATGTGAGTTTTGAGGTGCTTTGTTCCTCAAAAACCCTAATATGTTTTTTTCTTTTAACATTTGTTCTGCTTCAGCTCTGTTGATTGAATGTATTAAAATGCATTTTGGGGGTTGGTGGAGCAGAAGGTGAGAGGGGATGGGGTGTGTTAAGAGCTTTTGCTGACTTCTGAGGAGATAGATGGTTGGGCATTGCCCACTCGCTCGCATGTCATATGTAGGGGTACAAAGTTGTGATCCCTTTCCTCACCCATCATAGGGGCCATGGCTGACACCTGTGTAACAAAAGACAGGTTAGCAAGAGAAAAGCATAGCAAATTTATTTAATCAAAATTTTATGTGACACAGGAACCTTGTGAACTGAAGGCCCCAAAACCCAGGGAATATGATCTGTTTCTATGCTAAGGTTGGATGAAGAATGGACAGCCATGTAGAAATGTCATTGGACAAAAGGGTATGATCTAATGGTAACAGACGGAGGGGGCAGGGAACCCAGCAAGGACTGCCTGCCTGGATTCTTCTTGGCTTCTCTGTGTAGCATCCTTCCTCCTGGCTATAGGGCAGGACGCTTCTGGAATGAGGGTCTTATGACCAACTATCAGACAAGGTAGGTCAGAGAATTTCTTTGTAGCCAGCTCCTACACAGAAAGGTGGGGGAAGGTTTGAGTAATATTTTTAGGTTTTATGGTTTGTTTTGGGGGAGAGGGGTTCTACTTTCTACAGACCCACCTTGGGGAGGAGGAATTCTGGCTTCTGCAACTCTCACTTTGGGGTAGTAAAACGGGCAGGAGACGGTCAGAGAGGCCTTGCATCCGAGGCAGCCTCTGAGACCTTCCCGTCTCCTTTAGTTCCAAGTACTCAGCATGCCAAAGCACCATACTCTGGGGTATCGTTTTCCGAGTCCCAACACAGTCTTTAAGGTGGGGAGGGTGCACTGGAATTGCCTGGTGGGGTGTTAATTTTGTTCCAGTGACTTATTTTTCAGAATGTATTCCCTATCCCTTCTAAGTGCTTCCTCCGAAAGTGCTGTGAGCCAGGAGCCTGGGCGGCAGCCATCTTCACCTGTGCTGGCAGTTGGATCACGAGTCTGTCCTGGTTGGCTCACGTGAATTCTTCCCAGATGCCTGAGGTGGACCAATATCACAGAGAGCTAACCATTCTTCCAGTTGTAATTGGATATAGCAAATCAGTACTCTGAATTCAATTCTTTCAGGCTGGGCTTTGGCAAGAAAAAAATCAGCCTTACCTGGGGTATAGAAAAATGGAGCCTGGCAGTGGCTCCTGAAAGTCTTTCGTCAAGTGCTCTGCCTCTGAGGAGCACTGTATTTGTTCCAACTCGTGTCGTGAAGCACAGAAGAATGACAGTAGGGGTAAATTTAACCATACACACCAAGGCTTTTCTTATCTTCTTCCTCTAACTGGTGGGTAGAAGTCAGGCCTGGGCCACTTATGTTTTGGAGGATGCCAGTAGGGTTACAGTGGTCTTTCTAGCTGCCTGGTACAACGGGACCCCTCCTTGGAGGCACCTGAGCTAGGTGGTCTTTCTTTAGGGTCTTGTCATGGCTTGTACAGGCATGGCAATAGACTAATCCTTTGACTAAATGAGAGTGGGAACTGCCCAGAATAGCGTGATTTCCCCAGAACTGTCTTCAGATATACTCAAAGGCTGAGAACTTGACCACTGTCCCTTGCAGGTCTCCTCCTGTTTATTGTAGATACATAGGTATTGTTGTATACCTTCAGGTATCGAGAGACAGAGTTCCTGCAAAGGCCCCGAGTTGGGTTCCCAGCACGTGGACCTTACACCTGTGATGTTTCCCCATTTGAAAGCTCACATGCTCAATGTGGAGATAAGGCTAATACAGGTGAAATTATTAGAGAACAATATGGGGCCATGGTCAGATTCTCCCTGTGGACTTTGAGAACCTTTCAGTTCTCTCCTACTGGGGAACATAGCGACTCTGTCTACTGCCTGGGAAGCTTATTGTCTTTGAGCTAGTGAGTGGCATTGGGGAGCTATACATGGAGAGAGGGTTCCCAGCCAGCCCAGCAAAGCAGGTAAAATGACCCAGGTGAGACCTGGGTTGGCTCCTAGACAGGGGCATACCTTATGTACACACAGGATAGCACAGTCCAATTAATTGCCAGGAGTATAATAGAGGTTCTCATGCCCAAGAAGTTGTCAGAAGGGAGAGCATCTTCAAAAGAAACTTCATGAAGAAACTGAGACCTGAGCCACCTCCTGGAGGGAGGGCAGGATTTTCCATGCTGCCTTAAGACTTCGGAGCCTGTACAACATCAGGGCTTTGGGGCCAGGATTTTCCTGAGTAGGAATGGTGAGAACCTGATCTGTATGCCCTCAGGGGTGGGTTGGAATCCACAAGAGAAACTGGAGAACAGGGTAAGTTTCTTCCCACACCCAAAGACATAAACCCTTTTGCTGTGTAGCGTAGTGGTGATTCTGGGACATAGAAGCTGGCCATGCCAGAGTCTTTCAGAGAGGCCAGCCAAGTAAGGACTCAAGGTATGGGTTCTCCCATCAAATTTTCACCCTGGAGTGACAGGAGTTGCGGGGGAGACAAGCCACCTCCAGCGGGTGGAGGGCAGCCCATTCCCAGGCTGAGCAGGGCCTGCGTTTCGGCCCTGACACATATACGCGGCAATTACGCTGTTAGAAGGGTCACGGTTAATGCAGTTCTTCCAAGACTCCTGCCACAAGCATGTGCCTCTTCACACCCAGCAAGGCCCTGTGGGCTGGCTCTGTGCTCGTTCAGAAGGGGAGGAACCAAAACTTGAAACCTCATCTTTCAGAAATTGCATTTATTTTCACTCTTTCATGCCACAGTGTTTCTGCAAGGCCAGCACTTAGGGGTACATTCTTCCCTGGGAGAATTGGTAGATTATTGATTCTGTGAGTGCCTTAGGGCCTTTGCAGAAACTCTGTCTCCCATTGAAATGTATGCTTTTCCAGGATGGGATAACAGCTTCTCTTTCAGAAGTGCCCAGGACAGGGTTACACACTAGGTAGGTGCCCCTCTATCAGAAGACACAATCTAACCTGGGAATTCTTCTTTTGCTAAAATGGATTTTATTTTATTTTATTTTGTTTTTTGAAAAAGAGCTTGCTCTTTCGCCCAGGCTGAAGTGCTGTGGCACAATCTTGGCTCACTGCAACCTCCGCCTCCCAGGTTAAAGTGATTCTCCTGGCTCAGCCTCCCGAGTAGCTGGGATTACAGGTGCGTGCCACCACTCCCAGCTAATTTTTGTATTTTTAGGAGAGTCAGGGTTTCACCATTTTGGCCAGGCCGGTCTCGAATTCCTGACCTCAGGCAATCCACCTGCCTTGGCCTCCCAAAGTGCCAGGATTATAGGCATGAGTCACCTCACGTGGCGGTAAAATGGATTTTAAAAAAAACATGGTAATTGCTTATTCTAGAAGAGGTAATGGTACTGGTGACTCCCATTCATCTATCAGTTTTCCCTGATGACCTTCTTGAATCTTTATGGCAAGCAAGGTGTTCTTTCCAGCTTAAAGACAGAGAACAAAAATGTGCAGAGGTTAAAAGGCTTTCCCAAGGGCATGCAGCTGGTCAGTGGGGGGACCAAGATCTAAATGCAGCTTTGCCTGACTACAAAGTCGACTGTTAGCTCCTATACTGTATTCTATTTGATGCATGTTTCCCCTAATTCAAATTCATTGTTGTCCTAAGATCTTTATCTGGCAAACTAGTATAGGTTGACTGAGAAGAGGAAAATTGTCTTCCAGGCTCATGAAAAGGGGACAACCCCTACAGCGTAGTGGTGATTCTGGGATGTAGAAGTTGGCCATGCCAGAGTCTTTCAGGGAGGACAGCCAAGTAAGGACTCGAGGTATGGGTTCTCCCATCAAACCTTCTCCCTGGAGTGACAGGAGTTGCGGGGGAGACAACTAAGGCTGCTGTTGTTTTATTTTCTTCCCAAACTTATATTTCACCTTATCATTTTTTCAGGAGGAGATAAAACTGTAGGCACTGAGGCTGTACATTAAATAATAGTGTTTTGAAAGTCTATAGAAAATTAGGTTAAGTTTTATTGTCCTGTTCCTTTATGGACCACCAGTTTTTGGTTCTATCTCAGATATGTTTTAGTCCTCTTGCTGCTGCCGTTTATCTGGACGGCATTTTCCATCAGTTACAGGCAAAGAATATTGTCCTCTTTTCTCACTCCTCAGAGTGTTTCTGGGTTCCAGGGGAAAGAGGTGATTTGAATGCAAATGCACTTTAAATCACTAACACTACATAACTCTAATGCATTACTGCCATTTTTTCTTTTTACTTTTAATTGAGAAACTGAACTCTTGCTAGTTTGAAGCTCAGAGTCATTGTTGGAGACCAAGAAGCTGGGGTATTTCTGGCTGGAGGATGATCTAGTAGAAAATCAAGGAGATCATTAAGACACAGGATGCCTGAGTATTGAGTATTGAGTATTTGTCTTTGTTCCATCACAAATCGTCTGTGAAATATTGAGTAGGTCATTTAATCTCTGTTGTCATTCTCCAAATGGGAGATAGAAGGAGTTGTGAAGACCAAATGAAATACTAAATGTAAAAGAGTTTTGTTCCTGTAGAAGATATACTGAAAGAGTAGATATCCCAAAAGTAGTTTATTTCATTTTTGATTCTTTTGACTTTGAGCAGGTTTATCTTTAAGATTATTTTGCTTGGGGTCCTATGGCATTGGTTGTTTATAGGTTTGGTTTTGCAAAGTTAGGGCTCTGTGGGGGGTCTACTTCCTGCCAGACTGTAGATTGCAAAGTTATGGACTTGGGTCTGAATGGCCAGGTTTCCCTTGGGCAAGGACAACTGAGAGTATAACATTTTCCAATTCAATTATGTTTTAAAAGGGAAGAGGGAGGAAGCAGAATCTTCATTAGAACAAAATAAACATGATGATTATTAGCAGTGATAGAATACTAAATAAGGTATGTCATTATAGTAAGATTTTAAGAAAGCCAAACGTCAGAGTAAAATTCCATATCTTACTTAACAATTTTGAGGCATGATTTTTATCTAGTTGTACCTCTGAGCTCAGAGAAGAATTTTATCACCTAACCCTCTACAGCAGTTTCAACATAGATGCACCCCACCCTTCCCCAATTTGCTCTTCCACAGACTGTACCTGATGGGACAAGCTTTCCGTCAGGTAGCAGGAGGAACTAAATTTACTCTTCCTGCCTTGGGCTTGAGAACAGTTATCTTCCTGGTTCATGTAGTATCAAAAGGAAGATCATAGACCTTGCAAGGAGCAAGCGGCTATTTTTACAACCATAAAAAAAACTCCCATCTGATTTTTTTGTCTTTACTAAAAGTTTTCATTTTATGCAATTTCTGATCTACCTTGAATTGAATGGTTCAGTTGTAACTTCAGGGTCTGCTTTAGATTTTTTTTTTTTCTTTTAAGGACTTGTTAGAACCTCTTTACAGAAGATGATTGTAAAAATCACAGGCAGTACGCAGCAAGATGGAATGTGGAAATTTGAAATTGATTTAATATTAGGAAAAAAAACCCGCTGCTTTTAGAGTGTTAACTAGTCAGATTGGCTAGGTGCAGTAGTTCATGCCTGTAATTCCAGTACTTTGAGAGGCTGAGGCTCACTTGAGGCCAAGAGTTTGAGACCTGCCTGGGCTGAACATAGTAAGATCTTGTCCCTACAAAAAATTTAAAAATTAGCCAGGCATGGTGGCACACACTTATAGTCCCAGCTACTTGGGAGGCTGAGGTGGGAGGATTGCTTGAGCCCAGGAGTTTTGAATTCTGCAGTGAGCCATGATTGTGCCATAGCATCATGAAAGGGAGGCCTCAACCATACCTCTTTATCACAGTGCTCAACTTCTCCTGGGATCCCCTATGCTATGCTGCACAAAAGCACACGCTTCCAAAGGACCTTAGGTTGGTTTAATCCAGTGGTTTTTCAAAGTTATTTTTCTAGCAGCAGAATCCTTGTCAAACAAATTATAGAAAGCCCATTATGGAATACAAATATATATATTTTTTAAGCTCAGCAAAAACAGTGAAACTATTCAGATGAACACTGGGTGTCTCAGTTCATTTTGTGTTGCTAGACAGTATACCTGAGATTGGGCCATTTATAATGAACAGAAATGTACTGGCTTATGGTTCTGGAAGTTGGGAAGTCCAAGATCTAGGGGCTGCATCTGATGAGGGCCTTCTTGCTACATCATCGCATGGTGGAAGTGCAAGGGCAAGAGAGCAAGTGATTGAACTTGCAGCCTCAAGCCCTTTTATAATCTGCATTGCTCCATTCATGAAGGTGGAGTCCTCATCACTCTTATTAATAAATGCCTCGTATTAGGCTCCACCTCCTAACACTGTTGCATTGGGGATTAAGTTTCCAATACATGAACTTTGGGGAACACATTCAAACCATAGCACTGGGTTTGGTATTAAGGTTAGAGACAAAATGCAGTTTTATACTGGCCCCAGCATTCAGATTATTCTTGTATTTGGGTTTGAGTGTGCAATATTTAAATGTCAATACACTCAGTTAAGTATTTGCAAATAGTGACATTTATTTTCCCCTTAAAGTTCATCCTGTAATATCAGATTATTGTTTAAATAATTGTAAGAAGAAGCTGTATTTTGAAAAGTGAGTTAATGTGATTGCGTAAGTTAATATACCAGTATCTTCTAGTGTGTTAAAATTTGGTGTAGTATGTCTTTGGGAGTACATACTGCCTTTTGAATTATGTTTTTTAAATAGTTAAAATAATTTAAAAGTTAAATTCAAATGAATCATTTGGAGAAACTCTGAAAGCCCCTTGTGGTACCCTAGGGTTCCATGGAACACAGTTTGAAAAACACTGGTCTAACATTTTCTTTTAATGAAGGAAATTTGGGGCTCAGAAAGTGCAAATGGTGGCTTGGTGTGATGTAATAGGAAGTTAGGCCAAATAATTTTTTACTTTTTAAAATTAGTTTTTCAAACTGCTTTTAATTTTATTTTTTGATTATAAGATAATATTCCTTTTATAAAAAGTTTAAAAATACAGAAAAACATACCAAAGGAAATAATCCATAATGTTTATGCTGAACAATTTTTACAAAATTGGGATCAGCCTGTATAAAAGGTCTTGACTTCTGTTTTTTTCTCTTAATGTCTCATGATTTTTTTTTGGTTAATTTGGTTTTTTAGTGATTACATAATATCTTTTCACATAAATCTGCCATAATTTACCCATTTTCTAATTGATTGACATATTTATATATTTTCCACTTTTTGGTGTTATTAAGACATGCTGTGATGAACATCTTTGTTTGTAAATCATTATTTCACTGTTTTCACTGTTCTGTTTGTTTCAGCAAGATAATTTCACAAAGAGTGAAATTACTGAATTAAAGATCATTATAACAAAAAAGGTTTCCCATGAAGCCCTCGTAAGGGAAAATAAATACCTATCCTCAGCCATAGCTAGGTTCGTGGTTGAGGCCCCTATAACAAAAGACAGATTAATAAGAGCATACCAATTTATTTAATAGAAATTTTACGTGACACAGGAGTCTTCAGAAATGAAGACCCAAAGAAACAGGTAAACCTGTATATTTGTTATGCTAGGTTTGATGGAGAAGTGGCTCATTGTCGAGAAGTGTGATTGGAAAAGAAAGCATGATCTGTTGATATGGAAGCAACTTAGCAAGGCCTATTTGTCCAGTTTCTTCTCTGTGTCCCTGGATCTTCAAAGATAAGGGTTTTTTTTCCTTTGGGTATAGAGAGGGCTCCTCTTTAATGAAGGTCTTCTTTTTTCAGAGGTGGAAGGCAGGAAAAAATCAGAGAATGATCTTCCTAGGTTTCATGGCCTACTTAGGGGAGAAGGGCAGTGGAAGGTGAGAGAGACCTGCCTGCTTCTGCTGTTTTCTCAAATGCCAAGGTACTTTGGGGGTAGCCTGTCCTGAATCCCATCACCCCTATTGGATTCTTCCTCCATCTCTCCTAGGGAGAGTCTAAGGGTTGGAGTTTTCTCCTTCTCTATAGGAGATGGAGGATGGGAGCTCAATGAGAAAAATAATCTTGAGCATCTTGATACAAGCCTGTCCGTGTTTCCTCTCCACAGGGGAATGCTTGTGTATGCTTACACTGGTCCAAACACAGGAAAACTTGCAGATCTGCAGAACACCTCGTGGGGAGGGGAAAGCTGTTTTTCACTCAAGGCTGGCTCACTTCTGAGGCCGCTGCTGGGACAGGGAACTCCTAAGGCTCACTCTGGGTAGGTCTTTGTCGAAGGGGGCATTGGCCAGAGCCCTATGAGGTGGCGGCCAGGCTAGTGAAGGAGGCAGAGCAAGCAACTCAAACCATTTTCAGCTTTTCCTTTGCAGATCCAACCTTTTAAGCATACCTACATTTACCTGCAATGGCAATCGTTTTGCATTTTAATGACAAATCAAGTACGCTAACTTGCATTTGAAACGAAAGTGCCTTAAATGTCTTTGGCTGTCAGAATGAGATGTTAGGAGCTTGATGAAAAGCGAACAAAGAAGACAAAGTATGAAGCCTGGATACAGTGCAAAATGAAATAAAACCTTGTATGGCCTGTCAGGGGTGTCAGTTGATATTCATATCTAAAGCACATTATAGCATTACTTTGCAGCTCATAGCTTACTCATCTGTCTTTTTTAATTCATCACATTCGAGCCCACATCTTTTAAGTCTCGTGTGTCAACAATGGAAGAAATCTGTTAATTGACAAATGAGTGTCACAAATGTGAATTGGTGCCTTTACATCAGCGGCAGGTGTAGTCTCTTTTGTTTTTTGTTGGATCTATTATTGGCATAAGCCAGTGTAAGACATCTGTCTTTGTCGGAATGAGAAATGACAGGCCTTCTTGGCTGTCATTGTCTTAGTGCGTGCTCATTCTGTGAGATACTGTATAAAGATAAAATGTCAGTTAAAAGAATATGAAAAACTATCTGGAGGAAGTCCTTAAATTACTCAGAGAGGGGATCCGGGAATTGGGGCTGGAATTGAAATCTGAGTGTTTCAGTTTGTATCTATCACACCTATTTAAAAATAATATTTCCTGAGTAACAGGATGAGGTTATCAGGCATTTAGGAAAATGTTATGTTGTGCTGGTATAATTAGCTTTATAAGGTGGGGAGAACATCTACCTTTGCAAGATATGAATTTATTTATTATAAGGTCATCTCTCAGACAAGTACAGAATTGTCTCAATAAAAACATTCCAGGTAGGATTCTGGGCGTTGATTTGCATGTGTTTTGAGATATTGAAATTGTTCCACTCCAATTTCTTTTTCGGTTATATTCCTATCTGAGACTGATGAGAAGCATAATGAAATAAAAAGCAGCAGTTGTAGAGTGATGAGACAATTAGCGGGGAGCAAACTGTTAGTATCACTGAGCTCCTGGTGGGTTTAGATGCAGGCGAGTTCTGGACACCTGAGGCTCCGTTGTTAACTCCAGTTGCCGCTGGTGAGAGAGGAGGCAGCGGATCTGAGGGTGGAGGAATGCTCCTGCATCCTCTTCTCTCTGCTTCAGCCCGAGCTGGAGAGCTTGGAATTTTAGAGTTGGTGAGGACAGGGTGACCTCAGCTGGGCATGTCTTGAGTATGGGATGGGTGGGCTCTAAGGGGTGCTTTCCAAACTTGAGCGTGCACACACATCCCCGGGGAACTTGTGAAAATGCAGTGTCTAATTCTGTAGGTCTGGGGTTGGGCCTGAGACTGAGTTTCTAACAAGTTCCCAGGGGATGCTGACCTGCTGCTTAGACCTGACTTGAGCGTCAAGGAGTTCAGTCCATTCCTCCCACAGACTGTCTGAGAGGCTCCTGTAGACAATGTGGGATGATGAGCTGAGAGGAGTCTTTGGATGCTCGGGTGGGCTACACTGTTCTGGATGATTTTTTTTTTTTTTGAGATGGAGTTTCACTTTTGTCGCTTAGGCTGGAGTGCAGTGGTGGGATCTCAGCTTACTGCAACCTCCGCCTCCTGGGTTCAAGGGAGTCTCCTGCTTCAGCTTCCCAAGTAGCTGGGATTACAGGTGCATGCCACCACACCAGCTAATTTTTTGTTTGTTTGTTTGTCTTGTTTTTTTTGAGATGGAGTTTTGCTCTGTTGCCCAGGCTGGAGTGCAATGGCGCGATCTTGGCTCACTGCAACCTTTGCCTCCCAGGTTCAAGCGAATCTCCTGCCTTAGCCTCCCGAGTAGCTAGGATTACAGGCATGTGCTACCAGGTTCGGCTAATTTTGTATTTTTAGTAGAGATGGGGTTTCTCCAGGTTGGTCAGGCTGATCTCGAACTCCTGACCTCAGGTGATCCTCTCACCTCGGCCTCCCAAAGTGCTGGGATTACAGGCATGAACCACTGCGCCCGGCTAATTTTTGTATTTTTAGTAGAGATGGGGTTTCTCCATGTTGGCAAGGCTGGTCTCGAACTCTTGACCTCAGGTGATCTACCCGCCTCGGCCTCCCAAAGTGCTGGGATTACAGGCGTGAGCCACTGCGCCCATCCTGTTCTGGATGATTTCTGTGTCAAAAAATTATTTCTGTAGAAATGTTTCTAGTCCCTTCAGAGCAGGCTGGGATCCATTGATTTTTCTCTAGTTCTCTGGGGCTGTAGGGGTCGGGGACAGGCCTCTCTCCTAAGTCCAAGTTACCTAGTCTTCTTCGAAGGGGTTGGCTGTGTGTGTTGTGCACATGTGCTCACTGTGGTGAGAAGGACATGTACTAATGTTTGTGTTAGCAGAAATTATGTGTTTTTGTGTATACTCGAGTGGTGTGTTTGTGGATAGGCATGTAGCAAGACTGTGCACTAGTTTATGTGTATGGTATGTAAGCACACATGTTAGCTGTATGCTTAGGGTTGGGCATATACCAAATCTAGAGGAAAGGATGAGATGGAGGAAGGGAGGAACTTTGCCAAGAGGAGCAATAAGGCTCTGTAGCTGATACTCATTTGGATAATCAGATCGATGGGATATATGTGAGGAAGAAAGGAACGGCATGAGGATCTGCTGCTGGGGCTAAAATGGAGTCCTTTGGTGTCATTAGTCTTTGGTAAACATATTTGCCTCCAAGGTTCCTCCTGGCACACTGCTGTGGAGCTGACTGCAGTGTTTATTTTCGGATGGAATAGACCCCCAGCAAAGTTAGACAATACTACTGGGATCAGGGGAAGTCCTCAAATTATCATCAGAGGATCAAGGAAGGGCAAAATATGTGCAGCCTCAAGGACAGACACTCTCCCTTTTCTTTTTTATTTCAGCTGGAGCCATGACTCAAGAGAGCACAAAGCCACCTCTTTTCTTTTCACGTAAACTAATAATGAACTAATGAGTAATTGGGAGGATGAAACTGGTATTTTGCTGAGGGAACTCAGGAAAGCTGATGGTTCTTTTTCCAGACTTTTCGCTCCTTCCCTGGGGCCTCTTCCTTCTTCCTTTCAGATTCTGTGTCCCACAGACCTTTTCCTGGCTGACCCTTAAATGCTCTGCTGTGGAGGAAACTTTAATTTTGTTTTTAAAAGCAAAACAAGGCTTACCTGAAGAGGATGAGGCAAGCCAGAGAGGAAGAAAATCATCTCATCTGAAAAAGCGATCTAAGCTGTAGCAGAAACCCTTGTCACTGTAAACTAGAATGGAATGTTTTTGTCACGTGGAGAGAGGCCCATTTTGCTTTCTGTGGAGGTACATTAGTAAAAAGGAAGTTGCCAGAGTATACGTGTGTCCTTGCACATGTCTTCTGTTCGCCTTCTAAAAATGGGCAAAGCACGCACATCTATCTTGTGTTTATCCATACACAGGTCTGTGCATGCAGACACAGGCCAGATCCACATGCAGACATCCTTTTGTATGCATACTGTGGGACTAGGTACATAGGAAGACCATTTTACGTGCCCTCTCTTGGTTTTTCATTGCCAGCTGTCACGGAGAATCTGAAACAGAGAAAAATTTATTGGGTAGTATTTAGAAACATGTCGGTGGTAATGACTGCAGCTCTGATTTCAATTAACACCCACTAAATTTAGGCGAATGCAGCGCATTTGTAGACCTGTTGAACATGCTTGGCATCACGTTGCAAAAATCTGAAGTGGCCATGGTTTAAAAAACATTTCATGCTGACCACTGCTTTCATCCTTCCCCCCTTCCCCCAATCTGGCATATGGTAGCAGGCTCCCCTGTGAAATGTAGAAACTTCAAAATTCTCTCAGTTTGGATTTTTATAAAATGACCTTTCAATTGCAGAGAGCACAGTTAAAGTTTTAGCGTCCAATCTTGCTTAATGAAATACTACTTTGGAGTTCATAATTCATCATTTCTTACACCCTGCTCACCCCCTTTTCTGACTATTTGGGTGAAAACAGCTGGGGAAGTGCTGTATTTTATGATTAAGGCACTAAAAGATTAGCCATAGGCACTGCCCATCCATGGGGCTACAGAATTCAGGCTGCTGACAGCAGATCTGTTTTGAATCGGACTCAGATTAAAGTGAGTGAAAATCATTTGGGGGCTAGGGTTCGAGAGGTCACACATGTGATGAATTGTGGGTGCTTGCCTGGCTTCCCAGGCGAGAACCATAAGCAATTATTAAATGCCATTGTGCGTCAGGAAGGGTTGGTTGGTGGTGACTTTGAAATTTTCCAGAAGCAAGCCTGGGAGATTGCAAAAGGTAGTGTAAAGTGTTGGATGGGAGAGGATGTGGAGGGCTGTTGCTTAATTTTGGGGGAGATTTTTATTCCCTTCCCATCTTTGGTTTTTCCTGGGTCTGTAGTGATAGAACCATCATTCCAGGGGGATGGGGTGGGTCTGTGGGGGAAGCCTCTATGGTACCTTTTTTCTTTGCCTGATAAGTTCTTCAGTTGCCCCCTGCTTTCTCTGGGTGCTGTGGGAATTAGTGGTTTTCCACCAGCCTTGGGCTGTTCTGTGAGCATTAACATACCTTTATAGACAACCTCTTTTTCATCCACCGAAGCCATCTCGAGCTACCCTGGCCAGCTATGCAGCCAGCAGAGATTGATAAAAAGTCTGGGCTCATTCCCTCCTGAAGGTGCAGGGCTTGGAGTGTCTTGGATAGGTGAGGCTGTGCCCTGCCCCCTCCTCAGCATTTTCCATCTGAGGTGATGTGGCTGATCCCTTTGGACCAAGTCCAGAAAGCCCTTTCGTCACAGAAAGGAAACTCCCCCTACTGAATCTACCCTTTTCATATTTGACCTGGATCTCTCCCACCTCTAAACCCTCCCCTCTTCCCTAGATTCTCCTTTTCTAGCTTTTGGGAATAAATCTTTCTGAAAAGGAAAGAAAAAATTAAAAAAAACCAAACCCCAAACTCAAATAGGTTTAGTTGGTGATTTAGCAGTTTTTTTTTTTCCAGTGACTCAGTTGATTTATTCAGCAGTTACCAAATGCTTGTTGTGTGTGATGTGGGGGCTTAGGCATTAGAGATGCAAAGATGACTAACACCTAATAGAGGAGACATGAAGAAATAGGTGACTGCAACCCAGCCAAGGGAGGACATCCTGAGGGATGCATCAAGTACGACGACGTGGACATATGGCAGTCGGCCCATCCTGGAGGGGGTGGAAAGGGGTCCTGGAGTCAGAGTCTGAAGCGACCAGTAGGCTGAACCGTTCAGGAGGCTGAGGAGGACATTTCAGGCAGAAGGGCAAGTGTGAGCCATGGCAGGGAAGGGTGGAACAGTTGCAGCCAAGGCTTGGCTTGCCCTGGTGAGTGACTTCCCCACCTGCCATTATTTGACCAGCACAATATTTGGCCCCTAGTTGTCTCTGTTTATTCAGAGAGCACACACTGAGTGTCTAAGTTGTGTGAGTAACTGTCTTAGGTGTTTGAGAAGAAGAAGACCTCGCCCTCTGTGCCTCTTATTTGCCCCTGCTCTTCTTTCTCTTCTTTTTCCCTCCTGAATTTTTCCCACGTTTTACCTCTCTTCAAGATAAGGAATTGGGTAGGAGAGGGAAACAAAGGGTGTGGCCTCCCCAACAAGTATCTAAAGTGATGGGTTCCTGGAAGACCCCATGCTTGTGTGTGGATAAATTGTGGGGACAGGACAGTATACCAGACATCAAGATCGCAAAGTTGGGCAGGCACAGTGGCTCATGCCTGTAATCCCAGCACTTTGGGAGGCCGAGGTGGGCAGATCATGAGGTCAAGCGATTGAGACCATCCTGGCCAACATGGTGAAACCCCATCTCTACTAAAAATACAAAAATTATCTGGGGCTGGCGGTGCATGCCTGTAATCCCAGCTACACAGGAGGCTGAGGTAGGAGAATCGCATGAACTCGGGAGGTGGAGGTTGCAGTGAGCCGAGATCGCGTCACTGCACTCCAGCCTGGTGACAGAGTGAGACTCCGTCACACACACACACACACACACACACACACACACACACACACACAAAGTCGCAAAGTATTGCTCAGTCATACTTAGGTAGAAATGGCTGATAGTGGTATAATAATCTCCAAGGATTATCTGCATGTTTCCATAACTGATCCTAATGGTTGAAGTATTAATGATGGAGCATCAGTAGTCTGGAACCAGGCAAAAGTATTTGATTTTAGGGGAGAGGTTGGGGCATTGATAATAGCCCCAAAGGACTTCACATAAATGGTTGTCGGTTTCCCCCATACATAAGTTCCTTTGCTTCCCGTGGTCTTTAGTTAACTGAATCCTTTTTTTGGGGTGCGGGGCGGGGTTAGGGAAGACTGTTGGCCATATCAAAGGATGTAAAAAGAAGGACCATTAGGACTCCCATGCTATCTTCATTTCTTTGTTATTGTGTGGTCATTGCATGTAGGGGACAGGGCAGCTATAGTATCTAATCACAGAGATCTTTCTGGAAAGAGCCCTTCCAGAAGGAAGATTTGCCTTAAGAGATACCCAGGGTGATGAAACAAACACCTCAGCAGTAGACTCCCCTTTGCTGTGGCCCCAGTGCTCATGGGTTAGAGGTGGTTTGGAATTTTCTTTTGCTCTTAAGGTTCTGCACCTGAAGTGATGCTAGTCACTTTTTGGTCCAATAAACTTGGAATAAAAGGAAACTTTTTTTTTCTCCAGAGTAGGTTTTCACAGGTCTTTGCGGGGGGCTGTCGGGCACAGGATTTGGGAAGGGTCAGGGTGGGAAGAGAATGCCAAGCCCTGCTGGGGGTGGAGTGGGGAGATAGGGGCCTGTCTGCATTACTAGTCCATGGCGGCCGTCCAGCCTGTGGCCTCTCTTGCACAAAGGCTTCGTTCTGATTAATGGCACTCATGTCTTGGAGGCATGGATTGTATTAGACCTTGTTTAAAAGTGCTCGCTATACATTCACTTCCCCTGGAAGTGCACCAAACTAGGACGAGAGGAAAAAAGGGAGCAAGAGAAAGGCCCTGCATTTGGAAAGAGTAGACAGAAAAGCTTTTTTTCATAAATGCTTTCTGTAACTTTCTGTGCTCTTCAAGGCATTATCTCTGCAGAGCTCCTATGGGAGAGCATGGGGAAAAAGTGAAGACAGACGTCTTGGGAAAGAAAATGGGTTTCCCTGCCAAAACTGGGAGATGGTGCTGGCTCTCTTGGCTTTTTAGAAACTCCAAGAAATCTGCTGACATTTTAAAGGAAAAAAAAAGAGAGAGATGATTTATGATGACATCACATGTTGCCCAAGCAGATCCTGTGAGAGGAAAATGGCTTTTATAGAGAGCATGTTGCAATAAAGAAACAGTGAGTCACTGGGGGAGCATCACCAATTGAAATGCCTTCAGTTATTTGCCCTAACTGGCCCCCAGTGCAACCAAAGACATTGGCAGCTTCTGGGGCCTTGCTCTAAAGAGATTCAGCTCTAAAGAGAGCTGAACCTAGAGCGTGTGCTGCTTTCTGTTTCCACATCTCCCTTTCCTTCCCAACCCCTTTCTGATGACTGATTTCATCCTGCATTTGTTTTTAGCTTCCTGTCAGCTAAGGTGGGTGTGCAAGTGTTGCACTGGCTGCCCATGTGTGTGAGTGTATGTGCGTGTGTGTGTGTGTGTGTTTGTTGAAGGGTGTGCCACCCCATGTATCAAGTGGTGGGCAGTGGAAGAGGATGGTAGCATGAGGGGAGCCAGAGACTTCCTTGCTTTCCTTGGAGTTGCAGAACAATGCTAGACTTTTGCAGAGGGGTGAGTGTTTCTGCCGTGCTTGGAAGAACCTGGAGACTGGTATGGGATGAGGGATCCAGTGTGAGGCCTATGGGTGCACACGGCCTTCTGGGCCTAGGAACCATAGTAACTGTGCTTTAAGCTTCAAACAAGGTGCAGAGCTTGGTGTTGGTCTCCATGGACTTCTCTCCTCTTGGTTGTCTATTGTGTGTGGTGGCTCACCACCTGCAGGGCACTAACCCTGAATCAGCAATAGGAAGGAGTCTAAGAACTAGTCTTTGGTGGCCCCACACTTCTGGTTCTTGGATGCACCTCTCCCCTTTAATAATACTTTTCCCTCTTTTCCTCAAGACTCTACTACCTTCCTGCATTTCCTCTGCCACCATCAACATGGTTTGAGGACCAGGTCAGAAACCCTTTTGTATTAGGGTTGAGTTGCCAGAATAAGTTCTGCCTACGTTGCATTTATTTGCATTTCAGTGAAGATCAAAACATAAAGGTGAGGCTGAGTGTGGTGGCTCACACCTGTAATCCCAGCACTTTGGGAGGCCGAGGCAGGCAGATCACTTGAGGACAGGAATTTGAGACCAGCCTGGGCAACATGGCAAAATCTCGTCTCTACTAAAAACACAAAAATTAGCTGGGTGTGGTGGCAGGTGCCTGTAATTCCAGCTACTGGAGAGGCTGATGCATGAGAATCACTTGAACCCAGGAGGTGGAGGTTGCAGTGAGCTGAGATTGCACCACTGCACTCCAGCCTGGGAGACACAGCGAGACTCAGTCTCAAGAAAACAAAGACCCGTAAAGCCGAAGGACGGAAATGCGTTTGAAGGCATTTCAGCCATCAGGAAGAGGGGTCTAGGGTATCCTTCTGAGATGTGGGCTGGGCCAGTGGTGGTATGGAGCAGGTAGTTGGTTGTGCTGGCTGTGGCGTGGATGATGCTTGTCCTTCCCAGTGCCAGAGCTCACTTCTCTGCAGGGCAGGTCCCTCCTTGTAGGTGCCCTCAGTCTGAGCAGCCCCACTCATTGTCCGTTGGAACAGTCACGTCCCAGGGTACATAAGGTTGTGGGGTCCTCTCCGAGGAGAAGGGCCGCTTACTTCCTAGGTGATGGTGAAGATGTCTGCAGGTGTCAGCACTGGTGACTTAGGCCAGCCCTGCCCTGCTTTCCCATACCTGAAGGATTCATTCCAGATTGGGAAGTCTTTGAAGCTTTGGGTCTTCCCTGTTGAATCCGCAGCCCTGGCCCAGCACATGTGCTTGGTGCAGAGCTGCTGCTGACCTCCCTCATGGGTGGGTTGGTTTGTGAGCTCAGAGCTTGCTTCTGGGCTCTCTGCCTTGAGCAAAGAAGCCAGATTCCAGAGAGGAGAAGGAATGATTACAGTCACGTTCTTGGTGTCTTCTAGGGACAGACGTTTTCTAACTGCCTTTTTAACAACCATATGTAGTGGTAGTAATAAACCACTTATAATTTCATCACCTTAATTCAGCTTTTTTTCTGGCGGGGGGGTGGGGTGTGAGTGGGGTGTGGTTCTGGTAAGCAAAACACAGCTCCTGCCTTCAGGAAGTTCATCTGTGTTTAAAAAGCTTACCTTTTTTTTTTTCTGTTGAAAACCATAATTCTACCCAAAGAGCCGTGTCTCACCCTGCATACATTGTAGGAGTTGGGGGAGTTGAACTTCAGCTTCAAACCAGGCATTTAAAACTTTTAGCAACCCTAAGGGATTGTTTCTGCGATCTCCCTCTGATCTTCAGGGAAATGGAGGCAAAACCTGCCTAAGGACCTACAGCTCCTAAGTAGTGGAGTCCCAGTATTAGACCTGGGTTCTGTCTGTTCCGAGCCTGTGCTCCCTCTGCCAAACCAATCCCTTGATAATGCTACATACGTTGTTTTGAGTTCTGTTGTTTTTCACTTAATGTATCAAAAGCATTTCACTGTGTTTCTATAATATTCATGATAATCTTTTTAAATGACTACATGATTTTTTACCTCATGCTGACGTACTTTAATGTAAACCAGTCCCTGAAAAGTTGAATGTTTATTTCTAATTTCTTTGATGTTGGAAATCGAGTGGTGAGTTCTGAAACTCCCTCTTGTCCCCTAAAAGGAGCAGCTGGCCTGGTGCAGATGTAGCCTTTTGAGGGTCTCCATGTTTGGGGAATGTGTCTCCCTGTGTCAGGGAAGGCTCATAGAAGGAGAGCTTGGATTCTTATCCTTGACCCTCTGGCTTCTGGTTCAAGACATACTTCTTTGCTGGGCCCTTCAGAAACCCCTCATCTTCCCCTCTTCCTCAGGGAGAGCCAAAATCATCTGCCAGGTCTCTTTTTACCCACCAGTTTGATCGTCTTACTCCCTAGTCCCAAATCCATTCTCTATGCTTAAAATCCTTCCTGCCTTCCCTCTTCCAAGTCTTCTCTACCCACTTCTGTCCAGCTTTTAAATCAGCTCAACATCTATAGCCTCCAGTCCCTCTGCCAATGTTGATTTCTCCTTGCCCCAAACTCCCTGAAACTCCACCCTTTTCAACTTGACACCAAATTGCAGACTGTCATATGAATTCCTGTCTCCCCAAAACCAGGTAATGAAGGAGGCAGAAGGGCCTACCATTTATGCGCCCATTATGTACCAGGCACTGTCCAGCTCTTGTCTCATTTAATCCTCGTAACGACCCATTTGAGGTGGGATTCATTATCCCCTGCTTACAAGAAGAGGGGTTAAGTTGTTTGCTCAAAGTTACCCAAGCCCAGGCAAGAGGAAATGAGTGTCATGTAAGTGGCAGAACTCCCAAATGGCAGGGACAATTTCTTTAACTTCTTATCCATTCCCTTTTATGATCAGTGTGCAGGGCAAATAGAGAGCACATAGTAGCTGCTCATTCAATGGTTATTGAGTTGCGTTATTGGACAGTTTCCTTTATGGGGATGAAAATTCCTCCTGTGCACTGCTGAATCAGGACAGAAAAATCTAGTCCATCATGTATATGGTGTATGCTTTTCATTTCAAAGAGTGATCTCTGCAGTTTGGCAAGGGTCAGGTATTGACAAGAGATGGAGAGGAGGGGAAACATCTTGAAGCTGCCTTTTGCCCTGAGCTAGAGCAAAGCCCTACATCTGTTCTTTGTCTTTGTTCTTCAGTTTCCCTCTCTTGCTGAGGTCCTAACAGGAAGCAGGAGGGTGGGCGTGGCCAGATCTTAGAATTGAATGATCTGGGCTTAGGCATTCAGGGTTCAGAGGGCTTTGGCATGAGAAGGAGATTGGCATGATCTGCCGTGTTGGTCACCTTTAGCTTTGAGTGTCAGATCAGGTTTACCTAGCATGGGGTTTGGTCTGTGCAACAGTTCTAGAGGTTTGCATCTCTTCTTCCCCCATGATGGACCAGGAGAGAGAGCTGTTTTGACACCAGATTGTTTGGGAAGCTTTGGGAAGCTATGGAGTTCTTTCCTTTTGCTATGACCTAGTTCTGGGCTAGTGATATGAGATTGGATGTAAATCAAAGTGGGGCCCAATCAAAGGTGTATACCAAAGTGGGGGGAAACCTGGAGCTTTACTGCAGAGGCCAGCATAACATGTCATAACAGAGTCAAGGATGAAAGCTCCAGAGGTGGTAAGGGCTGTGTGGTGGGAGCAGGGGGCGGTGCTGAAGAGCTAAAGGAATATAGAGATGGGTACTCTACAGAGATGACAGTAAGTGTTACTCAAAATAAGTGTGTCTGGAGGTGATGCGTTTCCGAAGTTCAGTGATTTCTCTACATCAGGATCTCCCAGAGCCTTGCATGCCAGTCTTGCGGTGCAATCTCCCAGCAGTGGCTCAGCAGCCTGCATTTGGAGGTGGAGTTGGTGCATCTGCAGAAAGTGCACTTAGGAATGTGGGCTCCAAAGGCAGACTGCTCAGGTTCAAATCTCAGCTCCATGGATGTTTGTTACCATGATGCTGGGTGAACTCCTTAACATTTCTGTGGCTCAGTTTCCTCATCTGTGGCATGCTGGTTGTGAGGATTAAATGAGGTGATGCTTGTAGGCTGCCTGTGTAGTGTCTGACTTATGGAAACTGCTCAGTAAGTGTTAGTGGCTGCTCTTGTTTGTGTCATCATGATCATGGTCATCATCTCACCAGGGACCAAGGTGACTTTGCCCTAGAGCAGTGGTTCTCAGTCTGTGCCCCATCCCTGGCATCAACATCACCCAAGGGTTTGTTGGAAATAAAACATCTTAGGCTCTATCCTATTGAGTATCAAGTTTGGTAGGTCTGGGGTGAGGTCCAAGAGTTTGCATTTCTAACAACTTCCCAGGTGATGCTGATACGCCTGGTTTGTGGACCACGTGAGACAACATCTCCTTGCATTGCGTTCCAAGTAATATCATCTAGAACATGCAGTTGCATACACTGTTCCTCCCACTCCACTATTATCTCTTCTAATGGTTAGATGATTTCTTAGCCAGAATTCTTCTGAAATCAAGGATTCCTGTGATTAATGCAGGAATACCTGGTATCAGGATGAACTGTCACAAAGAAGTAAGGCAGTGAGTGTTTCCTGCTCTTTAAACCAGCCTTGTTTGTGTATGTGTCTCAGTTGGGCTGCTATAACAAAATACCATGGACTGGCTGGCTTATGAACAGCAGAAACTTATTTCTCACAGTGCTGAAGGCTGGGAAGTCCAAGATCAAGGGACTGGCAGATTCAGTGTCTGGTTTCTCATAGATGGCTGTCTTCTCACTTTAGCATGGCAGAAGGGGCAAGGGGTCTGTTTGTGGATCCATTCATGAGACTCTGCCCCTATGACCTCATCATCTCCCAAAGGCTCTGCCTCCTGATACCATCATCTCGAGGGTGAGGATTCAACATGTGAATTTCAGGGAAGGTGGGACGCAAACATCTAGACCCTAGCAGTACAGGTTAGACTTGCTACTACAACAGACCCTCTGTCAGGTGACTTTGGTACAAGGCAGTTTGCTTTATATCTGGGAGGGTAGTCAGAGTGGGATGTATCCTGAACCCCTCATTGTAATACCAGTGCAGTTTGTATTGTGTCCTATTTCTTGGGGGCTGGCCCCTTCAGTGGGTTGTAAGACGTGTGTGCATGTGAGTGTGTGACACAGTACTTGATGAATTTGAGAAATGTGGCCTTGAGGTGTGACCCTGAAGACCCCTGCTAGTGTCATTTCCTACGGGAAATTGTCCCTAACACTTGGCGCTGGTCTCTTTAAAGGTGTGTATCTCACTGCAGGGCCGGTGTTGCTGTATTTCACTGTCTGCCCACCATACTCTGTGTTCATTGAAGGTGGAAACTAGTTATCCATAGCCCAGCACCTGCACATAGTCATGTTCAAATGTTTCTCTTGAGAAACACTTAGTCTCCTCTGAGGACATAAGCATAAGAGCCCCATGCTGTTGCTGGGGTCCTGGGAGAGCACTGGAGATGAGCATCTGATGGGGCCTGATGCTGCACCCCTGGTTGGGCACATGTGGAATTCTGAAGACCCAGGAGGCCATAGTGCTTCAGTTTTCTCCCTCTGGTCCCAGTTGCTTCCTTTCTGGGTTTCCTGGGGAGATGGTCCTCCTGTGAGGCCTCTTGGGAGGCTGTCCCTGGAGATTAGCATGGGTGTTGGGTGGCTAGAGCCCATGCCTTATGGACGGGGAGGACCCAGGAGCCTGGGTGAGGAAGGAGTCGTGCAGGAGTCAGGGGCTGTTTTGGGGGTAAGCCTGTCCTCCTCCCTGCTCCAATTTTCCTAACCAGTGTGTTGATTTCAAGAACCTGGGACTGCTTCCGAGAGATAATTGGATCACTGAGTCCTGCTCATTAGTCAAGTAAAGTAGTCTTTGCTAAAGAAACCGGTGAAGGGCTGATCGTTGAAGCCCATTGTTTCAGGTAATTCATGGTTTGGTATCTAGGCTCCTTTGAAGTAAAAAGACTCCAAAATATAAACCTTTCTCCTATAATAGAATCCTCTCGTGTTATTTAAATCCCAGGGTTTTACATTACAATAGTCACCCATCAGGCTTGGAGAGAAATGGAACTTTCTCTGACAATACATTATGTGGTGTTCTTGCTGGCTTAAAATTAAACCTAATCAGGAGGTGTCACTGAAGTTTGTGCTGAGTAAATGATGGAGCATGAAATAAAATGATTTATACCACTTTTCCCCCCAATAGGCAGTGATTTTTAATGTTTTTCTCCTTCCGAAAGAAGGCGTGGGTGTTGAAAGTGATTTTTGATTGTTTTTCTTAAGTGGTCCAAGACCACAACATTCTAAGAGCCGCCCTCCCTTCTTTCCCACATGGTTGACTCTTGCTTGAACTTTCACAATTTGCAAACATTAGAATGTTCTGACAGCTTCACTGGAGATTCTCTAATCTGACCCATCAGAATGGAAATTGGAGGCCAAGCCTTTCAGGAGTTGCTGGAATCTGCACTTAAAGTGGTGTGATCCAAGTCTTGTTCTCACTGGGTTTCTCTTTCAAGACAATTGCACTAGGGTTAAGTTGATTGGTTTTATGGCATCATGTAAAGTTAATTTTTTAAAAAATCATTGCTTGTGAACTTGGGGCCCTAAATAGAAATATTTTGCACATGTGTGGCCCCAAGCTCTGTGAGGGAGTGTAGTAACATCAGTTCTCCAGAGGACGTGAGGCAGGGGTGGATGCTGCCCTGCCCTCCTACCCCAACTGTTTGCAGACTCAGCCCATCTAATTCCTCCTTAAATTTGTTCTTGTCTCCTTTATCTCAGTTAGTGGTGCAGCCATCCTCCTGACGCCCTAGGTTCACCTCTGAGTTCATGTTCTCACACCCTTAAGGATCGCCATGTCTGCCCCTATCTCCTACACCTTGCCAACAAAGCAGGAATTGCCTAGAGTCACGGTCTGATCCAAGTTGCTTCCCTGCTCAAAACTGGTGTCTGTAGAATCTAGGCCAACCTTGGAGCCAGCAGATGACTTTTCTAGCTCAGCTTCCTCTTTACCTGAGCTCCAGCCACATGAACTGACTCAGTGTGTCTTGTGTTTTCCCAGCTCTTGGTGTTTGTTTATGCTGGACCCCTTGTATTAGTTTTCTAGGGCTGCTGTAACAAAATACCACAGACTTGGTGGCTTAAACAACATAAATTTATTTTCTCACAGTTCTGTAGGCTCAAAGTCCAAGATGAAAGTGTCAGGAGAATTGATTTCTTCTGAGGCCTCTCTCCTTGGCTTGCAGAAGGCTGTGTTCTCACTGTGTCTCTATATGGCCTTCCCTCTGTGTGTCTATCTGTGTCCTGATCACCTCCTCCTCCTCTTCTTTTCTCTCTCTCTTTTTTTTTTTTGGAGGCATGATCTCCTTCTATCTCTCAGGCTGGAGTACAGTGGCGCCAACACAGCTCACTGCTGCCTTGAACTCTTGGGCCCCAGTGATTCTCCCACCTCAGCTTCCCAAGTAGATAGGACTACAGGTGTATACCATCACCTAGCTAATTTTTTTAGAGATGGGGTCTTGCTATGTTGCCCAGGTTGGTCTTGAGCTCCTGGCCTCAAGCAGTCCTCTCGCCTCGGCCTCCCAAAGCACTAATCTCTTCTTCTTGTGAAGACACCAGTCATGTTGGATTAGGGCCCACCCTAATAACCTCATTTTAACTTAGTTATCTCTTTAAAGACCCTGTCTCCCATTCTGAGAATCTGGGTTAGAACTGCAACATACAAATTTCTTTTGGGGGATGGGTACAATTCAGCCCGTAATACCCTTGCCCTAGGAAAGCCCTTATTTCTACCTTTGCCTGTCAAACTCCTACATGTTCCAGGCTCACTCTGAATCAAACACCTACATGTTCAAGGCTCACTCTGAATGTCACGTTTCCATGAACTTCTCCTTAACTCTGTGCATGGTTGCTTAGCTGCCTTTTATGTTCTGGGAGGCCCCCATGACAGCCAAGTCCCCAGGCGCAACTGCTGTGATGAAGGCTGGATTTTTGCTTCCACCTCTTGGGGACACAAGGCTTGTATAGCCCCTGGGGCCCACGAGGCTTGTATGGCTTCTGGGGCCCTGCTGTTCCCACCACAAGCAGTCCCCTTGGGCTAAGCATCACTCAGGGTATACCATGTGTGGCCATCTGTATAATTCATGAGGGAGGACTGTGTCACCCAGGCACTGCTGCTCATTTGCAAGAATTATGGGCTTTGACAGAACTCCCTGTCATGCAGGCCTCCTTGTCATATCTGTGGTAATTACTATTCCTCTTCTAATTACTTATCTTATCCACATGGCCCCTTTCAGCTGCAGCACAGGAGACTCCTGTCCTCTTCTGCAGAGGCAGCTGTGTCACTGCCACTGCTTCCGTGGCCCCCGAGGCACAGCCTCTGCTGAGGCCTCCTTTCTGGATTCTGAGCCGTGCCTCATTTAGACCATTGCTCTGAAGGACCACAGGCCTGGGAGGAGGCCTTTAAGCCTGTGTGCAGCTGATCACCAGCTCCAAGCTACCAGCATTCACCTTGGGAGGAGGCAGCTCTCCCCCAAGATTACAACTTGCTCCAAGTCAGGTGGAGAAAAATAGCAAAGAGAACATCATATTTAAGAGTTTGAATGTGCTGAGTGGATGCTTTGGAAACCTAACCTCAGGCAAAAGGTCCTTGGTTCAGGCTTGGTGACTGATGTTGCATTGTCTGCTGTTAATAGCCTAGAGATTGAAGACCCAAGTAGGCCATATTTTTGCCTGTCAACAGCGAATCTCCAATCTTTTAACTTCTTTAGTTTCAATATTTGATTTTGCTTGGGTTCACCTCTACAGTTGCTTTGCCTTGTCCCTGGTCACCTTACTATATTTGACTGAATTAAGCTTTCTGTTTCAATGTAAGTACTTAGTATTTTGCATTTAAAAGGCTGTTCTTTAATAACTTTGGAGGAAGTTGACTGATTTTAATGAAATTCTGTCCATTATAAAAGGCATTCACATACACCTCAGGTTTAATTTAAATGCAGTCTGTCCCCTTGAAATGAAATGGCAATGGGCAAAAGTCTCCAAAAAGACCATTTTTTTCAATAATACATAAGGATTTCCGTGGAAATTGGTGCATTTTTACAAGGTATGGAGATATTGTCCCACCTGTGTGAACCTGCCTAAAAGAGTATCTCTGTGTAACAGTGATGGTGAGTTAGAAATGGAGCTCTCTTGTCTCAATGCCTGACTTCAGTCTGATCTTTGCACTACTCCTTGACTGCTGACCTCACTCCCCGCCCTGCCATGTACATCCTCTGTGTACCCTGGGAACTTGTATGTAGTTAATTGTATCTGGACCTGCACCCCCAGCTTCTTTCTTGGCTTCATTTAATCTCTCTCTTGGCTTCCTTGCCTTCAGGGATCTCCTTCAAGGCAGGGCCATTTCTGGTTTCCTCCAGCTCCCAGGGCTCCTTCCTGCAACAGAAAATGTTCCTGCCTTCACAGAGCTTACATTTTAGTAAGTGGATTGGGAGGTTGCGGCCAAGTGTATAGTGAGGTGACGCTTAGGGAAAGCTTAGGCTGCTCTGAGAACACCTGAAAAGTACACCCAACCGGCTTGGTGTGGTGGCTCACACCTGTAATCCCAGCACTTTGGGAGGCCGAGGCGGGTGGATCACGAGGTCAGGAGATTGAGACCATCCTACATAACACGGTGAAACCCCGCCTGTACTAAAAATACAAAAAATTAGCCGGGCGTGGTCACAGGCGCCTGTAGTCCCAGCTACTTGGGAGGCTGAGGCAGGATAATGGCATGAACCTGGGAGGCAGAGCTTGCAGTGAGCTGAGATCGCACCACTGTACTCCAGCCTGGGCAACAGAGTGAGACTCTGTCTAAAAAAAAAAAAAAAAAAGTACACGCAACCTTGGGAGGAAGGAAGGGCATCAGGAAGAGGCATCCTGAAGGAGCCACTCATTCATTCATTCATTCATTTACTCACTCACTTTATAGAGCCATTGTGCATGTACTGAGTAGTCACTGGGAAACAGCAGTGAAAAAGCAGGCAGCATCTCTGTCCTCATAAAGCTTGTATTTTAGTGAGGAGAGTTGGCCAAGTAAGGTGGCCTTGGGAGCTGAAGAGTGTTTCAGGCAGAGGGAACACAACAGACGATGTCCAGATCTCAGGCAGAACGAGTGTATTCAAGGGACACAAACATGTACTGGGTAGTCACTGGGAAACAGCAGTGAAAAAGCAGGCAGCATCTCTGTCCTCATAAAGCTTGTATTTTAGTGAGGAGAATTGGCCAAGTAAGGTGGCCTTGGGAGCTGAAGAGTGTTTCAGGCAGAGGGAACACAACAGACGATGTCCAGATCTCAGGCAGAACGAGTGTATTCAAGGGACACAAACATGTACTGGGTAGTCACTGGGAAACAGCAGTGAAAAAGCAGGCAGCATCTCTGTCCTCATAAAGCTTGTATTTTAGTGAGGAGAGTTGGCCAAGTAAGGTGGCCTTGGGAGCTGAAGAGTGTTTCAGGCAGAGGGAACACAACAGACGATGTCCAGATCTCAGGCAGAATGAGTGTATTCAAGGGACACAAACATGTACTGGGTAGTCACTGGGAAACAGCAGTGAAAAAGCAGGCAGCATCTCTGTCCTCATAAAGCTTGTATTTTAGTGAGGAGAGTTGGCCAAGTAAGGTGGCCTTGGGAGCTGAAGAGTGTTTCAGGCAGAGGGAACACAACAGACGATGTCCAGATCTCAGGCAGAACGAGTGTATTCAAGGGACACAAACAGGTACTGGGTAGTCACTGGGAAACAGCAGTGAAAAAGCAGGCGGCATGTCTGTCCTCATAAAGCTTGTATTTTAGTGAGGAGAGTTGGCCAAGTAAGGTGGCCTTGGGAGCTGAAGAGTGATTCAGGCAGAGGGAACACAACAGACAATGAACAAGTGTATTCAAGGGACACAAACAGGGAAGGCAGAGGCCAGATCACAAAGGGACTTGTAAACCATTTGTTAAGGCATCTGGACTTTATTCATAGGCTAAGGGCTTGCCATTTTCAAGGGTTTTAGGAGAGTGGCACAGTCATGTTTGTACTTTAGAAAGATCACTGTGGTTGTTGTGGAGAGAATGGGCTGCGGGTGCAGGTTAGCAGATGAGTTAGGAGGTTGTAGAGTCTTCCAAGACAAGGCAGAGGCCTGCATTGGAGCAGTGGAGTGTGGAAGGAGAGTAGATGAACCTGAGGGGATTTTAGAGGTGGTTTTGATGGTATTTGTGTTGAGTGGATGTGGAGGGGTGAGGCATGGGAGGAGTCACAGCTGACTCTTGGGTTTTTTGTTGGAACAACTGCATCAAAGATGGAGGCCATCTGTGTGAAGGGGAAGCTGGGGAGGAACAGGGTTTTCAGGATGGAGGGGATGAGGGGCAGATGAATTGCATTTAGGACTCATCGGGTTTGAGGTGCCTTTGGGCCATCCATGTGGAAATGTCCAGGACACAGTAGATATATAGCTCTAGGGTTGAGAGTGAAGTCTCAGAAGGAATCAGAATAATGAGGTTTTGAGGGCATGGGAGTGGAGAGTGGATGAATTTGCTTGGGGTTGGGTGGGGCAGTTTAGCGTGAGAAGAGATTATAGGGTGAATGTGAGGATTGAAGGAATGAACTGAGGATGAGCAACTGGAGAGTAGAGGGAAACCAGCAGATTTGTGCTTTGCCAGAGGCTGGGGAAAGAGCAATTTAAAGAGGAGGAAGTGTTCATTAAGGTCACATGCTGCAAAGAGGAAAAACAGGATGAGCTCTTGGAATAGCCATCAGATTTAGCGGTAGGGAGGTAGGTAGTGACCTTGGGAAGAAAGATTTGATAGAATGGTGGGCTTTTCTGTCCACATAATGTCCTCTAAACACTTTTAGTTCTCTTCATCTTCATCAACAACCATGTTAGTCCAAGCCATCGTCATCTGTCACCTGGACTTTTGCAGTAACCTCTTAAGAGGTCCACTCACGCATCCTCTATTCCTCAGAGAGAGATCTTTTGGAGAGGCAAATCTGATTATGCGATTTTCTTGCTCGGCATCTTTTAATGGTTTTATGCTGTTAGGATGAAGGCAAACTCTTTGACATGGTTCTGCTTCCTTATCTCTCTTCATCTTGTACCACATTCTCCCTCTCTCTGCCCAGCCACACCATTCTTTCTTAAATGCCTTGAGCTGGTCATGTCTCCTTTTCCCATGGGGACTTATGCACATGCTGTTCTCTTTGCTTGGAAGTCTCTTACCCCCACCTTTCCACCTGCTTCATTCCTACTTGTCTTTCAGATTTCAGTTTCAGCTACACTTTCTTAGGGAAGTCTTTTCTGACCTTCCTCACATGACCAAATCTCTCCGTTAGGTGTTCTCATAACATCACGCACCTCTCTTTTATGGCTGTGGCAGATTCTGTTATGTTCCTAGTTATTCTCCCTCCCTGTATCTGTGCCCTTTGCCATGTGGCTTTGTAGTGCCTCCCTCAGAGTGTATACTCCTGACCACTGATGTTAGGCATGGTCACGGAACTTGCTCAGGCCAGGGAAGCATAGGTGGAGGGAAGAGCATACCAGTTCTGAGCTAGACCTTAGAATTGCATCTTCTGTTTGGCCTTCTTGAGCTTCTGCCATTGCCTGCTCTGAGACTGGACCTCACCATGAACTCACGTGGAGCAGACCTAAGCCTGCCCTGCAGTCTGCAACCTGGGTTTCACCTAGCCTAGCCAAGTTGTAGCCGATTTGCAGATATAGGAGAATAAATGATTGTTATTTTAAACCACTGAATTTTGGTGTAGCTTGTTAGGCAGAATCATCTTGGCAGTAGATGGCTGATTCAATAGCCACTATAGTTGCAGTTTTATATATATTGATGTTATTTATGTCTGTCTTCTCAACTAAATTTTAAGTTCTGTGAAGGTACGCCCAGGTCTGTTACTGTGCGCGTATTTCCTGGCTTCCTGCACAGGGTCTGACCCATGGTAGATGTGCAGCACATAATTGTTAAGTGACTGAGTAGAGTCTGTGTCAGCTCAACTATGTCCCTATCGTAGGAGTTTACTGGTTCTGGCGAAATCAGCCCACTGCCAGGGGTATAAGGATACATTTTAAGTTCAATTATAATACTTCACTGACCTGAAACAAATATGATAGCTTTTTAGAAATGCATGTTTTCTGTAATTTACAAAAGAAATTTTGATAAAATGTTGTTTGCAATAGAGTGGTGTGAATCATGGGGAAAACATATTCCATTTGCAATCTCGAAGCAAAAATATGTTAATCACATTTTCAGCTTAGTTAACCTTTCCTTTCCTTTCCTTCTTTTTTTTTTTGAGACAGAGTCTCACTCTGTAGCCCAAGCTGGAGTGCAGTGGCACCATCTCAGCTTACTGCAACCATCACCTCCCAGGCTCAAGTGATTCTTGTGCCTCAGCCTCCTGAGTAGCTGGGACTGTAGGTGTGCACCACCACACCTGGCTAATTTTTTATTTTAGTTAGTAGAGATGGGGTTTTACCACGTTACCCAGGCTGGTCTTGAACTCCTGAGCTCAGGCAATCCACCCGCCTCAGCCTCCTAAAGTGCTGGAATTATAGGTGTGAGCCACCACACCCCACCCATCATTTCTTTATATAGATTGCTGTGTATGACATTCATCATTTTCCCCATGAACAAATAGGTACATTTTCATAGATAATTTCTACATTAGAAACAGAGATCAAGCCTTTAAGATCTGCTGTTGGTTTAGGAGTTAATTTTGGCTGAGTTGACAAAAATACCCATAGAATTTAATATCTCTGTCTTGAGAGGGAAAAGATATCTTGTTATAGGGAAGTAATATAGGGCTTGGAGTCAAAGGACACATATTTACTAGCTCTGTGACCATGAAAAGTGATTTGACCTTCTTGACCTTTATTTTCTGCACCAATAAAACAGGATTAATACCTACTTCATAGCATTGTGAAACGTGCTTTGCAAAAATAAAAGGGCTTGTAAGTCCTAGTTAATTGAATGAAATGGAATGAATGAAAATCAAATAAAGAGTAAAACTTGGATTTTTAAATTACTAATTTTATAATAAGCCACCTTACTACTGTCTCTTCTCTAAAAGTTTTTCAATTCTCCTGGGATTTGGGAGCGTATAATTGTATCATATGAAAAAAATCATTTTGCTTCTTTCTAATTTTTATGCTTCTCATTTTTTTTCCTTCTGTAATTGCATTGGCTAGTATGGAGAGGTTTTTTTTTTTTAATGATTTTTCAGGTAGTATTACTTTAACTTCAGGGCTTTTTTGGCATTTATGGACATGACCATGTGGTCCTCCCCACTGCCACCCTTTTTTCTGAGACAGGATCTCACTTTGTCACCCAAGCTGGAGTACAGTGGCTTGACCATGGCTCGCTGCAACCTCTGCTTCATGGGCTTAAGCAATCCTCCCACTTCAGCCTCCCAAGTAGCTGGGACTACAGGCATGGGCCACCACACCTGGCTAATTTTTGTATTTTTTGTAGAGATGAGATTTTGCTGTGTTGCCCAGGCTAGTCTCAAACTCCTGGGCTCAAGCAGTCTTCCCATCTTGGCCTCTCAAAGTGCTGGGATTACAGACATGTGCTACTGCACCTGGCCCTTCCCAGATTTTCTAACCTACTAATATGATAAACAATATTAGATTTCTTAATATTGAGGTACTTATAAATCCTCTTAAAAACCCCCCCTTAGTAGTGATATCACTACTTAGCTGTGAAAAGAGGGTTTTAAAATTTCTATGAAGTGTGATATAATATTTAATATATTTAATGGTTATCTAGGTTCTATTTGCTAAAATTTTAAGATTTTTGCATTGGTTTTCATAAGAGCAATTGGCAGGAGTTTTCTTTTACTGTGCTGCATTTTTCAGGATTTGTTCTGTGTTTATTATGGACTGAATTGTTTCTCACCCAAAATCCATTTGTTGAAGCCCTAATTGCCAATGTGACTATATTTGGAGATGAGGCCTTTAGGAAGGTAATTAAGGTTAAATGAGGTCACAAGGGTGGGGCCTTAATCCAATAGGACTAGTGTCCTTATGAGAAGAGGAAGAGACACCAGAGAGCTCTGTCTCTCCTCATATGCACAGAGAAGAGGCTGTGTGAGACACAGCAAGAAGGTGGCCGTCTACAATCCAGGAAAAGAGGCCTCACTGGAAGCCAACCCTGATGGCACCTTGATCTTGGAACTCTAGCCTCTAGAATTGTGAGAAAATAAGTTTCTCTTGTGTAAGCAACCTAGTCTG
Organism: Homo sapiens; assembly: GCF_000001405.40. Classification (NCBI taxonomy): domain Eukaryota; kingdom Metazoa; phylum Chordata; class Mammalia; order Primates; family Hominidae; genus Homo; species Homo sapiens. Next base: position 75,484,902 of record NC_000010.11, read on the forward strand.
TGATCTTTTGTTATGGCAGCCAGAGCAGACTAATACAATGTTATACTTACATTTGTAAGTATAGAAAGGTAAAACTATTTAAAATATTTTCCTATGTTCTAGAACAAACAGTTCAGATAGAATTTGTTATCCATTCTTTGAAGGAATAGGTAAAACTTACCTGTAAAATACTTGGGGCCAGGCATTTGTTAGTTATCTCTGTTAACTTTATCAATATCTGCTATAGCACTTGGTTTATTTAAACTTTTAGTATTTTCTGGACTTAGTTTTGATGATTTATATTTTGCTGGATAACATCCAGTTTATCCAGGTTTTCAAATATATTGCAATAAAGTTGAGAAAAAACATCTTTTTGATGTCTTTTAATTTATTCTGTATCTGGGGTTCTATATACAGTCACATCCTTATTTTGACTATACTTTCTGCTCTTTTCCTTGATTTTTGGTTTAGTAGTTGATTATTATTTTAATGATGCCTGGATTTATTTTTAGCACTATTTTCTTTTTCTTTTTTGAGACAGAGTCTTACTCTGTCACCCAGGCTAGAGTGCAGTGACGTGATCTCAGCTTACTGCAACCTCCACCTTCAGAGCTTAAGTGATTCTTGTTCCTCAGCCTCCTGAGCAGCTGGCACTACAGGTGTGTGCCACCATGCCCAGCTAATTTTGTGTGTGTGTGTGTATATATATATACATATTTTGAGATGGAGTCTCACTCTGTTGCCCAGGCTGGAGTGCAGCGATCTCAGTGCACCGCAACCTCCGCCTCCCGGGTTCAAGCGATTCTCCTGCCTGAGCCTCCTGAGTAGCTGGGATTACAGGCATGTGCCACCATGCCTAGCTAATTTTTGTATGTTTAGTGGAGACAGTGTTTTGCTGAGTTGGCTAAGCCGGTCTCAAACACCTGACCTCAAGTGATCTGCCTGCCTTGGCATCCCAAAGTGCTGGGGTTACAGATGTGAGCCACTGTGCCCAGCTGCTATTTTATAATTTCTTATTAATTATTGTTTTTATCTCTACCAATTCTTTGCTTTCCTTGTTTATTTTTATTTTTTGATTTTGAGCTGCTCACTTCATTTAAGCATTTTAACTCTTTCTTGCTTAGAACTGTGCGTATTTAAAGCTGTGAGTTTTCCTCTGAGTACTGCTTTGTGTCTTATGGGTTCTAATACACAGTGTTTGCATTTTTTGTGTTCTAGGTATTTTGGGATTTTGATTTTAATTTTCTCTTTGCATAAAAGTTGTTGAAGAGAGTGTTTTCAAATTTCTGTGAAATGTGATCAGAGAATGTGATCTATATATACATTATTTCTACTTATTGGAATTTAGGTATTTTTTATTACTTAGTAGATGGTCAAGTTTTATAAATAGGCACTTAAAAAATTGTATCTTTATTTTCACACTATAGCATTCAAAATCTATCAGATATCCTGATGAATTGATATTACACTTCTTGTAGTTCTTGTTTTTGATCCGCTTGACTTAACATGGCCCAGTGCTTACAGAGGCATTGTTATTCATTATTATGCTAAGAACTCCAGATTCTATATAGAGGACGTAAATTTCACCTTGAATGTATTAAGGAGACAATTTGATCTTGCTCCACAAAATGCTGGTAGTGCATAGGAGTTGACTGAGAGAGCATTTTGAGGTGGGATGAGGAAGGAAAGCTTTATGCAGGAGATGAGTCTTGAAGAGCAAGTAGATGTTAGGAGCTAGAGAATTTGTAAAGGGGCATTCTGGTCTGGGGGGGGCAACATGAGCAAAGTTGGGCCTAGGGTGAGTCTGGCATGCTGGGGAGAAGGCACACACCCTCCTCCTTGGGCTTTCTCTCTATGATGGCTGTAGCAGTTGAGTCAGGGTCCCATGGGGCCAGTTGTCTCCATTCAGTTGACTCTGCATAAGCATCTTTGTTGGGACCATCCCAGCCATCTCATCAGACTACTTTGCAGCAGTGGAGGATAGCACGTGATAATTTGTTCTTCAGGCCACCCTGCTGGTGTGCTCTCAGCTTTGCACTTTTACTGGAGAGCTGAAATTGGCACGCACCTCAGTTTGATAGCATTAGCTCAGTTTTTGAACATTAATCAGGGAGACGAAGGGATTTCAACAGAAGAATTACAGTGTCTGATATGTACTTGCTATATGGAGTTGTTTTGTCAGATGACCCCAGTAAATTACCAAATATTTAACACTGTTGATAAATCAAATGATGTGTGGTTGGTAGGAAGTGAAGGTATTTAAATAATTAAGCAGTTCTTTCTCGAGCCTCTTTATATGATGATTTTCTAGACTTCAAATCAGTTTTCCTCATCCAGCCTCCATATAATATATAGTTATTTCAAATCAGCTTTACTTACTGAGCTTTTTCTAGTAATTGAGCTTTGTCAGCAAAAACTGTATGTACCAGCAAATGGTGAATGATGGGCTCATGTCAGAAAGGAGCTTGAGAGGTGCTTTCTGTTGTTAGATGGATGGGTCTGGAGCCAGGACTTGAAGCTCTCTGAGTGTAATAGTTTCAGAGAAAAGGTATGTCTGAAATAGGGGTGAGTGCTCCATCACTCAAAAGCTGGTATTTCACACACCCAAGCCAAATGCTACATGTGCTGATGAAATCATGGTTTCGTGTTTGGGATGTGTGGGAGGTGTGGGAGGTTTTTAAGTACAATCTTGGTCACAGTTTCTCCTCCCACCCCTCCTTCCTATTCTCTTACAGCTAGGACCCAGCGTTCTGGGCAGAATAGCAGGCAGCGCAGTAGCTACTGAGATTATAAGTGGTAGGTTTATGGAGCTGTGACCACAACTCTCCACAAGCCAGTGCTGTCTCATGCAAGCACTCTCAGTGTCCAAGTGCTGAGTGTGTGAGTGGTCTGGGCTTTGCAGGGTCGGCCAAGCTCTTGGAAGAGCAGGCTTTGTTAGCTGGGGAGTCATCGCTCCATGCAGGCCCTGAGAATGGAGCATCCTGAGTGGACTGGTAGAGATGGGGCATGGGTCACTCTGAGGGTTTGAGCTACTTCTGCTATTTTTGAAATTCTGGTTTGAACTGCAGGATTGTGCTGAGTTTGGCACAGACTAATTTCTCTGTTGGCAGCACATGATGTATCAACTCATGTGTCAGTTGGTTTGATGCCACTCTGGACCTTGAGAGTTCCAAAGGGCTATTGAGGGAGAAACCTGACTTATGGCATAAAATGGGGTACTGAATTTGGGAGGCTGAGGATGCTAAATGGTGTATGCCCTGCCTCTGTTTTATTGCTGAATTGTGTCTCTCAGTGGAGGTTCTTAGAGGCTTTTCAACAAAACCTATGCTGTCAGCTAAAAGGCTTTTAGGACTTCATAATCATGGCACAGTATCTTTTCCTTTTTCTTAAAAAAAAGAACTTTTCCTTTCTTTTCCCCACCTTTTTGAAATCGTTAGCCTTCATGTGAACTGAAAGGGACTTCAAAACATTGGAAGAAAATAGTCTGAAAGCTCAGAGTGTGCTTGGCTCCTGGTAGGTATGAAGGCTTGATAAAGAGGCATCTTTTGCACTGACAGGTGTTTGTGTGCCAGTGTGGTGAGGGCTTTTGATGACAAAGCCACTTAGTTTTCTCTAGCTTACCCTTCCCTTTGTGCAGAGGAGTTAGGAAAACTCTAATAAAGTAACTAAATAATAAGGATAAAAAGTTAGCATTGTTGTTTTTTTCTTCATGTCCTCTTTTGTGCCCATCGGATTTTTGAGACTCACTTTTCAGGCCCTAAGTAAGCAAGAGGCAGAGGTGAGGAGGGGAGTGTCTGTCACTGTCCCTATGGTTCTGGAATATGCTGCTCTTCAAAGGTCTAGCATCAGCAGCAACATCCTTCTTGAAGCCAAAGGAAAATTTAGATGAGTGGCAGCGCTGTGGCTGAGGGTGGGTATGGAAAGGAGAGGCACTGGGTGGGGATGCTAAAATACTGCCTTCCTGTTCCCCAGAAGCGCAGTCACTTATGTTCCCCTTTATGGCCAAGAGCCCCCTTAACCCTCAGCATACAGTTTTCTTTCCCTTCGTGGGAACCAACTGAAATTGGCAAACTGTGACCGTTTGTGACGAGTTATCTCAGTCCTCACATGAGTTCTTACATGAGTCCCTCTATGACCTTGTGCACCTTTCCCAGAAAGATAAATTACATAGGTTACAACCAAAGGAGCATGTAATGCCTACTTGTTATTTCATGTGCCTTGTAAGAACCAGAGAGGGACCTCCTTGCTGAACCGCCTCGACCATGGAGTAAAGAGTTAGGACATCTCACTGTACAGCAGTCACCCCATTGTGGGCAAAACTATGTCAACCCCCTTGGATTTTTAGTAAAAAAAAAAAAAAAAAAAAATTTCACTAGCTGAGGATGACAATAAAATGGAGTGTTGCTGAATATTGTTCTAAGGAAACTAAAGGGGGTAGCTGAAAAATTCTTGGACTGGTCTCTGTGACTTGGTGTCCAGAAATGTTCATCTCATTATTTCATATGAAGAACAAAATTGGGCCAAGCCCAGATTTTGCTAACAACCTCCCACAGCTTTCAGCTGTATGTGAAAGTTAGTCCTTTGGATTTCAACTTGTTTATTTGGGATTCTCAAACATTAAGACTTGTGTGAGAGGAAGTTGGGCCCTGTATGTGAGCCATACTTTTTAATGGCTGGCAAGTAGGATTGTACGATGTCGGAGTTTGAAGTAGGCTCTGACCTCATGAGCTCTTACCTTCTTATATTTCAGAGGAGGAAAATAAGTCTTCCAACTTTTACTCCTTGGTTCCTCTCCCCAAGCCTTGTTATCACCAGGAAGTGTTAGATTGTTTGGGGTTTGTAGTTTGTGCTTGAGGGGGCTTGAGTGCTAGAACTATTCCATTGAAAATGGTCCTTGTTGGGGAAAAACAAGGATTGGACTTAAGATAAATGCTACGAGCTTATTTGATGAGGGTAGTATAATAATGTTCCATGGATGAATGTCATGGGTAATAAGAATAATGGCAATATTTATTATCTTTTACTATGTATCAGGTACTGGCGCTCAATAGTTCATATGTGTTCTCATTTAACTCTTAGAACAACCCAATGGGATATTGATAGAGGCAGTAGTGGTGGTGGTAATGGTAAGTAATAATGATTATAGCAGTTACTGTGCCTGCTTTATGTGGTTCATGTCATTTGTGTCTTACAATAATCCTATGTGTAAGGCACTGTTTATTATCTTTCCTACTCTCTAAATGGAAGACATAGAGGCTCCGAGATGTTATGTAACTTGCCCAAGGAGCTGGAATGTGAGCCAGTCGTCTGGTTTCAAAGTCTACTCCTATCAACCTTTCTGAACACATATAATTAACTAAATAGAGGTGTTCCCTGATGGGCACTTAATAAAAATTAGTGATGATGAGAAGTATTTTGGCCAAGAATATGTATGTGCATATATGACATGTACACATACACACACACACACACACACACACACACACACACACACAGAGTCAACTTCTGATTTTCTGCTTTGGGGCTAACCCTCTAATTGTGAATTCTAGAATGTCAGCTTCTTTTTCACTCAGCGTGTTTTCACCCTTGCCTAGCTGTTGGGGTCAAGGAATAGAAACTCATTTAACCTAATTCTAAGCAGAATATCTTTAGGAAGATTGTAATAATCACACAGTCATAGAATATTAGAATTGAACAAACATATGGAGACATGAAAGTCAACCATTTCATTTTAGAGAGGAGACTCAGGCCCTCCAGAGAGGCATTGATTATCCCAAGGCCTCTAGTTGATTAGTTCAGGGATTGCAACTAGATTTTGGGATATCTGCCTGCTGATCCAATGTTTTTCCATCTATGTGACCCTACCACTCAATGGCCTAGACTCTGAAACCAAGAAGAAATTGTGTTTTGTCTGTTTTGAATTATGGGTATCACTAATACGCCTCTGCTGATGTGGCTAATGTGTTGTTGACTGTTATGCTGTTTTTAGGTTCTTGTGGGTTTAGGTCACACTGGCAATGGAATCAACCTCTCCTCTCCCATCTGATTCCTTGTATCAGGAGTACAATAATAATTTTTTCCCCTAACACAGAGAATATTTTTTGTGGGTCTAGTGGACGAAGATAGTTAAGGAATTAAATTGACCACCACTCCCACATACCCCATACCATCAGGAAGGAAGGAGAGGCAGCATTATTAATGGAAATGCATTTTCTTTGAAGCTTGAATTTATTTTTTAAAAGAATATTCTTTCCTGACTTGGAAGAATTATTATTTGGTTGTAGGCATTTTATTATGTAGCTTCGTGTCATTATTGCATTGAGTGTGTTGCTATAGCTCCCACCAACTGTTTTAAGATGTTTTGAGACTGTGCTTTATATTATAAGGAAAGTATTTGTCACTCGGACTCTCAGAATTGAATTTGCCTGAATTAATTATGATTTGCACTCCATCCCCCTGGGCGGTATTGTGGGGGAGAGGTAATCCTTTCTGATGTCGTATAGAAAATCAATTCTGGCCTGCGGCACTGGCTAGTTGCTTGAGTGGGGGAACTTGTCACCCACTGTATGGTCTTTATTTCCCATTTTTCTTGGCCCTTTGTTATGTATTACTTTCTCTGGGCTGGTTTAAGAAGCCGCCAGGGCCAGGGAGCAGTGCTTGGAGTGATGGACAAGGATACTCTCCCATAAAGAAAATCACAAGGGCCCCAAGTTGGGTAATAAAAGGCCTTGTCAGTGGCTTTTCTTGTGTAGTCAGCATTGTTTATAGAGTGTTTTCCACTGAGAAACATAGACACTTTCTCTTTCGCCTAGGGGATAAGACAAGTTGAATGGCACTTGGTCAGATGTAGGGATTTGGTCTTGACTGGTTTGAGAATGTGCTGTCTTCTCCTCTGTCTTCTCTGAGGCCTCCCTTTGTTCCTTGGAATATGTTCCTCTTTCTTAATTTCAAGATGGGAAACTCCTTCATCTTATAAAACTCCGTGAGCAAATGTAAGAGGCAAAACAATTGATAAATATTTGTAACAACTATGACAAGCATAGGGTTGATATCCTTACTATATAAACAGCTGTTACAAAAAATAACCACCATGGAAAGGGCTATGGTCAAGTTTTAAATGCCTTGGGAACAGTGCCCTCAAGATAAAGCTGAGCAAAATAGCAGGACACAGAACTGAGCAGATGTAGATGTTAATGTAGATACACTCAGAGAAAGGGCTGAAATGTCCCCTTTTTCTTACATCCGTCAGGAGAGCCTACGAGTAATTTCTGCCTTGGCATGTGACCATGGTGCCTTGGCTTTGCCATTCCAGCCAACTGACCCTTTTGCTGAAAGTTTAATAGGGGATGAATTCACATGTGAATTCATAATCCCCTTATCTGTGCTAAGAGCATTCTGTAATGAGCCTGCAACAGAAAGAATCTTACATCTTGCGGTTTTGCTCTGACCCCACCTCTTGGCCTCCTTCCTAACCTCTCTATACCTCCTGGTTTGACGCTTTAGGTATCTGCCCCTTGTGGAGTCATTGCCTGCCTGCAGTATGTTAAATGAAGTTTTAAATAAATTGATTCACATTTCCTGCTAGTCGTCACATTGAGGCATTTAAGGAAGTATGGCATATGTGAGTGGGGAATATATTTTTGCTTATGAGAAGAGGAAAGAAAGACTTGTTCTCCTCTAGAATTTATTAATTTTGAGCCTTATTCTCTTTTATGTAGTGTGACTTTGACTATAAATCCACAAGCAAAGTCACAGTCAAACCACAGTTTAAGTTTTGAAGATTTATTGTTAAAATTTGCTCTCCCCCTAATGCTTTTATTATTTTCTCTTCTGTTCCCTGCCCATGGTGTGGGTTACAGTTAATGTTATCTACATATGTCTATAAATACCAAAAATATTTTTGATACAATGTGCATTTAATCAACTTTTTGTTACTGTTATACCATTTGTGTGGAGGAAAATTGTTTCTGTCTTAATGTTCTATTGAAGTGCCTTTGGAGTGATGATATCATAATCACTTTAATACATTTAAAAGCTTCAAGGCTTAGCATTTATTGAACAAAGCTCATTGAAGGAATATAACGGATGTCTTGAGGCTTTCCGCTGCTGTAAAAGGGACAGTATTGTTCATGGCCTCGGTAAAAGAAAATCTGAATTTTTATTTTACTTTGCACTGCATTGCAATTATATTTTAAAAGCTCTTCAAGCACAACTAACAAAGGGGCTGTTTTTATGAATTGTTATATTTGCATATCTCGGGGCTGACTGCTGTGAGTTTAAGATTAATAATGGACAGCAATTTAAAACTTTATCACCAAAATCCAACCTCGAGATCCTAAAATATGGCTTTCCCTTCCTGGATATCCTTGGAGAACAAGTTTTCCTAGGTTGGGAAGTGAGCGGAATTCTTACAAGTTTTGGCTCTTTGGGATCTCCGTGAAGAGAGAGCCATAGAGGGTTGAGATTGGGTGTGTGTGTGTGTGTGTGTGTGTGTGTGTGTGTGTGTGTGAAGTCCATGAAATCAGAGTGGGAAAATGGCATATGGGAAGCCGAGGGAGCCCCCACAGTCCTTGTGGGTTGAAGGTATGTTCTCTCAATCCCTGGACTGACACACAGGATGGGCCACCACGCTCTGAAGCTACCCTTCTGAAGAGTGCTAGGGAGAAGCTGTGACTGTTGGAGGTGTAATGGAAGATACCCCGTCATTCTCTTGGTTGAGATGGTTAAGTCACATCCTTAAAATTTGGCACCTCCTGGAACACTGGCCTCATCTTCCCTGCTGTTGGGTAACTGCTGACTGTGGCCTTGGAATTACATGTGTGGTGAGACATCCCCATGGGTGCAGGCTTGGTCTTGGAAATTATTTCAAGGAAGCTTTCTTTATCCCACTCAGTCATAACTCCGGGGAGAAGAGTGCCTGGAAAGACTAGTCACAGTTTCCTATTTCTTATTCCCCATCATCTAATTAGGTAGCTCCTGGTCTTGACTCTCCGTGACTGACTTGTCTGAAATTTACGTGTGTGTGTGTGTGTGTGTGTAAATTATTATTATTTTTTAGAGACAGGGTCTCACTGTATTGCCCAGGCTGGTCTCAAACTCCTGGGCTCAAGTGATCCTCCCACCTTGGCCTCCTGAAGTGTTGGGATTACAGGCGTCAGCCACCACGCCCAGCCAAATTTACTTGTTTAAAGCATCAATTCTCTCTCTAAATTTTCCTTAAGTGAAAATAGGCATTGTAAAGTTCATATGCTATGAAGTGGGGCTGCTGAGGCCTAATTAATGATGAATCCATGTTTCTTTCCGCCTAATGCTCTGAACAGGTGAATTTGCTTGAAATGATGGCTTTGATTTAGTAGCCTGAAAATAGTGGTCTTTTACTTCTTGTCTTTAGAGATATGGTGGCTGTTACCTTTGGTAATCAATCCTTTCTAATCTGGGTAGTTGGGGCTAGTTAGAGACCAGAGCTGTGATTAGGGTGTGGTGGTTTCCACTAGCGGTTGTTGAAACAACTTCCTAAAGAGATGTTATTTATGTATTCACCCATCCACTTCTCTGTATCAGTTAGAATTAGGTTCAATTGCATAGGATAGATAACTCCAGTTACCAGCCGCTAAAACAAGGTTTATGTTTGTTCCTTTTTTTTTTTTTTTTTTTTTTGTTGCCCAGGCTGGAGTACAGTGGTGTGATCTCACTCACTGCAAACTCCGCCTCCTGGGTTCAAGAGATTCTCATGCCTCAGCCTCTGGAGTAGATGGGATTACAGGTGTGTGTCACCACACCGGGCTAATTTTTGTATTTTTAGTAGAGATGGGGTTTCGCCATGTTGGCCAGGCTGGTCTTGAACTTCTGGCCTCAAGTGATCCACCCACCTTGGCCTCCCAGAGTGCTAGGATTACAGGCGTGAGCCACCGTGCCTGGCCTGTTTGTTTCTTTCTCATGTAAAAGAGGCCTAGAGGCTGACAGCCTAGGGCTGATAGGCTCCTTCCAGCTTTCTACTCTGCTGTCTCTAGGGTATGGGATCTTGAACTAATCATGGTCCAGGATGGCAACTAGAAGTCCAGCCATCATGTCCACATTCCAGGCTGGCAGCAGGAAGAAAGGCAGAAAGAAGGACATTTGCTCTTGCCTTTTAAGGAGTCTTTTTAGAAATCTTATGTAGCCGTCCAGATGTAAGGCCACACCTAGCTGCAAAGGAGGCAGAGAATTGCAGTCTTTTACCTGGGTGGCAATGTGCCCTGCTAAAATTTGAGGTTCTTTTCCTGAGGGAGAAGGGGAGAATGGATATTGGGGTAGGCCACCTGTAGATTCTGCCTATCAATTCATTCATCTATTGTATCCTGTCTCTCTCTTTCTGTCTCCTTCTCCCTCTCTCCCTCCCTCCCTTCTGTTTTCCAAGCTGTAGTTGAAATGCCCCTCCCTAGTTCTATATATTTCTCAGACAGGCCTTTTATGGTTTTTTTTTTCTTCCCCTTTCAAGGTTTCCCTTGATGTTTGTTTTAACCTGCTTTTATCGATATTAAGATGGTGGGCATGGAGGGGACCATTTTTTGAGTGCCAAGTCTTCATTTCTCCTCTGCATAACATTTTCATGCAGCTAAAACATCAAGGCCTGCCGTACAGAGGAAAAAGTGACCAAACAGCTGGGAATGGTTCTTGGAAGCCTCTGAGCTTTTTGCCCTTCATTGGATCATGACTGTCACTTATCTCTAGAAACTTCCCTCCCCTTCTTGCCTGCGGGCAGCTGGGCCAAAGGGCAACCCCTTTGAGATCCAGAGTCCTGCCACTTATGGGGATGAATACACTTTACCTCATAGAAGTCCCTGGAATCCAAAAGTCAAGGCCAGTGTCATGCATCCACCCTCCTGTGAACAGACTAACTTTAAAGAATTCTCAGATAGAAGATGAAGGCAATGCCTCGGGGTGGCTGGATTTTTATAGTTCCAGCTGTTGCAAACCCAGGTGGTGCTGCTTGTGGTGGTCCCCAAGCTCTAGGAAAGACAGGCCCTTCCACTGAGCAAAAAGGTGCTTTGAGGCAGGATGATGTTGCAGATGACATTGCTGTGTCCCTTCTTACAAGTCAGCCCATCTGCTCTCTGTCCTTTGGCAGCAGTGGAGTTTTCCAAATCAGGAATTGGGACGTGTAATCTGATGAGTTGTGCTACCTCTGAAGACAAAGGGTAGTCTGAGCAGATAATGTTTGCATTCTGGAATGTTTGTACCTCTGGGTCATTTTGAGCACTTTTACAGTTAGTGAGACAATATTTGAAATCCAGGAGTTTTAAACAGAGATCTAGGAACTATGATTGTGGTACATGAAATTTTTGCTTAAAGAGGCTTTGAAGAGATTGGACTTTGGAGGTCTAGAGACCTGGGTTCAAATCCTCTTGCTAGATGACTTTTGGGGGATAATTTATTTGAGGCTCAGTGGTTTTTTAAAAAATCTATAAAACAGAGCTAGTGAGATATAATTCAATGGAGAATGAAATTAAATGAGAACACATGTAAAGTGCTTAGCACATAGTAGGTCCTCAACAAAAGTTAATTTCTCTTGTAAGCAATCACTATGCTAAGTGCTTAGTAAATGTTTCGTTTGTTTTATGTTCAAAAACTTGAAAACTTGAGCAATAGTCTATATCTTAATTTTGTTTTATTTTACATTTAATAACCCTCATCTTTTTGTGCATGGCTAGAGATGTTTTTCAGGAACACAGGATTATTTTTCAAGCAGCCCCCTTTTCCCTTTATGTGAGATGGGTATACCATGAGAAGGCGCTTTTACAACTAGAAACACAGGTGGTTTCTAAATTGGAAGCATGAACTGACCTAGCATACTTTCGGAAGTGCAGTTGAAGAGGACTTCAAGCTGTACTTTGAGCCTTTCTGGGCCATAGATCTCTGAGAATCTTAACAGAGCTATGGACCCACTTCTCAGAAAAATGCACGTATGTTTATACATAAGGTGTATGCACATATGTATATACATGAGGGGTCTATACACATATGTGTATACATGAGGGGTATATACACATATGTGTATATATGACCTGTGGACCCCACCCCCTGCCCTCTCCCCTCAGGAATCCTAGATTAAGAACTCCTGGCCTAGCTTTTTTTTTTTCTTTTCTTTAAAGGGATTTAGAGATTGACAGAGAATGAAGAAAAGGGAATGAAAGACATATGCATGGGTGGGGAAGGGTGACTGGGAGAGTTGGCCACACCCAGAACAAAGCAGGTGGTTGAGATAGTGATGAGATGATAAAATCATGCTACATGTCAGGGTGGCATTCACAGCTCCATGGTTTCCAAGATGTCAAGAATAGAAAGATCCAGTTTTTTTTTAACTCTAATATTTTTAATGAAAAATTTCTATCATACAGAAAAGTTTGAAGGATTGTATAGTGGACACATGGATATGCCCACTATTGAGATTCTTCCATTGACATTTGTTCTGCTTGCTTTATTTCACCTCTAGCCATCCATCAATCCATCTTGCTTTTTTCACGCATTTCATAGTAAGTTACAGACATCAGTATCCCTCACCCTGAACACTCAGCATGCCTATCATTTTCTAGAGTTCGATATTTTTTTTTTTTGAGAAATGCATGAACCCTAAATGTACCATTCTGTGAGTTTTGATAAATACACGCACCTGTGTAATCCAAACCCTATCAAAGTGTAGATCCTGATTTCAACCTAGAAAGTTGTCTTATGTCCCTTCCTAGCTAATTCCTGCTCCCTCCCCTCCATAGGCAATTGCTCTTTTTTTTTTTCTTTTCCACCATGGCTTAATTTTGCCTGTTTTACGACTTCACACAATTAAGATCATATAGTATATATTTTTGTGTACGTGAGGCTTCTTTCATCAGCACAGTGCATTTGAAATTTATTCCTGTTGTATGTACCAGTAGTTTGGTTCTTCTTGTTGTTGAATCCTGTTGAATGTCACTTAAGCTGTTTCCAGATTTTAGGTATTAAGCTGCTGTGAACACATATACAAGCCTTTGTTTGTATATATATATTTTCACTTCTCTTGAGCAAATACATGAGAGTGGAACTACTGGGTCCTAGGGGAGATGCACGTTTAGTTTTAATAAGAATTTTCCAGTTTTCCCCAAAGCGGCTGTTTCCTTTTCACTTCCACCAACAAAGTATTGAAGTTCTGGTTGCTCCGTGTCCTCACCAACATTTGGTGTTGTCAGTCTTTTTCATTGTAGGCATTCTGTTGGGTGTATGATGACGTCTCGTTGTGGTTTTAATTTGCCTGTGGTGCTCCAATATGACATTTTCCTTGGTCCCTAAGTCCCCTTTGATCTCAGAGGCATTATCTCTGTACTTAGGGAATGTGTGGGAATAGCTAGTCAAAATCTTATGGGGCTATAAAACTTTCTGCAGCTTTTTTTTCCCCCTTTTAAGTTCTGTATGGCAGGAAAATGCTTGAGAGTGTCCGTGTCCATATAGATACCCACAGTCACTTGTGATATTGTGGCTGCAGGAAGGGTGCTCCACGGACTAGGCAAGGATAGCTGTATTCTGGGAGCTGGGAGCTCCACCTCCCAGATGGAGCGACGTGTGTGTGTGCACGAGTGTTTGCGTGTGCATGCGTGCGTGTGTGTGCATCAAGTCCCTTGACATTTAAGGAGTTTGGTGAGTCAGCAGCTGGAACCTTGCATCCAGCCCTGTGTCACAACATTATCAGAGACTTGGGGAAACTGGATGGAGTTCAGAGAGGAGCGGCTAGTATGATTAAAGGGCTTGGAAGGATTAAGGGATTGATTTATGAGGAAAGATGAAAGGAATTTAATGTGTGCTGCTTGACTAAGTGGGTACACCATAATAGCCTGCAAATATCTGAAGGGTATAAACACTGGAGAGGGAGAGGAATTAGCACAGGGTGAGGAAACTGATCCAGGAATAATGGGGGAATATAAAGGGGAGGGGAGGATGGGGTGAGTTGGCAAAGTATTAGCAGGGGTTTGGCCTTCCACGAATCCTCTCCGTCTCAGAAGCCTAAAGGGGGAGTGAGTTGGTTTTGGGAGGATGAACTGGAGGAGACGCTGTGGGTGGAGAAAAAGCAGGTGGAAAGAGGGTATGTGTTTGAGTGCCTACTGTGTGCAGGACCAGGTGAGAAGGTGCTGATCTGGATGCACAGGCTGGGAACCTGGAGGCAGGAGGGAAGGGCGGTGGTGGAGAATGAGGTGATGGAGACAGCCTGGAGCCTGGAATCTAGACACCCTCTGAAATTCCTCCTCCTCCTGGTCGTTTTTCCAGATTGATGAAAGAGGTGCTGACGCTTCTGTGTTGCATCCCAGCTTGCTTGAGATGTGCAGTTTCTAACTCAAAAGTCTTCTAGCTTTCCAGTTATTTTCCTGTCCCTGCTTCCTAAAATACAGCTATCCTTGCCTAGTCCGTGGAATTCATCTCTCCCTGCCTGTGTATCTTTTCCAGGTTTGTGGGTCTGTGATTGGGGAACAATATGTGGACTAGTGAAGAGAGGATGGGAAGTGAAGCCAAGCTGCCTGGAGTGAGGGTCTGGCTTCGTACTCCCCAGCGGGATGAGCAGGCCCAGGTGCTTACTCTCTGGGCCTTGACTGTCTTTTCTGAAAAATGGAGATGATAATAGCACTTTACTTCACAGAACTGTCCTGAAGTTTACATGAAGTAAGGGGTGTGCAGTGCTTAGCATAGTGCCTGGCAAAAAGCAAATGCTCAATAACTGCTGGCTACTGTGGTTATAATTAAAGCCACAATCGGGGCTATGATTCTCCCAGTACCAAAACTTGGGCTGGGAGTTGGCCTGAGCAGTGCCTTCGGTGTGTAGACAGCCTCCTCTGACACAGTGTGTGGGGAGGTGCTCACAATAGCATTGGGGTGGTCATAGGAGGGGTTGTTTTCATCTCAGTAGGAGGCAGTGATGGGTAACACTGCTTTCTCCCCTAAGGTACCAAGGTGTCTAGAGCCAAGGTCTGGAGACCAGATCCCCAGGTTTGGCTGGAAGAAGAAACTTGGTTCCTTCCCCTTCTGAGCTCCGGCCTGATTCAATGAAAAGATAGTTGAGCTGAGAGCCAGGAAACCTAGATTAACTTCTGTTTTCCAACACCTCATTTCCTCATCGGTTGAGAAAAGGGAGGAGGGGTTTAAATCAGTGTTTTCTACACTTTTTTTTCCTGCTAAGCAATAGAGCCCTTTAGTTGAGTGATGTGTTATGTGGAACCCTAATATGTCAAATAGCCCCACACTGAGCTGCTTCTGACTGAGGTAGGGGGCTGGAGACCATCCTGATTGAACCCCTGTTGCTCCTTACAGGAGTCTTCCAGTGACACCCAGACCTTTCTGAAACACTGCTAATACACATGCACACACACACAACTGAGCCCTTCTAATGGTAACTCTTTTTCTGATGACCACTAAGATAAATTGTGGGCCTACCTTCGCTAAGTGCTTTGCATCTGTCAGATAATAATATTCTCAGAATTTTATCATAGGGTGAAGAATATTATTATCTCTGCTCTACAGAAGAAACTGAGGCTGAGGAGTCAAGCAAGGGTCTCATAGCTGAGAAGTGACAGATGATCTCTTAAGAATTCTTTCAGCTCTGAAATAGTCAAATTCAGTTTCTACAACAGGTATTCAAGTGATATAGTAGATATGCAGTAAATACTTAGTAATCTGAGTATATTAGTCCGTTTTCACACTGCTACAAAAAAAGATGCTACCTGAGACTGGGTAATTTATAAAGGAAAGGGGTTTGATTGACTTATAGTTCTGCATGGCTAGGGAGGCCTCAGGAAACTTACAATCATGGCAGAAGGGGAAGCAGGCACGTTTTACATGGTGGCAGGAGGGAGAGAGTGTACGAAGGGGGAAGAGCCCTATATAAAACTGTCAGATCTTGTGAGAACTCACTCACTATCATGAGAACAGCATGGGGGAAAGCCACCCCTATGATCCAATCACCTCCCACCAGGTCCCTCGCTCGATTACAGTTCGAGATGAGATTTGGTGGGGACACAGACCTAAAGCCTATCCAAATCTGTTTATTTGGATAGCAGGCTTCCCCAACTCCAGAATGGAATTCTGCAACCTGTTGTCAGTCTCCTGGACAGATTCTCAAGTCTCTTCTTTGCATGTTGTCTCTGCTTCAAGACACAGACTTTCCCATTGCAGGTGTCAGTCATTTATGACATCTCTGAAGGAATGCAAGTCTAGGCTTTAGCTACCACAAAGTGTGCCTTCTGGGATACTTCAGAGAATCAGGGTGTTGGGATACTGTTTTGTTTTAAAATGCCTTTTTTTTTCCCACCTATTACCCCAGTAGGAGTCAGTTTACTCTGTTTTAATCAATGATAATAGTCCTGAATATGTACAATTCTTTCTTTGGTATTTTTAATTGGTAGTTTCAGACAAGGGAGTAGATGACAACTTGTTCCATTAAAAGGAATTCATATTTATACTCTTATAAAATGTGTTCCCAGTTGCTCCCACACTTTCCTGGTGTGTGTTTAAATGATTCTTTTTCTTCTTACTGTTAACTGACCTAAGATGTCTGTAAAAGTATTGGATTCCTTGTGCATCCTGTCTATTGAAAGAGAGGCCAGAAGGAGCAAGAAAGGCAGGTGGTGTGGGCCTGTTTATAGACGTGGAATGAGGTCATCTTGTGAATGTTTGCTGGTGGCTTTTCCATATTGAGGGCTTTCTATGGTGAAATTTTTATCCTAATTTTGATTCAATAACCCAATGGAGAGAATATAAACCAAATATTAACTATAACCAGAGTCCAGAATAATCAAGAGGGTATATCTGCACTACAAATATACATAACCGAAATAGGTCTCAGACCAGATGCTAATGACATTTGAATTATTCTTTTAGTCAGGGAAGATATTGCTATTTAAAACTGCTCCCAGGTCTTAGTGACTTAACGTGATCCAAGTCTATTTATTGCTTTCTTTATTTTTTCTTTTAGAGATAGAGTCTCACTATGTTGCCCAAGCTGGTCTTGAACTCCTGGCCTCAAGTGATCCTCCCACCTCAGTCTCCCAAAGTGCTGGGGTTACAGACATGAGCCACTGTACCCAGCCTGTTTGTGCTGTCTTAAATGAAAGTAGAGTGTGTGTGAAGTGCAGGGAGGTCAGGAGGGGAACTGTGTGTCCTGCCATCATTCAGGGGCCCAGGCTGTGTTCCTCTTGTGGCTCTGCTCTCCCCTCTTTCTTTGGAGCTGTCTCAGTTCTGGTGAGTGGGGAAAGAGATCATGGAGAAGGCATGCCACTCTTAACTGTCTTAGCCCAAAAGTCACACACCTCATTTTCTTTCACATTTCATTGGTAAGCCTGTTCCTGAAAGGAGGCTGGGAAATTAAGTCCAACTGCGTGCCCAGGAAGCTGAGGAGGACAGCAGCAGCACAGGGGTGAGCCCTGTGGCTTCTGCAACACTGACTGTTGTTCATGATCTATTTCACCATTTCCCTGTTGTTGGGCACAGTTTGGGAGAGGATTATTGTTGACCCAACCAGTCCAGAGAACAAGTTATATACCTTTTTGCCTTTTAGATTTTTTTTTTTTATTGATCTCTGAGTTGAATTAATGGGGCCAATCCTAAGGGCCTCTGTTTACTCTTATACAGAGAAGAGGAACAGCCCTAGCTAAATCACCAGTGTTTCTTTGGGAAGAATCTGGTACAATAAATGTCTTCGGGAATGACTCGTGTCAGGTTCACCTCTAGCTGATCCTGGCCTCAGGGCCTGGTTGGCCCTTGAACTCAGGCAGGTGCAAGTATGGGCTTAAGTTTACTCTTGCTGTTTCTTCCAAAGGGTTCAGAGGCCTCCTGAGGCACTAGTGGGTACACACTTCTTTCTCTTTATTTTATATTTGTTTATTTTTAACTTTTATTTTAGGTTTGGGGTACACGTGCAGGTTTGTTATATAGGTAAACCTCCATGTCATGGAAGTTTTGCAGGCACACTTCTCCTCCTTCTTGCCCTGACTGGTGCTGTTCTTCCCTGTCCAGTCCTGCAGTCCCCAGGTAGAGGCAACCTTTTCTTCTCTTTCCTGTGTGGCCTGAAAACCCCCTGCACAGCCCACACCACCCTGTGACCCACAGCAACACCTATTTGTATCATTTGCTTCCCTTCTCACACTGAACCTGAGACTCAAAACACTGAAGCACCTGTGGTAGGGTGAGATGGCAACAGGTGCATGAAGCCTTTTTAATGCTCACCATGTAAAAGTGCAAAAGCCAGGCAGGGACTGCATTCTCTAGGGAATGTCCATTTTGGACATGAGGCTGCCCACTGTTAGTTGATAGCCTGTTTTTTTTTTTTTTATTATTACAGGTACTGCAGTTGTGCTTGCCTTCTTTAAAAAATAAGTTTGCACATGAATGTGAAGCCAGCTGACTTTTAGGGAAATTTCATTGGCTTCTTCTAGAACACTGCATTATGCAGTTTGGGTGTTGTGGCTTCTCATGCTGGAGACTGTTGCTGCTGTATGTGTGTGCAGGGCAGGGGTGGTGGTGGATGTTTAAAGGAAAAATATGGGGATTCAAATGACATTAGGCCTGTGGACTCAGACATTTAGGGGGAACTTGGCCACAGCCCCCATGATTTAGTTTTCTTGCTTTATAATTGGTCATGAATCTGGTATGCCCTATTTTCCATTAGGCTAATAAAATATTAGTGTTATAAACCATGACTATTGGTTTATAGAAGTTGCAATCCCTTTGTCACCCTCTGTTACCTTGGTTTAGAATCAGTTTGTTAGAGCATTAACCACCTTCTGGTTTGCATCAAGGTGGCTGTCTAATGGGTCATTAAGTACTAGTGATACTCAGTTCCTCTGGGATTTTTTTTGATATTACAGTAGTTATATTGGGAATAAAGTATATAAGAAACTACACTCGCACAGTAGGTTGTCTTTATGGGGGAAGAACCTGAGAGAGGGAGAACAGATGGGATATTTATTCCATATTCAGTTGTGAGAGTCTTGGCTTCATTTGGAAAGGTCAACAATCTGGAAGTGTAAGGGTATTTGATTAGCCACATACCAGATAATAAGGGGTATTAATGAAGCATAAGGAATTGAAGATATCAGGGCCATCCATTCATTCATTTGTGTGTTAGGTCATTTATTTATTAATCCCATTTTTTTTTTTTTTTTGAGACAGGGTCTCACTCTACCACTCAGGCTCTGGAGTGCAGTGGTACAATCACGGCTCACTGCAGCCTTGACCTTCCTGGGCTCAGGTGATCCTCCCACCTCAACCTCCTGAGTAGTGCCTGGGTAATGTTTGTATTATTTTTGTAGAGATGGAGTTTCACCATGTTGCCTAGGCTGGTCTCCAACTCCTGGGCGTAAGCAATCCACCTGCCTTGGCCTCCTGAAGTGCTGGGGTTATAGGCGTGAGCCACGGCACCCCATATTTGTTGAGTGCCTCTATGTGCCATGCATTATGCTGGGTGCTAGGGATTCAGGAGGGAGCTCAACACAAGAATGTCCCTACCCTTGCTGAGCTTTCAGTTGTGAGTGGGGTTTGGGGGGATGGGGCAGGGAGGAAGTGGCATGAATCAACTAAATGTAAAATCCACTTCATATTTTATTAGATTAATGGAAAAATAAGTCATATCAAAGGTTTGGCCAGTAACAAATGGAGATATTGTAAGACAGCCTCATAGGATAAATGCATGTAATAACGTCTGTAGTAATAGGGGGGAGTCATCTTCTCTAAGCAGGGTATTAGGTTAAGATCTGAAGGATAGGTAGGACTTATCTCAACAAGGAGGGGAGGAAAAAGCATTCTAGGCAGTGGTAACAGCATGTGCAAAGGCCTTGTGGGAGGAGAAAGCATTAGGAACTAGTAGAAGGTTGGTATGGAGTGTGGCATAAGAGGGGTAGGTAGGGATTACCACGCTGAGCCTTGTAAGGTGTGTATAAAGATTTTTACTGTTACCCTAAGAACAGTGGGAAACATTGGCAATTTAAATCAGGGGACTTTTATCAGATTTGTGTCTAGAAAAAAATCACTCTGGCTACAGAGTGGATAAATGGATTGGGGGAGGTCAGAGTAGGTGTAGGTAGATCATGTCATCCTTGGCTGTTGCAGTGAGATGGAGTACAGAGGGCAAGTTTGAGTGATTGATACAGATTAACATCAGAAGAACTAGGTGAGAGATAGGTTATGGGAAAGAGAGGAAGGAGTCCAGGATCACACCTGAGTGCCTGGCTTGGAAATGGGATGAATAAGGGTTGTTTTAGTTATGACACAGGTTTGGCTGTTAAAACAGGACTCAAGAGTAGCTAACAAGAGAGAAATGGATTGCTCTCATCTCAGTCCAAGTGTAAGCACTCCAGGGCTGATCTGGTGGTCTCATGGCATTGTACTTCTAGAATCCTTCTGTTTTATTGCTCTGCCATCTCTAGACCATTGTCCTTAGCATGGTTATAGCTGGCTCACTAGTATGTTCACATTCTAGATTTTTCCCTTCAAGGTCACCACCCAGAAGTTGCTTACATCCCAAGGGTCAGAACTGAGTCTCATGGCCACACATAGTTGTAGATAATCAGGGGACAGCCAGCAATCTCTACCACAGTGGCACAGTCACTAAACAGAAAACGTGGAACAGGACCAGTTGGCAGGAGAAGAGCAGGAGCAAGGGTTAGATGTTCATTTTGTGCTGTTTAGATCCTTACAGTCTCTCCTGCATCCCATCTCAGCTCCCTTGACTTCCCTCCATGAACCCTTTATTCTACCACTTCATGTACTTGCTGCACTCATGGACCCCCCATATTCTTCCTGCCTGGAATGCCCTTCTTTCATGTTTCCCTGACCAGCTGATTCCTACCCTTTGCTTAAAGCTGTCCCTGATCCCTCCACCCCTACTCCAGCTGCTCCTTTAGGTGAATTTTTAACACTTATTGCCCCTGTCACCACATGGTGTAATGACAGCAGTTCTCATGCTGATGGTGTGTCTCATGCTGAATTATTTAACTTTCCAAGTTACTATTGTGTGTCTCAGTTTCATTCAACACATGTTTATTAAGAGTCTACTATGGGCCATATTAACTCTCCTCCTCCATCCCTCTTGTAGTAGCACCTAAAATACAAACACAGAGCCTTTAAGGCTTATTAGTTTCATAGTGAGAAAACCTGCGGTGAACTTAGTGTTTGGCTGACCCCTGGGAGTCGTTTGGAGCTGTTTTCAGGGCAGAAGTCAATGAACCATAAGTAGAACAAGCTAAAATAAACCTCTGGTTTTTCATTTCTTAGTAGTACTCCCACTAATCCTGTCCTGCTTTACCTTTCTGATTACAACCAGGCTGAGTGACCCCAAACATAGACTCTCAGGATAAGATGGACATGGCATTACGCAGGTGTGATGGGGAATAGGAGGGCATTCTGAGAGGACTTAGAGAAAAGAGAACACATTTGTTCCACTTCCTGCCACTCCCCTGTCTGATTTCTCTAAGTCACTGAGTGGAGAATGGCCTGAACTGGCAGCAAAGCTGGGATTTCCAAACCAACTAACAGTTCTGCCTTTTTACCCTGTGCTTATTATTTTTTGATTTCTTAAAAAATCAATCATTCATTTATTTTTTTCATTCATTTCTGTTGTTTTTTTTTGGTGTCTTATAGCAGATCAGTGAGATGTGGTCCCTGCCCTGTAGGAGCTCATGGGCCAGTGGCGAGAGCAAACCATGAAACTCTCCATCTACTTGGTGATAAACCAATCATGGTCCCCAATTGGGTTGGTTGTAGGCTTGGTGGAGAGACATGGACCATGCTTTAAAAGTCCCATGTATCCCCTGTAGAGTTCAGCGCCATGTTGGTCCCTTGGCCGGTGCCCAGTGACCATGATGATTGATTTCACTGACTGCTATGTCTTTCCCCATGGAAATCTTGGTGCCTGGTGTCTTGGAGTGTGAAAGCAGAGATTCTTTCAGGTTTCCTGGCACGAGGGGGTTGTTGTGGGAGGTTCTCTCTTCACCCTTAGTGAAAGTGCTTTGGAAACCTGAGCCAGAAGCAATGGCAGAGGAAGTTCCTGGTGTGAGGAGCTTGGATGCTGGCTGCCTTTCCCCCATTTAGCTCTCTTGGGGCCCTTGGGGAGAGTTGTGCTGTGGTTGGGTGAGTGCGTGTTTGGGGATGTGGGTGGGTCTTGCCTGGTCTCTCAAACCCAGATGCTCATTCAGGTGCAAAATTCAGTGTTTGCTCAGCAGTGTACAAGCCTTGTGTTCTGGCATCTTTTTTTTTTTTTTCCTGGTGACATCTGTTGTACAGGGAGTGACTCTCCCTCGGTAAATGGTGTATTGTCAGTTCCTCCACTCCAGCGTACAACCAACAAAACAGGATGGCACTGCTTGGAGAAAGATGGCTGGCTGGAAGCATCACAAAATGGCACTACAGCCTATTGGGGGCGACCCTGGAGTGTCACAGGGGTACCCCAGCAAGGGCAGGAGCTCTCCTGAAGCAGCTTCTTCATGCCTCCTGGCTGCTTTTGTGCCATCATTTTCCAGATTCTTTTCTTAATCATGAATTAGCTGAGTTTTCAAGGTACCAAAAAGCCCAGCTAGGTGAAAGGAAGTAGAGAAAGGGCCTCTGATATGGTGTCCCAATGAGTTTTTTCACTTAAAGGGTCATGTTGAAGTCACCCAGAGAGACAGGCAGGGAACCTCACTTGGGTAAATAAGCAATGGAGTGAAAGATTGAAAAATGTGGTCTGAATTTTTTACTCGCATTGTTTCGGAGCCAGTTCCTATTCTGTCACTTCTCTCTGTGCCCCACCCTACCCTTCTTAATGACTTATTTGTACTGGAAAGCAAACTATTAATCACAAACAGAATAGCTCTGTAACTTCCAAACAAACACAGAATAGTTCTAGGGACTGTGAAAAAGCCAAACCCTTGGCAGAGATTTGGAAATGTGTTTCTTTTATATATATTTTAGAAATGCCACCATTTGTCCTTAGGCACAGAAGGTTCCCTTTAATTAGCGGTGAATTTCCTATTTCCCTTTTCTTCCTGAGGCATCTATAAAGCCCTGGCCTAGTAAAAGGCAGGTACACAGCTCTCAATTGAGCCCTATTGATGTGCTAGTATAGTTTTAATTGTGTTGAGATTTCCTTGCCAAAGTGACACATGCAGAAGCATTTTAAAAACGTATAGGGTTCGTAACTCTTTCGCTGTCTAGAGCTCTTGAATTATGAATGTCTCTTCTGCTGCCTGTTCAGTTCTTCTGAATCTGTAAAATTACTTTAATAACCTGTGTGGGGGTAATGTTAATATGTTTGCTCAGTAGTGTGAATTTATTAGCATTCCTACCCCACTTCAGGGAGCTGGCTTGGCCCTTTTGATACAAGCCCTTGGTTGCAAGAAGAGGCAAATTATGGTGGTGTTTTTTTCCCCCCCTCTCCCTTCCACCATTAGCAATCATTCTGTTGCACAGAGTACGTGATAAATCAACCACAGGAGAGTCAGATTTGCCATAACATGACATTACCTATCAGCTTGTCAGGTCTGAGTTGACTCTCAGCCTTTTGGGCTGTATATTTCTTCAAAGTCTAGTGCCAGTTTCTTAGTCAGCTCTAACTAATTTCAGAGTGGAAGAGAAACTTGACTGGAGTGCTGTTTGGGATCTGCTTTTTAATCCTGGTCTGTTTAATGTTTGCTCCTGACAGTCTAGGCCAGACATCATTTTAATGGTATGTGTGGTGATAAAGCCAATAAACTGTCAAGATGATTGATAATCTAAGCATTATAGCAATATGACTTTCCTGTTCTCCTCTGTGCTTTAGATGATGGTTTCCAAATTGAATTCCTACAGTGTGTGCTGTATGAGTGTGCCTGTCAGAGGCTCCCCTAACAGCGTTTGAAGGAGGTAGCTGTGCTTAATGTAAGATTTTTAGTCCTCAATTACCCACACAAATATATTTGCATATGTGTTGGTACCCTCTAATTTGGGAAACATTAAGAATTTATGACTCTGCCCTTGTAACAGTCCCCCAGCAATTTATGGGCACTGGTGGAACTTTTTATTATGTCTTTATGGTGTTTTTTCACCTGGCGTGCATCTTAGATTCCATGTGGTTGATTCTGTTATCTGTGGTTGAAAGACATTACAGATAACAAAGTGCACTATATTAAAGGCAGGCTTCTGGTTTCCTTTCCTTTTCTCTTTGTTTCTTCTTTTTCTTTTAATTTAGCAGACATTTTTAAGCATCTGGTCCTCATCTCATTAATCAGACTCGACCAGGTGTTTTAGGGTGGTGACAGTGGGAGTGCTTGGCTGCTGTTTGTTGGCCCTCATGGGCCACCGTTGCTGGCTGACATCTCCTACCCCGTTCGTGGTGCAGTGTTGTCTGGGAGCAGAAACCCACGTGGCTAGAGAGGTCGAATGGGCTGTGTATATGTGTATATGTGTGTGTGTGTAACACTCTTAAGCAATTTTACCAGGAGGAAAAAGAAAAAAATAAGCAAATATTAAATTCAAAACTCATATTATGCTCAAAATTTCCTTTTACTTTCTGCTTCCACAGCATGTTTTTGTATGATGTGACATGTGCATATTATTTAGTCTTCTACTTTTAAGATTGTGTCTAGAAAGACTTTAAGACTGTGGCTCTCTGAGAGTTACAGAATACTGATGCCAGAAGGGTGTCTCTGATACCTGTTGACACCATGATTTGCTGTATTTCTTCCAGGCCTTATTTTACAGATGACACTGAGCCCCAGAGAGGTGGGTTGTCTTGATTGGTGGCAGAACCGGGACTAGCATCCATGTTTCTATTTGAGGTCAACTATCCTTTCCACTTCATTATTTCCTTTCTCTTCATTTAATGCTTATTTTTCTTTTGGTCAGGAGACACTGGGAAGTCACTTCAGTTTTCTGGCCTCAGTTTCTCTATCTGCAAAATAAGGGATCTGAATTTGCTCACTTCTCATGTTGAACCACTTCACCTTATCTCCCGGTGTGTGGATGAACTTACAGCCCCAGTCTTGAGGCTCTTACAGCCTGTCTGAGGCAGAGGGCAGACCGCATGTGGGGCTACTGATTGTGTGACTCTGAGGAAGTCATCTGCCCACCCAGTCTATTTTTTCCTCCAAAACAGACAGGGTTGCCCTGAGTTCAAATGGGAGACCAGAAACAAAAATGCCTGGCAGAGTACCTGGCACAGAAGAGGCAATCAATAAATGTTTGTGTGACAGGATATTTAATTTGAGATAATCACTGAGCTTTGCATTTCCCTTTACTTTTGAAAATCTTCATTTCTTTGGACCTCTTGCCATTCCTTCCTTTCCCTCAACTTGGGTACTTGGTGCTTGCTTTCTTCCACAAGTGATGGCATGACAGAAAATAGGGGAGAGGAGAGTCCTATCTGGGCTTTTGAATGACAAAAATTTAAGCCCAAATGTAAGGAAAAAAGATTTGGAAGAATGCATGGTGACAGAAGAACTGGCTGACTCTGAATACCAGGTGGAGATTTCCTGGACTCTGGGGAGGAGAGTCAGAGGTGAAGAAAAGCATAGATGCTGTTGGGTCCCTGGGAAGAGGACTTGTATGTTACACACTGTAGTTTTGGACTAAAACTTGTTCCTGACATGTTGGGTGTTAATGGTTGCTTAAGAGCACTAGAGGGGGTGGAGTAATCCAAAATTTCTAACACATGAGGGTATGAGAGGCTTCTTGGGGGAAGAAATATAATTCGAGCTGAGTTCTGAAGGGTGATTGAGATTTGGATAGATGAAATCTACCAGCTCCAAGCTGAAGCCTCTTGAGACAGCAAACTCAGGTTTGCTCTCTTGGCCAGTTGAATGGATGGTGGTCTGTGACAGTTCCTGTGGGGAAGGAGGAGGCTGGTCTGGAGGCAAGGCTGAAAGAGGTGGGGGTGTTGGCCATGGAGGCAGAAGAGAAGTTAGTGGGAGGAGATGAGCAAGCCCAGGGAGGGTGGGGCTGGCCTAGTCCCTGAGGCAGGAGAGTGGGTCATCCTTTTCTGAAATAGCCACACATATCCAAAAAAGGCCAGGCCACTGATCTGAGTTTGTACCTGCCCATTCCATAGCTGGATGCCTGGAGGAAAAACAAGGCAGTTGACATGGTAACAGTCCCCCTTTTCTCTGTTCCCTTCTGTGCCCACACTGGCACCTACTGTATTGATTTGGGAAGAGCCTCACCTTTTATGGATTAAAAATAGTGTATCACACCTGTAATTCCAGCACTTTGCGGGGGCTGAGGTGGGCAGATCGCTTGAGCCCAGGAGTTCGAGACCAGCCTGAGCGACATGGCGAAACCTCATCTCTACAAAACAAAAACAAAACAAAAATTAGCCATGTGTGGTGGTGTGCATCTGTAGTCCCACCTACTCGCGAGGCTGAGGTGGGAGGATTGCCTCAGCACAGGAGGTCAAGGGTGCGGTGAGCTGTGATTGTGCCATCACACTCCAGCCTGGGCAATAGAGTGAGACCTTGCTTCAAAAAAACAACAAAAAACCAAAGAGAATATTGGAGGAGTGGGGAAACCAGGATTCTGGTAGCAACTTTACCCCTCAACATACTGTGGGACTGTGAGCCCGTTTCCTCAGGGATTAAGTGAGGGGCTGAACACAGTCTCTCAGATACCTTCCTGCTCTTACTGGGAGTGCACCTGTGATGTTCGGAAGGTAGGACCCCATGTGTCTCTTTGTAAATTGGCCCAGCTTGGGAAAGGCTTTGGCATTTCAGCACTGTTGTCCCCCACCCCAAGATGACAGATGTTACCTGTCCACATAATGGTTCTCACTATCTCCCATGTTGTGTAAAAATAACCTATATTTTTAACCAGTTGAACCAGGAATCAGAGGGAGAAAGTTTCCCCTAAGCCAGATGGCTCAAGACACTTGGACTGTTGTCTTTTTCTTCTGTTCCCTTCATATGAGGCACTTTCCCTTTCAAACCTTCTAGATCATGAGCTCCCCACCAGAGAGAATTGGGTCTTCTGGATTCTGGGCAAAGAAAGAACTGGAACTTCTTGTTAAATCCTGTCCTCCTCCTCTTCTGCCTCCCTCTGTAAGTGGCTTAACTCTTTCATCTGCTCCAGCAAGCAGCATGTCCTAGCTTGGTCTGAAGTTTGGGGAAGAGTGAACTATTGCTTCTGGAAGTTCTTCACATTTCTAAGGGGCAAGGAGGTTCTGTCATGTACCAGGTTTGTAGTAGGTTCTCACTTGGCAATAAAACTACTAGCACCACCAACACCACATCATCTACACTTTCATCTGTTTGGACAAGTACATCAATACTATTGTCTCTGAAAAACAGGCAAAGCCAAGGTTGAACGGGTCCTCAGAGCTATGACTTCCACTTTCCATCAGTCTGACTGACTGTGCCATAAAGGTCCATGTCTTGCTGCTTCCCTCCTGGTAGGTGGGATGGAAAGTGTAGGTGCTGGTGATCAGAACTGGGAAATTCCTGTATATTCACAGCTAATCGTTTTCTCCCCTTGAATCAATGTGAGCTGTTATTTTTTTTTTTTCCTTCTCCAGCTGACAGAGTATGGCTCTGTGTAGAGTATTACTTTGACCATTTTGCTCCAGGAAAAGCATTAGTAATTTATAAATAAAATACACATAAAAATAGGAGAAGTCAAATATAGGTTTATTGACAACAAAGGCACTATTAATGTTGGACCGGGCTGGTTTGAAGTTGAGTTAGTTTTTGTTGCTGATTTATGTGCTGTTTGTTTTAGGAGGGCTGCGAGTGAGTCGTGATGGTTCTTGGGAACTGGCAGCTGGGAAGGGGCAGAACTGGTTTGGGTCGGAGTTCCCAGAGGAATGAAATGGGCGGAGGAGCAGCAGCGGCTGCGGTGGGAATGATTTGCATCTCTCTCTCTGCTTGATGGTTGTGTATTTAAGCAAGAGTGCATTGCCAGGAAATTGAGAAAGTAAGTGTGCATGTGTGCTTTATGTCAAGCATAGCTCATTTAAAGTATACCTGTGTGGACATGAGGGTTTGCAGAAAACTGTTATTTATTTCTCTTGAATTTACCCTACTTGTTAAACAAAATTTGACAGATGGTTTGCAGCAAGAGTAATGAGGCCATTACATAGCCAAGTTTTATCTTTACCATATCAGTTGTTATGTGAAAAAGGGGGTTTTCTCGGTTTGGGGAGTTTAATTCCCTCCCTGTAGAGAGAATCAGAATTGTTTAACTGGAAAATTAACAGAATTGAAAGTTCATTTTCTGAGCCTTACCACTTGGGGTAGTTACTTGTTAAAACCTTTCACCAGGGCCATCTGACTTGAAGGTGCTGTGAAATGCTTTGTGGCAGATGTGAAAAATTTGTGATTGAAGGAGTTTTTTCCCCCACTCCGGTGTAACAAACTTCAGGGTTGATTTTTGTTTCTCGTTCCATTCCATTACGTGCATGCTTGCTGTCTCTGTCTCTGTCTCTGTGTCTTCCTATCACGCTTTCTTGCGTGCGTGTTGGCTTGCTTTCTTATTTGCACAGATGTCACATTTTTGTCACCACCATACAAATATCATCCCTGTGGAGAACATATCGCTTCTCAGTGTGCCTCTCTGTGTTTTGGGGACTGACTGGTGAACTGCAGGAATGCTGGGTCTTTTATATGGCTGTGTTAGTTTCCTGTTGCTGCTGTAACAAAGTACCACAAACTCAGTGGCTTAAAAACAATGCACAATGTATTCCCTCACAACTCTGGAGGTCAGAAGTCTGAAATGGGTTTCACTGGGTTAAAATCAAGGCATCAGCAGGGCCCTCTTCCCTCTGGAGGCTGTAGGGGAGAATCTGTTTCTTTGCCTTCCCAGCTTCTAAGGCTGCTAGCATTTTTTGGCTCTCGGCCCGGTGTCACTCCAACCTCCGTTTCTGATTTTACATCTTCTTCTTAGACCTTCTGCCTGCCTCTTACAAACGAGCCTTGTGATTACACTAGGCCCACCTGGGTAATCCAGGACACTCTCCCTATCTCAAAATCCTAGTTTAATCACCTCAGCAAAGTCCCATTTGCCATGTAAGGTCACATAATCACAGGCTTCAGGAATTAGGATGTGGATATCTTGGCAGGAAGCACATTATTCTGCCTACAATGGTAGGCAAGAAGACATCAGGTGGTAAACATGGACATATTTCTCCTCGTAGTTTTCTCAGGAGCTTTCCTGAACTTCTGGAATCACCTTAACTGTTGTTATAATCAAAGAGTGATTATTACTGTTTTGGGGTATTTCTTTGTTCTCCAGAACCTAAACACTACAGCCTAGCTTCATTCCTGTCTGTGGTACAGATTCAAAGGCAGTCCTCCTTTACCTGTTTTTTTTTTTTTTTTCCTTTCTTCTTCTTGGTTCCCAAGAGAAGATTCTACCACTTTTCTTAGTTTCTTCTTCTCTTCCTCTTCCTTTCTTCTCCTCATCCCCCTCCTCCTTCTTCCTTCCTCCTCCCTCCTTTTTCCTTCTTCTTCTTCTTTTTTTTTTTTAAATAACCATAACAAAGCCCAAAATGTCAGCCTCCAAATGTCCTCTGTTCCCATCTCTGGTCTGGGGAAGATCACAGTCCTTATTTGAAGAGGCTGGAGCAGTGGTCCTTCCAGTGTCTGTTCAGGATGTGTAGGGGGTCTGATATAGTTTGGAGATATGTCCCCTCCAAATTGCATGTTGAAATTTGGTCCCCAGTGTTGGAGGTAGGGCCTAATGGGAGGTGTTTGGGTCCTTGGGGTGGATCCATCATGAATGGCTTGATACTGTCCTTGTGGTTATGAGTGAGTTCTTGCTCTATTAGTCCCTGGAGAACTGATAGTTAAAAAGAGGCTGGTATCTCCCTCCTCCTCTTGCTCCTTTGTCTTGCCATGTGTCAGGCCCTCCTTCGCCTTCTGCTAGGAGTGAAAGCAGCCCAAGACCCTCACCAGATACAGATGCTGCTGCCATGCTTCTTGTACAGCCTGTAGAACTGTGAGCCAAATCAACCTCTTTTCTTTATAAATTACCCACCTAACCTGAGTGTTCCTTTATAACAATACAAACAGACTAAGACAGGGTCAGAGGCTGTGCCTGAAAGGAGTCTCGGTGAAGGTGACTGGGCCTTTCCGATGACTCTTTAGAATTTCTATTCTGGGTAGCAGAAAAAAGCATAGGAAGGTCATCAACTGATGAATAAAAAAAAATGTGGCATATCCATATAATGGAATATTATTCAGCCATAGAAAAGAATCAAGTGTTGATACATGCTACAGTGTGGATGAACCTTAAACATATTAGGTTAAGTGAAAGAAGCCAGATGGCACGTATTTTATGATTCCATTTATAGGAAATATCCAGAATAGGTAAATTCATAGAGACAGAAGTAGATTAGTAGTTGCCAGGGGCTGGTGGATGGTGGTGGGGAGTAGGGAATGAATGGTAGTGGGTATGAGTTTTTCTTTCAAGGTGACAAAATATTTTGGAACTAGATAGTGGTGATGGTTGCACAACATTGTGAATGTGCAAATGTCAGGGAATTGTTCACTTTAAAGTAGTTAATTTAATTAAAAAAATTTTATTTTAGAGATGGAGTCTCACTCTGTCACCCAGGCAGGAATGCAGTGGCACAGTCATGGCTCACTGCAGCCTCAAACTCCTGGAATTAAGTGCTTCTCCTGCCTCAGCCTTCTCAGTAGCTGGGACTACAGGCACATACCACTATGCCTAGCTAAGTTTTTGGATTTTTATTAATAGTAAAGACAGGGTCTTGCTATGTTGCCCAGGCTGGTCTTGAACTCCTGGTCTCAAGTTATCCTTCTGCTTTGGTCTCTCAAAGAGCTGGGAATATAGGTATGAGCCACTGTGCCTGGCCATTAATTTTATGTTTTTCTTTTTTCTTTTTTTTTAAATTATACTTTAAGTTCTAGGGTACACGTGCACAATGTGCAGGTTTGTTACATAGGTATACTTGTACCATGTTGGTTTGCTGAATCTATCACCTTGTCATTTACATTAGATATTTCTCCTAATGCTATCCCTCCCCAAGCCCCCCACCTCCTGACAGGCCCTAGTGTGTGTGATGTTCCTCGCCCTGTGTCCAAGTGTTCTCAGTGTTCAGTTCCCACCTATGAGTGAGAACATGTAGTGTTTGGTTTTCTGTCCCTGTGATAGTTTGCTGAGAATGATGGTTTCCAGCTTCATCCATGTCCCTGCAAAAGACATGAACTCATCCTTTTTTATGCCTGCATAGTATTTCATGGTGTATATGTGCCACATTTTCTTAATCCAGTCTATCATTGATGGACATTTGGGTTGGTTCCAAGTCTTTGCTATTGTGAATAGTGCTGCAATAAACATATGTGTGCATGTGTCTTTATAGTAGCATGATTTATTATACTTTGGGTATATACCCAGTAATGGAATTGCTGGGTCAAATGGTATTTCTAGTTCTAGATCCTTGAGGAATCGCCACACTGTCTTCCACAATGGTTCAACTAATTTACACTCCCACCAACAGTGTGAAAGCGTTCCTATTTCTCCACATCCTCTCCAGCATCTGTGGTTTCCTGACTTTTTAATGATTGCATTGTAACTGGTGTGAGATGGTATCTCATTGTGGTTTTGATTTGCATTTCTCTGATGACTAGTGATGATGAGCATTTTTTCATGTGTCTGTTGGCTGCATAAATGTCTTCTTTTGAGAAGTGTCTGTTCATATCCTTTGCCCACTTTTTGATGGGGTTGTTTTTTTTCTTGTTAATTGTTTAAGTTCTTTGTAGGTTCTGGATATTAGCCCATTGTCAGATTGGTAGATTGCAGAAATTTTCTCCCATTCTATAGGTTGCCTGTTCACTCTGATGGTAGTTTCTTTTGCCTTGCAGAAGCTCTTTAGTTTAATTAGATCCCATTTGTCAATTTTGGCTTTTGTTACTATTGCTTTTGGTGTTTTAGTCACGAAGTCCTTGCCCATGCCTATGTCCTGAATGATACTGCCTAGATTTTCTTCTAGGGTTTTATGGTTTTAGGTCTAACATTTAAGTCATCAATCCATCTTGAATTAAGTTTTGTATAAGGTGTAAGGAAGGGATTCAGTTTCAGCTTTCTACATATGGCTAGCCAGTTTTCCCAGCACCATTTATGAAATAGGGAATCGTTTCCCCATTTCTTGTTTTTGTCAGGTTTGTCAAAGATCACATGGTTGTAGTTGTGTGGTGTTATTTCTGAGGCCACTGTTCTGTTCCATTGATCTATCTCTCTGTTTTGGTACCAGTACCATGCTGTTTTGGTTACTATAGCCTTGTAGTATAGTTTGAAGTCAGGTAGCATGATGCCTCCAGCTTTGTTCTTTTTGCTTAGGATTGTCTTGGCAATGCGGGCTCTTTTTTGGTTCCATATGAACTTTAAAGTAGTTTTTTCCAAATCTGTGAAGAAAGTCAATGGTAGCTTGATGGGGATGGCATTGAATCTATAAATTACCTTGGGCAGTATGGCCATTTTCATGATATTGATTCTTCCTATCCTTGAGCCTTGAATGTTCTTCCATTTGTTTGTGTCCTCTTTTATTTTGTTGAGCAGTGGTTTGTAGTTCTGCTTGAAGAGGTCCTTCACATCTCTTGTAACTTGGATTCCTAGGTATTTTATTCTCTTTGTAGCAGTTGTGAATGGGAGTTCATTCATGATTTGGCTGTCTGTTTGTCTGTTATTGCTATATAGGAATGCTTGTGATTTTTGCACATTGATTTTGTATCCTGAGACTTTGCTGAAGTTGCTTCTCAGCTTAAGGAGATTTGGGGCTGAGATGATGGGGTTTTCTAAATATACAGTCATGTCATCTGCAAACAGAGACAATTTGACTTCCTCTTTTCCTAATTGAATACTCTTTATTTCTTTCTCTTGCCTGATAGCCCTGGGCAGAACTTCTAACACTGTGTTGAATAGGAGTGGTGAGAGAGGGCATCCTTGTCTTGTGCCAGTTTTCAAAGGGAATGCTTCCAGTTTTTGCCCATTCAGTATGATACTGGCTATGGGTTTGTCATGAAAAGCTCTTATTATTTTGAGATACCTTCCATCAATACCTAGTTTATTGAGAGTTTTTAGCATGAAGGGCTGTTGAATTTTGTTGGAGTTTTCTGCATCTATTGAGATAATCATGTGGTTTTTGTCTTTGGTTCTGTTTATGTGATAGAAGTTACGTTTATTGATTCACCTATGTTGAACCAGCCTTGCATCCCAGGGATGAAGCCCACTTGATTGTGGTGGATAAGCTTTTTGATGTGCTGCTGGATTTGGTTTGCCAGTATTTTATTGAGGATTTTCACATCGATGTTCATCAGTGATATTGGTCTAAAATTCTCTTTTTTGTGTGTGTATCTCTTTCAGGTTTTGGTATGAGGATGATGCTGGCCTCATAAAATGAGTTAGGGAGGATTCCCTCTTTTTCTACTGATTGGAATAGTTTCAGAAGGAATGGTACCAGCTCCTCTTTGTACCTCTGGTAGAATTTGGCTGTGAATCCGTCTGGTCCTGGACTTTTTTTGGTTGGTAGGCTGTTAATTATTGCCTCAATCAGAGCCTGTTATTGTTCTATTAAGAGATTCAACTTCTTCCTGGTTTAGTCTTGGGAAGGTGTATGTGTCCAAGAATTTATCCATTTCTTCTAGATTTTCTAGTTTATTTGCCTAGAGGTATTTATAGTATTCTCTGATGGTAGTTTGTATTTCTGTGGGATCAGTGATGATGTCCCTTTTATCATTTTTTATTGTGTCTATTCGATTCTTCTCTCTTTTCTTCTTTATTAGTCTTGCTAGCAGTCTATCAATTTTGTTGATCTTTTCAAAAAACCAGCTCTTAGATTTATTGATTTTTTTGTAGAGTTTTTTGTGTCTCTATCTCCTTCAGTTCTGCTCTGATCTTAGTTATTTCTTGCCTTCTGCTAGCTTTTGAATATGTTTACTCTTGCTTCTCTAGTTCTTTTAATTGTGATGTTAGGGTGTCGATTTTAGATCTTTCCTGCCTTCTCTTGTGGGCACTTAGTGCTATAAATTTCCCTCTACACACTGCTTTAAATGTGTCCCAGAGATTCTGGTACATGCTGTGTCTTTGTTCTCATTGGTTTCAAATAACATATTTATTTCTGCCTTCATTTCATTATTTACCCAGTAGTCATTCAGGAGCAGGTTGTTCAGTTTCCATGTAGTTGTGGGTTTTGAGTGAGTTTCTTAATTCTGAGTTCTAATTTGATTACACTGTGGTCTGAGAGACAGTTTGTTGTGATTTCTGTTCTTTTACATTTGCTGAGGAGTGTTTTACTTCTAATTCTGTGGTCAGTTTAAGAATAAGTATGATGTGGTGCTGAGAAGAGTGTATATTCTGTTGATTTGGGGTGTAGAGTTCTGCAGATGTCTATTAGGTCCAATTGGTCCAGAGCTGAGTTCATGTCCTGGATATCCCTGTTAATTTCCTGTCTCGTTGATCTAATATTGACAGTGGGGTGTTAAAGTCTCCAACTATTATTGTGTGGGAGTCTAAGTCTCTTTGTAGGTCTCTAAGAACTTGCTTTATGACTCTGGGTGCATATGTATTTAGGGTAGTTAGCTCTTCTTGTTGCATTGATCCCTTTACCATTATGTAATGGCCTTGTCTCTTTTGATCTTTGTTGATTTAAAGTCTGTTTTATCAGAGACTAGGATTGCACCTCCTGCTTTTTTTTGTTTTCCATTTGCTTGGTAGATCTTCCTCCATCCCTTTATTTTGAGCCTATGTGTGTCTCTGCACTTGAGATGGGTCTCCTGAATACAGCACATTGATGGGTCTTGACTGTTTATCCAATTTGCCAGTCTGTGTCTTTTAATTGGGGCATTTAGCCCATTTACATTTAAGGTTAATATTGTTATGTGTGAATTTGATCCTGTCATTATGACATTAGCTGGTTATTTTGCCCGTTAATTGATGCAATTTCTTCATAGCATCCATGGTCTTTAAATTTGGCATGTTTTTGCAGTGGCTGGTACCGGTTGTTCCTTTCCAGGTTTAGTGCTTCCTTCAGGAGCTCTGTAAGGCAGTTCTGGTGGTGACAAAATCTCTCAGCATTTGTTTGTCTATTAAGGATTTTATTTCTCCTTCACTTATGAAGCTTAGTTTGGCTGGATATGAAATTCTGGGTTGAAAATTCTTTTCTTTAAGAATGTTGAATATTGGCCCCCACTGTCTTCTGGCTTGTTGGGTTTCTGCTGAGAGATCCACTGTTAGTCTGATGGGCTTCCCTTTGTGGGTAACCCGACCTTTCTCTCTGGCTGCCCTTAACATTTTTTCCTTCATTTCAACCTTGGTGAATCTGACAATTATGTGTCTTGAGGTTGTTCTTCTTGAGGAGTATCTTTGTGGTGTTCTCTGTATTTCCCGAATTTGAATGTTGGCCTGCCTTGGTAGGTTGGGGAAGTTTTCCTGGATAATATCCTGAAGAGTGTCTTCCAACTTGGTTCAATTTTCCTGTCACTTTCAGGTACACCCATCAAACATAGATTTGGTCTTTCACATAGTCCCATATTTTTTGGAGGCTTTGTTTGTTTCTTTTTACTCTTTTTTGTCTAAACTTGTCCTCTTGCTTTATTTCATTAATTTGATCTTCAATCACTGATATTTTTTCTTCCACTTGATCGAATCAGCTATTGAAGCTTGTGCCTGCCTCGTGAAGTTCTTGTGCCATGGTTTTCAGCTCCATCAGGTCATTTAAGTTCTTCTCTCTACACTGTTTATTCTAGTTAGCCATTCGTCTAGCCATTTTTCAAGGTCTTTAGCTTCCTTGCGATGGGTTCGAACATCTTCCTTTAGCTCAGAGAAGTTTGTTATTACTGACCTTCTGAAGCCTACTTCTGTCAGCTCGTCAAAGTCATTCTCCGTCCTGCTTTGTTCTGTTGCTGGCGAGGAGCTGTGATCCTTTGGAGGAGAAGAGGTGCTCTGGTTTTTAGAATTTTCAACTTTTCTGCTTTGGTTTCTCTCCATCTTTATGGTTTTATCTACCTTTGGTCTTTGCTGTTGGTGACCTACAGATGGGGTTTTGGTGTGGATGCCCTTTTTGTTGATGTTGATGCTATTCCCCTTTCTGTTTGTTAGTTTTCCTTCTAACAGTCAGGTTCCTCAGCTGCAGGTCTGTTGGAGTTTGCTGGAGGTCTACTCCAGACCCTGTTTACCTGGGTATCACCAGCGGAGGCTGCAGAACAGTAAATATTGCAGAACAGCAAATATTGCTGCCTGATCCTTCCTCTGGAAGCTTCGTCCCAGAGGGGCATCCACCTATATGAGGTGTCTGTCGGCCCCTACTGGGAGGTGTCTCCCAGTTAGACTACAGGGGGGTCAGGCTCCCACTTGAGGGGAGGCATTCTGTCCATTCTCAGAGCTCAAACGCCATGCTGGGAGAACCACTGCTCTCTTCAGAGCTGTCAGACAGGGACGTTTAAGTCCACAGAAGTTTCTGCTGCCTTTTGTTCAGCTATGTCCTGCCCACAGAGGTGGAGTCTATAGAGGCAGTAGGCCTTGCTGAGCTGCAGTGGGCTCTGCCCAGCTCGAACTTCCCAGCTGCTTTGTTTACCTACTCAAGCCTCAGCAATGGCAGACGCCCCTCCCCCTGCCTGACTGCAGCCTCGCAGGTCGATCTCAGACTGCTGCGCTAGCAGTGAGCAAGGCTCCGTGGGCGTGGGGCCCACCGAGCCAGGCACGGGAGAGAATCTCCTGGTATCCCGGTTGCTTAGACCATGGGAAAAGTGCAGTATTTGGTTGGGAGTGTCCCGTTTTTCCCAGTACAGTCTCTAATGGCTTCCCTTGACTAGGAAAGGGTAATCCCCTGACCCTTTGCACTTCCCAGGTGAGGCGATGCCCTGCCCTGCTTTGGCTCGCCCTCCGTGGGCTGCACCCACTGTCCAACCAGTCCCAATGAGATGAACCAGGTACCTCAGTTGGAAATGCAGAAATCACCTGTCTTCTGCATTGATCACACTAGGAGCTGCAGACCAGAGCTGTTCCTATTCGGCCATCCATTAATGTTATGTTATATTAATTTTATCTCAATTAAAACATAGCAAAGGAAAGCTAGAAGGATCACTCAGAGTACTGAAGGGAGGGAGAGAAAGCTTGATCCTGATACATCCTTAGAATAAATGAGTAGAGAGTCAGTCTCTTCTAAAGTGCTTATTCTTTGATCTGTTCACTTTGGCTCTTTATTTTCTGTGTTGCATTGTTAACTGTTTTACTGGGCAGCAGTGGTGGTGTCAATGGTGGGAGTAATAAAAAGTGATTGCTAATCCGTGTACAGCACCCCTCTTGAAGCAGGCGCTGTTCTATGCCCTTCACATGTATTAACTCACTTAGTCCTTATTACAGCCCTGTGAAGTAGATACTGCGACTATCCTGAGGTAGCAGGTGGAGACATTGAGGCAGACCTTATACTCATTGAGGTCATGTGGCTAGTAAGTTTCATTTGGGAGTCTGAGGCCACTGCCAAACACAGATGGTTGGACTGGGAAGGACTTAGAGATCATCTGGTATAGGGGTTGCAAATTCAGAAGTCTCTGTGCAGAGAACATGAAAGAGCAAAGTAGTTTCATGTAAGATAATTAGGAATGGTGGTGGTAGTATAGACGGATTTTAAAAAATAACATAAAAATGCTATGTAGGCTGATTCAAGACATCTGTGGAAGTGGTACACCTTCCTGGCCACCAGATTGCAGCCTCTAATTTAGTTCAACCTCCTTGTTTTAAAGAGAAGGAAATGGAAGCACAAAGGGATGAGGCAGATTGTCCTAGTCACCCATCCGTGAGTGGTAGAGGGGACCTGGGTCCCAGGAGCCCAAGTCCCACACCCTTCTTTGTTCTACAACATGGGATTCCCATACCTTCTATTGCCTTGGGGCTGAGCATAGAGAAGTCATTTACTAAACACTA
Organism: Homo sapiens; assembly: GCF_000001405.40. Classification (NCBI taxonomy): domain Eukaryota; kingdom Metazoa; phylum Chordata; class Mammalia; order Primates; family Hominidae; genus Homo; species Homo sapiens. The sequence goes on from NC_000010.11 coordinate 75,522,744, forward strand.
CCTGAATTGATATTAAACTAAAATAAAAGGGCAGGTATGTGGAGAGGTGGGGAAAGGGCTGAACTTCTGGGGCAAGCAGGACGCAGATGATGCAGCTGAATACATGACATCAGGCCCTGGAAGTGTCATTGGTAGAGGATGCTAAAGGTCTCCCCTTAGTGGTCCCCACAGCAGAAGCTGGCTCTGAGCTGAGCCTGAGGGCTTGGGTGCCTATGTGGTGAAGGAGATGGCATTTGCTCAGCAATCAGATGACCTGGCCTGGCCCCAGCTTTGCCTCCTCCCAGTAGTGCAGCCTTGGACAATCATTTCCCCTCTTTGAACTTCAGTTTCCTCACTTGTAAATGGGAGCTTATATCATTTGCCCTCTTTCCTCATGAAGGTATTGGAAAGCAAATGGAGTAATGTGGGTAAAATAGCTTTACAAACTGTAAAGTACTGTCCACATATAGGTTGTTGCTGCTACTACTGGCTCTCCCTGGGTGGAGAGCCTGTGAGAATGGGTGCATGAGCATGTGTGCATGCATCCTGCTGGAAATGCCTGTGTCATACTGAGGACGTCCTTGTTCCATGTCATCCCATAACTACATGGTGGCTTATGTGGGGGTTGGTGCTAAGCTTGCAGAGCAGCCAGTAATTACCAAAGGAGAAAAAGAGCTCATAAAACAGGCGCCCAGTTCTGCTGCCCGGGGGCCTCTGTGTGAACTGTTCTAATGCTGTTTTTAATTTCACTTGAAATGGGGAACAAGAAGATTCTACTGCATTCACTTGAAATCCATATAGCCAGGAGCTATGTGGGGACTGTGTATGGGGACCTCCTCCAGTCTCTACCTGTGGTGGGTAATAACAGAAATGGCTATTTAATTTATTGTCCAAATCAGGACCCTTTTGAAAACGAAAGAGGGAGCTATAATAATTATGCTGGAAAAACAGGCATAACCTGAAACTGTCCCAGACTGGGATGTGTGGCTACTCCAGTAATAATACCTGGGCATCGAAGTTCAGTTCAAGTCCAGGGCCGGGGCAGACTTCTCCATCTGTGCCATCCTTCTCCCTTCTTCCCTGCATCCTTTCTTCTCTCTGCCCCTTCCTGAGGCACCATTCCCCTCAGTGTCTGATAAAATGTCAGCCTCCACCCCAGTTGATAATTTTTATATAGAAAAAGCATCTGAAAACGTGGAGTTGGAAGACTCAGGATGTCAACTGTCAGTGACTTGGCTTTGAATAGGCCTTTTTATCACTCCGAGCTTTGGTTTTCTCATCTGCAGTATGGGGATAACATTCCTAACTTTATGGGTTTTGCTGGGCAGATCAAACAAAAGAATTTACATGAAAATGATTCATGACTAATGAAGGGTTAATACAAATGTAAATTATTATTAATAAGATTATAGAGGGGTCTTGGACAAAGCAACCCAATGAACGACTTTATAGTGGGAGAATTTCTAGCTTCAGGGGAAGAGACATTTTGGAAGAGGTTGGTTGGTCTTTTCTGGGGCCCCAACTCTTATCATGGGGGCATTCATCCATGTAAATAATTGACCTTCAGGTAGAGTGGATTGTGGAGACAGACCTGCTCAAGTTTGAATCTGTTCTCTGCCTACTTGTGTGATCTTGGGCAAGATTTTTAACTTCTCTGGGTCTTGGGGTTACTCATCTGTATAATGGGGGACCAATAAACCTGTAATTTAGGGTCTTGGTGATGATTTAGGGTCTTGGTGATGTAATTTAGCGTCTTGGTGTGAGAGAATATTTACAAAACACCTAATACAGTGCCTGGCATACATAGGAATTAGGCTCTCCTTTCTCCTTTGCTGCTCTCCCCAGGGTCACTGGGGTAGGAAATGAGAAGTTGGTATAGATCACCCTAATGGAGTTCTCTGTGTATATGGTGTCTTCTTCACAACTTGGCCTATGTAGTAATCAGATGAAGACATTTTGGAAATCTTATTCTAAGGGACTTAGAAAGAAAGATGAATAAACAGGAAATTGGGGAGAAGTTTTAGTATTTTTTTGTTCTTATTTTTTTGGTCTTTCTTTTGTTAATTTTGTCCCATCCATCCATCTGGCATTTGTTAAGTACTTGAGATGTGCAAGCTGATGTGGGGGAGATAGAAAGATACCCAAGAAGCCTACAGCCTAGCTGATTTAAAGGGAACCTGAGTTTGGAGGTGCTTTAAAGTGTAAGATGATTGAGTCCAGTGGTGGTGGGACTTAGTTAGGGGTATGTATGAATTAGGACTCTTTTAGGTACAAGTGACCAAAACCCAACATACATTTGCCAAAGCCCTAGAGATAATTTATTTATTGACTCATAGCTGGGAAGTCCAGTGCTGGGTACAGAGGTTTGGGTGATGATTTTACCCTTGCTCCCAGCCCATTGACAAATTTCCTGTAGACCATCTGTTGGCTATACAGCATCCTCACTTGGATCCTCTGATATCCCCATATAATTGAGAAGGAGAGGGCATTTCAGGCCTTTGGCGGTTATTTGCTTACCAGTTGGCAGGTGTTATTTGCTCCTACTTTCAGGGCTGACTCAGAATGATGGGTGAGAGGTAAGTGTGGTTTGTGAGTACCTTTTGTGTGGAAGTTTGGGCAGGGATGTGAGCCCAGGTCTGCCTTGCCAAGGGTAATGAAATTCTGAAGCAGATTGGAGTATGTAGTTTATGATGATCTGGGCTATTTCTCTTTTTCTAGAGCTGGTAATGAAAATGCCCAGGATTAAGTCCAGTATGTAGAGTTCTGAATGGGTTGGCTAATGCAAACAGCTTAACTGACTTGGTAAGACTGGGATTGAGATAATTGTATCTGCAGGCTTTCTTTTTCTTTTCTTTTTCTTTCTTTCTTTCTTTTTTTTTTTTTTTTTGTGAGAAAAGGGCAAATAGGCTCTTTACAACCTCATTCCAGACCACTTTTTAAAAATAATATAGTTCATTACAAACTGGCCCAGCTGGTATCCTTACCATAGCCTAGTATATTTGTGTTTTCCTATGTTTATCTCATTCCTTACCCAAACTCCTCAAATCATCTTCTCTCTTAGGGTATTTCTTACCAAACTCTGATTCAGTGTTTATTATAAAGCCTTTCGTAATATCCACAGCTACAACCTTTTCTTTTGATCTCCATGGCACATACTGTCTGAGCCATTCTGACCACAATTATTTATTACATGGTTTTCTTTCATTATATTAAAAAAATTCCAATTTGATTGTAAAACTCCTTGAAGATAGGATTCTGCCTCATAGTGCTTTATGTTTTCTATCACCCCTGGTAAATATTTGTTGACTTTATATATTATTATTATTTTATTTATTTATTTATTATTTTCATTTCTTTTTTAGAGATGGGGTCTCACTCTGTCACCCAGGCTGGAGTGCAGTGGTGTGATCATAGCCCACTGCAGCCTCAACCTCCTGGGCTCAAGGGATCCTCCTGCCTCAGCCTCCAGAGTAGAAGGGACCACAGGCATGTACCACCACACCCAGCTAATTTTTAATTTTTTGTAGAGATTGGGTCTCGTTATGTTGTCCAGGCTGGTTTCAAACTCCTAGCCTCCAGCAATCCTCCTGCTTCAGCCTCCCAAAGTGCTGGGATTACAGGCACGAACTACTGTGCCCAGTTGATTTTATATTTTAAATAATGTAAGGCTGAGATTGGCAGGTAAATAATACAGGTGAGAATGACAGATGAAACCCACGAATCTTTTGTTTCCCTGCAAACCCTATAAAACAGTACAAAAAGAGGCATATACTCACAAGATGGAGATTACAAGAATGGAGGCAGTGACAGTCATATTTAATTGTTTGGTTAAAAAAATACATAATTTAGGCTAAGTGTGGTGGCTCACACCTGTAATCCCAGCACTTTGGGAGTCCAAAGTGGAAGGATTGCTTGAGCCCAGGAGTTTGAGACCAGCCTGGACAACATAGTGAGACTCCATTTCTCTAAAAAAAAATTTAAAAATTAGCTGGGTGTGGTGGCACATGCCTGTGGTTCCTATTACTCTGGTGGAGACTAAAGCAGGAGGATGGCTGGAGCTCAGAAGTTCAAGTCTTCAGTGAGCTGTGTTCATACCACTGCACTCCAGCCTGGATGGCAGAGCAAGGCCCTATCTCAAAAAAAAAAAAAACAAAACATAATATGAAATGTACCATTTAAGTTATTTTAAAGTACATAATTAATTAGCATTTAAAGCAAACAGTGTTGTGCAACCACCACCTCCATCTAGTTCTTGAACATTTTCATGCCTCCAGAAGGAAACCTCATATGCATTAAGCATCACTCCCCATTCTCCCCTCCCTCTAACTCCTGGCAACCACTAATCTGCTTTCTGTCTCTACAAATTTGCCTATTTTGGATATTTCACATAAATGGAATTATACAGTATGTGGTATTTTGTGTCTGGCTTCTTTCACTCAGAATACTATTTTTAAGGTCCACCCATGTTGTAGCATATGCCAATACTTCATTCCTTTTTGTGACTGAGTAATATTCCACTGTAGGGATGCCACATTTGGTTTATCCATTATACATTTAACAGATAATGGATATCTGGGTTTTGGGTTGATTTTACATTTTGCTATTATGAATAATGCTACTGTGAACATTCTTGTGCAGCTTTTTGTTTGAACACCTATTTTCAATTTTTTGGATGTATGCCTAGGAATAAAATTGATAGGTCATATCATAATTCTATGTTTAATTTGTTGAGGAACTGCCAAACTGTTTTCACAACAGCACACCATTTTATATTCCCACCAGTAATATATGAAAGTTCTAGTTTCTCCATATCTTCACTAACCCTTGTTGTTTTCCTTTTTTGAGACAGGGTCTCACTCTTTAAAAGGCATAAACTCAGGATGAAGTTTACAAGAATGGAGGCACCAGTAACATAGAATATGTAATATACTGTATACTATATAATTATAATATAAATCATATATAATTTATATTATAATTGTTATATAATATATTAATATAATTATATAATAATTATAATATAAATAATATATAATATATAATTATAAATAATATGTAATTATATATTATATATTTATATGTTGGAGTGCAGTGGCACAATTTTGGCTGTAGTGCAGTGGGGGGATTTTGGCTTACTGCAGCCTCGACCTTCTGGGATCAAGTGATTCTCTCACTTCGGCCTCCCAAGGAACTTAGGACTATAGGCACATGCCACCATACCCTGCTAATTTTTGTGTTTTTTTTGTAGAGACAGGGTTTCGCCATGTTGCCCAGGCTGGTCTTGAACTCCTGAGCTCAAGCAATCTACCTGTCTTGGCCTCCCAAAGTGCTGGGATTATAGGTGTGAGCCACTGCACCTGGCCAACAATAGAATTTTGCAAGTTGGAAAGTAGATAAGGGAAATTGAACCCAACCTATATCAGCAGGAGGGAGAGCTGAGAACCAATCTGATTTATACTGGATAGTTCCCCAATGCCTGCGAGTTGGTAGCACAAGTACCTCTGAAAATATCTCTGAAAGTTGTAAGACTTCAGATGCTATCTCTCATTCGACAACTTTGCTTACCACACTCTGGAGAAAGATTGAAAGTTTCTTTTGTTGGGAGCATAAGCCAGAGGATGTCTGGACTTGGGAATCCCAAAAATTGTTGAGGATGGGGTTCACCACAGGCAACTAGTAATTGAACATGCATATTAATCAAACATACACATAGTGGATTTTGGGACATTCTTCACCCAATGCTCTTTGCCTCCTTGGCTGTTACGACTGTGGTAGCCAAGCCTTTATCCCTGAAGCAGGGGTTGAGAAGACATTGACCAGACCAAAAGGAGAATTGAAAGTACTTCCCCTGAACTTCACGACTAGTTGGTCTGGCTAGATCACCTTATTGTGAAACTCCAGATGACAAGCCCTTTCCATTCCAGCCAAGAATAGAGAATAGTTCTCTATTCTTAAATGTGGGCAGAAATTTAAGGATTGCTTGATGTTTATGAGAAACCTCTAGCATGAATGACAGAGATCAGAATAAACAAGAAAGAAAGGAAGAAACTTGGAGGAATCAGGGACTATGCTGGGAGAAGAAAACACAAAAAACCTAGTATTAATATCCTTGGAGAGATAAAACGAGATAGCATAGCACTGAAACAAGAACAGAATACCATATCATACGAGCAATATGTACAGAATAAGAAAAAAGCCCTTAAAAATTCAACACATGAAATGAAAAATGTACAGGAGGCAATTTTCTTAGAAAGCAGAGTAAGAGAAGGCAAAGATATGGAAATGAGAGAGGGGAGAAAAAAGGAGCAGTCTCAGAGGTCCAACATAATTGAAGTTCTAGAGTAAAAGGAAGAAATGATAACTGGGAATTATTTCAGGAAATTGTTTTAGAACAGAGGGGCAAAAGGTTCCAGATTGAAAGATTCCACTAAATGTCTACCATTAAAATAGACTCACACCACCTCACATGGCTGTGAAATTTAAGAATACTAGGAGCTGGAAAAACATGGCAAACATACAGAATTGGGATTCAGAAGGGCCTCAGACTTCCAAATGGCAACATGGGAAGCTAGGATATACTGGAGCAACACCTTCAGAATTCTGAAAGGAAAAGTTCCTTAACCAAAAGTCTGTTACCAGCCAAAGAAGCAGTCAAGATTGAGGGAAGTGTGAAGATAATTGTAGGTATGAAATGTCTCAAAAATTTTACCATCTTAGGTAACTACTGGAGGAGGAGTTCAGTGAAAACAAGAGAGTAAACCAGAAAGGAGATGTTCTCATTAGAGGGAAAGGGCATCTCCAGGGTCATGGGCGAGGGAGATCCCAGAAGGCAGCCTGGAGTGCCATCAGCCTGGAGTGGTTGGGAGAGAAAGCTCCAGGAGCATCTTCCCCAGCATGATGAAGGTGCTGTAACACCTGATGCATCTGGACATCTTGAGAGGTGACTTAAAAAATTGGCTAAGAAATTGTTATTGAATTATCAGTAGAGAATTCTTAACTCCTGGGAAAATAAAAAACGTGTAGGAAAGAATTAGTTTTTTATATCTTACACAATTATAGCATGAGGAATATAATTATGAACACAAAATATGGTCTAACTCAAATACAACGTATCTATATTGGAAAAATGGAGGCAGGAATAGAAAGGGTCTATGCTTGTGGCACAGGAAGAGTGAACCACAGTAGGAAATCAATGGCTAATGCCTAAAACTGAAAAATCAAGGGACATGGAGGAAAATACCAAAGCATCAGCTCAGAGAGATGGTGGAAGGAGAAATGAGGGGGAAAGAAAGGGAATAGAGATTTATTTTTGTAACCATAGAATTTCTTGATTCTTTAAAACATACATATATTTTAGGTAGTTACATATTTATTTTACATATTTATATATTCTTTAAAAAATATATAAAACTTTGTAAAAAAAATAAAGAAGAAGGCTAAAAACAGATTAAAAACCTTGAGAGAAACATGCCAGTGGGATTATGGGTCCTGCCTCTTTATATAGTTTATATTTCTCAAATTTCTACAGTGATCATATTTAGAATTTGAAAAAAAAAAATAACATTGATTGATGAGAATGATGGATGGGAATTCTCGGTAAGTCTCCCTGGAGTAATGCTCACAGTGACTCTCCCAAGGGAGGAGTTCTTAACTGCATCACAGAATTGCAGGAATTCAGGGACGGCAATGCATGGAGCACCTTGGGTCAGTTGACAAGTGACGAATGCCTGTGAGTCCTTCCCAGAATGGAGGGACCTGTGTTGCCCCCTCCTTGCTGCTGACCTCAGTGTTGACTCATCCCTGATGTTTCCTGGCTGTGAAGGGCACCCCCATTCCTCACCCTGGGTTGCTGTGCCAAGTGGTGTGTATTTAACTTCTTTAGAATCCTTCCTCATAAATCAGCCTGCCTCACTCCTTCACTGTGGGAATGGCTTTTCTCTGCATTCCCTCCCACTAGGCCCTTGGTTTCAGGTAATGGCTCACTGAGACTGGGGAAGAACATGGGGCCACTTGAAACAAAGAGTTGACATTCCTCTCCTCACCATTCCTGAGTGGTTTTATTGGGAGTGGAACCTAAAGGTGGGCTTCAGGGATTGATCCTGGAGGACAGGATCTCAGAAAACCATTGTTGCTGGTGCCTGGGCTCCTTGCCCCTTGTACTGAACTCTGTTGTCTATAGTTCCGGCACTATGGGCTTTTTGGTAACTAATAGTTCACTATTAGCAATCTCAATGAGAATATTTATAATTTATTGAATGGGGACTATTTCAGGCTGTGTTATATATCATCTGTTGTCACAACAGCTCACATTTCACATCTGGGAAGATAGAGGCTAAGCAAGGTCTGCTCTTTCACTGGGCATGTCTCTTGAGTGTCTGTGTGTGCCAGGCACTGTGCTGGTCTCTAGGGTTACAGTGGAGGCTGGGATATCACCAGCTCTTCCTTAATGTTGTTAGCCAGTGGGTAGACAGACACGACCACAGGGAGGTATAATACAGCAGGACGAGTGCTGAAGAGAGGTGGCAGAGGGGGTGGTTAACACAGTCAGGTGGTCGAGGAGAACTTGTTGGACAATGCAGGTTAGTTCTGAAGGATGAGGCGTTATTCCAAAAAAGAGGGAAGGACAGCTGGACAGCAGGAGCAGTGGGAGCTGCACTAAAGTTTCCCTTCCTTCACAGACTCGTGGTGAGTGTGGCCTTTTAGGGTCAGCAGAGTCTGAGCAAACCTGAGGGTCTCAACAGCCAGACCCTCCCAACCCTGTACTCCCATCCTTTGTTGCTTTGCAGCAGGAGCTGAGTGATTGGCACAAGAATATGTGGTGATGACTGGTTTGTTTTGTACAAAGCCTGGTTGTAAGTGCCACAGGGGTTTAAAAATGAGGTGGTGTTTGACCTTGGTTTTCTCTGGCTCTAAAGCCAGCACTCTTGTTCTCTGGACAGGGTCTTTTAATCACCTAGTGTATGTTCAGTTTTAATGTAGATACAAGAAATGAGACATACATTTCCTGCCCACAAGGAATTTACAGTCCAGCTAGGCCAAAAGGAATTGGCCTTAGAAAGTAATCAGTGATGCTAGGTGCGGTGGCTCTTGCCTGTAATCCCAGCACTTTGTGGGGCTGAGGCAGAAGAGTCACTTGAGCTCAGCCTGGACAACATGGCAAGACCCTGTCTCTTAAAAAAAAAAAAAATTGGTGTGCACCTGTAGTCCTAGCAACTCAAGAGGCAGAGGTGGGAGGATCACTCGAGCCCAGGAATTTGAGGCTGTGGTAAGCTGATTGCACCATTGCACTCCAGCCTGGCAGATAAGGGAAGACTCTACCTCAAAAGAAAGAAAGAAAAAAAAAAAAAAAAAAAAAGGAAAGAGCCAGTGAGCAGTACAAGGGGGTGTTTAAAAATTTTCTTAAAGGAAACCAGTGTCCCCTTTTATGACCTCTTGGGCTGTTATTTGTCTTGTTGCTGTCTTCATTATTTTCCTAACATCTCAGATTTGTTTGCCTGCTAGAAGTTTGACTTTTCAGCCAGATCCCGAAGATCTTGGGGAGAGGTGACAAAGGCATTCCTGGTTGCCAGATTCCATCATGGTTCCACAGCCTCAGTTTCCATGTTTTTCTTGTGCCAAATTCTGGAATTTTTGATCCAGGCTGCTTGCTATCTTTGAGCATTTGGGGTTCTGAGTCCCCAGATGTAATTTTTGGGCCTGGGTGTTAACACATTGAAGGCAGAGGAAAGGGCTTGGGGAAAGTGCCTTTTCTGCTGTTGGGAGAGACCAGTTTGCCAAACATCAGGCTCTGCTTTCTAGGGGCTGGAGGTGTATTCGGGAGACATCCTCAGGTGTGCATGCTGGAGAGAGGACTGGTGGTGACATTGGAAAATCTTTCTAGCTAACTTTGTACTCTTATTCATTTCAGACTTTTTTTTGTTGAAGTCCTGCTTGAGTCATTCTCAGTATGGTTGAGACACACTGAGTTCTGCTTGAGTCATTCTCAGTAGGATGCAGACAACCTGCATCACTCAGATCCACTTTGTTAGAAATGTCGATTCCCTGACCCTACCCTAGACCTGGTGGCTCAGAGTCCCTGGGGTGGGACTCAGGAATCTGTATTTTTAATGAGCTCCGTGGTTGATCCTGATGTATATTCAAGTTTGAAACTACTGGTTTGTTTTGTATGAAGCCTGGTTTTGGGCACTGTAAGCAATTAAAAGATGTTTGTCCTTGCCATCAAGGGGCTCACTCTCTCGTGGGAGTGACAAACCTCAAATAGCTAAGTATAATATTAATACAAGACAGAACACAGCCACGTTTGTGGAGTATGCCTTATTACTCAAAGAATGCATTTTATAGCAAGTTGAAAAGAAAGGTACTAGGCTGGTAAATTTTGAAAAGCATATCCTAGTTAGTGAGATTTTATGGAAAGAGAAGTCACCTGCAGAGCTGTAGAATATTCTGCGTTCTTTCAACTGAGAGGATAACAAAGAACATGGTAGGAGTTGGACTACATAAAAGTTAGTTTCAGTAAAGGCTGAGATATTAGTATATTTAGATACCACTCTTTGTTTACCCTTAAAATGGACTCCTCATTTTATAATGACATTTTAATGAGGAAAACCTATATACAAATGAAATAGGTAACAATTAGGGGTGGGGTAACCCAGGGTCTCTTTGGATCTACTTCAGGAAAAGGCTGACAAGGGAGCCTGGGAGAGTTTCGTGCAGCAGAGAAAGCATCAATCCTGGGTGGAAATTTTGAGTTATTTATAAATGAGTTTTTATGGGTCTGAGTAAGAGACACTTCTGGGCATACTCATATTTATTGTTTCTCCCACTGACTTGGTTAAAAGTAGGTAAATAATAAATTATGTCATTGCACATCTATGTTTTCTTGTCTCTTGATGTGCAAGAGGACATCACTTTCTGGAAAATCATGGAGTGGGAAACTTTGAAGCTTATTCTCTGGTGTCTTGTGTTTGGGATCAGGCAGTTGTAGCAGTCTGCTGCTGAGTGAGCCTTTCCTTTCCCTTGCTATCACTGGGAGAGTTGGGCCCACTCAGAGGATGAGAGGAGAGAGAGAGTCAACGATATTCCACAGAGTGCAGAGAGAGTAACAATTAATTGCACCTCCTTGGAGGAGGTGACGTTTGGAGGGGACTTTGTCAAAAGACAAAATAAAATGTACATGCGATATGTGCAACATATGAGGACTCTATATTGCAAGTGACTCAAACTGGTTTCAACAGTAAAGGAAATCTATTGCCTAGGTGTTAGGGTAGCGTTCGGGGCAGGTGGGTGGATCCAGTGGCTCAGATGGTGTCCTATAGAACCCAGTTTCAATCTTCCTTCTCTTGGCCATTCCTGGCATCAACAGGCTCTCTTCATGCTCTCTACATCAAAGGTCTCTGCACATGTAGCATAAGTTAGGTCTTTTACAGGGAATATAATATATGAGGGTGAGTATTTCAAGTGCCCTGATGCGCAATTGTGAGGTGCTTATAATGCAAACCTGTGTCTGTTTGAGATTCAATTCAGCAAATACCTTTGAACAGCTACTGGGTGCAAAGTGCTGTGTGTGGCAGTTAGTTGCCCATCACATTTGGTGGACAGTGGTCCTCCTGGGACTTGCTGTCATGTGGTGTACTTTAAAACAGAAGTTAAGAAAAAACAGTGAAAAATGCTACCATTGAATTGGGTGGCATTTAAGACTGTTTCTAGCCGTCCTGACTCTTAGAACTTTGCTTTCTCGGCAATATTGTGGGTGCATATATTTGGCAGGGGGGGATTCTAGGTTTATGAGTCAACCTGAGGAGTAAGAATGGAAGATGACAATAGTTTCTGATCTTTAGCTTTTAAGTCAAGGACTGCTTTCCAAAATGTTCTTGGCAGGCAAGCTGCCTTTGAACATTGTTAGACATAGACATAGCCTCAGAATAGCATCTGAATTACGATGTTTTTGTCTTCTTTTCCCCAACTTGTGATGGCTGATAGACAGAAAATGCTCATAAAACCTTGACTCAAACCACCAAATGGCTGAATAATTCAAGCTTGAGTTTTTTGAAGAATTTTGAATCCCAAAATAAGACTCCTAAGGAAATAGATATGATGTTTCTTTCTTCCTCCCCTTTTAAGCCTAATTAGGGTTTGTACTTAGGTAATGGAGGGTCAGATTCAGGGGAAAGTCTTGCTAGTATGAGCTTAAACTATACACCAGAATTTCTCTATACCCATAAGCTTCATTAAAAAAACGAAAACAAAACTCAGAACCCCAAATAAATAAAAACACATTTATTTGATGATGTCTCTGTCCACCATGAAGAGGCTTAGTGTTATGCTTGTTGTAGAAAAATATTTTGTGAATGTGTCTTACAATCTTTCACTATTTTTGGTAAAAGACAGTTCTTTTTATCTTCTAAATTAGAAATTCATTGTCATGGATTTTTTGTTTTTGTTGCTTTCTTTAGCCTGTTTTTCAGGGATTTTTTTTTCCATATCAGGATTGCACTGTGATTGGAACATTCTCACAAAGATTTCAACCAAGTTTTTCTTCTCAGGATTGACACACCATCAACAACCTGAAATAGTAAGCCTTTTCTGCTTTCTAATTTCCTCCCTAGAATTCCAGTTGAGGTCCTTGTCTTTCCTTCAGCTTCTTTTACTTACTTACTTCTTATTTATTTATTTATTTATTTCTCTAGTCGTCCTTTTATGAAGTGCACTGTCAGCAGCAGCTTAAAGATTTGTTATTCAAGCCATGAATCCCTCTGTGAAAGGCAAAAACTGAAATTTAGAGACTCTCTTGCTCTTTTATTTTCCCATCTCAATTTCTTTTCTGTTCCTAGTGCATTTTGGGGCAGACAATGAGCCAACTAATGCAAATCACCCAGACCAAAGAACCCTTAGATCATTTCTGAAGAACTTGAAGTGATCCTTGAAGAGAACTTTATTATTCAAGGTTTTCAGAATAAAACCTTAAAAAAAAATTGGGTGTGACTAAAGAAAATCAGGTAAGGGCCTTGTAGCCATTTTGGATAAAGTTGAAGTGGACTCATCTTTACAACTGGAACTGCTCTGCCTCAGGTTCCGGATGCCCCCTGCCCTGGGAGGAACAAGTGTTGCTTCTGCTTCTGGGAGGAGGCAGTGTGGTCTACTGGAAAGTGGACCAGGCCAGGAGGCAGTGATTAGAGCTCTTCTGAGCCATCTGTGCCATTAAATTGGCTGTATGACTTTGAGCAAGACTCTGAATTATTCTATGCAATCCTGTAGAATGAGAGGTTGGGTTGGCTGGTGTTCTGGATTGTGGGATGGAGGGGAAAGCCACCTCCTTATTGTCTGACCTGGCTGCTTGTCATTCTGCCTCAGCCATGCCGCCGTCGCTCTGTTCCTCTCCCACCCAGGCTTTGCTCACATTGGCCCCTGAGCTGCTGTTCTGCTTGCTCTGTATTGCCTTCTTTTTGTCTACCCAGATCTTAACCATCCTTGCAGGGCGGGTTCACATGACTCCAGGCCTTTCCTAGCTGCTCAGGTTCTTCTCAGAACAGCTATTGTACTCGGGGTCCATTCCATACTGCTCTACACAACTGTATATTGTATATATTCTCAAACATGCCCCCTGGCCTGGCTCTGTGCTTGTCCTGTGTGTCCCCTCTATAGGATGCTCTCTCTGTCCTCCATCAAGTCCCAGCCTCTACCTCTTGAAAATCCTAACTATGTATATACCCTGGTGGTTCATACACAGCTCACATGACTCTACTGAGGTATGCTCTTCTCTCTGTCCTCTTTAACCCAAAGTTGAGGGCTCATCACACCTGTTTGGGGTATATGTGTTCCTGCTCCACCCACTTGCTATTCTTTTATTGTAGCATTTTTAGGAGATGGAGCCTCACTCTGCTGCCCAGGCTGGAGTGCAGTGGTGTGATCATAGCTCGCTGTATACTTGAACTTCTGGGTTCTTGTCTCAGCCTCCCGAGTAGCTGGGGCTATAATTCTTAAATTAGTAGTAGCTGGGGATAATTCTTAAATTTTTTTTGTAGAGATGGGGGTCTTGCTATGCTGACCAGGCTGGTCTTGAACTCTTAGCCTCAAGTGATCCTCTTGTCTCAGCCTCCCAGATTGTTGGGATTACAGGCATGAGCCACTGTGCCTGGCCTACTGAAGCATTTTTGATCTAGGATCAGGCTTGCTTGACATTTAACTCTGAGAACTTTGAGGACAAAAACAGTGTCCTCATTGTATCCCCCATACCACCCATCGTATGCTGGACAAATAACAGGTATCCTACTGGTGGTTGGTAATTAGACCTAGAATTGCCAGGGAGCACAGATGCTCTGGTATTTCAGCTACTCCCTTGCCTTACGTTCCGGTCAAGAGTGAACTTTTATGCCCAAACTAGCTAAGAGACTATTTTCTTCTGTCACACTATATGCTGAAGAGCTTTCTTTTTACTTTGTGTTCATTATTTTTGGGGGAAGGATTTTTCCACTTAGCTCAAAGCCTTGTCATTGCCTCATTATTATAACGTGCAACCGCTGATGGAAGCATCTTTTCCATCACCTGGAGGCATTCCACTTGTGGCTACTTCTGGCTCAGCCCCTGAGAATACTCCTAAGGCAGGCCATGTGGCTGAGAGGCTTGGTACTTCTGGGTTTAAGTTCTGCTCTGATTCTGCCTAGCTTTGTGTGACATCAGGCAAGTTGTTAAGTCTCTCTAAGCCTTGATTTTCTCTCCCACAGCATTGTGATGTACCTACATCCCTGACTGTCAGGATTAAATGAGACCCTGACTGTACAGCTCTCAGCACAGTGCCTGGCATAATTTATCCTTGTTATCCTTGCTATCAAAGCCTGTATTGACTACCAAATGTATGAGGCCTGAGCCAGGCCCGTAAGGATGGAAGTTCAGATCTGGACAAATGTGTAAGGGATTTGCAGATGTGATCAAAGTATTGAAGTGAGCTTGGGTTGCTTGGGGGCCGGGGAGAGCATTTGCATTCATGACTGGGTGGAGTGAGTACCTCTTGGGTCCAGGGAGTTTAGAATTCTCAGCCTGGCATGCAGGCATTTAATCACTCCTATCTGTTTTTCCCCTCCTTTCTAGAGATGTTCCATACTTCTCAAACATGCCCCCTGGCCTGGCTTTGTGCTTGTCCTGTGTGTCCCCTCTATAGGATGCTCTTTCTGTCCTCCATCAAGTCCCAGCCTCTACCTCTTGAAAATCCTAACCGTGTATATACCCTGGTGGGTCACACACAGCTCACATGACTCTACTGAGGTATGCTCTTCTCTCTGTCCTCTTTAACCCAAAGTTGAGGGCTCATCACACCTGTTTGGGGTATATGTGTTCCTGCTCCACCACAGTATACGGTTGGGGACTATTAGAGCTGGAGAGAATTTTGAGGTCTGAGGACACAGTTGCAAATGAAACCTGAAGCTTTGTTAGCTCATCAGATATAAAGCAGATACTGATGAGGCCGCTGCATCGAAGGGGAGCCAAGACCCTATCTGCTATGTTGTCATTTCCCCTCCTAGAAGACCCTAGAAGCTTTGTGCTGCCCAGGGAGCTTTGCATAACACAGAGACTGAAAGCGGTGCAGCGATTTGGCCGAGTCCCTGCAGCAGTACTTGAAACTGTATCTGGCCACCTGCTGCATCCTCTACCGCATTTCACATAGCATGCCTAGTGAGTGAATGTAAGGAATAATTAGGAAAGGTTAAGTGATTTCCTAATGCATCTTCTATTTGCGATTCAAAAGATGTAAGTGGCAGTGTTGTCTCTTATGTAATCTTCACCCGTAGACTGTTCAAATCATAGGGAAAGGGTGAAAAATGGCAAAAAATGGCACTTCACTGAGCATGAAGTGAAAATGTCTCAGATGGGCATTGAGTAGTTTTGTTTGTTTGTTTGTTTGTTTGTTTGTTTGTTTTGTGTTTTTGGCTTTGACCTGTCATTTCTTAGCTTTCTCATCTATGCCTTTGTTAACTTGGGTCAGAGGAAAGGGTCTGTGTGATTTCAACAAGCAAGTATTAGGAAAAGGCTGGCAGAGAGACTTTATGCATGTTACCTAAGCTGGGATTTGATCTTCAGACCCCCAAGGTGAAAGGCTAATACCTTAATTTGTGTGTTTTATAAACATCCCCAGGCAATGACCTTCTGCTAGCCTCATGTGATATTCACATTCTACAGTACTGAATGCCAAATTTTCTGTCTTGGAATAGAGTGGTACAGGTTGCATGTTCAAGTTTAGAATCAGCAGGGTGCCATCCCTATATTAGTGTTGCTTGCATGCAATTGAGTGAAAGCTTTTTAGAGGATTTCCTGGCAGAATGGAATTTTTTATTTTAAGAGAATACATATCGTATGGTTTAAAACCAAAAAAACTTCTCTTCAATAGGACTTGTGTCCAACAATGTAAGGCATTTTCCCTTGCAGCTTTCCCTTTCCTAAAAGCTTTCCTTTAAGGGTCATCTTTATTTTTCTGGTGTCAGTCAAATTATTTTTCAGCAGAGCATGAAAACTGGAGATGGAGACCCTCCATGGCTGTGTGTTAGAACCACACTGAAAGTTTTTTGTTTTATGTAAATAGAGATTGATGGAACATTTTACACAGAGTACGGGCTTTTGACAAAAAGTATTGATGGTTGCTTTCAGTAAGTGTTACTTGAGATGACAGAACATTGCATTTTAAGATGAATTACATGAGGAACTCCCTCTTTGGGAATGTCATACATTTTATTTCATCTGTTGTTTTATGAGAGAATGACTGAAGTCATGAATACCTTAGACTGAACTCTTTCCTTTGCACATTATAAGCCTCGGTTTGGTGCACTCTTATTTTAAATATTAAGTTATGGGGGAAATGTTTATACTGGCAAATAATATTGATAAAAATGCTTAAATGTTCAGAAGCAGAACATAACTTCTCACATGGTTTTCTCTTGCATGGTGGTGATTTGTAGGAAGCCTGGGAACCTGGTTAGAGTTAAATATATATTTTCAGAAAGATCTCAGAGATTTGGCTTAGTATAAATGGCTGTTTTTTTGTTGTTTTTGTTATTGTTGATGTATTGGCGATTTTCTCCCTCTGGCTGTATTTAGATTTCAAAAATGCTACATTTGCATTCACTCCCTATAGCATTATTTGTTCTTGATGCAAGGGCTTAGAAGTCAGAGTCTGTCAGAGTCTTTTGGGTTTTAATTTTCTTTATAGCATTAATTCAGAGATATTAGCTTATCAGCACCCAGGGGTTAAAGGTTATTAACAGATTCACTATATGTTTATTGAGCACCTATTACTATCTGTTCTAGGATCTGGGGGTATAGGCCTGATTCTCATGCTGCTTATAATCTAGTGAGGAGCAGAAATAATAACAGATAATAAAATTTCTGGTAGCAACATTATACCATATTGAAAATAAAGCAGGAGTAAAGGGTTAGGTGCCTCAGAAGTGGGTGTGGGAGCGTATTTTAGGTAGAGATGTCAGGGAGGGCTGCTCTGAGAAGTGACATTTAAGCAAAGAGCTGAAGGTGAGATAGCTTGTGCAAAGGTTTGGGAACCTGGCAGAGGGAACAGCAAGTGAAAAGGCCCTGGGGCCAGAACAAGCTTGGCATGTTTGAGTAACAGCAAAGCAAGTACAACACCAATGGTGGGCATGCTCCAAGTTTGGGGATTGGCATGATAGGCTTATAGGAAGACCAGGCACAAGAGGAATGTGATTTCATACATTTGTCCCATGTGTGTGGCCATAGGATTCTCGTTTTATCACCATACTGTCTTCCCCTATCTAGCACCTGGCCAAACAGGCTTTTCTTATTTCCACTTGGCTGGTTTCTGTAGAAAGATCTTACCTCCCCACTAGCACTCTGCTCCACTATTTGCTGGATGCCAATATAGGTAAAGTCCCAGTCACCAGGGGAATTTGAAACTTTCACTCCCCCAGACTGAATCCCTTAGTTAAATGTGTTCTCATATACTTTGAATATTACTTTCTTGCAGTGCTTATCCCACACTATTGTAATTAGTTGTGTATGTGATTGTCTTCCCAACTGTAAGCAGCTATTACTCATGTTTGGGCCCCTAGTGTTCAGAAGAGTGCCTGGCATCCAGTAAATATGTAATGTGTTTATTGGCTAAAAAAGTAAAATAATTCCCTATGTGTTACCTGGCTACCTGTTATAAGAACTAGAAATTATGGTGAATGCAGAGTCAATAAACTCATTGCTTTTACAGGAAGAGCTTAAAACAAACTTAGGGAAACAAGTTTTGTTGTTTTTTTTTTAAAAAGGAAAAAAACAGTTTTGGATCTGCTTTAGGGCACTTATAAGAAGAGTTTTAACAACTGTTGGTTTAAATAGTTGTTGCAGGAATGAGAACTCTTGCAGGGATTGAATAGCCTAGGCAACCGCAGCATTCAAACCCTGGTGGGACGGAATTCCCAGAGGCCAACTGGGTCTTTCCTGGATTTGAGCCTTTGTCCCAGGGCCTTATGAGATACTTTGTCCTCCATAAATTTGGAGCCGATTTGGAACTAGCTAGCTGTTTTTCTCCCTGCTGAATTAATGTGCTGTTCAGCCTAAGCTCAAATATGAAATATATTAAAAGCAAACTAAAAACAGGTCACCGTTTTGCCTCTAATGTTATGGGAATATTTGTTTTTAAGTCATCTTTTAATACTCCACAAATCTTCCCCACAAACTTTTTTTTTTTTTTTTTTTAAGCAGAGACTATTTTTCCCAGTGCAAAAGGCCATTTCTTAAGTCCTGATTTATTCAGAAATTTACATGGAGAAAATGGCCCCAGATCCCACACAAGTGAAATTTATTTTTTAATCTGGGGCACAGTAGGGAGCCCTGAGAAATGCGTTTTCCTCCAGGATTGTAGGAGGAATACATAGTGTTTGTTTAAAGCATCAGGTATTGAGAAATGTAATGGCAGGGTGAAAAGTTTGACCTCAGCTGCCAGATCCGATCTGCTAGGGGGTAATTGAGTTGCCATGTTTTTTTCCTCTTCAGTTTAAATCAAGTTTTGCTATAGCCCATTTAAGTGTCAAATTGGTAGCAAAACTTGACAACTTCAGGGTGCAGACTTGCTTTTGATGAGAATTTACATGCAAATCATTTTTGCCTTGAACTGTCAACTCCTGTTTCTGATACTCTGAGGGGGACATGTCTCTCCCCACCTCTCTCTCCCCAAGCCAAAGGGGATGTTGGCTAATGTTATTAATCAGTGTGTGGAAGAAAAATTATCTTGATAAATATGGTGGTTAAACTATATTTTCCCTTTTGTATGTCAGCTGTTGCAGCTGGGCATTTAATCTCCTTTTACCTAGAAGGAAATCAAACAATTATCCAGCGCTTGATGTCAAAAAGAAACTAGTGAATGAGGGTGGAGGGTCACCAGTGTATTGGAGAATGGGCTTAAGCCACCAAAACCTGACAAAGGGTGCTGACAGTCTGCATTTTCTTGGGCATTAAACAAAGTCTTTGGTAACTTTAAAGAATCTTTCCTTGCATGACTAAACTCATTGAGGGGGTTAGAGAGAAAGCTGCCTCAGAAGTCTTAAGCCTGAAACTTTTTTTTTTTTGGTTTTTCCCTAAACCCTTGGGACGCTTAAAAGCACGTGAGCATGTGTAGCTCCATCATTCAGCAAGACAAAGGAGTGTTTGCACTTTCACAGAGTTAATAATGACAGTAGCAAGTCTTTCTAGTTTCCAGCCATCCTGTTTAGCATTCCTAGTCATCTTACCTTCCTGAAGAATTTAATTGTGATTGATGCTCTGTCTCTCATTTCTTCTAGACAACCCCACTCTGAAAAGCAAGAAAATAGAGGGACCCAATAAAAAAACAAATAGAGAAAAAGAAGTTTCTAGAACTCACTGCAGATTAAGAGAGCTGATTGCGAATATTTATAATTATCTATTGTGGAGCCAAAACATTTAGTGAAATAGTACAAGATTTTTGTTTCTAGCCAGCCTAAAATTCCTTTCCATCACTACACCCCCAATGGGGTGAGAATATCAAACATGTCGTCCTGTCAAGATGACAGCCAGCGTCATGTCATATGGGAGACACATGCAGGCCTGACTTGAGAAATCAAAGAAATTTCAAGATTGGTTTCGCTTGATCCAACGTGGCCCCATTGCAGGCCCTTCGGAAATCTCCTCTACCAGGCCCCTTCCTGCCACTGTCCGGCGCAGCCTGCCTGTGTGCTGTGAAATTTTAATTGAATTGTTAATGACACCGAGGAGTGACACAACACATGAGAAACTTCCAAGAATCAGTCAGGAGGAGCCCTTTTTCTTACTGTTACAAAACAGAAGACACTGGGAAATTGACAAGTCCAAGCGCGAGGCCAGGGTAGTAATTGATAGCAGGCTGCCTAGAGCCAAGGTCCTTCCCTGGTAATTGCAAGCAGAGGCTGCCTCTCTGATCTCACCAGTGGTGCTGGCCATGCCAGAGCAACCCAGCTTTGACGGATTGCTTTCCCGCAGTAATGACTTAGGCATGTTCCCTCTCTCGCATGAGGCCATGGGTCCCTCCCACTGGAGAAAATGAGCTGAACATTTTGCTTCTTCTTTAACAGGGCGCTGTTAAAATAACTCTATTCTATTATATAAGCCCTGTAGTGCCAGGGGCTAAATTTATATGGTTATAAACAAGAGATATTACTTTGGAATACCACAATACTGTGTTTTGCTATTTCTTTAGGATTTCTAATGGTGTTTTCAAAATAATGGATTTTACTTCAAGAAAAAAAAATGGAAGTGGGGAGGAGGAGAGAGGAAGGATCCCATTTCTGAACAAAACCCTCGTCCTATTTTTAAATTCCTCTGTGTACCTTCCCTAATTCACCAGCCCAGTATTTATTTGTATTTGTGTTTGTTTTGCTGGCCGGATTTGACTCTCTATGGGAACATCAGAAATATTATTTACTCCAGGATTCTGAAATAAGATAGATATTTTATTTCATGTTTTTTAAATTCTCCAAAGATTTATTTTTATTTTTTTCCTTTCCCATTTCTGGACATTGATATATTTCAGAACTTTTGTGCAGCTTTTCCTCCCTCCCTACACCTCCTCTCCCTTCTCCCCTTACTCCTTTCTTCCTGGAATGTAATTTTGTCTATGAAACATGACAGTAAGCTGAAATGTCCCTGATGATTTTCACTCCTCTGGATTTTCACTCCTTTCAGTGACAGAAACTTACTAATTCTGATACAAGTGTCGCTGAATGTGCTTCCTTGCTGTGGCTTGTGCTTTCTGGCATGTTTAAAGTTGGGGTCCCTCACCCCACCTGTGTCCATCGTTTCACACCAAGAACCAACTTCAAAGGAGTGCCAGGGACATCCTTAAAAACTCAACTACAGATTCACTTCAGAAATGAAGCTTCGTGCACATGCGTTTGTGTGTGTGTTTGTGTCCATGTGTGTGTCTTCACACTCATTTGATAAGTTTTGATGGTGAACCTACGAGAAAAGATACAGATTAGTATTAATGGAGCTTCTGGGAGAATAGGTAGAGAAAAGATTTGGCTGTGTTTATTTACCTTACATTTAGTCCCTAACTCCCTACATTTATTGTTAATTGGTAGTACATATTTAGAATTATTCTTAAAAAATGAAGGACTAAATGATGGTAGGTTTCTAAACTATCTCACAAAATTTATTTCTGCAAAATGAAAAGGATTATTTTGGGTAAGTGGAATTTTTTAGGCTAGCCTGGGAACCTAACCATTATAGCATTGGATCTACTGGAAAAAACCTTCAGAATTCTGACTTGGATATAGGGTGCTCGAAAGACAGTTTTTCTTGTCTTCCTATTCACTGCTATGACTTAGAGAGGAAGGTACTGCCTCTTGCATGATCCCAGCTGTCAAAGAGTTGGCCCTCCCCTGACCTTAAGCACTGGGGCAAGAGTATAAACACTTCCTGCTGCATTGCTGTAATGTTATTCTTTTTTTGTGTGTGTTTAAAAAACTTTCTTGTTTTTTTTTTCTGCATGATTTGAAATCTCTATAATAAGCAATGTTTCATTTTAAGGAGAAACAATCGAAATGTTTTCATTTTTGAGCTTTATTGAGGTATAATTGACGAATAAAAATGGTATACATTTAAGGTATACAACTTGTCCTTTTGATCGTAGTGTTATTCTCATTTAGTGCAAGCTCACCACTAAGTCAGATGTTTTAAAGTAGGGATGTGCTGTTAGAATCTCATTTAATTATTTGATTACATTTCTGTTTTTACTATTTGTGTAGGTATTAGCCCAATGCTTTTATTCTTTTGTCTTTATTATTTTTCCTGTGTTTTCAGTATGTTTTGTTTCAGAGAAGCGGTTCTCAGTGTGGGGAGGCATTCTCCCCCACTCTTTGGAGACATTTGATTTGTCATAACTTGGGGTGGGGTGGTTGCTGCTGGTATGTAGTCCGGGGAAGCCAGGAATGTGCTTAACATCCAACAATGCACAGGACAGCTCCCACAACAAATAATTATCACGTCTGAAATGTCTTTTTTGTTTAGCACTATGACATATAGAAATGAGATCTTGGTAAAAGTCCATCAATTAAGTCAGAAACTACAATCTGTTAATCAAGTGTTACGGAGAGTTTGGAGCTGGTCTGGGGGGTTGGGCAGAAAGAAAAAAATTTGAGAATTGTGCAGCTTCCTGGTTGTTACCATAGGCTTTAGACACACACTTGGATCAAGATGATGGTTATACTGCAGACTTTGGGCTTGTTGCTTAACCTTTCTAAGCCTCAGTTTCTTTCTCTGCTACATGTGACAAGTGACAGTACTGATATCATAGGACACTGTGGACATAATAGGTGTCTGGCTTACACTAGACCTTAGTTAATATATGACAACTATGTAGAAATTGGTTGCCGTCCTAAAGGTGGTGACATGAATCTTGGAGAT
This sequence comes from Homo sapiens, assembly GCF_000001405.40. NCBI lineage: Eukaryota > Metazoa > Chordata > Mammalia > Primates > Hominidae > Homo > Homo sapiens. Next base: position 75,545,622 of record NC_000010.11, read on the forward strand.
CATCTTACTAACATTTTGCCAATGAGAAAACTGAGCCCCAGAGAGGGGAGATTACCCAAAATGATGATAGCTGGTAAGAGTCAAAGTTGGGACTAGAACCCAGGTCTCCTGACCCTAAGTCCTGTATTCTCTGCAGTATTAAGCTTGTTTCAGCTTACAGTATTAAGCTTCATGGTCTAGAACTTAAATCTGGTTGGGAAGGAGAGTCCAACATGTCTGAAATAATTAGAGAAATATTTAGTGACAAAAATTCCAATGTGAGAGCTCTGGATTCTGGAAGGTCTTAGGAAGAGTTAAGTAGGATTATAGTTTATAACGACCATGAAACTCACAGGAACTCTGTTATGATGGTTATCCAAAATCTTGAGCCGGGAACCAAATGGAAAGAGCAGAAGCTTTATCCAGAAGGTCTTGGGCTTCTGCTCTTTTGGTGCTGGGAAGCCTTATTTTATGGTGTAAGTTGGAATCTTTCATGAAGTTTCTTTAAAGACAATAGACACCCAGAGGAGGAATGAGAGAACATTTACTGAGTGTTGACCAGTGTTGGGCATGGTGCCAACTGATTCCACACACATTTTCTGGTTTCAGTGATCTTACTGAGCTCTAGTGTTTCAAGCATTCTCCATTTGCAAGATGGTGGGTGAGGACAGTGGGGGATGTAACCATAGAACAGCAGACCTTGCTGCCTTCAAAGATCATGTTTTTGAAGAATGTTTAATGGTAGAGGAAAATATCTATGAACTATTCATAAGCTTAAAAATATGTGTACACAGGTTATGAAACACTGTGTACACTATTGATCCCAATTGTATTTTGAAATAAACATATGTATGCATAGAAAAAAAGAAGAGAAGACTATACATCAGAATATCAACTGGTTATTTCTAGTGTTGGGATCAAGGATGATTGCAGTTTTTCCTTTTTATCTGTATTTTTTTCTGCTAGTTTCTGTTTTACAAAATTATAATAAAATCTTTTTAATGGTAGAAGTGATGTGATTGAGTATTCATTAATAAGTTGCTTATGCATTGGAATTATAAGCAAGGCAAAAGAAGTGTAATAATGGAGTTTCTGCCCCCAAGGGACTTTTACTGTAGTCCGGAGAGAAGACCTACACATATGGAAAGTTTATTAATAATAATCATTACTGATAGCTATTAATTGTACCATTAAGTGGCTATTCAGATTATGATAGTGAATCTCTACATTTTTAATAATGTTAAATCTATGTAAATCTATGTGATATACATGTATTATTTCACTGAATCCTCCCCACAGACACATAGGGTACTTCAATATTCCCATTTTACAGATGGAAAAACTTAGGTTTAGATGGTTTGGGAAAGTGGTGGAGCTAGGATTGGCTCCAAAGTTCATGTCTTTAACCACCAGTTAATATGACCTTCCAGAGAACCCTGCTTAGCTGATAAATCACCAAGTGCTTGTTGCCAGTGAGGACTACAAGAATGATCAGTTGAGAAGAAATAGATCATTTCAGCCTGGCCAAGGGAAGGGAGAAGAAGGATCACCCAAGATTCTATTTATTCATCAGTGCACCCAAGATTCTATTTATTCATCAGTGCACCCAACTTCATGTTTCAGGATGGTTCTGTATAGCATTACTGAGTATCTCTGGACCAAAACATGCGAACCACTTGTAGGGTTATTTTAGGCATGGATAAGGAGGAGAAGACCAGGCCTATGTGGGAGAAATGTCTTGGGAAGCTGGTTTTCTTTGCTCATCTCTAATTAAAGACTCTGGTGGCCCTTGTGAAGACCTTTCTGACTCAAGTGACTGTGGCTCTGACAGGAGTATCTTTCCTTCGTCTGCTGAATCATCTTTCACTTCACAGCCCTGCACTGGGGCTGTGGTGCCCACACAATGGCCAAAACCACTGTGGCCACAATAAGTGCTGTGGAATGTGTGTGTGTTTCGTCTTTATCAAGAATGTCACATGGCATTTCCTGATTGCAGCAGCAGCTTACTGCCCCATCTGAGTTTCCAGACTAAATACCAGTGCTCAAGCCACATGTGTTTATGGTATGTAATAAATCTCCATTTGTCATAATGGTTTAAGTTTAAAAGAAAAAGAAAGGTGGGCTGTTACGTAAAAAAAATTATTTTGGCTGTTATAAATTAACTTTCTTGGAGTTTCAGGTCAAGCCCAATTTATTAAAGGGAATAAAAAAGATAGAAACCTGGTCTGTGATCACAATTGTGATTTATCCTCACCTCGAGTGGGTCCTCCTTTGGACCTTTTCTTGAACCGCAGCTGGCTTGGTTTATGTAGGACCTGCTGGGAGCTGAGATTGTAATGAAAAACAGTTATTCTTTCAAATTACTCACAAGAAGAGGGCTTATTTTATCAAGCGCTCTCCTAATTTGATTGTAAGGCTTTTCATATTTATTTTTCAGCATTAATCATTCTGTATCTTTGTGGAAAGTATAAACATAGTGGTGAAGGACAGCATTTAAAAGAAAAAAAAAAAAACACAACACTCCAGGGACAAATGTTTCTCTAGAGGTGGCCTATTGGGAGCCCTTAACGGATGATTAAGGAAGTTATTTTGGGTTTGGTAGCAATGTTGTGAACTTTTCCAAAGAATCTTCTTTAGAGCAAGATGGCATTTAATATTTTTGCAGATTAACCTTTAGCAATGAAAATAGTGTCCAGTATTGACTTCCCTTGGAAGAAACAAGCAAGCAAGGTACTGGTAGCATTAGCTAACATCTTTCTATGCTAGAAGGCCACTCTGTGTCCTGAATTTGCCCAAGGGAGAGTTTTGGGAGTTCCTTTCCCATGCAACAGTGAGGAACTCTAATTTTAATACTCTGGGAGTGTAGGACCCAGCCTAGGCCTCCTTCCTCGCTAATTAGGTTCCTTCTGACCTGGACATCCCACAGTATCTTAAACAATGAGGGGTAGTTCCTATTTTCAGCACAGGAGCCCCAGATGGTCTTCTGCTTCTCAGAACTCCTTTTTGAACTCTCTGCATTCTTAAGCAAAACAACTCAGAACCAGATGCTGGGTGGCTCATTACAAACATGAAAATGAATTTTCATATTCCTTCATGTTATTGAAATATGTAATATTTCTTATCTCTTTGATCTCTGGCCTATAAAAAAGATCTAAGTATCTGTCGGAAATATACATACTCGGGTTGTATAGACCTATCTGTAATGGAGCCAGGAGCTCAGTGAAGTTCCATTTGAGGCAACAGAAGGAGGTAACTCCTCAAAAAGTCTTTTCCAGGAAGGTTAGTCAAGACCTATGCTGATCTGACCATGTTAAGAGTTATTTATTATTACTGTTATTAGTTTATTACTACAATTTCCTATCTTGGATAATGGTACAGTTGGCCCTGTATATCCACTGTTTCTGCATCCACCAATTCAACCAACTACAAATTGAATATTCAATCTGAAATGGAATCATACAGTATTCACCCTTTTGTGTGCCTAGTTTCTTTCACTCAAAAGCATAATGCTTTTGAGATTCATCCATGTGGTTGCATGTATTACTAGCTTGTTTCTTTTTATTGTTGAGTAGTATTCTATTGTGTGAATGTATCAGAATTCTTGACACGTTCACCATTTGATGGCTGTTTGGATTGTTTAAAGTTTTAGCTATTTTGAATAAGCAGCAATAAATATTTGCTCAGAATATTCAATCAATTGAATATTGGGATGTTTGATCTGGAATGCAGATCCTGCACATATGAAGGGCTGCCTGTAAAGGACTTGAGCATGCTTAGATTTTGGTATTTGTGGGGTGTCCTGGAACCAATCTCCCATACCAACAGACCACTGTATTTAAATTTGTTTTTAATTTTATTTATTTGTATATATTTTTAGAGACAAGGTATTGTTACATTGTCTAGGTTATTCACAGGCACAGTCACAGCATACTACAACCTCAGACTCCTGGGCTAAAGTGATCCTCCTGCCTCAGCCTCCTGAGTAGTTGAGACTACAGGTACATGCCACTGCTTCAGGTTATTTTTTATTTTTGAAGTCAGATTTAGTGAGATATAATTTATGCACAATTAATTCCCTTTCTAAGTGCACAGATGATTTTTGACAAATGCATACAGTCATGTAACCACCATCATCATAATCAAGACGTAACATTTTTATCGCCATAAAAAGTTTCCTTGTGCCCACTTTTCAATCTCCTTTCTCCTTCCTTGGCTCATGGCATGCACTGATGTAATTATTGTCTCAGTGGCTTTGCCTATCCCCAGAATGTCATAAAAATGGAATCATACAGTATTCACCCTTTTGTGTGCCTAGTTTCTTTCACTTAGCATAATGCTTTTGAGATTCATCCATGTAGTTGCATGTATCACTAGTTTGTTTCTTTTTATTGTTGAGTAGTATTCTATTGTGTGAATGTACCACAATTCTTGACACATTCACCATTTGATGGCTGTTTGGACTGTTTAAAGTTTTAGCTATTTTGAATAAGCAGCTATAAACATTTGCTCAGAAACTAGTCTGTCTTAGTGAATGTTCCATGGGCCCTTCAAAAGAATGTGGATTCTGCTATTGTTGGTTGGAATCGTCTATAGATGTCAGTTAATTCAATTTGGTTGATAGTGTTGTTCAGGCTTCTATATCTTTACTTATTTTTGATCTACTTTTTATATAAATTACTAAGAGAGGAGTATTCAAGTCTCCTATTCTTCCTGGTTTTTGTCTACTTCTTTCAGTTTGATCAGATTTTTCTTTATGTATTTTGGAACTCTGTTGTTAGATGCATACATATACATTAGTTATATCTTCTTGATGAACTGAGTCTTTGTTCCTAAACATATTCCTTGTTCTGAAACCTACTTTGTATTATGTTATTATACAGACTGGAGTTTTTGTGTAATGTTTGTGTTGTATCTATTTTTTCACTGTTAATATATGTCTCTGTGTTTATATTTATAATGAATTTCTTTTAGAGAGCATATAGTCAGGTCTTGCTTTCATAACGAGTCTGATTATATCTGCTTTTTAATTTGGAATGTTTAGGCCATTTATCCTTAATGTAACTATTGGTATAGTTGGTTTTGAGTCTACCATTTTGCAAATTGTTTTCTATGTGTCTTATATGTTCTCTATTTCCTTCTTTTCCTGCCTTCTTTTGAATTATTTGTATATATTTATGATTTCATTTCATCTCCACCACTGGCTTATAAGTTTACTCCTTTTAAAAATGTTCTAGTGATTGCTTTAGGGTGTACAGTATATATATTTAACACAGTTTACCTTCAGATAATACATTGCTTTATTTATAGTTTAAGAATCTTACAATGGTACTCTTCCATTTTCTTCTTTCCATCCTTTGTTCTATTGTCTACATTTTACTTTTACATATGTTATAAACTCTACTGATCATTGGTACTATCTTTTCTTTAGACAGCAATTATCTTTTTTTTTTAACCTGGGAAAATGTTTTTTTTACTTGATTAATAGGAAAATGAAAATATTCTGTTTAAATATTTTCTAGTTTAATCTATTTGCAAACTAAATATATTTTGCAGTCAGCTATCTTTTTTTTTTTTTTTAACCTAGGATTTGAGGAAGGATGTTCCACAGAAATAGAACAGTATGAACACAAGTAGAGCAACAAAAGAAAGTGTGGTTCAACCTTACCAGGAGATATGTAGGTGTAGAAGCACTAAAAAGTAAGACCATGGAGGGCCTGGCTTACTTGATATTTATTTATTTATTTTTTATAATACTTTAAGTTCTGGGGTACATGTGCAGAACATACGGGTTTGTTACATAGGTATACACGTGCCATGGTGGTTTGCTGCACTCATTAACCCATCATCTACATTATGTATGTCTTCTAATGCTACCCCTCCCCTAGCCCCCATCCCCCAACAGGCCCCAGTGTGTGATGTTCCCCTCCCTGTGTCCATGTGTTCTAATTGTTCAGCTCCCACTTATGAATGAGAACATGTGGTGTTTGGTTTTCTGTTCTTGTGTTACTTTGCTGAGAATGATGGTTTCCAGCGTCATGCATGTCCCTGCAAAGGACATGAACTCATCCGTTTTTATGGCTGCATAGTATTCCATGGTGTATACGTGCCACATTGAGTCAGCTATTTTTTTTGAGAGGCTAAAATTAAGAAAAAATTTGCTGGGCACTGTGGCTTATGCCTGTAATCCCAGCACTTTGGGAGGCTTAGGTGAGAGGATCGCTTGAGGCCAGGAGTTTGAGACCAGCCTGGGCAACATAGTGAGACCCATTCTCTACAAAACATTAAAAAAAATATTAGCTGGGTGTGGTGGCTCAAACCTGTAGTTCCAGCCTCTTGGTAGACTGAGATAGGAGGATTGCCTGAGCCCAGGAGGTCAAGGATTCAGTGAGCTGTGATTGCACCACTGCACTCCAGCCTGGGCAACAGAGTTAGACACTGCCTAGGCAACAGAGTTAGACCGTGTCTCTAAAAAATAAAAGAAATAAAAACAATCTGTCTTTTATTATCCACATTTTAATCATTTCTAGAGCTCTTTCTTTCTGTAGATCTGAATTTCCTTCTAGTACCAGACTCCTGCCTGAGGTCTTTATTTAACATCATCATAGTATGGTATGTTGGCAATGAATTTTTTCAGTTTCTGTGTGTCTGAAAAATTCTTTATCTTACCTTCATTTTTTAGCAGATACTTTCACTTGTATAGAATTCCATGTGGACAGTTTTTTCTGTCAGTGCTTTAATGGTGTCACTCCATTTTCTTTTGCATTGCATTCTTTCTGTTGAGCAGTGCGCTGTCATTCTTAGCTTTGTTCTGTGTTTTTTTTTTTTCCCCCCCCTCTGGCTGCTTTCAGAATTTTCACTGTATCCTTGGTTTTTAGTAGTTTTACTATGATGAGGTGTGCCATCCACCCCATCATAGTAAACTACTGAAAATCAAAGATACAAGTGCCTGACCACTTCTACCCCTCATCCCCTACTTGGGATTTTCTGAGGTTCTTTGAACTGTGGTTTGCTCTTTTTAATTAATTTTGGAAAATTCGTAGCTATTATCTCTTCAAACTTTTTTTTTCTGCTTCCTTTTCTCTCTCTCCTACTTTTGGGATTCAAAATATATGTTATACTGTTTACTATTATCCTATAGCTCTCATATGCTTTTTTTTTTCCTTGTTATTATTTTGGATCATTTCTACTCACCTATCTTCAAGTTTGTAAATCATTTTCTCTGCTGTGTTCAGTTTGTTGATAAACCTTATGATGAAATTCTTCCTTTTTGTTATCCTTTTGATTTCTAGCCTTTCCATTTGACTCATTTTAAAGAAAAAGTTTCCATTTCTCTTTTACAATTATTTATTCATTCATGTTGTCTACCTTTTTCTCTAGATTAAAAACTTAATTATAGTTATTTTAAGTCCCTATCTGATAATTTTAACATCTGCATCACATCTGTTTCTGGTAATGTTGACTACTTTATCTTTTGACCAAGAGTCTTCATTTTTTTTCTTGCTTTTTGTCTGATAATTTTTGATTCAATGCCAGATAATGCATATAAAAGAACAGTAGAGACTGAGGCAAATAGTATTTATGCTTGGAAATGGAGACTCTTCTGTTGGGATGTTAGTGTGGGTAGTTGAGTCAATGCAGTCAGTAATTGAGCTAGATCTGAGTTTTGTTCTATGACAGCTTCAAATTCTTCCAGTGGTGGCTTGCTGCTACCTTTGCTTAGTGGTGAGCCTGGAGAGATGAAGGGTTTTCCTCAAGTTTCCATTTCATCCTCAGCTTTCAGCTGGTCCCATATGCTTACTCTAGAGAATGGGTCTCTCTCAATGCTGTTGCCCCTCTTTGAGGGCTAGACTGCTGTTGCTTATTACTCAGTGTGAAGCTTGTGGTGTGGTGGAGGATCTCAGTCTTAGGTAGGCCCTGTGTATCTGGGTCCCAGGTATGAGACTTTTTCTGTCTCATATTTGTTGGGACTCTTGGGTAGGAGAGCATTTTCTGTCCCTCCTCCAGGGCAGCAGGCCTCTATATCTATGCAAGATTCTGTAACTGAAAAGGTTTTCTACCCCTTCACCCAGAGGCAGACATATTTTGCTTCTATCTCTCCTTTAGTTAAAGCGCACCTTTTAAGGAGGAAGTGGCTTCCTCCTTAGTGGCTTATGACTTCTCTTTTTTATGAGAGAAGGGCCTGGGAAGTAGGCAAGATTTCATGCCTGTGCACAGTGTAGGGGGCTCTCTTTTATCTGTTGTTTGGTCTTAATCTCTCTTGTGAGCACCATGGGGAAAAAAATGAGGAGTGAGTGCAGACTCTCCTTGTGGCTGGGGCTCTTGGGAATTCTAAACTTTCTTGTTAGCCCATATCCAACATTAAAAAATTTGTTAAAATGTTAGCTGTTTTCTTTTTATTTACTTTTTTGATGGCTACCTTTTCAATCTGTCCTCTGCTAAAGAAGAAATGCTTTGTGTGTTCTATCTGTTCTTGGAGGGACTAGTCACACTTTGAAATTAAGTTCACCATTTGCCTTGCAACCTCAGCTCTCTGATGGGTTGGAGAAAAGTTATGATTTTGTAGATTATCTGGCTTTTTCCTTTTAGTATGGGAGTGATGCTTATTTGTAGTTTTCTGCATCCTGAGAAGTAATGGAATTCCTAGATGATATTTTAAGTGACACTGGTCAGTTGCAGTGTGTCCAGGGTGATCAGGAGGATTCTAGAAATCCTTCCAAATGGGAAGCAATGAAACAAACAAGGAACATTTATACTGCAGAAGAGAAATGATGTTGGAGAGAGGAACATGGTGTATGATAGTCACTGTACATAGCTGTGAGATTGATGTGATGAGGTAGGTGTAGACTTTTACCTGACATTTCTAATGGCATTAATCAATTAACCGATCAGTTATTTAGCCCCTCCTCTGTGCTAGGTACTAGGAATGCAAAGACAAATGAGTTCCTATCACTACTCTTAGGAGCTCCCAATCTAGAATTATGAATTACAGCTAATGATGGTAATTATAAGGTGGCAGACTTCAGTTTAATCTAAGAAAGAACTTGCCAATGTTTAAAGACGTTGAAAGTGGGATAGACAATGTGGAACGGATGTGAGCTTTTAGAGTTGTAGTGACCAAAATTCAAAACCTGGCTGTACTATTTTCTAGAAGAGAGAACATAGGCAAGTTAACATCTTTCTTTGAGGCCTAGTTTCCTCATCTGTAAAATGAGGATGATAATACTTTCGTTAAAGGATGATTGAGTAGATGCAAAGAAATGAAGTATGTAATGTGTCCAAGTCATTTACTTTTCTTTTTATATTTCCTTAAAGTTGTATACTCTTGTCAGTAGAGAGATTTAAGCAGAATATCAGCCAGGGTGGAGTGGATTCTTGTTCTCCTCCATAGGAGATGGGACAGGATGATCTACTGGTCCTTTTCAGTTAGTCCTGAGGGGCTGGGATTTAAGCATCCATGGGTATCTGATGAGAAGGGACAGTCTCTGATTCTGATGGGGAGGAGTTTGGTGGGCCCTGGGCTGTCTGCTCTCCATGGCCCTATGAGAGAGTTCTAGAGAAAACTATGGAGCAACCACACTTTTCTTACATGATTACTAAGGGAGAAGATGCAGGCAGCTACCGGAAGGGGAGCTGACTCTTGGAAGAAGGGAAAGGCTTAGGGTGAATTTCTCATTTTCTACAGCTTTTCTCTTGAGTACAGCCTTCAGTCTGTGCCATGTGGGAAGATAGATAACTTGATAGAAAATATGTATCTTGGTTGGCTTGGATAACCAGAGACTAGAGTTCAGGACAACCTTAGCTGCTGGAAGGAGTGGGGTCTCTGAAAGGAGTGAGCCACAGAGTGGAGCCCCAAATTCCATGTATAAAATCTACCTAAATCTAAGCTGGACTTTGAACTTCATGTGTGGTGCAGATTCCACACTGGCTAGATAAGGCTGAAACAATTGAACTGAAATATGAACTGCTGCCTACCTTAGGGGAGACAGTGTTTTGCAGTTTGATTTCAGTGAAGTTAACTGTGTGCTTTAAAAAAGTGACTTCAAAGAAAATTAGGAGAAGCTGTAGTTTCTACAACATATCATTCAAGAGATCCAGGATGCAACCTAAAATTACTTACTGCATGACGAAACACAATCAACAGAGATCAACTGCAGGAATACCTGGATGATGGAATAGCAAGCAATGATTTGATGAAAGTAGCTGTTATAAGTGTGCCCAAGGACATAAAGGGAAATACATTTGCTCATCATATAGGGAAAGATTGGAAATCCCAGCAGAGAAATAGTGAACATTCTAGGACTGAAAATTATAATATCAAACAAAAAAATTCACTGGATGAGCTTAATGGTAGAATGGAGATGACAGCGCAAGAGTCAGATTAATGAAAGATCAATAGACATTATTCAGTCTTGAAAAAATTGTGAACAGGGATGCAGGGATCAGTGGGACAATATCAGAAGCTCTAATACATGTTGTCATAGGATGGGGTGGGGGTGAATGAAAAAATAATGGCTGAAAATATCCCAAATTTGATGAATGATATAAATGTAGAGTCAAGAAGCTCAATCATTAAGCAGGATTAATTTAATGAAAACCACACCCAGGCGCATCTTGGTTAAACTTCCAAAAAGAAAAAAAAATCAAGATTGAAAACAACTAGAGAAAAAGTTGCACATTGCATCCAGGGAAACAACAACTTGAATTACCTTAATGTCTCATCAGAAATAGCAAAGACAGTGGGACATCTTTCAAGGGCATACAGATAGGAAAAACCAGAAAACTCTGTGAATCTAGAATTCTCTATCCAGAAGTATCCTTCAAGCATAAAGGTGAAATAAAGACATTTTCATGTAGAAGAAAACTAAGATGATTAATCGTCACATCTGCGTGCCAGGAACAGGTAAAGGAGGTTCTTCCAGTTGAAGAATGGACACTTATCCTCAGCAAGCAAACAGCATCAGCTGTGACTAGTATGTGAGTAAACAACAACAAAAAGACTATTCTTTCCCTTTGATTTTTAAAAAATCTACATGGCTATTTAGCCCCTGAACTCTGACATTGTATTTTGGAGTTTACAGTGTATGCATGTATAGTATATATGACACCTGAAGCATAAGGGGTGGGGTAACAGACCCATGTGGTTGCATGATTGTTTTTTTTTTTTTTGTCATTTTATGTGAAGTGGTGCAGTGTTAGCTTTAGGCAGATTGCAACAAATTAATAATGTATATCGTAATACTAGAATAGTTCCTAGAAGGCAGTGCAAGAGGTATTACTCAAAAGCCTATAGATAAATTAAAATTCTAAAATTCTAAAAAATACTTCAAAATTCTAAACTAAAATTCTAAAAAAAAACTTCAAAAGAAGGCCAGAAACTAGGAAGAAAGGAATAAAACTGATTAGAAACAAACAGAAAACAAAAGTAAAATGGGGCCAGGCATGGTGGCTCACACCTGTAATCCCAGCACTTTGGGAAGCTGAGGTGAACTGATCACCTGAGGTCAGGAGTTCGAGACCAGCCTGGACAACATGGCGAAACCCTGTCTCTATTAAAAATACAAAAATTAGCTGGGTGTGGTGGCGGGTGTCTGTAATCCCATTTACTTGGGAGGCTGAGGCAGGAGAATTGCTTGAACTGGGGAGGCAGAGGTTGCAGTGAGCTGAGATCATGCCACTGCACTCCAACCTGGGAGACAGAGCGAGACTCTGTCTCAATTAAAAAAAAAAAAAAGTAAAATGGTAGACTTGACTCAGAACTGTATCAATAATTACACTAAATATTAATGGACTAAACACCCACTGAAATGAGACCAATAAAGCCTGACTTTTTACTTTTCAGGGAGGTTAAAATGGCTGTGTAACTGCTTTGGGATTTTGGGAGGCAGCCTGGCTATGAAAACCCATGTTCTAGCCCTGCAACATTGATACTATGGGCAAGATAAAGGGAAATGACTTTCTTAGTGCAGATGTGAGGCATGGCTTCTGGTTTGTCCAGGTCTCCTGGCCCTGGTCCAACTCTACATAGTTTTCAGTGAGAGCCACAACTGGCTCTCCTTCAATATTGAGAATCAGCTAGAGCTGGGATTGAGGCGAGTGGCCAGATGCCTACATGTCTTTTCTCCTGCTTTGCCCAGCTGCGATTTGTCCACCCTTTAAGCAAGTGCCTCTGTTTTCGCTAAGCTCTTTTCCTCTTCTTTTAAAGCTAGATAATGTATACAGCTGTATGTCGATCTGTTAAGTCCCACTGTCTTCCATCTGCGTCCTCAAGAGGTTTCAAGGACCAAGGTGTTTTGATGTGTCCTTTCAGACTGATATGAAGGAGGCCTGGCATGAGTGACTTTACTAAGTTGTGTCTAAATCTTCCAAGACACCCCTTGGCATAGAGGATGTAGCCAGCGAAATGTTTCGTAGTTCTCTGATGAGGGAAAGGGTATGCACTGCACTGCTTCATCGGACAAACAACACTCATGCCCCCTTACCCTCCTCCAGAGAAAGGATTGGGAAATGTATACAACTTAGAAAAAAAAGTAAATTAGGTGATTGTCAGTGGTATGATTTTTTTTTTTTTTTTTTTGGTCCTTGTCTTCCTTGCCTGATTTGCCTGATCTCTGCTAAAAAACTTTTAGAAGTACCTCCCTGAAAATTAGTCTAACTAAGGCAGTTTGGGGGTTAAGTGTGGCCAAGAGGGTGCTGGCATAGTGGGAGAAGAATGCTATTTCCAAGCACTTTGCCAGGAGAGCAAAACTGTATGTGTTTCAATAAAAATTTGCACTGGATAACATAAAATTATTCTTCAGTGTTTACTTGACTTGAATCCTATATAAGGGTCTACATTCAGTCATTGATTCAGTCATTATCAGTCATGTGACTTCTGTCTTATATCTTTTTGAAATGAGATGGAGTATGACTTTATTTTGTATTTTTATTTTTTTGTTTTTTTATTATTATACTTTAAGTTTTAGGGTACATGTGCACAATGTGCAGGTTAGTTACATATGTATACATGTGCCGTGCTGGTGTGCTGCACCCATTAACTCGTCATTTAGCATTAGGTATATCTCCTAATGCTATCCCTCCCCACTCCCCCCACCCCACAACAGTCCCCAGAGTGTGATGTTCCCCTTCCTGTGTCCATGTGTTCTCATTGTTCAATTTCCACCTATGAGTGAGAACATGTGGTGTTTGGTTTTTTATCCTTGCGATAGTTTACTGAGAATGATGATTTCCAATTTCATCCATGTCCCTACAAAGGACATGAACTCATCATTTTTTATGGCTGCATAGTATTCCATGGTGTATATGTGCCACATTTTCTTAATCCAGTCTATCATTGTTGGACATTTGGGTTGGTTCCAAGTCTTTGCTATTGTGAATAGTGCTGCAATAAACATACGTGTGCATGTGTCTTTATAGCAGCATGATTTATAGTCCTTTGGGTATATACCCAGTAATGAGATGGCTGGGTCAAATGGTATTTCTAGTTCTAGATCCCTGAGGAATCGCCACACTGACTTCCACAATGGTTGAACTAGTTTACAGTCCCACCAACAGTGTAAAAGTGTTCCTATTTCTCTACATCCTTTACAGCACCTGTTGTTTCCTGACTTTTTAATGATCGCCATTCTAACTGGTGTGAGATGGTATCTCATTGTGGTTTTGATTTGCATTTCTCTGATGGCCAGTGATGGTGAGCATTTTTTCATGTGTTTTTTGGCTGCATAAATGTCTTCTTTTGAGAAGTGTCTGTTCATGTCCTTTGCCCACTTTTTGATGGGGTTGTTTGTTTTTTTCTTGCAAATTTGTTTGAGTTCATTGTAGATTCTGGATATTAGCCCTTTGTCAGATGAGTAGGTTGCGAAAATTTTCTCCCATTTTGTAGGTTGCCTGTTCACTCTGATGGTAGTTTGTTTTGCTGTGCAGAAGCTCTTGAGTTTAATGAGATCCCATTAGTCAATTTTGGCTTTTGTTGCCATTGCTTTTGGTGTTTTAGACATGAAGTCCTTGCCCATGCCTATGTCCTGAATGGTAATGCCTAGGTTTTCTTCTAGGGTTTTTATGGTTTTAGGTCTAATGTTTAAGTCTTTAATCCATCTTAAATTAATTTTTGTATAAGGTGTAAGGAAGGGATCCAGTTTCAGCTTTCTATATATGGCTAGCCAGTTTTCCCAGCACCATTTATTAAATAGGGAATCGTTTCCCCATTTCTTGTTTTTGTCAGGTTTGTCAAAGATCACATGGTTGTAGTTGTGTGGTGTTATTTCTGAGGCCACTGTTCTGTTCCATTGATCTATCTCTCTGTTTTGGTACCAGTACCATGCTGTTTTGGTTACTGTAGCCTTGTAGTATAGTTTGAAGTCAGGTAGCATGATGCCTCCAGCTTTGTTCTTTTGGCTTAGGATTGGCTTGGCGATGTGGGCTCTTTTTTGGTTCCATATGAACTTTAAAGTAGTTTTTTCCAATTCTGTGAAGAAAGTCATTGGTAGCTTTATGTGGATGGCATTGAATCTATAAATTACCTTGGGCAGTATGGCCATTTTCACGATATTGATTCTTCCTACCCATGAGCATGGAATGTTCTTCCATTTGTTTGTATCCTCTCTTATTTCATTGAGCAGTGGTTTGTAGTTCTCCTTGAAGAGGTCTTTCACGTCCCTTGTAAGTTGGATTCCTAGGTATTTTATTCTCTTTGAAACAATTGTGAATGGGAGTTCACTCATGATTTGGCTCTCTGTTTGTCTGTTATTGGTGTATAAGAATGCTTGTGATTTTTGCACATTGATTTTGTATCCTGAGACTTTGCTGAAGTTGCTTATCAGCTTAAGGAGATTTTGGGCTGAGACAGTGGGGTTTTCTAGATATACAATCATGTCATCTGCAAACAGGGACAATTTGACTTCCTCTTTTCCTCATTGAATACCCTTTATTTGCTTCTCCTGCCTAATTGCCCTGGTCAGAACTTCCAACACTATGTTGAATAGGAGTGGTGAGAGAGGGCATCCTTGTCTTGTGCCAGTTTTCAAAGGGAATGCTTCCAGTTTTTGCCCATTCAGTATGATATTGGCTGTGGGTTTGTCATAGATAGCTCTTATTATTTTGAGATATGTCCCATCAATACCTAGTTTATTGAGAGTTTTTAGCATGAAGCATTGTTGAATTTTGTCAAAGGCCTTTTCTGCATCTATTGAGATAATCATGTGGTTTTTGTCTTTGATTCTGTTTATATGCTGGATTACATTTATTGATTTGCGTATATTGAACCAGCCTTGCATCCCAGGGATGAAGCCCACTTGATCATGGTGGGTAAGCTTTTTGATGTGCTGCTGGATTTGGTTTGCCAGTATTTTATTGAGGATTTTTGCATCAATGTTCATCAAGGATATTGGTCTAAAATTCTCTTTTTTGGTTGTGTCTCTGCCCGGCTTTGGTATCAGGATGATGCTGGCCTCATAAAATGAGTTAGTGAGGATTCCCTCTTTTTCTATTGATTGGAATAGTTTCAGAAGGAATGGTACCAGTTCCTCCTTGTACCTCTGGTAGAATTTGGCTGTGAATCCATCTGGTCCTGGACTCTTTTTGGTTGGTAAGCTATTGATTATTGCCTCAATTTCAGAGCCTGTTGTTGGTCTATTCAGAGATTCAACTTCTTCCTGGTTTAGTCGTGGGAGGGTGTATGTGTCAAGGAATTTATCCATTTCTTCTAGATTTTCTAGTTTATTTGCGTAGAGGTGTTTGTAGTATTCTCTGATGGTAGTTTGTATTTCTGTGGGATCAATGGTGATATCCCCTTTATCATTTTTTATTGCGTCTATTTGATTCTTCTTTTTTTCTTTATTAGTCTTGCTAGCGGTCTGTCAATTTTGTTGATCCTTTCAAAAAACCAGCTCCTGGATTCATTAATTTTTTAAAGGGTTTTTTGAGTCTCTATTTCCTTCAGTTCTGCTCTGATTTTAGTTATTTCTTGCCTTCTGCTAGCTTTTGAATGTGTTTGCTCTTGCTTTTCTAGTTCTTTTAATTGTGATGTTAGGGTGTCAATTTTGGATCTTTCCTGCTTTCTCTTGTGGGCATTTAGTGCTATAAATTTCCCTCTACACACTGCTTTGAATGTGTCCCAGAGATTCTGATATGTTGTGTCTTTGTTCTCGTTGGTTTCAAAGAACATCTTTATTTCTGCCTTCATTTTGTTATGTACCCAGTAGTCATTCAGGAGCAGGTTGTTCAGTTTCCATGTAGTTGAGCAGTTTTGAGTGAGTTTCTTAATCCTGAGTTCTAGTTTGATTGCACCGTGGCCTGAGTGACAGTTTGTTATAATTTCTGTTCTTTTACATTTGGTGAGGAGAGCTTTACTTCCAACTATGTGTTCAATTTTGGAATAGGTGTGGTGTGGTGCTGAAAAAAATGTATATTCTGTTGATTTGGGGTGGAGAGTTCTGTAGATGTCTATTAGGTCCACTTGGTGCAGAGCTGAGTTCAATTCCTGGGTATCCTTGTTAACTTTCTGTCTCGTTGATCTGTCTAATGTTGACAGTGGGGTGTTAAAGTCTCCCATTATTATTGTGTGGGAGTCTAAGTCTCTTTGTAGGTCATTCAGGACTTGCTTTATGAATCTGGGTGCTCCTGTATTGGGTGCATATATGTTTACGATAGATAGCTCTTCTTGTTGAATTGATCCCTTTACCATTATGTAATGGCCTTCTTTGTCTCTTTTGATCTTTGTTGGTTTAAAATCTGTTTTATCAGAGACTAGGACTGCAACCCCTGCCTTTTTTTGTTTTCCATTTGCTTGGTAGATCTTCCTCCATCCTTTTATTTTGAGCCTATGTGTGTCTCTGCACGTGAGATGGGTTTCCTGAATACAGCATGCTGATGGGTCTTGACTCTATCCAATTTGCCAGTCTGTGTCTTTTAATTGGAGCATTTAGTCCATTTACATTTAAAGTTAATATTGTTATGTGTGAATTTGAACCTGTCATTATGATGTTAGCTGGTTATTTTGCTCGTTAGTTGATGCAGTTTCTTCCTAGCCTCGATGGTCTTTACATTTTGGCATGATTTTGCAGTGGCTGGTACCGGTTGTTCTTTTCCATGTTTAGTGCTTCCTTCAGGAGCTCTTTTAGGGCAGGCCTGGTGGTGACAAAATCTCTCAGCATTTGCTTGTCTGTAAAGTATTTTATTTCTCCTTCACTTGTGAAGCTTAGTTTGGCTGGATATGAAATTCTGGATTGAAAATTCTTTTCTTTAAGTATGTTGAATATTGGCCCCCACTCTCTTCTGGCTTGTAGAGTTTCTGCTGAGAGATCTGCTGTTAGTCTGATGGGCTTCCCTTTGAGGGTAACCCGACCTTTCTCTCTGGCTGCCCTTAACATTTTTTCCTTCATTTCAACCTTGGTGAATCTGACAATTATGTGTCTTGGAGTTGCTCTTCTTGAGGAGTATCTTTGTGGTGGTCTCTGTATTTCTTGAATCTGAATGTTGGCCTGCCTTGCTAGATTGGGGAAGTTCTCCTGGATAATATCCTGCAGAGTGTTTTCCAACTTGGTTCCATTCTCCCCGTCACTTTCAGGTACACCAATCAGACGTAGATTTGGTCTTTTCACATAGTCCCATATTTCTTGGAGGCTTTATTCGTTTCTTTTTATTCTTTTTTCTCTAAACTTCCCTTCTCGCTTCATTTCATTCATTTCATCTTCCATCACTGATACCCTTTCTTCCATTTGATTGCATTGGCTCCTGAGGCTTCTGCATTCTTCACGTAGTTCTCAATCCTTGGCTTTCAGCTTCATCAGCTCCTTTAAGCACTTCTCTGTATTGGTTATGCTAGTTATACATTTGTCTAAATTTTTTTCAAAGTTTTTAACTTCTTTGCCTTTGGTTTGAATTTCCTCCTGTAGCTCGGAGTAGTTTGATCTTCTGAAGCCTTCTTCTCTCAACTCGTCAAAGTCATTCTCCGTCCAGCTTTGTTCCGTTGCTGGTGAGGAACTGAGTTGCTTTGGAGGAGGAGAGGCGCTCTGCTTTTTAGAGTTTCCAGTTTTACTGTTCTGTTTTTTCCCCATCTTTGTGGTTTTATCTACTTTTGGTCTTTGATGATGGTGATGTACAGATGGATTTTTGGTGTGGATGTCCTTTCTGTTTGTTAGTTTTCCTTCTAACAGACAGGACCCTCAGCTGCAGGTCTGTTGGAGTTTGCTAGAGATCCACTCCAGACCCTGTTTTCCTGGGTATCAGCAGCGGTGGCTGCAGAACAGCGGATTTTCGTGAACTGCGAATGCTGCTGTCTGATCGTTCCTCTGGAAGTTTTGTCTCAGAGGAGTACCCGGCCGTGTGAGGTGTCAGTCTGCCCCTACTGGAAGGTGCCTCCCAGTTAGGCTGCTCAGGGGTCAGGGGTCAGGGACCCACTTGAGGAGGTAGTCTGCCCGTTCTCAGATCTCCAGCTGCGTGCTGGGAGAACCACTGCTCTCTTCAAAGCTGTCAGACAGGGACATTTAAGTCTGCAGAGGTTACTGCTGTCTTTTTGTTTGTCTGTGCCCTGCCCCTAGAGGTGGAGCCTACAGAGGCAGGCAGGTCTACTTGAGTTGTGGTGGGCTGCACCCAGTTGGAGCTTCCCGGCTGCTTTGTTTACCTAAGCAAGCCTGGGCAATGGTGGGCGCCCCTCCCCCAGCCTCGCTGACGCCTTGCAGCTTGATCTCAGACTGCTGTGCTGGCAATCATCGAGACTCTGTGGGCATAGGACCCTCTGAGCCAGGTGTGGGATATAATCTCCTGGTGTGCCGTTTTTTAAGCCCTTTGGAAAAGCGCAGTATTAGGGTGGGAGTGACCCAATTTTCCAGGTGCCGTCTTTCACCCCTTTCTTTGACTAGGAAAGGGAACTCCCTGACCCCTTGCGCTTCCCGAGTGAGGCAATGCCTCATCCTGCTTCAGCGCGCGCATGGTGCGCTGCACCCACTGTCCTGCACCCACTGTCTGGCACTCCCTAGTGAGATGAACCTGGTACCTCAGATGGAAATGCAGAAATCACCCATCTTCTGCGTCGCTCACGCTGGGAGCTGTAGACCGGAGCTGTTCCTATTCGGCCATCTTGGCTGCCCTCTCTGGAGTATGACTTTAAAATAAACCTGTTGTCTTGGGAAAGTTAGCTTCTCTGGATCTTGTTAATAAAATGAGTTAATTGGACACCCTTGGAGAGTTTGGGTCAGTATGACCATGGTATGGGGTGAGGCCTAGACATCTATATTTTTCACAAGCTTCAAAGGTGATCTTTTTGCTGATCTGTAAGGGATTCACCAGATTGTAACATTCTGCAATTCCATGATTTTACATAAATGTCAGGAAAAATTATTTTTGCGTATAAAATTTCCCTTTTAAACTGGTTGGTCCATTTAGGATCATGTGGTCTTTTTATTTTAATATCCCTTGGGTCCTCTCTCTGGCAACCTCTCTCTCAAAAATTCATGTGATCATTTTGATTGACTGATCCAAGGAATGGAAATAGTCCACAAAGATTTTCTACTCAACTCTAGAAGCAAAAGCTTTGGTACCACCCAGATGGGGAGATTCTCTATGCCGTCCTGACTTGTCTCAGAACTGTCACATGACCTTGGCAGGTCGGAGGTTCTTTGTGGGTTTGGGGGAATGGTTTTGTTTCCTAGGTTGTGTCAAGATTCCATGAAAGTTCCTTTAAGAATAGAGTTTCCATTTAAAAGCACCAAGGCAGTTGTCAGAACAGGGGCTGAATACTGCTTTCTTTCACTGGGGATTACCTGGGCAGGTTGGCAGCCATTCATGGAGGGTGCCTACCTGAAATTGTTGCTCTTGGCCTCTTAATTGGGTGCCAGTTTGACTGCATCAGTGAGAGTGTGTTGGTTAATCCGTTGCTTAACTTATTCTTTTTGGCACAGCTGAGGGCATTTTCAAAGATAAAGTCTGTCAACAAAGGCTAAGTCCTAATCAAACAGGTGTAGATGACTTGGAGGTGCTGAAGTATGCGAGAGAACTGCATTGTGGGAGGAGCCCTCTAGTCAGGAAGGCTCTTCTAGAAGGAATGGGGCTAACAAGTGGCATATTTTACTAGCCAATAAATAAAGTCATGGAAAGGTATGTTATTTTTTTGCTGGTCAACCTCATTGTGAAACTCTGTACTTCCTACTTAGTTTTAAACTCTAAATCATTGGGGTCATGTATGATTAAAGGACAGAGGAGGCTGGGCACAATGGCTCATGCCTGTAATGCCAGCACTTTGGGAGGCCAAGGTGGATGGATGGCTTGAGACCAGGAGTTTAAGACCAGCCTAGGAAACATAGCGAGACCACATCTCTATAAAAAATTTAAAAATTAGCTGGGTATGGTTGTATGTGTCTGTGGTCCCGGCTTCTTGGGAGGCTGAGGTGGAAGAATTGCTTGAGCCTGGAAGGTCAAGGCTGCAGTGAACTGAGATCATGCCACTGCACTGCAGCCTGGGTGACAGAGTGAGATCCTGTAAGGAACTGAAATCATGTACTGGATTTCCCCTTAACACACTTATCAAAGTTCTCTGGGTAAGCTTTTAGGATGGAGGGCTTCTTTAAAACACAGCAGTATCAATGCTTTCTTCTTTTGATTCTTGATTCCCACAGCACTCACAGTTTATATTATCTGTCTCATTGCTCGTTCCTTCTCCTCTTCTCCTCTACCAAACTTCCTGAAAGAGTTATGTCCACTCGTGTTCTTCACATGCTCACCTCCCATTCACTCCTTACTCTTGGTCCTCTAAGTGTGATCTGTGGACCAGCAGCATGGGTATCTCATGGGAACTTGTTAGAAATGCTGAATCATGGGCCCCACCCCAGACCTACTGAGTTAGAATCCTCATTTTAACAAGATTCCCAAGTGATTAATGGCACATAAAAGTCTAAGAAGCACTGCTAAGACTAAAATACTTTCTTAAAGGCCTCACATGGCTTTCTAGGCACAAACTCCAATGGCAATTTCTCTCTTTGCCTTCTCCTTGACTACTCTACCATTTGCACACTTTTCTTCTTCAAAGCTTCTCTCCTTTTGACTTCTTTAATGCTTCTCTATCCAGTTTGCTGGCCATTTCTTCCCCGGGTAATTTTCTGGCTGCTTTTTTTCTTATCAACTCCAAAATACAGACATTTCCATTACTTTGTCTTCAGCCCCACTTTCTCTTTCTCCCAAGGTCCAGTTCCACTGTTTCAGTTGACGTCTGGACAGCTCTAGACATTGGCTGTCCTTCTGGAACCTCAGAAATACTCCATCCAAACCAACTTATCTTTTCCTTTACTCTGAGAGGCCACTACTCCTCTGGCCTTCCTTTGTTTAGTAAATGACATCCCATGGGGGGCCTCATCATGGTCAGTGACTTCCCCTTCCCTTGCTTCCTTCCCTACCTATCAGTCACCAGATTATACCTTCATCATTGGCTTATGTTCTAATTTTCTCATTTACTATTTATCAAGTTACTTCAACCTCTTTCCTGAACCATCTAAGAGCCTGATCATTGTAATTCTAGCTGCTGTCTTCTCTCTCTCTCTCTCTTGTCCTCTGCTATTAGTTATTTTTTTTTCTTCTAGATATTCTAATCATACCCTTACTCTGCTCCAAAGCACTGTTTTCTGTTGCCTTCAGAGTTAAGTCTGATCGGTTCAGCACAGGCATCAAGGCCTTCCACATTCAGGTGCCCTTGCCTTCCTTCAGCCACCTTTTCCAATATTCCCTGCAAGTGCTCTATGCTAGGCCAAACTGTGGCCCATTTCCTTTCTGTGGCATCCCCCTACTAACTAATGATTACTTTTAGAATCTGGAGTGAGATTCTAATACCAATTATCACAGGGATGGATAGTGACTAGCAGTTGTTTAGGAGCCAGTCTTGGGTTGGTTGCAAATAGATCAGGCCAAATGATCTTCCTTTTTTTGTTGGTTTTTTGACTTAACAGATAAGGAAAATGTGTTAAGCACCAAGCATTTAAAGTTCAGGAAGACATTCAAAACGGGATTTTTGCCAAACAACTCTATCAAAAGAGGGCACCTAAATGAAGCTATGTTGGTTTGGAGGAACTTGGTTTTGTGCCTGATTCTTGGCAAAAGAACCAGTGACTTAGGTGAAGATACAGAAAACGCATGTATTATATTTGTGGGACACAGAGCTGGAAAGGGCAGTTGAATCAGGTAATAGAATCATGATCCCCCAGTATTTTATCAGTTAGAACTTATGGGACAAATCAGAAGAGATAAAATTTAAGAAGATTATACTTGCACTTGGGCCCACTTTGCTTTGTTAAAGCAAAGTACCAGAATAGGGGTGATGTATGAGAAAACATGGTTGTATTTGGTGTCTTCAAATATCTGTTTGAGTGTTTAAGAAGCCCATGAAATTGTAGGTTCAATGACACAAGCACATTATCTTGAAAAAGGAGCAAGGCTACACCTAGGATATCGTGTTCAATTCTGGGCCATACATTTTAATTAGAAAGTAGACAAATTGTAGTCTTTTTAGGGGAAGCATGACCAGAGTCACTTGGCCAGGGTATGGCTGAGTGTGAAGAGCTTACTGGGTAGCTTTTGAGGTCCTTTTCAACCCAGCTTCACCCAGTTATAGCCTCCTTCGTGGAGGGGAATTGCTGTCTTATTATAGTTTCTCTGAAGACATTTAGCACAATGTTTTGCTCATAGTGTGTGTTAATAAATATTGTTGAATGAATGTTGTTAGTGTAATGTAAGTTTTGCCTCCTGGTTCAGAACATAACTTCCTTGAGGGCACCTACTGCATGTTATGTTTCTTTTTATATAATTCCAGCATCTTGCATAGGGTTGGATTTTCAGCAGGTGCTTTGTAAATACAGGCTGTGTTCGTAAAATTAAATGTTAGGAGAAATTAATTAAACATATACTTATTCTCCTAGTTTTCCCTTTCCTGTTATATAAAAACAAGAGAACACTGTGGTAAGAAGGAATGCTGGACTAGGAGTCAGAAGCCTTGGTTTCTAGGGCTGCCTCTTCTACTAACTAGCTTGCTTTGGGCAAGTAAGAACCTGTGTATAGGATCTGAAGAGGAGGGAGAAGTAGGATGAAAGGTGTCATGGCTGCTAAAATTTAGGGTCAGGCATCTGAATGCCCCAGCTGGGTTTCTCCCAGCCTTTTGGTATTCTTAAAGCTTTAAGATGACACAATTAAGACACTTAATCATTTGCAAGTTTAAGTTCCTTTCAATTGGCCTGGAAGCAGCAGAAATTGCATAGTTTGCTTCCTGGGAGATTGTAGCCCAAGACCAATAACTCACTTGTGTCTGTACAGCTGTTATATGCTATTCACTGGCAGGTGTGACTAATTCCACCACTGACACCACCTCTTGGATGAATGTGGGCTTCTGAGGCAACCCCTTCATAAATATCTGTGTGACAGAGCACTGTGGGAAGGGTGCTGGGCTCCTCTTTGTTGTTACTGGTGGGGCTCAATCCACTTCAGAGACTTGGATTAATGTTGGCATTATTTCTTGAGGGCACGTCTCTTCTCTGTGGGGCCTCTCCTGGCATATGCCCACAACTCCTGGGACTCTTTCTTTTTTCTCTCTTTCTCTGTATTGTCATAGCTCTCTGGAATGGGTAGACATGTTTCTGAAGGCTCTGAAAGCACATTTATTTTAAAAGCAACAAAGTAGTGGTGTTGAGAGGTCAAACCTGAAAACCTATGGCTGGGTTTGGGCATGCCACTATGTCAGAAAAAAGCACTGGGTTTCCTAGACAAGGGAGAAGTGGCTAAAAAAGCATGTAAAATTCTGATATCTTACTGTTCAGTCCTTCAAGAGTTAAAAGTTGTAGTGGCTTTTACCATTTAATTGTGTTTAGCTTTGTTATAAAAGAAAAAGAACTTAGGAAAAAAATCATGTTTCATTAATGTGCCAGCTTGGATTATTTTCCCCTGTCAGTTTAGCAATCAACAGCAATAAAAACCCAGATATAAAATTTTCATACATTTACAGTGATATAAAGACATTAAGCAAAAATCCTTTGAAACATTTTCCATTTTCATTTCACTTAGCAGGTGCTATATATCAAGCTATTATTTACCCAGCTAAAATGAGCTGGAAAGTGATCCAAGTTGGTGGAGTGCCTGCAGACGAATCACACAATTGTTTTCTCCTTCTGATTGTGCTCAGCTGAAGGGATTGGTTTTAGCACAAATCAGATCAAGGTGCTGCAAAAGTTACTCAGGATTGCTTGGAGACTGGTGAGGTGAGCTGTGCTCAGCTTGCCAGTGAGAAACCACATTTTAATGTCTTTGCTGATGGGATAGTTCACATATATGGAGGCAGTTTTGTTGAAGGCATGGCCAATGCTGTTCTCCAGGCTGATAGACTGAAGTGGCATGGATAACAAAGTAAGCAGATAACCCACAGGAGACTTTTGCTTTGCTTTGGGGTGTACACAGTATATTAGCAATAGCTTATATTTATATGGCCATTTTCAGTTTAAAAAGTGCTGTTTTGCACTCATGGCCCAATAGCTGGAACACCAATGAGGAAAGCCAGGCATTAGTCCCAATTTTGCCCTTAGAGATACATGACGTTAGGCAAGTCACTAAGTCACTTTCTTTTTCCTCATCTATAAAATGGAAGTAAATAAATGGATTCTTCCTAGATTGTAAGAGACTATGGGTTTGAAGTAATAGTTTTGAAAGTATCTTGAAAGGTTAAAAGCACTATACTGATCTATTTACTTACTTAAATACCTTTATTGATGACTTCCCTGCTAGGAGCTCTGCTGGACCTGGGGATACAGTGGTGGACAGGAGAGAAACCAGAGGCTTCCCTTATTTACCTTATGAGATTCATATTCTTTTCTTTTTCTTGGGGTGCTTTTAGTATGAATGTAATTTCTAGAATTTATATGAACTGGGTGTGATGTAATAGGTTTGAGCAGGGAGTAGAGGAAGGAACTATCATAAAATTATTTCATACATCTAAATAGTGATGTGGGAAACCATAAACTCAGTGTATTTATCTGAACTGTTTATGTTAACTGTATTTAACAGTGGGGTTTTTAGTCCTAGAACTCCTAGACGAGCTTCAGAGGGCCAAGGAGCAATCTGAGAACTGCTGAATTAATGTATACGCTCTTTTTCCCAGGGCAGCATGGTAACAGATATTTAAAAGGTTTCTTTTGTCAAATTGCCAGTCCTGGTACTACTGACTTGCAGAAAGTTGCATCTGTAAAATGTGGGAATCATATTAAATACTCTGAGAAGTCCTTTTTGGCCGTAAAATTCCATTATCATAATTTCATTTTTTCATTGTAGCAATGAAAGTATTTAATCCACTTTAGCCAGTCATTTATACAACCTCCTTCTAATCTAATAATGTTGAAATAATTTGAAAATGGTAGTTAGTCAAAGGCACATTTCTTTGACATTTCAGCTAATCTGGAAGTGGCTACATAGCCTGAAGAGAGAGAGTTTGGATAGGGGCATCTAGGAAGATTTAAATATCTGCATAATTTGACCCCATGGTTTGGGCTACTGCATGGGAGGTGTTCAGATCTGCCATCTTCAAGGACTGATTTG
The DNA here is from genome assembly GCF_000001405.40 of Homo sapiens. Lineage (NCBI taxonomy): Eukaryota > Metazoa > Chordata > Mammalia > Primates > Hominidae > Homo > Homo sapiens. The sequence goes on from NC_000010.11 coordinate 75,571,149, forward strand.
AGAATAGTTGGATGGTCCTTTATCTTTATAGTTTGGTTACTGACTTAGTGTAGTAGAGATATAGGTCAATTAACATGTGTGTGGCTCATAAGCACATGCTATGGGCTTTGGTTAAAGGAGTTGGATGTATAGAGGGAATTAGGTTAACATAAGGTTCTTTTAAAAAATTTCCAGTGTTCTGCCACATTGTGTGGAGAACACATTGTGTGGATTAAGGTGTCATGTAGTCACCACTGTGTGGTGAGTTTTCAGGCAGATGACAAATGGAGTGAACATTGGGTGTGATCTTCCTGGTAGGCATTTCTTTCATCCTTGCTGGGAAAAGCTGTGCTTTTGTTTGGACATCTCCACTTCTCTACCTTATACTCAACTCTGGCGGTTAAATCTGGATTATTTAAAGGCCGATGTTAGGATCCCATTCCCCTTGCTTGTGACTGGTTTAGTCATGGGCACGTAACACTGTTTGGATCAGTGAGCACAAGGGAAAATCTGCTAAGAGGCTTCAGGGAAAGGTACCTTGGCTTTTAAGAAGAGATACAAGTAACAGATGGTTCTACTTTTCCATTAGATTCTGTCAAGTCTACAAGAGACTTTTGGGACTCTAGTTATCTGACCACTGTGAGGTCTGATAGCTGGCACACTGAGGGTGGGAGAGGGAAAATATGGAAAGATCTAGAGACTTGACACTGCTTCCCCAGCACTGAGTTTTGAGCCTCTTAATCCTTTCTGATCCAAATGATCCCTGTTGCTTTAGTCTTTAGATCTAGAATACTTTATTTTTAAACTCTTAACATTCCCACTGTTATTATTATTATTATTATTTTGAAATGGAGTCTCGCTCTGTCACCAGGCTGGAGTGCAGTGGCACAATTTTGGCTCACTGCAACCTCTGCCTCCCGGGTTCAAGCGATTCTCTTGCCTCAGCCTCCTGAGTAGCTGGGACTACAGGTGCACACCACCACGCCCAGCTAATTTTTGTATTTTTAGTAGAGACGGGGTTTCACCATGTTGGCCAGGATGGTCTTGATCTCTTGACCTCATGATCCACCTGCCTTGGCCTCCCAAAGTGCTGGGATTATGGGCATGAGCCACCGTGCCTGGATTGTTATTATTTTTTAATAATCAACACTTATATAGATTTAACAACATGGAATAAAAACTCTACCCCTATTCCCTGTCTTCTTTTTCAGCTTTTTTTTTTTTCTTCAGTGCAGTTATCGCCATTTACCAGGTTGTATGTAACAAAGCACAGGCTTTGTTTTATTCTTTCTGGCACCCCCGGCAGATAGAACAATGCCTACCACATAGGAGAGAGTGCTCAATAGATATTTGTTGAGTGACTATTTTACCAATTCAGTTGATTTATTGCTTCCTCTATTCACTCTTTTAAGTTTCGATTTCTGCCAAGTACACTATTAATTTTGTACATCTTTCAGTGATTATTTAGATGTAGGAATTTTATAACTTTATTTGAAAATATCTTTACTTTGGCTTTCTTGCTGAAGGCTAAGTATAGTTTAGCTGGGTATAGAATTCTAGCTGATAGCTATTTTTCTCTGAACACTTTGAAGATACTATTCTGTTATGAACTGGATTGTTTCTTCCTAAAATTTATATGTTGAAGCCCTAGCTTCAGGGAGGTAATTAAGTTTAGATGAGGCCATAACGGTGGAGCCCTGATCCAGTAGTACTAGTGTCTTTATAAGAAGCAGAAGAGACACCAGAGGTTTATCTCTTTCTATGCAAGCATAGAGGAAAGAAAGGCCATGTGAGGACACAGCAAGAAGGCAGCCATCTACAATCCAAGAGCCCTCATCAGAAACCAAATTTTCTTTAACATTGATCATGGACTTCTAGCATCCAGAACTGTGAGTAAATGGACTTCTAGCTTCCAGAACTGTTTGTTCCTTAAGCCACCCAGTCTGTGGTGTTTTGTTGTGGCAGCCCCAACAGACTAATACAGATTTTGTTGTCTTCTGGAATTTGCTGTTACTGGTAAGAAGTTTGCTGTATGTCTTTCATTCCTTTGAGGATAATCTTTTCTATTTGCTTTAAAGATGTTTTTTCTCCTTTCAGGTTTTTCATTATAATATTACATATCAATGTGTGGATTTGTTTTATTTAAAATACTTAGGTCTAAATGACTTTATTCAGTCTAAGAATTCATGTATTTATTTATTTTTCCCCAGTTCTGGAAAATCCTCAGCTGTTCTCTTTTTGATTATTGTCATATTCTATTTCTCTTTATTCTTTTCTGGAATTCCTATTAGAATGTGTGATGGATCTTATTATGTCCTCCTAGCAATTTATCTTTATTTTATATATTCCATCTCTTTATCTCCCCATGCTGAGCTCTGGATCATTTTTTTCAGTTTTAGCCTATGATTCACAAATTCTCCTTTCAGTTGTATCTTATATTCTGTTGAGCCCATCCATCATATTTTAATTTTGAAGACTGTTTTTTAAGATGTTCTATTTATTCTTTTTAAAAATGTTTCCCCCATTGTGTCTTATTTCCTAATGGTTCCTATGCCTTTTTAACTTGTTTCAGATTTAAAAAATAACATTCAGTTCTACTTGATTAGCTGACTCTTTTCATAGTGATTTGTTTCCTTGTGTGGTTTATAATTTTTATTTTGTTTTTTTAACTGTGAGTTTATATTTGTTAAGAGGTGTGTCACAGGTCTTGGGTTCTGGAAGGATCACTATTTTTGAAAATTAGGAGTTTCATAGATCTAATACCAGTTTTATGCAATTTTTCAGCTTGGAGTTCAAATACCATGACTTTACATACACTAATAGAACAGGCTTGGGGTTTTTGTTTCTTGCAGAAGGCCTTTTTTTTTTTCTGCCCAGAGGCATGAGAAACAGCATGCCTCCTGGACTAGTAGAGTTTCTTTTGTCCCCCTTTTTATATATTGGGTAGCCCTTAGATATCCAGCTTTATGCAGAGCTCTTAGTTCCAGTTCCCCATACTGTGTGAATTCAAAGCAGCATGTCCTATCCCTCTGAAGGCATTAAACACCCAGATCCTAGGGCTTATATCCAGGTCTGATATTGCCATGGGCTCCTGTGGTATAGGCTTTGATTTTAGTCTTCTTTTCCCACTTACTTGGTAATTTCTTTCTCTCTCTCTCAATGCTCTTCTATGTACTAAGATTTTAGGGGAGAGTTATGTTTTATCCAGATTTCTTTAAGAGTGTTGTGATATAGGTTATACAGTGTAATCTGCTGTGTTGCTAGAGCTTAATTGAAGTTTGAAATCTCTCACTAAAGGGGTGAGTGATATCCTAATTGCCAAGCCCAGTGGAATGATCTCATTTCTAACCTTTCTGAACCCATGGCCACTACATTTGGGCCTGTTGGTCAGTCACTCATGTTTTAAAACTCCCCACTGCTTTGGCATCATTTTCCTGGCTCATCGAGTACCTTTCTTCTCACTCCTTTTCTGTCATCTTCATAGGCCCTTCTTCTTCCCCTCCCCTCAATGTTGGTATTACCAAGAGTCCTTAGCTCTCTGTCAGTTTCACACTTGTACTCTGTAATCTTATCCACCGTGGGGCTTCAGTTATTAGTATGCACTGATGAGTCTTTACCTGAGCCAAGGTTTCTTCCAGGACTTCCAGACTCAGGTGTTTAACTGTCCTGCTAGACATATTCCCTGAAGTCCCTTCAGGCACCTCATATTTAAAACTGCTGTATTAGTCCATTCTCACACTGCTATAAAGAAATACCGGAGACTGGGTAATTTATAAAGAAAAGAGGTTTAATTGGCTCACTAATCACTGTTCTGCAGGCTGTAGAGGAAGCATGGCAGCTTCTGCTTCTGGGGAGGCTGCAGGAAGCTTCCAATCATGGTGGAAGGCAAAGGAGGTGCCAGCACTTCACATGGCTGGAAGCAGGAGGAAGAGAGAGAAGGGAGAGTTGCCACACACTTTCAAATGACCATATCTCATGAGAACTCACTATGGCGACCAAGGGAGGTGATGCTAAACTATTAGAAACCACCCCTATGATCCAAGGACTTCCTACCAGGCCCTGCCTACAGCATTTGAGATTATAATTCATGAGATATTGGGTGGGGACAAATATCCAAACCATATCATTCTGCCCCTGGCCCCTTCAAAATCTCATGTCCTTCTCACATTTTGAAATACAATCATGCCTTCCCAACAGTCCCCTAAAGTCTTAACTCATTCCAGCATTTACTTAAAAGTCCATAATCCAGAGTCTCATTTGAGACAAGGCTAGTCTCTTCTGCCTATGAGCCTGTAAAATAAAAACAAATTATTTACTTCCAAGACAGAATAGGGGTATAGGCATTGGGTAAATACTCCTATTCCAAAAGGGAGAAATCTGCCGAAAGAAAGGGGCTGCAGGCCCCAGTGCAAGTTTGAAACACAGAAGGGCAGTCATTAAATCTTAAAGCTCAGGATGGCCAAATAGGAACAGCTCCAGTCTGTAGCTCCCAGCGAGATTGATGCAGAAGGCGAGTGATTTCTGCATTTCCAACTGAGGTACCTTGTTTGTCTCATTGGGACTGATTAGACAGTGGGTGCAGCCCAAGGAGGGTGAGCCGAAGCAGGAGGGGGCATCACCTCACCTGGAGAGTGCAAGGGGTTGGGGAACTCCCCCTCCTAGCCAAAGGAAGGCATTAGGGACTGTATCATGCACTCCGGCCCAGATACTGAGCTTTTCCCGCAGTTTTCACAACCCACAGACCAGGAGATTTACTCTGGTGCCCACACCACCAGGGCCCTGGGTTTCCAGCACAAAACTGGGCGGCCGTTTGGGCAGACACCGAGCTAGCCACAGGAGTTTTTTTTTTTTTTTCACTCCTCAGTGGCGCCTGGAATGCCAGTGAGACAGAACCATTCACTCCCCTGAAAAGTGGGCTGAAGCCAGAGAGCCAAGTGTCTGGCTTGGCGGGTCCCACCCCCATGAAAGCCCAGCAAGCTAAGATCCACTGGCTTGAAATTCTAGCTGCTAGCACAGCAGTCTGAGCCTGACCTGGGACACTCAAGCTTAGTGGGAGGAGGGGCATCCACCATTGCTGAGGCTTGAATAGGTGGTTTTGCCCTCACAGTGTAAACAAAGCCACCAGGAAGTTCGAACTGGGCAAAGCCCACCACACCTCAGCAAGGCCACTGCTGCCAGACTGCCTCTCCAGATTCCCTCCTCTCTGGGCAGGGCATCTCTCAAAAAAAGGCAGTAGCCCCAGTCAGGGACTTATAGATAAAACCCCCACCTCCCTGCAACAGGGCACCTGGGGGAAGGGGCAGTTGGGGGGTGCAGCTTCAGCAGACTTAAATGTCCCTGCCTGGCAGCTCTGAAGAGAGCAGCAGATCTCCCAGCACAGCGTTGGAGCTCTGATAAGGGACAGACTGCCTCCTCAAGTGGGCCCCTGACCTCCGTGTATCCTGACCAGGAGACACCTCCCAGTAGGGGCCAAAAGACACTTCATACAGGAGAGCTCTGTTTGGCATCTGGCAGGTGCTCAGTAAGGCCACTGCAGCCAGTGGGATGAAGCTTCCAGAGGAAGGAACAGGCAGCAATCTTTGCTGTTCTGCAGCCTCTGACAGTGATACCCAGGCAAACAGGGTCTGGAGTGGACCTCCAGCAAACTCCAGCACACTTGCAGCAGAGGGGCCTGTTAGAAGGAATACTAACAATCAGAAAGGAATAGTATCAACATCAACAAAAAGGATGTCCACTCAAAGACCCCAGCCGAAGGTCACCGACTTCAAAGACCAAAGGTAGATAAATCCATGAAGATGGGGAGAAACCAGTGCAAAAAGGCTGAAAATTCCAAAATCCAGAATGCTTCTTCTCTTCAAAAGGATCACAACTCCTCTCCAGCAAGGAAACAAAACTGGATGGAGAATGAGTTTGATGAGCTGACAGAAGAAGGCTTCAGAAGGTGGGTAATAATAAACTCCTCCCAGCTAAAGGAGCATGTTTTAACCCAATGCAAGGAAGCTAAGACCCTTGAGAAAAAGGTTAGACGAATTGCTAACTAGAATAACCAGTATAGAGAAGAACATATATGACCTGATGGAGCTGAAAAACACAGCACGAGAACTTCGTGAAGCATACACAAGTATCAATAGCCGAATCAATCAAGTGGAAGAAAGGATATCAGAGATTGAAGATCAACTCAATGAAATAAAGTGAGAAGACAAGATTAGAGAAAAAAAGAGGGAAAAGAAATGAACAAAGCCTCCAAGAAATATGGTAATATGTGAAAAGACCAAATGTACATTGATTGGTATACCTGAAAGTAACGGGGAGGATGGAACCAAGTTGGAAAACAGTATTCAGGATATTATCCAGGAGAACTTCTCCAACCTAGTAAGGCAGGCCAACATTCAATTCGGAAATACAGAGAACACCGTGAAGATACTCCTGGAGAAGAGCAACCCCAAGACACATAATTGTCAGATTCACCAAGGTTGAAATGAAGGTAAAAATATTAAGGGCAGCCAGAGAGAAAGGTCGGGTTACCCACAAAGGGAAGCCTATCACACTAACAGCAGATCTCTCAGCGGAAACTGTACAAGCCAGAAGAGAGTGGGGGCCAATATTCAACATTCTTAAAGAAAAGAATTTTCAACCTAGAATTTCATATCCAGCTAAACTAAGCTTCATAAGGGAAGGAGAAATAAAACCGTTTACAGACAAGCAAATGCTGAGAGATTTTGTTACCACTAGGCCTGCCTTACAAGACTCCCTGAAGGAAGCATTAAACATGGAAAGGATCAACTAGTACCAGCCACTGCAAAAACATACCAAATTGTAAAGACCATGGATGCTATGAAGAAACTGCATCAACTAACAGGCAAAATAACCAGCTAGCATCATAATGGCAGGATCAGTTTCACACATAACAATATTAACCTTAAATGTAAATGGGCTAAATGCCCCAATTAAAAGACACAGACTGGCAACCTGGATAAAGAGTCAAGACCCATTGGTGTGCTGTATTCAGGAGACCCATCTCATGTGCAAAGACACACAGAGGCTCAAAATAAAGGGATGGAGGTATATTTACCAAGCAAATGGAAAGCAAAAAAAAAAAAAAAAAAAAAAAAGCAGCAGTTGCAATTGAGTCTCTGATAAAACAGACTTTAAACCAACAAAGATCAAAAGAGACAAAAAGGCCATTACATAATGCTAAAGGGATCAATGCAACAAGAAGAGTTAACTATCCTAAATATATATGTACCCAGTACAGGAGCCCCCAGATTCATAAAGCAAGTTCTTAGAGACCTACAAAGAGACTTAGACTCCCACACAATAATAGTGGGAGACTTTAACACCCCACTGTCAATATTAGATCAATGAGACAGAAAATTAACAAGGATATCCAGGACTTGAACTCAGCTCTGGACTAAGTGGACCTAATAGACATCTGCAGAACTCTCCACCCCAAATCAACAGAATATACATTCTTCTCAGCACCACATCACACTTATTCTTAAATTACCACATAATTGGAAGTAAACCACTCCTCAGCAAATGCAAAAGAATGGAAATCATAACAGTCTGTCAGACCACAGTGCAATCAAATTAGAACTCAGGATTAAGAAACGCACTCAAAACCTCACAACTACGTGGAAACTGCCTGCTCCTGAATGACTACTGGGCAAATGATGAAATGAAGGCAGAAATAAAGATGTTCTTTGAAAAAAAAAAAAAAAGATGTTCTTTGAAACCAATGAAAACAAAGACACAGCATACAAGAATCTCTGGGACACATTTAAAGTAGTGTGTAGAGGGAAATTTATAGCACTAAATGCCCACAAGAGAAAGCAGGAAAGATCTAAAATTGACACCCTAACATGACAATTCAAAGAACTAGAGAAGCAGGAGCAAACAAATTCAAAATCTAGCAGAAGGCAAGAAATAACTAAGATCAGAGCAGAGCAGAACTGAAGGAGATAGAGACACGAAAAACCCTTCAAAAAAATCAATGAATCCAGGAGCTGGTTTTTTGAAAAGATCAACAAAATAGATAGACCACTAGCTAGACTAATAAAGAAGAAAACAGAGAAGAATCAAATAGATGCAATAGAAAATGATAAAGGGGATATCACCACTGATCCCACAGAAATACAAATTACCTTCAGGGGATACTACAAACACCTCTATGCAAATAAACTAAAGAATCTAGAAGAAATGGGTAAGTTCCTGGACACATACACCCTCCCAAGACTAAACCAGGAAGAAGTTGAATCCCTGAATAGACCAATAACAAGTTCTGAAATTGAGGTAGCAATTATTAGCCTACCAACCAAAAAAGTCCAGGACCCGATGGATTCACAGCTGAATCCTACCAGAGGCATAAAGAGGAGCTGGTACCATTTCTTCTGAAACTATTCCAAACAATAGAAAAAGAGGGAATCCTCCCTAACTCATTTTATGAGGCCAGCATCATCCTCATACCAAAACCTGGCAGAGACACAACAAAAAAAGAAAATTTCAGGCCAATATCCCTGATGAACATTGATGTGAAAATCCTCAATAAAATACTGGGAAACCGAATCCAGTGGCACATCAAAAAGCTTATCTACCATGATCAAGTCGGCTTCATCCCAGGGATGCAAGGCTAGTTCAACATACGTGAATCAATAAACATAATCCATCACATAAACAGAACCAATGACAAAAATCACATGTTTATCTTAATAGATGCAGAAAAGTCCTTTGACAAAATTCAACAGCCTTTCATGCTGAAAACTCTCAATAAACCAGATATTGATGGAACGTATCTCAAAATAATAAGAGCTATTTATGGCAAACCCACAGCCAATATCATACTGAATGGGCAAAAGCCGCAAGCATTCCCTTTCAAAACCAGCACAGGGCAAAGATGCCGTCTCTCACCACTCCTATTCAACATAGTATTGGAAGTTCTGGCCAGGGTAATCAGGCAAGAGAAAGAAATAAAGGGTATTCAATTAGGAAAAGAGGAAGTCAAATTGTCTCTGTTTGCAGATGACATGATTGTACAGTTAGAAAATCCCATTGTCTCAGCCCAAAATCTCCTTAAGCTGATAAAAAACTTCAGCAAAGTCTCAGGATACAAAATCAGTGTGCAAAATCACAAACATTCCTATACAGCAGTAACAGACAAACAGAGAGCCAAATCATGAGTGAACTCCCATTCACAACTGCTACAAAGAGAATAAAATACCAGGAATCCAACTTAAAAGGGATGTGAAGGACCTCTTCGAGAACTACAAACCACTGCTCAAGGAAATAAAAGAGGACACAAACAAATGGAAGAACATTCCATGCTCATGGATAGGAAGAATCAATATCATGAAAATGGCCATACCACCCAAAGTAATTTAAAGATTCAATGCCTTTCCCATCAAGCCACCATTAACTTTCTTCACAGAATTGGAAAAAACTACTTTAAAATTCATATGGAACCAAAAAAAGAGCCCGCATAGCCAAGACAATCCTAAGCCAAAAGAACAAAGCTGGAGGCATCATGCCACCTGACTTCAAACTATACTACAAGGCTACAGTAACCAAAACAGCATGGTACTGGTACCAAAACAGAGATATAGACCAATGGAACAGAACAGAGGCCTCAGAAATAATGCAACACATCTACAACCATCTAGTCTTTGACAAACCTGACAAAATCAAGAAATGGGGAAAGGATTCCCTATTTAATAAATGGTGCTGGGAAAACTGGCTAGCCATATGCAGAAAGCTGAAACTGGATCTCTTCCTTACACTTTATACAAAAATTAACTCAAGTTGGATTAAAGACTTAAACATAAGACCTAAAACCATAAAAACCGTGGAAGCAAACCTAGGCAATACCATTCAGGACATAGGCATGGGCAAAGACTTAATGACTAAAACACCAAAAGCTTTGGCAACAAAAGCCAAAATAGACAAATGGGATCTAATTAAACTAAAGAGCATCTGCACAGGAAAAGAAACTATTATCAGAGTGAACAGGCAACCTACAGAATGGGAGAAAATTTTTGCAAGCTATCCTTCTGACAAATGGCTAATACCCAGAATCTATGAAGAACTTAAATAAATTTATGAGAAAAAAACAACCCCATCAAAAAATGGGTGAAGTATATGAACAGACACTTCTCAAAAGAAGACATATATGCAGCCAATATACATATGAAAAAAAGCTCATCATCAATTGTCATTAGGTAAATGCAAATCCAAACCACAATGAGATACCATCTCACCCCAGTTAGAATGGTGATCATTAAAAAGTCAGGAAACAACAGATGCTGAAGAGGATGTCGAGAAATAGGAACACTTTTACACTGTTGGTGGAAGTGTAAATTAGTTCAACCATTGTGGAAGACAGTGTGGTGATTCCTTAAGGATCTAGAACCAGAAATCCCATTTGACCCAGTAATCCCATTACTGGGTATATACCCAAAGGATTATAAGTCATTGTACTATGCAGCCATAAAAAAAGGATGAGTTCATGTCCTTTGCAGGGACATGGATGAAGCTGGAAACCATCATTCTCAGCGAACACAAGAACAGAAAACCAAACACCATATGTTCTCAATTGTAAGTGGGAGTTGAACAATGAGAACACATGGGCACAGGGAGGGGAACATCACACACCAGGGCCTTTTAGGGGGTGGGGGGCTAGGGGAGGGATAGCATTAGGAGAAATACCTAATGTAGATGATGGGTTGATGGGTGCAGCAAACCACCATGGCATGTGTATACCTGTGTAATAAACCTGCACATTCTGTACATGTACCCCAGAAATTTATATATATTAAAAAATATCTTAAAGCTCCAAGATAGTATTCTTTGACTCCCTGTCTCACATCCAGGACACACTGATGTGAGGGGTGGGCTCCCAAGGTCTTGGGCAGTTCTGCCCCTGTGACTTTGTAGGGTTCAGCTCCCACAGCTACTGGGGCTGGCATTGAGTATCTGCAGCTTTTTCAGGGGCAGGGGGGAAGCTCTTGCTGGATCTACTGTTCTGGGTTCTTGAGAATGGTAGCCCTCTTCTCACAGCTCCACTAAACAGTGCCCCACTGGGGACTCTGTGTGGGGGCTCCAACTTCACATATCCCCTTTGCACTGCCCTAGTAGAGGTTCTCCATGAGGGCTCCATCCCTGCAGCAGGCTTCTGCCTGGACATCCAGGCTTTTGCATATATGCTCTGAAATCTAGGTGGAGTCTCCCAAGCCCCAGCTCTTGCATTCTGTGCACCCACAGGCTTAACACCACTTTGAAACTGCCAAGGCTTATGGCTTGCGGCCTCTGAAGCAGTGGCCCAAGCTGTCCCTGGGCCCTTTTTAGCCATGACTGGAGCTGGAGTGGCTGGGATACAGGGAGCAGTGTCCTGAGGCTGGGCAGGGTAGCAGGGGGCCTTGGGCATGGCCCACGAAACTATTCTGACCTCCTAGGCCTCCAGGACTGTGATGGAAGGGGCTGCCACAAAGGCCTCTGAAATGCTTTCAAGGCATTTCCCCCATTGTTTTGGTGATTAGCAATTGCCTTCCCTTTAGTTATGCAAATTTCTGCAGCCTGCTTGAATTTCTCCCCTGAAAATGGGCTTTTCTTTTTTACTACATGGCCGGGCTGCAAATTTTCTGAACTTTTATGCTCTGCTTTCCCTTTAAATATAAGTTCCTAGTTTACATCATTTATTTGCTCGTGCATATAAGCATAGGTTGTTAGAAGCAGCCAGGCCATACTGAACACTTTGCTTCTTAGAAATTTCATCTGTCAGATACCCTAAATCATCACTCTCAACATCCTTAGGGCAGGCTCTTTGTACTCAAGCTCTTTGCTAAAGCATCACAAAAGCAACTGCTCCAGTTCTCAATAAGTTTCTCATTTCCACCTGGGAACTTCTCAGCCTGGACTTCATTGTCCATATAACTATCAGCATTTAGGTCACAACAATTTAACAAGTCTTTAGGAAGTTCCAAATTTTCTCTTATCTTTCTGTCTTCTTCTGATCCCTCCACACTCTCCCAACCTCTGGCTGTTACCCAGTTCCACAGTTGCTCCCACATTTTCAGGTATCTTTATGGCAATGCCCTGCTGCTTGGCACCAATTTTCTGTATTGGTCCATTTTCATGCTGCTATAAAGAAATACCTGAGACTGGGTAATTTACAAGAAAAGAGGTTTAATTGGCTCACAGTTCTGCAGGCTGTGCAGGAAGCACAGCAGCTTCCATTTCTGGGGAGGCTTCAGGAACCTTCCAATCATAGTGCAAGGCAAAGGAGGAGCCAGAATTTCACATGGCTGGGAGCAGAAGGAAGAGAGAGAGAAGGGGTAGCTGCTACATACTTCTAAATGATCAACTCTCATGAGAACTCATTCACTATTGTGACCAAGGAAGACGGTGCTAAACCATTAAAAACCGTCCCCATGATCCAATCATGTCCTATCAGGCCTCACCTCCAGTATTGGGGATTACAATTCAACATGAGATTTAGTGGTGACAAATATCCAAACTCTATCAACCTCTAATGCTGACCTCACTGCCTTTCCTCCTGCCCACCATCAGCTTTCTCCTCCTCTTGTATTTTTTTCAATTGCTGTCACCCATCCGTCAGTTCTCATCAACTTCTCTTTCTCCTTCCCCAGTCTCACATTGCACCAAATCAGTCATTAAGTCCCAATTTTACCACCTAAACAGTTCTTGAATTAGTCTCCTCTTCATCCCCACTCGAGGTGTTCTGGTTCAGGCTGTCCTCCTGTTTTAGCAGGCCTATGGTTGATGCCTCCCTGCCTCTTCTGCCCTCAGTTGTGTCTCCCACACAGTTCCTTGATGACAGACTTGATGTGGTCATTCCCCTTCCCAGCCCCCCCATAGGGACTGTCCTTCCTCTCTGGGAGGAAGTCTCATGTCCTTCACGTGGTTCGCAAGGACCTGTGTGATCTGTTTTTCGCCTGTTCTTCCCTGCCCTCATTCAGACTTTACTCTAAGACAATATGGGCTGCTTTTTCCCACAGCTAGCCCCTTCCCCTGCCACCCCCTGCTCCCCATAGGCCTTTTATTGCTTCTGTGCTTTTACTCATGATGTTCCCTAGGCTAGGAGCTGCCTGCATCTTCACTTGACTGGCCAGTTTCTACTCATTCCTCATGGCATATTGCTTGAGTAACCTCTGCTAGGAATCGTCTCCTTATTCTACCTCCCCCCTAGAAAAAACTGGCTTACGTGTTCCTCTCCTGTGTTTCTACTGCTCTCCATGTATGTGTCTATCATTCTAAGCCTTTTTTTGTGTCTTTTTCCCCATACAATAACATGACCACCTTCAGGAAAGGAATTATGTTTTACTCAATTTGTATTTTGAGGACACAGCCTGGTGCATGGTGGGTGCTCAGTGAATGTTTAGGTGGATGTGTGGATGGGTAGATGAGTGAATGAATAAATGCAGAAATCATTCAGAGAATAGGAGTTTTGTTGGGCTAGTGAGGTCTGGGGTGGTCTCTTGAAGAAGGTAGCATGTGGTTTAGGCTGTGAAGGATTTGGCATGGGGTGGTGAAAGATATATGAGACAGAAAAACTAAACTGTGGGTAATTTTTTGTCTCCTTTTGGGTGCTTTGCAAGTCACTGACTGTAGCAGCAGGCAACTAATGGCCAACAGCATTCTGACAGTGCTTGCTGACAGGCGATAATGAGATTAGTGCCTTTTGATTCCATTATTAACAAGTAGCCAAAGAATCATTTGGACATGTCAGGAGCTAATGATAGGAATTAAGGGTCCCTCTAACTTTGGGGCAGCAGTTCAGGTACCTGATGCTTTGAAGACTAATTGCAGACATTTTTTCCTAAATGTTTTAAAATAAATGTTTTTGCTGACATAGAACATACATCCAAAAAAGTGCACAAATCCGAAGTGTCCAGCTCGATTAATTATCACAAAGTGAACACAGCAGTGTCATCACTATTCAGGTTAGGATATAGAATATTCCTGGCACCCAGAACCAGAGACCTCTCCTCTTGCTGGTCCCAGTCACCGCTTGTACCCTTTCTCTCACCAAGGGCAGCTGCACACTGTCCTGTCCTCTAGCAGCAGAAGTTAGTTTTGCCCCTGTTAAAACTTTGTGTAAATGGAATCATATAGCATATTGCTCAAAATGTCCTTGCTTCATTTGTTCAACACAATATCTGTTGGATTTATCCATGTTAATGTAGCAATGGTTTGGGCATTCTCATTGCTATACAGTGTCCCATTGTTTGGATATGCAAAATTTTAAAAAGCTAATCTGGAAATTTGGGTTGTTTGCAGTTTTTGGTTATTTTGAATAATGTTGTTATGAACATTCTTGTCTGTCTTTTGGTGAATGTACCCATGTCCATTGGGTACATGCTGAGGAGCGGAATTACTGGGTCATAAAGTATGTGCATGGTCAGTGTTAGTAGATACCACTCAACAGTTTTCCAAAGTAGTTCTGTCAATTTGTGTTTTTACCAACAGGGATGAAACTTCTACTTATGTCATACACTTGGCACTATTTATTTATTTATTTATACATTTTATTTTATTGTGGTAAGAACATTTAACATGACATCTACCCTCTTAAATTTTTAGGTGTGCAATACATTATTGTTGATTGTAGATACAGTGTTGTGCAGCAGATCTCTAGAGCTTATTCATCCTTCTTAACTGAAACTTTATGCCCATTGATTAATAACTTCTCATTTCCTTCTCCCCTCATCCCCTGGCAACCACTATTCAACTCTTTGATTCTATGAACTTGACTGTTAGATACTTCACATAAGTGGAATCATGCAGTCTTCTTTTTTCTGTGATTGACTTATTTCATTTAGCATAATGTCCTCAAGGTTCATCCATGTTGTTGCATATTGCAGAATTTCCTCCCTTTTTTTTAAGGGTGGGTAGTAGTCTATTGTATGTATATACCATGTTTTCTTTATCCATCTGTTGATTGACATTTAGGTGGTTTCCACATCTTGGCTATTGTGAATACTGCTGCAATGAACATAAGAGTGCTAATGTATCCCTTCAAGATCCTGATTTCAGTTATTAATATTTTGGATAAAATACCCAGAAGTTGGATTGCTGGATCATATGATAGTTCTATGTTTCATTTTTTGAGGAACTTCTATACCTTTTTCCATAGAAGCTATACAGTTTTGCATGCCCACTAACACTGTGCAAGGGTTCCATTTCTTCACATCTTCACCAACACGTCTTTTTTTTTTTTTTTTTTTTTTTTTAAATTAGAGACAGGATCTCACTCTGTCACCCAGGCTGGAGTGCAGTGGTGTGATCACAGCTTACTGCAGCCTCTGCCTCCTGGGCTCAAGGGAGTCTCCCACCTCAGCCTCCCAAGTAGCTGGGACCACAGGTATGCGCCACCATGCCTGGCTAATTTTTGTATGTTTTCTAGAGATAGGGCTTCACCGTGTTGTCCTGAGCTCAAGCAATTCACCTGCCTTGGCCTCTGAAAGTGCTGGGAGTACAGACATGAGGCACTGTGTCTGGCCTGTCTTTTGTTTTTTTGATAATAGCCATCCTGACAGGTATGAGGTGATAACTCATGGTTTTGATTTGCATTTCCCTGATGGTTAGTGACATTGAGCATTTTTTTTTCATTGGTCATTTATATGCTGTCTTTGGAGAAATGTCTATTCAAGTTCTTAGTCCATTTTGTAATTGGGTTATTAGGTTTTTTTTTTTAACTATTCAGTTGTAGGAGTTGCTTATATATTTTGGAGATTAACCTCTTATCAGGCATATGGTTTGCAAATATTTTCTCCCATTCTATAAGTTGCCTTTTTACTCTGTTGATTGATTTCTTTGCTGTGCAGAAGTGTATTAGTCTGATGCAGTCCCACTTGTTTATTTTTCTTTTTGTTGCCTGTGCTTTTGGTGTCATATCCATGACATCATTGCTGAGACCAATGTCAAGAAGCCTTTCCTCGGTGTTTTCTTCTAGGAGTTTTACAGTCTTGGCTCTTACATTTCAATCTATTTTGAGTTGATTTTGTGTGTGTGGTGTCAGATAATCCAGTATTTATATTTCATCTATAATAAAATCTCATTCATTTGGATTCCATCAATATAGAACTTGGTATGCATTTAGGCTAAACAGAAATTTACATTCATAGTAGCTTTTGGTAGTGGGTTGAAAAGGATATTCACAATGCATTATAATATCCAGGGTTGCGTTTTTTTGTTTGTTTGTTTTTGTTTTTGTTTTTTTTCTGTTTCAGGGAACCTATTGAGTATTCTAGAGGCTTCTTAAAAGAAATAATATGCTGAGAAAAATGCATTGTTATCTTTTAATTGAAGTCTTTAAATGCATGTATTTAACAGCACTTTGCTAACCCATCTTTTATATACATGTAATCCAGAAAACTGTATTTAAAAGGCTGTGTATTATAAAATGGATAGACTAAATGGCATATCTTTATTCTCTAATGGGATACTGTGGTCCTCTGTCCGTGGCTCTATGAGGGTTGCTGCGACTATGGCAGTTGATGACGTACTGGTCAAACCTTTAGATAACTTGAACCTGGAAAGAATCTAGAATCAGTAACTTTGAATGACAGAATTGGGATCCAAAGATACTGTGAGAAGCTGGAAGATGGGTGGCCCCAATCTAACGTGATAGAGTGCTGGTCCCTATGGATGGCCACCCTTCAGTAGAGTGCCTGTCGATCCCTGGTCCAATCAGCCAAGGTCGGGAGCATGACTGACTGGTTCCAGTGTGTCCCTTCAGGCTCACCCCTTCACTGGGACAGTGGGCAGAGCTGGAAATCTTAAAGAGGCAGTGCGTGATGGTTGTTTCTTGTATAACCCCTAAAATCTTGTGTCCAAGGCCTCTTTTTGCACAACTGAATGCTGGATAAAGAGAAATGATAAAGGATTCTTGCTTATATTTTCTTGGTGAAACTGGACCCTGTTTCCCTTTGATCTGGTTCTTTTGTTCACTGATAATCTCAAGGGGGCACCATGCTTCACCTGCTGTGAAGCCAGCAAGATCTGAGAGAAGGAAGGTTGAATGAGGTTACAAGTGAGTTGTGGGATATCAGAGGTGTGAAGTGAGAGAGGTTTGTTACAATATAGAACAGAGTGCTGGAGCTGGGAGGAGGGAGGTGAGCAAGACACAGCAGGGAGGACTGGAGCAAAGGCAGAAAACAAGAGGACTTGGGAAATGTGCTACCATGACCTCCAGAAAGTGAAGGAATGGCCAAGAAAGAAAAGGGGCCAACGAGGGGCTTGTAGTCCTTTTGTCAAAAGCATGCTGGGTTGTATATGTTAAGTTGTGTAATTTTCCTTTCAGTCTAAGTCCAAAATGCATAGAAACTTCCCCACCCCTGCTGTATTCTTGCCTGGTCCATGTGAGTTCCTTCCCATTCACAGCCTTCTCTTCCCTATTTTGGGCATGCAGGTCTAACTCAATTGCGCTTTTTTGACTTTTAAAATATCCTAGCACTCTGTGAGTGGAGGTTTATTTATTTATTGTTTATCAGTTTCATTTTTTGAATAGGTAATACTCCCATATGATTTGAAAATTAAGAGAGATGAAAGATTATGAAAAGTTTTCCTCCCATTCTGTTCCCTATCTTCCCTGTTTCCATGACAACCCCTAAAGGTAACTATTACTAGTTTCTTTTGTATTTTTTCAGAGTTTCTAAAATTTTATATGTATAAGCAAGCATATTAAATATAGATTATGTCTTTGTCATTTATAAAAAAGATATCATTCTTTTCTTATTATTTGTGCCCTTGCTTTTTTGCATAACAAAAATACCTTCCCATTCCACACATAGAGAGCTTCCTCATTAAAATTTTATAGGTATATAGTGTTACATTTTATGGATTTATCCTAATTTGTTTATTCAATCCCTGTTGATGGACATTGTGCTTGTTTTCTTCCATTCACTATTAGAGCTGTAGTGAGTTACCTTAAACTGTCATTTTTGAATGTTTGCAAGTATGTCTGTAGGATAAATTCCCAGAAATTGACTTATTGGGTCAAAGGGAATATGCATTTGTAATTTTGATAGAGATTGCCAAATTGTACTCCTCAGGAGCTGAACTAATTTGTACTCTCACCAGCAATGTTAGGGACATGCTTGTTTTTCCACCGCATCACCAACAGAGCATGTTATTAAACTTTTGGATTTGGGCCAATATGATAGGTAAAAGAATGTTTTCTTAGTGTTTAATTTGCATTTCTCTTATTATGAATGAGATTAAGTATTCTATTATATATTTAATAGGTGTTTGTATTTCCTTTTCTGTGAACTACATGATCATATCCTTTGCCCATTTTTCTTTGGGTTTTTGTCTTTCTAAAATTGTTTTTGGCTGGATGTGGTGGCTCAGGCCTGTAATCCCAGCAATTTTGGTGGCTGAGGCAGGCGGACTGCTTAAGCTCAGGAGTTCAAGACTATCCTGGGCAACATGGTGAAACTCCCATCTCTACAAAAAAACAAAAACAAAACAAAAATTAGCTGTGAGTGTTAGTATGAGCCTATAGTCCCAGCTACTCAGGAGGCTGAGGTGGGAGGATCTCTTGAGCCCAGGAGGCAGAGGTTGCAGTGAGCTGAGATCATGCCAGTGTACTCCAGCCTGGGAGATAGAGACCCTGTCTAAAAAAAATATATATATATAGAGAGAGAGAGAGAGTTTTTGGAGCTCTTTGTGTATATATGTGTATTTTTTGGTGTGTGTTTAATTTTGTTTGTGCATGTGTGTACTCTATGGGTATGTAACTGGTCCTTTTTATGTGATTGAATGGTAAACTTGTTCACATTTTTGGGTTCACATTTTTGGTTATTCATTTTTAGTGGCTTTTTGTTTGCTTTATTTTCTGATTTGTCATGCAAAAATTTTGCTTTATCTGAAGATGATGATTTTTTTTTTTTTTTTGAAGATAGGGTCTCACTCTGTTGCCCAGGCTGGAGTGCAGTGGTACAATCAGGGCTCACTGCAGCCTTGACCTCTTGGGCTCAGGTAATCCTTCCCCTCAGCCTCCAAAGTAGCTGGGACGACAGGCATGTGCTATCACACCTGGCTAATTTTTTATTTTTTCTATAGGTGGGGGTCTCACTAAGTTGCCTAGGCTGGTCTTGAACTCCTGGGCTCAAGCAGTTTTCTGGCCTCAGCCTCCCAAAGTTCTGGGATTACAGGCATGAGCCACCACACCCAGCCGGAAGCTGATTTTTATGCAATTGAATTCATTATCTTTTATCTTATGGGTTTTGGATTTTTCATTATGGTAAATGGAATTTCTGGCTTTCTTCTAGTACTTTTATGGTTTCCTTAAAAAAAGTTTTGTTATTTGGAATTTAATTTGGTATATGACATCATCTGACTCAACTGTGAAAACAGTTGGGGAGTCAGATAGGAGATGAGGAGAAATGAACAAAAAGAAATCACAGTGCGGGACATGGAAGAGGAGTGAAAAGAGAATTAAAATGCTGGTAGGAGATGTGAGACTTGATAACAAATGCCTTGGAAGTTGGTAGCTATTATAATATATGGCATTTAATAATGCCTTAAATATTTTTTTTAAGACTTGAGATGTACCTAACTCCTAACTCTCACAATAAAATAGTCTTTTTTTTTTTTTTTTTTTTTTTTTTTTTTTTTTTTTTTTTTGAGATGGAATCTTGCTGTCACCCAGGTTGGAGTGCAGTGGCATAATCTCATCTCACTGCAATTCTGCCTCCCGGGTTCAAGTGGTTCTCCTGCCTCAGCCTCCTGCAGCTGGGATTACAGGTGTGCACCACCACACCCGGCAAATTTTTCTATTTTTAGTAGATGGGGTTTCACCATGTTGGCCAGGCTGATTTCAAACTCTTGACCATGTGATCTGCCCACCTCGGCCTCTCAAAGTGCTGGGATTACAGGCATGAGCCACCGCGCCAGGTCAGCAGTCATTTCTTTCTATAGTTTTGTGTTTTGTTTCTTAAAAGACAATCTGGAGCTGGGCATGGTGGCTCATGCCTATAATCCCAACACTTTAGGCAGGAAGATCGCTTGAGGCCAGACCAGCCTGGGCAACACAGTGAGACATCATCTCTACAAAACCAAAAAGCCAAAAAACAAAATGAAGACTGCCCCCCCACCCCATAATCTGATGCAAATATGGCTCAACATGTTAAGACTTGACAAAGTTGGGTGGGTACATGGATAGGGTATTCTTATTTCTTTGTTTTAGTAATTGCACAATAGAAATAGCAGTTAAAAACAGATGGGGCAAGGCTTTGTATCCTCACGGTTGTACAAATGTACCCCAAGTGACTGATGTGCCCCAGGTATATCTGGTGGCAGAGGTGGGTCTTAAGTCCAGGCTTTCTAACTCCTTCCTGAGGTCTTTTTATTTTAGGTCATGAGCAGTTTCCTTCGTCTTTGTACTTTAAACAAACAAAGCCCAAATTTCTATGCTTACCCTCAGTATAAGAGCAGTAACTTCTTTCTGCATGTTCTTGGAGATGTGAGAATAAAGATGTCATCTTGAAGTTTCCTCGCAGTTCTCCCCGTAATCGGGAATCCTCATTTGCACTCAGAAACCATGGGTCAAGTCTGACAGAGGTCTCTGATTTGTGTTTATAAGGATATTTTCTCTGAAACTGTGGGATAATTTTTAAGTAATTTATCAAATATTTATAGGGCCAGGCACAGTTCTAGGTGCTGGGGATATTGCTCTGAGTACAACAGAATCTTTGCTTTGGTGGAGTTTACCTTCTGGTGGAGGAGAGGGGTGAAAAACGTATCAGTCAATTCATAAATGAGAATCTCAGGTGAGATTTACTCTTCTCTGTGAAAAGTCAAAAGAAGTGCAGTGTCAGGAGATGGTGGGGGTGGTATGGAGGAGCAGGGGGCATGTTTAGGTGTGTGGGCAGTGAGGGCCCTTCCCTGAGGAAAGTGGCCAGTGGTGTGAACAGTGACCCAAGCAGAGGGAGAAAAAGCAACCCAGGCAGAGGGGACAGCATGACTTGAGGCCCTGATGTGGCAAAGAGGAATGAGCTGGGGTGCAAGGGCCCTTTGTTCCACAGGTTCAAAGCAGGGAGGAGGAGTGGTGAGAGCCGGGGCCTGACCAGCCCTGGCAGGAATGTGGTACACAGCTGCCCTGCCTCTGCCCGTCCCCAGCATTGCTGAGGTTGAATGACAGTTACTGGAGTTGATTTCTACCCTAGACGCGTGGCGCTTTTTGTTTGTCTGTTTGTGTTTTTTCTTCTTCTCACTTTAGGGCAGCGATAGGAGTCAAACCTCATCTGCTGCCCGAAGTTGTAATAAAGTCTTCACAGTCTCATTTCCTGTTCTGAGAGGACGTGCAAAGTATAGGCTTTCCTCCTCCACCGCGGAGATCTGGGACGGCAAGGCTATCCGTGGCATCGGGACGGCGGAGGCGGGGGCGAGGGGAGAGGGTCACCTCCTTTGATATTAATTCATCGGTAATGGGTATGAACAGAAAAAACCACCAAGCAGCACTGGGCAGCTCTACCGTCGTCGGGCATAACGGGTTTCCTCGCGGAGCCGCGTCTGACGCGGCAGCCCCCCAGGCTTCGGCTCAGCTCTCCTGTTCCTCAGTCTCGGTAAAATGGCTGTCAATCTATTTTAAGCGAGGAAAATTGAGGATGGTTTTTCAGTGCTATTGCTGGCTTAGTTATGTCAAGCGATTTCTTCAAAGAGTAATAATAGGTGCTGTCTTCAGAAATAGTTTAGTCACAGATGCCTAGTTTTAAAGTCTACTTGCTTCCCTCCTGTCCTTTTCTTCAGTCTTATCTCCTATGCCTGGAGTCGAGTTTCTTCCAGAGATTTCCTCTCATGGAGACTAGCAGGCTGCATTTCATTTCTGGTTTCCTTCCATAATCATCTCCACCCCCTCCTCCTCTCTGCTGAACACCCATGCCAAAGGTTCTGTCAAGCCGGCCAGTTGAGCACTTTGAAACACATTGTCAAAAAACGGAATGATGTCATGCGGAAAAGAGTCAACCTGGGGGCAGCGATGTTAATAAGTTAGCTCATTCCCTCCCCCATCCCAACGTTGGATAATTTATTTTTTAACCAGTTTTTACCAACCAAATGTTAACACATATGCCTGATTGTTAACCTCCTCTGGGCACCAAACCTGTTTTTTCTTGAGTGCAATAAGTGATTATCCAACTCATGCTGCTCCGAAAAAGAGGTTTTGTTTTAATAAGCAGTTTGCAGTTTGGCACACAATGCTGAGGAAAGCAACATTATCTCCAGCAGTAAACTCTGCAGTCATTGCAAAGCTTGACAAGAAAATGATTGAGTCTGTTTGTTATACCTTTGTGGGGCTGCCACTGCTGCTGCTGATGGAAATGTTGCTGTTTATTCAGCAATGCAATAACACTTTCTGTAATTTATGGATGCACATTCCCCAGATTACTAAAGGTAATATTGTTGACTAAAGAAAAGTATACGAATGGATAGTTTCAGTTGTTGCTGTCCTTATAAAAGTGATTGACTGTTCACTTTGCACAGGAAAGAATTTGCACAGGCTTCATCCCCCTTAACAATTACAGATTTTCCTTCCTCTGACAGTTACAAATAACATGGCTTGTCCTAAGTGGTAAAAATTTACTGATTCCATGGAAGTTCACGTCAGGGGCTATGTGGATCCTGTCGCCCTTATTTCCTGGCCAGCTCTCCCGCCTTGCCCCTTGGGGGCGCCAGACAAGCCATGCCTGGACTCTCGGTGGCCGTCAGCCTGAGAGAGGGGTGCCTGGCCAAGCGGCTTCCAGCCCCAGACCCTTGACTTTTCCCGTAAAAGGAGCTGCTGCTGCCGCGGGATGATCCTCAACCTTGCCTGGTGCCCTGCAGTGTGTGCTTGACATCTGATCTCAGGTGGTAGAAAAACACCTTTTGACCAGTTGTTCTGTGAGTAAGATTGGGTGAAGTTGGTCCTTTTGTCCCAGTAAATGTAGACAGATCCCTGGGCCATGGAAACCTGGCCACTCTTCTCAAAGTGTTGATTGGAAGACCGAAAATGTAGCATCAGGGTGCCCCGGGTGCCCCTGTTGATGGGCTAAGGAAGAGCACACTGAGAGAGCTCAGCAGGGCTGCCCTGAACCAGAGGGCCCAGCTCTGGGGGACCGGGATGCTGCTCAGAGGCCTAGCATTTGCTCAGTGAACGGTAGTTGGTGCTTTCTCCTAGGCCACCAGGGAATACCACTTTGGGTCTGAAGCCTGTCAGCCTCTGTGGGCTGATGGCCAACAGGTGGACAACATTTTGAGGTCCCAGGTTTAGCCCTTATTGAAATGGAGAAACAAGCTGCTCAGTGAGGGGCCTTTCAGGAAAAAAGAACTTCACAGGTATATTTCAAAGTGCTGCCTTTTCTTCTTGGGAAACAAGTAGTTACACAAATATAAATACAAAATACACATAAGGCATCATATGGTTTGCAATTGAAAGTGTCCTGTATTTTCTTCTGAGCAAACTCTCAATGGGCCAGTGTAGCTGTAACCAACCAGCACTGTACTTAATATGCCTTTGTCAGCCCTGAAGTTCTCCACTGAATGATTTGTTATTTAATTGGTCATAGTAGGGGGGATCCTAGCATATGCGAGACAGCGTTTGTTAAATCTCAGTGACTGATGTCTGGAAGGCAATAGTTAACAAAAATATTATTCATCATTTTGTTAGGCCAAACACATGCTGTTGAATAGAGAAGGGTTAACATAGGAATGATCTAATGTACTTGTTCTGGGTGAATGTTGGCTTGAAGATGAACTTTAGGTGAGACTCCCTGTTTTTTCCTATCCATGCCTCATCTGTTTGCATATGTTCACTATATATTGATGAAAGATGAAAAAGGCTGATTTAGTTTATGTAAATTATCTTTCTCTTATCAATTTTATAGGTAGTTGTTTGTTTCTTCCTCTATCTCATTATGTAAAGGTTCACTATGTAGTTGTTTTGGCTTATGCTTTATCAATTTTATTATGTGAAAATTTTGTTTGATTTTGACTTTTGAGCATGAAATACAAATCTTTTGAAATCCAAACATGCTTGTGAAATTCCAACCTGATTTTATTTACTAATGGCCCATAATCAAAGCACTCACTTTTGGTCATACAAATAATTACAAAATGATGGATTTGCTGAGTGTGGTTCCCTGTTGCAATTGAAGTTCAGTCAGCTCATGTCAGTCTTGACATTAACCAAACTGAGAAGGATAATAACAAGAATGTTACCAGGTGGATCTCAGCTCATCTAATTTGGATAATCCTAATCTCATCTAAATTTTAGAGTTCAGTTGGGTTTATAGACATTCTATTCTTTTCTCTAAATCTTAAATTAGCCATCTAATACTGACAGCTATGTTTTGGGCCAGAGTCTTCTCTCTCTTTATATATACATATTTATGTATGTTTATATATTAGTATGTATATTATGAGTATGTATTTTATAATCCACATATAATTATAATATATATAATTATAATTTTATAATCCACATATTAATAGTATTTCTGAGTGATAAGTGGTGTTATCACTCAGAAATTAAGAGTGAAAATTTAAAATTAAGAATGATAATTTAAAAGCAAATTATATGCTTTTAAATTAATATATATATTTTTAACACAAACTAGATGGTTTCCTTAGTCATAATGAAGAAGCAAGTTGAAAAGACTAGGAAATAAATTCATAAAAGATAGCATAGGAAAGACATTCAGTCCAGCTACATTGATCTCTGATCTGTATGTCTTAACCAAGTAGGTTACCACATTTTCAGAGATGATTCTCTTCATTTTTTTCTTTTTACTATACTGGAAGCTTATATTCTATGAGAAAAAAGTAATTATATCTGGAATCTTGGAGAGTACTAATAATGTGATGATAATATGATGATCTGCTTTTTTTCGCTATAGCAGTCATCACTTCTAGTGTTGTATGTTTGTTTGCATGTGTATATGTGTGTATGTATCTGTGTGTATTATCTATGTGAATGAATAAATGAAGATACTGTTTACTGTAAACTTAAATTTTTACAGGCATTTCACCCACATACTTTCCAAGGTAGATATGATTATGATCCCTACATGACAGGTGGTGAAACTGAAGCAGAGAGTATAAATATCACTTGCCCAATGTTACATAGCTCCTAAGTAAAAAAGCCAGGATTTAAAACGAAAATGTCCAGTCCTGGTATCTGCACTCTCCGCCCTTACGTTTGCTCCTGCTGAGGAGTGAAGGTGACTGTGACAGGATGCTTTGTTGGCACCATTGTTGCTTCTGAGTTTGTCCAGTTAGTTGGATGGCCAGTCACTTTGCCCTCATCCTTGGTCCATGTTTTCTTCCTAGGAGTCTCCTTAGCAACACATCCATTCAACGTGCACTTACAACAAACCCTCAAAGGCAAAACACCAAGTTCATTTTTCCATCTGAGTCTACTGAGATTTTTTTTTTTTTAAAATGACATATAATAATTGTACATGTTTATGGGGTACATAGTGATGTTTTAGCACATATGTCTAGTGATCATCAGCTCAGGGTAATTAGCATATCCATCATCTTGAACATTGATCATCCTTTGTGTTGGGAACATGCAACGTCCTCCTTCTAGCTATTTGAAACTATGTATTATTGCTAACCGTAGTCATCCTGCAGTGCTATAGAACACTGGAACTTACTCTCATATCTAGCTGGGATTCTATATCCTTTAACAAATCTGAGTGACTTTACATGAGCAAATGTGATACATGAGAAATTGTGCCAGTTACTTTTAAGCTGCACATTCCTCCACAGTAAGTGGAATTGGTGGGGCTTGAATAGTAGAGATAAAGAGGTTTTCTTTTTCTTTCTTTCTTTCTTTTTTTTTTTTTTTGTAAACTGCTCTTTCCTGTTTAAGGGCTCATGTACTTAGTTTCTTTTTCTCCCTCTCCCCCTCTCCCTTTCCCCTTGCTTTCTCTCTTTGAGTCCCGTGTTCCTTATTTGGCTAGAGAGTTTTTGTTTGTTTGTTTGTTTTTCCAGGGGTCCACTTAATTACAAAACCATGCCTAAAAATCATCTCCAAATTCTCAACTCCAGTCCTTCTTTTGTAATAAAGATGCAGTGATGACATCATGTGGTCTGCTGTTGATTTGAATGAAATGAGTATCTGATGAACGAATACCTTGATGTAACGTGATCATTTTTAGTAAGAAAAGTGGTCTGGGAGGTGGGGCTATGGACACATGCAGGGCTTTTGTTTTGGAGAAATCTTGAGGGTAGTTAAAACAATGGCCAGTGGCCTCAGACCCCTGCCCACTCCACCCAGTCCCCCACCAGTCTAAACATCTTGCTTTGTTAGCTGGACTGGCCCCAGGTGAGCCAGGAGGGGACTGGGAGGCACAGCCCCTGCAATCTGGGATATTGTTTAAATACCGTAAAAAGCCTCCCTCATTTACTCCTTGTGAGCACGGGAGAGAAAAAAGGTGTGGTAATCCTGGCGTAGCAGGTGGTGTGACTTTCATATCAGTCTAAAATGAAACTGTGGGGATGTTTTATCCCCCTCTCTCCCATTCACTTTTTTTAATCTTTAAATAAGACGATTGGTAGCCTGTTGGCAAGAAAATGGGCCCTGAATTTTTATTCAAAGTTATACAAGGATGATAGTTGGAATTTTTGGCAGGAGGCACGCCATTGCTTTTCAGAAAGTGCTGTCAAGGGAAGCTTTTTCTGAATTACCTGCTGGGCCTGGGCGCTTTTATGTTGTTGTTGTGACAGGTAGATTTATAAGGCTTGAAATTTGTACAAATCAGTTGTCATTCAGTGGGAGCTGTCAATGTGTCAAGCTGTCAGCCTGCTGCGAGGGGACGCCTGAGGGGGAGTACAAGGGGGCAGCCATGGAGAGAGGAAATGAGTTCAAACAGACCTGAAATGGAGCTCAGTTCTCGGGGTTTGCTGCCCCCGTAGAGCCGGCATTGATTTTTCTTGATGTTGAGCAACAGCAAACCTTAAATGACACGTTGTTAGCAATCTAAAGTTGCTGTTTATTGTCTTTTAAATGGCAGCAAATCATGCAGAAGAGAATACAGTGTGTATTTTCGAATTGTGCATGTTTAGCAGCATCCTGTTCATGTCACTTTTCTGGCCTGGCTGGTTTCAACCAAGGGACCTGCTGCTTCACTGATGAGTCCAACTTTCGGTAGCATTTTGCAGACGCAGCGTGAAAGGAAGCTGTGTGCTCGTCTCTCCCTGGGCTATGGCTCGCTAATAAACACAATATTAAAGAAGCAGTGGGTTGATGCTGTTTAGCCTAAAAAAGAGAGTCGTCGTGTCCCTAGCCTGGCCTTACCTCTCTTTTAAGACAGAAGGCCTCAGCTGAGAGGGCTTTCCTGGACAGTGCTGGACGATGTAGTATGTTTTCTGAGAGAGCTGTCCATGACATCTCCTTCTACTTCAATTATTTAAAGAAAAAAAAAAAGCATCAGGAAAATGCTCTGTTACTACCCAAAACAATCTGGTGAATTTCTCCATTTGTTTAAAAGCATCTTCATTCTATAGTAAATATTTGGTGTGGTTCAGATCGTCTTTGCTTGCCTCGCGTACGACTCCTGCGAGGCTTCATATGTAACTCCTTTCGTTCTCCTCCTTCCGCGGTCTTTCTTACGCATACCTAGTATATAGAGAAATTTGAACCTTTTGCTAAGAAGTTATGGAGGGGGCAAAAAAGCATATTTCTGAAAAATAAAATCAAATAGACATGAAGGGCCTTACTTTTTCAATGTATGTGGCATTTAGCAAAGCACCTGGGCTTCTGTCTAGATGTTTAAGCCTTTGCACCTTTGGACAGAGTGTCCAGGCTTTAATCAGTTGTATGATTTCCGCTGATTTTGTGCATTCCTTGTCCATCAGGTGGCAAAGAGGAGAGGAGGTGGGGGCAGGGGCAAGGGAAGAGGCCAAGAAGGGGAGAGGTGGCTGGGGATGGAAATGGGAAGGTGACACTTGAGGAGCAGTCAGCACCAAGAGGTAAAAAAATTAATCTAAGATTTCCATCTAGCCATTACCGGCTGGCGTTCACGGCCTCTGAGCCTCTGAGCTAAAAAGTCTGCAGAGAGTCTCCTGGCGCTACAGAGTTTGTCTTGTAAAAGTGCAGCTGTCCAAAACATGACAGCTACAGCATTAGCAGGGCCATTAAGAGGTGTAGAACATTTCCAGGGAAATGATTTGAAAAATGACAATGCTGGCTCCTGTGTGATATTAATTATACCCTGTACTCATGGCAAATAAGCTAAAATCGCTGGCAAGAAAGACTAAGTGAGGTGTCCTGGTTCTGACCGTCATTCGGATCAAACAGCCGCCAAGCTGGTGAGGGCTTTATGGTCCACAGGTAATTGTAGGGTGAGAGGTACATGCTGGAAACCATCAGTCAGGGCTGTGTCTGGAGGATGGTCTTATGGTGAGTATGGATTGCAGGCAGCTGGGGCAAAGCAGGATGTCCATGGAGACGGCGGGTAGTAGAAGGTAAAAGGTTGGCAGGGCTGTCCTCCATCCATAGCATGTAGATCCAAGCTGCGCTGCCCAGCAGACCTTTCTGTGATGATGGAAATGTTCTACATCTGCAGTGTCCAATATGGTAGCCACTAGCCACATATAGATATCGAGCACTTCAAATGTGGGTACTGTGACTGAGGAACCGAATTTTAAATTTTATTTGCTTTTAATTAACATTGAAATAGCCACATGTGGCTACCATAATGGGGAGAGCAGGACCCTAGAGAGTGGTTTCTCCATAAGATTCTGAGGCTGGAGTAGGATGTAGAAATGAGTGGTGACAAGAGTCAGGACTTGCACTGCAAGCCCTTCCTGGTGTAAAATAATCCATAGCTTTCTCTAGTTACTTCTTACTTTGTTATACCCTGACCTTACCCAGGGCAGTAAGCAAGAATAAGTATAACCCATTTTACAGATGGGAAAACCAAGGCCTAGGAAGATCAAATTACTTTACTTAAGGTCACAGAGTAAGTCAGGCACTAGGTCTGCCAGTGTCTTTTCTTAAGATGCTGTCTCCTTTTCCAAGGGCTCTGATGGATGACACCTTTTTCCCCCCAAGTAAGTCTGTGCTACCCATCTGCTTGGCCTCAGGCTCCTGCATCTTCTTTCCACAGCATTCTTTGTCTTAACATCCAACACCTTGCGTGTGAAGGGCATGCCCAAATCTGAAACAGCTTAGAGGATGCTCCCCATTTCGCTTGCCTTGGCTGTACTTTCTGGAAGGTGGTCAGTCCATTGGCCCTGTCCCCTAGGGAGCCCTCCCTTAAACCTGGCAGCCCTGCACTTCTGAATTGTGCTTTTGACCTGTGGATCAGATACATCATCCTCCTCTTGCCACTGATCCTGTAGCTAAATTACCCTATATAAACAAGCCTTTGTTATTCCTGACTGTGAGAGATGTGGTGCTGGCTCTTGTTGAAGAGGAAAATAGACCTGGGAAGAAAGAGGTCATGAGCAGGTCAAAGTGCCAGAAGAAAAGGCTTCTGGGGCTAAAGTTCCCAGATTTGGGGTTTGTGGGGCAGGGGTAGTGTGGGGTATACTGCATGAAGACCATCCACAGGGACGTGTATGCCATGCCATGCATGTGACCACCTATTTGTATTAAGTGGAATCCACCCATGAGATTTATCAAATAAAAAATCTAAAAGAAAGCCTGGGCTAAGTTCTGCCTGGACCTTTTGAAGAAATGTTGAAATGTTGCTGGGCTATGATCTACTAATCCTTCAAGTGTGCTGAACATGAGAAATAGCATTCACTGTTAAACCACCAAGTGCAGAGAAAATGTCTTGAAATTATAGTGTTTGGTAAATTAGAGATTGCTTGTATTTCTCCTCTTCCAGAGCTGAGCCAAGGCTGCTTTCCCTCTTTCCTTGTTTACCTTGAAAACGCACTTTGCTGCCTGGGGTGTTTCTGTTAACCTCCCTGAACCCTTGCGATTTCATTCATGTGATTTGTTATTGAATGACCTTTTGAGGATTTTACAAAACATGACCTTTTCTTGTCAAACATTCAAGGGTTTGTAAAGTGAAGCTGTCACGGGGACTCTGCGTGTTTGCTAATTATAACTAATATGTTTCCCCACATCCTTGGAAATGCAAATCACTTATTTGTCCCATGGATGGCTGCTCTTTCTTGCCTGTTGGTCTGAGATGCCTCCGAGCTGCTCAAAGGGACTTCTTTGGCCTGGGAATTCTGACTCTTCTTCTTAAAGTGAGGAAACAGGGACACTGATTTTGTTGTAAGTTAATTTGACCCCTTGGGAACAACCATGGAAGATGCAAGGAGAGAATGAAAGGGTTCAGAACAATCCAATTCTTGAGATACCAATGGGAATAATGGATACTCTCACAGTGTTCTGTGTGGTTCTAGTACCTGCCTTCCCCAGGGAAAAGAGTTTTTGTTTTGTTTTGTTTTGTTTTTTCTGGGTGGAAACAAAGGTGCAAATAAGGGAATTTTTATATACAAAAATAGAATTATAGGCAGAATCAAGGAAAGAAACATTAGGGACTTGCTTTCCATTGGTAATTTGGTATTAAATTTTGGTAATAAAAAATTTAATAATAACAATAGCTTATCTAACATCTATTGAGTACTTATCATGTGCTATACATTGTGTTCAATGCTTTACGTGTATTATCCCAATTATCTCAACTACCCTATGAGCTAGGTGGTATTATTATCATTACCAGTAACTTGCACAGGATCAGTTGGCAAAGGTAGTATTTGACATAGGGTTTTTCTGACTTGACCTTGCTATATCATCTTCTCTGTACATGTATGAATTTTGACTTATGTAGTGAAAGTGATGTATACTACTTCAAAAGCTTATTTTCTTAATGAGAAAAATACTCTGTGCGATATCTTTTCTCCTCCAGAATACTATCTTCTGTGATTGATAATCACTCGATTGAGTTATTGTCAGCTTCCCTAAATCCTGCTTTTGGGAATTCAGTGCTGGGTCAAATCATGTGCCTCATGTTTGCTGCTAATGGAAGAAGAGTTGAGTAGGGCTCCTGAGACATTTATAAAAATGCAGCCAGTGAGTTTCTTATTAGGAGGAAAAAATAACCCCCCCCAAATATTCCAAATGATGCACCGTTACTGTCACTAATGATTTGGAGTTAAGGGAGGAGGGATTTTGATCTAGAATGACTAAGAAATGGCTCCCTGTCTCTAAGTTACTTGTTAAAAGGGAAGGGATGGGATAGCATATGGACTGAATAAACTTCAAATTTTCTGAGCTTGGAGAAATTCCATTTCAATTGTGTGTAAATTGCTTGAAGATATTGTTTTATTTTGGTTCCTCTCCACTCAAGGTAGGGCTGTGTCTTAGAGAGGTCGGCCAGCCATAAAGGAGCTCAATGTTGGATTCTCTCCCCAAGGTCTAATACGGAGTCTCCTTTATAACATTCAAATGCTTGGCCCTGCTCCACTGTTGATCCCCCTAGTCATTTGGAAAACTCTATTTATCTAGGTAGGGGGATTACTGGGCTTTTCCAGCTTCCAAGCATAACTCCTAGGAGATGTTGTCTTTCAGATGACTTTCATGTGTTTTCCTTCCTCATTCATTTGATAGACATAGATGCACAAAGTAATTTGTGTCTTTGAAACAATGGAAATTTTTGAAGTGTTGGCTCATATTGTTTGGAAAGGGTCATTACAACTTTATATATTAAAAAAAGTTCAGATTCAGGATAGAAAAATATATTTCACTTCTTTTATGAGTCTGTTCTCAAAAGCCAAGCAATTTGTTGTGAAAGAACGTAAGAAATACTGAGAATGAGAAAAGTTATTCATTCTATAAAGCCCTGTCCCTCCTCATACTTCTTTTTCCCACTACAGGCTTTGATTGCTTCATAAATGACCCTCAATGTGAGAGAACCTGTCCGCCCTGCTATTTCAAATGTATTGAAGATGTTTATGATGGATAGTTAGGTTTCAACTATACAGTAACCCAGCTTTCTACTAAAGAGGGCCCTTATATCTTAATGCTTAATAGCAATGGCTTATATATTTCAGGATCTTACCATTCTGGATATAGTCAGCCTCATCTTAAAGTTTTTTTTTTTTTTTAAGTCAGTATTTTATAAAGTGGATTTCGGGTGAAGAAGGAAGATCATGAAAATCTCATCTTTGGAGCTTCTCTTTTAAACTGAGTCAAGTTTAGGGTCTGTTTCATTATTAAGAAGGTACTTTTTAAAATAGTTCTGTCAACTACAGTTATTGGCAGTACCCAGGGCCACGAGACACTTTGCCAGTAATTACTATCCAGGACTTGCAGCTTTCTAGTAGAAGTCTGAGTGTTTTTTAAAATCTTGAAAAATATTATTTAACTAATTCTAATATCATATAAAGCACTTTTAGGAGAATGGAAGTGTAAAATGGAACACTGTAAAATTCATAAGAAGCATAAGAAAGAGAGGGAATAATTGTATTAGGTTAGTGATTCCCAATATTTTAAGGAGAAAGATGTGAGAATCTGATGAAAACTGGCCATTAGTCTCAGAAAAATACACATTAACATAACATTTTCCATTTAATTTGAGATTCATGGATTCCCCTCAACACCATTCTTGGGGCTCTAGATAAAGCACCTTAGATTAAGAATTCTTCCCATGGCAATGAAGAATCATGCCTGGTCAAGGAGGCAATTCAGACATTGATAGGTTGTTCAAGCTTTTAAAGAATTGAGGCATAATTTTGTTTTTTTGATCATAAAATTATTGTTCCCTATGCATAAATACTGTGTCACCAGTACTGCGTTGATGAGGACAGCCAAGGATCTTGATACCTATCAGCTGAGCTCTTAGAAATCTAGCCATGAACTGTTAGCTTTCTAAGCAGTGTGGGATGATAGGAGAAAAACAATGAATTTAGTTCTGGGAGACTTGGGTTCTAGCCTTTCCCCATACATTGTAATGATGAGCAAGTCATTTGACCTCTCCAGTCCCCAATTTTATATCAGTTGGATTGTGACCCCCCAATGTGCCTTTAATCTTAAAATTCAATCAGTTAACCATTCTTTTTTTTTGTTTGCAATTTGGATTTTATAAGATCAAGCCCATTTCCAAGAAGAAGGAGGTCAAGACAAATTTTGTTTCTTAGAAAAGGTTCATATTTAATTTGGGGATTTCAGAGAGTCAAGAAGAAATAATACAGATTATCTGTTACAGTAGAAATGCTGAGTTTCCTTGGGGTGAAATATAGTGAAAGATATGAAATTCTAGGAGTATTAGTGTGGGGCCAGAATGCTTTTCAGACCCACTGGGACACAAAAATTCAATTTATTTGTCATTGCTCATGTTTATCATTATTACCTCTGCCGTCTTCCAGTTATTCCTTACTACTGCCTTCTTAGATAGAGCTAAGAGTTCCCGGCAACTGTTCTGAAGTTTATCCTTGAATGAGTCCTGGGGAACT
The DNA here is from genome assembly GCF_000001405.40 of Homo sapiens. Lineage (NCBI taxonomy): Eukaryota > Metazoa > Chordata > Mammalia > Primates > Hominidae > Homo > Homo sapiens. The sequence goes on from NC_000010.11 coordinate 75,604,542, forward strand.
GAAATGAGCTATGTTGCTTACACAAGTTTATGGTATTGAGTATGTAAAAACTGATTATATGAATTGGAGTTATCTTGTCAAACCCAACTAAATTAGAGTTGAGAGACTGGAGGAGAAAAAGGACTCAGGACACAAATGCCTGCCCAGGGGTGATACTGTAAGCCAACTGCCAAAATACTATGATTTTAAGAACAGTTTAACCTAGTAGCTGCTGAAATGAACTGCTGTGACTCTCAGACTGGTGTTACCTGCTGCCCCACCACTTACCAATCAGAGCTTGCCCACTTCAAAAAACTTCACTAGTGCCAATGAGTTTTCTTTCAAAAGAATACATAACATTTCTTTTTTAATAGAGCCCCAACCTTCCTTCTCTTTGTTCTTGTGACATACTGAAGACCACCGCAGTCTGTGTATGCCCCAAATTGCAATTCAGTTTTCCCAAACAAAATGTTTTGTTTAGAGATTTGTCTCTATATTTTTTATTTGACTTTGACAAGTAGAAAAGGAGAAATTCATTGGGACAACTTGCTTAGTTTCAACCTGGGTTCCTGGATTCTAAAAGAGTAACAAAGATAAACTGGGAATGCCACACAGTTCATATGACTAAATACTGTGCAGTGGAAAAGTCTCAAGACTGGGAATATAGAGACTTGAATTCTAAATCAATTTCTCCAAGTTTGATTATGAGTGGCTTCTTTATGAGAGTCCTTTCTTCCTGAATGTCTCCCTGACGCTGGTTGGATTTTTGATAGCTCAGATGATAGGAGCTGTTTGAATATAGAAGACAGTCTGTTCCACACTGTAGTTTACACCAGTCTTCAGTCAAGAGTCAGCCTGTTCTCCATCTGGATATGTTCCAAAATTTCCCGTGTTTGCCCCAAGCAGAGAATCGCACCTAGAAAGTTTGTACATTGTGGGATACTTAACTAAAACATTTTCTTCCCCAGCAGTCGAAGGACAAGAAAAAGAGAAGTTAAACATATTGAAAGGCCACTGATGGAACACTTTGATCTGATTGGAGAGTGACAGCAGGACCCTTGTCCTAACGCATCCTTTCTGGGCACATTCTAACCCCTCCTGCCGCTGCTCTAATGTTAAGAGTGATTGGAATGAAAATAATTATCAGTATTTCAAACATGAAGAAACTGAGTTGCAGAAATTAACTTATCTAAGGTCATGGTGAAGCTGGGACAGAAATCTACATTTCTTTGGCTTGAATGGCCAAGTTCTTTGTGTGAGCAGTTGAAGGAGAAAGAGTGATGGCAGCGGCTGGGAACTGAGTACTCTCTTGCCGTCTCACCTCCTCCCAAATAAGCCTTTCTTTCTTTCTTTTTGAGACGGGGTCTTGCTCTGTCACTCAGGCTGGAGTGCAGTGGCGCAATCATGGCTCACTGCAACCTCTGCCTCCTGGACTCAGATGCTCTTCCTACCTTGGGCTCCCAAGTAGCTGTAACTACAGGTGTGCACCACCATGCTCAGCTAATTTTTGTATTTTTTGCAGAGATGGGGTTTCATCATATTGCCCAGGCTGGTCTTGAACTCCTGGGCTCAAGTGATCCACCCGCCTCAGCCTCCCAAAGTGCTAGGATTACAGGCATGAGCCACTGCGCCTGGCCAACCCTGTTTTCTAATGGTAAGATAAGTAAAGTTCACTGCTGGTAACTCCTTCTCTTAAACCCAACCAAACTGAGGCCAGTCTTAACATGTGCTCTTGCATGGGTATGTCTGTGTTAAGTGTGCGAGAAGGTAGAATATTAACTCTCTTACCATGTAGCTGAATTTCTTCTCTGTTGATTCAGAAATGGAAAGAAAATGTCAGAACTCCTGTAATGCCTTTAAAACAAAGGTGCAGTGAAGGTATTGAAACCAGAAATGAAAATAAGTGGGCTATTTTTAGAACCGAGGTTCTATTTTCTCACTGACTCCCAGTTTCTAGTTAAGGGCAGAGTCCATTCCGGGCTACATGGGCTCTATTGGTGCCCTTCCAGAAGCCTGCATTTCCACTGCACCTTTCTATTTCAAATGTTAAAGGACTGGGGACATTTATAGGAGGTGATGGTCTCTTGGCACAGAAGACTATGTCTCCCAGAGCTGCCGCAGTGTTTTTTCATCCCTTTCTTCTCACTTCTTTTCTGTTTACCTTTGGCTTGAGTAAGTCGATTGGCATGTCTCTTTATATTGGGAAAATTCACTGTTTGCCACAAGCAAGAGAGAAGGCAGAAAGCATGGATACAAACAGATCTGAGGGTATTTTTATGTCTGTATCTCTATTTCTGGGGGCAAGGGACAGTGTTGCCATCCATTAAACATTTATTGTATTAGCAACCTCTGGCCATCCCTGCTAATGGAGGGAAAGGATGTTATGATAATCCAAAATAGCACAAAGTTCCCAGTTTTAACAATTTGATTTGGCAGTGCATTACAATAAAATCCCATGAATTCAACCTAATTAGGAAGGAGGCCAGTTTGGATTAGTGAAGCCCAAATGATATTTTATGGAAAATTGATTTTGTAGCTTCCAAATTTATGCAGCCACTTGAATTAGATATCAAAGTCTACAATAGAAATTCCCGGAACAGTTTTAATGACTAGTTAAAAATACTTGGCATTTTATTACAAAATGTTAGAGAAATGGTTACTTCCAAAGTGATCAAGACATTTCAGAACAGTCCTCTTGAGTTTTAACTATCTTCTGAAAGTCTTTCCTATCTTGTATTTATGAACAAGGCCTTTCTTGACATACGATAGGAAAGTAAATGCTTGTTAAAATTTCTTCAAATTTCTAGTCTGTTAGATTCGAATGAATAAAATTGACCTACATGATATTTTCCCCTCAGCAGATTTGTTGTCTTAATTCTGTTATGTTAAAGCTACTACAGATGGGAAGCCATTTCATGTAATACTGTATTTCTTTGGATGTTCTTATATTGAACTATATTTTTCTATTGATACAGGTGATAATTTTGTAGTGCTCTAATTTATAGTGGGCCCTTCCACTTTTAGTTTTTAACACATGATTTTCTCAGGTCCTAACCTTCTTTTCCTCCACATTTAATTATCTGTAAACAAATGCTAAAGCATTACAGATGAGCATCTTTTTCTTTTTAAGGGAGAATCACTGCCTTGTTTTGGTTTTGTAACAACAGCACTGTCTTCATTCCTCATGTGCAAGCAAGTGAGGTGACTTAGTGATTTCCAAATGACTGGCTGCACTGGAACCACCCAAGGAACTTTAAAAAATTGTGATTCCTAGGCCCCACTCCTGGAGATTTTGATTCAGTGGTTTTTTTTTTTTTTTTTTTTTTTTTGGAGCCCAAGATTTTCTATTTTTAACCAGCTCTCTGGTTGCTTCTGTTAGGTATCCAAACATGAAGTGGTTGCCTGGAGTGGTTAAAAATCCATTGTCCATATCCTAGCTATTGTGAATAATGCTGCCATGAGCATGGGAGTGCAGATATCTCTTTGAGATACTGATTTTATTTCCATCAGATATATACCCAGATAACCAAGAGAGGGAAACAACCTAAGTGTCCATTGATGGATGACTGGATCAAAAATTGTAGTGTGTGTATATATATATATATATATACACACACATACACAAAGCAATATTATTCCACCTTAAAAAAAGAAGGGTGTCCTGCCATTTGCAACATGGATGAACCTGGAGAACATGGTGACATAAACCAGACTTAGAAGACTACTGCATGATCTCACTTATATGTGGAATCTAAAATAGTCAACCACATAGAAGCAGAGACTAGAATGGTTGTTACCAGGGGATGGGGGGCCAGGGAAATGGGAAGGTTGTTGGTCAAAGGGTACAAAGTTTCAGTTATGTAGGATGTAATAAGTTCTGGAGACCTAAATGTACAGCATGTGACTATAGTTAATAATATACCACTGTATACTAGGAATTTGCTAAGAGAGTAGATCTTAAGTGTTCCCACCACACACAAAAAATGGTAACTATGTGAAGAGAAGACTACATTAATTAGTTTGACTATAATGTTCAGTTCACTAATGTACATGTATATTAAAGCATCATGTTGTATACCTTAAATATATATAAATTGTATATATTGACAATAACAAAACCCAAGAGCCATACAAGGCCACAAGTTTATTTTGCATCTGCTATACACAGATCCAGAGTTGGTTAGTTTGGGAAGCAGTGGTATATTGTGAGCCTGCAACTGTGAAGTGGGGGGCATAACCCTTTAAGTGAGGATAAGGCTGATGAGTCAGATCATGTTTGCACTTCACACCAGGGTCTAGCTCCTCTCTGTTCACTGTTTCTTCCAAAGAATCCCTTTTTGGTTACTGTCTCTGCCTGGGTCACCTGTCTTGATCAAGGGCCACATTCCAAGCCTTGGTCTCCAGAGAACTTCAACACGACCAACAGTTTGTCTGGTGCAGTGACCCTTCACTATACTCACTCTCGTCACCTGCACGTACTCTCAAAGAGTGTACATCTTCTCATCAGCTCTCCCTAGTTTGTTCACGGGCCACAATGGAGCTTGCACAGCACCTAACTGAACACTAGCTGCCCTTGAGGTCATTAGCATTCAGGGTTGTGCTAGCATGCAGCCAGCACTCTCTAGGTTGGGAGGTGGGGTTAGAATCAAGGAATCAAGCCCAAAGTATTAGAAACAGGAGGCTCCAAAGAAAAACTCCCTGAGGAGGCTTGGTATGAAGCTTTGAGGCCGCTGCTTGGAAATGGGCTTTGTAAAGACACCCACACCCACACTGTTAATTTGTAGGGCTGTTCATGAGTGAAGTGTCAAGTACTGGGGTTCTTGTCAATGGCAATTAATTGGAACTTAAAACTCTAGTTTTTGAAAGTGACGTTTAAGAAATAATCACCAATGAGCTTCATTTGAACAATATCTGTGGCCATACCATTGTCCATTGGCCTTCCTAGTGGTCAATCTCTGCTCTCCAGCACCTACTTCTAGAAGGAGTAAATGTGGCATCTTGGGCGAATTCAGCATCTTTCCCCTTTTAAGAAAATTGATTAAGTTGATGTAAGCATTTCATTTTCTTAAAAAGTTGCAAAATTAGAATAAAATACTTTGCCAGGTGGTAAGCATTGTGGACAGGTGTAGTGCATTGGAAGGAGCCCTAGCCTGGGCGAGCTGAGAAGCCCTGAGTGTGTGCTATGATGAGTCTTGCAATTACAGAGCATGATGTGAGCCTCAGGTGGAACCAGGCTGCGATATGCGTGCTCTGTGTGGTCCTGTTGTGGGAGCAGGCATCCACAGTCACCCTTTTTGCCCAGAAGGTCTTCAGTAGGCAGGGATGTAGTCTCCCTAGTGAGAAGAAGAGGCTGTTAGACTTTATTGGCCCAATAAGGGAAAGAATGCCCAGTCTCCAGGACTTGGCCCAAGTGTGGCACATCCCAAAGATCTCAGACCTACACTAGAAGCTTTTCTAGGTGGAGTGTATAGTATATTCTAGGACTGCAAAATCCTGCTAACTTGGACAAACTGGGTAAATTACAGCTTCCGAACTGGTGAACATACTTAATTTTTTAAAAAAGAAATACAGCTTTATCACTTAAAAAATTGTGATAGGATACATGTAACATAAAATTTGCCATTGTAACCATTTGAAAGTGCCATGATTCAGTGGCATTTAGTACATTCACAAGGTGGTGCAACTGTCACCACTATTTAGTTCCAGCTTTATCACTTTTAAGTATAGAAAATATTTTGAAATAACTGGCAAATTCTTTCTATTGAGAAGTAGTCCTCATTAATACTCATGTAGACACAGACACACACCACACCTCCCACATCCCTCACCACAAACACACACCCCACACACATCATACACCCCCACATACAACATACACACCATTCCTCCTCATACTTCCCTACACCCCACATGTACACACAGCACTCCCTGACACCACATAGACAAACACATACCACACCCCCACATACACACACACACCACACATACACTCATGTATGTAAATATACAAAGTACAGTATATTAATTTTATAGTCTCATCGTGGCCAGAAGGACCTTAGAGAGTCTCTGTCCAACTCCATGGATGAGGGAACTGTGATCATGGCCAGAGACTTTATGGGACTGGCCCATGTTCGGGTGGCAGAGGCAGGCCCAGGTTCCCCAGTCCTGACACAATGTATTTTCTTTAATGTCTTTATAATAGGCAATACATGTTCCCTAAAATGTATTGTTGAACTGAAACCTTTAAGAATCATTTATTCTCTTTGTATGAATGTTTTTCCCTCAAGTCTTGTTTACATTGTGAGCTTTCATAGCAAACCCTTTCTTTGGCCCAACGTAGGCTAAATTTTACCGCAAATTCCAAATGATGGGAGTCGTAAATTTTTCTTTTTCCTGAGTTGGCCTTGTTCTGGTGGAAACTTAATGTGTGTGGAGTAATGAACTATTCTGCTGAGGGGAGGTGGACTTGGGTGACAGCATGCCTCTACTCTTACAGGGTTTGGGGTGGTATGAGGTTGGGGACAGGGAAGGCTGCTGCAGAGGCTGGAGCTGGTGGGGCACTCAGACAGGGGGAGCACAGGGTGAGAGGGGCAAGGACCCCTAGAGAGAAGCCCTGCCTCTTTGGTGTCCTTTGGAGGCAGAAGGTAGGCATTAGGAGTGATGATCTGGACAGGTCCTGTGTAGCTGGGCGTTTGTGGAGGCAAGTGCAGCCCTGATCTACTCTCAGTTGTTGGACAATGGCATGGGCTTGTAAAGTCGATCTGTGAGCAGGACCTTGATCGGAGTCCACAGTGGGTGTGTAGCTGCCAGTGCTTGACTCTGGTTTCATTTCCTTTTTATTGTAATAAAATTTACCATTCAAACTATTTTTAAGTGTACAGCTCTGTGGCATTACCCGCATTCACATTGCTGTGTAACCGTTACAACCATCCATCTCCAGAACTGTTTTCATCTTCTCAAGCCAAAACTCCATACCCATTAAATAGCCACTTGCTATTTCCCCACTCCCCTCCTCCCCTCAGCCCCAGGCAGCCTCCATTCCACTTCCTGTCTCTGTGAGTTTGACTACTCTAAGTTATCTCATATGAATGGATGCATACAGGACTTTTGTCCTTTTGTGACTGGCTTACTTCTGTTTTCTTAACATGACTTTATCAGCAGCTAGCCCATACAGTGCTTCTGGGAGAAGTAGAGAAATGTGCTCCCCTTCTCTGGGTGGATGTAACCCCTGGCCAGAAATTGAGCTTGGCAAGCACAGTATAGGTTGGATTTCAGTCTCCACCTGTCCTTTTGGCCAAATGCCGTCAGCTAGTGCACAACCTGAACAACTGTTCGACTTGGTCCTGTGTATCAGGCCTGCAAAAGGAGATTTCCTCTTGCCCTGGAGCCCCTGGCTGGGTGTCCTCCCTGTTGATACTTTTTTGGTCCCCTTCTCCTATTCCCCAGTTCCCTCTGCTGCCTTAAGGTTCAGTTTTGTTGATTTGCCCCAGACTGGGACCTCCAGAGAATAAAAGGCCAACAGAAAAGGTGAATGGGGTTTCTAGAACAATATAACTCATTCAAATGCCATTTAGTGTGGGCTAGGTACGAATGACTTATGTGGATTAGATTTCCTTTGGAAATACCCAGGGGGTTAAAAATTAAGAGGAGAAGTGTGTAGAAAAATAAGTGCGAGGTTTTACTTATGCAGTGCCTTTGAAGACTAGTTGAAATATTTAGCAAACTGAAAATGCAGCTGGTTGAATGTGCTCTGAACCGTGCTGGGCCCTTTAGCCTACCTCTTTTAATAAACTAGTGGCTGAATTGAAAGCAATCTAGGCAATAATGAATATTCTTATAAATCTCTCTGGTTGAGAAACTCTAAAAATATAGCCAGATCCCAAGCAGTACCTATTTCCTCTTAATTCTACTATAATACTTGAATGATCTTTTATAAGACATTAAACTTTAATTGATGCCATTTTACTAAGCAGATTTTAAAAGCAGCAATGTCAGTAATTGAACTGATCAAGATGACTTTTGTTTATTATGTATGATGTGGAAAGAGGCTTTTATAAAATGTTATTTTTGTTCTGATTTCCAAAGAGTTTGCTTATTTATTTACTTATTTTATTTATATATTTATATATTTGTATATATAAATATATAAAAATATATTTTTGAGTAGTGGATTTAGAGAGGCAATAGTGTGGATAAGAACTGATAAGCACAGATTTTCATGCCCTCTCACTGTGAAAGTATTAGAGAAAATATTGATGCAGAACAAGGAAAAAACTGTGTAAAATAAAGTGTAAAATGAAAAAAAAAACCTGGGTAAAATAATCTAGTGGAGACATTTTTCAAAGTATTAACTTTGGTGGGGAAAAAAAAATGGAAGGTTGAGATTTTGCTCATGTCAAAAGACTTGGCCCAGCCTTTCAACTTTGCTATTGCTTTCGTTGGTTTGCTGTGCTAAGAGCATTACTCAAACGTATGCTATTGTGGTTGAACTTCTTCTTTATCCTTCCTTCTTTTGACGTTCCTGGGCAAGGCTGTCTTCACTCAGGACAGGCATGTTACACAGTGGGGAAAACTGTAGACTTGAAAACCTTGCCAATTTTTTTTTTTTTGTAGCAGTTAACTGTGGCTCAGGATTAAACAGTAAGAGCACTATCTGGCTTTCTTCCTCTTTTCTTCCACAATCCCCCCCACTTCCTCCTGAGTTTGGTCATTAGTTTTGCTGCCTTTGGAGTTTTAAAAAGTTGGATTGTTTCTCTGTTATAAAAATAACACATACATCAGACTTGCAGATAGCTACTAGCCAAGAAAAGAGGCATTTTAGGGGCAGTGAGGGATAGGGGTGGAGACCAGGCAATGAGTGGTGTCCTAAGAAACGGAGAGGATGGAGGGGAACATTGTTGTGTGGACTGGTACACTTAAAATATTTATGGATCAGACAGTATCTCTAAATCTCTGTCCTCCTTATCTGCACATCACTCTCGCTTTTTTCATCCCTACCCCTGGGGCAGCTGTCTCATTTTCTAGGTAAAGAAAACCAAGAGGATTCTGCAGCACCTTTAGGTGTGATTGCTAATGGTATGGTGTTTGCAGAGTTCTCCAGGTTTCATCTTGTTTTTTCACAAAAACAAGATTTCTTATGCAAAATGGGTCACCAAACAATTTCTCCAGAGCAACAGCCAGTGTTTCGTGCAGGGGAGATGTTAGCAAACCACTGACATATGGATGTGATCTCTGTTACTTTGACCAGATTCGGTTTCTACAGAGTACGTGAGAAGGGAAGATAAATTTTGTCCTAGTAATACTATAGCGACTCATAAATAAATGGTTACCCTTTGGTGCTTGCAGTTTTCATTAAAGCCGCCTGAGCTTTGTTATTGACACCATAGGTTGCCTATTCAGGGAAATGCAGTAAAATTTATCAGTATGCTTTCTGCACCTAATAAATCATCCAAACAGGGAACCATATGGCAGATAAGACCTTGAAAATGTGGCTTCAGCATGTGAGGAGTCAAGTTGCTGAAATCTTGAATGATTACAGCCTGCACATTTTCTCCTGGAATATCTTATAGTTATTTTACATGCCATTTTCTTGTTCACCCTATCACCCCTTTGTCTCTCTCCCTCTCTCGTTCTTTCTCACTCTTCCCTCTCTTACTTTCCTCTAGCACCATCCTTTTCTGGCCATTCTTTCTCACTCTTTGTTTTTCTTTTGGGTGGAGGTCTGGCTGTGATTTCAGCTTTAAAATAAGCATCCAGAGCAGATAAGACGTTTTTATAATGCCTTGCTGGTAGGAGGAAGAGGGGCAGGGAGGAGCAGAGACTGACGGGAAGGGATGATGTATGTGGCGGCTGTGTCCCCACTCTCCTCCAGCCCATTGTCATTAATCACGGCCATTAGTTTTTTTCAGAGCTGCCTTGTCTGCACAGTGCCTCAGAAAAGCCATTGTTTTTTCATGCCACAGACTAGGGAAGAAAAGGGAAGAAAGAAACCCCAGTACTCTTTTTCTCCCCTCTCATTCTGCCTCCAGAATCTCCCTGCTCTCCTGCTATCTCTCTGCTCCTCTATCCCAGCCCAACTTCCTTTCCTCTTCCTAGAAGGGATGGTGGAGAGGAGAGGGGGCACTTCAGTCCCTGTGTTTATATATTTATCTGACAACACAACATGGGCACACAGTTGTGATGCATGCACTGAATAATAGCTGTGTTACTCATGATGCACTGTTTAATATACAAGGAGGTTTTGTGGATATCAGTGGTGTTTGTTTTTTTTTTTTCCTTCTCTTTTGGAATCCTGGACTGGATATCCTTGTTATAACCTGAGGACACCAGCAAGATAGGAGGCATGTGCCCATTGTGGAACATCTGTGTTCAGTGGCTGGAAAAGAGGAGGCTGGCTTCTCCCTGGGGAGATGGAGTTAGGTGCTCACCAAGCCTAGACCATGTCTTGGGGACTCCCTCACTGCTAAGTGGGGCATTTCAAGAACAGCCATGGCTTATGATCAGTTGACTCTGCCCAGTCAACTTGGGTGACTCTTGGTGTTTAACGAAGGATGTGGCCATTGTCCTTTCTCTCATCTCTGCTAATTAAAGACTTGGGCTTGAGGAAAGAGACCTTGAAGACTGCAGTGGTTTTCTAGCTCTCAATGACAAATCATAACTGAGTCATTATGTGTGATATCTGACTGCTCAAGATACTAATGTCTTTAAAAATACCCATAGTGTTTTGTAAAATGTGACAGCCAACATCAAAACAAGACCACATACAGGTTGAGTAGCCCTTATCCAAAGTGCTTGGGACCAGAAGTGTTTTTGATTTTTAATTTATTTTTGATTTTGGAATGTTTGCATTATACTTACCAGTTGAGCATCCCTAATGTGAAAATCCGAAATCCAAAATGCTCCAATAAACATTTCTTTTGAGCATCAAATTGGTGCTCAAAAATTTTTGGATTTTAGGGTATTTCAGATTTGGGTTTTTCAGATTAGGAATACTCAACCTGATGAAAAGTCTGTATGACAGCTGCATTTAAAAGGAAAAAATCCTTAATTACTCCCAGATATGAGCACAATTATTTGAACTAGAATCCCTAAATATTGTTGAGTAGAGTACTTATTCTAATGGAAATATGGCTGTGATATGCTATTAATACATCCATTGAATAGTCATGGTATTGGAAAAAACATTAATGAGCAAGGAACCAGGAGAGCAGAGTTAATGGTCCTTTGACTTCAAGGCTGTGTAACCTTAGTCAAATTACTTTATGTCTCTGAACTCCATTTCCTTCTGTCAGATGAGATGGTTGGCTTTGGATCAGTGTTTCCCAAAGTGCCGGATAATGGGTGTCACAGGAAATGATTTTAGGCAGTATACTGAATGGACTTTTAAAATTTGTGTTTGTTAAATAATGTTGGCTATCGATTTATGACTGTGACTTTCATATTTTAATTTCTGAATTAATAGGTATATTAGTCTGTTCTCATGATGCTAATAAAGAAATACCAGAGACTGTTTCTTTAATTTATAAAGGAAAAGAGGCTTAATGGACTCAGAGTTCCACATGGGTGGGGAGGGCTCACAGTCATGGCGGAAGGCAAAGGGGATATAAGACACGTCTTACATGGCAGCAGGCAAGGCAGGCTGTGCAGGGGAACTCCCATTTACAAAATCATCAGATTTTATGAGACTTATTCACTACCATGAGAACAGTAATAGTAGCAGTAGCAGCAGTAGCAGCAGCAGCAGCAGCAGCAGCAGCAGCAGCAGTAGTAGTAGTAGTGGTGGTGGTGGTGTTTATTTGATTCAATTATCTCCACCTGGCTCCGCCCTTGACATATGGGGATTATTGCAATTCAAGGTGAGAGTTGGGTGGGGACATAGCCAAACCATATCAACAGGAAAAGTAAATCAATTAAAGGAAAAAATATTAAGTACATAATAGTACAGCTGCTATAGAGATATGGCAAAAATTGTGATGTGGTACCCAGATGACCAAAAATTGTTAATCTCCACCCCAGATAATTGGAGTCTATGAGTTAAATGGTATGCCTGGTATGTACATAGAGCTTCTCTTAGAACTTTAAACATGTTTTGTATTATCTTCTTTACTATGTTTGACTATTTTCTGATAATACAGCAAAGCTAATTTCAGTGTAGGTTGTGTCTGAGTTATCTCAAAATTTGGTTTTATGCAATCTTTATGAAGACAGTTGTATATATGTGAATCAGTAGCTTTGTAGCATGACATTGGTGAAATCTGAACACCTGACCCATAGTGCTAAGACTCCATAGAGCACTTCTTGTATGGTTTGATTTGAAGGGATTTAGAAAGGCTAGAATATATCACCAGATTCTCTCTGCCAGGGTGTCTGAAATTCCTGTTTTCCTCTTTGCAGTTTCAGTGGTTTCAAATAGAAAATGTATTTACTAGTAAGTGGAAGTAGACTATCATAAAGACAAAACCTTAAAGTCACTGGCTAGGGATGACCTAAGTTGGCCTCAGTGCTTGGGAACCACTGGATTAAGGTCCAGATGGTTTCTATGAAAGTGTGCATTTGGGAAAAAGGCACTCTGTAGCTTTAGCAGCTATTGTGGCCTTGGCTGGAGCTACTTTATCAGATAAACTGTAGTCACCTCCAAGGCGTATGTGCATTTAGATATGAGGCATTCAGGTAAGATCCAGATCTTGGACAGTTCTGGATGGGACAGTGCAATGGGAATGAGAAGCCCAGGGAGGCCCAAGTGGCAGCATAAGGGCACATAGGGACGGCTGCCAAGGTTTCCCATTTACAACCTCTAAGTGGAAGGAGTGTGCTCTTATCATTTAGCAAATGGCTGGTTGGGAGTACATGGTGGCAGCTTGTGTCTCACTCTTATTGGGAGAATTTGGCCAACTCAGAATGTTTGAGTGTCCCCTTCTATGTTAAGTCGTTTTGTAAATCTGCACTCTGATGAAGTAATTTGTATTCTCAGTGCACTGCTTTTATTATGCTGCTCTCCTTCTCATGAAACATTCAGTGGCTCCCACCGACTAGTAGAACCAAGTAATCTTTTTAGTTTGGCACTCACTGCTCCCCTCTGTCTTTTCTTTCTGGACTTCTCTCTTGCTACTTCTCTGTCTACACACTCTGCTCCAGCCAAACCATTGCATCACCTCACAGTCACAACTTGTTCTTGCTCATTTTTCAGGACTGCTCCATCTCCCTGGATTGCCCCATGGGTTCCTTTCTCCCTCAGTCTTTTGCAGTTCTTGAGGTCAAGCACCATTTCTGTTTCCTCCATAAAGCCTCACACCACAATCTATCCATGTCTGAGCCTCTGCTCCTTTGGAAGAGAAGTCACTAGGGTGGAGTAAGCAGTAGGAGACCTGGCGCTACAGAAGACTGACCTTGGGCAAATCAACCTCGCTAGGCCTTTGTCGCCTTGGCTAGAAGATGAGAACTTTGAGAATAAACATCTTTCCTCTCTCCTAGGAAGACAGGATGAAGTGATGAATGTAGAGAAGCTTTGTGAATATCAACACACTGTACTCATCTAAGGGATATTCTTTGGGAATTAATCATAGACTGACTTGAAACTGCTCTTGTATTGCTGTCTTATGATGCAGTTCACCTGCTGTATTGTTGTTTAACATTTTTCTGCATCTGTCCTGACTCTAAGTTGGCATTTTCTTCTCTTTGTAAGTAATTACAGACTTATGAAGATGCTATTCATTACAAAATAACACTGTAAAAGTGATGGAAAAATTTACTTCCAACATCCATTCTCTTTAGTTCTTTCTTTTCTTACTTTTTTCCTCATAGTAAGCACCTATCCTTATGTAGTTGTCTTTACCAGACTCTCTCTCTCTCTCTCTCTCTCTCTCTATATATATATATATATATATATATCAGACTATATATATATCAACTATATATGTATACCAACTATATATATAAACTATATATATATCAACCATATATATATTAACTATATATATATCAACCATATATATTATATATATATATATATATTTGACTCTTGAACAATGTGGGGGTCAGGGGCACTGACTCCCCTGTGTAGTCACATCTAATAAAATTAACATAAACTTTGACTCAAAACCTAACTACTAATAGCCTAATTTTGACCAGAAGCCTTACCAATAACATAAACAGTAGATTAACATATATTTTGTATATATATTATATACTGTGTTCTTATAAATAGTAAGCTAGAAAAAAGAAATTAAGGAAATCATAAGGAAGAGAAAATTATTTACTCTTTTTTTTTTTTTTTTGAGATGGAATTTCACTCTTGTTGCCCTGGCTGGAGTGCAATGGCATGATCTTGGCTTACTGCAACCTTTGCCTTTGCCTCCCAGGTTCAAGCAATTCTCCTGCCTCAGCCTCCCAAGTAGCTGGGACTACAGGTGCGTGCCACCACTCCTGGCTAATTTTTTATTTTTTATTTTTTTGTATTTTTAGTAGAGACGGGGTTTCACCGTGTTAGCCAGGTTGGTCTTGATCTCCTGACCTCGTGATCTGCCCACCTCGGCCTCCCAAAGTGCTGGGATTACAGGTGTAAGCCACTGCACCCGGCCGAAAATATATTTACTCTTAAGTGGAAGTAGACTGTCATGAAGGTCTTTATCCTTGTCATCTTCACATTGAGTAGGCTGAGGAGAAGGAGGAGGAAGAGGAGGTCTTGGTGTTTCAGGGGTGGCAGAGGTGGAAGAAAATCCATGTACAAGTGGACCCATGAAGTTGAAACCCATGTTGTTCAAGGGTCAACTGTATGTATGTCTATACCCCCTATCCTGTTGTCCTGTTTAGAGTACTGTTCCTTTGTGTATCTGCTGGATACTCTCAAGGGGAAGCTACCTGCAGATCTTAGGGAAATTTCCCTCCCAGAGTTTGTCATTCATAGCCCGTGAGTAGGTTTGCAGTACACACTGCTGATTTTAATCAGTGTCAGCAGTTGTAGTTCATTGCTATGTTAGAGGATACATGCTCTAGGGTGAAGGGCAAACACACAAAGCCCCAAAGGTTCTATTTTTGGGCTGAGACTGAGAGAAAAATACCCATGGTGTAGTGTTCATCTCCCAACCTGTATTTCTAGCTCATTTTCTCTGAACGTTTCTTCAGCATCGCAGTCTCTCTCTTCTGAAGATGATCCCATCCTACACACTGGCTCACTGTGAGACAGCAACTCTCCTTGAAGTACAAGCTGTGGGGAGGCAGCGTTTACTTCAGGGTTTGGTAGATCTGGGTTTACAGTTGGCCTCTGCAAACTGTACTCTGGTCATAGCCAGACTGCACTCTGGTCATAGCCGTGTGACCCTTGTGTGCAAATTGCTTAATTTCAGTCTTAGTGTCCTCATCTGTAAATGTAGCAGTGTATGTTCAAGGGCCTAGCACAGTGCATTCAGTCATTTTATGATGCTCAATTTCTTATCTTTCTTTAGTCATGCTTGGTCCTAAAAGCATTAGCCCAGCTTTCCTACCATGTTGTGTCATCCACACTCATCTTGGGTGCAGAGTCTGCTACCAAGGCAGCCAGCAAGAGTCCTGGGCAAGCACACTGCGAACAGGCCCTCCAAAATGCACAGCCTGAGAGTGCACACTGCCTGCTCCCTGGAAGGACAGTTGGAACATTCACAGACCAGGCCTGGTCATGTTTTCATCAGGGAGGCCAGTCCCTTTTTAGCTTACTTTAATCTTGATTAACAGTATCAGAAAAGCAAAATATTGAAAGAGATGTACCTGTTATGGAATAAAAGTTGTACAATTCAGGCATGTATGCAAAAACTGAACACACTTTCATTTAAAATTTGTGATGTAGACAGAACATTTCATTAAAAAATATCAGCCTTGATAACCTAGGTGTATGTAGATAGGTCTCAGGTTTAGGAGCTGGCTGATTGTTATTGGTTCTGCTGTGGGTTTTGGCTGGGGGTTGGGCTTCTACAGCAGTCATTTTAGGTTAGTATTATTTCATGTGCCCTAATGCATGATCCTGGTTGTGCAGAAGTGGTTCTTGGAGGTTGATGCCTTGTGATCTCACTCCTCTGGTCTTTGGTATATACAGTCTTGCTCACTTTGAATGGACTTCCCTTTCCTTTTAAGCAATGTGACTTGTCACACTCCATCACTCCAATTTTGACTTGCTTTTCAAGACCTGGTTCAAATCCATCTTCTTTGTAAATTCTTCCCTAAGTGCCCCATCTTAGTGACTGTGAGTTACTCCTGTAATAATGGCAGGGTGGGTATTACATTTGGCAATTAATTCTTATGACTTTGTGGTCTCTATTCTATTGCCATTTTGTTTTTGCTTTTTTAATTTTTAACTTTTTTATTTCAATAGGTTTTTGGCCAACAGGTGGTGTTTTGTTACATGAATAAGTTCTTTGGTGGTGATTTCTGAGATTTTGGTGCACACATCACCTGAACAGTGTACACTGTGCCCAGTGTGTAGTCTTTTATCCCTCACCGCCTTCACCATTTCCCCCGTGTCCCCAAAGTCTAATGTATCATTCTTATGCCTTTGTGTCCTCGTAGCTTAGCTCCCACATATGAGTGAGAACATACGATGTTTGGTTTTCCATTCCTGAGTTACTTCACTTAGAATAATAGTCTCCAATTCCATCCAGGTTGCTGCAAATACCATTATTTCGTTCCTTTTTATGGCTGAGTAGTATTCCATTACACACACACACACACACACACACACCCACACACCCACACACACACCACATTTTCTTTATCCACTCATTGATTGATGGGCATTTGGGCTGGTTCTGTATTTTTGCAGTTGCAAATTGTGCTGCTTCCTATTGCTATTTTGAACTTCACTTTGGACTTTGTGGTTATCCTTTTCCACACATGTGTGTGCCTGCCTTTGTACTTCTTTCTCCACAAAGTCTCATGCAGTGCTCAGCACAGAGTAGGTAATCAAAAAATATTCTGTTGGTGGATTGGAATGAATGACTTTTTCCTCCCCATTCTCAGTCTCCCAGGAAGCTATTCCTTTTCCATTCCTGGATAAGCTACTGTGCCCAGTGTTGCTTCGTGTGTCCCTTGGCAGTCACTGGGCACATACCAGAGAATTGCCGTCTCCTGGTGGTGGAAACAGGTCTGTGGGGAGCAAGAGGGGGAGGCCTATGAACCACTGGTGTTTATATGTCCTGGGCACAGCAGTTCATCCAGACAATTCTTGGGTTTGTGAGCTCTCTGAGCCACCTTTGAGCGTGGCTTAGACTTTGACTGTATTAGATTGAGGGGACACTGCTCTGAGGTTCTGCTGGGACCCTGATCTGATGTGGTCTCTCCCAGGTTCCATAGAACAAGTCTGGGCTGTCTCTAGTAGAAAGATAAAATGAGGAAGATGAAGGTGTGGGCTATTATTCTTCTGAGCAGATTGAGTGTTACTTGCTGATTTTCGACTCTCTCTGCCTCTCACCACTATAACTGTGAAGGGGTTTTAGCCATTTCTCTGAAACACATAATCCGGGGGCCTCAGTATCTTTAAATGCATAAATCAAATAGTGACTTGATAGTGTTGGCAATTGCCTACAGCTCAGGCGCAATTCACCTGCTTTGGGTTTATACAGTGAATAAATTGGCTGAAAAGGTAGCTGTGTGTATGCATACATGTGTGCATTTAATTTTTTTAGGGGAATGTATTTAGAGATGATGGTATAAGAAGAGAGAAGATTCTTAAGGCATTTTCTGTGAAGTTGAAAATAAATTCAGACATAGACAAAGATGGGGGAAATATGAAATTAATGGTGTTTTATAATGAATTAAGAACAGTGAAAAAATATGATACCCCAAAGATAAGAGGATCAAGACAGATCAGATGTCCATGTGCACAAAATGGTGTGTGTGTGTGTAATTATCTTCTTTCTCCTATTTCCTCCAATCCCCCTTTTGAGCAGGCATCTGGGCCATTGTGCATGTAGCCTTATCTACCGTTTTTACTTTCTGCAAAGTCATATGTTTTTAGCTGTGATTGCAGTCACTACCAAGTAGCTCACCTTGTCTTGAGTAATGAGAATAAACAACTGGTCACTGCATTGACCACTGAAACTAATAAAGATATATAGTGCTGGGCTGGCTTAGGGAGTCACAGACGCATTCTTAAACTCTATGTGACATTTATACCAAAGGAACATGATTCCAAACTCACTCACTGCTTACCCATTCTGAGAAAGAACAAACTATTTGACTGATGGTTTGCTAAATTTAATATGCTTAGCAAGTAAAATTATTGCCTACTCTAATGCTGTGTAATTATTAAGATACACTGCTTTTAAAAATACCAAGTGAATAATATTGATTTAGTGAACTGCTATTTAGAAAAATGCCAGCAAAGGAGGAATATTTTATTTTAGCTGCCTTAGAGCTGTAATGGGTCTGGGCTGAGATATGCATGTGGAAATAAATTATGTACAAGGTAAACTATTTTGTTATACAGTACCCATAATATTAATTAAGCCGTAATTTTACCAACAATGCTTTAATTTAACAAATAAACAGGAATCATCTGTACCATTCTTTCAAATATATAACTCTGGGGCCATAATAAAACATGCTGAAGCACCTGCAGTTAATTGTAAAGCAAACAGTGAGACTAGCAACTTTAAAGGGTAATTGTAATTTATAATTTATTTATTTGATTTATGCTGGATATAATTACTGTTATAATGCATTATTATTTTCAGTCCAGCATTAGATCTATCTGATTCCAATTTAACACAGGCAGCCTGGCAGAGCTTTCTTCGTGGGCCCCTTGAAAGTGGGCTCTGCTCCCCTCCCTTTCCTGGAATGGGAGCTTGTAAAATAAAGAAGAATGGATGGGCTACTGTCAAAGACAATCCTTGTTCAAAGCTGTAAGAATATTTTCATTTCCATTAAAGCCAAGAATTTTTCCTACCCTTTCAGTCCTTTAGATAGCAGTATTGTGGAGTGACATTGTCAGGGTCTGCACACAGCTCAAGCCACAGTGAATGGGCCAGGCTGAGGACTCCAGAGGGAAGGGGTGAAAGGGACTGACTGCAGGAGCTCAGCGTTTTCTTAAATTCGAGTCTGAGAGTTGCTAGTGTTTATTGTTGTGGTGTTTTTGGTCTTTGTTGTTGTTATTTTCAAGAGCAGCCTGGAAGAACAGCACAAGGAGGAAAAATACCACCACGGAAGAAAAGAAGCAATTATAGCAGACTGTTTGTTTGTGGCTAACAGAATGCTGAAATGGCAGATTTGCAAATTTGTAAGAGAGGGAAGCTTAGTGTTCATCTTTATCAGCCAAAGTGGTTTCTTTTTAGCTGAGCAGCAAGCTAGAAAGCAACCGATTTTGACAACATAATTTACATCTTTGTATAAAACTATCGCTGGCAGCCGAACTAATTTGTGCTGGATTAGGTTGTTTGTCTCTGCTGCTGACTAACCATGCAATCTATCAGAGGCCGTTTTCAAATATCACTTTTCAACTGTGCACTTGAGAGGGGGAATTGATCGGGAATATACGGAGCAAAATTACTCCAATAACTTTATAGAAGAAACAATTACGGAATCATACAGATGTGAATAATTCTGAAAAGTAGAAACAAATATAATGAATTTAGCCCTGTTCCTATCCTTCATGTGCACATGAAACTTATAAATAATACAATAACATATTATTGGCTCTGTTTCTTCTCTCTTTCTGGATCTTGGTTGTCGATGACAGAATTAGGAGAAAGACTAAGGGAGGGGTCAGTGGAAAAAATTCTTGGAGATCATATTTGAGGATTTTGAGATATAGGTTTTATGTGGGAATGTCACTTATGAGATGTTGGAGAGAATAGTTAATATACACATATCCCTTAGAATATGTCTTTTTATCCAGGATAGGTTTTATAAGTTTTAGAGTAAAATGCTGTGATAGAGAAAAAGAGGTATCAGTCAGGCAGATATATGTGTGTTACCAACATGGGTGATAAACATGGGAATGTATTTTATCACATATTTCTACATTATATTAATAATTTTACCATGGAGAAGAGGAATGGAGTCTCTCTTATGCTTTTAAGTGAATATTTTAGATGTTTCTTCCTGTCCTCAAGGGAGATCTAGGATGATAGAATAATATAAAGAGGGCAAAAGCGGGGGTTGTGGAATTCACAACTGATAACCAAGCTGGAGTTGTTTATAAAATGCCTGAGATTAGCCAGCAAACAAAAAAACCATTAAGCACCTATTACTTTAAAGCAGTGGGCACATTTTTCATCACTTTCCTCTGATAAATTTTCACTTGTGCATCCTGCTCCAGGTAATTAATTGCTTTCAGTTCAGTGGAGTAATAATGCAATAAATTATGCCAGTATTTCTAGTCAGAGGATCATATTGCAGCTTCCTAACCAAGGCACACTAATAACAATCCAGGAGACTTGTGGGCCATGAAAAAGCCCCATTATTATAAATTGGTTATGTAAAGAGTCACAAGACCAAGTCTTCAAAATTTCTTTCAGACAGTCGGATTCAGGGAAGTTTGCACATTCATAAGTTTGGGCAGGATAGTCCTGTGGTAGAATCACATAGTTAGTCTCAGCCCTGGAAGCTTTGCAGACACCAGCCACTCAGTAGTGACAGTGGGACTGCTGCTGAGTTGGGGCAGAGCTTGAGTGGGAAGGACCTTCCTGATGGTAGTGATGCTGTGATAATAGTTAATGGTGTGTTGAGTGGTTGCTGCATACAAGCACTGTTTTCAGCACTTTACATGCACCAACTGTATTTAATCTTCATAACAACCCTGTGAGAGAGGACTATCAATATTCCCATTTTAAAGATGAGGAAACTGAGGCACAGACAGCTTAGGTGACTTGTCCAACTGATAGGAGACACAGGATTCAAATCAAGGCCATAAAGCCCGAGAGTCCGTTTCTGTCTTTTCCTATGCACTGTACTGCATCTCAGAATGAGATATTCTCAAGACTCCAGGCTGATTAGAGTAGATCAGGGTAGGGTGGGGTTGGAGGGAGTCAGGGTGGTGCCACTTATTTGGTAAAAGTAATTTTGTATCTTCCTTAGTTATTTATCTAGGTGAAAATATCTAGTTATTTATCTTTGTTCATCTTCTGTCTCTAACCTGTAGATTTCTTGCTACAGCTTGTTAATTTCTCTTTCTAGGCTTAAAAATAACACAAATATCTGCTCATTCTCCTTTCTGTAAAATACTTCAATAGTTACTGTTCTCTCATCCTATCCCCCCACAATCTTTTCCTTCTCAAGTTCCAATTTTATGAAAAGTATCATAGAGAAAGGATTTTTAAAGACATCCATGTTTTTCTTTATTACATGGTATACTTTTAATTTTTAAAGTGGAGAGAGTATTTTTTTTTTTTGAGGGTCTCACTCTGTCACCTAGGCTGCAGTGCAGTGGTATGATCATAGCTCACTGCAGCCTTGACCTCCTGGGCTCAAGTGATCCTCCTGCCTCAGCCCCTTGAGTAGCTGGAACTACAGTCATGCCTGGCCATGCCTGGCTATTTTTTTTTTTAATTTTAATTTTTAGTAGAGACGGGGTCTTGCTATGTTGCCCAAGCTGTTCTCGAACTCCTGGCTTCAAGTGATCCTCCCACCTTGGCCTTCCAAAGAGCTGGGATTACAGGTGTGAGCCACCACACCCGGCCAAGAGGATGCTCTATTTTAGCTACTCACCACCTACCCGTGGCACAGACATGCCTCAGCCCCACTGAGAACAGCATGCGTGGTAAGATAACCAATTGTCCTTGGTTCCAGCTGCTCATGGAATGACAGCCCGACATCATTCCTCTCCACAATCCTTTGACAAGCTAGAGGTTTTCTTGCTGCCTTTACTTTTGAGTGGTTTTTTGTGCTGGTCAGGGGTAGGGGGCAAATAAATGTGCTCTAGCAGAGAACCTGGGGCTGACACATCAAGTAGGGGTGGAACCAGGAAAGGGAGACTATGAATTGAGGAAGAAGAGAAGAACTGCTCTTCTTTGACCTCAGGCTGGGGTGACAAGTGTCTTACCAAGTTGCTAGGGAGGGGAAGGTCCTCTTGGAGAGTGTTTAAGGAATAGGGTGAGTAGGCTTCATGGAGTTTTGGATGTTTTCGTATTAATTCCTGTTCCAATGACAAGTCCTAAAATCTACCATTTGGCAGGTTACAGTGCAAACAGGGAGGTAGAGAGCATGCCACTGTCCACAGCTTTCCCTGGGTACCCACAGTGAGGGAAAAACATACAGTTGTTTATGTGACAGCAAAGCCATCTTCTGCCTGTATGGCCTGATGGTTGCTGGGCTATGTTGACTGACAGAGAAGTGGACAGGCTAAGGTTGGAGGGTCACTCTTCTGTGTTGGTGACAGCATCCCTGTCTGGTTTTCTACAGCCCCATCTTGGGTGGACATTCTAGTTGTTGCTCCAGCCATCGGGCTTTGACACTAATTTACTACCACTAATGCTGTGCTGTCCCTTGAGCTGAAGTGATGGTTGCCTCATGACTGGATGCTTCATTTATTGATCCCACCTTCTCAGCCCTCCCTGGAGGAAGGGCTGCATTGGTTCATGCTATAGTAGTCAAAGACTATTTTAGGTTTGGCCTGACAGATGGCCAGTGCTTACCCTTGCAAACAAGCTCTCTCATCTAAAGTAGTGACCTATCAGTTGAGCTTGTATTTTATTTTCTATGTCTTTTACTTACCAGTGAGCTCTAAAATTCAACTTCAAATAGTTATTTACACATATTAGTTTTCAGACACACAGTGTGATTTTTTATATTATTTGTGAGCCAAGGGTTGAATTTCCTGAACAAAGTGGGAAGCAGGTGGAAGGGAGAGGGATTTTCCTTGGAAACTGTCTCCCCTATAACAGTTTTCCTGTGTTCTTCTGTTCTCCAGATATTTGAAGATATGGAAAAAGATGATTTTTAGAAAAGATCATAGGTCTTTAAAGAGATGAGTTATGGCAGTTTTGCTTCATGTTTGGGACTGATGGAAAGTCAGGAGTGGAGAAGGTTTGGGCCACAGATGGGATTGATGAGTCTGGCTGTTCAAACACAGTCCATACAGACTCCACAGAAGGTCAGTGAGACAAAAGGCAGAGGGCCTCAGTTACTGCTGTGGGCAATACTCAATCAAAAGCAAGAGTGGAGAGCACAGCAGACAGTCTACCACGATGCTTGGATCTCACTACCAACAGAAATCTACCTCTACCACAGGAGAAGAAAATCGCCATCTCTGAAGCCCCAGGCACCTGCTATGGGCTTGCTTCCAATCTGGGGAAGATATGAACACTAAATTGGGAGATTTCAGATGTATTCAAGACCCAGAAAAGATATGTAGACTCTTCATGTAGTAACAGTAAAGGCTTTGTAAATATGTATCTTTTAAATCGCAAAAATAATCATGTTTGCAATTGCTTGTTTTATTCTCTGTCTCTCCTATTTGCTTTCACTGAGTGGGCAGGGATCCTGTCTGTCTTGGTCAACATATCTCCAGCATCCTGGATGGTGCTTGGCCAGTGGTTAGCCCTCAGTAATATTCTTCAGTGGAAGAAGAGCCATTGTTGAAATTTGGAAAATATATCTGAGTACAAAGAAGACAATAAAACATCATCCATAATCAGACTACACTGAGTTGACTGCTGTTATAGATTTTCTTATGTATCTTTCCAATCTTTTTTCTGTGTATTTCCCTACACCTACAACTACTAATACTGAGAGCTACATTGTCCACTCTCAGAGTAGGATGATAGTGCATAAAGTTTAACTTTTCTGTTTGTCAAATTTATAAAATTCCCTGGCAAATGGCAACACAACCTGATGGACACTGGTCTGTGACTTGAGCTTTATATTATGAAAAATGCTAAGTTTGAGGGTGGAAGGTGTAGAAAAGATAATAAGATTTCATTCTCTCCTTTTTATATTGTTCCTTTGAATCACAGAACAATTACACTACATTTTCTGCTGGTCTATGTACTATTCATTTTCCAGCTATGAACCTGATTGCACTGAGGATCAAATGTACTTCACAGTGAAGATAGGAATATGATTTGGAGAAGAAAGAGATGTGAGGTATTGCCCAGACTAATAATGCAAACTATCGAAACAATTCAGTCATTTTCATAGAAGTCTCCACAGCTTGGTTCTGCTTGCTGAAAGCCCAGCAAACATCAGTGGAATGCTTGTGCTCCCTTCTGCAAGCCAAAGCCAGGGGACCCCCAGCACTGTTAGCCTCTGACAGCCGGCACCACCAGACCTCCAGCATAGTCACCCATTAGAACTGCTGTGTCTCCTCAGTGGGGCTGGCCATGCATGTGCCACTGGTTTCCAAAAGTCCACCTGAGTAATGCTGAGAAGGTGCAGGCTGGGGCACTTGCCTTTCACACTGCTTCGTGGCATCACTGCCTTAGAGTACCCAAGAAAGCCAGCAGCCTCCTCATTGCCCAAATAGCCATGGACCCCAAGATGGGTTAAATCCCTCTAGTAGCATTTTTAATGTCTCCCCTTCTTCAGGGCTTCACTGCTTTTCCAGATGTGAAAAGCACGTACACTTACAGTAACCCAAACCTGTAAGTGAGAAGCCTTTTGCCTCTCTTCTTGCTCTTGTTAGAGCTGGCCACAGAGCACTCAGTTACCTCACTGTGACTCCCCAGATACTGCCCTGGGGCAGAGACCTCCTCTCATCTGAGAAGAAAAGCTGGGAGGTTGACTTAGCATTCAGTATGAAAAAGGCCCTGCAGTCATCATCTTCATCTAGTTGGGAAGAAATGGTGGGCAAGTGAAGCTGGAAGTTTTCTATTAATATAAATGATGAATTGTAGGTTTTCTTTCCCCAATCTTTTCTTTTTTCTTTCTCTTCCTCCTCCTCCCCTTCTCCTTTCTGGATTTAAGAAAGGGTCCTCAACTTTGTAATTTTAAAACATGTTCTCCTACACATGTCATTGCTCTTTCTAATAGGATCTGCCAGAATCGCTGTGTGCAGAGCCCTGCATTTTCACGTTATTATCTCACTGTCTATCCCGAGTGTTATAGCCTCACAACGACTTCCTAACTAATCAGCTATTTCAACTTTCATTCCATAAGCTTTATGTCTGAGTGTAATTAAATGAGCATTAAGTCCTCTTTTTTTTTTACTAGCAAAGCCTGAAAGTTCTGATATTACAGTAATAAGTGTGAAGTGAATTTTGAATGGCATTTATATCTGTTCATGGGCTCTAAATGTTTGATTTGCATAACTAGTTAAAATGATATCAGAGCAGCATATTGATTTAATTCCATCTCAGAAAACTGTTAATTAATAATGGTAATAAATGTGTCAGTCCTTTATTATCTGCTTTGAATTGGTGATGATAGCTATATTAATACCACTTCAGTAATAGACCTCTGCTGGCTATTGTTGGCAAAACTTTCAAGGCCTGAATCATCTGCAATCAGAATTTAGAAAATTTATTGCAGATCAGTTTTAAAAAGAACAGCCATTCCATCATATATGTAATTTTATTAACACCTACATTTTAATTTAACATTTTATTTACATAAATCATCGTGATCAGGAGCTTTAGGAGCCTTTTAAACAAAGGCACTTTTTCATTTTTATATCCCAAGTTAAAATTTGCCTGATGGAAGGCCTGGGCCTGGGGTGATCCCTTCTCGTGGAGTTGGCAGACCCACGGCCCTCCTGCTGCATTTTCCTCCTGGCTGGGTGGGCCACTCTGTGGCTCTCATTGTTAAGGCAGAATTAGCTGGTTCTGTTGCAATGCCCAGGGCTTGTATTTGTGTGGGTATGGTGTGATTGCAGAAAGCAGGAAGACCATCCCCCGCTTCCCTCTCCACTCTTTGAAGGACTAGCATAGTTTCGGAGACCAGTCTTCGCTGGTTTTTGCGGGCAATGCAAATACCAAGATGGCCTCTCCATCGTTGAGTTTCTGGCAAGCAAGCAAGCATAATATAAATGTCTGTCTTGCAGTTTCTAGGCATTTCCCCAGACTGAGAGCTCCAGGGCCTAGTAGTGCCAGGTTTCCAGAAGGGATATTAGAGTCCCAAGAAGAAATCTTCTATGAGGCTCTCACAGGCTTAATCTCCATCATACTCAGTAGCCATGACTGTTGATGAATGTGTGTTGAAAATTTCCAAATCTCTCTGTCAGCTTTGTTTATCTACAAAATGGGTGACTGGTTAGATTAAATGAGATTTCATAAACATACATATATATCACAAGGCATAGCATTCAAAAGACATTTAATGATTGGCAGTCTTCTCTTCATTTCTCTTAAGGTGTAAGCACACATTTAACCATCCCTTTCCATGCACAGACTGAATAAAGACTTGGGCAGCCTTCATTCTTGGAATCAGCAGTTTTTCTAATTGTTGATTCTAGAAAAAGGAGCTGAAGAACTTGCCACTTTCCCCATCCGGAGTTTGCCCTGGGCCTGGCTATGTGGATATAAACATGGTCTGTTTACTTGGGGCCTGCTTCCCTCCTCGTCCCTCATGTTTGGTTCACATTCATGGCTATCAATGGCTGTGACTTATTTGGAATCTGTGTGAGATCTGCTCCTTTCTTCTCCTGCCCCAGAGCCAGGCCTGAACTTGCCTTTACCTTGTGACTTTCCTGCTGACTTCTTCTTAGGAAGGAAATTTCTAGCTGTGATCCCATGTTTCCACAGAATCTTCTCATTGATTATCACTGAACTATGGCCCAGAGAGTTTTTAACATGCCCAAGACCTCGTACTCCTCACCCTAAGTCCTATATCCCTTCTACCTCCCCTGCTGCTCTACTCAGGTAGCTTGTGGGACCTCACTGCAGCCACCTGGAGAAAAGAACCCCAGCTTCTTTTGCAGTTTCTCTATCTTTTGCAGTTTCTGCTCATGACTCCCCTTCTAATGTCCAGGCAGTGAACCTCACTGCACCCCCCCCGCCCCGCCACCCAACATGTTGCCAGGAATAGAGTGCTTTGGCCATAAGATCAACTCCCCAAATCTCCCTTAGTGTGATCTTATTATTGGTCCTTTCCATTTTTGATGGGGGGGAAATACCCTCACGTCCTTTGTGTGAGCCTGTGATGGATTAGCACAGCTTGGACGGAGTGTTGCTTTCCAAACTCCTGTGGGTGTGTCTCCAGCTGAATGTTCCTCTCCTGACTTTGATTTCTCTCTTGGTGAGTCGGGGTGTAATTCGCCTTGACATCACTGGCCATCAGCGCCACAGTGAAGTGGGCCTTCTTTGACTCGAAGTGACAGCTCTTGGCCCCTGTGACATTGTTTCCATAGATTTGCAATGAAACAGTTTTATATTTTTCAAAATAGAGTGATCTCCTATGACTGGCATTGATGTGGTTTTCGCCATGGTCTTCTGGAGGGTAAAGCTGTTTCCATTGACCCGCCCTAAATTGATTCCCTTATTCTGGCATCTGGACACATTGCTCTTAGGCTGCCTGGGATGATGATTTTGTTTGTTTGGTTATTTTTAAAATCAGTGTTGGATGCCATAATGTGTTCTGTCCTTGTATGGATCCTTTCCCTATTATTTTGTTGGCTCCTAATATTCCCAGACGTTGGCTGTGCTTCTGGCAACCTTTATACTTCTGCTCTTCTACATTGCATAGCAGACAGCATCCCAGAGAAGAGTCAGCTTGGTACCATCCCCTGGGAGCTTGGTTACTCTAGTGCCTTTCCACAGAGAGAATTTGAGATAGAGTCAGAGGGATATCAGCCTCTTAAACTTTTGTCTATGATGTGGAAATCTTTGGAAAGATGATTAGGGAAAGGTATTGGGCTGTCCATTGGAGGTCCTTACTTTTCAGAGAGGCTTAAATTACAATCTGGTTGTTCTCAGCATTTTCTAAAAATACTTGGAGGCAGACGAGGATGTCTCATCATCCCATCTAAAAAGAAAAGAGTGTTGTGTTATCTCTTTTTTCTTTTTTTCCTTGAAGGCTCTAACCTTTGGACTTTGAAATTTACCATCTTAAGTTAGCCAAGATTGAGTATCAGGGATGGCTTTCCTAATAAACTCTCAGACTTATTAGAAAGTTTAGCGTTTAGAGAAATATTTTAATATTTTATCTAAGCTTGCAACTCTCAGACTCTCACCTGAGTTATATGCTAAAATGTGCTGGGGATTAAAAAAAAGATCAGATTTTCTTTTTTTCCCTGATATGTGCCTTGTGGAGAGGGAACCATGCTGACTTTGTATCAAGTGTAGGGAGAGCCTGTGTCTTTTCTGATGCAGAAAGGCTGAACATGTCCCTAAAGAGTGAGGTTAGTTTTTTTGTTTAGTTTAGTTTAGTTTTTTTTTTTTTTTTTTTTTTTTTTTGCCAAGAGTCTTTCCCCCAGTGTTCAGAGCCAGGCAGCCACGTCTGCCCCAAGATGTCTGGTCTGGGCTTTTGCCTTGTCATTGACTTTGCTGTAAGGATTTTCTCGACAACTCCATGCAAGTGTTTCTGACAGTGGCTCCTCCCTGTGGGTTAAGGGAGGGGGTCCCAGGGGAGCAGACTCCTGGCAGAAGATGTGGGGAGGGCTTGAGCGTGTGTTTGAGAGGAGATGGGATGTCAGGCTCAGGAAACTTCTCTGGAGCTGTCTCCCAAGGCATTGAGAGTATTTACATATAGTCTGGAAAAAAATTAAGACCAAACTTCGCAAAGTGACGGCTTTTCTTTTCACAGCCTTTGTGCGCACATTCTTTTAGATCCTGGCCTGGTTCTTTCTCTCTAGTGGCCACAAACCTTATGGCGTAACTTTCTAAATGGGGAGAAGAATGTCCAATTTAGAGCCTGCACTTAGAAACCTGGGAATAGTTGGTTTGTGAATTTTGGTGGCAGTGAGTAACCCATTGTGTAAGTGAAGACGTTGTTACTGCAGAAGCTGAGTTTAAACATCCTCTTTGATAGTGTTTGTATGAATTTGAGTGTACTTTTCTCCACTCCCTGTGTGGGTTTGTATTCTTTAGTCCCAGCTGTTTGTGATAATTCACTGTCAAATACATAATTAACAATTTTGTAAGTCAAGTTTAGTGATGTTTTTACATTCATGCACTGAATGTCTTTTCTGTCTTAAGCCAGGTCCATCTTTTTAATTTAATGTCCTTCCAGCCCCAGCCCCGAAGAAAACCTGTTTCCAGAAAATTTGTCATTCTAATATCTTTCTAAAGAGGTAACTGTATCAAAGTGGACTTGGGAAACTGTATCAAAGTGGATTTGAGAATACAGATGTGGATTGTGGTGTGGAATTGCTTTGGAATTCAAAGCTGGTAGTGTAGACTGAGTTGATGATGGATCCAGTTGTAAATAATTTTTTTGCAACAGATGATGTCAGTGACAGTTTTATAACTGGGATTACAGTAGACTAGAATAAGTTGTTGGAATATGGGTGAGAAAGCAAGTCAGAACCAAGTGTTTAGTCAATAAAATAAAACCAAAGAGTTAAAAAATTAAGGAATATCTATTTACGTGTTTTATTTGGAAGCACACATTATAGTGGCTTCACCCACAGTGTGCTGTTTTAAGCATTCATTCTAACTTTCTGATCTTAGGAAATTTATTAATATAAACAATCTCTTAGGGTCAAAGGAGAAAACCAAATTATCTTAAGGGAATTCAAAATTCATTTCTGATAAAATATCCCGGTAAACTAGCACTGGAGACTTAACACGATACAGACTCTTTACCTCAAATCAAAAGCAGACATCTTCTTTTGTGGCCCTATATTAGAGAAAGTCAGGGTGGAGATAAGGGTGGCCATGTCCATTATGATTTAAATTCAGTACTTTCTTAATTTTGGAAGATCTTGCCTAGAGTTTATTGGTGCCTTTTGTGATGAATCTGACCATTAAGCATTCTATTTTCTCCTGCCCTAAGTTTACAATTTTTAAAAATTAGTTGCTAACCTTTAATGAACTGGAGGTTTCACCTGCCTCCCCCCAAAATCCTTATCTCTGACTTCTTTTGAAGATCTGGGAAAATGAACTCTTTCTCCTGAGGGTAACCTCAGAACAGAGTGGCAGCTGCTGCCTATAGACACAGAGTGGCATTCCCCAGGTGACCAGTCCTCACCTGGCTCAATTCACTCTGTATGTTACCTGCCCGCCCCAGTGGGCATTTGAGCTTGCAATCCCTGCCTCAGCTAATGCAGTAAGATAAGAAATTGAAAACAGAGGTATAAGGAATGAAAAGGAGGAGATAAACATATCATTATTTTTGAGTGAACTCATTGCTAATCTGGAAAATCCAATCAAATCAACTCAAAAACTATTAAATCAATTAGAGTTATATAAAGTAGTTAAAATATAGAAAAATTCATATAGCAAACAAAAATGGAGGGGAGGGGTGGATATGTCTCATTTCCAATTAACACTAACAACAAATACCTACAAATTCAGAAGAAAGAATGGGGGATTTATATGAGGAAAACTATAAAACATTACTGAAAAGGTGAAAGAAGATGAAAAAAGGATGAAAACAACCATATTCCCAAATAGTCCAAATTTATCAAGTTGAAATCCCATGAAAAGGTAGTCTTCCCATCTCTTAAGGGTCCATGAAATTCCTTGACACTTTTTTAAGAGAAATGTGAGAAATTGCTGCTTTGCTTTGCTCTGGGTGCCTAGGAAATTGGGACCTGTTTGGGGCAGTTTCCAGGAAATGGGAACAAGGGAATGCAGGCTCTGATGACCTTTGCACTACATTTGTGTTTTGAGTTCGTAAATCAGTAATTGATAAATGACAGGCTGGACCTCAGCTGTCTTTAAGGAACTCTTTGCCAGCAGTTACTATTATTTAAGTTTTTAATGAGCCACCTTCAGGCCAGGGTGGACTAGAGCCCCGAGAATTGTGCCTGAGTGTCTGCAAGCAGGATTTGGCCTTTCGCATGGTATGATGGCCTTGTTTTCTCCCTTCTCTCTATTTAATGACTTTTGAGGAGTTGAGGCTATTGGTTGCTGGGTGGTTTCTATTTTCAAAGTCTTTCAGTTTTTGGAGAAATTTGAGTCTGTCTGTCCCCCCAAAATAGAATTCAAGGTTCTGGCCTTAAAAACATGTACCAGGAGGCCTAATTTCTGTCCATAATTAGGGCCACAACCATCACCCACAAGGGAAAGAGATGAATGGGCCCAAAGTGGAATGTTTCTGGTTCTACAGTTACAGGGATTGATGAAAAAAGATGCATTTGATTTGAAGGATGAAAAAAATTGGTCGTTATTGACATTTAAAAGGATGCCCACACTTATTTTCCTGATTACATTGTTTGTGCAGAGGCTCCTACCCCTGCATGTTATGTTGTCAAGTTCATGTTTTTCCTTGCTATTTTTTTTTTTTTAAAACGATTGGTCTGCATTCCTGTATTTTCTAAGAAACCCATGGGTTGTGGTTGTGGGCTCGTACTGCACCCTGTTTACTCATTTTTGAGAAGCCATGTCCAAAGTCTCAATGGTTAGTGCTGGAGTGGGAAGTCCTTGTGCTTGAGATTTGAACAATTGTGCTACAGAAACCATCTTATTTAAGAAATTCAAGGTCCATAGGACGTAAGATTTTGTATCTGAACCAAATAAAATTTTAGTATATTTCTATTGATTAATCCTATGCAAATGTTTAAGTAATTCAGTGAGGATTTCTTTTGTATCCATCTACCTATCCACCTATGTACCTATGTGTAGGTACAGGAAAAAGAGTTGAAGGAAGTACATCAGTTATTCCTGGAAAGAAATATTGCATGGAACTTTCCTGCATAAGCTTTAGATTCAGACCTGAATTCAAATCCTGATGCTGTCATTTAGGAGTGGTGTGGCAATTTGACCTTGAACAAATTACCTAGCCACTTTATTTTCTTTATTAAATTTTCCCTTTCATTTTTAAAATCATGTAATCTTGTTCCTTTTAATACCTAGCCACTTTAAGTCTCACTTTCCAATGCCAAACAATAGTGAGGATTAAATTAGAGAATGAGGTAATGCATTTAGCACAATGCTGGTACATGCTAAGCTCTCAGTAAAATATTAGCTATTGATATCATTATCACTACTTGGGCAACAGGATTATAGGTGATTTTAATTGCCTTTTTTCATTTTTTTTCATGAGATGTATTATTTATAAAATAAGAAATAATAAAAAATTAAGCTTTTTTGATGAATTATACATAGAATTTTCTAAATTGATATAGAGTGATATTCTTAATTCATTAGGTGATAAAAATCCAGTAAAGGCCATCAGCCCTGCTGTATTTCTGGGTGAGAGCCCAGCGTCATGAACAGCCTTCATTCCACCTGCAGTTTAGCTACTCTTAAGAATTCACCCTCTGTGGAGTCCACCTGGGGCCGGGAGATCTCTCCTTTTTCTTCTAAGACCAGAATTGGCAAAGACTTTTTTTTTTTTAACTTGTTTATTGGGTATCCATCACACATCTAGGCAATCTGAAAGAAACAAAAACAGAAAACAACCAACTAACCAAAAACAGTTAACTGAAGGGAAAGTATCTATCTAACCTATTGAACACTTACAGTATGCCACCTTTTAGTTTTATATGCATTGACTCATTTACTTTTCACATGTAGGAATTATTATGCCTACTCTATTGGAGGAGACAATTGAGCAATTTGAGGTTCTACAGAAACTGGTAGAGTGGAGATTTGAACTTGGGTCTCTCTGACTTTGAAGCTTGTAAGGTTAACTGATAGACGCTACAGTTTCTCTTTTGGTGTTGGGTCATGACTTACATTGATTCCGTTCACCTTTGTGTGTGACTGTGAACTGTTTGTAGCCAGTTCTGTTCTGATTGGTCCAGGTCTGTGCCTTGTCCATTAAATACTGTGAATATTACCTGTGGTCAAGGAAAGTTGTGCTGTTGCAGGAAGGCAGATGTGCTTTATTTGGGAGCTATTGACAGTACATACATAGAAAAATGGAGGCAGAGACAGAGAGGGGGAGGGAGGAGGCGGAGGAAGAGGATAAAGAAGCAGCAGCAGATGAGTAGAGAGAAGGGGTATGGAGTGGAGGGAGACATGGGGAGCATCATTTGCTCCAGGAGACTAATCTCTTACTGGCTGTCCTCTTGGAAAACACGTGTAGCATGTAGTGTGTAGCTGTGTAGTTTTCTCGGAAAGCTGCACCAAGATCCTGAGCTATGGAGATGCTTAGCCTTCCTTGGAAAATGTTGAGAAGGAAAAATTGGAACCACTTGGTTCCTAAGCTTTCAGAGAGCACAGGTCTTTTTAGGATTATTTTACATTGATCACGGGAGTGTCTGTCACACGTTGATTTCTGCCTCCCCTCTGGGTCTCAGCTGTCTTCCTAATAGGCAGCTGCCCAGAGTGGAATGTGGCATTGTTAACTATGAGGGGTGACTGGACTGTCAGCCCGGCTGGCAGGAACCTGGACGCTGGAGGCGCCTGACAGCAACCCCATTTGCATGGTGTGCAGAGAGCACCTGAATCCTCTCTCATTAAGTGTTACCCCTAAACACCAGCAGCACTGACAAACAGCCAGAGACCCTCAAATAACTCCCTTTAGGTCTCATCCTTCATGAGGACAGCATCATGGGGTGGTCGTTTCCAAATCTTTTTTTTTCCTCTTTATTTTAACCTTTGAAACTATTTTTCCAAGTAAGATTTCTTCCACAGAGTCCCAATACAGGATACAGACCAAAGAGAAGATGCTCTGGCTAAAGAATGGGGTGGAAAGCTTGAATCCCAACTGCTTCAGAGAGTGTCTCCATGGAATCCTCAGGTTCCTAGGAACACGGTTTGAGAATCTACAGTTGATGGCAGAAGGCAGGTTTTCAGTGGTGTGGGATTTATCATCTTGGTTTTTCCTGTTTTAACTGAGTGACTGCTGGAGTTTGCTTCCCAGGTTTCCTTCTCAAGCGGCTTTCAGAGCAATAGGCAAAAGGTTGAGAATAGCATCAAAAATTAAACCAAGCCCTACTGCAAGCCAATTTGTAAAAACTGTGTTCCAAACGGCTTTGGGGAAGAGGATGTGACACTGTGTAATGACTTCTTGGAAAATTTGTTACTTTTTCCCCTTTCTCTGTCTCCTTTCTTTCTTCTCTCGCTCTGCTTCCCCCACCCATTCCTGATTTGATGAAACCGTTTGTGATGTCCAGCATATATTTTGCTGCACACTGTGTGTTGTTGTACTTTAGCAATTTATAACTATGATCAATGTTGTGACCTTAGGGAAATTGCTTATATAATTATAGAAAGTTTACAGTCGTAAGACAAGGAATGGGGAAAATATATCACTGTAAAATATAAATATGTTTAAATTACATTTAGGATTTGGAATAGTTCCTTGCTTGTGTTTTACAGAGTAATCTGTGATTTAAATCAGGTTTAGTTGTGTTTTTTCCCCCCTAAATTGGGTATTATAAATCAAGAGTAGATGCTGGATATAGCACACAAGAGGATTTCTTATACATTTTAATGTTGCATAAGTAAGAAATACCAGTAGTTCAGCAGTAAAATTGCAAATGTAAGCAAAAGTGAAGATTTTTCCAAATTTAACTAGGTTGCATTTGTTTAGTAAACTCCAGCAATAAT
Organism: Homo sapiens; assembly: GCF_000001405.40. Lineage (NCBI taxonomy): Eukaryota > Metazoa > Chordata > Mammalia > Primates > Hominidae > Homo > Homo sapiens. The sequence goes on from NC_000010.11 coordinate 75,639,020, forward strand.
TTACTGTTTTATTACGTTTGCCTTTGAGATCTAGGCTGACTTTTTTGTTCCCTTTCTTAAGAAAGAAAAGGGAGGTACATTACTGTAATTGCTCAGAGCTAGAGAAAACCATGAGAGTACCATTTTGCGTTCCCCACCTGTGATACGTAAACTTAAAAATGTAGGGAAGATAGGATTCTTCTTCAGATTAAATGTATTTGTGGGTATATCAGTCACCCAAACAAGGCATTTTTTTGGTTGGGTCAGACTTTCCATTTGTGCTGTTTGTGGCAAGGCTAAGTGTTTTTGTGCAAAAAGTAGTAGAATGTGTTAGACCTGGCTTTACAAGTGTAAGCAGAGGCAGGTCTGCTGGTAAGGGTGGAGATGAGGGAAGGGGAGCCGAAACAGTTTGGCTGTGAATGGGCACATATCTTTCTTCAGATTCTTTTGGGGTCTCTGGAAGACAGGTAGGCTTCATTTGAGATCAGTCTCTATTATGGCAAATGGGTGAATTTCATTAGACTTAGACATGTTGAGTGCTCCAGAACCAGTGTTGGCACCGTGAAGAAGTTGGGCAGAGGGAAGTTCTCTCATTCAGCCATGCGGCTTGGCGTGCAGTGCTCCTGAAGCGGCTGATTGTCTCCCACCAGCCCCCTCCCGCCCTGTGCTTCAGATGGTTAACAGGGACCCCGGCTTGGTTTAACTTAGGTTTGAGAGAAGTGAACTCTGGGATTGGGTTGGATGATGTTGATTAATAGGAGTGAGAGGGTGAGAGACTCCAGGGCCAAGCAGTAGGTCCATCTTGGTGGCATCTGATGTTGATTGGCTTTGTCCTGCGCGGCTGCGCTCGGAGAGCGGACATTAAGATTAAGTGATGCTGTCGTGTTGAGGAGCACGGCACTGCATCATTCTGGGAAGAGACAGCTGGGGTGGTTAATCCTTCATCACCAAGGGAGCACTGCCAGCAGAAAGATATACAGCCAAAGATAACCCTCCATAACTTGTGCTAAAGATCAGAAAACTTTGAATTCACATCCATCTGCTTAGTCTGGGGTGAAGATGAAAGATAGGCAGAACAGGAAATAAAAAACTCCTGAGGGATTAATCTTAGGTATGGTATGTAGCCCACAGAGTGAGCAGGCGGGAGAGAAACTTTTACATGGCGTTTAAAGGGAATTAAATGCACCTGGTTTCATAGCAGCATTTTTAAAGTAAAATTAAATGGTACACAGTCTGATTTTTTTGTTGCATTGCCATCATTTTCACCCCAAGATGCTGCTTCCCCCCATTAGGCAGGTAGATGTTTTTCTTTCTAAGGAGGTACTCTTAAATCTGCATTTATGGACAATGAACAGTGGATGCAGATAGGAACACTGGAAATACTAATCAGCAGACAGAAGAGCATTTTGCCTTCTCCCCTCCCTTTGTGATTTTAGCAGGATGTTCACAAAGTCTGACTGTGTGTCTGCATTCTGTGTATCTGTGTCTGAGTTTAGATCTGAAATTCTCTTGCTGTGAATATTTCTCAACAGCTGCAATGATTTTATATATCACGTGTAATCGAATTATGCATTGTTGCCATACCAAAGTGATGTGCAGGGGGGAAAATAAATCAGGGAGGGAAATAAATTAGAGGCCCCTCTCCCATCTGCAGCCTCTGCATTCCCATAGCGGTCAGGCTGGGGAGTGTCTGTTGCAAGGTGAAAATGCTGGGGAGAGCAGAGCTATAGGCTCTGTCCTCAGCTGACTTTCTATGTTGAGTTCAAAGGGAAGCTTTTTTTTAAACAAAACAAAACAAAACAAAAACCCTTCAAGTGATATTTTATATTTTTTTCCCCCATGCCAGTTTGGTATTTGAGAGTCTGAGTGGGGGATTCTCAGTTTGGGGCCTGGGCCACTTGCATTGATGTGCTGAGGTGCAAGATTCTTCTGCCAGCTTCCGCATTACTTGGGCTTTACTGCACTCCACCTGTGATTGCAGGGCCCTGGTGAAGAGGATGACAACAGTAGAATACACCACTGTTAAGACACACAAGGAAGTAGAGGTGGAAAAACACTTTATGGAGAGTCAGAGACCTGGGTTTAAGTTCTTGCCAAGCTCTGTGAACTTGAGCTCTGTGTCATTTTATCTCTCTGAGTGTGTTACAAATGAGAAAACTAAGATTGAAAGAGATGAAGTGACTTGCTTAAGGGAGGAGAAAGGGCCAGTGCACCCTTGGGAGGTTAAAAAGAGAATAACAGATGAAATTCTGTATTTTTGGTTAGACGATGGGAGGAGGAGCCATCGGTCCTCCTTTGCTCTACTATGAAAGGCTTCCTACAGAAGGTGTATCTGTGTGCTGAGCTGTCCAGGATGGTCTTGATTTAGAAAATTCAAATAATACATTAATATGTGGATATGTTAATATATAATATATATATATACAGATATTATTGAAGTTTATAGTTTTGGTTTTTATTTTTAATAAAGATAGTTCATTAAATAATGGTTAAATGTGATTTAATAATTATTATTTTTAAAGACAGAGTCTCGCTGTCACTCAGGCTGGAGTGCAGTGGTGCAATCACAACTCAATGCAGCCTCGACCTCCTGAGGCTATATTTAAAAAAAATTTTTTTTTTGTGGAGACGGGGTTTTGTCATGTTGCCTACGCTGGTCTGGAATTCCTGGGCTCAAGCTGTCTTCCTGCCCTGGCCTTCCAAAATGCTCAGATTACAGGTGTGAGCCAAAAAGCCCTTGCCGTGATTTAGATAGATTTGGTAGATTTCATTTAAATAAATCTACCAGAAAGATAAATATCCAACTTAGGAAGCTGAGGTGGGAGAATTACTGAACCTAGGAATTTGAGTCCAGCTCAGGCAACATAGCAAGACCCCTACCTCTTAAAAAAAGAAGAAAGATAAATATTCTTTGTCAGGCCATGAAGTTTAATTTTGGATCTGGAAATAAGTTATGATAAATGTGCAGAGAAAGTGTATTGTACTCATAACTCCTCACATAGCAAACATGGGGTGGATGATATTCTCAACCACTAAGAAGCAGCTCATCCAAGGGTCTCTTTCCTTCAAAGACCATTACGTTGGGTTCTGTTGGCTGAGAAGGGGGTAAAGAAACAGATTCTTCGCAGATTCATGAACAGGGTGGATCTGAAAGTTTATCTTGGTGTGAGGCTCACGTGGAAAGATATGAAAAGAAGAAAAGTCTCAGCTGTAAGATGTAGTGGTCTTCATCTGTTTGAGCCTCAGTCTCAAGTCCTAAGTCTGCTAAGCATGAACGTTTCCCTGTTGGTTCCATGGTGAGTATCCAGACTTGAATCCCTGACTTCAATGTCCAGAGGACCAAACTGGGGGATTGTTGATACTCTCCAAGCTGGAAGTAAAGTGGAATTTGTGGGAGATGTGATATAAGGGCCTCCGTTTGTGGTAGTGATTGCTTTTCAGGGAATTTTATACTTGGGAACAAATCATCGGGCCAGTGAATGTCAGTGACTGTTGGGTAGTGAATATATTTTCTGCTTGGATCCCCCAAATACCCAACTTTTGCTGTTTCTGGTCACTGTAGGGTTAGCTCTTGGCTGGTCTTTTGGGAGGTTTTCCCAGTCTGAAGGGCAGTGGAAACCTCTGCTGATTCCCTATGCAGTGGATGAATTTTTGGCTAAAGTTGTCTTAGTTCCTGCCTTATTTACTGGTATAGCAAGTTGGTGTATGTGGCATAGGTACACCTTGCTTTATGTGAAAGTCACACCAGAAGGGCAGTAAAGGGGAAACAGTGCTAACTCTAGAGTTAGCAGACCCAGGCTCTGGTTCTCACATGGCCTTTGCTCCCTCAGGCTTCCTAGTGTTCCCATGATCTTTTGCTGAATTACTTCAAAATCTAGGGATTTGAAACAAGCATGTCATAAGCACATGTATTGTGTGGGTCAGGAATTTGGAGAGGCCACAGTGGAGTGGCTTGTCTCTGGTCCACAAGCTTGGACCTGGGCTGGAAGGACTCAAAGACTGAAGATGACTTGATGCTAAGGGCTGGGATTATCTGAAATGTCTCTCCATGGGCTTGGCTTCATGGCCACCTCAGCACGGTAGGACTTTTTAAAACATTAAAAAAAAATTTTTTTTTGACAATTTCTCTTAACACTTTTTTTTAAACTTTGTTAAAACTGATTTCACTCATTCATACACACATTCTGATTTCAAGAGAGTAGGTTAATTGATTCAAGTCATTATTGTCCATGCTAACTCTGGAAGAAACTGTGTAATAAATAACTAAGGGATTGAAAATGGACTCTAAATTCATTTGTTAGCAGTATGACATTGGAAAATATAATGCAACTTCTTTAAATCTCAGTTCCTCCTTTGTAAAGTTGCGATACTCCCTATTAGAAGATCAATAAGTCCTCTTCCAGGCTCCAAGCGCAAGTGTTCCGGGGAATGAGATGGAAGCTACATCCCTTTATGGTCCAGCCTCAGCAGTCACCTGGTGTAACTTCCCTGCACTCTGTTGGTGACAGTAATGCCAGCCTGCCTAGTTTCAAGGGAAGGACTTAGTCTACCTCCAGATAAGGAAATGGCAATGTCACATTCTAGAAGGGCATATTGCTGTGAGATGTGTGATACCCATCTTTGGAACATATGCCACATCAGATTTCTGTTCTGTGAAATGAAGAAAAATGAGTTGGGGCTGGAGTTAATTGGTAAGACCTCTTCCAACATTAGAATGATGCAATTCTTTAAAATTAAAATCCAATTTTCTTTAAAAAAATAATTTACAAAATGATGATATGCTTTTTTAGAGAGTCTACTTTAGGATATCTTTAAATAGAGAGGTACCCTGGTACAGTAAGAAAAAACTCTTATGCAATGTGAAAGACACTGATATGAGTGATGTGAGTCCTGTATTTTCCCCCCTAAGTTATTTCAGCAGAGTTTTATGTTGATTTGTTTTTAGTGCAGCTTTATTTCTTGTGATTTAAGAATAATTAGGTGGCATGTGAATATCTCATCATGATTTCCCTGAATGTTAAGTTGGACATGAGTTAAATGTTCGAGACATGGGATTCAGGATTAGAATGTAAGCTGGAGATCTGGGAGGTGATTAGACTTTGAAATAGGACCCAGGAACACTTGTAGCTTCCCTCTTATCCCAAGACAGGGATTAAGATAGAATGGATGGTGACCCTTCTGGAAAAAGCTTTTTCCTTGCTGGGAAGAGGGGTAAATCATCACCTTTGGCAGTGGCACCGTTCTGATACCAGATACAAGGTTTGAAGGAGGATGACTGTGGGGCAGCTGCCCTCAGGAAGGCATCACAATTAAGGAGGGAAGGGGTTAATACACTGACTAATGTTTTAGTTTACAGGCACTGGCCCTTCTCTTTGTTCTGTTTTATCATACACATTTATCACGTTCAACCTGGCAACCCAACCAAATAGCTATTTAAGTTGTAAAAATGAATCATAGCACAATTTCATGAACTGTGTGATATAACTGAATCTAATCACATTATACAATGGGGTCTTTGCCAGCATGGTGTACCTGGTTCTGGGCTTCCTCAAAATAAGTAAATAAATAAACAGGCTTCATTAAATACAGTCACAGCAGGGTGGCTGAGCCGGCTGGGTTGTGGGTCCAGGGAAGGATGCAGGCAGATGTGTCACACTGGACCCTTAGGCTTTTGTGTGCTAGCTCATCCCCGAAAAGCCTGCAGATCACACTGGCCCTCTTCTATCCACTGCATGCCGCCAACTGATTCTCTAGTTTATTAAATACGTGGCTAGAGGTCCTGGAAAGGATGTAAACCTCATGAATGAGAACTGCAAAGAAGGGCTTTACCCTACTTCACTTCTGCAGAATTCCAGAGCTTGCTTACTCTGTCCTAATTGAAAAAATGAATAAACACAAAGTCTCTACCTCAAGGCCCACTCTTAGGAGTGGTGTCTATTCATGTGTTCAGCCTCTTTCTGGGTGCTTTCTCTGTGTTACTTATTTTACTCTTTTTTTTTTTTTTTTGAGACAGGGTCACTGTCTCCCAGGCTAGAGTGCAATGGCACGATCTCAGCTCACTGCAACCTCCGCCTCTTGGGCTCAAGCGATTCTCCTTCCTCAGTCTCCTGAGTAGCTGGGACTACAGATGTGCACCACCACACCCGGCTAATTTTTGTATCTTTAGTGGAGAAGGAGTTTTGCCATGTTGGCCAGGCTGGTCTTGAACTCCTGAGCTCAGGTGATGTACCCGCCTCAGTCTCCCAAAGTGCTGGGATTACAGGCGTGAGCCACCGTGCATGGCAACTTATTTTACTCTTAAAGATAAATTGTGAACTGTAGGTGATACTGTCCCCATTGTTATAGATGAGGAAATGGAAGCTCAGAGAGGTCCAGTAACTGACTCAAGGTCACTCAGCTAGTAAATGTCAGGACAGAGATTTGAACTACCTTGTGGGTGGTAGAAGAGGCCAGAGAGGAGGGTGGGTTGGTGGGGGGTGGGGGCAGGAATAATCAACTGTGAATGTCGGAGCTAGAACGTGGCCTGGTGGTGGAGGTGCCAAGTGCTTTACTGCAGTTAGACTTGATGCTGTGGGTCGGGGGAACCCATGGGTTGGGAGGGTGATAGTAGCAATGCTGTGTAACAGAGTCCTGGTGGGGGAAACTTGACTTAAGGGGTGGACGCAGGCGGGAAAGACCTACATGGAACTTGGTGTCTTCTGGCAGGAGGGTAAGAAAGGCTTGGACTGAAGCACTAGCTGGTGGAGTAGAGAGATGAGGTCAGCCTGGTGGAATATTCCTGGGGTAGAATCAGCCACTTACAAGAGAGTCTCCACTTGCCTTTCTTGCCAATACTGGTAGCCACTTGCATTTATTCTTTCCCTTCTTCTCATCCTTCTCTGTGTCCTGCCTTTTCTATTCATCTCTTTCCCCTTTTCTTTGTCTCTCTATCTTTGTCTCCATTTCACTCTTTTCCTTGTTCCCTGTCTTTTTTTTCCTGCTCCTTTCCTGCCGTGATATTTTCCTTCCTCTATCTGTACTCCTAAACATTTTGTGTTGTGCCCCCACCTCCATCCTCACCCCCATTCTTTCTTGGGTCTTCTCTCCCTCCCCCCACATTCTTTTCCTATGGAATAAATAAATAAATAAATAAATTTTAAAATCTGTTTTTCTGTTGGTTGTGTCAGCATGTTTTAGACTGCTGGGCTTTGCATGTTTTGCAGCTGGTTTTGATGCAGTTGTCAGACGGTGATGGATGACTATCATCATTTAAAGTATAAAAGAAAATGCCTTGGCACAGAGAGACATGATGAACTGCCGTCTGCCAGCCTGGATAGGCGCGGCCACCATTTTCTTCTCCCTTCTTCCACCTCCCTCTCTGCTCACACTGCCCTTGCCAGAATCTACAAAAGTCATCGTGAGCCGTGCAGCACCGGGCTCTTGCCTTCTATAATATCACTTTGGTAGTTGTCAGATCATATGAAACGTCAAAATTCATGTGGCCTCCGCGAAGAGATATATTTAGTACAGCTGCTGCATACCTACACGCTACCTCTGACACTGACATATTAGTTATGCTGTCTTTTGCAATCTGATATCTTTAAATTTGCCACCTTGTTAAGTTTTGATTAATGTGATTCCATTTCACTAAAGTAATTGGCTTGGCCTGTTGTAAAAAATAATCAGCCCCCTCTACGGAACAAATGCTAGAACATGCTAATGAGGGAGTGAGTTCGTTACATTGATGGCGTGGACTGACAGTTATTAATGATTGTTATGATAAACAGACGAGTGCGAATTGGGATGAGTTGGGCAAAAGTGACAGTTTAAAAATAACGTATATTGGAAGGTACTAACGAAGTAATATACTGTTAGGAAAACAATCATGCAAGTTGTCAAGGAAAGAAGTGTAATTATACAGCCGTATGGGCTGCTTAGGAGGACAGGGACCTGCCTGATAATGGACACATTTTTTGTTGGCAAGAGGGAAATATGTTATGGCAGAAAGAGGTGCAGATTGATAAATTAATTGGTCCTTCTCACAGCTCAGAGAGCAAACTTGGCCGGCAGTCCCATGCAGATTAGGGAGATGGAGCTTGCCCAACGCTGCTTTTCCCCCGGACCTCCCCGGCTCTTGCTGCCAGACTTTCCTGAGGCCTTGCTTGCCTCCTCTCCTACCCTCCTTCACCAGCTGCAACAAGTCGTAGGAAGTGCATCCCGAGGCAGTGTGTACAAAGTGCAACTTTGAGCTGGAACTCTTGCAACCATGTCCAATTTTTTTTTAAAACCCTAAAGACTTAAATGCTCTATTGTTACTAAAATCTTTGGCTGTGATGGAGGTAATTATGGGTGGTTTTCAGCCCCATGAAGGAGACTCAAACAGGCTGGGGACCATGCAGAGGGAGGTGCCAACTCCATGCTTCTAATACCAGCACATTGCTGTTGGCAGTTTGTATAATTAGCCAAGATAGAGTGGCGGTAGTGGCAGTGGTGGTGTGTGTACGTAGGGGAGAAAGGGAGGCATGCTCTTGAACAAAGAGGTGAATGAGCAGAATGGGTCATGTACATCCCACTGATGTGTGCTGATGTGACAAAGAGAGAAGGCAGGTAGAAGAGGTAAGAGCTTTTTTTGTGACCCCTGTATGGGTATGGCTTCTGGGTTTGTGTCTTGGTCAAGACTCTTAATTGCATTAAAATAGTAACCAACTTGAGATAACTTAAGCATAAATAAAGGACTTATAAAGGCACTGACTTATCTCATGGAACCGAAAATCAAAGATATAGCTGGCCCTCTTGGTGACTGGGAATTGGACTTGGAGAGAGGGACCAAGGTAGCTGGTCTCTAGGTCTCTCTTAGTCTCTCTCTGGTCCCACTCCTGCCCACTTCTGCTCTCACCCACCACCCCTACCCACACCAAACCACGAGAGTCAGGAGAGTGAAGTTCTGGAGCTCGCAGTTGTGGTTTGCCTGAAGATGGGGTATTGAAAGGAATGGTTTCCACCCTTGCCTCCAAATGATACCAAATGCTACTTCTCAGAAAGGGAGCACAACTTCCCTTTGGGTGGCTCAGCTAGTATGGCTTAGGGATATAACAGGGAACCTGCTGATGTTCATACTGTGATACTTTGTTTTTCTCATAACTGTTATATCAGGATGTACATTAAGTTAAGTAATCTTCACAACCACCCTGTTAGGCAGGGGCTGTTCTCTTTATTTAACAGATGAGGATAACAAGGCTGAATGTTTGAGAACTTGCCCTAGATCATGGTGAGTGGCCAAGCTGGAGTTTTAACCAAGGTTCTGTGTCTCTGAAACCTGATGCTTCTCACCCTGCCACACTGCCTCTTGCTAGCATGGTGTGCCTTTCCCTACAACTTGGGCTGCTCAGTGGAGCAGAATTATCTGCTTGAGAATCAAAGAAAACCCGGGAAAAGTGTTTTTTTCCTGTGTCCTATTTCGACTTTCTAAGTAGAGACTGTGCAGGGGGCTCTTATAGGAAATTTATTACTTGCATTCAGATTTTGTGCTGCTCCACATATGCAAATATGGACCACGTGGGCCTGGGTCCTGGTCTGCTTGGGGATGTGAGCAGAAATACAGTCTCATTATCTGGCCATCAAGCCCTACAAAGACTCTGGAGCCTCTCTGTGCAAAACATCTAGAGCAATCCTGAAATCAAAGGAAGCTGCCAATTACCTCACAGCAAACCTGACAATTAAGAAAAAAGGAAGTTTCACTTTTCTAAGTTGGAAACAGAGAGTATTTGCTCTGGGGAAGGAGCAGGTAACTAAGGTTTATTGAATGCCTAACATGTGTTAGGGATGATACCAGGACTCCCTGGTGCTCTGTCTCATTTGGGTGGTGGGCATATTCCCATATCAAAAATGAAGAAACAGATGTTCTGAGTAGTTGAAAACTCGAACTTCCAGTGCACTGGGCTATGGAATGATTGTTTCTCCTGTTACATGGGCTGTGGTCCCATGTAACCCATTGTTTTAAACCACTTTAACCATTTTAAAGTATACAGTTCAGTGGCATTAAGTACCTTCATATTGTGCAATCATCAGCACCATCCATCTGCAGAACTTTGTTCATTTTGTAAAGCTGAAACCCATTAAACAGTAACTCCCCATTCCTCCCTCCCCTTAGCCCCTAGCAACCACAATTCTACTTTCTGGCTCTCTGAATTCGACTGAGCACCACTGAGTACCTCATATGGGTGAATTATACAGTATTTATCCTTTTGTGTCTGGCTTCTTTCACTTAGCCTATGTTCAAGGTTCATATTGTGGCATGTGTCAGAATTTTCTTCATTTTTAAGGCTGAATAATATTGCACTGTATGTATAGATCACATTTAGCTTATCTATCCATCAGTGAACAGTTGGGTTACTTCCACCTTTTGGCTATTGTGCTTTCCTAAACATGAGTGTACAGATACCTCTTCAGCACTTTGTTTTTTGAACACAACACTTGTGTATCTGTTCATATGTTGATAGGCATTTGGATTATTTCCAGTTTTTGGCTATTACAAATAATGCCACTATATGTACATACCATATTTTATCTGTTCACCCATCAGTGGAGACTTGGACCACTTCTGTCTTTGTCTACTGTGAATAATGCTGCTGTAAACATTAGTGCACAGATATCTCTTCCTGTTTCTTTGTTCAGTTCTTTTGGGTGTATACCCAGAAGAGGAATTGCTGGGTCATATTATATTTCTCATTCTTTGAGGAACTGCCATATTGTTTTTTATAGCAGCTGCACAACTTTCCGATTTCTCTACATCCTTGCCAACTCTTCTTTTTGTTTGGGTGTGTGTGATGATGGCCATCTCAGTGAGTATGAGTAGCATCTCATGTGGCTTTTATTTGTATTTCCCTAATGATTAGTCATATTGAATGCCTTTACATGTACTTATTGGCCATATGCATATGTTTTTGGAGAACTGTCTATTCAAGTCCTTTGCCCATTTTTGAATTGAGTCTTCTTTTGTTGATGTTATTGTTGAGCATTAGGACTTCTATTTTGAGTATTAATCCCTTATCAGATATGTGATTTGCAAATATATTTTCTCATTCCATAGGTTGCCTTTGTACTCTGTTGATAGTGTCCTTTGATGTGCAAGATTTTAGTTGATGAAGTCTAGTTTGTCTATTTTCTTTCTTTTGTTGCCTGTGCTTTTGGTGTCATATCCAAGAAATCATTGCCAAATCCAGTGTCATGAAGCTTTCCCCCTATGTTTTCTTCTAAAAGTTTTATCGTTTTCATTCTTAAATGCTCAGTTATTTGATCCATTTTGAGCTAATTTTTGTAGATAGTGTTAGGTAAGGGTCCAACTCACTTTTTTGGCATGTGGATGTCCAGTTTTCCAGCACAATTTGTTGTAAAGACTGTCTTAGTAACCTTGTCAAAATCATTTGACCATCTATGCAAGAGTTATTTCTAGGTTCTCTATTCTTTTAATAACAAAATTATTTTTTGTCTCCCCCATTAAATTATTGACTTTTTTTTTTCATGATAAGGTTGAGAGATAGCAGAATTTAAACATTTAGACCGCTAGATAGGAGTTGCAATGCAGGGTCTACTCTTGGCTCTGACCCTGGAACAGGTCACAACCACAATTCTTTGCCTCTCTGCCCAACTTTTGAAAAGGAAAGGTGATAGTATTGGCGATTTTAAAGTCAACAGAGAAAACAGACTTGGAATGGTCTTTCAAGTCTTTAAAAGGAAAGGGAGGGAGGGCCCTTTTCTAACTGGAAGGCTCAGATTTCTGGTGAGTGTGAGGGCCACCATCTTCCTGACCCTCAGATGACCCTTCTTCCTGCAGTCCCATGACTAAACTGGAGGTCAGCACCGGGGTGAGGATGCGGTCAAAGGATGAGCCCCCATGGTGGGCAAACAGGGCCAGAGAGAACTCTCATCAGCATTATAGATGGTCGCCCCAGCATCAAAGGGCAGCCTACTCTCTCCTCAGGTCAGGGAAGCCTCTTTGTGTCATTCACATTGTTGTGAAAAGAGAAAAAAAACACTTGGCCCAAAATGTTCTCTCCACCATTTTCTACCTGATCTTCTCTGTCTTTTTCTCTCCTGACATTCTTCTCTGTTAGCCCTAGAAAGGCCCGTGTCTTCCTTCTTTCTTGCCTTGTGTATATTTTCACAGTGAGGTTTCTGTACTCTGTGTGCTGTTATGCCAAAATGTTGCTGTATGGCAAGAGACAGGATATATCCCTAAGCACCAATCATGTATACCTCATCTACCAGTGAGCTGTGAGGTAAATCCATGAGTCCCGAAACCTGGGCTCAAGAAGAAAGCTGCTTCCATGCTCTAGGATCTGGGCAGAAAATGTGATTCTAAAGGGTTATGTTTGAGGGTATCGCTCAGCCCTGAAGACTGTGCACACTGTCATAAGCCCTTGGATACTCTCCCACTTAGGGATTTCTGTGCATTTCAGTCTTCTTAGGCTGCAGCTGGAAGTCAATAGGAAGTGTTGTGGTCTCTCACAACAAGCTCATTTATTCATCCATTCTCTGGACACTCAAGGAAAAATATTAGCTCCTCTTAGGATCTGTGTATAAGCCAAATCATGTTGGCTTAGGCGTACTAGGAGGAGATTTTCAAGCTGTGTTAGAAGAGGGAATATAGTCACCTTTATCTTTCCAAGTTATCTGTCAGTTGAGAGCCATGCTGCTGTTAACAGCACCTCCCGGTGGCCCAAAAGGAAGGCATAAGGACCCAGCCAATCTTGCTTAGGCTTTTATGGGAAGAGTCTTTTGTAGGCCTTGGTGACTGAGCACATTGAGCTATATGATGGTGGGTTTTTTACATTGTATAGGGTTTTGATGAAAGATATGGTATGAGCCCCTAAAGCACTTAAGGGTACCAATAGACTTGACACTTCTCCACTTCCATCACACAGTATTGCTATGAAAATGCAATCAATCCAGTTCCTGACATCTTTTCTACCCCACTCTCAAGAGCACCTACTGTATCAACATGACATTTTAAAATCTTGGCTTGTTTTCCAGGCCATGAATTTAATTTCTCATTGCTTCACCATTTGGCTTTTATGTTCTCAAAGCGAAATGTTGTCCAACAATAGTTACCACCATCTTGTTAGTCAGGTCCTCTTTCCTGGGCATCCTAAAACCAGATAATTTTAAAAAATTCATTGCAGCCATGGGCACTCAGCCTTGTGCTAATAGCCACCAAGTTCTGACAAAGCAAGTCCGACATCCCTCGATAAGTAAAATCCAAACCTCCTGACGTTGTGTAACAGTAAGCAGATTGGCATGTCTTTGGATTAGTGGAGGCACTGAAGCAAAATGCTCAATCCTTAGTGACCTTTGGCAAATGGATGGGGATGTGTAGCCATTGTAGGTTATCTTTATGTTCACTGTGTAGACACTCAGCCTCTGCCAGGCCAAGACAGAAGCTGTCAGGGCAGATAAACTTAGTTGGGAACTAGCTGTTTTTCTGACTATATCACAGTGCTTTGCAGAACTATTTTGTCTGATAAACTGCTTCTTCTTTAAACTTGTCTGTGAATAGTTCTGTGAAGCATTAAGCTTTCCCTCTTGGGTTTTGAGCTGCCTGTACTTTGTTTTAATCTTTGGGTCTAGAACTGACTTTCTCATAAAATGTACAGTCCACTGTCCTCGGCTGCAGTGTCTTCCGGTGAGTTCCTTTGAGGGAGTCAGTGGGAGATGCCATATCTGGGTCTATCAGACATGTATTCTGGGGGATGTGTGTGTGTGTTTCTTCTATCTGTCCAGGAAGCATTCTGTGAAAATAGGGTCCCCTTTGATCACTTCTTTCTGAGCCCATTAATGCCTGTTTCTAGTTTAAACATAATTCATATGTTGATATAGAATTTTGCAAGCACTTGGAAAAAAAATTTGGGCAAAAGTTCTTACCACTTGGAGTAAAGCTCATACTTTTATTTCCCTCCTCTGCTAGAGAAGTGGTGACTAAAGGCCAGAGATGTTGATTCTGAACACTCTCTCTGCTTGGGCAAGTTGCTTGACTTCTTTGGGCTCAGGTTTGCTCCCCTTTAAAATAAGGTGGTCACATTAGGTGATTTCTGAGACCCACTCTGGCTTTAATGGACTCCAAGCTCTCTAAGACTGAAGCAGAGAATATTTTTGGGGAAGTGAATGAACTGTTGGGTTTTTCTTCTTTCATTCCTATTCCAGGTGAAGATAAAAGACTTAGCCCTCTATTGAGCTGACATGGATTCAGAATTCTTTAGTGTTCAGGCTTTCTTTTAAGCTTCAGACAGGATCGTGAAGAGAAAAACCTGCCCTCAATTCCTTTGCCTTGTTAGTTCTCATATAATGTGCTGCAGAAACTGCTAATTGTCACTTCGAGGTGATGGGTGAGGGTCTGGTCTCTTGAAGGAAAAGTCAAAATTTTCAGTTCCTGTCCCCTTCTTGTTTAGGTAGAGGTGTATTCAAGTCTGATAAAGGAGGACTCTAAATCTAATTTGAAATTAATTAAATTTGCCCCTTCCCCAAAGCAGTGGGGAGTGAGAGAGAGTTGCAGGGTAACAATGTAAATATCCAGTTGAATACAATATACTGTAATAATGAAAATATAATTTTCTGGACAGTCTTGGGAGAGTGCCTGTGGGTTGCCCTTGCATGTGCTGTGTAACATACACATGTACGTATGCTTCGCTAAAGAGCCATCTAGACATAACTTCAATCACAAACACTTATATTGCTAATCTTTTCAAGAGATTTTTCTTTAGTTTTAGTTTATAACTCTAAGTATGATCTTATACTTGTGTGTGAAAATGCACTCCTTGAAACTTGAGCCCAATAACCTGTGTTTGTACATCAGTTTCACAGGACATTGTTTTCAAAAAAATGTCATCGGCATTCCTTTCATTTTTGTTGCCTGCTAGGTATACCCTTTTTCCACGTCTCTCTGACTCAGCCTTCTCTACGTCTGCTAAGAAATTTGTAGTTGTCCAGCATTTGTTTAGTAAAGTCCCCGGGTTGGCCTCTATGTGGACATTTGGTCCCCAGTGCCGGAAGTCACACCCATAGTCAGCGCACTGCCCCTCGTGATCAGGCACTGCCCCTAATGTGTTGTCTTCTTTGGCGGAGGGATGGGCTAATGTGAAGCTGGAAAGCAGATCTTTGGTTGAAAGATTTTTCCTTTGGTGATATAGTAATTTTAATCTGGAATTAGATCATTTCAGCAAGAGGTGGTTGAAAGGTCCAGTTCTTGGCTCTATCACTTACTGGCTGTATGACTGTGGGTAGGTGTCTTAATGTCTCTGAGCCTTACTTGTACATTGGAGACATTACATCTTTACAAGGTTGTCTTAGAGGGTGACTAAGATAATGCTCATCAATCTACTCAGTTTATATAAGTTGAATGGGAGCCACCAACAGTTCTTACCCAGGAGTATATTAAATTTACTAGTTGAATTTTACTCATGGAGCTTCAATACAAATGGGAGGATGGAGGCCACCAGATTTAGCTTTCAACTCTATAATTGGGAAGTTCTGAGTCATTTCCCTTTTCCTTAATACCTGGAGTATTTCATTGTTTGGCTCTTGTCCTCTCCCCTCTCCTTCTCTTTATTCTAGAAATATTTCCTGGCATGAAGATTTGCCAGTTTGTTTGTCTTAGGGTAAGTTTAGCACAAGAAGTAAAACCAAACCACAGTCATACACAGATGTGAACACCAGCATCACCGCACAGTAATGCAACTTAAAAGAAAGTTTGACAGAATTAGAAATCTGACAATGCCTTTGTAGGAGCTTTCAGAGAAAATGGTGGGAGTTTCATATATTTGAAGCAATGAAAGCAAGAATGAGAAAAGCATGTCTTTGAGAAGACAACAGAAGACAATGAAAAGAAATCCTTACAGCTCAAGGATTTGAAATCACAATCATGTGACACTTTTGGAAGCGAAACAGAAAAAAATTAACTTTGCTCTAGTTTTTATGGACTTCTTTTGACTTATTGCATAAAAATAACAGAAATTTCTGGCAAGCGGACTGGATTTCCAAAACTCTTCCCCACGGAGGCAGCGAGGAGAATTGTCTGAAAAGTTATGTGTGTTTGTTATCATGAAAACATTAATAATATTAGGATTTGGCTATAATCCATTTTTACTTTGAGAACCTCGACATTTTAACGGGTACATGTAACTGATAAATCCTTTTTGTGGTTGTCAAAACAAGCAAAGCTAACTTTGTACATTTCCTATTATAACTAAAAGCACTTTGACAGTCTGAAATTGGGTGTATCAGTATGGAGAGCAAACAGCCTATTCATTTTATCACCATACTTCTCTAAGGATTTTGACATTTCTGAGATACATATCACTTCTAAACAGTGAAGCACAAAGTTGGTAAAGGTTGTGATGGCTGCAGTTCATGGAGGTTGACCATCCTGTTGGGATTGCCAGTTCCCTTGGCAGGTGCCTTGCTAGGCCAGCCTGCCATGCATCTGGTCATGTGGAGACCATCAGGAGACCATCGCATGGTCTATCCACATCTTTGAGGCCCAACTGATCATTTGTGGTGTCCTGAGAGCTTTCAGCCATGCTGTAGTCTGGGAGAGTCAGTTTTTGGGTGGGTTCAGGCATGGAGCATCTGATGATGTTGGAGTCAGTCACAATGAACCAGAACCTGAGGTCTGGGCAGGACCAGGCTCTGTGGAGAGAGGCAGTATGCTAGAGTGACTGATGTCTGTTCAGAGGAGGAGAAACATCTCCAGGCAGAGAGAAAGCCATGGTTGGTTCCCCTGCCCTGAAAGGTTTGGGCCTCGCGGTGTCTCTGCCTGTCAGATGTTTCATGTACTGGTCAGTGACATATTTTTAGGGTGGGTCTGGATAAGGATGTTTGGTTCAAACGTGTGTGGAGCCTGGGCCCCTTCACCTGCACATCCCTCATCCCACTGTCTCTCTCCAGCCTGTCCCCTCTGTGACCTGGTCATCTGCTTCTCTCCCTGGAGCTCCCCTCATGTGACCCATCTGTTTGCACTGGAGTGACCTTCTGCTGATCCCGTCTTGGTTGCCTCATTTCTTCCATTAGCTGTGAATTTTTTGAGGATAGTGCATATCTTATATTTTTAGTTTGTGTTTTAATTGTTCACCATAGTTCACATTCTATCTCATTCCCATAGTAGTTTTTTGAACAATTATTTTATCCGAAAGTACTTGTAGTGGTCTTCCAGTCTTTAGCCTGGAAATTAGCCTGATGACTAATGTTTTGTGTGGAGATTAGCAGAGTAGGTAGTGGCTAAGAGCCCAGATTCTGGAGCCAGATTGCTTGGCTCAGCAATGCTGCTTTCTGGCTGTGTGACCTTGAATGAGTTAAAGTACCCCTCTGTGCCTTAGTTTCTTTATCTGTGCAATCTGTACAATAATAGAAGTACCCACTTCCTATGATTCCATTCTATGAATTACCTATTGTTGGTTGCTGTTGTTACTGTTTTTTTATTGTTCTCTTACTTGAGGACTTCAGTGACAAAGAGTAGCAGTCCCCGTGCTTTGGGTTACTGAATTTTAAACTCTTTTGTAAGGCTGATTGAGTGAGGGAGTCTTTGCTTGGAGGCAGGAAGATGACTCCCCAAGCCCCTGTTTGTCCCCCATTATTCCTGTCCTCCAGGACTGGCATGCCCTGCCGTTCATTTCCTTGTTGGAGGAGACAATGATGATGCCTTTTCTACACAGACACTCTCCTCAGCTGCTTGCTTTTGTGAGCAGGTATCTCCTCTGTTAAGAGATTAGAATCTTAATCCTAAATGATATTTCATGGCCTAAGACTTAAATTTATATATCACCATCCGGAATAATGTATTGGATTGCATTAAACAGATTGTAGATTAACATGCAACTATAAAACAAATCATCAATGTGTTGTTGACAACTCTAAGTGCAAGTTCATATATTTAACTACATTTGGGGAGTATTAAAGTGTTTAAAGCGGCTTAACGGGTTGATGTAAAATTAAGCATCATGTTCTGTTTCAATTTGTGAGCCAGCCCGAGAGACAATAAAATGGAGGCATAGGCTTGAGAGGAAGGAGCATGGAAGAAAATTTGGAATCAGACTTGGCACCAGGGAAATCCTGGCATGGTCAAAACATATTGGGTAGCAGTAGAAGGCTGTCCATTTACATACTCAGTCTATGAGCAGGTATTTGAAGCCTCAAGGAGTTTATAGTCCAGTTGAGATAAACCAACCAGCATACAGAAAACAATGGTGAAAAATAAGAGACTTAGTGTCCTTTAGCACTGAGCTGGGTGAAATGGACCACCTGCTGTGAGAGTTCACAGGAAATGACAGTGGCATTTGGAGTGGTCAGAAAGATCTTAAAGATGGTGGCATTTGAGCTGATCCTCATAAGGCAATCAGAGAGGAGAATGGAAGGCAAGGGTGAAAGCGTGGTAGGCGCTTGGGTAATGGTGTGCTGGAAATTCATGATCAGACAGTTGGGTAGGGCCAGGTACTAGAGAGCCACAGCAGCCAGGCAAGCACTAATGCTAGAACCAGGAACCAGACTGCCTGGGATTCAAATCCCTGATCCCTCACTTTCTAGTTGTGTGGCCCTAGGTGGGTTACATAACTGCTTTCTCAGTTTTCTCATCTGTAAAATGGGGATAACACCAGTATGTACCTTTGAGGATTGTTGTGAAGAGTCAATGTGTTTTTGAATAGAGGAGGCATATAGTAGTGGAAATGGCATTTGACCTGTAATGGTATTTAGGTTTGCTTCCAGGGTGAGAGAGTTGGGGGGCAAACTGGTGGGCAAATTGGGGAGGCTGTTTAAGCAATTTCGGTGCAGGGTAACGGGTCCTAGGCTAAGAATAGACTCTAATAAGAAAGACAGTAGATGTGTGGATTTCTTTTTCTTAATTTTTATCCTTTTACTGTCCTTTGGGCTGTGGAGACTATCAGTGTGTATGCTCTGCCATGGTTCTGTAAGCCTTCCTCTAAACAGTGCATCCCGAGAGAGACAGATGTGAGCTGGGAATGTGGACCCTGCTGGATGCGGGCATTTCCTTTCCTCCCCTTCTCTCTGGCTTCACAGTGTTTAGACTTTTTTGTACCTATCCCAAAAATTGCTGCTAATTGACTTGGAGCACATAAAAATAAGGGATATGAATGCTCTGGAGAGACACCTCAGGCTCTACTTGAAGATAATATGGGGTGAATAAGAAAAACCGCAGTGTAGTCCGGAGCTGTGTTAAAGGGAATGAAACGTGCAAAGCCTTTTTCACTGCACGCTGTGTGAATGAGATCCTTGTTGGAACTCTAGAGTTGCTTACCAGAGTTCAAAGAAAATGAAAAAAAAAAAAAAAAAGGGAGGCAGGGAAGGCTGGTGAAAAAAATGATTCAAAGGGTAGAAAATAGATCTCTGAAGGAAAATCTTGTAAGACTGGAGTGTTCAGACTAGGGAAGGAAAAAGAGGGTAAATTAATTCCTAACCTCAAATAGCAAAAGGTTTCTTTTTTTTTATGTGAATCTTTGTTTCTCAAAGAACGTTCTATGGAACCCAAGTTCTGGAGCGGGGTGGCTTCTGAAGTCAGGTCAGTCCCCCATGGACAATTCCCAAAGCACATTTGCATCTAAGAGGGACTGAGGATTTCTGCAGAAAGAACCCCATTTTACTTTGAGTAACCTACTGTATTCCAAACATTTTCATCTCTGGAAATTTTTAGTTTTCTAACACCTTTGGAAAATGCTGAGTCAGAATCACTAAGATGATGTTCAGTATAAGAGAAAAAATAAAAGGTTTGAGGTGTGAGACCAAACATTGTGGTGATAATAGAATTTTCACTGGGGGAAATGTAGGGTCCTCCTCTATTTTGGTGGGTGGAGGTAAAGAAGAGAATACAGTCAGCCACCTGTTTTTAAGGCCATGTGCCTACCTAAGTGCAGGGGCCACTGCCCCTGTCCTTCCCAGTCCTGGGGCATTCAAGCTGAGTGCTGTGGGCTCAGGTTTGGAGCCCAATCATTTGGGCTCCAAATTCTGTAAGGTGGCTGGAGAAGCTTGATGGGCCTGGCCCCACCGGCAGGAGATGAGGTAGATGGCCCCTGGGACCAGCTGAGAAGGGCAAACACAGACCTGGCTCTTTGCTGAGGCCAGCCTGGGGAGACGCATGGCACATTGCCGACACAAAGTGCACGTCTGCCCCTGCTCAAGGGCAAGAGTCATCCAGGTGTGTCAACTCATGGTGCCTCTTAGGGAGTTCAAGAACCGAAATTCAGGAGAGGCACTCTCAGTTTACGTTACTTTCTTCATCAAGGTTGGCAAGTGTCTTTCCAGTTTTTGCTTAAAACCCAGCTTTCTTCCCTTCCCTTTGTTTTCTCCCCTTCTCTCTGTCTTCCTGCCTCCCTCCCTTTCCTCTCTTTTTTTTTCTTTCTTCCCCAGCTTTATTTGAGGTGGAATTGGCAAATAAAAACTGTGTATATTCAAGACACACAACATGATGATTTGATATACATATACATTGTGAAATGATTGGAGATTCTGCCATTTGCGACAACACAGATGAACCTGGAGGACATTATACCAAGTAAAACAAGCCAGACACTGAAAGACTGTATTATCTCACTTATATGTGTAATCTAAAAGAGTCAAACTCCCAGAAGCAGGGAATAGAAATGTGGTCACCAGGGACTGGGAGGTGGGGGAAATGGGCAACTGTTGGTCAAAGGATACAAACTTTCAGTTATAAGATGAGTAAGTTCTGAGGATCTAATATACAGCATGGTGACCATAGTTATAACACTGTATTGTACACTTGAGATTTGCTAAGAGAGTAGATCTTAAGTGTCTCCCCCTCCTTCTCTTTAATCTGTCACTTCCTTTCTTTCTTTTTCTCCATCTCCTTTTTTCTTCTTTCTCTTTTCAACAAAGAGGGAGAAAACCAAGGCTTCCTCCTCCATCATTGCCCTATGATTTTTTTGCTCTTCACTAAGTGAGATGCATATACCTTACTCTTGATCCTAGGAGGAACTTTTTGTTTTCCTAAGTCATAGGCGACTTTCTCTTTCTCCCTCTTTCTCTCCCCATCCCCATAGGAATGTGTGTGTCTGGGTGTCTCTGTCTTTCTCCCTCTCTCTCTCTCTTTACACACACACAGGCACACACACACTATCTTGA
Organism: Homo sapiens; assembly: GCF_000001405.40. Classification (NCBI taxonomy): domain Eukaryota; kingdom Metazoa; phylum Chordata; class Mammalia; order Primates; family Hominidae; genus Homo; species Homo sapiens. The sequence continues at coordinate 75,660,119 of NC_000010.11, forward strand.
AGGTACAGGATACACCTTTTGTGTTCCATTTATTGTAAAATATTGCACACATCTGTAATTATATTACTCTTAAAATAAAGCCTTCATCTACTCTTAACATCTTTTGATGTCCCTTCCCTGCTGACTCTATTTTTTCTTGTTCCCACTTTACGTTAATGTGAAGAGACAGTTGAGTAAATGCACAATGAACTTCAAAACCTAGTAATTGTTTTTCAGAAAGAATGAAACTTGCGAATTAGATATGGATTGTAAAAGAACACCAGGGCTGATTAGTGTTTGTGAGGGGCGCCTGCCGGACGGCTCTGACACCTGCCTGCCAGCACTCTCCAGAAATGCCACCATTGATGCCTCTGTTCTGCCCATCACAGGACGGGGGGAGAAGTGCTGGGTGGGAGTTAAAAGGCTCCGCAGTGAACCACCTTGTCAGACTCACCAATTCATGGGACGCCTGACATGAAAGGCAGCGAGAAACAAAGATGAGTTGCAGCCACTTTACAAGCAAACTCTAGTTATCTGTAAAAATAAAATAAAATAATAAGGTTTTTCAAAAACAGAGAATGAATGAGCATTGAAGGTGTTCACCATGTTTTTTTTTTTTAAGGTTGTGGAGATAATGAGTTTTTTGAGACTTGGGGGAGGAAAAGAATTCACAAGCCAAGTTTCAAGCTGCTGAAAAATTGCTTTTAGGAAAGAAAAAAACCCTTTTCCATGCTAACCATCTGCTTGCATCTTGTTTACTGCCCAGAGTGCCAGTTTGTGCTTATTAATCATGCTTACACAAGTATCTTAATTACTCCCTATGTAGCTGCTCTGTCTTGAACTCAGAAGTTGACCTTTCTCTTTTTATTCCTTTAAATCATTAATCATACACAATCAACGCCAGCGGGACAGAGCCACAGAGAAGGCTACCCAGATTCTCACACCTCACGCCAGTCCCAGGCAGACAGGGAATGCCAGAGTGACTGCTTTGCCAGCAGCCAGGCGGATCTTAATTAATGACTCTGCTGTGTTGAGGCACACGGGCTGGGGGAGGCCCTTCCTGCCACCGCCCCTCCGTGCTTCCTCCAGTTGCTGCCTGGTTTGAGGAATGACTGCTTTACTCTGCTGAAACCCAGAAAGGCCTCTGCTAGGGTTTTACAGACCTGCACGCCTCGACTCTCGAAGGATCCCAACAGAGGCTGAGGGAACTTCTCAGAGAAGATACTATTTCTTGCCGTGAGTGGGAGTTTGTACCAGACCAGTTCTTCTCACGATTTGCCATGCACGTTTATCTGGTGGGGATCCTGCTAAAATGTAGATTTCTGATTCAGGAGGTCTGGCTGGGACTTGAGAATCTACATCTCTAAAAAGCTACCAAGCAATGCCAATGCTGCTGGTCCAGGGACCGTACTTTGAGTAGCAAGGAGCTAGTTGGTTGATGAGAACCAAGGTCCTCCCTCCAAGCCTGGAGATGTGATAAGAGAGTGTCACCTCTATGAATGTGAGATATATATATTTTTTTCTTTGGCTAGATGAGCAATATTTTGGTAATTTGGAAGGTAATTTTCAGGCAGGTGATATATACACATGAACAAGTGTGGCACCCTTATCCAGGCAAAAGAAACACACATGATGTACAGATTGGCCTTTCCTATGGAGGGAAGAGTGAAATTGAGACTTTAAAGACCCCTTTCATTGAACTTTGTAAAAAGTTGCTTAAAACAGCTGAAAAAATTCTACTCCAAAAAAATGGAGTGCTCAAAACTAAAATAATAATAATGATAATAATAAAATGGATTGAGGCTTGGGTTTCATAAGGCTGTTTCTCAGTTCCAGTATACCAGACAAATTACAGCCTGTGAAAGTAATTTTGTTTCCCCCTACCCTGTACTTTCAGCCTCCTAAGTAGGATAGGAAACCTGGAGATAAGAAACAGAAGGAAAAATGTAAACTGAGGACCTTTTCTTTTGGCCAAATTGAATGTTCTACTTTTAAAGGGGAGGAATTTAGCTGCTTTTTTTTTTTCTGCCAAAATTGCTTGAGTTTTCCATTCATTGTCATTCATTTTACATTTCAAAGTGCAAACTGCAAAGTGTAAAGTTGTATGGTGGTAATACACACAGTAGAATTTTGGTTGACACTTCCAGCTCTGATGAAGTAGAGATGAAATAAATCTGAAACACATCTAAATAGGCTTGGGGTTTGCATTCTATCCCATCTAAGGGAAGCTGAGTAGATCATAGACGGATGCTACTACAGGTTTCGTTATTGGTAATCCTTCGGAAAGCGACACGGAAACACATTAGAACTAACCTCCACTGCCTTCCATTTCATCTAAACAGTGGGGTGAGGGTCTGGGTGGGAAGGAATTTTATTGAAAACAAAGTCTGAAGTAAAAGCAACAAATCTTTACTAGTGAAAAGTCACCTAATTAATTTAGATAAAAACTTTATCATCCCACATGCAAAAAGAATATGTGGTTTTCCGGCTTTGTTATTTACATTAAAAATTACTTGTTCATGAAGTTAAAAAAGCGCAATTACCCTGAATGAGGTGAATTAAGAAAATATTTCATCAGTGTAGCTTGTCTTTTCAACTGGCTGCCTTTTTGGAGTCTCTTGTTGATTTATGAAGTGAAAATTCTGTCTTGTCTTTGGTGAGGACGTTCTGTAGCCTTCCTACATAGTTTTGGTATTTGGGTATGCACATGTTTTTGGCAGCCTGGAGAATATCCTGGCTGCAGTGACAGAAAGACATAACTCACTTTTCGTTTGGTAAAGGAGTAATTAATTTGAACTTCTGGACATGAAGCATTTGAGAGCTGGAACTGGGTGCCTTGCGTAACCATGGTCTGCTGTTAAACTCTTTATAGAAGACTCTTCTTGTTCTTGGAACTTTGTCTGGACTTCAGAGCAGGCTGATTTAAGTGTTGAGAGCCTGGTCTGGCAAGAGTTGTGTTTATGCTTTTCTCTCTGAAGGCCATGGATCTGACCCCTCCAAGGAAGCCAAGCTATTTTTAGGGAAAGTCTAGAGTAGAGTGGCATTTTCTGGGAGAATCTGTGGCATTTTTTGTAGAGGACTCTTAGGGCAGGGATTGGGATGGGGCTGAAGACCCCTATGTCTGCCAGCAGCTTCTCCTCCTCCCCGCCCTTAATGGGCCAAGGCTGTACTTCTGTTAGTGGATTCCATATTTGCTATGGTGGAAGACTGGCCTGTGAGACTTTCCTATAGGAAGTATATGGAAGTCCTCTGTCTAGCAAAGGATTCTCTGATTACCAATGTCTAATTTAACCAGTCTGAGGTGGGAGCCTGGGAAATCTGTAGTTTCTAAAGCTTCCCAAGTCATTCTAATGTTCATCCAGGGTTGAGAACCCCAATATAAGGCCTCGAGTGTGTTCTTATCTTGGTCCATTTCATTCTCCAGCTTCTGCAGATCTCCAGAACTCTCTCAGTTCAGACTGTTATGTTGAAGCCCTGGAGATAAAGGGATGACCTGAGCAGGGTGTCTGCCTTTCAGATACCCACAGTCTACAGAGAAGGGTTATCTGTAGCACCAGCTCACCCTCTCTGGTTCTGACTTGGCCTTCATTGTCCAGTCTTTGGGCTTTTTGTCCTGGTTCTTTTCTGTTACTTGGTCTGCCATCTAGCACTTGCCTGAGCTTCCTAATGTGTGTATTCCCTATGTAGATCTAACTCTGGGCTTAGTTTAGACCCCTATTCCCAACAGCATGGTGTTATAGGAATCCTAAAATGGATGGGTTCCATGGCGAGGACTGCTGGGGAGCCCCACGTCAAACAAAATTCAACACTTGTCTTGACTATAGGGCTCCTTAGAATATACTCAGGGGCCCATGTGTGTCTTTAAGAGGAGAGTAGGGTATACAGTCTTTCCTATCTGTCTCTTCTCAGGAACTCTATCAGGGACCCTCCTGTGGATATCGAATAGTCCGTAAAGTTTACTTTGGCCAGTACTGTTCTAACCTCTGGGAATTGGTCCAGCCTCCACTCTAGAAAATGTAGCTGTTTTTATCCTTGGTCTAGATCGCTGACTCATGTGTTCTGTCTCTGGGCTGACTGGCTCCTCTTTCTCAACCAGTCCTGCCTGTCTCTCCCTGGAATCCAAAACTGTGTGCCACTTACCTTTCATACAATGACAAACCCAAGTGACAGAAATCTCTCCATTTCCTTCCTTGCAGAGTCAGGCAGTGGCATCATTTATCTATTCACAATCCCTGTATTAGGTAGTAGAGAGGAAATGAATTCAGTTCTGCAAGAATTTATATTGACTACCAACTGTATGCCAGGCAATGGGCTTGGTGCCAGGGATACAAAGTTGGGTGATAGTCTGACTTTGCCTGGATTAACTCATGTTCTAAAAGAGCACACAGTGATCCTGAGCCCATATTATACTGTGTTCTATGATGGAGGAAGAGGAGTCAGGAGGGAAGGGGTTTAGGAGTCTCTAGGAGCTCCTGCTAAGGGCACTAACCCAGCTGGAGGGCATCAGGGAAGTCTACATGAAAAGGTGATTCCTAAGCTGGAGTTTGGAGGAAGAGTTGGAAAAGATGGGAGAAGGAAGTTTGTTCAGGGTGAAGGAATACAATGATTAAAGGCAAAAATGCCTGAAACACTGTGGCAGGATGAAAAAGATTGAAGGCATGGTATCTGATTGTGAAGAAACAGGATGTACACATTGAAATCTACCTGAATATCTGGAAAAAGTAATTCAACCATAAATGCTTAGAGTGTCCACTGCATATAGAATTTTTGAGGAGAGATGTGATAAAGGAACCACTAGAAGAGAAAGTAAGGAAATGGAGAAGCCAGACAGACCCAGCACCTGTTGGGGATTTAGATACTATTTTCAATCTCCAGATGTGGAAATTGAGACTCAGAAGAGGTTCAGTGACTTTCCCTGGCCCATCCAACTACTACTTACTGGAGCTGGGATTTGAACTTTGGTCTGGATTTATTAAAGAAGCCTCCATAGAAGAAATAATTTTTGCACTGGAGTTTGACAGAGGGGAGGAGCCTGCAGATTTTTATCTGGCACCTGATGAAATAGTTTCTTCACATGCCACATCATCGTCCCTTAGCTTTCTGTTGTCAGCGGTAGAATTCTGGCCTTTTAGAATTTGAAGTGACTTTTCAGATCTCTTTACAGATGAGGAAACTGAAGCCTAGAGCAGACAGGCGATTTCCCCCACTGAGTAACTTGACAGGTGGGGCTGAAGCCTGGTGGGCTGATACAACACACCTTTATTCTTTTTACTCTGACATGACATTATATTGGTGGGAGATAATGTCCTCATTCATTATTGTTTGCCTCCAAATATCAATTGATTTTTAAATATTAGAACCATTGTAAGATATGGTGGTTAAAATGATAAGAACATGTGCACATGTACCCTAGAACTTAAAGTATAATAAAAAAAATGCTTTCAGCATCTTCATGAGAAATTGACCAAAATCCCAAAGTTCTGAAAACAAAACTTTAAAATGAATTTTCTCTATATTAGTTTAGAACAAAGTCTGACCTGAAGTGATGTGAAATTATAATCTTCATTCATCCCACTTAGTAATGTCAGGAAAAATTGTGAAAGAATTTGAAATTGGTGGAAAAGATTCCTGGATGTCTTGTCTAGTGCATCCTTCTAGCTTATCTATGCCTTACATTGTCTTTGAGTTATTTTACAAGTCTGTAAGTTGTAGGAAACTGATAATAATGCAAAAAAATTTTTGCCTCTAGAAATGCAAATGAATTGTGTGCCCTGTATTATGCAATTGTTTCTTGTCCTGTGGATACCAGCTTTATATCCATTTGTAAATTCACTTCAGTATTCCAGATGGCCTGTATATGTGTGTTACTTTGAATTCTTCTTTGAACTGATACAATGTCTTACTCTCTCATTAATTAAAAGATTCAGTAAAATCTTTTCATGTATTCATTTTACATTTATGTAAGAATTATGATTTTACCTGATTTAAAAAAATTTGACCCTTTAACAGCATGAAAATTCTTATCTTTCACTCTAGAAATATGAATACCTGCTAGGGATGTTAGCTCATATACTGTATAGTTATACAGTATATAAACTATATTACCTTTCTAAGATCTGAAAAAATATCTGAATTGCAGTATGTTTATATGACCACAGGAATTCAGACAAGAAATTATGTGCTTGTGATACATTACTCCTTGTACTATTGTTTTCTTAGTGTCAAGTCACTAACTGTGAACTAAATAGTTTGAAAAAAACAAAAGCTAATTCAAATGAAATTATATTTTAATTTTGAATTTTGTATATAGTTATACAGTATATAAACTATATTACCTTTCTAAGATCTGAAAAAATATCTGAATTGCAGTATGTTTATATGACCACAGGATTTCAGACAAGAAATTATGCGCTTGTGATACATTACTCCTTGTACTATTGCTTTCTTAGTGTCAAGTCACTAACTATGAACTAAATAGTTTGAAAAAAACAAAAGCTAATTCAAATGAAATTATATTTTAATTTTGAATTTTGGGGGCAAGAGAGAATTTATAAGTATAAGGACCATTTAATAAGAGTTCATTGTTTAGGTAGATGGTTGGTTTTTTTTTGAGATTAATTAGTCCAACATGCTGACCATCATATTAAGAATAAGACAAGTACCAAAACAGGCACCAGTACTGCATAGTAGTGATAAGGTGCTTTTTTAGCCAGATGGGTCCAGTACTACTTAATTATTTTTAAAATTCATAATTAGGACCTAAGCTTAAAATTATAAAATTCACCTATCTGCAGGTTCCCATGGACCCAGGTTTGAGAAATAAATAATGGTGTAATCAATCAGTTATACAAGTTAACTGCAGTTACCTGGCTCTTTTCCTGAAAGGCAGCTAGGATGAAAAGGAAGAGGGTGGCGTGTATGGGTGTGGATATTTGTAATGCTTTATTTTCCAAGAGTCATAGAATCTAAAGGTGAATGTTTTCTTTTTGAAACTGTGTGCTATAATATTGAAATACAACTTTCATTAGAAATAAACATATTGGAATAATGAAATATATATTATTTCTCTACTTTCTTCACTCCTATATTTGGCGGTATTTGTCCTTTTCTAATGATTTTATAACCCCCCCCCCCAAGTAAGAATAAAATTTTATGAACATAGGTTAAAATGGATTCTTTTACTGGGTGGGACTTAGTTTAAATTAAATTAAATTAAATTAATTTTTGGGACAGGCCTCACTTTGTTACCTAGGCTGGAGTGCAGTGGCACGATCATGACTCACTGCAGTCTTAACCTCCCCAGTGATTCTCCTGCCTCAGCATCCTGAGTAGCTGGGACTATAGGCCTGTGCCACAACACTGATACATTTTTAAAAATTATTTTTAGAGACAGGGTTTTGCTATGTTGCCCAGGTTGGTCTCAAACTCCTGGCCTCAAAAGAATCCTCCTACCTTGGCCTCCCAAAGTGCTGGGATTACAGGCATCAGCCACTGCACCCAGGCTAGTTTTAAGTTGAAGGTCTACTGTTGCCAGGCTTTGTCACTGTTGGGTAGGATGTTCACTTCTTCTACTTTGGGCTTTGGGCCCTGTTCCTCTATTTCTAGAATCAGCTGGATGGAACCATAAATACAGTGGATCTTATGGATCATAGAAAGCTAGAAGGAACCATAAATATGATCTGGTCTGAACTCCTTATTTTAATTACAGATGAAAAAAACGTATTAATTAGCATGTCTTTCTGTTCATTCTTTAAAGCAGAGTTTTTCTGGACTTCTGCCGTTAATGCTAGCCTGGATTAGAAGCTTTTGAATCAACAATTTGGAAGAAAGTCCATCCTCAGTCCTTAAAAATTACACTACTATCAACAGCAACCACTCACACTAACACCTATTTCTTCCATTCCTTTGGTTAATTCCAAAATCAAAATCCGATACACAAAATTTCTGGGGCCTCTTCCATGGCCCTATAAGCAAGTGGTGCAAAGAGGGCCCTGAAGCCAAGGTTTCAATAGCTTCTTAGCAAATCTACTTCTGCCAATAATCCTTGTGACCTGTACCATACCTGCCTGGATCTCTTGCCCTCCCATCGCTTTGCATCAGGAGTTTGGTGTTCTGTTGACCACGTAAGGCTCTTTTCTTCTCAGACTGGAGGCTTACTGTGGGCTGCATCTGTGGCTTAAGGTTTTTGTGATTCCCATAGTACACATTTCCTCTGTGGCCCATTGGAAGTGGCTACCTGGGATGCTGTGTTGAGGATGCTCAGGCCTGCCTCCATGAAGGTGTATCTTAATTGATGCTCAAGGCCTGCCATGAGAACAGATGTGGGAAGTATGGACAAGTGCCCATGTCTGCCATTTTGCACCAGCTGTCAGGAAACATTTGTTGGTTGGGTCGGTGATTTATACAACCACTCTCGGTTTTGTCTCCAAGTGTAATGCCATGAAGACAAGGCTTTTTTGTCGGCTTTGTTTTCTCCTTTCATGGATATATCACAAGCCCCCAGAGCACTGTCTCACATAGAGTTGGGGCTTAATAAGAAAAATTTTTTTGAATGAATTAATTCTGAAGGGAGTAGGAACTTTAGTGCTAAACTTCACTTAAATTTAAATATGACTTTTAACTAGAAATCTAGCAACACACAGTTAATAAAACAGGTTACCTCAACTTTCTTAGAGCGTTCTTGTGTTAAGTTTGTGATGCTGAGGAATGTGGGGACTCCAGAGAATAAATTAATTGGAAATTGCTGCTTTGCTAATTTCTTCAGCAAATATGCCTAATGTATCTACTGTGTGCTGGACACTGCTCCCTGCCCTCATGAGGTTAGAGTCTGGTAGATTCCTTCTTTTCTATCATATAGTGGGGACTAAGCTGTGGCTCAAGTTTGTAAATGTCTCTCAAGGCAAATGAGCACTTAAGCAATGTCTTGACTCTGAAGGGCTTTCATTTTGGTTTAAGATGCTGATACATGGCAAGTTGTCAGCTACCAGCATTTTCCTCTCTACCATATTTAGCCCCTTATGTTGTATTTGGGATCCCCACAAAGTCCCACAAAGGTATCTTCTGTTTTCCATCTATGAATTGGTGTCACCCTCGTTCCTGAGGGTATGAGTTTGCTTTAACTGTGGCACACTATTGGCATCAGGGTCTGTGCTTGGGCATGATAAGGGACAGAGCAGTATTTTCTCAAAGGATAGACCATTTTTTCCCTATGAGGTTCTCTGGGGGAAGTGGGTAAAGGAATGGGATTGTGAGAGTCCCCTTGATGAAGCCTGTTTTAATCCTTTAACCTGAGCCTGTTGTAGGCTGAGGTTCTAGAAAGGCTGAAAAAACCATACATGGCCTCCCCAGGTCTGCATTTAGACACCAAGGGTTGCATTTCTAAGTCACATACTGCTATGCCTGTTATGTAAAGCCAAATTATTTTGTGAATTATCACAAACATTGATCTGCCCTTGACAGTACTTTAGACTTTTACAGTAAATTTGCAGCTGATAATGTTAGCAGACTGTCAATTTTTGTCACTTGTAAGCTTCCCTCAGTCAACTGCAGTTTGAAGGAAGTCCAGTGTAACAAAAGCATTGCTATCTCTTAAACTTGGCTTTAACCTTCAAAGACTAATAATTTATTATTTGGTGTTACGCCTCAGTACTTTTTGGTGACACTATATCATTTTTAATGTTGGTAACTTGATTTTTGTAATATAAAGACATATAAATAGGAGAAAAAGAAAATGATAGCTAAGTACTTTTATGGTTAGCAATCCAAAGACTGTTCTTGATGCAATCCATTCAACATTTATCTGCATAAATTATGGTAGTTAAAGAAAAGGAGCAGATGAGAAGTACACTTAAGGCCCTTTTTTATAGCAACATAAAATAGAGCCAAAATTACATTCATTATTTTTAAAAATATAGCAACTCTTTATTATAGTTTCCATTCATTGAAAGCAAATGTCTTGTTAGCTAATGAAACATTGTTTGATGTTAAATAGAGTTGGTGTGATAGAAGAAGACATTTGCGTCTTTATAAAGCCTTGTCAGTAATGTTCCTACTTTGTCACTGGCTACTTGTTCTCAGAATATTAACAGTGTAAGTGACCTTTGGGAAGGAAAACGAAATCTCCTTCATTAGCAAAAATGAATAACTTGCAATGTATGTTTACTTTGTAAGCTCTAAAGTGACTTTGAAATGTGCGAGATCTCTTTTTGTAGAAGTCAGAGGATGCAGAACGGCACAAAGGGAAGAAAGCTTTAAGATCTTCTGCCACCACCCTCCCTCTAACCAGAGCATTTTTTTTAAATACTCTAAAAGTAAATAGAAAAACATGGCTAGCTTTTTCTTTTTCATTTTCTGCATAAACTTCCTTTCTAGGTTCTGCAGAGAAATTGTGAGGCATGAAGAAAAGTGAAGCAGGCTCGCTAGATGAGAATGCATGTAGATGGTGAGGAGCTGGCTTTTCCCAGTCCTCCTTCCCATCCTGGCTCCAAGGAGGCCTCTGGGAGGGAGGAAAGGCATTTCTTCCTTTAGGTGCTGATGTCTCCAGCTTGGTGTGCGTTGACCATTAGGTTCTTTCTCTCTCCTTCCCGTTTGTCTTAGCCTGGGCTTGTATTGTTTATGAAAAGTTTTAATTCAGGTTAAGCAAGAGAGGAGAGGGAGCAGACAGGAATGGGTAAAGGGGCATCTCCTAGGTCCTGAGGTGGGAGGTGTGGCTGGGCCTTCTGAGGGGTGGAGTGCCCGCTCCCTTACCTCAGGGGACTCTGCGGACTCATGCCTCTGCTTCTTTTGCTCCTCTGCCAGTCCCTTGCTTCCCTTCTGACCAGCAAGTTCCCAGTCTGCACGATCTCTCTTCTTCCCTAGAGACTACCTGGAGCTAGAATTTGATTCAAAATACCGAGGGGAGCAAATCTCTGTGGTCCCTCTTGGGAAAGTTGTCTGCCCCTGGTCCTCTCATTGTGGCCATGATTGTGCCTGGGGGTGATGAGGTTTTATAGAGTTTCTAGATCAGAGGATGCTGGGAATGCATTCTCAAATAAAGCAGTGAGAAATAAATTGCCTTTCAGCATTTCAAGAGTTTTAAGTCTAAATTTATTATGGGAATCTTTGAATGTGCAATATTGAGAAAATTGTACAAAACAAGCCCATGTGCCCATCACCTAGCTTCACTACTAGGGATATTTTGGCCCTTAGTTTTCAGGACTGTACTGCTGCCTGGTATAAGGATAGGGTTTGAGTATTCCAAGACTCTTGGTCATAACCCCAGATATCTCCAGGGATTCCTGTCACAGCTCCTCTTACCAAGATTTCTTTGACACCGTAGATCTCCTTGAGCTTTTCTTTAAGAAACACACCTATGCAGCCATAAAAAAGAATCAGTCCATGTCCTTTGCAGGGACATGGGTGAAGCTGGAAACCATCATTCTCAGCAAACTAACACAGGAACAGAAAACCAAACACCACATGTTCTCACTCATAAGTGGGAGTTGCACAATGAGAACATATGGGCACAGGGAGGGCAACATCACACACCAGGGCCTGTCGTGGGGTGGGGGAGCTCAGGGAGGGATAGCATTAACAGAAATACCTAATGTAGATGATGGGTTGATAGGTGCAGCAAACCACCATGGCACGTGTATACCTATGTAACAAACCTGCACGTTCTGCATATGTATCCCAGAACTTAAAGTATAATAATAATTAAAAAAACCCCTAAGCCCGTGTGCATCTTCCCTTGACGATTCCTATCCCACTCTTCTTTCAAGAGGACACCGTTTCACATGTATTGCTTGTGCAATAAAGAGATGATAAAAGTTTAAAAGGTAAATGGTTTTTTAAACAGGATTTTCTCTCCACCCAATAGCTATCCTTTGACTCGTTCTCTAGTTAAGTTTTTGTTTTTAATGAGAAAGACCTTTCTAACTTACTCTATTTCTTTATGGGTTTGGGGCACAGACCCCTTATTTTACTTGCAGTAGCTCCATTTCCTTCAAGCCACTTTGGGACAAAACCTAGAAGAAACTTGAAAGTTATCACATGTCTAAGAAATAAATTCCAAATGAGTGGGTTCTAACTTTGTTAGTGTAATCTTATAATAGGTTATTTTATTTTCATATGTGGCCATCCAGGAAGAATGTTTTGGCTCTGAGATGAGTGGCCTTGTGAGAGCTCCGTGGTCTACCCAGACAAGCCCGGAAAAGGGGAAAAAGGGAAGCATGTTGGCAAAGGATAGGCCCCTTTCAGATTTTGTAGGGAAGTGACAATAATGACTCAAATATTATTTTCTCTGTGTGTGTGTCTGCAAGGCTGCTTTGAAGGCACTGGTTTTCTCGTTCAAGATACATTCCCTTTCTGTAGAAACCTTAGCTCCTGATATTGGGACCTCCTGTTCCTCTGTTTGCTAAGACACTTCCTTGTATTTTTCTTTTCTTTTCCTCCCCTCCCCTCCCCTCCCCTCCCCTCCCCTCCCCTCCCCTTCCCTTCCCTTCCCTTCCCTGCTTTTTTTTTTTTTTTTAGACAGCGTCTCACTCTGCTGCCCAGGCTGGAGCTCCATCTCAGCTCACTGCCACCTCTGCCTCCCTGGTTCGAGCGATTTTCCCACCTCCGTCTCCCAACTAGCTGGGACTACAGGCAGGTGCCACAGCTAATTTTTACGTTTTCAGTAGAGACGGGGTTTCATCATGTTGGCCAGGCTGGTCTCGAACTCATGACCTCAAGTGATCTGCCCACCTCAATCTCTCAAAGTGCTGGGGTTACAGGCTTGAACCACTGCGCCCAACCCTTTGTATTGTTTCCTTCCACCGTTGGCTTTTAATGGTTCCTAGTTCCTCTCGGGCTGCCTGATGATGTGATAATCCAAACTGTTTGCCTTTTTTTTTTTTTTAAATCTCTAAAGACTATAATTCCTTTTAAGAAAGTGAATGATGTCATCATAGGAATGATGCAGAGAGTCAGCCCAGCTTATTTCATCCTCCGCTTCCTGCTGCTGGTATGTGGTGTAGGACCTGACAGAGGCCTTGTGCTTCCTCAGCACATTCTTTTAAAACAAGAGAGTGTGTGTTTGCTGGATTATCAGCTTCATTTGAGGGTATGTTCTATGGAACCTTTCAAGTGGGCTGTGGGGTTGAAGGTAAAATCATTTGGAGGCATGAACTGTCACCCAAGCCTCCTTATCCACCTAAAATGCGAAGTAGAAGAAATCTAAAAACTGCATAGGTCTAGCTGGATGGTATACCGCTCCTGAAATGCTAAAATCAGAAGAGACCTTAGAGGTCACCTGAAGGTTTAATACCTTCATTTTTCAGATAAAAAACCAGATACATAATATTTGATGCTGTGTGTCTTGACTGCTATATTTCCATAAACACAAAGTATGGAATGATGAAGCCCTTGCTCAGTGCCTCTATGGGACTGGATCTGTACTGAGACTCCCAGGAGACCTGGACCCTGTCCTCTGGTGGCTCCTAGTCTTGGGCTAAACGTGGATATAAACCTATGTATTCTCTGAGGACATTTTGACTCTCAATTCTGTGTTCAGGAATGATAAATTGCTGAGCAGAAATGTGAAGCCAGCTCACAAAAGGGTAACAAATTGGGTGTAGAATATTTTTTCTCTGCACTCTGACCTTTTGTGTCTAGGGATGCGACTAGGGGCTGAGACCTCAGTTGGACAGATAGTCAATATTCTTGCTTTATTCTCATTTCTCACCCTTTATATAGCCCTTCTTTATAACTTCCCATCTTTTCTCTCTCAAACCATTCTCTGACTTCCTATTTGTATTGTGTTCCCATTTATTTTCTCTTTTCCTCCTTTCTTAGCATCCTGCCTGACACATAGTAGGAATGTAACAAATGTTTGAAGTAATGAACCAAAGGAACTGTTGCCTTCCTTGAAGATGATGAAAAGTCTGGGGATAAAGCAAACAAGGAGAAACATTGTCTAAACATCTCAACTGGCTTGTATTCCAGCTTGCTGTCTTTGAGAAAATATATGGAATGTTTTAATGCTGGGACTAGTTTTTCCTTGGATAGATATTTAAAAAATTTCTGCTTGTGCGTGTGTGTGCAACTAGTAATATAAGTTTTAAAGAAGATATTATACCAAGACATTTATTTCATTTGATTAAGCCATTAGAAAAGATTAGAGGTGTCTTTAGTTCTGGGGAGATAAGTTTAACAGGGAGCAGATTTTAGGAACATCTGGGCAACCCGCACAACACCTTTCTGTTCCCTTATCTTTAAATGCAGTTGTTATTTATATATATATAACAGATAAGAGTGATAAGGTAGAAAGAGCATGTTTGAAAGCTCCAATTTCTTATATCTCATCCAGGTTTCTTCTTATGGCTTCCTTCAGATATATAAATATATGGAGAACCTAGAGTTCCATTTTTCTTTTTTTTTCCTTAGAAGAGAATATTATCGCTCTCTAACTAAGTGTTATCACCCGGTGATTGAATGTTACTGTTTGAGCCTTCTGCCTTGAATAATGCGATCCTTAAAGAGGCCACCGCTTCAGATAATTGTCCCTTTCTGTTCACTTAGAAGTACTTGCAGTATTGAGGTTACTGCTCAAATGAGGGCACTTTTCTGATAAGCGAGCAGGGAGTTTTGGGAGTCAGGATTTCCTTGACTCCTTGCCTTTGCTTTTATTAATTCTGCAGAGTAGCAGAATTGTTGGGTGCTGGGGCTCAGTGGTTGGAATCTGTATGCTAAGGCATCCAGTTTCTGTAGGGGATCAGCTGGAGGGGTTTTGGGGGACAGCAGAAGGACAGTAGGAGCTGAGAGCCATGTCTGACATATGTAAGTTTCGTTGTGGTTTCAATCAGATGACCACCTGATAATGACAACAGTGACATATTCTTTTTCTAAGGGAAAGGACAGCCTTTTGCAGCAGCCTTTTCATTTCCACGTAATTGTGAAGAATAAATCAATGTTGGTTGGGTTGCAGGTCTGTGTATTGATCAGAGTTTTCAATCCTTGAAAATGCTGGTGGGATCATGTCTTCTTCTTGTTGAATTCAGTATAGTAAAATTCAGAGGGAGTTATAGAATTCAAATACAGTCTATTATTTATGGGCATGGCTGATACAAAGGAAAGCAAAACATTTTACTTACAGCAAATACATACTCAACACTGGGAGTGGTATTGTGTGAGCAGGATCTTAATTGTACATTTACTAATTGCTCTTCTCTGTTGTGAGGTGTTGCTAGCAGATCTAAAAGAATCTTATGGTATGTTTTCTTCAAAAGTCCTTTCCTAGAAGAAGCTGAAACCTTGATCAGTTATATTCTATACTAATGGAGATTCCCATGAGCAAGTGGGCAGGATGGACCTGAGACTTGACACAAGTTTGACTCTGAAAGAAAATGTTAAACTATGAAAAGCAGTCCTGTGGACTAGGATACATATGTAACCTTAATAGCTGATAAGAGTCTTACAGATTTAATTTCCAGAGGCAGCATGGGGTGATTATACGAAGCTAGGTCTTTTTTGTGGATTTATGCCATTCCTGTCACTAACTACCTGTACCCCTGGACAAGTTATATGTTCTTCTTGGGCTGCAGTAGACCTGATTATAAAATGAAAAGGTCGCACCAGAAATCTATTGTTCAACTTTTTTTTTTTTGTTTGTTTGAAAAACTATCTTTACCAGTTGATTTTTACAGTTGGTCTTGTTCTAGATCTGTTTCTCTTTGTAGGACAGGCGTATCTGCTTCATTTTGTATAAGCCTCCTTGGATTAGAGCCTTTTGAAATCTGATCTATTCCGCAAGGTCCAGTGTTTCTTCTGCCCACTTTAGTTTGGAACTCTAATTCTCAATGTATGGCCTGCAGTTCACACTGGCCAACTGTGGTCTCCCTGCTGGATTGGATAGTGATACAGAGATGGAAGGTTTTAAGATCTTCTGGGTGTTCAGTGATATAAGATCTTGTAGACAGGGGAGAGTTTTGGTTGGTGTCACTCCCAGGTGTGGTGGGGAGAGGGTCTCAAACATTTTAAGAACTTGCTCCCTTTCTGGGGAAAGAATCCCAGGTTACTGCCTTTGATTCCAGGCTGAGCTATACTTCTGCCCAGCAGCTACCCTGGCTCCTGGGTGTGGCCTTACTCCTGAACACTTGGCTTGAGGAAGGTGTTTTCTTCTCTGATTCCAGAAAGTGAGTTGTTTAGACTTCTGGACATTCTTCCTAATCTGTGGTCAGGACTAAACCTGTGTCTGACTGGAAGCTGAACGAGATGTTGCAGGATGTGTGTCTTAAACTAAACGATAGTTTGGATGAAATGATCTTCGTAATTTTTTACAATTCTAGCATTTTTGACATTGTCATCATCTCCAGGTTGCATCTGAAAATACAGCTCCTGGAGGACTTTCTTTTTACCCTGAACTGTTTCTGTTTGTACTAGGCCACATCACATCAGCTACCTGCAATGGGCAAACACAAACACTATCACTTCCCATCTCAAAGGCAACGTTTCTTTTGGGGTTGCCATGGAATTCCTGTTTCCTCCAAAACAATTCCTCTGTCTTTGGTTCGTGATGGCATTTGGCTGTGCATGGCCACACTTCTGCTTGCTCTGGCCACCCACTCTAGCTTCTTTTCCAGTTTCTTTTGAATGACACCTCTCTTAGGTAAATTCTCTGAAGGAGTGATTTTCTATGCTTCCATCATTATAGTTTTACAGTTCAATAATGGCTTCATAAGCAGATACCTGACCAATGTATCTCCAGCCATGGTGGTGGAGGTGTGGCTCTTCACATTCTCATTTGCCACCTTTGGCCCCACCTTGCTTCTGCACTTGTGTCTATTATTCCACAAAGCCCAAGCCATGAGAGCCTGGAGAGTTTCTTTTTCCAGTGGTACCACCAGGTCTACCCTTACTAATATTTTAATATTTATGGCATTAAAGCCACTAATAAAAATATCATGACAAATTCACTTTTAATTTTCTCAGATTTATGAGGAACACCAAAAAAAGTGCTATCTCTGGACTGCATTGCAGAAAAGAAGTTGGTTTGTCATAGAATGTATTTATTTCCATGGGAATAGGGCCAGTGCCCTATGCTACATGGAGTTTGATTTGTTGCAGAACATTTCTTTCCTCCCCAAACTGTGTATATTTGTTAATGACTTAATTTATAGACTAAGAAGAGGCTTAGATATTCTTGGTTTGGAGATATCCCAGAAGAGTTACACGGGCTGGCTGTCAGAATTCCCATCTGATTTAATTTCCTCAGTCTGGAAGAAGTTGGGGAGAGAATTTTTGTGAGGATTTTAAAAAATGTAGCTGCAGATATCCCAGTCAAAAGGCACACACAGAGATGAATCAGGTTTAAAAAAAAAGACCATTCATTTTTAATAACTGGGATTTTCTGTTATTTCATTTTTTAAAAAAGCTACAGTTCACTGAGTCTACAATGCATACTACCCTTTGCATCGAGGAGATACCTAAAAAAATGTGTGTGGAAAGAGCAGATATGGGAACTGAAGACTTTTTATATGCAAAAAATGATCACTCAAGCCCACTGAGGAAACCCAGTCTCACACCGGTTGTTCTTATTTCTTGTTTTCTGTTTTGTCCTTCTCTGATGTTGCAGAAACAGCAGAATTACGGAAAAAACAAAAACTGCTTGATGATTAACAGTGTGGATTTTGGCTTGGAGTCTTATATTGAGGCCAACTATGCACTGAGTTAAATCCTCCTCCTCAACTAAAAATTGGACCACCCATCCCTATTCCCAGAGAAGTCATTTTGTTGGTAGCATTCAGTTTATATGCGATTAAGGTGGTCAAATAAAAATGTGAATGAAACATAAGGATATTTTTACCTCCCATATTTATTTGGGCTTAATTGGATGGTAAAGATTCAGTGTCATGTAGCTACTGAAATCCTTGTTGTAAAATGTAACATGTGTTTCCCAAAGCTAAACTGTGTTATTGATAAGACCTATTTAGAAATGGGAGAAAAAGGACATACACAAACTCATTCACACAGAAATATTCATACATATACATATATGTGTACACAGATGTACAGAACCACAGATACATGCACATACCTGCACGTATATAGCTAAACATATACATATACACACACCATAATTTATTATCCAAACTAGTATACTTTACTAATAATTATGGCAATATAATGGATACAAACTAGAACTCTCCTAGTCAAAATGAGAGGCATAGTCACCTACTTATATAGTATATTGTCTTCCATTATGAGACAAGAACCGCTTATAAAAAGATTGGTTATTCTGTGCTGGGGATTTTATACATTCATTCTCATACTGTGATGGTGGGGAGAAGTTTAATAAAGACTTCATGTCCCTTAATAGAATTAGTCACTTTCTACTGAGATATTGAAGCTAATCCTGATGCTCTCATTTATAGTACTGGCGGGATTATTAACAGATTTGCCTTTATTGGTTTTCTCCAGAAGTCTTCCTTGTTTGCATTTTTTATGAAGGTAATTCGATTTTTATTAGTATAAGTAGTAGAGAAGTTTGGCAACTGGGCACTCCACAGACATGCTGTTTCCTCTTCTTCATTTGCTTTTCTCTTGTTAAAGTCATCAAAATGTTGACAGCTGCATAAGTCTTTGTAAAGCATTCATAACATGACAGATATTACAGATATTTGTCATTTTACTTCCAGTAAGTGACAGTCAAAATTAGCTTTTTGTAGTATTGGAAGATAGTGCGGGTATAGTGAGTCCAGTCAAATTTGTCTCTCATTTCTTTAATGTACAAGTGATTTCCAGTCTTGTTAAGGACCAAGGACTCGAAGGATGTGGGGAGTGGATCTGGGGTTTTACTGGAAATTAAACGGGCAGGACAATGGTATTTCATAGCATGGTAGGTTTCAGCAACGAAAGAGTCCCTGGGGCCACATCCTTAAATCACACTCCTGATGCTCAGTCCCTACCTCACCATCATTAAACACAGAGCCCTCCTCCTCTAAGTGAAGACCTTCAGAGTTGGAGGTTCAGTCCTTCTGAAGCAATCTGTTCTGTTTTTAGAAAGCACCATTTGAAACCTGTTTATTATATTGAGCCTAAAGCTCCCACTGTGTAATTTCTACCCACTGCTCCTGATTCTCCACTATTGTGGCTTTAAGTCCTAAACCTTGTTTTTCTTTTCTAAAACAACAAAAATAATGATACTTATGGATCATATACGTTGTGCTAGGCATTGTGGTAAGCACTTTTTATGCATTATCCTATTTCATTCCTGCGACCTCAGAGAGTAGGCATTATTATTATACCTAATTTGAAGAAATTGAGGCTTAGAGAGTTTGAAGTAACTTGCCAAAGGTAATTCAGAGAGCTCATTAGTGGCAGATCCGGAATTCTCATCCAGGTCTGAGTAAGCCTAAACCAATGCTTGGTGACATTGTAAAAGTCATGAAGGTTCTCTGGATCTCCTTCTCCATCGGTATTATTCTGGGGCTGGCCATGCATCTCTCTTGGGGTATTTGTGAGGATTAAACAAGAGAGTGACATGTGGTGTACATGCATGGCATTTTGTTATTGCTAATAACATTGTCATAAACATCCTTAAGACCACATACTAACATTCTGATGGCATCATCTAGTTAGTAGGTTTGCTTTGTTTTTTCATTCCATTCTGTTCTGTCACCAGTCTCCTTCTCCCCACTAATTTAAAGTGTATCATTTTTTTCGAGGTCCAGGGCAAATCCTACTTCTGATGTGGCTTAGATTTAATTTCCTAGTCCACAATAACATCTCCTTCTTTGGAGCTCTGTTGCGTGTTGTGTTATTTGGATGTTTTTAATTGTAAGTCACAGGAAATAAAAAAAAAACCCTTAAATTATCTTAAAGAAAAAATGGCTGTCATGGTAGCAATGGTTTTAAACAAGGCATGAGCCAGAAACGCAGTCAGTCTGACTAGGTTTAGTTGGTATCTCTCCATTTCTCAGCAACTCTTCCTCAGTGAAGTTCCTCTTATTTGGGGGCTTTGCCCCATTGCAAGGTGACTATAAACAGTTCTTAGGATTAGATGTGTCCTGGTTCAAATCTGACAGGAGAGACAAAGTTCAATTCCTTTAGTGCTGTAACAAGATCCCCCAAATTTGAATCTCATTAGCCTGATAAGTCTAAATGGAATAACATCGTATCCTCAAAACAGTTACTGTGGCCAGGAGTAACAGTAGGATGCTGGTAGGATTTAGCCAGTTGGACTCCATTCTGGGACAGAAGAATGTACACGAACCAAATCTGGGAAGACCAGGAAAATGTTAAGAAGAAGGAAAGGGGGGATGGATAAAAGGGAGGTGGCCAACAATTGTCTGGTAAATATGATTTGTTTATATTGCTTATTTTATATGGAAGTTTCTTGAGGACAGGGACCTTGTAGTGGTGTTTTACTTTACTTTTCATATATATATATATATTTCTCTTCCTATCTACTCCAGCACATCTCAAACCTTCTTACATATTGTATATGCTCAATAAGAATGATGAATGATTTTTTGCTTTGCTAGATAATAATGCCACCTAGAATGAAATAGGCTATAAAAGAAAATATCAAGTAATTCCATATACCTCCACGAGGAAGGGGAAGTAGGTAGGACAGGAAGATAATAATAAAATTAAAGTTTAAAAGAAGTCTTGGCTGGGTGCGGTGGCCCACACCTGTAATCCCAGCACTTTGAGAGGCCAAGGGAGGAGGATCACTTGAGCCCAGGAGTCTGAGACCAGCCTGGGCAGCATAGTGAGACCCAATCTCTATTAAAAAAAGTTTTCATTGAGTACAAGCGCCCTTATTCAGGTGTAACTTAGTCATATAATTGTATGTCCTTCTGCAATCTTCAGTTAACGTGATGGTGGGCACCGAGAGAATTATTTTGTAGGGAGAAAGTTCCTGTCTTTTTAGCATATTAAATACGTTGTTAATGAAATTGGAACTTTCAGACCACTATAGATTTATCATAGGCGGTGCTGCATGAAGGGAAAGGTATATTAACCTTTTGTTGATTTGAAGTCATTTTACCTTATGCTCAGGAGCCCAATTAACATTATTGATTTGAGTCATACTCATCAAGATCAACTTATTTTGTGTTAATTTCCTTCAATGCAGAGAGAGCTGAAACCAAGAAGAGAGGAGTTAAGACAGAATGATTGATTTGGCTATGAGGAGCATGTTTTGTACCATAATCTCATTTTAATGCTTCAGTAGTTAAGTTGTGCCAAATTGCTTTTGAGGAGGAAGTCATTTTCTGGTTGAGATTCTGCTTAGTCCTTATATTGGTCAGCTATTTCCACAATAATGCTACATAAGAAACTACCTCATTTATTCTCTTGCTGAGGCATTTGCAGGTTGACGGTGGTTTGGCTCATCTAGGCCGGGTGGCTCTGCTCCAGGGTGCAGGACAGCCAGCCTTGATGCCAGGCTGTGTGTTGGCTTCAGGTGTCCACCATGTGTGTTTGTTCTGGGGCACAGGCTGACCCTTCAGGGACAGAGGTCGCATGGAGCATGCTCTTCTCATGGTGGATCAGTGGAGTACCAGAGCCACGCCAAATAGCACAAGCACACTTAGGGCCTCTGCGCACATTACACAGCGAAATTTCGTTGTCCTGAGCAAGTCTCATGGCCTAGACCAGTATCAGTGGAGCAGGGAGGTAAACTCTGCCCACAGTAGGAGGGGAAACGAGTGACTGTTTGCTGAACAATATGGGCCTTCTGGCCCTGTAACTCTTAGGTCAGGGTGCTGAGTTATTTATCTCATCATCATCATGTTATCAAGCCAATTTCTTGACCTAAACCGGGAGAAAGCGCTTTTGAATTTTTCCCAGGATTAAACTTGTGATCTGACTCAGCCTCTTGCCCATGAGCTAACCTGAAGATGCAGCAGCTTATTGAAGACTCTCTTCCAGCCTATCACCACCTTCCTTTAGGCGGGTCTAACTTTGCTTTCAGCTTTCTTGTGACATTGTAACTCCTTCTTTAATTTGAGATGGGGTGTTTTCCAAGGACTTCAGAATCTGCCAGGTGAGATGCAAGACCTAGGTTGAAATTAAACCTAGGATTAAACTCAGAATTCTACCTAGGAGTAAACATTCCACGCAGCAGAAAACCACTACTCTAACTGTGAACGCTTTGAGAGCGAAGATAGCATCCTGTTTTCTCTTGGGTTCTAAAGAATCTGGCACACAGTAGACCCTCAGTATGTGCTGAATAAATGAATGAATGAACAATGAATGGCAATATTGTTTTCTTTGTAGAACAGTTAAATAAAAGCAGGAATGCATGAGAGAAGTTAAATAGGAGGAATAGCTCTTAAGGAGTTAAAGCAACAACCAGAAGAGTGTGTGTGGGGGTGTGTGTGTGTGTGAGACAGACACACACACACACTCAATACCAATATATACACATATCTGTGTGTGCACATGTATAATATACATATATGTAGACACTATATTATGTATTATATAGTATATGTACTTATACTATTTTATTTACTTAATAGACCTGATAACTCTGTGAAGGAGGAAATTAACGATCATCAGCAAAGCTAGGTTTTCCAAAGACCACGTGCCTAGAAAGTGTTAGAGGTTAGATTTGAACCTTATGTGTCCAGTTGCAAGTCAACTGCTCCATCTGGGGGCTGCTTCTTGGAGGGGGTGGTGAAGTTTTATTTTCTTCCTCACAAGGACTTTCCTTTTACCTTGAGCCTGACTGTTTGACTCAGCGCAGCATCAATCCCCCTGAGACTGGCCTGTTAAAAGTGGACACATGGAACTTAAGAAAAAATGGAGCAAATGGCTGGAGATAGAGGGCTGCTTTCCCTTTCCATTTGAAATTAATGTTCACTGTATAAAAAACATAAAGCATATCCATCCCCAGGGACTTGCCTGACATTTTAAAACTTTCATCTGCTTTAATTCACGATGTTCGAGGTGGGGATTTACACGTTGCTGAGCTCCTGTAGCTAGTTGGCCGCGATGTACATTTCCTCTCCTGGAGTGCTGGGCTGAGCTTTCTACAGGCCCAAACAAATTATATAGCTTATTTAGCTCCCTCTAAAAACAATAATGGGCCTATTCAGATTTTATCTGTAATTTTACTTTGTTGTTGAGCAGTATTAATAATGCTGCTGTAAACCAGGCCAAGGCAGCACTCACCAAATTTCCTAGGCTCTCATGGTAGGATAAATAGCTGCTCACAGAGCACAAAGGGAAACATGTAGATCGTCTCAGCGTCAGTTAGACACGCTTGCCTGGCTGGGAGCCGTGTTAATATCACATCTTGCAGATTTGGCAAGGGCTTTAAGAGTCCTGTATTTCAAGTTGGTTTTTATAGAAACTTGCTGGAGAACTGGGCAGGATTAATCATGGCTGAGATATATCACACTCAGTACAGTATTAAATTGTAGCAATGGAATGATGCAAAACCAGTTCATAACCTTATAAGAACATTGCATGCTACAGTAATCATAGAGAAATACTGTATATTCAAATTAATGGAGAATAAAATATCCTGCACTCAGTATTTGGTGTCAGGCAAGGTTCCTAGGTGGTGTTCATTTCCTTTCCTTTACCTTACCTGAAAGCTGGCCAAGGCAAGCCTTATGTCTTTCTGGAGTTTATTATCATGGTGGACTTGTGCATGTGGAGGAGATCTGCTCTGGATAGCCTTGGCTTGGCAAAGAGACTTAAGCAGATCTTCCTTCATTCTTGAAAGATTATTACACACCTACTCTGTGCTAGCCACTTTGCTGAGCATGGGGCTTAGTAAGTCTTAGGACTCCATCCCTCACCTCACAGAGCTGCCTCTGACTAGGTCTATGTGGGAAGTTCATTGCAATTCTGGAATGCTGCCTCCTGCCCCACCAGAGTTTTATAGGTTTTTATGGATCTGATTCTTATCTGGGGTAGACATGCACATGTTTTTAAGGGGACCCTTGGAAGATCTTTGGAGATTAGCTCTGTTATTTCCTGTGCCCCAGAAATCAGTGGATGTTTTGCCATTCCAATTTGGCTGAAGTATTTTGTTGGGTAAAGATAAATTAAAACATAAATTAGAAAGCAGTGTGAGGCATTATCAATGTCTCCTCTCTCCAAAAAATCTACCAGCCAGTGAGAGAAATGGTAAAATAGATTCACATGAGGGTCCATGGAGTCTCTTTAAGAAACCTTTAAGCTTAGTAGACCCTGTAGGCTGAGTTAGGTCAGAGGCTTTCTCTCATGCCTAGACTTCTGGACACCTGCTGTGCGTTGTTGTTACATCTTTCACGCACACTCCCCTTCTTTTCCCAATAACACCATCAAAATGAATGTCACCTTTGGGGCCATTTCAGAGTAGACCCTGCCTTTAACTTTAGAGTTCACTCTGGGAAATGACTAGTGGTAAGAAAATTCTTAGCCAGATATTCCTAAGTCTTAAATAAAAATAAATATAAAAAGTAGCAGTTTGGGTCCGCTGTGGCCATCTGACTCAACCTCTTGCCTATGAAGTAGTCTGAGGAGGCAGTAGCTTAATGAAGACTCCCTTCCAGCCTGCCATCAACTTGACTTCAGACAAGTCTAACTTTGCTTTCAATATTCTTGTGACATTATAACTCCTTCTTTAATTTAAGATGGGGTGTTTTCCAAGGACTTCAGAACCTGCCATCTTGATTTGCAGTGGAAGAATGGGCCAAAGAGAAATTGTTTGGGGCTTAATGGACCACCATCCCTTGCCAGGAACACATATTTCAGGGCTTGAACCAGTGGCCTCAGGCCTCCCAGCTCAGTGAGGCAGCCGAATGCAGCTGCCTCTCATCCCACCAAAGAGAAAATATTTTCCACTTTCTCCCAGTTTGTCATCATTACTCTGCAAGTGTGGCCAGGCATCTGTATTTCTTAACATGCCCTCTGCTTATTTACATAATAAATGCCTACCAAACAGGGGCAATGATTTCTTTTTCCCTTTTCAGTTTTCAGATTGGATCTTTTCTCCTTCTGGTAGTTAAGAGAGTCACTTAAATTTAATTTTATAATCTTTCTGAGTTCAGATAATACAGATACTGATTTTGTTGGATGTAAAGCTGCTGCAGTCATGCCCTGCTTTGGGATTCTTACTATATACATAATGATACCAACAAATAGAAAGGTACTTTCAGGCATTTCAGCCAGAGGCTTGAAAAAAAAAAGGTGCCTCACTGTGTTTAGGAATGTCTCAGGGAGAGACATTTGTTCTCCTTGGGGATTTGAGAATTTGGAGAGTTCTCCTGGCCTGTGAAGGGCAGATTTACATCACAAGGTATTCTTCCAGTGGTCACAAACATGGGCAGTGGCATTCCAGGCCAGAGTCAAGATGTGGCTGGGAGTGTATCCACCCATGTGCTCAAGTACATGTAGGGATACCTCTCTAGAGAAAGAGAGAGGGCCAAGCTGAGTTTTCCAGGTGGCCCCACCTATCTGCCTATTCATATCCATTTATTCATCCATCTATC
Organism: Homo sapiens; assembly: GCF_000001405.40. Classification (NCBI taxonomy): domain Eukaryota; kingdom Metazoa; phylum Chordata; class Mammalia; order Primates; family Hominidae; genus Homo; species Homo sapiens. The sequence continues at coordinate 75,685,552 of NC_000010.11, forward strand.
TTCTCATGTGGTCATTGAGAGCTTGTCGACTTCCAGACACTGAGGAAGCAAGATAAAGAAGACATAGCCCCTGATTTTGAGGGGATTGAAGTCCAGGGGACAAAGAGATACATAAATAATTTCAGCATCATGTCATAAAGGCGATGACAGAAGTATGTACAATATATTTGCAGTGGATCTATTGTTCAGAAGAAGTCAAGATAGCTTTGTTAGATAAGGAGTTTGAGCTGGCTTTTGCATGTGAGTATGGGATATGGAAAACAAAGTAAAAATAAACAATAGTAATCACAATAACAAACAAAAACAACAACATAATAGTAGCTTGTATCTATCGATTGCTTGACTATATGCCAGCTACAGTTCTAAGTGCTTTACATGCACCTCATTTAATCATTATACCAGATATATGAGGTGGGGCCCTTATCATCTCTGTTTTACAGATAAGGACTTTGAGGCATGGAGAGACGAAGGAATTTGTTCAAGGTCACATAGCTGTGCAGTGGGAGAGTTGGGATTTGAACCTGAACAAGCTGGAAAGCTGCAAAGAAACATTCTCTGCTGAAGGAACAACAGGGTAGAGAGGTGTGAAAGGGGCTGGCTTAGTCAGGGAGGACAGAGGGCCACTGGGGATGGAGGGCAGGTGATGTGATTGTACCAGCTGGGCATATGAGAGCATTTAGAGATGTGATCATGTGAGTGGAAAGGCAGAGGAGAGCTGGGTGGTGAGGCCGGGAATCTACCCAGAGTCTTCTTCCTGCATTCTTTGCCTGGCCTTCTCCTGTTTATCCCTTAGGTCTCAGCTTAAGTGTGAGGCTTTCTCAGGAAGGCCTTCCCCCAAACTAAGAAAGAGCACCATATTATCCTCGTGTTTTCTCCATGGTGCTTGCTTGTTCATAAGACTGACTTAATGGCTGTCTTCCCAACCAGACTGTAAACTCCTGAGAGATGGCACTGCATCTGCTTTCTTCACCATTTATTCGAATGTGTAGTGCCTGGCACATAACAGGTGCTCATTAAATATTGGTTGGCTGACTGCATAGTTCCTAACCCTTATATTTACTTTCTTCGTTAATGGTACCCCTATAGTTGTTTGTTTTCATAATATCATATTCTCCACATGTTCTATGAACTACAGCCATTTTCATATAGGAGGTATTCAAATACAGGCATGCCTTGTTTTATTGAGCTTTGTTTTATTGCACTTTGCAGATATAGTGCATTTCTTACAAATTGAAGGTTTGTCGCAACCCTGTATTGAGCAGGTCTGTTGGTGCCATTTTCCAAGAGCATGTGCTCGCTTCGTGGCTCTGTGTCCCATGTTAGTAACTCTTGAAATATTTCTAACTTTTTCATTATGACTATATGTATTATGCTGATCTGTGATCCATGAACTTTGATGTTCCCATTATAATTGTTTTGACCATGAACCTTACCCATATAAGACAGAGAACTGAATAAATGCTGTGTGTGCTCTGACTGCTCCACCAACCACCCATTCTCCCATCCCTGTCCCTCTCCTCAGGCCTCCTCATTCTCTGAGACAAAACAATATAGAAATTAGGGCAATTAATGACCCTGCAATTGGCTCTAAGTGTTCAAATGCAAGAAAAAGTCACATACCTCTCACTTTAAATCAAAAATAGAAATGATTAAGCTTGCTGAGGAAGTTGTCAAAAGCCAAGACAGTCCAACATGTCAGCCTCTCATGCCAACTGGTTAGTCAAGTTGTGAAAGCAAAGGGAGAGTTCTTGAAGGAAATTCAAAGTGCTACTCCAGTGAATACATGTATGATAAAAAGTGAAACAGCCTTATTGGTGATATGAAGAAAGTTTTTGTGGTCTAGGTAGAAGATCGAGCCAGCCACAACATTCCCTTAAGCTAGAGCCTAATCCAGAGCAAGGCCCTAAATCTCTACAGGTCCATGAATGATGAGAGAGGTAAGGAAGCTGCAAAAGAAAAGATGAGACCAGAGGTTTGTTCAGGAGGTTTAAGGAAAGAAGCCATCATCTCTGTAACATGAAAGTGCAAGGTGAAGCAGCAAGTGCTGATGTAGAAGCTGCAGCAAGTTATCCAGAAGATCTGGCTAAGATCATTGATGAAGGTAGCTACACTAAACAACATATTTTCAATGTAGTTGGAACAGCCTTCTATTGGAAGAAGATGCCATCTAGGACTTTCATAGCAAGAGAGGAGAAGTGAATGCCTGGCTTCAAAGCATCAGAGGACAGGCTGATTCTCTTTTTAGGGGGTACTGCAGCTGGCAACTTGAAGTCAATACTCAATTTACCATTCTCAAAATCTTAGGGTCCTTAAGAACGATGCTAAATATACTCTGCATGTGTTCTATGAATGGAACAACAAAGTGTAGATTAGAGCACATCTGTTTACAACATGGTTTACTGAATATTTTAAGCCCACTGTTGAGACCTACTGCTCAGAAAAAAAGATTTCTTTAAAAATATTACTGCTTATTGACAATGCACATAATCACCCAACAGTTCCAATGGAGATGTACAAGGAGATCAATGTTGTTTTCATGCCTGCTAACACAACAATTCTGCAGCCCATAAATCAAAGAGTAATTTCAACTTTCAACTTTCAAGTCTTATTACTCAAGAAATATATTTTGTAAGGCTCTAGTTGCCATAGATAGTGATTTCTCTGATGGATCTGTCAAAGTAAATTGAAAACCTTCTGGAAAGGATTCACCATTATAGATGCCATGAAGAACATTTGTGATTCATGAGAGGAATCATAAAATACCAACATTAGCAGGAACTGGGAAGAAGTGGATTTTAAACCTCATGGGTGACTTTGAGGGCTTCAAGACTTCAGTGGAGGAGGTAATTGCAGATGTGGCAGAAATAGCAAGAAAACTAGAATTGGAAGTGGAGCCTGAAGCTGGGACTGAATTGCTGCAATCTTGTGATAAAACTTGAATGGAAGAGAAGTTGCTTCTTCTAAATCAGTAAAGAAAGTAGTTTCTTGAGATGGAATCTACTCCTGGTGAAGATGCTGTGAACATTGTTGAAATGACAACAAAGGATTTAGAACAAACTTAGTTGAAAAAGCAGAAGCAGGGTTTGGGAGGATTGCCTCCAATTCTGAAGGAGGTTCTACTGTGGGTGAAATACTATCAAACGGCATCACACACTACAGAGAACTCTTTCGTGAAAGGAAGTTGATATGGCAATCTTCACTGTTGTCTTTTTGTTAGAAATTGCCACAGCCACCCCAGCCTTCAGCAGCCAACATCCTGATCAGTCAGCAGCCATCAACACTGAGGCAAGACCCTCCACCAGCAAAAAGATTATGACTTGCTGAAGGCTCAGATGATTGTTAGCATTTTTAGCAATAAAGTATTTTAAATCAGGGTATATACATTTTTTAGACATACTGTTATTGCACACTTAATAGACTACAGTATAATAACTTTTTATGTTTTTTACAGTAACATAACTTTTATATGTATGGGGAAACAAAAAAAAAACCCAATTTGGATTGTTTGCTTTATCATGATATTTGCTTTACTGTGGTGGTTTGGAACGAAACCTGGAATGGCTCCAAGGTATGCCTGTAATAGAAAATCTTTGAGCTAAAGAAGTATTTTTCTCTTCAGAAGCTCAGCCTTAACCCTACATGTTTATAATAGGAAATCACTTCTTATTCTTAGATTTCCTTCCAACGGCACATCGGATCCTAACTCATTACAAGGCACAGTAAAAATAATTGCTGAGCAGTAGGCTCTGCATAACTGTTGAAGCAAAGGGTTTGAGGGTTATTTGTGGATTCTGTTTCATCTTTAGGTGGATTCTTGAGAGGTGGCCAGTAGGTTCTTCGAGGCTGACCTGATTATTCTCTAGGTTGCCCTTTCTTAGGCCCTTAGTAGGGCCTGCTATTGAATCTACATGCATGTGAGTCGTAAGGGGATCCCTGAAATACTTGTCCCACAATTGTTGGGGGAGCCAGCCTTTGCCCTCCCTATCATCGGATGTGAGTTATCTCCTTTGGCTGGAATTCTGCATATTTCCAAGGCACCTGGTGCTCAGGTTCTGTGTGGGGAGCATGTGTGTGCAGACCTGTGTCCTCTTGCTCTGAACTGAGTATGCAACTCACACCAATAGCTGGGGGCAGGGGCTTTGCTGGGGCCCTTTCTGAAATGAGTCCATTCATTATCTGCACATAGACAGGCATCTCTCCCAAGACGAGAGGTTTTCCAGTCTATCATTTTCATCAGAAATGACCAGGGCATTGCTGCTGGGAGGGAAGGCGCCTGCACTGGTCCTTTCCAGGCTGCAGCCCGTCAGTTCTCCCAGCCTTTGCAGGCAGTTCCCCACATGCATGTGTGATGGTAGAGCCACAGAATCTTCACATTGGACTAGATTGGTGGCTTTGGTTGTAAATTTTTTTTTTTGACTGTGAATAACATTAAGGAATGTATTTTCCTCTACAACCTGCATGCCCATGGATATTTACATAACTGGATCAGTGGTGTCCTGTCACAAAACAATACTTAATATTTGTAGCTACTGATATGTTCTATTCTGTATTCTATTAAAAAGTTGAGAGAAACCCTAGAGATTGATTCCAAATGCCACTACAGTTTGGGAAACAGTGGCATGATCTTCCAGCTTTCATGAGATCTAATTCTGAGATCTACTTATATCCTCCTTATATGGATGAGAGAGAGATGTTATCTCAGTGTGACACAACTAGTCAGTGGCAAAGTTGGGGTTATAACCCAGGTCCCCTGACTTCTAAATTTTTTTTTAGAGTCTGGGTCTTGCTCTGTTACCCAGGTTGGATGCAGTGGCGTGATCATGGCTTATTGCAGCCTCAAACTCTTGGGCTCAAGCAATCCTCCCATCTCAGCCTCCCAGGCAGCTGGGACTATAGGTGCATGCCACCATGCCAAGCTAATTTTATATTTTTATTGTTATTTTTTTTAAAGACAGGGTCTTGCTATGTTGCCTAGGCTGGTCTTGAACTCCTAGTCTCTAGTTATCCTCCTGCCTGAGCTCCCAAGTTGTGGGGATTACATGCGTGAGCCACTGTGCCCAGCACAGGTCTCCTAACTTTCAGTGTTTATACATAAATATGTTTCACTCAGAAATATATCTTTTTGGCTGAACATGGTGGCTCATGCCTGTGGTCCCAGCACTTTGGGAAACTGAGGAGGGAGGATCGCTTAGGGTCAAGAGCTCAAGACCAGCCTGGTCTTGCATTATAGCAAAAACCTGTCTCTCTCTCTAAAAAATAAAAAAATAAAAAAATAGCTGAGCATGGCGGTGTGCACCTACAGTCCTAGCTACTTGGGAGGCTAAGGTGGGAGGATCCCTTGAGCCCAGGAGTTTGAGGCTGCAGTGAGCTGTGACCTATGATTGAGCCATTGTGCAACAGAGCAAGACCCTGTCTCTTAAAAAAAAAATATATATATATATATACACACACACACACACACACACACACACACACACATATATATATTGCAGATGTGGCAGATATATATCTGCCATAGATATATAGATCTATATATCTATGTACATAGATATATAGATCTATATATCTATATACATAGATATATAGATCTATATATCTATATACATAGATATATAGATCTATATATCTATGTACATAGATATATATACACACACACACATATATATATACACATATATGTGTGTGTGTGTGTATGTATGTATGTATATGTGTATATATATATATATATCTTTTTCTGGTCTTGTGCTGTTTTTTGTGTGTGCATGCCACTTTTCTTTCCAGTTAGGCACTGAGTGGCTAACTAATATAGCATAGGTATCAGCAGCTTACACTTTCTTGCTTAGACTCAACCCATTCCCTCTTTCCCTTTGCAGAATCCTATTACTTCTTGGCCAGATAACTCAGTTGGTTTTAAAGTTGTGTTTATTGTACACATAGAGGCAGCCTACCTTGTTCCCACTGCTCTGTGCCCACAGCACAAAAGGCATGTGGTTCTCATTCTCACATAGTTTACTGTCTAATTGGGGTGATGTGGCCAATTTCATTCTATCAACATAAGCTCATATGGATAAACAGAGTTATTAGGAATGTGCTTTGGGAAAGAGGGTCTGCTCTGAGTTTTTTCTCTGATTAAAAGGAGTCAGCTTCCTCATCAAGAAAGCTTTCAGCTGTAATGACAAGAGGAAGGAGAGGTGTTGGAGAGGCCCACCACTAATTTGAGCTAAGGAAGTTTTTTAACCCGGTGTTGTAGACTGCTCATCCTCCCTCCATTGCTCCTTCTGGAACAACAGTCTATCCCCTTTCAGCCAGAGGTGGTACCTGCCAAGTATGGCCACAGCAATTGTATTTTGCAGACTCACATTCGAAATATGGCCAGGCACTGTGGCTCATGCCTGTAATCTCAGTGCTTTGCTCCCAAAGGCAGGAAGACCATTTGAGGCCAGGAGTTCAAGACAGGCTTAGGGAACAAAGTGAGACCTCATCTCTACAAAAGTAAAAAAAGTATCCATTTGTGGTGGAATGTGTCTGTAGCTCCAGCTACTTGGGAGGCTGAAGTGGGAGGGTTGCTTGAGCCCTGGAGTTCAAGGCTAAAGTGAGATATGATTGTGCCACTGTACTCCAGCCTGGGCAACAAAGCAAGACCTTGTCTCTGGGGGGAAAAAAAAAAAATATATATATATATATATATATATATATACATATATATATTTTATATAAATATATACACAAGTATATACATATATACACACATATATACATACATATATACATATGTATATATATGTATATGTATTGATGGAATAGGCCAGGTTCTATCTCTTATCCCATTGTGCCTACATATATATACACACACATATACACATATATGCATATATATATACACACATACATATATGTATATACAAGTGTATACACACATACACATACACACGTATACATATATGTATATATGTATACATGTGTGTATACACATATGCGTATGTATACATATATACACATATACATATGTATACGTGTGTGTGTGTGTGTGTGTGTGTGTGTGTGTGTGTGTGTGTATGTGTATGTAGGCACAATGGGATGAGAGATAGAATCTTGCCTATTCCACCAAATCCAGAAAATAGGTTTCTAGTATGAATAGTGTTCCTCCCTTTTGCTCACCTATGAGTCGCCTTTGTTTCACTGTCTGAGGTTGCTGTGTTTCCGGCATCCCTAGCTGTAGTAGAGAGGCCTGGTGGAGAGGGGAGAATGGCAGAGGAGTACCACCAGAATGCCACGTGTGTGTGCAGTCAGCACAACCTTGCCTCTATAATGCTGAGCATCACAGTTGAGGAATTCTCAAGTGATGCATGATTTTATGGCTTGGGATCATCTGCTTTGATTCTAGCATCTGGGCTATGGTTAGCTGTGTCTTTGAATGTGTGAGAGTGGGTGCCTGTGTTGTATTCATCCTGCCCTGTTCAGGAGCATAGAGCTACATCCTCCTCTGAAATGCCGCGAACAGCCATTCTAGTCTTTGCCCATCAGTCCTGTTGGCTGAGTGGTGTGGAGGGACCCCTTTCTGTAATATAGTGCTTGGCTGGTGTAATTTTGATTTAGAAAAACAGCTTCGCTTGGAGAGAAACATTAATTAGATGCAAAGAGGGAGTTATTTCATCCTTTGAGTGGGGGGAATCGGGAGTGAGGGAGAGAAAAAAGTACCACAAATAAATTATCTCCTATTTGTGCAATGTTTTATGCTTGTCAGCTGTCTGTTGCCAGAGAACCACAATGTAGCTAAATACTTGTGACACCTTGCCCAATCAAGGTATAGCAAAAGGATGTTATGGGAGCCTCTTTGTGACAACCTGTGCTAGTTTACATTAGCTTAACCAATCGCTTTCTCCTCTGTGCTTGGAGAAATTTGTTAAATTAATTCAGTTGCAATTAGCAGATTTATGGGAAAGTACCCTGTTATCCTTTAATTGGAGAGCATAAAACTACAAACTGAATCCGCAAGTTCTATTTGTGTAATAGGCAATCTATCTACGACAAGATTTGATCGATGGAGTCGTATGATGCCCTTGCCTTGTTTTATATTGGCTGTCAGCGCTTAACTGGGACTGAAGTATCTGGGTAACAAAAATTGATATAATGACTTAATGCGCCTTATTCTCTTTGAGCTACATCAGTTTAGAGCACTTCTGAGAGAAAAATGTCTGGAAAATATCAGGGAGTCATTTATCAACCTGTTTTCATTAGCATACTGCCTAGCTCTGGCAAGGATTTGAATAAAAAAAAGCAGGATGGTACAATTTATTTCAGGCCCCATATTTCTTGGATGAAAGGAGACCTCTAATAAAAGGAAAATACAGAAAGATGCTTTTTCTAGCTGGTTTTTCCTTAACTAAAAACCCTACCCCAAAAGCTTTTTTGTTTGTTTGAATTTTTGCTGTTAATAATGTTCTGGGGAACATATTCCTGGGAAGGTAATTAGAAAAGTAATGCAAAATGCATTGTGATTATGATATGTAGAGGAAAAAAATGTTTGACAACAAAAAATTAACCAGAAATAGGCAGGCATGCCATGGGTATGCATATATCTGTCTCTGTTTGCTTGGCTCAGTGTGCATGTTTGTGTGTTTATAATACACAGTTAAACAGTGAACATGGAGAGAAGTTCTTTGCATAAGTGGGTGTTTTGTAGCATTAAAGGATTTCAGAAAGTTGAGATGCAGCATTTTTAGCTCTCTAGAGTTGGAGCCGAGGGGAAATAGAAACAGATCAAAATGTTTGTATAGTGGGCAAAATGCATTTGGTATATGGAGTCATTTGTCCTACCCACCGTAGGATGCAAACCACAAGAGGTAATAATAACTGAAAGGCAGTTGTATGGGAGTGAGTCCTTTTTTGCATGAAATTTTTATGCATCAGTCAGCCTGCATACAGTGTGCCTAATGTATAAAATAAATTGGTGCATAAATCAGATTAAGAGCAGCATGTTGCCAACTTTCACATTTGCACACAGGAATTCAATATGTATATGGAGGAATTCCCACTTTTTAATCTCTAATAGAGTACGGGGAATCTCTCAGGTAGATTTTGCACACAGGGACATTTTATTCACTTATCTCCCCCCATCTGCCACCTCAAATAACAATAGAAGCAGCGTCATGTGTAGTAAGAGGAGCAGTGTGGCGTTTTCTGAAATATCGGCTGTATATGGAGGGTAGTGACACAGTATTTAAGATAATATTGCAACCCTGTCTATAGCTCCTAATTATGTCGAGGAATTGGTGTGCCAATCGATAGTGATTTATGGTGGGGATGAGCAAGTGCACATTGCTCACATTGATCTGCATGTAAATTCCTTGACATAATAAGAAGTTATTACCAATGACAGTCACTGTCTGACTGCTAATTCATCAGCACATTCTTCCATCAGTGGGAGCCACAGTGTCTGCATCCTGGGTGTGAGTTTGCCACACCACTTGCCTGTTGTGAGTCAGGCTTGTACATCTGGGACATGAGGAGTGGCTATTGAGTAGGTGAGAGTCGAGGTCTCACTGACCATTTTTCTGTCAAACAGCAGTTCTGTGATTAACCAGTAAGACAGGGGTGGGTGGTGTGTCTTGCTTTTTTTAAATTTTTCCTTAAAGCAAGAAATACCCTACAGGAGTTTGATTCTGGTTTTTTAAAAAAAATAACATTTTTTAAAGGATAACATCTATTAAAGTTCATTTCTTAACACCATTTCCCCAAAAGCCTCAGACAGCAAATTATCTATCAGTTCATTAAAATACAATTGCTTTAATTTTACCCTTTTCTTTCTCTTATGTCTTAAAAATTGTAGATTAAAAAAAACTAGTTTTTTTTTTGCTTCTTAAATCTCATATGCATTTGTTTGCTTCTGCATTTCTGTTGCCCCAGAGCTTTTTGAAAAATTGTATCTTTAAGCTTGTATCCCTTTGTTCTTCCTTTTCCTCTTTCCTTTCTGACAAGGCCTCATAAACTCATCCCTTATAGCTGTATCTCCCTCCCCCTCCCTTTAATAATCCCTGCTAACTGACCTGAAAAGTCTTTAGCTATTCCCATTCAGAGTCCAGGCAGGAGGTGGTGTGTCTCTTCTTCACTTGGTTTTGTGGGCAAAGTCTCTGTGTCTTAGCCTGTAATATTACATTACCCATAACTAGCAGTTTCTTGTTTAAAACATTCTGTCATATTCTTCTGTGGCCTGATTTTTTTTCCTCTTAAGAGTCTGCTGCATCAGGAGGTTATTCTTTATAAACTGAAAGCAGCTGAAGTATGCTTGCTGTGTTCTCATCCACCCACTATACCTCTTCTCTACTCTTACTGGAAAGGGCCATTACTTTTTGCAGGAGAACCCTTGAGAAGTTGGTGGAATAATGGACATATACGTTGAAAAGTGAGTCATTGGCTCCAGGTATATTCCGGGTATATGGTACCTGCTGTACCTTAAGAAGTGAAAACAGTTACAAAAAGATAAGATTAAAAAAATTAAAAAAACCCAAAAAGATAAGAGTGTTTAGTACAGGTAGTATAATAGTAGGGTAAATAATAACAATAACAATGATAATTTTAATTTCAGACTGCCCATTATTGGTTTATCAGTTAGGTTCAGCTAAGTTATGCTGCAGTAACAACCCCCAAATCTCAAAGGAATAAAATAGCACAGATGTATTTCTTGCTTATGCTTTGTGTACATTGTGGATTGGCAGAGGGACTCTGATTGTTTTCGTCACATAGGGGCTAAAGATGGCGGAGCAGTCAACATCTTGGGCATTGCTGGACACTGAGCCAAAGGGAAAGAAAGCTCTGAAGGGTCTTGCATTGGCAATTAAATGTGCCACAGCTCGTGGGCAGAACTAGTCACAAGACCCCATTCTACATTGTCATTCAAAAAGGGGAGAACTGGAAAGATTTGGTAAGCAGCTTTAATAACTATTGATTGGTTATTCACAAAAGATACTTATTAAAAACCTTCTCTGAACATAAAAATAGTGTTATTAGCTTTAGCGGTACATGATTGGTGATGACTGAAGAGTATAATAATTGAGTATAATAATTGAGCAGAAAAGCTGTAAGACGATGAGTCAGTTCAACCCTCTCACTTTTACAGATGAGGAAATAAAGATCCAGAAAGGGGAAATAACTTCTCAAGTTCATAGCATTGGAGAGGAGCATGATGGAGATGCAATCTGGTTTCCTTGACTTGAATTCAATGTGATTTCCTCCTTCTGCCTCTCCTGTGTAATCTTGGAAGCCCCAACTTCCTTGTGTGTATTGCTATGAAACCTGTGAGTGCTGGCGATGCAAGGCCTAACTGCCCCTCCACTGACTTCAGTCCTTCGTTGGCAGATCTCAGTTTGTCCAGGTACTCTATGTCCATTTTTAGTTCCTTATGTTCTCTTTTCTAGACTCCTCTCCTTGGCCATCATAATATCATTTTCCTGCAGATTCACTTGATTCTTATTTCCAGTACTAGAATCTGAATGTTTGCATTGAATTGTACAAGTATGACACAGGGTACATGTGGTGGCCATGAGGCAGTGAGGAGATGTTCAGCAGAGTCACCTCAAGGAGGTGAGATCAGTAGGAACTCCACCAAATAAAATGTTTATTGATTTTTTTGCCCATAATATATACCTGGCCCCCTTTAAGAGTGTGAGGGATATAGTGATTTGGTCTAGAGAATGATTTGACTTTCTAATTTGTCTGTTTCAGTAGAGTTAGAAGACACTGTTGGTTGACATTTCTACTGGTTTATTTTACCTTTTTTTTTTTTTAAAGTAGTTCAAGTTTCTCCTTCAGACATTAGGGGAGAGTGAATAGGCTCCAGGTTTTTAGACAGAGACAGAAAACCTTATAATACTTGTTGTTAGCAGCTAAGGGGTTGTACTTTCCAAATGATGTTCACTTTAGACCAGGGTAGACCTTCCTGTTAGAGGAGCATTCTTTTTTTTTTTTTTCTTGAGGTCAGAATTACGGACATAAGTATTTTTCAGCAGGGCATGTGTTATAACCCAGGATTTTGGCATTTGATTCTTAAGTCACTAATGTCTATGGGAGACCAGGTGGAGGGCAGTATGCCTTTGTGGCATCAGAAAGAGATTTTATTACCCATTTTAAGGACCTTATCAGCTCTATGACTTATCAGCTCTAATGGATACTCATGATCCATTAGAAATTAAAAAACAAAAGCTTAAGAAAAGCTAACTTCATTAAATTATATGCTAGAAACACGTGGGCAACTCGTTCTCTCTCTCTGTATTATGTGCATGTAAGAGTGTGTGTGTGTGTGTGCGTGTGTGTGTGTGTCTCATTCGCGCTCTAGAACTGGCTTTTGAAGTAGGTATCATTGCATGGCTAACACCTGAGTGCTTGCTTTTGCTCACATGTTGGTTGCCATCCTAAGTGCTTTATTTAAATTAATACACTTCATCCTTACAGTCGCCCTCTGGAGTAGATACTCTTATTATCCCCCTTTTGAAAATGGGAAAACTAAGTTATGGAATATAATTTGTATAAAGTCACATAGCTGGGAAATGATGGAACCAAGGTTCAAATCCAGGCAGTCTGGCCTCAGAGCTGGCAGGTGAACCCTTCCACGGGGCTTCCTTCCTCCCTGTTCCCACCCCATTAGTGAGGGAGGAGATACAGAGTAGTGCAGTGTGATCTAGACATGGAATCAGATTTGGATTCCAACCCCAGCTCCGACCCCTACTCTCTGTGCTACTTTAGGCAACTCCCTTAGCATCTCTCGGCTTCATTTTCCCCACCAGCAAAGTAAGAACACTGGCCCTTACCTCAGAGGCCATAGTCCTTACAGTGAGGAACTTGTACCCAGGGAATATCTCATTAGAACCACAGCTGTGCTGAAAGACAGTGTTAATTTTTATAATCTACAGATGAGCAGGGAATAAGCTGAAACAGTATTTAATAGTCAGACTGAACTGGTGCCCTCACTTGGTGCAGGTGTCTAGCACATAAACAGGTGGCACATGGGCAGGGGTGGTTCCAGAGGCCACCTGGGAACTCTGAACAGTGGTCCATAGTGACACCTTCACCTCTTTTTTTTTGTCTTCAACAGTGGTCCGTAGTGACACCTTCACCTCTTTTTTTTTTTTTGTCTTCAGCATTTTGTAAATTTTATTACAGTTTCTGGCTATAAGATGTCAGTAATAGGTTTAATTTTATTTTTTAAAAACCCTCAAAAAGCAGAACCTTTATAATGGTTATGAGTTGGGGATTGAATAGAAAAATCTTTCTACAGAGGTTCCTCAATTATGTCATGAGAAAGAATTTGCGTTTTTGTTGTTGTTACAAATATGAGTTCTCAGTTTTTCTTTTACAAAAATTCAAACTTTCTGGGCTGGGCATGGTGGCTCATGCCTATAATCCCAGCACTTTGGGAGGCTGAGGCGGGTGGATCACCTGAGGTCAGGAGCTCGAGACCAGCTTGGCCAACATAGTGAAACTCCATCTCTACTAAAAATACAAAAAATAGTCAGGTGTGGTGGTGGGTGCCTGTAGTCCCAGCTACTCGGGAGGTGGAGGTAGGAGAATCACTTGAACCTGAGAGGCAGAGGTTGCAATGAGCCAATATCACACCATTGTACTCCAGCCTAGGCGACAGAGTGAGACTTGGTCTCAAAAAAAAAAAAAAAAATCAAACTTTCTGAATTTGTTCATCCCTAATGCCTAACAGTACTAGAAGTCCTCACAGATATGTTTGGCCAAAAATACATTTGAAAATAATGCCTTCTGACGGAAAATCCTGCTATGGAGAGAACATTTTGAAAACAGATGTTTGGAAAGGTTTTCATCATCATGTGAGCTCAATGCTGAAAACTATCTAGGTGTGTTATCTATAAAAACACTTATCTCTGCTTACTTTAAATTTGGAAAATGAATTTTCTAGCCATTAAAAAAGTCTGCCCAAAGAAGAGTTTTAGTGGGCTTTGAATTTATTTGTTAAAAATATAAAATTGCCATACATTTTGGTTAATTGACATCAAGGAATGTGGAAACTTACCCATTGAATTTAAACAATAATCTGAGTGTGACTGGTTAATGAGGCTGAAAAAGAGTATCATGATTTAATACACTCATCTACTGATTGGTTTCTTCCATACGTACTGTGGTACTGAATTATGGACCCCCAAAGGCATGTTGTCGCAATCCCTGGAGCCTGTGAATGTTACCTTATATGGAAAAAGGGTCTTTGCAGATGTGATTAGGTTAAAGATTTTGAGATGGGGGATTATCTTGGATTATTCTGGTGGGACCCAGATACAATCCCAGGGTCCTCCTAATGGTGAGGCAGAGGGAAATTTGGTACAGACAGAAGAGGAAAAGGCATTTGTGACCATGGAGGCAGAAATTGGAGTGAGTCTACCACAAGCCAAGAGATGCTGGCAACCACTAGATGCTGGAAGAAGAAGGAATGGGTTCTCTCCTAGAACCTCTGGAGGGAGTGTGGCCCTGCTGTCACCTTGATTTCAGCCCCATGTTACTAATTTCAGGCTCTGGCCTTCAGAACTGAATCAGAGAATAAATTTCTGGTTTTTAAAAATGCCATCAAGTTTGGGATAATTTGTTTCAGCAGCCATATGAAACAAATACATATACCTAAGTGACTTTTGAGCTATGATTCATTTATTAAAGTCAAGTTTTAAACTGAAATTAGAATTAAACCTTTGTGTGAGTTTTTTTTTTTTTTTACCAAATATTAAACCAATATTTTAAAAAATAATGAAGCATCATTATATGACATCTGTCTAATGAAAAAAATATAAAGCAGTATATATATTATTTGGTGAGTGCAAAGAATTTTAGCATCATTAATAAATATAATTGCCTATAAAATCTTTATTTCCTTTCTCATTCTTTTTTTTTTTTTTTTGAGATGGAGTCTCGCTCTGTCGCCTAGGCTGGAGTGCAGTGGCGCGATCTTGGCTCACTGCAAGCTCCACCTCCTGGGTTCACGCCATTTTCCTGCCTTAGCCTTCCTTTCTCATTCTTAAAATGTGTATGTTGTGTATATTTTATGTATACATTGGTACAATGGTGTAGATAATTTATAAATAACATCATGTTGGGGTACATGAGCGAGCAAGTTTGGAGAGCTTTCTCTAAGAGATTATTACCAAGATGAGAGGTAAATGTGAAAACTCCTGGAACATGGAAGGCATCCAATATGTATTTGTTGGATGGATGGATGGGTGGGTGGGTGAATGGATGGATGGATGGATAATGAAAAAAACAGGGTCCTAGGTTAAGCAGTAGGCCCAGGGAAGCATGGCTGATAGTAGGGCTTAGCTGTCGGCCCAGGTGTGTTCGATTCCAAAGCATGTGATCATTCCACTTTGCAGTCATTAAATGAAGAACTATGCAAATCATCTGTTTCACAATTTACTGAAGAGTACCAAGTGAGACTTAATGGCAAACTTGTTGGACTAACTCATCTCCTCGGCATTGGAGTGGGATGGGGAGCAGAAAGTGCGATAGAGAACTCCTGCATTGAGTGTGACTGTGCTGGCCTTGGATGTCAGGTAGCAGGTGGCATTGGGAAGGGGAGTCCAAGGCCTTTGTGGTGGGCTGTGCTGTAGGACTGTGCTCAGCTTTCTTGTGGCAGGCAGCTTTAGGCTTTTGCCTGAACGCGAGAGGCTGTGAGAATCTGCCAACCATACCACAATAGAATATTTGTGAGCAACAACTCCTCTTCCCTACAGGGAGTATTGGAATAGAAATAAAATTCATACACTAACTGGTTTTGGACAATCAAGATGCCCACACCTATGATCCTGGGGAACAGGGAGATAGATGTTCAGATAAATTAAATTTCAACAACCCTCCAGCCTGATTTTAGCCAATAGCTTCAGTCTCCTTTCTGATCCAAGACACACAAGCAGCTTTCACTCCAAGTGTTAGCAATAAGCTACCTGGATTTGGAAGCTCTCTCTCTTTTTGATAGATCTAATAATGCACTCATCTTTTGACAGATCAAATAATGACAGGAAAATAGCCAGTGGGTCGGTGGGTGCTGAAGGGAGGTAATAAGAGTTTCTGAGCAGTGATAATCTTTAGTCAAACAGCACCTGTAAACAGGGGAGCAGACCCCCACTAGCTGAATCATGAGCTGAGTCAGCTCAGTCTTTAAAACACAAGAACAAAGGGCAGTTTCTGGAAATCTTCTTGTGCAGTGGTAATGATGGAGTAGTGGGTTCTGTTTCATTGCTCTGGCCACTCTAATAGCCTCCTAGGAGGGGAATTCCCTCAATAACCTTTGTTTCTGATCCATTTTCTATACTGTCATGTCACTCCCAGGCTACAACCTCCCAACAATCTCCCTTAGATTCTAATCGCTTCCCATTATTTGCAGTATTTTATCTTTCTCCTCCCTCCTAATGCTTCGGCCGCATGTTTCTCTGATTTTTCTCTGCAGAAGGCTCTTACCGCTGGGCCCTTGCACATGCCATTCCCACTGTTTGCACCTCCCACATCCTCAATCTTCACCTAGCTAACACCTTTGCATTTTTCAAGTCTCAGTTTAAACGTGACTTCTTCCAGAAGGCACTCCCTGCACCCTGTTGACTAGTTTGGCTTTCCTTGCGATGTGCTCCCAGAGCATCTTGAATGTCTACTCTCGTCACAGTCATTTAACTTGTAATTATATATTCAGTTTCTGTTGGCCCTGCAGACCATCATCTCTCAGAGGTCACTGCACATTACCTGGGCACATGATAAGTGCTCAGTCAATATTTGCCAACTGGATAGATGAAGCTTTTCAAGAGAGAAGGTACTGTGTGATTTGTACCCCTACAACTTAGCATAGTAGCTGGCACCTAATACACGTTGATTGAAGTGAGTTCATCAGAGAGGCTGTGGACCAAGACTTTAGGGGCCCACTAAAGACCTAGATGCGGGTATTGGGTCTCCTTTCTTCACTCTGTCATCCCCTTTACCCTATTCAGTGAAGCCCAGGTCTGAGTACCGAGGCCAACTGTGGAAGGATGGTGGTGTTCATGGGATAGATCATACATCAGTTGGCCTTTGGAAAGGGAAAAAAACCCCACAAATATTCAGATTCATTGATGACATATTTCTAGAAATAACAAATAGATTATTTTTATTGCCATATTTTTGAAATGTAAAAACAAATAAAAGATGTAAGAGTTATAGGCAATTACAGTGGCAACCTTCGCATTTGGTTTGCAGCCTTAGGCTTCTTAAGTGATTCCTTATGAGTTGTGGTATAGTTTTCATGTGTGTGTCTCATTTTTGACCTGGGAGTGAGAATAATAATTTTGAGGTGATGAAAATAAATACTCAACTGACTAGTAAGCACAGAAATGGGTCTCAGGACTACAGATATCAGCCCCAACATCTGAAATGTAAATATCTCCTGAAATTCCCATTTAAGAGCAGATTTCACCTGCAAGTAGACTGTTATATCTTCCTGAAAAATATATACACCCTAGTGAGGGAATAAACACATCATTACACTTTCATGACAGATAAGCTCGGCTCTGTTTGGATGTAAACTCATTTTTCTTGGGTTGACCTTTAAATAGTATTGTGTTATTGTATGGGATTTAAATCAATAATTTTGTCAAAGCAAAATATACTGCAGTTTTTTTTTCTTTATCATTTAAACAGTTCTGTAAACTCTCAACGAGTAATGGATTTCAACACGCTTTTCCCAGGAAGGGAAGAAGGGAGAAGGGGTGGGATTGGGGGACGCAAGCGTCATATAAAAACTCACTTAGCAGCAATGAGGCAGAAACCAGGGATAACTGCAGATCTGCCGATCTGAGAGAGTTCCGTTTTCTCTTCCAGGCAGCAGATAGAGGTGCCAGTGTGGGCTGTAATTAGTGGTGTAATACCTTTCCTGCATTCCTGTTGTAAAGCAACAAAGTGTCCCAGGTGTGAGGAGGTTAAAATGAGAAGTACCCAGTAGTTATGAAGCAGCAATAATGAGTTTCCTTCTACTTAGCATGGATTTGTGTGATATACAGCTTGCAATTAAGCATGGCTTGGTGATTCAGTGATTAATGTATATACAGCTCCTAAAGGAGGGAAGCCGCCCTCCTGTCACATCCTTCATGATGTTTACAGCTGGGTACCTATTAACAGGAAGATGGAAAGGGCCATTTACAATTCAGTAACCTTTATGACAGCGAACTCTTTAATCAGCATTTTATTTCCTTTGTAACACTTTAGTCATCTACAAATGTCAGAATAAAATAGGGCCATGAAATATTTAGGATCGGCATGTGGAAATTGACTTCCCTTGATTTAAGCTGCTGTGTCTTTTCATTTTGTTGTTTTGGGAGCTTTTACTTTTATTGAAAGACAATTTATAACTAAATGCTCCCAACAGTGACTGGCATTAGGGTAGGAGGAATTTCAGAGAGCCAAGTTCTGGTTCTATAAAATGTGCCGACGCTTGCTATATTGGGTAATAAGTTATTCAAATAAAAACATTAGCAAAGGGTTTGCATTTCAGAGCAGTATTTAGTAGAGGTACAGCAGACTCTGCAGAGTTTATGACAAAATACTCTGACATATTTTAGAAAGGTAATTAAGTATGAAGTACATCCATAATAATTTAAGTCAGTTATAGTGTATACCTGAAATATGCATTATTGTCTCACATCATTTTCTTAGTGGGATTCTGGGACTTTTTCAGTTCAACAATAACCACCTTTCAGCTTTCTTGTATTGTTGCAAATGTACATCATATGTATTAGCAGAATTGTCATGTTTATATTTTTTAAAAGTCCTTTATGTAGTGATCATATTATTGTATTAAATGATTGCATTATTATTTTGTACTCATACCTTTTGTTAATCCATTTTAAGCCAGTGAACCCAAACATACCTCAAATGATGAGTTTTAAAAGTTAATCTTGGAAATGGCATGCTTTAAGAATTTGTCATGGTGCAGGACCATTATCCACCTCCCCACTCCTCAAAAAAGTTCCTGGTGACCTTTGTTGGCCGTGAGGTGACCCTCAGTTTAGGAAGCTAGTTCTTTTTCAGAGTTAGTGATAGAGTCTTGGTCTCATGTTGGCCATATGGAATCATCTTTCACACTTTTCTATGAGGTATTGGGAAGGTGTTACCTTTTCTTTTCTACTGCATGGAAACCAGTAGCTGGAGCCAGCCTGGTGCAGTGGAAAGACCAGTAGCCCGAGCCAGGTGGGTCCAGGTCTCAGCCCTGCCGTGAATTGTGTCATGGGCAAGTTTCTTACCTTTCTGCACTTCTGTTTTCCCATCTGTAAACTGAACTGGTTTATTGGGTTAGATTGCCTCTAAGGGAACAGTGAGAGAGGAGAGGGAAAGGGTAATACACAGAGAATAAATTAAGACCTTAAATTCAAACTGCCACAAGTAGAGGGTTTCTGTAACTAAACAGTGTGAATATGAGTCTTAAAGAGAATGTCTTTACCTAGATGATGGAAGGTGAACTATTGGGGGCTGGGAGTGGGATGGGGAAAGTGTGATTGGCTTATGAATTTGTTGTTGTTATTGCTAAAGAGTTAAAGTATATATTGAAGCATTTAGCGTGGAACGAGACACAGTGTGTTATTTTCTCTTTTCCTTGCTTTCATAAAAGCTCAAGGCCCCCAGATGTCTTCTGGTAACAAAACCCCAGTCTTCAAAGTATCAGCAATGGTGTTGAGCTGAGATGTTTATGAAGAAAGTTGAGTTACTAATTTTGAGGGTTTCCCCCACTAAATTCAGAGAATAAGAGGGGAGGGAGACCCGAGGATGGGAAGTCTAACTCTGGGCAGTTGGGTGAGGAAAGGGCTCAGAGCTTAGGGTAATTACAGGAAAAGCCTTTCTCCAATTTAAAAATCTCATCTCCAGCTGTCCTCAATGGCTCACTTTTGAAATGGGTCTTTGGAACATTAAATGGGTGGAAGCAGGCAGGACCTTATAAAGTGGACAGGAGAGGCTCTGAACCCTCAGACTGGAGAAAGGAGAAACTGGAGTTTTCTCATTAGAAGTGGGAGAGTTACCTGGAAATTTTGGAGGAGGGGCCGAATGATGGCAGAGTCAAGGCTAGAGCCGTGCGTGAGCGATGATGATGAGTAGGTGGTGATGTGTGGGAGAATAACTGGAAAAGGAGGATGGGGAGTGCAGGAGAGCAACATTTCAAAATGGCTCTTATTCCATCCTTTCCCCTCATCCCACAAAGCGTCCCTGCAGTGCTGTCTTGAAAGCCAAGAAGCAGTGGGAGCCTGGGAAACCCTGGTGGCTATAGGTTTTGCTCCCAGTTTTCTATTTTTTAATTCATTTAGCTTCTTTACTTTTGCATTTTTAAAAATCATTTTTTAAATTACAAAAGCTCTGTGAAACATAACCACAGAAAGTTTGAGAGAGAAATGAAAGAATAACAACAGTGGTCTTTAATCTTGCCGCATTATCACAACTTTTATTATTTGTGTCTATTCCTTTTTCTGGAGGCATAACGCTGTATAGGTAAAATGACAGCCAAGTGTCAATTTCGTGTCCTTTTTCACCTGACAGGAGATCATACACTTTTTGCCATGTTGCTTCACTGTCTTTATTATCATTTTTGAAGACTGCATACTATTCTATCAAACAAGGATTCCATTCTTTTTAAAAATAATTTTAAACATATTTTAAAACCCCACTATGGACTATATAGTTTTCTCACATATTTTTTTTTTGCCATTTTAGCAGTATAATGTATGTCTTCATGTATTGCATATACGTTTTCCACATTTTGTATTATTTCCTTAGGAATATAATCCCAGGTATAGAAATATTGGGCTGATGAGACACCATTGTTTTGCATTACTTGTATAGTTCACAAGATTTTAAAAGTCTTAGATAAGTTTCTCCAAAGTTTTGGGCTGTGTAGTTACTCCAGGGTCAAATGATTTTCATAAGAAGCTTGTATTCCTATAGAGAATTTTGGACATTTGAGGCCTTATGAGGATCAAAAGTCATGTGGATGATACTATTCACTTAAAATTCTGCTTTAGTAGGTAATAGAATTCAGGAAAAAGCAAACTGGATGTGGTGAGCAATGAACAGAATGAGGATTGGCATCTGCTGAGCTTGCAGAGTATGTTAGGGATCATCAACCATGCAACCTCATTTAAATCACGAGACAATCCTATACGTTGAGAATTATTGGTACCACTTTTTTTTTTTTTTTTTTTCAGATGAGGAAACTGAAACTCAGTGAGTTTATACCTGAGGCCATCCAGCTTTTACGGAGTCAGAATTCGAAGTCAGGTCCACCCTGCCATGCACCCTTTGTCTAAAGACATGTAGATAGATGAAGTGGTGGTGGGGACCTCAGTATACTCTTGGATAAGCATTAGATGGTGGCCATTTCCCCTTTGTAATATTAGAAACTCTTATTCTGACCACTGGAACTTAAGCTTTTGTAGTGATTGTTGTTCCCTTCTGCATACCCCTCTTTATGCAATTCTCTCAAGTCACAATACATAGTTTTGCTTTAGTGCCTTGGGGCGTTGGAGATTTGCAGTAGGCTGGCTGAAAGGCAGTAGGTAGGATGTTTAGGGCATGTTAGGATGGTGTGTTTGTGTGTGTATACCTCTGGAGGAGCTGGCATCCAGACCGCTTTGGCCCTATCAGATTTTACTATCTCCCTCTGTGTTTTCCAAGAGGCAGTGGAGGAACTAAGATGTGTCAGATGGGGAGAAAAGAGAATGGCCTTGCTTTTGGAAAGCCAATTTGGGAACCACTGTAAGTGTGGGGCCCACAGAAACTGAAGGCTGCTCTGAAAGAACCATCCAGGGCCCTTGCAGAAACCCTCCGCCTGACCAGCAAGGAGCAATGAAAAGGGTGATGCTCAAGGTTAAGGGACCGATCCAAGGTCATAACACCCATGGATGCCAGGCAGATTTAGAAGCAAGGGTCCCCATCCTCCCCACAGGGAAGAGCCAGTTAGAAAATGCAGATGAAAGCCGGTGACCGAGGATGCTGAGCAGGGAGACCCAGGGAGGGCTTTATGACTCAGCCTTCATCTTGCCTGGGCCTGGTCTGCAGTGTCTTCTCCCCTTTGAGGCTGCGAGAGAGCTGGAATTCCCACATGGGGAGGATGGTTTTCTACCACTGACTTGGGTCTTAAATAAAATGGGAAGGCGGACAGGGCTGTAAGAGGTTTGGAGGCTGGTGGCCGTGTTGTTTGGGTCCTTGTGTCTCTATGGCCCTGCCCCTTTCCTGCCAGTACTGTGTTTAAACCTCAGTCTGGTATTTTTCCCTGTTAGAGGTGGGGACGGGGACTGGGGCTTTTTTGCCTCACCCTGATGATTAGGACATATTAACCCACATTCATTCGGCCACTTTGCTGCCTCTCGGTCAGGATTATTTAAATGTTTATCCTTCCTTACTTCTTGACCTTTCTTGTTCAGTCCTAGTTCCTGGGTCCTGCTTGTTTTGTGTTTCATGAGCTTAGCAAACCGTGGCCTCCAATTCCCTAGTTCTAGTGTTTTCACTTAAGATGAGGAGTGATGAGCCAAAGGTTTCAGGCTCAATCCTTGAGCAAAGGGCCGCTCTGACAGGGATTATTATTTATTTGTCATCTTGGATGTAATAAGCTGTAGGTACAGCTTCGAGAGCCCTTGATTTATTGCGCTGTCTGCTGCCACTAGCAGGGCGTCTGCTCCACCACGCAGGATGAATACCACACTGTCAGCTTCGTCGATCTGTCTCCGCCACTGCTCTCTCTCTCATAACACATTCCCATTTCATGCCAGAATACATAAACAATCTTTCATTATTTTGATGCCTTTTTCATATTTGTTCTTTACAGAACATAAAGTTTGAATTTATGGGTTTCCTTTACATTATTTCAACACACTCCACCATTTTCCGGGTTTGTGGTTTAACTCTCAGAAATTGGCTGCCAGGTGATTTAGTTATTTTGGCTTTCTAGTTTTATAGTTATTTAATACCGCAATGCCAGATACTGAGAAAATGGAGTGCATGGGAGGTGTGGGATTTGCAGTTTAGGCTCTCGTCATCAAAGCGATGTGATCCCTGGGATGAGGCATGGGGTTAACAACAAGGCACAGGAGATAGGAGATCATTGGCTCAATTAAAAAAAAATCCCACCTCAAAAATGTTATTTAGATGATCAGTCACCCAGGGCCTTGATGGAGCTTGAAAGGAAAAAAGGAACATCCTGCAACTTTGGAACGAGCAAGGGTTTCTAAATTAGTGGTCAAAACACCCCACCCAGTTTTGTCTGCTTTTCCCATAGCAGCAGCTCTCAGCATTCTTTATTTTCACCTGCTCTGTGTTTGCGAGGCTTGACCATATGGCCTCATTTTGAAGAATTTTCGTGCTTTTGCTTTTGTTTTTCCTAACTGGTAAAAGAACTTGTGTTTGAAGGCATTTGCATAGGAATAGGAAGTTGCTGCCTCTTTTTTCCTGGCAGAAGGACAGGCTTGGGAAATGGATTCCATACCTGCTTATTTCTTCACTTATTTGCATTGTCATTTGCATGGATTCCCTCGCCCCACTCTCATCTTCATCTTTTGTCTCAAATTTCATGATCTTACTTTTAACTGAACATAACAATTCTATGTTAAATGTTTTCAAAACTAAGCACCTTAATTTTTTTTATTAAAAAAAGGTTTTCCCCAGTTATTTTCTGTGAAATTAAATTTTTAAAGAGACAACAGGAAAATAAATTTATAGAGTAGATTGCAATGATGATGCTAACACTGGTGATGAGGACTTTACATTTTTGCATGAGGGTATGATGTGTGCATGTGCATGCATAAGTGTGTGTGTCTGTGTGTGCGTGCATGCGTATGTGTGCCTGTGTGTGTGCATGTGTGTGTGTCTGTGTGTACGTGTGTGTGTGTGTGTCTGTGTATGTGCATGTGTGTGTGTGTGTGTCTTCCTCTGCTTATAGGACATGAGTCCATCCATTGAGGAGCCTTGTGCATTTCATATCTCTTGGTGGTTTCTGACAAATATAAGCCATTGGCAGGTGAGATCATATTCCAGTCAAGGTCAATTAATCGTGCAGAAGTCATGATATTTGGGAAGCCAAGGTCCTTCTCAGTGGCAGTGCTAATGCAGGTTCTGTGGCTGAAATTCCAGCTCCTTTTGGAGAAGGTCTCTTGCTCACATGCTTAGTTGTGTGTGTATGTCCTTCCCCTTCCACTCGGCCCTTTAAGAGGAAGGGGCTCAAGGTAAGAGATGCTCTGCAGTTGGAAAGTTCTTTTGAACCCTGTCTCCTCCCTGAAAGGCATTAAGGAATATGGATTTGAGTGCTATAGATGCAAGATAATTTTGCTGCTCCTCACCTCCCTTGGCAGCCTTCATTAGAGAAGTAGGGAATTTGCTTAGCTCATATCACATTGTACAGGCCTGTTGTGGCTGGAAGGGAACCCTAGTTAATTAATATGAGAAATTTGTTTTGTATCCCTGGTAAAAAAGACGGTGCAGGTTGGTGTTGTCAGCAGAAGCTGCTTGTCACTTTGACCTCTTCTGTTAAGTGTTTGATGTGTTTTCTCAGAGTAATCTGTGAATAACATTATAGCCCAGCCAGAAGAGAAACCGAGGGAGCAATAGCAGAATTAATATCTGGGAGCGTTGATAATTATATATCAGAATCTAATTTTTAGCACAGAAAATGTGTTAATGACAGAGAGGAAAACAAAAACCACTAGCTTCTCCCAGCAGGCCCCAAAGTGTCATTTATTATTTCTCAGCTGGATATCTATCAAGTTTATGGGTTAATTTTTCTGTAGACTGTTATTTATGGGTTTTTGTTTGTTTTCAGCCATCATTACTAACAATACGGTTAATAGCAATCATTTGTTATCCAGTACTAGGCGTGATGCTTCAGATGAGAGCACTGAACTGAGAATACTCATTTGGTAGCTGAATAAGGCCCTGACAGGGCCCATTTATAACAAGCTCATTCTATAATGTCCATCCTATTAATAAAATTTTGTTGCTGTCTAATTAGAGATGTCTGATGTGTATAGGAGCACGGCAGAGGAGACTTTTTGCTGCTGCCTTTTTCCCCCCGCTTCCCCTGGTCTCTTCTGTCATAACCAGAGCCCATCTGGGCATGTGGGTTCGAGAAACAAAAGGAACGAAAAGTGAGCTGTGGCTGCAGGTTCTGGGTTAAATGTGTGGCCAAGGAGTGGTGTGAAGACTGAAACGCAGGGAGGTCTTGCATGCTCCCAATTCTCCTCTTTTCTTTTTATCCTGTGGGTGAATCTGCCTGGCTTAGTCATTTGCAGTTTGCCTCTCAAATTTGCAGTGATGCAAGGTGTGGCAATGGGACGCTGTGATTGATTTCTGAACAGAGACACCAAAACTTAAACATCTGAGTGAATGCTTAGTCCTTCAAAGTCATTGCCTTGAAAGGCAACATATTTGTTCCACTATCATTTCTCAAAGCCTTCTGGAAAGTTCTCTTGGTTTGTTTGTGGAAGCGGTCTCACAGTGTTTTATTCAATAAAAAAGTGAATAGTCTCCCAAAATAAGAATTTGGAATGATGTATTAAAACATCAATCTCAAAGTTTGGTGGTCGTCCTTTGGATCAAGAGACTGATTCCCAGTGGATCTTTCAGGCTTCTTTCTTAAATTAGAAAGAAGCTTTTGGGAGAGGTGATGGGATGTGCCCATCTGTTGGACAAGGAGTTGGAATCCTAATGGCTACTTTTAAATCCTGATGCCTTTACTTAGCAGTGGTGTGGTTTGGGGGCAAGTTCCTGAATTGCTGGGCCTCAGCTTTCTTAGTTGCAAAAAAGCAGGTACTAATCCCTAGAGAACTGTTCAAGGATCAAGTCACATACATGAAAATGCTTTGCAGGTACCTCCCAAATGCTAGGTATAATTATCACTAGTTACAATTCCCTGTTTTTTTGGAACATTGTGTAGAAGAACGTACCCCACTGAGCTCCTTTAAAGCATAGTCATTTTAATCATAGTTGTGTAAATAGTTTTACTAATTTTATTGCTCATATTTTAAAAACATTTTTTTCCACTCCAAGAGTAAAATTTAAAGAAATGTATAGCATTGAAAGTTTTTATCATCCTAATCATAGCTTATTGTGAATAGGGGGTAAGAAAAGAGAAGTTTAAAATTCAGAAAAGAAATATTTTATGAGTTTGGTGGGTGCTCAAATTATACACCTTTGAATTACAAGCACATACTCAGGCAGAACACTGAAGATTGTTTTAAAATAGTTTTGTTGCTAGGTAACTATTTTTTGCTCTTTAATAAGCTTTCCCCCACCCCGTGAAATGTTTTGCAAATGATCTTTTGAATAAAAATGATCATGTAGTATGTTTCTCCCAGCCTATCTGTTTGATTTTGAAGGTAAAACACACACACACACACACACACGTATATATGTTATATATGTATACATATATATATAACTTGAAAAATTTCCATCCTTAGCTGGCGATGAAATTGCCCTACGGAGTTCAGCTTGCACAGGCCTGGTAGTCTCCCGCTTTGTCCCATAAACTGCACTTGACTACAGCTTATCAACCCTTAATTAGTGCTACATTTTCTCCCTGTGATTTCTATTGATGTGTGGTATGGGAAGCTGGATTGAGCCTCCACCTGACTGGTGTGCAAATTGTTTTAGAAAATTCAGCAAACATCTCACTCCATTATCCCTACCTCATCCCTCCCCGCCCCCCTTGTTTCTCCCTCCGTGCGTCTTTCTCTCTTCCATTCCCCTCGATAGGAAAGGTGAAAAGCAGGACGATAGGAATCAGGTTGAGTATTAGTGTTTTTGCTGGTCTGTGCAATAGAAAACGACACGTGGCCGGCTGGGCCCTCCGTCAGCAGATCGCGGATCCGGAAGCAGGGAGGTGGCAGCGGGCGGGTGGGGGCGGTTGGGGGGGTGGTGTGGGGTCCCTCGTGGCCTCGGGATGGCTGCAATGTGATTGTGAGAGCCGGGATGAAGTCAGCACTGACAAAGTGAGGGGATTGATGGATGGACAAAGCAGGGAACTGGATGTGAGAATGGATGAGGGCAGAGGGGGAATTTAACACAGACAAACAGAATGAAAGACAGAGAGGAATTGCCTGCTAAAGTATGCCCGCCCTCAGCTCCCACAGCAATTTACTTACTGCTAACTGAACACCCAAGGACCGTTTGCATCTTTGCAGATTTTCCTACCAGCCGTGGCAGAGGAAAGCTTGCAGATTCCAGCCAGGGTCTGCCAGGCTTTCTTTTTCAGCGTCCCCCCACCCCCAGCCCCCCAACTACATTCACTGACACTCATTTAATTCAAACTGAGCGGCTGATTATTTCCAATAAGTTCACACAGGGTTTCTGCAGAATATGGTTCCTTCCCTTGCCATTATTTTAATGTTTCCACTAAATTTACCTTAATCAGTTATTGTTGCCTTGGTATAGCAAGTAATAATATTTACCTGCTCCTTTTGAAAATGATGTTTCTGGAAAGGGATCTATTGTTGCTTTAGGGAGGCATGGGATAGTGATAGTAATGCACACTTCTTTTGTGCAGGAAAAAGTTAGTGACTTTCTACCTTTACCCAGTCTGTGCATATTACCAAGTGACTCAATATTTAATCTGTAACATTTTACTTTAAGGTAGGAGATGTGTTCTAACCCAAACCCCAAATATGTTACATTAGGCAAAGAAAGAATTAATTGGGAGAGAAAGAAAAGGTGGATCTTTAATGTATAGTATTGCATATTTTACAATAGATTTATTATTTACAGAATGGTTATTTCAGAGAATAAGAGTCTGTGGTTGAAAAGCTATGAGAGATTTGTTAAAATTAATGCAATCGCTGATTGCACAAAACAGCAGAAGATAAATTATTGTAACTGAATGCCACACTTAAAGGTATATTTTATATTTAAGATTTTGTTTCCCTACATGGGTAAAGAATGCAATTTCCTGAGACCAGTTGATTCAAAGGTCTTGAATAAGAATTAGTGTTTTTAAAATTCCAAAATAGAAATCTAAAAATACAAAACAACACAAGAATTGTTTGAAAAATGAATAGGGAACTTATCCCAGGTTAGTACCATTTAAACTTAAGTGTGGTGGTTTCAAAATGAGCCACAGACTTTTTAATACATTCAAGAAACCTAGAATCTTATAAAGTTTGAGAGTCTTCTTTTCCTTTGGGAATACAGTGAAGGAAACTTTGTATTTTAGGATTGATGCTGATGGATCTAGTACTTCCTTAATCCACTTTCCACCCCAGAATAAGGTTTGTCCCTTTCCTTCTCCCTCCCTGTCTCTCCCTTCTCTCCCACCCTCTCTCTCTCTCCTCTCTCCCCAAATAAATGTCCTGGCAAAAGGAAGAGTCCCTGAATTGTTTTGCTCTGTGTCACAACAACATTTTATTTTTCTTAAAGTTTGCTGGTTTACATGTCCACACACCTGGTTTTGAGGCAGGTATTTTTCTTGTGCCACTTATTTCTCTCCTCCATAAAGTCTCCCTCCAAACAAAGACTTGTTATCTGAGGTAGGAACAGAGTTCTAAGAAATTTCAGCCCTAGAAGGCCCCCAGAATGCATGAACAGCTGCCTTCACAATTAAAGCCAAGGTCTTGGGAGAAGGGCTGTGGACTTGCTAGAAATGATGAATGGGAGTTAAAAAAAGAAATTAATAAGTTATCTATTGCATGGAGCTCCATGAGACATATTTTCAGATATGGCATAGATTATCTATCACTCTGACAATGTTCAAAAGTAGATTTGTCCTCGTGCTCACACCCATGTTCCTTGTGCAGATGAAAGGCTGTGGCAGCCTGGAAGCCATGCTACCCTCCTGTGCACATCCAGCGTCATTTGGGGATGATATGAGTTCAGAGCTGGCTAACTGCTTGGATATTATATTGTATATTAATCCCGGTATTGAGTAATTTTTCAAAGGTTGAAAATTTTGACAAGTGGTAGAATTAAGTTTACTAAAGCTGGCTCATACATGGCCCAGAAATAACAGCTCAATGGAACAGATCACATAGATTTCTGGTTCTTTTTGTAGTATGGAAACTTGGGGTATCCCCGTTCCCCAGTTGGTGGCAGTCTCCCAGATTTTCTCTGTCAGTCTCATGCTGTTGGGCATTTAGGCTACTTAAATTTTTTTCCTATATAAATGTAACTGTGAGAAACTTTGATCTAATTGGCAATTAATAACAATTTGATTTTTTTTTAATTATGAGGGTTACATTTTCCATCCCTCCTTCCCTTTCTCCCTTTTCTTTTGTTCCCTTCCTCCTTCTTTCCCTTCCTCCTTCTTTCCCTCCCTCCCTCCCTCCCTCCCTTCCTTCCTTCCTTCCTTCCTTCTTTCCTTCCTTCCTTCCTTCCCTCCTGGAAATCTTTGAAGAAAGAGTGATAACTCTTCTCACACGTAGAGCCATGATATGTGGAGACAGGTCAAGGGGAACTGGTTTCTTTTTGCCTTTACTGGGAGTTTTGGAGCTTCCATGATATTCACATCCCGTTTGTCAGCGTATCTCATGACTCACTACACCTGTGTTTCACAGAGGCTGGTCTCCAAGTGCAGGAGCCCGATTCCTCAGTGGTGCTGAGACGGTGAGGGGCTGCGGTACGTGCGGGCAGCGTACCATTCCCCTTGTGTATTCTCTTACGGTCAATATGGATCTTACTGGTGCATCCCTCCAAATCTCTTGGACTTTTCAGTCTTTAAGTTGGATGGTAATAAACAAAAGAAAGTTTGTTATAGTTTTGTTTTATACCTCTCAATTTATTTCAATCATTTTTCCTTATTATAAAGACAATATATATTCACTGTAGAAAGTTTGCAAAGATCAAAAACTTCTGAATAAAAAAAAATCTGTATTCCTACCAGAAGGTCCCACCACTAACATTTTGTTGTAAATCTTAACTGCCTTTTTTTTTAAATACATATATATGTGACATTTTTGAAAACTAGGATCATTCTATAATCTTACTTTGCAATATGTATTTGCACATATCAATATGTATTTTGAGCATATTCTCATGTCATTAATAATTCTTCTGAAACATGGTATTTAATAGAGACGCACAGTATTTAGCCAAGTATATTTTGCCAGTCTTAAATTTTTGGGCATTTAGCCTATTTAATTTTTTTTTACCTATATAAATATAGCTGTGAGGAACTTTGATCTAATTGATAATTCATAATATTTTATTGTAGTTTTTTAAATGACTGAGAGTTATCTGTCTCTCCTTCCTTCCCTTTTTCCCTTCCTCTTCCCTCCCTTTTCCCTCCCGCCCTCCCTCCTCTTTCCTCCCTTCTTGAATTATAAGCACTTGATTGATCATAGTTTTGGAAGACCAATGTCTGCTCCATATGAGTAGTTTAGAGAATGTAAATTGTTCATTAAATCATTACAGTCTTTCAGTATTGTTAACAACATCAGTATCACAATCATCTACTTTAGAATCACGAATGTTAGAATCTATCAGTGCTAGAAGAGGCATGCTGGAAGATGCAGCCTTCCAGTGGTGAAGGAGCCTCAGGACCCACTGTTGGGGCTAAGCACCTGCTACAACCAGAGCAGCTCCACTTTTAGGGTTGCACATGAATTTCCTTTCTTCTTTTCTTTTGAAGTAAACTCTACTGCTACACAGTTAATCTAGTCTACCTCCATTCCTCCCATAGATGAGGATACTAAAGCTTAGAAATGTTAAGTGACTGACATCTTTTGCAATTCTTTGTCCCCTGAGGAGAGATTTTGAATTGAGGGTGGCACTTAGGTCCTTGGCGATATCATGAGCTGGCAAATTAACCTTGGAAACCTTTTATCTTTGGACTTCTTATGTTGCTATATAATAAACCCTCGTTGTTTATGCCACCCTTAGTTGGGTATTCTGTTACTTGCAATCTAAAGCATCCTAAAGGGTAGAAAAATCTCAGAACAATGCTTTTTGTCCAATGCATTTGAATTAAGATCTGCTCAAATGTTTCTTTGCCTGCAAGACTCTCTTCAACACTCTGTGTTCAATAAGACAAAGGGGGAACTACAACTCTGACATTGATTAAAAGTGTTGCATACCTTTAGGTTCAAGCTAGTGGGTGGCCTCAGCTTCCATTCTGTGCATAGGAAAGGAGACCATGGGGGTTCGATGGTGCCACTTGGGAGGGCCCTCCTCCCTGCCTCCTTCTCATGTGTCTCTTTTGCTCAGGTCCATCTTCATAAATGGTAATTTCAGGAGCCCATTTACTCCACATAAAAGGTGAGTGACTCCGTTTATAATAAATCTCAGTGTGGTGTGCAAGCTATCATTCCCTTCATTTGACCTTGGTGGAACAGGCTGATGGGGCAGCGAAAAGTATGATATGAAAAATGAGGGAGCACAGCAAAGTGAGCAGTGAATCAGTCTTGTGTGTGATTAGCTGTGAAAAATCTCACCAACATGACTCAGAGTCACTTTTTCTTTTCTCTCTTTTCCCATCCCCTTTCTCTCTCCCCATAATATCTCACCAGCCACCCCTCAAATGAGCTTTCCTGCATGTGACTGCCATGTCTGCACCAGTAGCCCTCAGATCCTTACAGGGCTTCCTGGATTGTGAGGTCTGGGCTAAGGGAAATTAGGCTCAGAGGAGGAAAATATTTTGGGGCAGGGGGTTGGAAGAGGGCTAGTGGAGCTCAGCTGAAGCCTTGGGGAGTCCCCCCCAGGGGCACGTTGAGAAGATGTGAGTGTGACAGAATGACTTCAGCAGGCATTGTAAATCTGCAGTCATACCTGAGGACTCAGTGACTCATGGTTGAGGTCTCCATCAGCTCCATTTGCAGAGTCAAGCCCTATAAAAACAGGGCGATGGGATGGTAAATCAGGCTTCCTGGGGAATCGTGGGATCCTGCAACAGAAGGCTTGAGCACATAAAACGGAAGCTTGCCTTTAATGGCACGGCCCTTATTGCCACGCTGCAGAGGCCACCTTGGTGGCACAGCGAGGAGCTTTGGGAGGAGAATTTCCTGCTGCAGCTTGTCTCTTCTGGGGATGCTGTCCTTCGATGTCCTCTTGGTGTGACATCTGTGGGCCAGGAGGCAAGGAGGGTGATGAGTGGCTGTAGATGCTCCATGTGGTTAACCTCACCAGATGACTTCAGCTACCTCATTAATGTCCCTGCACAAGCTGCAGTTGCTGCCTTCCTCCCCTTTAAAACAGAGCACATGTGTTCATCTTCAGAACCAGCAGAGGGTAGAGTGTTCATGGAAATTGGGCCCCTGCTAACAAGTCCTCTGATGGGAATGATGGAAATATTCTTTGTTCATTATATAGTCTGTAGCATGTATTTTCTGACCACCGAGTAGTTCATTAGTTCAGCCATATCGCACCAACATTTGCCCTACTTATTGGACATAACATTAATTATGATTATTTTTAGATTTTTAAAGTGTTTTATTGCCTCAAAATGTAGTCCCCAGCTAGTGAGGAAGGAAAGCTTCCTAGTGGATGAATTAAGTGAGTTTATAAGAGTGCTTTGTAATCTGCTTTTCATTTTTTCCTGTATAAATGGATACTGATTTTTCTGAAGGTGCTCAGACATGACCCTTCAATCTTATTTGCACCATTTACTATCTATCAATTGTTGCCACAATGATGCTGCTTGACAAAATGCCCCAACACCTAGTGGCACTCGATCAGCAATTATTATCATGCTCACAGTTTGTGGATTGGCCGTGGAGACTCTGCTTCATCCTGCAGGTCTGTGGGTTGGTTGAGCTGTTCTCTTCTGGGTGTTTCTATTTTGTCTGGAACCAATGGGCTTTCCAGGCAAGTTGTTCTCAGTTCAGGTCAGAGACTTGGAGAGGGCAGAGGAAATATGTGAGGCCTCAAGGAAGGCCTAGACTCAGCCAGCCCATTGTCATTTCAGTCTACATTCCAGGACCGAATGAAGTCTTGTGGCCAAGATCATCATCAGTGGGTTAGGGATAGATACTCTGGTGGTAGGAAGTACAAACTCACAAGGCAGAGGGCCTAGGAGCAGGA
This sequence comes from Homo sapiens, assembly GCF_000001405.40. Taxonomy (NCBI): domain Eukaryota; kingdom Metazoa; phylum Chordata; class Mammalia; order Primates; family Hominidae; genus Homo; species Homo sapiens. The sequence goes on from NC_000010.11 coordinate 75,718,543, forward strand.
GAGTGAAGAATTGAGAAGGATTTCATAATGCACCATTATTTGTTTATTTAGTCAACATGTAATTTATGAAACACTTGTCATGAGCCTGGTTAGGTTTTCCATCAGAAATCAGACAGAATTCAACTTCAGCCTTTTCAAAACTTCCAAATGTGTTAGGTGATTTAATAAGGTTTTACTGTAAAAACAGAGTAGGTATTTAGTAAAGGTATAAAAAATTAAAAGTGGAATTTGAATACATAAGAATAATGAGTTGTTGAATATCACTTCCATGTTTGTGTGTTCTTGGTTACTATAGTCATATTAACCGTCATGTTAATGAGTGGTTGTTGTAGATACAAAGGATAAATATCTAAAAGAGGACAAATATCTCAGTCAATAACCATTTACTCCTATCCTGGGTCTTAGTTGTTAATTTCGGTTATATGACTTGAGCTTGTAGAATAAAGTGAAGCAGATTAACAAATCATCAGAAAGATCCCTAAGAGAGTTAAAAAGAAAAACAGATTAGGGTAAATTTTCATTTGGCATTAATTTCCCCAAAGATATAGTCCTACAGCAAACATTGCAAGATTGACAATTGTGTAATAGATGCATAACATGTCCAAACAGTTAAGCTGTTCTTCAATTAACACCCAGCCCTGTCATGCCATATGTACTACTGAGTTTAAGAAGGATGCAGATTTGGCAGAAGTCCAGAGGAACCATAGCAGTAACAATGATTGGTGAGATGATGTATCTGAAGAGCTTTTTGGGGTTGGCATTATTTGCCTAAAGAAGAGAAGCTTGAAGGATATTCCTCAGGTGTACCAGGAGTGGTTTTGTGTGACAAGGTAACCAGCTGTTCTCCATCTTAACCATGATGTGAATAAAAAGAAGTTTCACAATTTACCATGTTTAAATTAAGTTAGACCTGCAGAGAACTTCTTTCACTTGTTACATTCTGTAGTGGTGTCCCAGAATTGTTTCTTAGTCGTAGAGTATTTCTCCAGGGTGGATTTAATTTTTAACTTTTGAACAGGAAAGAGGTTATTTTCCCTAGAGTTGGTCATGTGTTATTCTCCCTGGGGGCCAAGAAGCAGAATCTTTCTGAAAACCTGTTTCTGGATGTTGAGGGAGAAGGTAGGGTTTGCACAGCATTGTGGGATTGTGGGCTGAGGTAATGAAGTGTTCCGCCTCCTGTTGCCGTGGGATGGCCATGGCCTACCCAGTCTGAGGGGACAGCTTGTCGGTTCTATTACAGAGAGCAGTAAAGAGTCTTTAAGAACTTTAATTTCCACAAGAAATGGAAGGCCTACTTTCCCAATTACTTTATAAGCTGGATATGGTAGGAGATAATCTAAGAGTTTTGCAGGGGATGTTCCCTGGATGTTTTAATGTTGGATGGTTCACGTGGAGCCCTCATAATTCAGAGATTGAAGCCAAAGTGCCTCTGTGTACCTAAAGTACACATTTACAATATCTTTCTTCTCTATTTAAAATAAAACCCAAAATTTAACAAGAGAAACGGCAAACTTCTTGTGTTGTTTTCTACTTAACCCTGAATTACCATACATCATACTCTAAGATTGTTTTCCTAAATTTGCAGTAATATAGATTATTGAGTCTATGTCTTACATAATCCAAAATTTGAGAATCCTGAGACGGCACATCAAATCTTAGTAAAATAAGAAAATTATATACATGGGAAGGAAGGGAAAATAAGCAGCAAATAAGATGGGGTGAAAAGGAGGCATCGTGGCATTACGGAGAGAACACACGGGCAGGAGACTGAGGATTTCATTTCTCCATCACTAATTGCATAATCTTATGTGAGTCACTTAACAACATATCGTGATTCTTCCATCTATGAAATAAAAGGCTTGCATTAGGTCATCTCATGATTCTCTCCAGTTCTAAAATTATTTCATGCATAGTCTGTGCTACATCTTTCTTGGAGAAGCAGCTTTGTTTTCCTGTGCCCATTCTGTGAGTGGAAATGCCTTCGAAGTTTACTTTTTAGCGAGCTTAACAGAGTAGTCTTCAGGTTAGTCAGTGAAATTGTGTCGACTTCTGAATTCAGAGTTGTGAACATCAGCACTTAGACCACTCTTCCACTCCTTTGCTTTGAGCCCAGTCGGTGATTAAATATAGCATCTTTTGCTGTGGATTCAGAACTCTGTCTCAGAATCCTTTTAATCACAGCTCGCATCTACTGGGTGACTAGAGTTGGCTCTCAAGATGAAATCTCTTTATTCTCCTTGGTCCAGTGTGTGTAGACCTCTGACAATGCAGGAAGTTGGGGGAGTGGTGGAGTATAGAGAAACAGATTCCTACCCAAGACGGCTTCTCGGCTAAACTAAAGAAATTGGGAAGCAAGCATGAGAACCCATGATGGGAAGTCATTCCTGGGTAGGGGTTAGTTTGGGTTTCATCAGGGTATTTCAAATCATCAGAATGACTCTGTTTTAACTATGCCGTGCCATCTTGTGGGTACACAGAATGCCGTGGAAGATAGGTGGAAATGATTTAAGACATTTGACTTTTCAACAAATACATATTTGAAAGCCAGTGGTCTTTTGCATAACCATTTTGTTCTGGCTCCAATCTGAGACTGTTTGTAATTTACAGTATGTGACATTAGCCTTTGGACCAAACAGTTTCAAAGCCATCCAAGCTCTGGGAATTGTCATCTAGTGCCCTGCTTAGCTTTCTGCTCTGAGCATCTTTGAAGACCGGGTAGGTGTTGGGGAGTGGGGTCTGTGTGGGGATGGAGAGGAATTCTGTATGTGATGACACAGAGAAGGATTTAGTTTTTATATATGTATACGTACATTATAAGCATAATGTATGTGTAATTTCTGTGTAGTTTATAAGGCAATTATTATTCCAAAGGTGCCCAACTTAAGATTTACAATAAGAATGTGGCAAAGGAGAAAAGTATATTAAGATTTGGGGTTTCATAATACATTATTCAAAAACAGCTGTGGTCAAGTCCCTTGACTTTTACAATGGAAAAATAGAGTCTCTGGTGATGGATTATTAGGGATTCTGGGTGAATTCTGGAACCTGGATCTTTAGAATGCAAGCAGCCCTGCCGAGGTGCTGGGCTCATCTCTGTGTTCCCCAGCTCCATTCCATTATGCACAAAGGTCCTTTTCTAGGTGACATATCATGTTGTATTCCAAAGTACACTTTCTTTTAATTTACAACTTAATTTTCAACCTAATTCAGAAGATTGATACTATAATGCTATTTGCAGAAGTATTGAAATGTCAGTAAGTTTTATTGTAGTAATAAAGAGTATTCCATATATCACACACTCTATAGGGATCCTTGCTTTTTGCATAGATCTTCGTAGCAACAACCAGTGGCTAAATGCTGGCAATCATTAATTTTTAAAGAAGACGTGGTTATGACGAGTTGAGGAATTAAGGCTGGTGGTGAAGAATGAACTTTAATTTTTTGACACTTTTTTTTGGGGTTGCCTACTAAGGTGAGGTGACGGCAAGATTATAAAAAATGGCCCAAATCCCAGGTTCCTAATACTTAAAATGCTGTCTGCTCATAAAAAGATTTTAGTCGGGGAGAGGCCATCTTTGAACTCCTCGTAACAAATGGGTATCAGTGGCCCATGAAATAATCAATGCCACTAATCCATCCTAGGGCCTGCCAATATGTTAATGGCCCTGGTGCATCGTTATTGCTACAAGACCATAAATCATTCTGGTACCAGAATGCATTGCTGTTGAGGCCTCAAACCCCTCACTTGGAATAAAATTCTGTCTCCTAACAATTAATGTCCAAACATTTTGCAGCTTTGTACCTTGATTGTTTTCAGATGCTAAAAAAGTAAGTAGGACAGATTGTAAATCAATAAAACTATAAGACAAAGTGTTTTAATAATAGAAAGATTCAGAGTAAATCATAGTTCTATGTTTATTATTGCTTTTGGGCTTATAAATGAAGAGTTACTTTCTACTCCCCAGCAAGTCTACCAGGTTAACATGGGGGCACCAAGTCCAGGGCTAACCTCCGTGAATGGGGTTTCCTTCTGTTGTGTTACCCTGAGAAGCAAAAACTGGCCAACTGGAGCCACAAATCTGACTCTGTATGGTAGGGCGATGTTTAGTATATGGCGGATCTGTTTTGGGGTCAGTTAAATGAGGGAGTTTTCTGTTGGAAACAGCAAAAGTAGCTCAGCATAAAATGGTTTCTTTGGCAGCAGCAGGCTTTGGATAGGCAGTATGATGAGATGTCAGTGTGTGATTAATTATTTGGCTGTGGTGACATAGGTGATGAAATCACTTTAAAACAGGAGCCAAGTTGGTTTGAGTTGCCTAGGAGTTTCTACTCATATTTCTTTTCATTAACTTATATAGCCTGGGAGGTCAACTTTGGTCATATAAATACCTGTGCTGAACTATAGGCAACCCAAGAGGAACTCATTTAGGAAACAGAGTTGCATCCAATTGATCTGATTCCCTTTGGTCAGTGTCAATTTAGTCTTCTATTGAAGGTGTTGAGAAACACGATGGGAAGTCATTAACTCTACTTTGTATAGACAAAGCTTATTTGTGCCCATTATGGTGTTACTTGTTCTACAACTGTACCTTTGGCATGTGCCCCTGGGCATTAATGAAGGTTAGATCTTCAGCCTGGAAGTGTGAGCTTGCCATTTGCTTGGGAGCAGCCTGTCCAAGGGAAACAGCCTGAGGAGCCTGCCATGAACTGGCTGGTGAGCTGGAATCCCACCATGAATGGAACTGGGGACATTTAACCCAGGCTGAGCCCATTTTCCATGGCAGGCTGAATGTTGTGATGAACCAAGAAAGTAGACAACTGCATGGTAACAGAGCAGAATGTGGGGTCTTTGATACCGTTAGCTTTTAGATCACTATGACGTTGAAAGACATCGTGATCCCACACAAACATTATGTATTGTCACAGTCCCAAACACTATTCAGCAACTGTCATGCAGCAGGAGAAGGAGGGGGCTCTTGGCCTCTGACAGGACACCACTGTCTTGCAGTTGTGTGTCCCCAGTGCCCAGCTCCAATGGGTGTTCATAGTTTATTTTGGGGCTCAGGAAATAGAACAGGAAAAGGCCGGAAAGACAGTGGCTCCATATAGACAGAAAGACAATTAAAACTGATATGACTCTTAACAGAAGTGGCAAGAGCAGGCAGGATGGAAGTAATTTATTCAACGAATTGTCCAAATACATAAAATTGCACTGATGTATGGTGTAGCGGTGGGACAGTGGAAAATTTGATAGTTGTTTCCGTTGTGTGAATTACTCAGACAGGATGCCTTTGTGAAGTATGGGGGTTTGTTTAATGTTCTGACAACAATTTAGATCCTGTTATGGTTATTGCAGTGTAATGCCGTAGTAAAAATTGAACATGACACACCAGCAATTTATTATTTGTATGTTTTTTAACCTTGAGTATCGGATTGTTTGTCCAAGCATATCCTTTGATTTGCTATGAAATTTATTGTTGATAAAAACAATCAGATTTCCATTAGATGCAAAAAATTATTATTTTTTTTGCCATGAACCATAGATTTAGGGAAGAAAAATTCAGACTAGGGTACAGGACTTATGACAGGTAGACTCATGACATTATATGGTAATTCAGCATGAAAGAATAATTGTGACACTCTACTTGGTTGTGGAGTATAATCGTGCTGTGAGGTTCAATTCACTGAAAGGCCAAATTATCTTCAACTACATTAGTCTGACAACCTATAATGCTCTGCAGAGGCAATTTGTAGACGTTTCACAGAGTGCCAGCAAAACAGGGCTCCCCATTATGCCACCCATTAACAAATTTGTATAGAGAAAAAAGTAACTTTTCCATTTTCCTGACTGTTTTCAAGCTTTACAACATAATAAATATCTAATAGTAGTATTTGCATTGCCATTTACTCTCTTAGTTTCAAAATTTATCTGAGGTATGGGAAGAGACATTTCTCTCTTAAGCTATGTAGCCTAAGAAATATTGATATTTTCTTTGACTTAAGCAATGGCGTGGTGCAGGGGAGAAAGCGCAGGATTCAGAGGCCCCCACACCTTTGTCTTGCCGGCTTTTCTGTTCTTCCTCACTTTGGACTTCAGTTGCCCCATCTCTAAATGGAAAATTGTAATACGCTCATCTAAGAATCTCAGCGAGTGGGTTAAGCTAAAGGGTTCTTCATATTCTTCTAGCCACTGTAAAAACAATTATATTGGAGAAGTTCCAGCATAGGAGAGTGTCGGCTGTTTTGTATTGCTGGTTTTAGGAGTGGACCCACAAGATGGACAAGTGTGATTCTCAGCCCTGTGTTGCTTGGTTGCACCTGTCTCTAGATGCCTGTCTCCAGAACCAAATCCAGGGCTATGCCAAAATGAATTATTTTACTGTTATCATCTCAAATATCGAATATGCACCTTGATTTTTCTCTAAAGAATGAAAAAGCTACTCCTGTGCTGTGGAAATTTAGGGACACAATGTATTTGATGATTGTTTTGGAAAATCGTTATTCATAAACCATATCAGATGAATTGTGAAAATGTTGGTTATCTGTACAGGTATTTCTGCTTGTGAGGAAATGCAAAGCTGTATGGCTAAATGTCCTAAATATTTATAGAATTTTTATATTTTCACCCAGATTTTTGGGAACTGGAGAATCCAATCCCCTTTTTTCCCAAAGGCCAGTGCCACTTTTATTGTTGTTCTTTCAAAACAAAATTATTCCTGTAATCCACCGGTTATTTTCTGCAGTAGCCACTACTGGATCAAAATGGAGTTTACAGGGTAATAAGTTTGCTCAGAGAGGCTGGGACAGCAGAAGTGGCCTGAGGGGCCGAGCCCCGCTCTTCTTTGTCTCCTCTAGTCAAAGGGTCCTTTAAAAGGTCTCATACCTTGGGAGCAAATGGGCCTGGAGATGAATCAATCTGTTTCTGGTAATTGATTTATAATTTATGATTTTATGAATCGTCAAACTTCCTACATCGTTTTTGAGTAGCGTTGTGTAAATCACTCTGTGTCACACGATGAGTTGAGTCCCAATGTCAGAGACTGACCCTTCATTATGACAGGCCATTAGGTCTCACACCTGCTGCTTTCAGGGGAGGTAATGGCTTTTCTTAAGGATAGATTTGGATTCAGCCCTCCCTATTAGAATCTGAGATGCAATATTGTTTTGGCTGTTCCTGTGTAACTTAGTCTAAATTCAAGCCATAAGAAAAAGTAAAACATTAATCTTAATAATCATTTCCAAGGACTGTATCTACCTTGCCTGTTTGACTGGGTGGGAGGGCTTTTGCCTTATTATTCAAGCCTTTTTATTTCAGCAAAACTTAGGAGACATTTCTAGAACCCTAGAGTAGAGATGTTGGATCAGTGGTCATAAGTTGAAAAAGAATGTGTGTGTATGCATCTCCTGCCCTATGACCAGGTGCCCTATCCCCTAGGGAGTGGGATTTCCAAATGTGTGGCTCTTATCTCCAAGGGGACCGTGAAGAGAGTGTAAGTAGTTTAGTGCAATCAGTCAACACTACTGGAAAAATGTACCTAAAGTTTACATGCTTCAGAGGGGAGTTAATCACCTCTTCCCTGGTATAAAAGATGCCCTGTATGTGGAAGGCATGGATGAAAGCAGGAAGGGCCCTGTTAACTGGGGAGACACATTAAGCATGGAATGCCATTACAGTGGGGGAAAATTCATAAGGAGAAGAACGAAAGTTGCAGTTGGGGTTGGTGGTGAGTGGGGGTAATAGATTGTTTTGCAGGTCTGGTGTCCCAGTGGTATAGTTAAGGACAAGCTAGAGTGTTCATGTTTACACATAATGCTCTCCCATGTAATTTTGGCTGAACTGTTGCTGACTTACTTAGCATCCATAGGTGAGCCACCTGCAGAAAGGGCATGCAGGTAGATTATTGTTGACTTTATGGTTATAGAACCTAGCTAATCAGTGTGCCTGCTGGGCTATAACTTGTTATGCCTGAGTGGTTTTTACACCAGGTCTTACGATTTCTTACTGGCAAAAGGGAAAAACACTCATTTCTCATGGCCATGGCCCCTACTGGGAGGGAAGCACTCATCTCATGTAGAGGAAAAATACAGTGGTAAAACTCATGATACAGAGGTTTCTGGAGTGTTTGAAATATGACCAATATGCCTACTTAGCCTTCCTTTGGAGGACTGTGCGGTTTCACAGAATGCAAGCCCTCATAGCCTAATGAGATAAGCCGGCCATGGCTAGGAAGTCTACTACTTGCTGTGTTCTAGGATTTTTGAGACATCCTCAGTCCCTGCCCACATCCAACAAGTTGGAGAGCCAGTTATGGGTACAATGATACACTCATGATCATTCTTCCTTTAGAGCTTGAGTTACTTTCAGATGTGGAGGAGATTTTCCTTCTGCTGTTTTTCTCAGTGTCTGATTATGCAAGGTTCTAGTCCACATAGAGGCCAGCACATGGTGCCTATTAAGTACTACCTTACAAATTGCTTTCACCTTTGACGTTCCCAGTAAAGGTCACTGGTTAATTTTGCATTGTGTGTGGCCTGTTTCGCTAGCTTTAGCTGGCTTTCCTCCCTTGAATAATTTTGTGAGCAATGTCCCTGGCGTTCGGGTTCTAGCTTGCTTCTCTGGTATTTATCTTTGCCATCCTTCACCTGATTTTTCTTCTCTGCGGTGATGCTGTGTGCATGTTTCTGTGGGATGGAATCTCGATCAGTTAAAAAGCGTAGGAGATATGAAAGGTCAGCATGACAAATCTGTCCTCTGAGCGTGTGTATGTGTGTTTGGGTAGCTGAGCTCAGCTGACCAGGGAAGACAAATAGGGAATGTGAAGAGGGCTGCCTCAACAGCCTTTAAGTTAGAAACAAAATATCTATTGCATGGAATATGAGTGTTAGGGCATCATATTAGAAATTCACAAGACTGATATTCTTGTCTTCATTTGGAAAGGTCACAGGCTTTATTTGCAGTAAGATATGCATATGCTTATCGCTTGCTTTTATTTTCTCTTTTAAAATGTGTATTATATACCTACACTGTGTATATTTTACAGATGCTTATTTTAACCAGTAACCATGTTCTTTAACGTGACAATGCAAAAAATATCTTCAGATATGATTTTAGCAAGTTATTTTACATAACAAAGAAGATGATAATCTGTGGGTATTTCTGTTTCCCTCAGTTAATTCCTTTTCTATTTATATTTTGTGCAGCTGAGAAAGGACATTTCTAGTGATGATTTGAAGCTTTTCTAATTTAATTTTATTGTTGTATACTTGTCTTCACTAAAAATGCTAATATCTGTAAGAAGCTGTGGCTTACCTTTTAGTTTGCTTCATTAGATGGCTTTGTTTCCTGAAGTTACCCAATTTTGGGGAATCATCTGACTCAAATTTGCATTCAGGCCATCTTTGATTTTTTTCCCCTTAATAAAGGGAAAAAGGGAAAGAGAACATATTTTTTTGAGTGGCTACGTTTAGCCAGACACTGAATTATTCATTATTTCATTTAGTTTTCATAACAACCCTCTGGGGGATATTATGATCCCAATTTCACAGATGAGGAAACTGAGGTTTAGAGAGGTTCCCAACTTTGCCAGAAGACACACAGCCAGCCATCAGTGAAATGGGTATAGAAATGTTGGTTTGACTGCAAAGCCTGTGCTTTTTTCCATGACACTAAACTGCATAATCTTCCTCCTAAACACACAGCATCTCTAGCTACAGTAGAAAAGTGATCCCCAAATAACAATAACCCAGACCAACAGTGATGAGTGCATTATATTGAAAAATGATAGGGATTGTACATAAAACCTTACGAAATGGGCTGTCATTAAAAAATGATGTTGCCCTTGAACATTTATCATGTGCTTAGTTCTGTGCTTGATACGTGGCTCTGTGTGTGTGTGTGTGTGTGTGTGTGTGTGTGTGTGTGTGTGTGTATGAAAGGTGCATATACAGAGGTGGTAGACACTGGAAAACGTGGTCCACATCCTCAAGAAGGGCAGAAAAGACACATCTGAAACTTGAATGAATGGTGGAAATTCATAAATGAAGAAGGCTGAATTACTGTGTGGATCAGGATGCAGGTACTAGGTTAGTTCAGAAGAGACGGAGCACTGGGGAGGAGGCAATGTGATGGGAACCATGAACTCGATCTGAGCCTTAGAAAAGGGTGAGTTTCAGGTGTTCTAATATGCAGGTGGATGTGCTGTGCTTCTAGGGCTGGGAGGCTTGAAGCTTGTGTGGAGAAAGGGACTTAATGGGATGGTGGCTAATGGGGGTTGAGTGTATACTTTTGGGTAGATGGATAAGTTGGTCTGTGTGTGTGTGAGGCAAGAGTGGTGGTCTCCCCCTGCCCGTGGCACAGTAGCCATGCTGAGCCCCTCTCATCGTGTCTCAGTCCTGCCCACCTTCTCTCCTCTGTGCCTCTGCACATATCACTCTCTCTATTAGCCTCCTGCTCATCACCTTCAGGTCCAAGCTAAAAGGCTGCCTTCTCTGGGAAGGCTTTCCTGATTTCCCCATTAAGTCTCACTCCCCCAGCCCTCTCTTTTGCCACATCGCAGGACTGGTTATATTTTATAACAACTCATGCAGTCGTCTCCCTTACCAGATAGAAAGCTGCTGTGAAGGGAGGACAGTTAGCAGGTACTCGGGCATATAAATAGCAGAATCTTGACTGAATTAGCTAATGAATGAGTGAAGGTGTTTACATTTTATTAGTTAACTAGGGAAAGCCAGGGAGTTCTATGTGTCCACTGAAATCTGAAGGAAGGTTCATTTGCTGGTGCATTGGCACAGTAGGGCCTAGTCCCCAAAGAAGACAGATTTCTCACTGGATCGCCAGCTTCATCCTTCATCGTCCTCTCAGGAGTTCCTGATCTTTCTTTTGGACAACGTGAGCATATTTGGCCATTTTATCTAGACCTAGCAGGGGGCATCCTGAGATGGGAACTCTTTAAGCTAGTAGATTCTAGAATTACTCAATCACCCTCAATAATTCAAATGTGACTGCTGAAACCAAGAGAGTTTAGTTTCTTGGTGTGGGAAGGGTGTGTGTATGAAAGGGTATGAAAGTGTGGGAAGGGCAGGCAAAGAAATGGGGTCATGAAAATACTAAGGTGAGGGAGTTTATGTATCTGTGTGGTAGTAACTTCAAATCATGATTGAACAAGGACAGGACACTATATGTTGACCCACACCAAACAGTGATAGGATGATTCTGACATCTTGTGCATCTGGCTGGGTTTTGTTGTTGTTTTTGTTGTTATTGTTGTTTAAAGAGACAGAGTCTCACTTAGTCACTCAAGGCTGGAGTGCAGTAGCACGATCATAGCTCACTACAGCCTGGAACTCCTTTGCTAAAGCAATCCTCTCACCTCAGCCTCCCAAGTAGCTGGGACTACATGTCCACACCACCAAGGCTATTTTTTTTAAATTTTTATTTGTAGAGAAGGAGTCTCTCCATGTGAACTCCTGGGCTCAAGGGATCCCCAACCCCCACCTCCCCGCCTTGCTCAGCCTCTGAGCAAGTGTAATACCAAAGTGTTGGTATTACAGGTGTGAACCACCACACCTGGCCTCTGGCTGAGTTTAATGTTTCCTAGTGCCATTCTTTTATAACACACCACTAAAAATTCCCTTTCGTATTCTGCCTGAAAGCACTGTGACCATTCTTGTTGATGTCCGAATTTAGTGACATGTTTCTTTTTCTTTTTGGGTGGTATGATATGGACTCAAGTTGCTCTATAGAGCACTGACTTTTTCTTGTTCACGTAGATCTCAAATATATCTCAACACAGATCAACAGATGCACAATGGCCACGACCCCACCATTCACCTCTTCAGTATGGTGACTGATCTGTCCCTCCCGACCCCCGATGGTGCACAGACACTGGAGATCCTATTCTGGGCAGGGTGCTCTAGCACTCTGAGGACTTTTAAGGTCAGATTTCCCAGCTTACTGATGAGCGCGTCATATGAGACCAGACAAACAGGACTGCTGCAGTCTGGATGGATTGCATCTATTGCTTTTCTCTCATCCCACTTCCTGTCTCTCATCCTACTTCCTGTCACTCCATCATTGAAGGAAATTAAGCTGGCCTGGCCTGGGTTGCTCTTCATAGAACCTGCTGGTTGTTCCCCACACCCTGGGCTTTTTCAGGTGATTGCAAATTGATTGTCTGATGAATTATGCACAAGAGCCACAAACTTTCCTTTGGCACCTTGAGTTTTTTATATGGATCTTAAGCCTTGAACCTTCTTTTTTTTGAAGAAAGAAAATTAATTATTTTCTTTTTTCTATATAAAATTAAATATATAGGAAACTTGAGAAGGGGCATTTTTTAAGGCTAAGCCCACCTTTGCTCATACTAATCTATACTTTTTAGCAGTTATTTTTGAGAGAGTGATTTATTTACACTGACAGCTTGTTACTTATGGTAGCTGCTGCCAGCTTCTGAAGTAATCTGATAACGTCAAAATGTGAAGGGAAGCTATAGGCTTTACCTTGACTGACTTGCTATAAATCATGTACATTGCTGGTGTCTGTATGAGGATGCTTGGGTTGATACTGATGGAAATACAAATCAAATGCAACACATGGTAACCCAATTCAGAGCTAGAGATTTTGGATTAAGCCTATTGGATTCATATTTTTTAAGTGAAACAGAGCAGACATACCAGGTTGTGTTTTGAAACTTCACAACTTTCTGATATGGTAACTTCAAGGACAACACCTGCCTTTGAAATGGAAATGCAAAGAGGTGAAGTCATCATGCACCTTTGGTTCCTTTATTACTTCAACACCCATCTCTGTTTTTTAGCACTTTCTGTGTATCATTATGCCAAGGGAAAGGTATGACACTGTTTTAACTATTTATCTGTAAATGTGTTTGTCTGTTTAAGCTCCATGAAGTAGAACGTTGTCTTTCTCATCACTATATGCCCAGTGCTTAAGATAGTGCCTGGCCCACAGTAAATGTTCAATAAATGTTTGTTGAATGAGATTAGGGAGCCCAGAGTTTGAAATTTTAGTGTTGGCAAAACCTTGAAGTCATGCCCCAGGAAGAAGAAGTCATTCCCATCTCTGGACTCACCATTAAGTCCTCTATAGTCCTTTCTGTAGATTTCTGGTAAAGCATGTTTCATACTGCAAAGTAATTGCTGATTGACACGTTGGTTTCTTCAACTCTAGCACAAACTCTGATACGATAGAAATGATGTCTGGCTAATTTTGGACTTCCCAGGGCCTGGCACATGGGTGGCCCTGAATAATTGTTTGTAGTCATAATGTAACAGGATTCTTATAAAATCAACTACCTATAGCTTTGTCTTTATATTTTCATAATGACATTGAAAAAATCCGAAGTATATGCATTAAATTCTAACAGGGATCATTTTGCCAAGTGCTATAGAAGATGATTTTTGTATTATTCCTTTGGATTATCTGCATTTTCTACCTTCTTTTTATAGTGACTAAGTATTTGTTAAATGAAATAATAGTAGAGGGAATATTATTTAAGTTTTTTCCCCTAACACTTTTACGTTACCTATGGAAATATGAATTTGTGAGTTTTTTTGTGTGTGTGTAATAAATTTTTATCAGTTGGTTCAACCAAATGCATCAGGGGGATTTGCTGAATGATGGAATCCTTTAGTAGATGGAGCACCGACTCTCAAATGTGGCTTTGGTGTAAATCTGGATACCTAACGACTGGGTATGCTTACAGGGAAGCATGCCTATGTTTGGAAAGGAAGCATCAATTGATGCGGAAGACCAAACCATGGGTAGGAATCCTGGGGCAAGGTTCGTGCTCTCCTCTAACATTTGCAGATTCTTGGGCAAGAGTACAAATGGAAGCCCCTATACCATATGTCTAAGTATTTATAAACCAAACTAACAAATGCTAAATAAAATATGCTCTGTTCTTTTATCACGACAGATATACTTTTGTTAATGAATTGGAAGTCAATTGCAATTTAGAATTCTCCACTTCTTTGGGGAGCTGGAATGTGGCAGCATGGTGAGAGCCTCCCCTGGGTTCTTGACCATCCCCCTTCTCTGTGCAGCCCTGGCCCTCTCTTGTGTGCTGAGTATCCTCATTGCACATGTGTGTGGATGGGAAATACCACAGCCTGCATGTCCAGACTGCCTATTTGTTCACAGCTCACCACGAACAGCCATCCCTCTGGACTAGAATTGCACATATTGGTTGACTTTTGTAGGATGGCTTACTTTTGATAGAGTTCTGGATACCCACAGTGGAACTTAGAAGGTGGAGGGCACACTGTGGCATGCTCCTGGGCCCTGAGGACTTCTTATCCCATGAGGAGGAGCATGTTGAAAAAAGCTGAGCTGAAAAAGATTGAGGAGGGTCCAGGGAAGCAGTCTCCTTGCTCAGGCCTGAGAGTATATTGCTGGTGATACAGAAATGCACTGGGAAGCTAAAGGTTCATGGCTCCAAATTTAAGGACAAGCCCCATACTTCCTGAATTATAAGCCCAAAGATCACCTTAGATTTAGACCAGTGTTCATAGTAATCCAGTGGTCTCCAATTTCAGTGTAAGAATGTCTCAGGGGTGGATGAAAATGAATATGTGGGCTATGTAATGATGAACTGCTTGTGTCCCATGTGTTAGTATGACAGCCATGCCCAGGCCTCTGCCAAGTTTCCAACATCAAAGAGAACATGCATAGAAGGCACTTAGCACAGTGGTGAGCTCTGCATCATTGGTGGCTCCCATTATTGTGATTACTATTATTCTGAATTGATTCCTGTGTTTTACCATCCAAGAAAGGCCAGTTAGGTTGGGTAATTTTCTGTGGTTTGAGTGAGAATAGGGAAGGAGTTCGTATGGTTCATATTTGCCACTGTCATATTTGTCATGCTTATCTGTCTGCAAAAGGTAAACTGTTCTCCTTCTGTAAACATGCCCTTTATCTCCTTGCCCTAACTTCATGAGCAAACTCTCTGGCCTTTCTGTATGAGTGCCACAGGTTGACTTTTTTTTCCCACACAGAGCAAACAAAAATGAGTGGGACTTTTTATTGAGATGATAATGTGGCCTGTTATGGAGGCAGAATGAGAGGTCATGTGTTCATTTCTTACCTTGAAGTTTGCTGCTTCTTGCCGTGCCATTGCTGGAAGGGAAAGGAAGGGGAAGGGAACCCTCTCCTCAGGAGTTAGCAGAGAGAAGGGAAGCAGTTTTCCCTCATGAGACAGACACATCTTTTAAGGTCTTGTGTCTTTAAGTAGGGTTGGAGTGGGTTGGGGGATAAAGATGTTGGGGATAATGACAGTTATCTGCATAACACTAGATTTGTCTTTCTAAAGTGGTGGATGAATCATGAAGCCTAAAGGAGGTGAAGAAATGGACTTTTATCGGTAGTAGCCTACTTGGAAATAGAGAAGTTTTCTTTGAGAAGGAGGCTTCTCAAGCCCTTTCCCTTCAAGATTCTTACCTTTGCTTGGGCCTCACCCAGCTGTTTCTACTGCGTGGGAGACACAAGGGAGATGGTTATTGGATTTGCATGTTAGTTGAGGAGCCCAAGATGGATAGGCCCTTTCTTCTGTTGCCATCTGACTGCTCAGGGCTGGAGTGTTCTGTGGTCTTCTAACTCTCCTGCTTGCTTCAAGTGTTATATGTGGTTTGCCAGGATGATATGAACTTGGATATGCAAGAAAAAAATTAAACAATAATAGAGCTGAGTCAAAAGAGAGAAAACATCCAGTAGTTATTGAGAGAGAGAATGAAATCACACATGGGCGTAGAGAAAACAATCACCGGAGCCACCATTTAGGAATGAAGCAGAGTTGTCAACCCCTGACATCCCCCGCCATGTTTAGCCTCTGAGGAGGAGTGAAAAGTCACAGGGTGAGTATTCAGGAGAATTGGACTCTAGTCTGGAAATATCACTTCCTCTCTAGGTCTCGGTCCCTACTGTTTAGACTAGACCTTTCATTTCCTTTAAGCTGTAAGAATTTGTTACTCTTAATTATATCAATATATAAGGAATTATTTGGGATTTTGAAAATAAATACATGAGTTACCATGGATTCATGCATGTGTTCACTTACTCTGTGAATGTTTATTGAGTACCTGCTCTTTGCTAGGCACAATGCTAGTTGCAGAGGACAGGGCAGACCTGGATTCCCCTCTGTGGCACCTGCCATCCTGCAGGGAGTCCTGTCCACTCAGTATATGCTAACAAGCCCAGCAGGCTGTGGTATCAGAAAATAGGATGGAGGGAGTGGCCAGGACTGGGAGAAAAAAATTGAAGAGTTTTAAGACATGTATCAAGCATTTTTGTTTTTAGTTATTTGCTCAGATTCCACATTCTTATAGAGGCCCACCCTGGTTGCTCGATTTAACACTGCAGCCTGTCCTTCTGTGATGCTCCTGATCCTCTCATGCTGCTCTGCTTTTTCTCCTTCCCTTGCCGCTACCCCTTTTAGCATTCGCTCTAATTTACTTATTCATGATGATGATTGTAGATTGTCTGGCTACCTCACGCTGAAATATATGCTCACAAGAGCAGTAATCTTTGTCCTCCGTGTTCACTAGTGTATCCCAAGTACCTGCAACAGTAGCAGGCACTCAATAAACATTTATTGAATGGATTAATACGTGACTATATGACTGAGGAGTACAGTAGGGTATTGTAATGACCTTGGAAAAAACGTGGTATATTATTCAGAAAGTCAGTCCTGAGAAATTGATGGCATTAATCTACCAATGTTATAAAAGTCTTTTGTTTTGGGGGGTGTTGATGTATAATGGCAAAATGAGAAGTAGAGGGTGGCAGACCACAGCATAATCCTGCAGCTAGCTTTGCTCAGGGAATGACCTTACATGTTTTCTTGGTTAGGTTGAGTTGAGTTGAGTCAGAAATTCTTTTTATTTTTGCTCCCATGAAAAACAAACTAACTAACAATCAGCAACAAAAACATCACATTCAGCCTAAACTCCTGGATTGGTACTGAGGGATATTCTCAGTGGGGAGTGCTGTGCTGTCCTGTGCACTGCCTTCTACCTAGCCATGCTGGAGGCACCTTGCTCCTGTGTTCTGTGGTGATTTGAGGCTCTGGGTTCTGTTTTCCATGGTCAAAACTTCTCTTCATCAGCCCAGAGTACATGTTTCAGATTGTTGAAATGAGTTGTTCCCACTCAAGCCTTGGGTTTGTGTGACACTGTTAATAGTCATCACCAGTCAGCAGACAACAGAAGCCGCTATCAGCTACCCTCTCAGCAAGATATTCACGAGTCCACCCGAGTCGCCTCAGAAGCAGCATATCCTAACTCATTTTATCTACGGATCGTGTGTGAGACACAGAGAGTCAGACACACACTGTTACTTATAAATTTTTTTTACATCTTTCCACGGTAAGATGCCTACACTTTAATTATGAACTTTTTATTTTTTGTGGTGGGGATGGCAGCTGGGCAAAAGGGTAAGATAGTGAGAGGAGGACAGGGCCAGAAGAAATTCTAAAGGATAGGATACATCAGCTTCTTTCCCAAACTCTCCTCGTTTAGTAAATGACGGCACGTGAAAGCAGAACATTTGGCACTTTGCACCAATATTATGGTGTAAAATTATAGTTAGGAATATTGTGTAAAAACCGTAATAGTTTGCAGTTATAGCTATAGTGAGAACAGCAGGCAAGACTATAAGCTTTAATTTATGTTGTGCTTTGGACATTTTTCAGAAACTATTTACCCATTACCTCTTAGGTCAGTGGCCTAATAATGCAACAAAGCACTTTTTGAAATTGCAGATAATTTTCAGTGCTCAGATCTCTGTGTAGTATTGATGGGGAGGGTGGTTGATTAGGACCTTGGGAATTGTGCTTGATGGGAACAATCTGGAAGGAGTGAAAAATTATTAAACACACACAGCGGGAGACGGAGGATTTACCATTGTCATGCGGTGCTATTAATTCTCATTGCTCGGTACAGAGGCTTGATTGCATACTGTGAATACTGTTTATTGGAGAATGGGTACAATTTTGCTGCAGTTGTTGTAATGTAATACTAAATGCTAATTAGGCTTCTAACAATAATTAGAACCTCTTGCCAGACTTAGAAATAGAAACACTCAATTGAATTTACAGAAACAAAGACCTTTAAGCTATGCCAGCAGCAGCATCGGCTTCAAGAAGTTTTTTACATTTTAGTTACAGAATTGCCAGCACATCTATCTATATATTTTTTTATGGTGTGCATAATGAGTTCATTTATATTCTTGATAGGATTATTTTCAAAACAAGATAAAGCAAACCTCCCCCTTCAATATCAGATGAAGAAAAACTACAAACAGGTATAAACCAAATGCACCTTTGTTGCCATGCAGACGCCAACTGCCAGCTATTTAGCTATTTAGCTATTTAGTAGGGTGGGGAAGGCAGGGCTGGGATGGGGAACACGGCTGATTTGGAGGTTAGGGCCATTCCGAATGCTTAAGGTTTTCCTAGAACCCCATGTTGTCTCCCTTCCTTTGTATACACACACATGCACGCACGCACGCACACACACACACACACGCACATGCATGCACACACACACATGCACACGCACGCACACACATGCACACATGCCTCAAATACCACCTGATTGCCAGTGTTGATTCCTTGGATCAGCTCCCTAAATTGCCTTCTTAAAGCTCAGAGTCCTGAGGCGATAAGCTCTTCTTTGGTGCTTGGCTTTGTCAACCCTTTCTAATCAACCAGGATGGCAAAACTCTCTCAGTAAAGTAAGGAATGCGTCAGATGTGCTCAGCAATGAGAAATAATTAGCTGAAAGTTTCCCTGGCATTCCCTGAGCCTTGTGGTTTCGCCCCCATCACCGTGGCAGGAACGTTGGGCCATCCCAAGAATGTGGCCATGGGTATCTGCAGCAGTCTGGGAGGGCCTGGGCATGTTTCTTGGCATGTGGGCAGGTTGCAGTACCATCATCTGGGTTGGTTTGGCAGCGGTTGAGCAAGGCCTTTGTTGTTGGGGTATCAATGCTATATTTAATTTCCTAATCCTGTTTTGTTTTGTTTTTAAACCCAGAGATACAAAGACTTCAGCAAACCTCATTGACTCTCCCTTCACAAATACACCACATGAAACAATTGAGCATGCCTCCCTCCTTTTAATCTTAACTCAGCCTAAGTTGGCTAGCTGTTCTTCGGTGCTGATAATTAGGTGCTTGACATGATGTATCATGTTGCCCCTTAGTCTGGAGCCATCATGGTAATAGAAATATAATCCTGAAGCCCTGTTCTGGAACAGTCTTAAGAAAACCTATAGTTATCACTGCTGCACTGGTGCCAAATTTCTGGGTGAAGTGAGTTTTTACAGGTTTCACTGGTTACTGAGAAACACGTTTTATGATGGAAACGCTGGAAGCACAGTTTTGCTCCAGCCTCCAGGGTGAGGCATGGCTAACTCTAAGGAGAGAAGCAATTTCCTGATTTCTCTCTGGTTTGGGTTAGAGTGGCCATTTTTACAAGCTGTCAAGAAACGATGTTCATAGAAACTTCCACTTTTGTGTCCTTGTTAATATTTCATCAGATTCATCAAACGCAGCCCCTTCCCCCATCCAAGTGTCCCTGCCCTCTAACCCCCTGGGGTAAAATTCTTCCTCCTTTTTTTTTTAAACGTAATTTTGAGTTCCTTTCATGTTTGTTTTTGAACTTCTCCCTGTCTCCTCCTTACCAAGGAGGTAGGGCCTTTGGTGGGGCTGGTGCTGGCCCCAAATCAGCTGCAGCTTCAGGTCATCCAAGCCAGTCTCTCCTTTCAGAGGAATTGAGTCACATTCTCTCTCTGCCACTCTTTGGTTTCACAGAGGCCTCTCCTTTCCCTGCCTCACTATTGGACTCTCCTTGTCCCATGTAAGTTTGGTGATTTGATCAGATTCTTTCTGCCATTCTTAACCGGTGATAGTGCAGTCTAATTGTGCAACTGGGAACAGACCAATTGTTTATAATGATCTCCCAATTTTGCATGAAATCTTAACATTCAGGGCAGAAGACGTCATTGATAAATAATCAATGACCAAAACGCCTTGACTTGGGTGGCTGATTCCTCTGTGCCCAAGAGTGCCGTGTGAGATGCTAAGTTTAGGTTTGGTCCTAATGGGGTTAAATCAAGTTCCATGACTCGAGGCAAGTGCCCCACGTTTGCCTGTCTTGCAGTTTATATGAAGTATGCCAGTGAAATTTCTAAGGAGGCACTGTGGGAGCATTTTTGTCTGCATTTTAGCAAATATGCTTGATTGCCAGAGGTGCTCACGTTGTGGTTTTTCCCTTCCTGAGGAGACAGTTTTTCTCGAGCTGGTCTGCCGAGAGTCTGTGAAGGATGGGGCCAGAGTGAGTCAAACGCTCTCTTTCTATTTTCTGGTTACATTTTTCTCGTTCACAAGTCAGTGGCACCTGCAAATGGAAGACTTGCTGAGGTAGCACCTGGCTGATTAGCAACTTTTGCTTGGTCCCACTCACACACTGACCGTTAAATTACCTCCTATCAGGCCTGGGCTGTGTGGCCGCTGCGAGAGGCAGGCGGAGGTCACCTCAATATGGCTGACATGTTCTGTGTTTTCCCACAGCATGTCACATGTAGCCAGTGCGGCGACTTTGACAAAGTACTGCAGGGTGACCTGGTAGTCTCGGGTCAGAGTGAGAGAAATTGGTGTTGTACTAAGATGTATGTTAATACATATATTATTTATATGGGCATTAGCGAATGCTATTGTTGCCTTAGCACAAACCCAGGCCCAGAGATTGGCCTTGGGGTTTTTGCAAGCTTACTTTATCATGTTTCTCCTCACCCCCTCCTCGCTCATGAATAATTAAAAACTTAAATTACTTGCCATGTACAAAATTCATATGCTGGGGAAAATAGCTACATGAAAATTAATTTTCTGTTCTGTGAGACTGACGGGAAATCAATTAATCTTGATGTATTATTTTATGCAGAACAGGGTGCAAGAACCTGCGGAGAGAATGGCTACAGCTGTTCTTGTTGGTCAGGCCATATATTATCGTTGGCGGGTTTGACAGCTTCTGAAGGAAATGGCTGAGGGGTATCAGGCAGGTGAATCAACTGTAAAAATTTATTGGAGGATACAAACTGTTTCCAGGGAACTGATATAAAACTCACACTTGAGAACTGAAGTATTGAATGTTTTTGTGACTGAAGCAGCTTGTTGTCAATATTTATAGCTTTTCTCTTTGTTACATGTCCTATTTGTTTGATTAACTAGTCAGATGTTAGTGTCTGTCGGTAATTTATCTGTTGTGCCTTCTGTAGCATTTTTGATACATAAAGATTTACCACTAGATAAATAAGGCAGCACACACAATGCAATATGCGAAATAAAATGACAGAGCTGTTTACAGCATGTTGCAAGTTTTATAACTCATGAGGTAGATCGGTAACTTTTGTTTACTGGTGTCACTGTTTGTTGAAACATGTCTCAATGTATTAAATACCATGGGGGTAAATAAAGCTCTTTTAAATAAGCAGAGATTGTAATCAACACATACCTCATGGTAAATCATTTAAGAGGCTCTATAAAAACGTTTATGTACAGCCATACATAATGCATACATTTCTGAAATAAAATAAAATAAATGCGTGCTTTTAGAATAGGCTGTAGTTACATTCCTCTCCCATGCCATCGACATCAATTTCCCCTGTAGATGATGGAGGTGCGATGTTCAGACAAATGCTGACGCAGACCGACGGGAGCTGGAGGCTGAGGGGCAGCGGCCTGGCAGGTGATGTCTCTCCAGTCTTGGGGAATGGCTCCTGGGAACACGGGTGTCTGCTTGCGGCATCACTGGTCATCACAGGCTGGTGGGGCTGGGTGGTTGTGGCTGTCAGTCTCAGGCAGTTGAGGCTGACTTTTTGTGCAGCCCTGTGTGATGTCTGGATTTAGGGAGACGCCAGGAAAGTGGATGTAGATAATGCTTTACCCAGGGCCCCTCTGTGACCACCTGTCTCTTCCCCATCTCCAGGCAACAGCAGCCACTAAGAAGTGCTAGAGTCATTGGCTTCCTAAGAAATTGGCATGAGCACTCAGGCCCCCTTATCCCTACACAGAGAGGCGGAAACTGTACCATGTGCCTGGCTGTGTATTCTTCAAATATCAGGCTCATGGCATTTCAGCTAAGAATCCCAACATCTGTTGATCAGCAACAGACTTGGCAAATAGTGGTGCTTAGTAAGTAGCCCTTGAGACAGAGGACCTGATTTGTGATTCAATTTCTAATAATTCATAAATGACTCATGAATAGCACTCAATTTGAGGGCCATTATGACACTTTGAGAGGCATAGTAAGAGTATATTGCATTGATATAGTATGGTGTACTCTTTTAGAAGCCTGTCATTCATATATATATATATATGGAATTTATGTTAATCAGGATAAGCATATATTAAGGTATGTTTATTAAGTCACAAGAAGATCTCTTACTTGGCCAGTTTGTGGGGTGGGGATGGTTTGGGATTGCTCTGTAATAGACTACCACTAGCTTAGCAGCATGAAACAACACTGTTTACTAGCTGTAGGTTGAGAAACCCAGCAAGCCTGCCTGGTAAAGAGTATCAGATAGGAAACAGATAGCAAACAGCACAAGGCTGGAATCAGGGTGTCAGCCCCTGTGTATTTCTTTCTGGAGGCTCTGGCAAGAACCCACTTCCAGGCTCTGTCATGTCGTTAGCAGAATGCACTTCCTTTTGGCTGTAGGACTGAGGTCCCTGTTTTCTTGCTGGCTGTTGGCCAGGGCACATTCTCAGACCACATGCCCGCCTCCATCTCAAGTGAGCAACTCTCTCTCATGTTGACTCCTCCTTACCTTTCTGATCTCTCTGACATACGCTTCTGCCACCAGCCAGAGAATACCACTGCTTTAAAAAAAAAAAAGGCTCACATGATTAGGTTACACTCACCCAGATAAGCTCCATGTCTTGAGGCTACTACCTGATTGGTAACCTTCATCTGTGGAATCCCTTTTGGCATGAAACCTCCATAAACATGGAAGTAGGATAAGGGAGCAAGGGTTATGGGGTCATCTTAGAATTTTGTCTACCACAAGGGTATTTGGTGTGACGTTTATGCTGTGGATTTTTCAGAGCAACCGCGTTCTTAATCCTTATCTTCGTTTTGGTGTCCTACAACCTGGCCTGGAAAGAAGAGGGCCAACTCTGGGTGGGTTCCATCAACAAGTACATGTAGAGCACCTGCCGCACAGCCAACCTTCCTGTTATGGACTATTTGTTTATGTCCCCCAAATTTCTGTGTTGAACTCCTAAGCCCCAGTGTGATGGTTTTAGGAGGTGGGGCCTTTGGGGGGTGATTAGGTCATAAGGGTGGAG
This sequence comes from Homo sapiens, assembly GCF_000001405.40. Classification (NCBI taxonomy): domain Eukaryota; kingdom Metazoa; phylum Chordata; class Mammalia; order Primates; family Hominidae; genus Homo; species Homo sapiens. Next base: position 75,741,901 of record NC_000010.11, read on the forward strand.
CTCTCATGAACGATGGGATTAGTACCCTTATAAAAGGAATCCGTGAGAGCGCTGTGAGGACAGAATGCAAAGACAGTTATCAGCAACCTAGAAGAGGGCTCACGCCAGGATCAGGCCATGCCGGCACCCTGACTAAGAACTTCCATCCTGCAGAACCACGAAAAATACGTTTCTGTTGTTTGTGAGCCACCAGTGTATGGTGCTTTGTTATAACAGCCTGTACTGACTAAGATACGTGCATTATAGGCAGGAAGTAAAAATCTCTGTAAGATGCACGTTCCTTGCTCTCTCCACGTCAAAGTTTTTCATACACATATCATGAGATTGTCAGCCAATCAAGGCATCTGAGGACAGGGGCTAAATTAAGTGGGAATTGAGTGGGAAAGTAAATCCTTGGGAGTTGAAGCAGGCAAAGGAAGGCTTCAGGAGACGAAATGGTCAGTGGGCCTTGAACAAGGCAGACAGTTCAACAAGATGGAGAGAGAGGGGCAAGGCCACCCAGGTGGCAAAGAGCCTACTGTGTGGGGAAATAATGGGAAGTCAGATTGAGCTGCAGTGGTGGGTCCTCCCCCAACACTTGAATAGGTGTGCTGTGGGGGTGGATGGGAGGCACACTATGAAAAATACATGTGTGTTCATGATAAGCCACATGGGGACAGCCACATGTTGAAATCACATGAAGTTCCTTTTTCTTACAGAAGCCTCTGGAAGGACTCATGTCCTCCATCCCTGCCTACAGCAAGCCTTTGCCAAGGGCCCTCTGCTCTTGGGGTACAGGTGAATCATTCTGAACAGTGTGAGAAGTTCTATACACAAAGTTCGAAGCCCAGCCTTCACATTGAGATTATCTGAGAAACTTGCAAAAAGGATACCAATGGTCAGGGAGTACCTCAGACCAACTCGATCAGATTTCTGGTGGTTGGCATGGGGATTGGGATTGTATGGAAATGTTCTCCAGGTGACTTTAATAGCAGCTGGCCAAGGTGAGAATCACTTTAATGTATGATCGGTATGCACAAAACATTATGTGATTAGTGCTATTCATTCTGATTAGGAGGTGACATTTGGAGTGGGGTCTTGAAAATTGAGAAGGCGTTTACCAAGTAGGCAGTGGGGGATGGGGAATTTCAGGCGAAAGGGGAGCATCATGAACAGAAGCATAAAGATGGGGAAGATTATGGTCTGTGTGGAGACGAAAGCTGCCCACAAGGGAGCGAGGGAGCTGGGAGGGGGTGGTAAGAGATGAGGTGGGAAGGATGGGTTGGGTGAACCTTGAAATAATTGTAGTTGTACTTTGTGGAAGAAAAAAAACTTTATCATCAAGGCTTTGTCCTGATCCAACCTGACCTTCCCCTCAGTTAATCCGAATTACTGAGGTTTGACTCCATGTTCAGTTTCTCTGAGATTTGCTTTGATTTCTCTTAGAAGTGGAGCTGCTGTTTATTCTCCCGGTGGCTCTGTGTACACGCTCTGCCCGTGGAGCTGCCTGGGATGAGCCGTGAGTCCTCTGAGAACTGCTTCCTGTTTCGTCTGGTAACTCCTAAGCCTGCCTTTCTTTCCTACAGTCTGCATTTGTGGAAATCTGCAGTATTTGAAGTTTGGAGGAGATCAATTTTTCATCCTTTCCTTCGTGGGATAAAGAATATTTCAACCACCTCTGGAGACCAAAGAGTTCTGAGAAGTTTTGAAATAGCTTGGGAAATACACCACGTGCTTCACACTTCATTTTTCTCCTCTCTCTTTCATTGTTTGACTTAATTAAAATATTGTAATGCAAGAAGGAGAGATGAGGCAAACGTTTAGAGAAGGAAAAGGAAATGGGTTCATGTTTAAACTGACTCTGAGCAAGCATGGCGATGGTAGTTTGAAAGAATTCTGAGCATGTAGGAAGGTAAACTCAAAATGTTCTTCCTGCCTGAGAAGTGATTAAAATACCTGTGAGCACCAACACTATTGTCGTTAATGAAAACTGTGGCCAGCTTTCCCCACCCCCAAGTGCTCCCCACAACCCAAAGAAAAAATTGGAACATTTTTGGGTCCAAGTTTCACAGATGTTAAGCATTTTGTGATATTACTTAGGGGGTTTCCTGAGCTGCATTAAAGTTGAACCACTAGGGTGTTGAAACAGTTGGGCCCCATAATAAAATATACATGAAAAGGAATTGTGAAACATTGGCTGTTGTGTGTTGGTGACAATTAGGTTACTGTTTTAAAAAATACATACCCTGGACACATCTATGGGAGCTTTTTAGAGAATTTTGAGTAGCACTAGAGTAAAGGCGGTTGGTAATTTCTCTGGTTGCCTCTGGCAGGTGGACATAATTTAACAATACCCGTCAGATATGACAAATTGTTTTTGAGTTACATTAGGGCCTTAATAAGATCACATCTGTTCATATATCCTCCTTAACCACAGAGCCTGATTTAGAGAGGTTTCATACTGGTATGATATTGTTGTTTAAATATTTAGAGGGGTCTAGACATGTATCATAAAAGAATAGACTCTTGTGTATAAAAACACAGTCCTTTTATTCTCAGTGTTTTTGCTTTCATGGACCTTGCATCATTCTGTCTACTTGAGTGAACCACATGTTGCTTCTAGGAGCCAGAAAATATATTTCATTCCTCATCAGAGTTAGTGTTTTAGAGCTGGAAGAGGCCTTGGAGACCAACTTATCCAGCTCCCCTCCTCTTTAGGGTAGAAACCTGAGATGGAGACAGAAGGAGGGGACTTATTTAGGGTTTCTCACCCCATTAGTGGCAGAAACAGAATCAGGACTTAGATCTGCCAATTTGTAGTTCGGTCGTCTTTCTGTTATGCTAGATGTTCACCTGGGACCTGAAAATGTGGCCATTGAGGCACTTTGATGTGTCACTGTCCCTTAGAGGCTGCAGTCCTTTCCAGGGGACATTCCTGGCCACTGAGAGGGCCAGGCTCTTTGCTATGTATTCAGATTCAGAGCCCAGATCCTCTAGTTTAGGAATACCTAAACTATCTCCCTGCCTGAAGACCTTCCTGTGCCAGCGTACTTTCTGTCACTTCCCTGCTGACATGCACAGGCACAGGCAAGTCTCTCTCCCATCTCTGACCACACTGTGCACGTCCCCAACTCTGCTCACACTGTTCCCTTCTCCTGGAATGTGTCCTCTTTGCTATGTCAGTTACTGTCATGTCCAGCATAAGCTCCATCTTATCATGACGTCTCCCAAGCCCACAGAGGTGTGTTAGGTCGAATCATGTGAAAATGCTGTTTTATAGGTGAAAAAGGTCAAATATTGTCAGTTTTGTAAGATGCAATCTAACTGTAGATTTTTTAATACCCCCATGTTACTCATCTTCTTTTATTCATCATCTCTCTCTCTCTTTCTCTCTCTCTCTCCGTGTGTGTGTATAATATAAATTGGGGCAAAATTCACATCATATACATAAAAAATCAGGGTGAAATTCACATAACATGATTCGCATCTTTTAATTTTTTGTTATTAACTATAGTCCTCATGCTGTACTTTAGACCTCTAGACTTAGTCATTCTACATTACAGCAACTTTGTGCCCTGTGTCCTATATCTTCCCATTTCTTTTAAAAATAAACTTTAAAAACACTATATTTTGGAATAATTTTAGATTTACAGAAAAGTTGCAAAGATAGTACAGAGCATTCCTGTAATTCGCCTAACCTAATTTCAGTTTCTCCTAGTGTTATCATTTCCTATCGCTCTGACACCATTTGTCAAATTTAAGAAAACATTGGAACAATATTATTGATTAAAACTCCAGACTTTATTTGGATTCCACTGGTTTTTCCATTTCTGTCCTTTTTCTATTCCAGCAACGAACCCAGGGGCCAGAATGCCACACTGCTTTTAGTTATCATGTCTCCTTCGTTTCTGCCGGTCTGTGACAATTCAGCTTTTCTTTGTTTTTTCGTGATGACCTTGACAGTCAAAACACTGGCCAGGTATTTTGTAGAATGTGCCTCAACGTGGGTTTCATATGATGTGTTATTTCATGATTTGTTTGAGTTACGGATTTTGGGAAAAGTACCACACAGGTATCACATTATCTCAAGGGGTACATGATACCAGCCTGGCTTCTCACTAGAAATGTTAACCTCAACTACTTGGTTAAGGTATTTGTTTGGGAGGTTTCTGCACTGTGAAGTTACTGTGTTCAGCTTCTTTTCCTACTGGCATCTCACCACCAGCTAGATGAACATTTCTTCTCTTGGGAGCAGGAGCAGGCTTGGTACTTTCTGTATCTCCCATCATACCTAATGCCATGCCATGTTTTATATAGTGTAAATGCTCCACAAACATTAGTTAAGAGGTCATTACGTAAATAATTTAATTTCAGACTGACAGAGGTGTTTGGTTTAAACAACTGAAACAATACAATTCCAACTCACTGAATTCTCCCTGCAAACTAGTTTGGTGGTCTTGGTTCACTGCACTTAAGGGGTAAATCGTAAAACTACTTAAAATTGTTTTCGTTCAAACTACCATGAAGAAAGGATTATCTGCTGTCTTTGCTAAGATCAGAACTTCTAGTTCAGGACTCAGGAAAATCTGAGTGTAAATTAGAGAGACACACGTACACTTTTGTAGCTTCTGCTGCCTTGTAGCGTGGGTGTCCCTATTTGCAGAGGCTCTTACAAATATTTGTCAGAGGGTTTGATGATTCTAGAGCTAAGTCATTGTTTAATGAATTCCTAATGGCCCCAAAGAATTACCACTGTGAATACATTTTATTTCATCATCATAAAAATCATTTTTCAAATACTTATCTGTGCAGATGTCTCAGAGTGCGTGGGTAGAGAGTGCTATTTTTGGGGGGGGAGCTTATATTTTGACATGGCCCTTATGGAAGACAGAAACAATTAGGACACATCCTAAAGGAAAAGAGGGAAGAAAAAAGAATTTTTATTATATTAGAGTTGAAAACTAGAAGCTTTGGAAGTGAGAGGAGGAGGAAGAGGAAGAGGGAGTTGTTCTTTTATAAATTTCCTTAAACAGAGATCTTAGGGGTAGATCTTATTGGGGTAATTCCTTTCTACTGTGATGGAGAAGTTGGTATTCTGTGATGATGATTTAACCGTGGTTCTGAAGATATCTATGGGAATTAGAGTAGCTGATTTATTATTCCATTTAAAGAGGTTTCTTTTTTTATTTAATCTTTTTTAATATGGGGAAAAACAACTCTTCAATAGTATAAATTAGTTCATGCTAGTTTTTCAGTCTGAGAGTCTCATGATAGCTACACTTGCTTCATGCTTTATTATGTAATTTAATTTTTCGTATCTTTTATTAGCTGTAAAGTAGGTTTAGAAAAAATAATTAGATTACGAGGTTAAGCCACAGTTAAGATAAAAATGACAGTTCAATAAAAAAAGTCGAATATAATTCCTGTCTTCTAAAATAAAATACAGCCGCTAAGAGATTTAATTATGGTATTATTCAAATAAATTTTGCCTCTGCATTGGAAACACTCAGGAAAGAATCTCTGAGAAAAACATGTGGTTAACAAGCAAAAAATAATGTGATACATAAAATTATAATTTATGAAATACGATAGGGACCATATTGAGAGGAAGAAGAAATAACACAATTGAGTAACTACCCCTAAAGAGATAACTGGGATTACTTAAGTTACTGTGTTGGTGAGACCACTATCTTTGGTCTAACTTTTTGTGTGATAAATTGTGAGTTTTCACCATTTGGGTGATCTTGGAATGCTGTATCCTTTCCTTAAAATGATCTGTAAATGATCAGATATTTTAGGGTCATAGGGTTCTAAAATTAGATGTAGAGGAAGCTTCAGAATCTAGCCCTTCATTTTACGTGAGAAGAAAGAAAAGTCCCAAGAAGTCAAGTAGCTTTCCCAGGCTGAGTGTGTAGATGGTAGGTTTTCAGAGTCCCAATCGAGTGTCCCCTCTTCTACACTAGATTGCTATTAGGATTGATTTTTAAAAATTAAATCAATTTTTTTAATAAAGTAAAACAAGAATACCATTAAGAAAGTCAAATAGTATTGTTTTGCTTAAGGCTCCTAATAAATAAAAAACTAGTAGTGCCATGACCCACCCTCTGCTAGTCTAAATCCTTTCTGCACAGGCGACCATCTTCAAATTTGTGAGCTATCATTTGCTATTTATCATCATACTTAAATATTTAAGTAACAGGCTTTTATTGTTGTTTAGCTATTTTTTTTTTCCAGACAGAGTTCTGCTCTTGTTGCCCAGGCTGGAGTGCAGTGGCATCATCTCAGCTTACTGCAACCTCTGCCTCCCAGGTTCAAGTGATTTTCCTGCCTCAGCCTCCCGAGCAGCTGGGATTATAGGCACACACCACCACACCTGGCTAATTTTTGTATTTTTACTAGAGATGGGGTTTTACCATGTTGGCCAGGCTGGTCTTGAACTCCTGACCTCAGGTGATCCTCCCACCTTGGCCTCCCAAAGTGCTGGGATTACAGGTGTAAACCCCCATGCCTGGCCTGTTTAGTGATTTAAGAAAAAAATTTAGACATCTATCAAACTCTTTTTTCCTTATATTTCCTCTATGTAACTGAACTCATTATATGTTCTTTTGCCTAATAATTACACTTGGAGTCCAATTATAGAAATTTCTACGTATTAAAAAAACCATTTAGGGCCAGGCCCTGTGCTTCTCATTTCTACAACCTGGGGAGATGGCATGAGATGCTGACCATCATCTAGCTCGAGATGGTACTGTGTTTGCTCCGTTATGATTACAGTTCCTTTAAGTCACTGTTGTTCAGGCTGGGAGGTGCATCCCATTCGTGAATTGTAAAATCAATTTAGTGGGTTGTAACCAACATTATAAAAAATAGGACAGAATAGAAAATATCAGAGTTCAATAATATAATGTTCAATATAAGACTCCTATCTTCTAAAATAAAATACAGCCACTGAGAGATCTAATTATGGCACATAATTAGGACAAATACTAGTTTATGCAACTTTTATATCTGATATATACATTTATATGTATGTGTATCTATACACACATACAGAATTATACATACATACACATTACATGCAGGTAGATACATATACAGTTGACCCTTAAACAACATGGGTTTGAACTGCATGGATCCACTTATATGTGGATTTTTTTTCCAACTCTGCTGCCCCTGAGACAACAAGACCAACCCCCACTTCTTCCTTTTCCTTCTCAGCTTACTCAATGTAAAGATAATGAGGATGATGTCCTTTACGATGATCCACTTTCACTTAATGAATAGTAAATTTATATTTTCTTCCTCATGATTTCCTTAGTAACATTTTCTTTTCTCTATCTTACTTTATTGTAAGGCTGCAGTATGTAATACATATAACATACAAAACGTGTTAACCTACTCTTTATTAGTAAGGCTTCTGGTCAATAATAGACTATTAGTACTTTTGGGGGAGCCAAAAGTTTTATGTGAATTTTTGGCTGTGGAGGGTTGGTGCCCCTAACTCCCATGTTGTTTAAGGATCAACTGTATACATACATACACACATACAGATATATATTTATACAGATATATATGTGTATATGTACATACACACACATATATATCTGTATATGTTTATGTGTATTATATATGCATGTGTATATGTATTTATTTTGTGTATTGGGCCTCAGTGTAAAATGTATTTCTTTGAACATCTGAAATTATTGGTTTTTTGGTTAAAAAAAAGCACCAGTCAAATATAGAAACTTTTTTTTTTTTTTTTAGTATTTATTGATCATTCTTGGGTGTTTCTCGGAGAGGGGGATTTGGCAGGGTCATAGGACAATAGTGGAGGGAAGGTCAGCAGATAAACATGTGAACAAGGGTCTCTGGTTTTCCTAGGCAGAGGACCCTGCGGCCTTCCGCAGTGTTTGTGTCCCTGGGTACTTGAGATTAGGGAGTGGTGATGACTCTTAACCAGCATGCTGTCTTCAAGCATCTGTTTAACAAAGCACATCTTGCTCCGCCCTTAATCCATTTAACCCTGAGTGGACACACCACATGTTTCAGAGAGCACGGGGTTGGGGGTAAGATTATAGATTAACAGCATCCCAAGGCAGAAGAATTTTTCTTAGTACAGAACAAAATGGAGTCAGGATGTCTACTTCTTTCTACACAGACACTGTAACAATCTGATTTCTCTTTCTTTTCCCCACTTTTCCCCCTTTTTCTATTCGACAAAACCACCATCGTCATCATGGCCTGTTCTCAATGAGCTGTTGGGTACACCTCCCAGACGGGGTGGCGGCTGGGCAGAGGGGCTCCTCACTTCCCAGATGGGGTGGTCGGGCAGAGGCGCCCCCCACCTCCCGGACAGGGCGGCTGCCGGGCGGGGGCTGCCCACCTCCCTCCCCGCCGGGGCGGCTGGCCGGGCAGGGGCTGCCCCCCACCTCCCTCCCGGACGGGGCAGCTGCTGGGCGGAGGGGCTCCTCACTTCTCAGACGGGGCAGCAGGGCAGAGACGCTCCTCACCTCCCAGACGGGGTGGCGGTCAGGCAGAGACACTCCTCAGTTCCCAGACGGGGTCGCGGCCGGGCAGAGGCGCTCCTCACATCCCAGACGGGGCGGGGGGTGGGGGGCAGAGGGGGTCCTCACATCCCAGATGGGGCGGCGGGGCAGAGGCGCTCCCCACATCTCAGAGGACGGGCGGCCAGGCAGAGACACTCCTCACTTCCCAGACGGGATGGCGGCCGGGCAGAGGCGCTCCTCACATCCCAGATGATGGGCAGCCGGGCAGAGATGCTCCTCACTTCCCAGACGGGATGGCGGCCGGCCAGAGGCTCTCCTCACATCCCAGACGGGGCGGGGGGGCAGAGGGGCTCCTCACATCCCAGACGATGGGCGGCCAGGCAGAGACGCTCCTCACTTCCCAGACAGGGTGGCAGCCGGGAAGAGGCGCTCCTCACTTCCCAGACTGGGCGGCCGGGAAGAGGGGCTCCTCACATCCCAGATGATGGGCGGCCAGGCAGAGACGCTCCTCACTTCCCAGACGGGGTGGCGGCCGGGCAGAGGCTGCAATCTCTGCACTTTGGGAGGCCAAGGCAGGCGGCTGGGAGGTGGAGTTTGTAGCCAGCCGAGATCACGCCACTGCACTCCAGCCTGGGCAACATTGAGCACTGAGTGAGCGAGACTCCGTCTGCAATCCCGGCACCTCCGGAGTCTGAGGCGGGCAGATCACTCGCGGTCAGGAGCTGGAGACCAGTCCGGCCAACACGGTGAAACCCCGTCTCCACCAAAAAATACAAAAACCAGTCAGGCGTGGCGGCGCGTGCCTGCAATCCCAGGCACTCGGCAGGCTGAGGCAGGAGAATCAGGCAGGGAGGTTGCAGTGAGCCGAGATGGCGGCAGCACAGTCCAGCCTCGGCTCGGCATCAGAGGGAGACTGTGGAGAGAGAGGGAGAGGGAGAGGGAGACCGGGGAGAGGGAGAGGGAGACTGGGGAGAGGGAGGGGGAGTGGGAGAGGGAGGGAGAGGAATATAGAAACTTTAACCTGCTTTTAACCTACTGAGTCTTACTGTGGGTCATGGACACAAATATTTGGGATAAATTTAAATAATTTCAGTTATCTTACATCAAAATAACTTTGTTTTCTTGGCTGAGTTTCAGTTTTGTCATCCGTAAAATGAGAATAATAATTGTATCTACCTCAAAGAAGGGTTGGGAGGATTCAAAGACTTAGCATGGCCCTTGCCCATAGTAAGCACCAAATAAATGTTGGTGGCTATTGCTATGGTCCTCACCATCACTGTTATCCTCCACTTCCCACCCCCTAGACCCCTGCAGTGATCTTTATTTCTCATTTACTCTTAGGACATCCCCTTTCAGACCCATCAACATTATTAAATACACGGCTCCTCTCATTAATGGGTCACACGTACTGATTTTCACTCACAGAGAGGTAGTACCTTAGTGGAGGCCTTCAAGATTGTGTGCTCAAACCAGTAGTTCCTGAAGTGGGCTGTGCATCCAGAGGCAGGCAAGGCTTGGGCTGGCATGGACTTGCACAATGAGGAGGTTTTTCTCTTTTCAATTCTCTTTCAATCCTTTAGTTTAAATCTAGGGGAAAATGACGAGTTTGGTGCTGCACTTTAATATCTTCCTACTGTAAAATAAATAAATATATATATATATATAAACAAAGATTGGGACTGAGGCTCAGAGTAGCTGATAAGGAGTAGTTATTTGGCCTTTAGTAATAATTTTTTGTTTTCGTGATACTTAGACATATGATTCTGTTTGGTCATTGGCAAATGAGATTGGCTTCTATTATGGGAGTGATATAACGTGTCTCTTTTTTTTTTTTTTTTTTTTTTGAGATGGAGTCTCACTCTGTCACCCAGGCTGGAGTGCAGTGGCTGATCTCAGCTCACTGCAAGCTCCGCCTCCCAGGCTCATGCCATTCTCCTGCCTCAGCCTCCTGAGTAGCTGGGACTACAGGCGCCCGCCACCAGGCCTAGCTAATTTTTTGTATTTGTAGTAGATATGGGGTTTCACCATGTTAGCCAGGATGCTCTTGATCTCCTGACCTCTTGATCCACCCACCTCAGATCCCAAAGTGCTGGGATTACAGGTGTGAACCACCACGCCCAGCCAATGTGCCTTTTAAACATCAATTTATTGAAGTTAAAATATTCAGTAATTAGTACACGTGGTATACTTTGGTATGGTGACATCATGAAGGTGTACACTAATGACACAGTTTTGGGTCATGGTGGTTTGTTCCTAAATGAGACCCAGAGATGTTAAGCAACTGAGCTAGGGAGAGTTAGAAACAGCTAGGAGCAGAACCTGTGTCTTAGGTATGTTCTCAGTTTGTTAGGGTTGACACTCTAGGATCACATTAAATGAAGCTTGTGTTAAACCAATGAGCTTCTTCTCTTCTGGCCTACTTTTTGTTTAAGGGTTTGTTGCTACTGGGTTTGTCTTGGTTGAATTTACTCCTGCAATTCTGAGACCAATTCGAGTCTGAATTGCGTCATGCATAGCCCCTTTCAGCTACCATTGATCTGTGTCCACCTACTTTTATGATTCTTCTGGTTGTACAGTATTTTTCTTCCTCAGGTTTTGAGTTTTCTTTGCCTGTGGTTTGAGATTGTGTCTGATTCAGATAGGAGAAGAGGGCACCATGCTGTGTATTAATCGTAGTGGCAGATGAGTTGACTTTTTTTTCCTTTTCCTCCATATGTAAAATGGGTGTTGTTGCAAGTTAGATAATCTGAAGGTACCCTGTTCATTTTTAAAGCCCTACAAAGCTGGAATCTCACTTATCCATTCATTCTGCAGATATTTGTTGAACCCTTATATACCAGGCACTCACTGGACTAGTTGAAAGTGCTGAGAATAAGTAGTACCTAAGGGCAGTGGGGACCTTACCTTTGGGAATCTTATATTCTAATTAGAGGAGACAGGTGATAGATAAACAAATAAATTTAAAAGAGACAATTTCCTATGGTTCTAATAAAACAGAGTGATGGCATAGAAAGTGATTTGGAGGAAGAGGCCTAATTTTGATATGGTGGCCACGAAAGTCCTCTTCAAAAAGCAGGGAGCTGAATGGTGAGGAGGCAGCTGTGAGAAGCTCAGAAGTGTGTGTGGGTGGAGGGGACAGCATGTGCAAAGGCCCCAGGCAAGTGCAAGGAGGAGAAAGGGGGCTGGTGAGCTGGCTAGGAAGGTGGGGAACGGAATGCTGACAGAGGCAAGGGAGGCCAGAGCCAGCCTGTGGAGAGGGTTGAGCCTAGAAAGGAGTTTGGCTTTGATTCTAAGGGTGATAGGAAACCAGTGAAGCCCAGATGAGTTTTAAGGAACTGGATAATAGAATCTGATTTGTGTTTTTCACAGCCACACTGGCTGCAGGTTAGAAATGAGGCAGGCAAGAATGGAAGTGGGGTAAGGGGGTCCAGTTAGCACAGTCATTGTGGTGGTCATGGGATAGATGCGGTGCTACGAACCAGGGAGCAGGCAGTAAAGATGGAAGGAAGTGAAGAGATTCAGGCTGTATTTTTAAGATAGCTTAGCATTTGCTGGTGCATTGACTGTGGGAATGAAGGAGAGGAATCAAAGATGTTTCCCAGAATGGTGAATTACGGCTATGGGAAGGCAAGGTTCCTTTTGCCCTTGATGACATCCTTGTGCTGTCATTGTGCCTGGATTTTATTCTTCTGTATATGCACATTCCTGCTTCCAGCCAGCCCTGCCCAGGGAAGAAAAATCCTTCCATGCCTTTGGTTAGCCTGAAGGCTCTCCAGTTCTTCCTTTATCTGACCTGCATTCCTCATGCTGTGCTTAGGTCTAGGTTATACCCTGTGAAGAGGTGGTTTTATAGGGGTCTTGTGGGCAGGGCAGATGGTGCTATTAATTCATGCTTCTGTTATGGGAATTGATGGCTTGTAGCCAGGATGCCATGTTGATATTTATGACTGGTTTCTATGAAGAGTTCATGTTCTCAAAAAACGTATTGTATTCTGTTTTCCAAGAAAAAGTTGAAGACAGGCTGAGCAGTGGATATTTTTTCTCTTTTCATTTTCCCAGCATATAATACAAGTTGCATTACAATAAATTCAGTCAGTTCAAATGTTTTTCATCTGAAAAATTGAATACATTCTTTTTTTCGCCTAACTGCACGGGGTGAACTTTTATATTTTTATGGGCTTTGTTGTTTTTACTTGTCACAGTTGCTGGTATTAGTTCACTAGTAAGTAATGACTTTTCTGTATTGAGAAAGACAGATGACTTATTAGATGTCAGAGGCCATCTGAAACATTTTCAACTCAGCATTTTTAATAGCTGTTCTTTCTTTGATTTGTTTTTCCTTCTTTCTCCCCTTTTCCCCGTTTCCTTCATCCAGCTAGCAGGAATTTTTTCTCTCTCTCTCCCCTCTTTCTCTCTCGGTCACTGCCTGTCTGCGTATCTTCTGAATGTTCTTACTGCAGCCTCACATCCATCCACGGTCCGTAGGAGCCATAGATTGTTGCTGGATAACTTTTCCTGCAATTTTATTCTATGGATTTCCTATGGAAAACAGTCTTGTGTATCTATAGGTATGAATCTAATTTTTCAAGGATTAAATAAATAGTGGATGGTGTGCTGGCAAGCTTTTGTTTTTGACCTCATGGAAAAGTTTTTTGGTTTTTTTTTTTGTTTGTTTTGTTTTGTTTTTTTAAACTTTTGGCTGCTTTCTACTTTGGGGTTCTTAGGACACCATAAAAATAACTTCTTCTCCTTCCCTTCATCTACTGTCAACACAGACACAGTCTTTCACTTTGCTCTGTTCTTTGCACATCACTTTATTGTGCTCATGGTCTCAGAAAAAAGTCTTAGTTAAATGAAACAGTGAAACACCATTAATGTAGGTATGGTCAGCTTATGTAGTACAAATGGGCTTCATTTGGGGCACTATCTTATTACCATGTCATTGTGCCTAGCACATAGCAGGTGTTCGGCAAAGATTTCTTAGATGAATGAATGTCTACCTAGATGATGATTAGGAACTCCATTAGTTGGGGTTGGGGGCAAGTTTTTGAACAGTGAACAAGAAAGACATTACTCTAACGGCAACATGCATTCTAATGAGGAAAGAGACAAAGGTATAAACAAGACAAGTATCAGATGGTGATGAGTGCTATACCAAGAGTTAAGGTAAGGTGATCTGCTGTGCTATGACTTGGGAATCAGGGAAGTCTCTGAGAAGATAATGTTTAAGCTGAGATCTGAGTGACAAGAAGGAGCCAGTCAACAGAAGATCAAAGAGCAGCAAGATTCAGGCCAAGAAAGCAAGCAATGCAAAGGTCCTAGGCTGACGCAACCTTGGAGTGTACATGGTGCAACATCGCGGCAGCGGCATCAAAAGCTAGCCAGGCTGTGCAGTGGGGAGCAGGCAGCTGTGGTGTGCAATGGGGTCAGCGACGTGCCTGGGGCCAGACCAGCTGGGACCTTATGCTACAAATAAAATCCATATTCCTCCACTTGCTTTGCAGTGGGAAGCTTTGGAGGGTTTTAAGTGGGGCTATGGCTTACATTCTAAATGTACTGGTCTGGCTGGCATGTGGAGAATGGATTGTAGAGGAGCAAGAGTGGAAACTGTGGTGATATGTACTAGATGTTTCTTTGCTTCTCAGTGGAATATTTTTCTTTAAAGTTTACCAGAACTTTTTGGTTAGGGAGAGTGTAGCTTGTCTTTGTTTACTGATTTTTGTGCTGGGGCAGAGACTTCTGTTTGCTTACCATATCCATTCTCTTCAACGTTTCATTGACAAAATCCTTGGTTTTTAGTTGGGATAGTGCCACCCTTGTAACTGTTTCCTTGCAACTAGGAGCTAGGTGTAGCCACGCAGCTAAGTCAAAGTATTGCGTAGGACTTCCAGAAAGTCTTCTTAAAAGAGAGCGGGTGTTCCTTTCTTTTTTGATTCCTCCCAGTCTGCTGCCTGGAACTGGTTGTGATGGCTGGAATGCCAGCATTCATATTGGGTCATGAGGACTAGGACTACATGCTAGGAGTGGTGGAGCATAGAGTTAGAAGGACCCTGATGACCTCCTGGAGATCCCCAATATCAGCCTTGGCCTGCCTGCCTTTAGACTTCTTTTATGTACCAGAGAAATAAACTGACTTGCTCCGACCATTGATATTTTAGTGTTTAGTTTTTGTTCTATGCAGCTGAACATAATCCTAACTGATAAAGGTGCTCTCTTTTTGAGAGCCTTAATGAACAATAATAGTGATGAGGATAGAATTATTGGGTGCTTTCCATGTGTCCATTTCTCCCCTAAGCCCTTTGCCTACATGTTTTCTCTTAATCTGTACAAGTCATGTGGGCTGGTATCACATGTGGGGCTCCAAGGCACAGAAATGTTCAGTAATTTGCCCAAGGTGGCATAGCTAGTAAACTGGAGGACCTGGATTCCAACTTTGGTTCAAATGATTCTAAAGACTCTTTTCTTCATCACTGTTGAATTGCCACATTACTGATGATGACTCTGGAATCACTTTCTCAATCATTTAGGGACTGAGGCCAGAGGGATGATTTAGGAGGCAGATTTGTGTCATGTATTAGTCTTGAACTATAGTGCATTGTGACTTGAACTATATTAATGGGGCTCCAAATTTTAACTATTGATGGTTTCAATAGGAATTTACATTTCTGTCTTCCTGGGGCCCAGAAATCACTAAATTCTCACCTGTGGTGAAGAGACAGCCACAATGGGGAATTGGTTTCAAAGACAGAAAGCAGAAACCAAATTTCCAGGGCTTAGCACAATAGAAGTTTATTTCTCACGTAAAATCCCTCTCCTTTATCCTTCTGCTACCCTCCCAACCTCCCTTCCCCATTCCCAGGGGCCTCAGGTTCTCTGCTGGGTGCTTTTCTCTCAGTCAGCACTCAGGGGAAGAAGGAGGATTTAGGAAATTGTACGAGAGGTTTGATGGGCCAGGCTTGGAGATGGGATGCAGTGTGTCCCAAATGCCATTGGCTGGGACTCAGTCACAGGTCACACCTGCTGCAGGGAGGTTAGAACGTCTAGCTATATGTCCAGGAGTTGAAGAAGTGGGTTTTGGAAAGCATGCAGTGATCCCTGTCACATGCGGTTGTTAGGGGTGGGGGCCCTGGCATTGGTCCCCCCGTGTTTACATCCCAGCCTGGCTGTTTGTCAGCTGTGTGACCTTGGGCATGTGTCTTGACCACTTTTCCGTCTTTTAAAAAAATGGGTGCAATGAGATCATAGTGGAACTGCTTTGAGGATTCACTGAGTTAAGATGGTATGTACGGTACTTAGAACAGTGACTGAGACACAATAAGTGCTCAATAATTGCCAGCTATTTTAATTTAAATCAGACCACTTTACTCTGCATTGTAAAGTTTGTAGGGCAGATTTGCAGACAATTTTCTTTCTTTTTTTTTTTTTTTTGTTAAGATGGAGTCGCACTCTGTCATCCAGGCTGGAGTGCAGTGGTGTGATCTCAGCTCACTGCAACCTCCACCTCCTGGGTTCAAGCAATTCTCCTTCCTCAGCCTCCCAAGTAGTTGGAATTACAGACATATGTCACGATGCCTGGCTAATTTTCGTATTTTTAGTAGAGATGGGGTTTCACCATGTTGGCCAGGCTGGTCTCAAACTCCTGGCCTCAAGTGATCCACTGTCCTTGGCCTCCCAAAGTGCTGGGATTACAGGCATGAGCCACCACGCCCAGCCAGCAGGGAATTTTCTTATTGAGCCCTGGTGAGGCAGGTGAACCGTAAGAGGGACCTTCTGAAGCCGGTGTCCTAATTGGAGGCAAAGGGTGTGAGGGGGGTGACGGGAGTGCCGCTTGGGGGCTTGCTGCCCCCACCTGGGTGTGCTCCCGCCCTCTCAGGAAGGGCCAGCTGGGCTCCCTCCTGTTGCCAAGTCTGTTTGAAAAGTCGGAAACTAAGTTCTCACGTCCAGTCTCCTGCCCACTGTGAGGAATGTCGCCCATGAAATTCCTTCCCTGTGGGATCCCTTCTCCATCAAGATCTGGTCTGTTCTTGAAGACCCCACTCAGTGTCATCTTATCCCTCAGCCCCGGCTGGGACCCGTCAGCGTTGCTCAGTCCCCTCACTGTATTATCGTTCTAGTAGAGCATTTCTACAGTCCGTCTTGCGTGGCAGTGAGGCAAATGCTAGGCTGGGTCCGCCAAATGGAGGCTTCCTAAGGGCAGGAGCTATGTTGTTACTCCACACCCCTCATGTGTTTGTGGAGTTTAATTATTACTTTTATTATCTACAGCCATGTAGAGTTTTGTGAGTGTAGTCTTTGTAGTAAATCAGTGCTAGATAAATTGGCATGGAGTGTGGAATAAAAACAAGTGGATTCTTTTTTATTTACACTGTTTAATATTCGTGTGGGGATTTTTGCCTTCTTTCAGCTCAGCGGTTGTAAAATTCTGTTTTAATTTCTGCCATTATCATAAACAGCATCCTCTGGTTATTATCTGGGTAGAGGATGCTGCATATGAGGACTCTATTGAATTAAGATTAAACAAATTGCCAGGGGTGGGACATAGAACCACTGTTGCTTTGCCAGTATTTTTTTTTTTTTTCGTCAAGAAGTTCACTTGGTGATTTAAATGGGTACATTTACACCTATGGGTTTAGAGTCCTATATATCCACATCTATCTGTTCTTGGTAAACCATAGGAAAGCACTAACCTTTCTCTCTGAGTATTTGTGTGTACACACATCTATAAAAATGAAATTACCTGCAAAATCACTGAAGATAAAGGTTAGCAAATTCCGTACATGGATACAATCAGTGGTGCTGCACTATGTAGTTAAACAGGAAATGGGGTTTAGTTATTAAGCTTGCGTAGATTGCTTGATATACTGAATATTTCTTGGAGTTCTATTATTTGTATTTTATTCTCAAATATTTTAAGAAGATAAGCTTCTAAATTCACTTTGGGGCTCCGTGTCATCAAATCTCATCACCAGTCACTTAGATCCCTAATTAACTTATACTCTATAGACCCATTTCTTTGCTTCTGTTTCTCTCTGCTCTCTCTAATGGTACTGTGAGTTACACTGTAAGGAACAATAAGATTTAAGAGAAGAATTAATTTAGAAAGTTAGGAATAGAAGAGATAAGGGAAAATGAGAAAAAGCAGCTCAGTATTTTGTCTTGTAAATGGCTTTCTTCTTGTAGGCTAAGAAGCCCATTTATCCAAGGAGAGGAGGAGTGCTAATGAAATAGATCATGAACATAGCTATTACAGTAATGAATTTTAACACTCACTTTGTTATGTGATATTTTATTTATGAGCTCCTTGATCATTTAGATAAAGACAAGAAGTTTATGGCACTAGATTATGTCTTGTTTTCATAAACATATTCAGTAGTTTAATAAACATAATTTATTTTTTTCTCCTTAAAAATCAGCAAAATTTATGAGAGATTATCTTAGGGTTAATGAAGTCTAACATTAAGGAAATATTACCCTATAATATTGGAGCCTTCAGAGCTAGAGTTGTAATTGCTTAATGCTTTTTTCTACAGGCTATTTTTATAAAGTACATGCTTTGTACCATTAATCCAGTTTTTACAAGTTATACTCAGACCAATTCATTGGGAATTATGTATCCATGTTTATATTTTTCAGTCACCGCTTTCATTAAAAGATGTAGTAAACAGTTGAAAATTTAATGTAGAACAAGGGGGAAAAGACAATTATGTGTATTTGCTCATGGGAAAGTGCAGTGCATGGGTTATCACTGCTTTCTGTCTTTGAAACCAATTCCCTGTTGTGGCTGTCTTCACCACAGGTGAGAATTTAGTGATTTGTGGGCCCCAGGAGGACAGAAATGTAAATTCCTATTGAAAGCCATCAATAGTTAAAATTTGGAGTCCCATTAATATAGTTCAAGTCAGAATGCACTTAAGTAATGAAAAGCCCAGATGACAGGCTGGAGTTTACCCTTCCTAAGTCAGGTCTGCCAATTAGCTGGGTAATGGATGCCTGGACCCCCAAGATGGGATTGAGAGTGGCTGGAAAGGGCAGCTGGGGAAGACCACTATGGATTTTGGTCGTGTGCATTTGACTGTGTCAGCTCATTCTTTTTTGAAATTGAATTTAATGTGTTGAAAAATACCCTCTTGATGAATTAATGAACTAAAAGAGGTATTGATATTCGAATAGTGGCAGAAGCAGGGCCTTCCATCACCACCACCACCCTCCCCTGCCCCTGTCCCCATATTTTATAATAGAAAGCTCAGCAAGGGCAAAGTTTAAAGGAATCTCTTCTGATTGTCTCTCTCCTCACTGCAGGCAGGGTGGATAGGGAAGGATGAGGGCAGTGGATGAGGAACTCAGATCCATCAGTGAAATAGCTAATCCTTTACTGACTTCTTTTCACCTCTTTTGATGTTTGCCTTTTGACATTCTTTGGCATCAGGGCATACACTTGCTTGTGTATATGTTGGTGATGGAGGAAAATCAGGTAATGAGAGATCTGTGTGGACTTGAGTCACATTGTGAGCTGTGGTGAGGAGAGATGCCTCAAGTGTGTGCTGTCCTGCCTTCAACAAGAGAATGAGAATTTGATTTAATCCATTTTTGTATTATAAAAAATATTCAATGAGAATTCAATAAGAAATCTTACTGTTCTAGGCCTCAGGATCCAAAGATACTTAAGAATTAAGGTTCTTGTCTGCATGGAACTCACCACAAATTCAGAAATGTTCAAATAGTTTTTAAAAGTTGAAGATGGCCTCCTCAAAAAGTTAAACATAGAATTACCATGTGATCCAGCAGTTCCACTTCTGGGTCTGTAACCAAAATAATTGAAAGCAGGTCTTGGACAGATATTTATACACCCATGTTCATGGCAGCATTCTTCACATTAGCCAAGAGGTGAAAGCAACTCATGTCTATCAACAGATGAATGGATAAACAAAATATAGCCTATATTTACAATGTAATATTATCCAGCCTTAAAAAGGAATGAAATTCTGATATGTGTTACACCACGGATGAATCTTGAACACACTTATGCTAAGTGAAATAAACCAGTCACAGAAAGACAAATACTATCTGATTCCACTTATGTGAGTTATCTAGAAGAGGCAAATTCATAGAGACAGAAAGAAGCATAGAGGTTATCAGGGGCTGGGGGACAGGGAAACGGGGACTTACTGTTTAATGGATACAGAGTTTCTGTTTGGGATGATGAAAAAGTTCTGGAAATGGATAATAGTGATAGTTGTACAATATTGTGAATGTACTTAATGCTACTGAATCATATATGTAAAAATACTTATAATGGTAAATTTTATGGTACGTATGTTTTACCACAATAAAAAAGAAGGATATCTAAGAAGCAAGGAGAATGCAGCCTAAGAAAGATACAAATTCCCTGAGATTTTGGTATACTTTTGTTTTTTTTTTTTTGTTTTTTTTTTTTTGAGACAGGGTCTGGCTCTGTCACCCAGGCTGGAATGCAGTGGTATCTTGGCTCACTGCCACCTCTGCATCCCAGGCTCAAGTGATCCCCCCACCTCAGCCTCCTGAGTAGCTGGGACTGCAAGCATGTGCCACCACGCCTGGCTAATTTTTAAATACTTTTTGTAGAGATGAGGTTTTGCCATGTTGCCCAGGCTGGTCTAGGCTGGTCTTAAACTCCTAAGCTCAAATGATCTTCCCACCTCAGCCTCCCAAAGTGCTGGGATTACAGGCATGAGCCACCATGCCAGGCCTGGCATAATTTTTGAAGGATCTCAAGGTTTTATCTCCCAAAGAAAGAGGCAGTTGTGCAGGGCACAGTAACAAGCGGATTAGGCATTGTTATTTTTTGACACTGGGTTGGGTTTCAGACCATGTTTTGTTTTTCCTGTAAATCAATCCTGTCCAACTCACAGCCCATGGGTCACATGTGGCCCAGGATGGCTTTGAATGCGACCCAACACACATTTGTAAACTTTGTGAAAACATTATGAGTTTTTTCTGTGATCTTTTTTTTCTTAGCTCATCAGCTATGATTAGTGTTAGTTCATTTTATGTATGGCCCAATTCTTCCAATGTGGCCTAGGGAAGCCAAAAGATTGGGCACCCTTGCTGTAACTGAAGATGTGCAGTGCCCAGGCACTTGAGCAGAATGTTGACACAAGAAACCAGAGTCACATTCACCTTGTAAACCGCTGTGGACTTTGGACAGATTGCCTGAGTTTAAATCTTGGCTCCCCCACTTAATGGCTATATATCCTTGGATGAGGTAATTAACCTCTCTGAGCCACAGTTTCCTTATCTGTAAAATGGGGTTAATAAGAATATTCACCTTATAGGATTGTTGGGGACATTAAGTGATACAATGCAGATAAAGTTTTTAGAATCCCTGGCCTCATAGTAAGCCCTCGATAGATGTTAGTTATTATTATTTTATTGTTAATTATATGTGGTCTCATATATATATGAGACCTCTCATAATGAGATTTATCACAGAAACCTCAAAGTAATCTGTTCACCCACTTTCTACCACACTCTGCCAGTGGGGCACCATTTTATAAACAAGTGTGAATTTGACCACAAGGAAAGGAAGCTTCATTTCTTCCTACCAAGAAAGAAAGGGACTCCCTGGGGGACTTGAGACCTATTTTATTCTAATTGGTCACTGGGTCTGCATACATTATCCCTTTTTTCATGTCTATCTTCAAATTTAGCCAGAATGCTCAGAGAACAGGGTGTCTTGGATAATTTAATTTTGTGACTAACTGATAACTACAAAACACCACTTTCAGTTCAAGTTTTATTTGTGAAAAGTTTTTCTAAAATCCAGTGTCCTTTGTTTCTATAGGAAATATAGTGAATAAGAAAATTTAATCTTTCCTTGACAATGAAAGATTTTGGAGTCATTTCAGAAAATCTGTTCCTGATGGCCAGAAATATAAATGTAGGTAAAGATAGAACTACAGGTATAATAAGCCCAGGACTACCCTGAGAAAGATTTGTAATAATGCCCTTAAAAAAAAACCTAGTCTTTGCAACTTTCCCTTAAAATCAGAGTATGGGTGAGAAGTTATGATTGATGGTTTGGGTTCTTTGGATTTTCATTTTTTAAAGACTAAATTATAGGAATAGCTCTCTCATCACAAGCCTTCAAGGAGTTATACACAGTAGACAAGTCACCTTGAAAAGAATAACGGCTTTATTATCAGAATCAAGGATGATATCGAGCAAAACAGTTTACGAGTTGAGTAAACAAGAGATGCAGTCTAGCTTTGTTCTAGTTTCGAAGTCTTCCTTATTTCTCCCTGCAATGAGTTCTAGCTATTTCAAATCAGGACAATTTTTTTTTTTTTTTTGGCAGGTGTTGGGGAGGTGGGAAGGGGAGAGGTGTTCCTAAACCTGGTTGGGAGGTAGTGTGTTGTATTGGATAGAGCCCTAGAGTTGGGAAACTTGGTTTCCAACCCTGTGTCCACCATGCTTAGCGGAATGACCTTGGATGGGTCAGGGGCTGTCTTTGAACCTCAGCTCTCTCTAGCTGAATGATGCAGGGGTGCAAACTGATGCTTTCCAAGAAGCCTTCTGTTTGAACATTTAGACTAGGAGTTCCATCAAGGTATCAAGCGTGCTGTCTTTCTTTACTCTTCCATCATAATCAGGAGACTTCAGGAACTGCTTGCCAGTGAATCTGGTCGCATGGAGACCCGGCTGAGGGTGGGGCTGGTAGAAAAGCCCAGATTTATTTCATGCTTGCTTTCCCTACCTGTCTTAGCCTCTCCCTTTCTAGCTCTCTCTTTCTCCTTCCTGCCCACTCCTTCCTGCTCCAGGCTTCTCCCCGGCCCATCTAGATTATTGATTGGAAGTCACCAAATAGTTTCTGTAACCATGTCATCAACGGCTGCCAAGACTCTTGTCATTATTTCAGCCACACAGACTAAATGACTAGGGGAAAATGGCATTTTCCAGCTCCGGTGCAAAGCATTCTAAACTGTGGTTGAGCTGGGGTTTTTCATTTAAACTCCGTCTGAAAGTCTTTATGCAAAACAGCCTGTTCCCAGCAAGTGAGTGAGTTCATAGAGCCCCCAGTTTAGATTCTCGTAATTTTCCATATTTCTTTAGCTTGCCCTGGTTACCCTCCTGCCTAGTGCATGGTAGACAGGAAGTACACAAAGGAATTGTGCAAAGTTTGGAAGCAACTGGCAGGTGGGTTTGCATTTTTCCAGGTTAATTCACTTGATGAAAATCTGCTGTGGGTGATGTGTCATATATCAAAGGCAGGGCATCAGTAATCTTTGCTCAAGGGCACGGCTAACAGACAGATAGACGGGAGAATGAGATGGAAAAAAGCAACTCATCCTTTTCTGCTAACACCACGAAGGAGATAAAGGAAGATTTATGAGTCATCTCGGACCACATACCAGCAAGCAGCAAACCGTATTTTTCACATGTTCCCAAAATTGGTGGTGGAAAGCAATCTGGTTGTCATTGTGTCCATCCAGTCTTTTAGGAAACAATGGGATCCTTCAAGGGTCCGGCTGTGGAGTCAGCTCTTTGCCCTCCCTGCAAGAGACACGTGTGTGTGTGTGTGTGTGTGTGTGTGTGTGTGTGTGTGTTCATAGCATCTCTGCCCTCTTCAAGCACATGATCTTTAGTTTAATAATGTGACCTCTGTAAAATAAAGAAAAAAATATATGAGTGGAAACAGACATGACTATTGGGCCCCAGGCACTTAGATGCTGACTTGGTGAATACTTTTTCAGTTGTCACTCATCTACTTAGTTTTACTTTTGTAATAACCAGCTTCATTTATTTCCTGCTTTGGGGTATGAGGAAGAGGAGGACACTCTTTGTTAGGTGTCTTTTTTTTTTTTCTTTTCCTACCTCTGAGATGAGCCAATCCCTGTCAGATACAAACAAAGACTTGCAGCCCAGGTTAATTTGAATGGGCTGTTTTGTGTGGAGTTAACTGAGGACACTAGTTATTGAGAGTGCTCAGGGTTTCTTTATTCAGGCAGCTCAGCAGCTGGCTCTAGAAGTGTTGTGTGGAACAACTGATGGAAGTGTGAAGAGATTTCTTAATATTTCTCTCCCCAGCCTTGAAAAAGGCACCTGGATTGCAGCTGGATCACGTCTGTGTTTGTGACTATTTACTTCACATGGCAATTTAAAAACTATTGTAAATTCCAAAAAATTGGTTTTGAATTTTTTCTAAGGCCTCTGTGGTGTGCTCCATTTTTTTTTTGAGAGGCACACAATTAGCATTCTGTGCAGAAGGGCATGATTGATTCTGCACAGTGGTGGCTATATGAGCAAACCTCATTTAGACAGCTGAGTGAAATATACAGGGCAGAGGAATTTATGGGACCCAGAGAAGCTCACGTGCAGAATGAAAAGGAGCCACCTTCGCCTCTTCCCCCACCCCCGTCCCACTTCCCCACTCTTCACTTGTTCAGGATTTCTCCCTCTCCAGCCGCTGGGGTGCCCACTGTGTGTCATGATGCTGCTGAGCCTGACATCTCCCAGCAGAGAAGATTGAATGCCACTTAATCATGCAGCCCTCCTGTGGGAAGCATGGAGTATGCAATCAGATAGACAGGAGGAGCGCTCAGAATCCGTTATGTGAGGCTGAGATGGTGAGGAGGGCGTGGAGAACAGTGGCTCTAGGTACTACACGCTATCCTAAAAAATGTCTGTTGGAAGGAGTGGCTTTTCTAAGTGCTTCAGGCTTCTGTACTGACCTTCGGCTGGACAGATTATTTGGAGGGTTGGGTGTTCACCTTAGGGAATATAGGCCACTTTCTTAGAAATATCACCAACTTACTTTTACAAAGTAAGTCCAGTGTAGGAAGTGATTTTATCTTATTCACCAAAGTGGCACAGAGTAGGTCCTCTATAAACAGGTGCTGCATTGAACTGACTTAACTCTCACTAGGATGTGGCTTTTCAGAGAGGAAGCATCTTGATCTGATGGGTTTGCTGGTCTGTCCCAGTGCTGTGGGCAGTGCTTGGTACATAATACATGCTCAAAAAGCATTAGTTGAAGGAGTGGAAGAATAAACCCCCAGAATGACATTTGGTAGACAGAGCTTCTCATTTCCCTCATGGCTTATGCATAGGAATGGCTTTCCACTGAGGTGGGCAATGAGAGGGATGTTTTTCTGCTTCTTCCTTCCGAACCCTTCCCTGGGATTTGCATGCTGTTCTTTTTTTCTTTTTCTTTCTTTCTTTTTTTAGATTTGCTAAAATATTGATTTATTTCCTGTTTTATTTTTTAAAAATTTTAAATTTTACTTTAAGTTCTGGGATACATGTGCTGAATGTGCAGGTTTGTTACATAGGCACACATGTGTCATGGTGGTTTGCTATACCTATCAACCCATCATCTAGGTTTTAAGCCCCGCATGCATTAGGTATTTGTCCTAATGCCCTCCCTCCCCTTTCCCCCATTCCAAGACGGGCCCCGGTGTGTGATGTTACCCTCCCTGTGTCCATGTGTTCTCCTTGTTCAACTCCCACTTATGAATGAGAACATGCAGTGTTTGGTTTTCTGTTCCTGTGTTAGTTTGCTGAGGATGATGGTTTCCAGCTTCATCCATGTCCCTTAAAAGGACATTAATTCATCCTTTTTTATGGCTGTATAATATTCCATGGTGTATATGTACCACGTTTTCTTTATCCAGTCTATTATTGATGGGCATTTGTGTTGGTTTCAAGTCTTTGCTATTGTAAATATTGCTGCAATAAACATATGTGTGCATGTATCTTTATAGTAGGATGATTTATAATCCTTTGGTTATATACCCAGCAATGGGATTGCTGGGTCAAATTGTATTTCTGGTTCTAGATCCTTGAGGAATGGCCACACTGTCTTCCACAATGCTAGAACTAATTTACACTCCTACCAACAGTGTAAAAGCATTCCTATTTCTCCACATCCTCACCAGCATCTGTTGTTTCCAGACTTTTTAATGATCACCATTCTAACTGGCGTGAGATAGTATCTCATTGTGGTTTTCATTTGCATTTCTCTAATGACCAGTGATGATGAGCTTTTTTTCATATGTTTGTTGGCTGCATAAGTTTTCTAATGCCTTGTTCCTGCTGTGTCTTGATTCCCACCTACCTGCTAATGCATCCTTGGAAGCTAACCTTTCTGATTTTTTTCCCTTGAGTGAAATTCCTGTCCATTTAATGGCAGTCTTAGTGCTGTCGGTGAAGACTGTCATTCATTCATCTGCTAATGTAAATTATGCCAGAAAACTTAACGTGATTTCTACTTCAAGGGATAATTTGAAATTTTAAAAAGCTATTTGATTAGAGTCTTCTGATATATATGACTTTGTGTCTTTGGTACTGATGGTAGGCTAAAAATGCCCCCCGAAAAGAGGTCAGGTCCTAACCCCTGGAACAGTAAGTGTTACCTAACCTGGCAATGTATTCGCAAATGTGATTAAGTTAACGATCTTGGGCTGGAAAGATTCTCTTGGAAGGTCCTAAATGTAATCACATAGATCCTTCTGAGAGAGGCAGAGGGAAATTTGACCGAGACATGGCAAAGAAAGTGATGTAAAGATAGACCAGATGTGAAGGGGCTGGCCTTGGAGACTGTGGTGATGCAGCCACAAGTCAAGGAATGCTGCAGGCAGCAGGAGCTGGAAAAGGCAAGGGTCAGATTGTCCCCTACAGCCTCTGGAGATAATATATTCCAGAGGCACTGATTTCAGACTTCTAGTCTCCAGGACTGTGGGGAAATGAATTTTTGTTGTTTTAAGCCACCAATTTTGTGCCCATTTGTTGTAACAGCCATGGGAATCCAGTACGGCACCTGATTGTCCTGGCACTGGCATCGTGGCACTCCCAGAAGTTGGATTGGCATTATTATTAGGCAGCCCATTCTCCTTCATTGATGGACTTTATGGGAAGGACCACTATAGGAGAGAAAAGGGACACATTATTGTAGAAATGTCCTTAGTAATTTCTTTGCTGTGCATTATCTATTTTATTCCCATAAGAACCTTGTACATCAGATGGGTAATAATCACCCCATGTTTATGGGTAAGGGAACTTTCAGGTTATAACTTAGTTAAGGAAAGAAAGCCAGCTGGTGAATACTGTAGTTGGGATTTGAATGTAAGTATTTCAGATCCTAGTGTAGTATTTTATTCTTTTCACTATGGTGTTATGTTTCATTTCAGCTCACTTACCATTTTCCGAGTCTCCAGGTAGCATCAGACACATTGGTATTTTTCTGGGTCTTGTTCCTTTTCTCCAAATGCGGTCTTTCAGTCCCAGCTTCTGTTATATTAATATACTTTGCTTAACCTGGAAAAGACTACTGTTACATCATGGCAGAGTACTTGACTCTGATAGCCAGGTGGCTCTTTGTGGTTCTTTAGTATAAAAAGTAACTGTGTTATATAGTACAATGGGATTGTATGTGAGTCTGTGTGTGTGACAGAGAGAGAATTGGAACAAATATAATTGAGGTGCAAAGTAAAAATGCTTTAGGATTGTTTTTGAATAACTAAATATAACTGGTCACCTAGACATCTCCTGTTTCAGACATCTAGCTTTTCTTGATTTGGCCAGGGCCTGCAATTCAGATGTGAGATATCAGTGTTGAAAGAGCACTTACTCCAAGGAGAAGTCAGACATAATGGGAGCTGGAACCCATCAGAGACGGGCAAAGTGTACATGTCCTATGAAGCCTGTGAGATTCGAGAGAGTGTTTTGATTTCAGAAATTGCAATCAGAGGTTTGCTTCAGCCTTCATGCTGTCAGATTGGAGAAGTTTAACTCTGAGGACAGCTACCGGAGACACACAAAATCACCATCTTTGTATGTGCAGTCTTTGTCACTTCCAGCAAGTTATAAAATTACATAAAAGGAGCCGAGTATGATACTATCACTTGGGTTGCCACAAGAAAAATCTTCCAAATCTGAGAATTATTAAGAAGTGTGAAAATCTCTTAATTGCAACATGTTCTACACTGCACAAAAAGACTATGTGGCCGAGAAAATTGGCAGTGTTCTGATGATCACATTTAACAGCTGGAATGCTCCTATTCAAACCACTTTTGTAGCAATAAGGCTAATAATTTTTTTGCAAACTGCTGTGATAGCCATAATTCTGTTTTGTTAAGATGTCTTGTTTCTATGTGTGAATGCAAACATACATACTTATTTTGGTCCATCATTATTATAAGTATGGTGGGGGTGGTGGTAAAGGTGTGTTAATTTATTTTATTTTTTTATATTTCATTCGTTTTCTCCCCTTATTTTTAAAATTTGTATCAAGTATCTGTTACCTTATTTTAAAAAAATTTTAACATATCAAAATTGGCTAAGCAACATTGTTATTTGTTTTCGATTGCTTATGCCAGGCATGGCATCCTCATTCCTGTTCTTGTCTTGTGTAGCCGCTTGATCAAGAACTGGCCAATATGGTGAAACCCCATCTCTACTAAAAATACAAATATCAGCTTGGCATGGTGGCACATGTCTGTAATCCCAGCTACTTGGGAAGCTGAGGCACGAGAATGGCTTGAACTGGCAAGGTGGAGGTTGCAGTGAGCCAAGAGTGCACCACTGCACTCCAGCCTGGATGACAGAGCTAGACTCTGTCTCAAAAAAAAATTATTTTAGGTTGGGTGTGATGGTTCAAGCTGGTAATCCCAGAACTTTGGGAGGCTGAGGCAGGAGGATCGCTGAGGAAGGAGGATCCTGGGAGTTTGAGACCAGCCTGGGCAAGATGGCAAGACACCATCTTTACAAAAAATAAAAAAATTAGCTGGACATGGTGGTACACACGTGTAGCCCCAGCTACTCTGAAGGCTGAGGCAGGAGGATCCCTTGTGCCTGGGAGTTTGAGGTGGCATTGAGTTCTGATCTCACCACTGCACTCCAGCCTGGGTGTCTGAGTGAGACCCTGTCTCTTAAAAAAGAATTAATTTAAAAACTTACAGTTGAAAAAGTTTCATGTATGGTGGTAATGGTTGCACAACAGTATGAATATACTTAATACTACTGAACTGCATACTTAAAAGTGGTTACTATGATACATTTTATGTAATATGTATTTCACCATAATTTTTAAAAAGTTGTATATGCACACAGTTAAAAATGCCAATAGCATTAAACAGTCAGCCAAAAGTAAGCCTTCTTCCCTATAGCAGTTCTTTTCCCAGAGGCCACCATCACTAACAGCTTCTTTTGTTGTCTTCCAGAAACTTTTTGTGAATATTCAAGCACAGAACTATATTTTGAAAGAATTGTGTAATTGGAAAATAAAACCATATTGGCCTTGTGGAGGCCGAGGGTGGGGTGGGGCAAGAGAATGATGGATGGAAGAGAGATGGGTGGGTGAAGTGAGGCTGCTGGTGACCAAGTTCTAATTCAGAACATTTGTGGAAACTCTCCTTGCTCGGGTCTCATGCCACGCTATTTCATCAAGGAATAGGAAGCTGAATTGGGAACTTGTGGGAAGCCAGGAGGAGAAAGTGAGTTCTATGGAGTTGTCATTTGCTGTAGTCCAGAGGGAGATAGCTGTGAGTAATGGGGTGAAGTTAAGCAGAGAGGAATTTAGGCTGGGAAAATCAGGACAAATTTCACAATGGGGCGAGTGTGTAGACGTGTCCGTGGGGAGGTAATAGACGCCTTGCCACTGGAGGGGCTGGAAATAAGACTTGACACAAAGCATGAGAAAATGGATGATAGGGAACTGTCCCTGGGGGTTGGTGTGGTGACCTTAATCAGGCTCTTCCCTGCCTAGCTCTGGATTCACTGATTCAGTCTCAAATGATCCAAGGGAGAGAAACAATTGCTTGGAAAATGGCCGTAGGGGATAATGGCTATTGACAGCAGATATTGGCTCACTCTACACAGGTTCACTCCCTCCCTCCTTCCCTCCTTCCTTCCATCCATGCATTTTTTTTTTTTATCTAGTCATCCATTTAGCCAAGAGTTCTTTAACACCTACTAAGTATATGTAGATTATTGAGGGCACTTTACATAGGCTAGTAAGAAAAGTCATTGCAAGAGAGGACATTTATGCTGAGGCGCGTGAATCAGAATGGAAAGACCTGGGGAGGAACATTCCCGAGAGAGGGCACTGCCCTTGCCAGTGCTGCAAAGTGTGAAAAAGCCTGGCGAGTTTGAGGACCAGAGGAGGTCAGTGTGGCTGGTGAGTGAGAGGGGTGATGAGGCTGAAAGAGCTTTAAGGTGAGGTTGAAGTCAGGAAGCAGGAGCCAGGTTGGTCAGGGCCTGGTGGGCTCTGCTTAGGAGTTGGAATTTTGCTCTGAGAGAGATGAGATTTGAGTATGGATCTTGGATGGCCTTCTGTTTCTGCTTTCAGACTTTCCTTATACCTTCCAGTTCCTACTTTTTGAGAATCAGGTGTGGCAGTCAGACAGAGGTGGGGGGGTTTTGTGAAGAAGGGTGTGGCACAGGGCTTGAATCACCAGGTGTGGGAAAGGCAGGTTGGGCAAGAAGCTGAGACTGGGAGAGGGATTCAGCCCGTCTTGCAGCTCTGTGGTTGCTTCAGGTGGTCAGAGTTTTCAGGGGGAGGCCCATGGTAGGAAGGCAATTAGTACTGGAAAAGATCAGCTAAAGCAAAGCAACTTACATGGAAAGCAGTATGTAATAGTAAATCTAGAAAAAAAAAGTTTGGAATTTAATCTTGCAAGCTGAAACCCAAAAGGATAAAAATATTTGGTATCAAAAACATTTTCAGTTGTAGCTGCAGCTATGCTCTAATTCTCAGAAAAGCAATTCAACTATTAATTTAATTTTTCTCCATAAGTGTTAATGACAGAATTACACGCTGGCACCATATATCTTTTACTTCATGTTTGCTTTTATTGTGCAATCATTAAAGTTGTTTATTTTTGTAAAATTAGGACTTTATCAATTTTATGAGGGCCTTTCTTAATCCTTCAGTATTTAAGTCAGTCTTATAAAATGTTGTTATTGACTTGATTTTTGCTTTTTCAGTTGGCCTAAGGGCATAGGATCAATGGTTTTGGGTGTAATTTGAGCATTTCTCTGTCACTTCAGTTGAGTTCGTGAAACGCCACATCTTTTGCAGAAGTTTCGGTTTCATTTTGCAGTTGCTTTGCACCAGAGGCTTATGTAACATTTGACCATCAGATGGGCCTAAATTGTTGATACAAGGATCAGGGATGAATGCTACTTGGAAGAGAAGTTTGAGTGGGAACCGGTCAATTCGCTAATGAATAGTTATGATGACTTTGTTTCCTTATGCAAATTCAAAACTGAAAGTGCTCGAATAGCAAATATTTGGGTAATGAGGTTCTTCCCTATTAAAATGTAAGTACCTAAAGTGCGTCTTGCTGTGGAAGGGCCCAAAAGGTACAAAATGTACTGGCTTTCAATATCCTGTCATTTCTAGTTAGGTTTAGGTATATATTGGTCATTTGCAGGACTAGAGCACATTTCATAGCCAGAGTGCCCTGCCCCTCAGGGCACTATTCTTATTTTTTGGGGGGGGTGGGATGGGGGGGGGCAGATTAATCAGGGATGTATGGATCATCCCAGCTTGCCCTGGGAAGCTTCTTGGAATTTGGGTGTACACCTTCTGAAAGTGAATGGATTTGAGTAAAATTTAAGAAAAATACAAAAGAAAAAGGAAAGCTCTCCATCTTGTTAAAATAAATTTGTTCAGAAAAGTATCGTGAATGTCTATATTCATTCCACTGCGACCTTGCCACTGTTGACATTTTAGGTAGAAAATTGTTTGTTATGGGGGACTGTCTCATATGTTGAAGGATGTATCACAGCATCCCTAGCTTCTACTCACTAGGTACCAGTAACACATCCTTTGTGACAATTAAAAATGTCTCCAGACATTGCCAAATGTCCCTCTGGGTCAAAGTCACCCCTGGTTGAGAACCACTGATCTCAGGTTAGCACAGAGAGGCTGCAATGGAAAGATTGTAGTATGTTAACTAGGTGAAGGGATTGACCACTCCCAGTTCTGAGCAATTTGATGGGTTCTTAAAGAAAGCACAGCCCTTGGAGCTGGGGAAGGAAGTTTGTGACTCATGGTGGTGAATCTAGGGGGTTCCTGTGTGGGTCCAGTGGAGCAGGTCTGGTGAGAGGGGACACTGGGAGCCCCAGAACTCCGAGCCCCTGGGGGACGCCAATGAAGCTGTCTATGAGAAACATGTGGGAAGAGGGAGACAGATGAATGATGAATGTTTTCCACGTCCTTGAGTTGTGGGTCACCTGAGGTCTAGGCCTGCGGTGAGGCCACTCACTCATTTCAGCTCACACTTCGCCCAGTGAGTAATATTTGTTCCAGCCTTTGGGTCACTGTTTACTCTGCCTCCCCTCTTGTCAGTTCCCTCTGGCCTTCTTTATATCTTTCTGAATATGAGTCAGTCTTCAAGATCCAGCTGAAATTCTAGCTCCTAATGGAGCTTCCTCAACTATCCTGGCCCACGTTGAGTTCTTCCTGCTCTAATGCTCACATTACTTACCAGAGCTTTTATTTGGGCATTTAATCAAAGGTAGTTGTGTTTCATTATATTCACATCTTGTGTGTTTCTCATGTCCTCACTGAGTCTGTAAGTTCCTTTAAGGCTTAGTCTGTATCATTCTTTTAATCCGCCATGATACACAGCATAGTATGAGTACATGGTAGGTGTTCAGTACATGCTAAGTGAATCAGAGTAAATGGAAGTCAGTCTTCTTGCTCATCCTCTCAGTGTCATTTATGTCTTCCAGATCCTCTCCACACACTCCAGCCCTATTTCTTTAAATAGTTTAAGGAGACAGCACATTGTTTGACAGTTCTGCAAACATAAAAAATAATTTATCTCACACTTAATTTTTATCTGAAGACAAGTTTAATATTTTCAAGCATTACATTTTTATTTTTAAGTTCTTACATCCTTTTTGTTTCTCTTAATGTCATTTTGGCTTCAAAGGGTATAATTTTGAAATTATGAGTACTGTAGGACTTGTTAGTATTTCTTCTTTGTGTGTATAATGTTTCAAGAACTGTTGATGGCTAAATGTCATTTTTATACTTTTTGGATTCATAACAGTTCAGTTAAATTCAAAAATAATTAATAATATTATGTATCTTAGAAATAGCTGTCATGTATCTGGTGGATATGACATATTGTTAGATATTTTAAGTTAAAAGTTCTGTATGCAGGCCAAGTTGAGAACGATGAGGAGCAGACTGTTTTATAGACAAGCAGAAGGATATAGTAGATTTATGACAAAGCATATTACCATAATGTAACCATGCTTGGAAAACTGTGTGGCTTCTCAACTCAAAAAATAAACTAGTGATCAGTAGCCTATCTCAAACACTTTTTTTTTTGCTTTATTTATATCTGGTTTCATTCTGAAAACAGCAAGACAACTGACAAGTTAAATAAGATATTACCACTAAATAACAACGTACCCACGGCAGTTTTCCCAGATCCTTGAGGGCAGCTTAGACATATTGGCTCTTTGATTTTTAGAACTTAAGCAGGGATGAAAGCTCTCCATAAAGGGTCATTGTTTCCAAAATGGAGCTTTCCAGGCTGGAAGGAAACAAGGCTTTCAAGAATGATATCAGCGGTGGGAGGTGTGGGGGAGGATCCCCTGGCCTAGCCTCAGTCGGGAAGTGGTTTATCTACATTCACTTAGCTCTGTCCTAGTCAATTGAAACCAACTGGCCATTAACTTTTCCTTCACAGAAGTGGATTGTTCTTCCACTGTAGATTTTGTGGGGCCTTCCTGAGAGGGGCCTATCAAGAAGGTTAGGCCTGTCCACACAAGGATTCTCCATGTTATTTTTATAGGAAGAGGTCAGATTTAGCCTTTGCAATTCTTTTGGTCTGACTCAAACAAGCATTGGAGATTTTCCTCTTATAAATCTGTTTTTTTGAGATGGGGTCTTGCTATGTTGCCCAGGCTGGAGTGTAACAGCTATTCATAGGTGCAACCACAGCACACTACAGCCTCAAACTCCTGAGCTCAAGCAATCCTCTTGCATCAACCTCTCCAGTAGCTGGGACTACAGGCATGCACAACTGTGCCCGGCTTCCTTTTATAAATAGGTTTTCAGCTTGCAAAGAAATGAGCGACAGCTTATTGCATTGATTCTAACAGTGTTGTATCCTCAGGTATTGGAAAATTCCACTAGTGGTCAACATAATGGGTCATGATGTCCCATGTGGGGACTTAACCACAGTCAGTATGATCCTGGTCCAGTGGTCCCCCGAACATGTGTGAGTCATATGTAATGAGGATGTAAGCAGCTCTTGTGCGTGGGGAAACCTCCCACATCCCACTGAGGAGTCTCTGTTTGAGCTACTCCAAAGGAATCTCTTGGTGGCTCCACAGAGCAGTCTTCTTGTTCCCACCTCAATTCTTATGGCATTGTCCAAGGTAGCAATGTTCCTGGCTGTCTTTTCACAGTCTTACTTTCAAGGAGCTCCAAAACCTCTAGAGATCTCCAGCGTAGAGGTAGACCTGGAAACATGACAAGTGCAGGCCTTGGGGATGCTGACTTAAGATTCTGAGGCAGAAGAAAAGTGTAGAGAGCACACTCCTCTGTTTGCCTCAGACCTGGGGGCCAGGACACTGAGCCTGCTATGAATACCCAGCTTGAGGAGTTTAGTTAGCAAACCATGAGGCTACTATAATTTGCTTTAATATCTGCCTCTTTCCCTTTGCTGTTGATATTAATTAACCTTACCCCAAACTCAAGGAGAAGCAGAGAAGAAGCTATTTACAACTTCCTTTATTATTGATCAACTCAGAACCACATTCATTCAGTGCCACTTAGATGCTGAACACTGAGGAAAGCATTGTGGACCAATGATGGAGAAAGCCTTTTACAACTGCTGCTATTGCTGCTTTTTCTCTCGAGAACTTGAGAATTTGGGTCCTGGAAGAACTCACAGAGATGATTCAGTCCAGTAGTTCGCAAGGTTCTAGAAATCATCTGGGGGCATATTGGAGGAAGAAGGGACCCTGATCCACTCTCAGAAACCACTAGGTTTTCCTGTACTATTTGTTGGACTTGATTTGGAAAAAGAGTTCTGCATGCCAACATAAGCTTGAAATGCAGCCTTCTTATTTTACAAAGGGGGAAACTGAGGTTCATGGGCCAGAAGGAACTTAAGATGGAAATTTGGGGATTATTTCCCATTCCATGTTTGGCTGTATCCCTGTAATATTTTCAGTGCTATTTTGGGATTCATATTTGTATCAGTTACCAGAGATTGGTTCCCCTAAGTAAATCAATTGGACACTATTAGCAAGGGAATTGCATGCTGTACATTTTACCCTGTCTTAGAGAGAAGAAAAGTTCCTATCTCCTGTTTGCATATCTTTTATGAAAACAATTTAAACCGCACCTGTTTAAACCTTTCCACAGAAATGTCTGAAAGGTAAACAGTTGGTTTTGGAGCAGCTATAACGTGGCATTGTTTAACATGGCAGCTCACTGATGGTTGTCTTTAATTATGGCCGTGCTGTCAACCCCTGAAGTCCCTGCTCTTTGTTGTAGATCCGATATGACGTTTGAGGTTTTCAAAGCTGCAGAGATGAAAGAATCAACAGTCAAATATTGCTCATTCTGATATGCTTAAGGAGCGAGGAGGGGGCATTGCCCATGAGGGCTGCAGAGCCGGGGAGGGAAAGCTGGTGCCCTCTGCTTTTGATGGCAACCTTGAGTGGGGAGCCGGGTTTACTCTGTTTGTAAGGGAGCAGGGCCAAGGCTGGGGGAGACGGAAATGATTTATTCAGTGATGGTAAACAAGTGCAGAGTACAGGCTGCCGAGCTGTGCAGGGCTGGTGGGAAAGCTGGCTGTCTCTTGCCCCCAGCAGTTTGAACATTAAAGATGTGAAGCTCAAAGCAGACCCAACAAGGCTTTCTGGAACCTCCCCCAGCCCCTTCCATTTCCTTTGTCTTCAATCTCCCAGAGCTGTGTGTCTCTGGGCCATCACATACTGCTGCTATTCAGGGTGTTAATTGTGGGTTGGTCCCATCTCAGACCAAAGGTAGCCTTTTGGGGGCTGCTTCAGTCTGGCTCCTGTTATTGCTAACATGGGTTGCCACTAGCTCTTTTCTCAGACAGAGCTGTCCCATGGCATCTGTGCCTGGCAGAGCAGTCTCCTGCTTCTGCAACAAGCTGCTTTTGTTGAAGGGCTATGTCTTCAGAATCTGTTTAGGTGTGTGAGCCACCTCTGCTGGGTACCCTCCTGACTGGGGACCTACTTTTTCACTTCACTCCCAGCTCCCACTTGAGAGGCATTGTGGTCTAGCGGTTAAGAGTGCTGGCCTTAGCCAGGCTGCCGGGATCTGAATCCTGGTCTTGCCACTCACTAGTTCTGTGATTTGGGGCAGGTTTCTCTGGGTTTGTTTCCTCCTTGTAAGATGGTAGTAACAGTGGAACACATGTTGTGGTCATGATGAAGGCTATGTGACTTAATATATAGGATAGTGTCCAGCACAAAGCAGGTGCTATAAATATATATTTATATATAACACAGATAGTGAATAGTTATATATAATGCACATATATGCTATATGATGTATAATGTATAATTTATATATTCACACAATTATAAGAGTAAGTTTAACTGGCCCAGCAGGGGAGGGAACAGTAAACACACTATAATCTGATTCATTTCTGGGGAGATCCACCCTAGCCCCAGAGTAGAGATGAATCTTCCCTCTTGTCCATCTATTTCTTTCTTTCTTTTTTTTGAGACAGGGTCTCACTCTGTCACCTAGGCTGGAGTACAGTGACGTGATCTTGGCTCACTGCAACCTCTGCCTCCTGGGTTCTGGTGATTCTCCTGCCTCAGCCCCCTGAGTAGGTGGGACTACAGGTGCACGCCACCATGCCCAGATAATTTTTGTATTTTTAGTAGGGACGGGGTTCCACCATGTTGGCCAAGATGATCTCGAACTCCTGGCCTCAAGTGATCCTCTGACCTCATCCTCCCAAAGTGCTGGGATTACAGACATGAGCCACCATGCCTGGCCTTGTCCGTCTATTTTTTAAGTATTTCAACTTCTGCCACCTTCCCCCTGCTCTGTGAGTATTCCTAGCTCACTGATACTTGCCCGTTAATTGTGAACATCCATGTTATTGGAGGCCAGATCCTGTCTTAATCATGGAAACTTTTCATTCTCTGCTTTCTCTGTAGTCAATCAATGAGGATGGGGGAGGCACCTGTGGTCAGCTTGGCATGGTGCTGCCTGCTGTGGGGTTTACAGAAGTAGGATCAGACATAACTCCTACCTTTAGAGAACTTTCAATGAAACTGGAAAATCAAAATGAACTCTCATGAAATATTTAAGAGCAACACTCACCTGGTTAAAGAGATTAGTCAGTTTATTCACTATCTTGTCACTATTTCCAAGGAATAGACTAGCAGTATCTAAAAGGATGAACTAGAGAAAAGGCAGAAGTGCTTTCTGCCTTGGAGAGGGTTGAGACCAGTGCTGAAGGTCATGGTTTCACAAGAACTTAGCTATTACCTTGGGCCAGAAGGGAAGGGATCCAAGTAGGAATAAATTGGCCTATTTGTAGGAATAAGGGAAGTTCACATTTATCTGGGAATGACTGTGATCAGAGCACCCAGCTAGATGTATGTCTAGTATCATTTAATCCTCCCAGCTAGCCTCTGGAATAGGTGGTATTAAATGGTTCTTTTGTAAAGGTAGGAGAGCTAGGGTTCTGTGATAATAAGTAATATTTTAAAGTATCATAGCCATTAAGTTTGCAGAGCTGAGAAATTTTTACACAAGTCAGCATGACTCTAAAATCTTGTGCTCTTTTCACTTCTGTAAGAAAGGGACACTAGCTACTGTTTTTCTCATTTCAGTTTTGGATGAATTAAGCTAGAAAACATTTATATTTGACCCCTTTTGCCCCTCTCCCCCACCCCAATAAAAGCAAGAAATAACTACCATTGGCCACCACATTCTCCTCTGGGACCAGTAGAGAAAACAGTGATATTATCAGCAAAAGCCTAATTACACTACCCAGGAAAAACAAGAAACCTCCCAAAGTCATGTCCAAGCCAAGCAAAGCTCTGGGAGAAATTCCTGGGACATTCAGCAAGAGCAACCTAAAAGGGCTTTTGAGCAGAAATTGAAGCCAAATAAAAATACTGCATGCTAGCCCTGGGCCCATAAACAGTACTGGAATTGCAGAGCTAGGGCATCATGCTTGGAGTGGTAGCCAAGCCAGGCTAGGCTCTGCTGTTGTAACAAATTAACCCTGAAATCTCAGTGGCTTAACACCACAAGGCTTCGTTTCTTGCTCACCTTATAGGCCCAGTGAGGGTTGGTGTTGAGGGAGCCTGGCTTCTTGTAGTGACTCAGGGATCTGGCTGGATGAAGGCTCTGGCATCTTGTGGCTGTACCTTCTGGATCATGAGACCTCCAAGGTTGCATGGGAGGGGGAGTGAATTGAATAGTGACCCCCCCAGCCCTACAAATTTATGTCTACCTGGAACCTAAGAGTGTGACCTGATTTGGAAATAGATTCTTTGCAGATATAGTTACTTAAGGATCTCGAGATGAAATCATACTGGATTTAGAGTGGACCCTAGATCCAAAAACTGGTGACTTTGTAAGAGAAAGGAGGAGATCTAGACACAGAGACACACAGAGGGAAGAAGGCCATATGAAGATAGGAAGAGATTGGAGTGATGCTGTGGCAAGATGGTTAAGCCGGAGCCACCAGGAATTGGAAGAGCCAGGGAGAGATTCTCCCCTAGGGCCTTTGGAGGGGATGTGACCCTACTGACACTGGATTTTAGATTCCTTGTACCCATAAAAGTGAAAGAATAAATTTCTGTTGTTTTAAGTCATTGCATTTATTGTCATGGCTATAGTAGCTAGTATGGGAGATCTATACTGTGAAGTGACTCACATCCCTTTTTTGCTATATTGACTAGAACTCAAACCAACTGTGAGGGAGAATGTCAAATGTTGCCATCTGTGTGCCCAGGAGAAGGAGAGTGAAACAGGATTTGGTGAACACATGTTCACCCTTGTACTTTGGGTACAGTACCAAGAGTAAGGGATAGAGACCTGGAATATAGATCTCCCTGCTGACAGAGATGCTTTCAGGAGCCATCAGGGAGACCACAGGATCACTGCAGGTCAAAGCAGGACAGCAATAGCTGGAGGACATGGCTCTGAAGGTGAATGTGAGCTATCCATAGTTGACATCAGAGTCCATAGAAATGCAAGAGGAGGGTCAAGCAAAAAAGCAAGAACCCACCCCAACAGACTGGGGATGACATGCAGGTTCTGAGGCCAAACAAGAAGGCACAAGTACTAGGGCCAGTGGGGTCTCATTGCCCCTCACTGGGCAGCTGCTCAGAGGTTGCTTGAGAGCAGGCGAGTCTCCCTGGCTCCCCTTCCTGGGAGTGTGTCAGGATAGTTTTGCTCATCTGTGTGTCTCCAGTTGCTAGCACTGTGTGGGTACCCAGCAAGTGTTGTTGTGTCCTGCCTTTCATCAGGGGCATGTTTGAAACCATAGGCTGTATGATAGCAATTTCAAGCTCAAACTTGCCATTACCTAAAGGAATAAGTCTTAACTCTTTAGTATGATTGGAACTTCCCCCTTGTCCCTGCCAGAGCATGGTGATCTGTCTTGAGCCTCCATGCCTTTGCACCTGGCATCCTCTTTCTCCGAAGTGACCCACTCTTCCTTTTCCACCTTGTGAAGACTTGCCTTGATATCACTGTAGCAGAATCTTCCCTGATTGCCCCAGGTAGTCATACCTTTCCTCATTGACCTCCTCATTGGCCTTTGTATTTAACTTATATGGTGCAGCAATATTGAAATCATTTCTTTATTTTTCTGTTTGCCTCACTTGACTGAATTTTGCATTTTTCATTCACCTCTTTGTCCCAGTGCCTGGCTCATAATAACCTCCGATACATTTTTGTTATAGAAGAAACATCATTTCTCCCAGGGACTCCTTTCAGACAGCTGCAGAAACAACCACTAGTAGTTCTCAGGAATGGAGATGATATTATGATTATTGACTAATTAATTGGTTATTGATTTATTATTCACCATGAGAAATATAGATGGGAGAAATAAATGAGGAAAAAGATCAAAATGGGTTAGAGTATACCGTTTGTGGAGAACAACAATAACAACAGCAAACATTTCTGTATTGATTTAAGATTTATAAAGTGCTTTAATGCGAACATTATCTTATTTGTTCTCATTGTAACACAGTGAGGGAAGCGAGGCTATAACTGTAAATCTTTTTGCTGATACCCCTCATGGATGATTCGATTCACATGCAAACTAGTGAGCAAAGAGGAGAAGAGGAGAAGAAAGGAGGAAAAAAGAGGTTTAGGTAAGG
Organism: Homo sapiens; assembly: GCF_000001405.40. Classification (NCBI taxonomy): domain Eukaryota; kingdom Metazoa; phylum Chordata; class Mammalia; order Primates; family Hominidae; genus Homo; species Homo sapiens. Next base: position 75,781,734 of record NC_000010.11, read on the forward strand.
GAAAGTTGCTTTATTTAGTTTCTATTCTTTAATATTCATAACTAATTCTGCGAGGTCAATCTCACCACTCCCATTTTGCAGATGAGATCACAGAGAATTGAGGTGGTAACTTGTTTCAAATCCCCCAGCTGATGAGTAGTAGAGATTGGATTCACACCCAGGTTTTCTCTCTCTCTGAAGCCCTGGTCACCTGTTTGGCCCTGGGGTGATGGGGAGAAGGTTCTGGCTGTGTCTTGGCTATCTCCTGCCTCTCCCTCTGTGGGGAATGTGTTCGAGGATCACAGCTACAGCTTTTCGGATACCCTTTCCTTTGTGAAGCATGTGAGAACCAACATTGCATCTCGGCAAGATTTAAAAGGAATTGTTGATGACCTGCTGAGGTATTTTCATTTTGTTCCTGGAAATGATTAATCTTGAGGCTTTGTGATGGCCTTTGTCACAAATAGCCTTCCTTAATCCATAATTTTCTCACTTTCCTTTAAGGTAATATTTTGCATTTAAGAAATAAAAACAAGCAAAATAATCCTGCTGTGAGGATATGAATGCAGTGTTTGTGTGTGGGGGTGTGTGTGTGTGATGCTGACCAAGGTCTAAATTCACCTGAAATGAATTAGAAAAACCACCTTTTTAAAATAAGTTCAGTTTGTCTTTTTTGCTAACTCTATTTGTCAATCTTACCTCTTCCTTTTATTATTATTTTTTCTTCTTCCTCTTTAGCAGATGGGATGGAATATTTCTGTTTTGTTTTTTATGGGTGATTTTTCACCGGCTTCTTCCACTTTATATTGAGTCACTTAACATCCTGTGAAGCGGAAAGGAGGCCGGTACTTTCAGCCTGAGGTCGGCCAGGGTGCTGCAATTCCGGACAGAGAGATGTTTTTCCCTTGGGTTGGGAATGGCATGTTCTGAGCTTCTTTTGACTTCTAGTCCTCGCTGCCGGTGCAGTTCCAAGTAGAGTCAACATAAAGCCAGGCACTTGTGAGATGGAGACCGGGGCGAAACTGCAAGCAGATGCCCTTTGCTGACTGTTGAAGAAAGAGGATCTGGCTGAAAGACCCGCAACTTTCACTTGTTGAGAACCTTTAGCCAGCGCCGGCGTGCATGTGTTTTAGTTTTATTCTTTTTCCCTTGCCCCCAAAGCCGTGGAGTACCTGCTGTTGCTCTCATGCCTCTTGCCAACAGTGGCATCTGCTCAGTGTAGCCATCAAGAATTTGAATGTCAATATCTTTGCCTTGAAATGAATGGAAAAGTATTTGTCACTCAGCGGCAATCATTCTTCAAATAAAAGGTTAGCCAGACAGGACCCTTAATCAAAGAGTCGGTCTTTTCTGTCAGCAGTGCCTTTTAAATAGCAATGATGAAGGCTGGCTGTCAGGGTAGGACTTGATGAGCGAGATGATTGATCTGCATAAATCATTTTCTTTTAACATTGTCAGTGAAGAGTAAATTGGTGGGACATTTTGGGTATTAGCTGTGTTGAAATTAATATGCAGTATCCTAGGTGTGTCCTCGATCACATAGTCCTCATAAAAGAAGGTAGAAATTAAAAGGAGGCTTTTAGGCATGCATTGTTCTAACAAGAAAGTTGCACCATTCTTACTGCTGTGGTCATCATCTTGCATGCTAAATTCGGAAGTTGAGTGTGTAGCACATTTTACAAGCTCCAAAAGGAATCTAGTTAATTTGGGAATTAGCTAGAGTCAGTAGCATTTAACAACCAGTAAATCTGTAAAGACTTACTGCTCAGAGGCAAAAAAAAAAAAAAAAAAAGTCTGAGAATGGTTTCTGGTTTTATAGGATAGGGTATCTACTACCTAGCATGCTGTTGTAGAAATAGACTCAGCTTTAGATGAGGCTTAGGCTTGAATCCACGTGCCATCCCTCCAAAGTGAGTCTCCTTGACCATGATGTAAGTATTAACCTTTTTGAGTCTGTTTCTTTGTCTCTAAAAATGGGATTTCATTAGTTACCTTGGGTGGATTTGCTTTTGGTATTAAACAGAGCAATCTAGGTGAAAGCGCCAGGCACATTACCTGGGACATGGTGAGCAAGTGCTCAATAAATGTTCATCTCCTCCCTTTCTTTCAATCAAGCGAAATGCCCCAAACCAGCCAAGATGTCAAGATTAAGGATATGCCCTCATGGTCAAAATAAATAATACATTGCCTGGTTTGGGTCATTCTGTATTTACTGGAATATCTTATGGCCATTTTTATGTCAAAAACATATTTCAGCAAGGCAGAAGCAATACCTAATTGCCGAATACTGAAAATAGGGAATGAGGTGGAAGGAATGGGAGAGAAATATGGCCAGGGACACTTGGTTTTTCTTACCATTACACTCTAGATTATGTGTCTGGGTTCATATGATTAAACTCTGAACAAGTGAAACCAATGCAATATAGTGTTGGGATTAAAAGTAGGACTGGTGGAGCCAGATGGCTCAATTCAGATCCCAGATCTTCCGCTTAATGGCTATGTGACTGCAGGTAAGAGAGCTAATTGCCTCCCTGAGCTTGTTTCCTCACCTATAAAATGGGGATAGTAATAGGGTTATCTTACAGTGTTGTTAGGATGATTGAATTAGTATATACAAAACAAAACATGTAAAAGAGTACCTGGTATGTACATGTTAACCATGATTACTATGAATGGTTAGTTGGTTAAGAAAGGTAGATAATGCTGGCCGGGTGCGGTGGCTCACGCCTGTAATTGCAGCACTTTGGGAGGCTGAGGCGGGAGGATCACGAGGTCAGGAGATTGAGATCATCCTGGCTAACACGGTGAAACCCTGTCTCTACTAAAAATACAAAAAATTAGCCGGGCTTGGTGGTGGGTGCCTGTAGTCCCAGCTACTTGGAAGGCTGAGGCAGGAGAATGGCGTGAACCCGGGAGGCGGAGCTTGCAGTGAGTGAGCAGAGATTGCGCCACTGCACTACAGCCTGGCGACAGAGCGAGACTCCATCTCAGAAAAAAAAAAAAAAAGAAACAAAGGTAGATAATGCTGAAATTCAAGTGGGTCAACAGTCTCAAAGGAAGAAACATATTTAGATATAGAAATGCATGATAATGGTATACTGGAGTGAAATACTTGTTTCATTTTGGAGAAACTTGCCTACTGGAGGAATTTTGAGCTAGGCTGATTCCAAAAACATCCATATTGAAGCAAATAGGTTTTGTAGGGTCTTCGGGTAAATAGCCTTTACTTGCTGTGTTGAATGTGAAGGTTAAAGGAACACAGTCTTCTCTAGCCAGATTCTCCATGCGCCTTCTGTAATGGTAAAGTCCACGTCAATCGCTGCTTGTGGGCGTGTGGCATGGACGCGCAGGAGCCTCTGTAACATGCATGTGGCATGCAGCTGCGTGGATTCCTGGAGATTATTGGAGATTTGCCTTCTCTTCATTCTTAGAGATGTGCATTTGTTTTCCTCAACTTGCTTTTAGCTCAGCTGATTGGTTGTATGTGAGCTTTGTGCTCCTCTCCTTTCCTGTCTTCTGAATTTATGCTATTTTGAACTTTTGGTCTGCTTCTGCATAATGAGAGAAGTTGGCAGAAGACAATTCCAGATAAACCTTCACCAAAACTAATGGTTCTGTGGAAGTCCTTGAACGGGTGTGGAGGAGCAAAGCTCTCCCAGTTCCCAGGTGAGCCCAGGGTGGAGATGTAAGACCACACCGAACACTGAGCATGGTCACCAGGCTGCTTTTGAGAAGCGACTGTGAAGCTGTCCTCCTGCAGGGGCATGATGGCTATATTTGAGAATTTCTGGAAAACATTCTCTGCCTCTCTGGCTTGCAATGCTCTTGGGCTGCAGGAGTGGTAAAATTGTGCTGTTAGATTCGTTCCTGATTCCATCCTTATTAGATAAAGCGTGGCCTGTGTTATCTAACTGACTACTTAATGGAGTCCACATTGGGTGTGATATTCTGCTCAAGATTAATTTCGGGTAATGAAGATCTGAAACAAGGTATTTAAGAGCCCCACTAATGTTTCATTTATAGCAATCTATCAAAACGATAGATATTTAGCCTCTTTACTGGATATGAAACATTAACTTAAAGCCAGTGCTGCTTTCTGTGTTAAATACCAGTACCCCTGCCTTCGATTTTATCAAACATTGTGAAAAATCTGCCACCACCTCCCGGAGAACACATATCATGGACTTAGCCTTAAGTTATGATTCTCTGGCACCTTGGACAACTGACCAACCCTAGCTTGGGCCCTGCTTGGGCCTTTTCACATAATGAGTAGAATTCACAAACAAATATTTATCGGGCACATGCTGTGTTCAAGGCCCACTAGACATTGTGAGGGGGACACAAAGTGGACTCAATTTCACTGCATGCGATATGCTGGAAAAGAGATATCTTAGCCCAAGGGGCAGGCTCATTACTCCTAAGTTGGTTATTACATTGTTCAGTTATGAGCAGATGAGGCCTAGAAAAATCTGGGTCGCTTCTCCTCATAACAACTTCCCATTTGGGGCGGTATGAAAAGTGTGGGTTTCCATCAATTCTGATGAGTAGGTGGAGTCCATTCCTCAGCCTTTAGGTGCTCCCCATTGTCCAGGAGCCAACAGTTGGGTATTTGGGGCTCCAGAACAAGTATCCAGGCACCTAAATGGTATCTAGCTAATATTTATTGATGCATTTTTCTAAGGAAAAATGAGCAATTTCCACTTTTCATTTTCAAGCTTAATACTCATGACTGTCCAGTATTATCCTTACCCCTCTCTAGTTTTCTTCTCTTTACTGTTTTTATTGTTCATTGGAAATATGTTGGTTTAGTACCAATTGTGTGCTGTTTTCCTATATGGAATATATTCTTTCTGATTTTTTTCTGATTCAAATGGTATCTATTCTTCAGGGCCTTTCTGAAGACCCGTGTCTTCCTGACCATATTCTCTGTGCAGTTTTTCTTCTTTCCAGGAAGAATTTTGTTTTTCTTCTCTGAATTCATAAACATCAAGGTTTGAATATGCATCCAATGCTTGAACATAGATGATGGTTCTCTAGATATTTTTTTCTATGTGTAATTCATTTTCCTTTTAGGTTACAGCATCTTTAAGAATAGGGACCTATGCTTAATATCTCTTCCATAGCACACACACTACTTTTGGGCACACAAGTTGTACTAAAAGCCTAGTGACTTGACCTGGTCCACAAGGATGAATCCTAAATGGACTTGGCAGTAATTTTGTGTAAGAAAAGGCAGAGGTATCACACAATTGATTTTACAGTGTGTCACTCTCAGTGTAGTGCTTATGACCACCTTGGGGAATGTGAATGAAGCCCCCACTAGATTTGTCTGTGCTGTCGCCAAGGACTTAACCACCAGGTTGCTGTTTGCAGCTGTCTCTGATAGTACATTGGGGTCTATAGACTTGAGTGTCTCTATCTTTTCTGGCTCTTCCGCATGCTTGGTGGTGGTTCGATATTCTGTTTTGTACTTCTTTGATACCGTCTCTGGGGTCCCCTTAATTGGGACACCTTAATCGGGGAGCCCCTGCTGCCTGGGCAGGGGGCTGAAGTCCTGCTGCTTTCCCTCCACATTGTCAGGATTCCTGGGTGTTTCCTGGGTTGGAGACGTCAGCCTGGCGGCATAGCCTGTGCTTTCCCCATTACCTGATCACGTTTCATCAGTGAAACGGGATGTTTCACTGAAGGCTTATCTCAGGAGGCGCCTGAATCTTATTTGACCAGAAATCTTTTTGGCAGTTGGTGAACTTGGTTGGATTCCAGTCTGTCCCTTTCATTGTCAGGACATACCCACAGTGAGGATTTGTGTGCCAGGCGTGTCATTTCTCTGTCTCCTCCAGACCCCCCGCCCTCATGATACTGTTGCCAAAATCAAGGGCCCAACCCCTTACCCCTTAAACATCTTTGCCTTTTAAATTTTGTAAACAATGCTGGAATAAAACATTTTTATTATAACAGATACAAGTAATAGAGATGTTGTAGCAAAGTCTGAAGGTCTCTGTTTTAAGTAGTGTGTAATAGAAAACCAAAATAAGGGGTGGGCGAGGTGGCTTGCGCCTGTAATCCCAGCATTTTGGGAGGCTGAAGAGGGCGGATCATGAGGTCAAAAGATTGAGACCATCCTGGCTAACACGGTGAAACTCCGTTTCTACTAAAAATACAAAAAATTAGCTGGGCATGGTGGTGGGCACCTGTAGTCCCAGCTACTTGGGAGGCTGAGGCAGGAGAATGGCGTGAACCCAGGAGGAGGAGCTTGCAGTGAGCTGAGATCACGCCACTGCACTCCAGCCTGGGCGACAGAGTGAGACTCCGTCTCAAAAACAAAAACAAAAACAAAAATTAGCTGGACGTGGTGGTGGGTGCATGTAATCCTAGCTACTTGGGAGGCTGAGGCAGGAGAATTACTTGAACCCAGGAGGCGGAGGTTGCAGTGAGCTGAGATTGTGCCACCGCACTGCAGCCTGGCAACAGAGCGAGACTCTGTCTCAGAAACAAGAAAATCAAAATAACAGTGGCTTAAAATGGGAGTTTTAGTTTCTTTTACAAAAAGGAACAGATTCAGCCTCTTGTGTTAGCTTCCTGAGGTCAACAGAGACAAGGCTTCTCCTGTCTTTCTGTATCAACATCTTTAGCTGTGGCTTTCATTTTCTAAGACACTTCATGATATAAGGCTGGAGTTCCAGTCATATCATCCAAGTTTTAAGCAGGAAGGAAGAAGAAGGGGAGAGGAAAAGAAAAAGCACATGCTAGCTAGTTGTCCGTCCCATTTTTATGCAGGGACTTATTTGTTTACATTGCTCAGCACTAGCCAGTCATGTGCTAAAGCCAGCTCACCCTAGGTTATGAATGCCAATTGTTACATTTGCCAGAGTTTTTGCAAGCCGATTGTCTTGAGTTTGGTAGCTTGAAATTGGCCATAGTTTTTACACAAGAGAAAATGGTGTAAGAGAGAGCTGTTTGTTAACCATTTACGAGACACAGCTGTTCCTGGCTGTAGGACAGGCGAGGAAATGTAATTTTTAACTTGGTGCATTGCCACACAGAATAAAATCACAGTCCTTTTACTAAAGAAGAAGGGAAAGTGATAATGAATAAGAAAACACTCTTTGCTACATTCTCCCCACTTTGTATTCCACAGACTGGATCTGCTTCCCCTGTTTAGGTTGTTAACTCTTGTCTCCTTTTCAAGTTATGCAACAGTCAACATAGTTTTACATTTGTGTTTCTGCACATGAACCAGCATTTGTGGACAATAGCTTCTTTGAGGTAGATTTGCTAGGTCAAAGGGTATGTGCCCTCTGCTTAACTCTTTATAAAGAACACTCACCAGATGTCTGGTCTGTTTCCTCCTAATGTAGTGTAGTGGTGATGAGCATGGATTTTGGAATCACACATACAGGGTGTGAACACTCATTCAGACACTTCTAGCTGTGTGACTTTGGCCAGCTTACTTAACCTCTGTAAGTGTCAATGTTTTTTTCCATGTAAAATGGGAGTGGGGGATACCATCTGACCCTGCAGGGTTTTGTGACGATGAAATGAGATTGTGACTACATAGCACTTACAGCAGAGCCTGGCAGGTTGTAAACCCACAGTAAATAGTTAGCAGGGGCTTCTGCTCATGGAAAGATACACATGTGTGCAACATACAGTGAGAAGAATGAAAACATGAAACTGGGCCTTGAACATTACATGTAGGGTCGATATGAGTTGTAGAGATGACCAGATTCAGATAGGAAAGCAATGGATGTTTAATGTTCAAACTGGAAAATTATTCATTTCACTGCCCCTAGGGGTAGGTGTGTAAGCTAATTGATGGTTAGAAAAATCCCAGAGTAAACCAGGAATGTCTCTAATTCATAAGTGTATATTATAAATATATTTAAAATCATCTTTATGACAATTCAGTTATGTTTCTTTAGCATATCAGATCCTTTAGTTGTGGAACTTGACAGAAATCAACATAAATGTTCTTTTTCTCTCCCAACTATATTGAACATTGCACAGATGTGTAGTTATTTATCATGAACATGCAAATATTGATGTCCCCAAGGCCCATTCTTTGAATTTCAAACTGCTGTTGCTATATTTGGATGTTGATTAATACGAGTCTTTGCTCTGACACATAGCATGTCTGATTTCAGGACCTCTGAAAGCAGCATAGAGAAGAAAAGAGAAGCTGAGGCTTGATATTCATAGGGATGGACAATAATTGAAGACGTGAATTGCTTTGGGAAAATGGCAGCAGGCAACCAAATATACGAGATGGTTAAGGATATGCCTAGCACAGAACTTTGAGCAGGTAGATTTTCAGTATATCTTTGCTCACTTAAAGAGACAGAAGCTATGGAGAAGAAACAATCACAATGAAAGAATTATTTTAACACTAGTCTAGAACAAGATTTCTTAATCTTGGCCCTATTGACATTTTTGGCTGGATAATTCTGTGTTGTGGGGGCCGTCCTGTGCATTGTAGGGTATTGAGCCACATCCTTGGCTACCCACTAGATGCCAGTTGCATGGCCTTCCTCAAGTTATGATCACAAAAAATGTCTCCAGACCTTGCTAAATGTCTCTGGGTGGAGGGCAGATTCACTCCCAGTTGAGAACTACTGATCTAGAAGAAAGGAAAATTAGATGATATAAAGTAAACAACAATTATATGCTAGACATTTAACCCATTGAGTCCTTGCAACAAGCCTGAATTGCAGATGTTGCTAAAATTATTTTTGTGGAAAGAGAGGTGGGATTCCAAGAAGCTAAGAACATGACCCCAGGTGGGACAGATGGGATCTGAGTCCAAATGTGATGTTCTTTTCCTTGTATTCCTCTCCTTCCTAACTGTATGACATAAACGTAAAGTATCACAAGAGCTTATGCTGCTCCTCTTCTTGGTACCAAGCTCGGCCTTCACTTTCTTATGAAAACCAAAAGCAGTTTTCAAAGAATCATGCACAACTTATATTTGGGTGATTGATCTGATTTGGCATACATTTTGTGGAGAACGTGAACCAGTCTATTCCCCAGTGGAGGGCTGTTGATAAACAAAGAGATATGTAGTCTTTTTAGCATTTCAAGGGCTGTGAGTCTCCTGAGAAAACTCAAACCAGGTCCAAGAGGAGTTACTTTGAGACAAGCTATCTAAGAACTGCAATATCCTCTGTGGGGAAGGTGGCTTTCGTTGTAATGGTTCTTGCAAATATTTCTTAAACCAAATAGGGTTTTCTTCTGGGGAACACTGAGATCAACTATTTGCCTATTTGATCCTCTTGCAGTTAATGTAACAGGTTTAAAACTCTGGTCTCAGCAGAAGGGGCTTCATTCCGAGCTATGGGGGCTAATTCTGTGCAGTGCAGTGTGGGGACAGAGCATCCCACTTTCCACAGTTTGGTGAGGCACTGGCCCTTAGAGGAGAGTTTTTGGGTATACAGCTAATTGTTCTAATTATGTAGTAGTAAAAATCATACCGTCCTGTAGCCGCATATGAATAGTGCACTAGAGTGCTTTCTTAAAAGAGTTGGGATGGGGTTGGGAGGGTCAGGAAATGAAGGGATAAAATTATTGTTAATTCCACCCCCTTGTTATACCATCAAGAGAATAGAAACCAATAAAAGAACTAAATGTTGGCAATCCATAAAATTCCATAAGCAGTAATAAACAAAAGCTGAAACTGTATTGATATACAACCAAACAAGGAAATTATCATTATTTTTTAATAAAGCCATTTATCATCAATAAATACCAAGGGGAATAGGAAAAATTACAAGCACAATGCCATCTTCCATAATTATACCTATTAACAATTTAAAGCATAATTATGTGAGGGAGAAAAACTTTTAGGAAAGCTTTGTGCTGTTTTCTCCACAGAAAAGTCAAATTCTCACACTCCCAGATATTCAGGATTTTCTAAACATTTCAGAATGATTGGTTATGCTTGTCCCAACTTACAGTAGCTTATTTTCTAAGGATCTTTCTAATAATTCAGGCCCTTCCGGCCTCTCCATTACCAGGTTTGTCATCAGCCCTGGAGAAAGGGCTGGGATTCAGGAAAAAGGTATATATGGTAATGATCTGACCGCTTGCTAAATGTCACTGGTCAAGAGGACTTTGTTTAGTGACAAGTTGATTTTGGGATTCCAGGATCTTTTTTTTTTTTTTTTTTTTTGAGATGGAGTCTCACTCTGTTGCCCAGGCTGGAGTGCAGTGGTGCTATCTCGGCTCACTGCAAGCTCTGCCTCCCAGGTTCACGCCATTCTCCTGCCTCAGCCTCTTGAGTAGCTGGGACTGCAGGTGCCCGCCACCACGCCCGGCTAATTTTTTGTATTTTTAGTAGAGATGGGGTTTCACTGTGTTAGTCAGGATGGTCTCCATCTCCTGACCTCGTGATCCCCCGCCTCGGCCTCTCAAAGTGCTGCGGGCGTGAGCCACCTTGCCCGGCCCCAGGATCTTACTTATTTTATCTGAACTAACCCCAGCTGAGCAGCTGCTATTGCCTAAATGACTATGTTCCAGGCCTTGGGGTTACAGAAATAAATGAGGTACTGGTGTTTGTTTGTTTGTTTGTTTGTTTGAGATGGAGTCTCACTCTGTCACCCAGGCTGGAGTGCAGTGGTGCAATCTTGGCTAACTGCAACCTCCGCCTCCCGGGTTCAAGTGATTCCCCTGCCTCAGCCTCCTGAGTAGCTGGGATTACAGGTGCGTCCCACCATGCCTGGCTAATTTTTGTATTTTTAGTAGAGATGGGGTTTCACCATGATGTCCAGGCTGGTCTCGATCTGCTGACCTCATGATCCACCCATCTTGGCCTCCCAAAGTGCTGGGATTACAGGTGTGAGCCACCGTGCCTGGCTGGTGTATTTTTTTAACCATTGAACACCTTACATTCCCAAAGGGAAACAGACCTGTATGCCTGCAGTGGCGAACAGCAGGGTGATTTAAGAGTATGCCTCAGAGCCCACCAGCCAGCCTGGGGTCATAGCCCTGCTCTGAAGCTTATCACTTATGGGAACTTGTACAAATTAATTAATGTTCATATGCCTCTGTGTCCTTATCCACAAAAGAAAAAATAGTAATAATATCTGCTTGTAGGTTGTTATGAGGACTAAATGAGTTGATATATGAAAAGTGCTTAAAAAACTGCCTGGCACCTGGTGAGTGCTATGTAAGTTGGCAGTCATTTAACCTGACAGGGTGAAGTCCTGTGACTTGGTACTTTGGTTCTGGTATGATAGCAGTGGTTGGGGTATTTTGATAGTTTGGGTCTGGTGCAATAGCAAGCTCGTGGTCACGGAAGGCTCTGTGTACAAGAGAATGACTGTCCTGAGTCTTAAAGGGTGAGAATAATAGGAGAGAGTATTCCACACAGGGAAAACCACAGGAGCAAAGGGATAGCATACAGAAACAGTATGATGTGCCTGGCTCTTTATAAGCTATACTCCATCTTCTTAGAGCCTGACACAATTGAGCTGGTGGCAGAGAGAGAGAGGAGGCTGCAGTAGCTGGCAGAGTCTGGTCACAGAGGCTTGAGTTTTTCTTGAGGACAGGAGGGCCCTGTTGAAGGATATTCACTGTGAAGGTGATGGTTAGTCAGATTTCCAGTCTAGATCCATTAGGAAAGCAGTGTACTGGGTTGCTCTAACAAGTGAGAGGGGAGCCGAAGGGAAGGGTTAGGGGCAACTTTTGGAATTTTTATGATTCAGACTTCTACCCAGTAGGACAATATTTCAGCAGGGTTATGCATGTTTGTTGGAAATGAACACCTGGACTGATTGATTCTCAGTTTAATTGTGGTAGTCATTAGTGCTGTTTGGCAAATATCCCAGTTCTCCACTTTCAGGCACATGTATAAACAAATGGTAGGATTGTATTTTCTGGTCCCCTTGTGTGAATGGGGTCACATGAATAGTTCAGGTCCAGGAGTTGTAAGAAAAGTGATATGTTACTTTGTAATCATATCACTGAGTTGTTGCTGAAAGATCTTTCAGAGCTTGCTCTTTTCCCTCTGTCACAGTGACTAGCATCGTTCCAGATAGAGTTGGCTCCATCAGCTGGGTCCTGCAGTACAGATGACATGGAGCAGAACTCCCAGCTGACTCTTGATTAACATGGAGCAGGAGTGAGAAATAAACCGTTATGGTTTTTAAGCCAGGGGTCAGCACACTTTTTCTATAAAGGGCCAGATAGAAAATATTTTAGGCTTTTAGTTTATGGACCATGCAGTCTCTGTCACAACTCCTCAACTCTGTCCCCATAGTGGGAAAACGGCCATAGGAAATATGTGCACACATGGGCATGGCTATGTTCCAATCAACTTTTGTTTACACAAACAGGCAGCAGGCTGCAGTTGACCAGCAGGCTGACTCCTACTTAAGGCACTATGGTTTGGGGGCTATTTGTTACCACCACATAATCAAGCTATTCCTGACTGATACTTTGCCCAACTAGCTTTTCTTTTTAAATACAGGTAAAATTTACATAGAGTGAAATGCACAGATCTTATGTGTGTTATTCAATGATGTTTATAAATGATGCTATGTGATGTTTAATAAATATATACATATTAAGTATATGCTTTATTATGTATCATAAAACTATCCCATTTTATGAATATAGAATTCATTTTCTTGTTGATGGAAATTTGGACTATTTATAGCTTTTGGTCATTATGGATAAAGCTATGAGCATTCATGTGAAAATCTGTGTAGATCTAGATTTTTATTTCTCTTGGATAAATAGCTAGGAGTATAACTGCCAGATCCTGGAGGGGGTGGGTAGATGTAGGTTTAAATTTATGAAAACTGGCCAACAGTTTTTCACTGTGATTGTGCCATTTATACTTCCACCAGGAATGTTTGAGAGTTCTACCTACTCTACATCCTCTCCAACAGTTAGTGTCGTCAGTCTTTTGACTATATTTATTCTATTAGGTATGAAATGGTATCTCACTGTAGTTTTACTCTGTGTCTTCCTGATCACTAATGATGCTGAATGTATTTTCATGAGTTTACTGCCATTTGTATATCAACTTTTGTAAACAGACTGTTCAAGTATTTTGACCATTTAAAAAATTGATTTCTGGTCCTAAGTCCTTTGTCAGATATCTATATATCTACATCCTATGTCTATATTTATTTATTTCAAATTTTTCTTCCAGTTTTTGAGTTGCCCTTTCACTTCTTAAATGGTGCCTTTTGATAAGCAGAAGGTTTTATTTTGATAAATACCTATTTATCATTTTTTTTTTTTGTTAATGCTTTCTGTATCCTAAGAAACCTTTGCCTTCCTTGGGGTTGTGAGATATTCTCTATTTCTTTTTATTACCTTGAGTTTTGGCTTTTATGTTTAGGTCTTTGATCCATGTTGAATTAATTCTCGTGTAGGAGAGTTAAGAATTGGGATTCTGGCTGGGCACAGTGGCTCACACCTGTAATCCCAGCACTTTGGGAGGCTGAGGCAGGTGGATCACGAGGTCAGGAGTTCGAGACCAGCCTGACCAACATGGTGAAACCCTGTCTCTACTAAAAATACAAAAATTAGCTGGGTATGGTGGTGCATGCCTGTAATCTCAGTTATGCAGAAGGCTGAGGCAGAAGAATTGCTTGAACCTGGGAGGTGGAGTTGCAGTGAGCCGAGATTGCACCACTGCACTCCAGCATGGGCGACAGAGCAAGACTCTGTCTCAAAAATAAATAAATAAAATAAAATAAAAGAAGAAAAAGAAAAAGAATTGAGAGTCTGTGTGTATATCTAGTTGTTTCAGCCCCATTTATTATTTTCAACTACACTCCCCCATTCAATTATTTTGGAAACTTTATCAAAAATCAGTTGGCCATGAATGTGTGGGTCTATTATTGTGTTATCTGCTCTGTTCCATTGACCTATTTTTCTACCTTTATGCAATTACCACACTGTCTTGACTACTGTAGCTTTATAGTAAGGATTTAAATTAAGGAGTATGAGTCCTCCAAATTTGTATTTCTTTTGAAGCATCTTTCACCTGTTCTTTGGGTTTCCATATAAACTGAGGTCCTTTGGGTTTCCATATAAATTGAGAACCACCCTGTCAATTAAAAAAGCCTGTGGGGTTTTGATTGGGATTTTATTGACTCTATGAATTTGTGGAATGTTGATATCTTAAGTTTTTCAATCCATAAATGTATTACATCTTTCCATGTATTCAGGTGTTTTGTGTTTTTTTAGTGGAGGTCTTGTACAACTTTAGTTACTTTTATTATTACTTTGTTTCTGATGCTATTATAAATTGAATTAAAAAAATCATTTTCCAGTTCTTTGCTTCTAGTACATAGCAATATTGATTTTTGTATATTAACTTTGTATCTAGCAACCTTGCTAAAGTCACTTACTACTTCTAGTATTTGGTTTTTAAATTCATCAGGAGGTTTTATGTAAGCTATTACATTGTCTAGAAATAAAAAGTTACTTCTTCCCAATTTTATGTATTTTTTTCTTGTTCTTGTCTTATTGCCCTGGCCAGAGGTTCCAGTACAATGATGAACAGAAGAGGTGAGAACAGACATCTTTGCCTCATTCTTAGTATTAGAAGGAAAGTTTTTATTATTTTATCATATGTATTATCTTTGATGTAGAAGTTCTTACATGCCTTTTATCAACTTGAGGAAGTTCCCTTATATTCCTAGTTTATCATGAATGGGTATTGACTTTTTCTGATGCTTTTCAGCCTCTATTGATTATATGGGTTTTCTCCTTTGTTCTGTTATTAATAATATGGTAAAAGCAATTTGTTGATTTTCAAATGTTAAACTCACCTTGCAGTACTCAGATGAGCATCACTTGGTCATCATGTGTTATCCTTTTTGTATATTTCTGGATACAATTTGATAATTGTTATTATTTTTTGAGATAGAGTTTCACTTTTGTCTCCCAGGCTGGAGTGCAGTGGTGTGAACTCGGCTCACTGCAACCTCTGCCTCCCGGGTTCAAGCGATTCTCCTGCCTCAGCCTCCCAGTTAGCTGAGATTACAAGTGCCTGCCACCACGCCTGGCTAATTATAGTATTTTTAGTAGAGATGGGGTTTCGCCATGTTGGCCAGGCTTCTGTTGACCTCAGGTGATCCACCCGCCTTGGCCTCCCAAAGTGCTGGGATTACAGGCATGAGCCACTGTGCCCAGTCAATTTGATAATATTTTGTTAAGGATTTTTTAGTCTATGTTCATGATAAAAAATTGTGGTAATTTTCTTTTCTTGTAATATTTTTGTAAGATTTAGGGATAAGGGTTATCTACTGGCCTCAAGATGAATTGGAAAGTGTTCCTTCCTCCTCTGTGCTCTGAAAGAGTTTGTGTAATTTTGGGTTTTTTTTCTTAAGTTTTTGATAGAATTCACCAATGAAACCCTTTGGGCCTGTCAGTTTTCTTTGTAGAAGGTTTTAAAAATTATTATAACTTTAATTTAATAAATATAGGGTGACTGAAATTTTCTATTTCTTCTTGTGTCAGTTTTGTTAAGTTAATTTTTCAAGGAATTTGTTTACCTAAATTTTTGAATTTATTCGCATAGAATTATTTATAGTGTTACCATATTATCTTTTTAATATCTGTAGGCTCTGCCATTATACCATTTTTCATTTCTGAATTGTTATTTTAGAATTTTTCTCTTAACTAATCTTGCTAGGGGGTTGACAATATTTTTAGCAGCTTTATTTGAGGTACAATTTGCATTACATAAAATTATTTTAAGCATGTTCTTCAGTGATTTTTTTAAAATAAAATCATATAGTTATATAACCATTACCACAATCCAATATTAGAAGATTTCTGTCACCCTTAAAATCCCTTATGTCCATTTGCCGTCACTCTCTATTCCTACCCCCAACTCTAGATAACCAAAACAAGTTACTGTTACAATTGATTTGCTTTTTCTAGACATTCCATACAAATGAAATAATACAATATGTGGTGTTGTGTGTCTGGCTTCTTTCGTTTAGCATAATGGTTTTGAGATTCATTCGTTTTGTGGCATGTATCAGTATTCTGTTCGCTTTTATTGCTCCATAGTGTTTTATTGCATGGATATAGCACATTTAGTTTGTTCATTTGTCAGTTGATGATGAACAATGCTGCCATAAATATTCACATATAAGTCTTGTGTTGACATATATTTCACTTCATTTGGATACATACCTTTGAGTCAAATTGCTGCTAGACTGAATTCTAAAATGACTGCATCTTACATTTATGCCATCAGTATATGAAGATTCCAATTTCTCTACATCCCCCCAACATTTGTTAGTGAGTATATATTTTTATTTTAGCCATTCTAGTGCATGTGACAGTGTATTTCATTGTAGTTTTAATTTGCATTTTTCTAATGACTAATAATATAGAACATTTCCATGTGCTAATTGGCTACTCATATATCTTTTTTTCAAAAAACATTCAAATCCTTTGCCCCTTTTAAAAATTGAATTCTGTTTTTATTACTGAGTTACAAGTGTTCCTTGCATTTTTGTGGATATAATTCCTTTATAAAGTACAGTATATAATTTGTAAATATTTTCTCCCAGCCTGTGGGTTATCTTTTCATTTTTTTATGGTATGTTTTGATGTGCAAAAGTTTTTAATATTGGCAAAGTCCAACTTAACCACTTTTTGCTTTTATAGATAATGCTTTTGGTGTTACATAT
Source organism: Homo sapiens (assembly GCF_000001405.40). Classification (NCBI taxonomy): domain Eukaryota; kingdom Metazoa; phylum Chordata; class Mammalia; order Primates; family Hominidae; genus Homo; species Homo sapiens. Next base: position 75,798,377 of record NC_000010.11, read on the forward strand.
AAGAAATCCCTGCCGAGGTCATGAAGATTTCTCTCCTAAGTTTATCAATATTATTAATATTTCAAAAGAACCAGCTTTTGCCTTTGTTAATTTTCTCTATTGTTAGTCCAATTTTTATTTCATTGATTTTTCTTCTTTTTACTTACTTTGCTATTTTTCTAGCTTGTTAATATGGAAACTTGTGATTTTAAGCTTTTCATGTTTTCTAATATAAGCATTTAAAGCTATAATTTTTTCTCTTAACTATAATTTGCGCTGCATCCATGGATTATGCTATGTTGTGTTTTTATTAATGTAACATTAAAAATGTTTTAAACATTTTCTTGTGATTTCTTTTTACATCCCTGATGTTTTAGAAGTGTATAGTTTAATTTTCAATTATATGTGTTTTCTAGATATCTTTTTTGTCAAGTTCTGACTTTATTCTATTGTTGACCCTGATCTGATCACTATATACATTACATGTTTTGAAGCATCACTATGTGCTCCATGAATATGTAAAATGGTTGTCAATTAAAAAAACTTAAAAAGAATTTAATTTAGATATTTATTAGGACTTATTTTAATTATCATTATGGCATATGGTCTATGTTCATGAATACATCTTGTGTACTTGAAAATGTGCATTGTGCAATTTTTGGATATAGTGTTCTAAAAATATCAATTAGATTAATTTATTCAGTAGTGTGTCCACATCTACAGTATCTGTACTGGATTTTGTTTTATTAAGAGTTTCTGTGAGTTCTGAGAGAGGCATGTTTATTCTTTATCCACAGGCATGTTTATTCTTTAACCACAATTGTGGATTTATCAATTTTTTCTTTTACCTCTGTCTAGTTTTTGTGTCATCTGTTTTCAAACTTTGTATTTAAGTGCACACATATTTATGATTCGTATGTCTTCCTGATTATCATCATGAAACACCATGTTTAAACCTCTGATCATAGTCTCTGCCTCGAAGCTTACTTTGTCCAATATCAGTGTAGCCATACCACTTTTTTATGTGTACTTTTTTTGCAGCCTATATATGTTTTTTATCCTATTACTTTCAACCTAATTTGGTATTTATATTTTAAATGCATCCTTGTTGATTGCATTTAGTTGGATCTTGGTGTTTTATTCAGTCTGATAATCTTTTTCTTTTTTTTTTTCTTTTGAAATGGAGTCTTGCTCTGTCACCCAGGCTGGAGTGCAGTGGTGCAATCTCGGCTCACTGCAACCTCCGCCTCCCGGGTTCAAGTGATTCTCCTGCCTCAGCCTCCCAAGTAGCTGAGATCACAGGTGTGTGTTACTATTCCTAGCTTTGTGTGTGTGTGTGTGTGTGTGTGTGTGTGTGTGTGTGTGTGTTTAGTAGAGACGGGGTTTCAGCATGTTGACCAGGCTAGTCTTGAACTCCTGGCCTCAAGTGATCCGCTCACCTTGATGGAGTTTATGAAAACTTTTTGATCAGCATGTTGTTTTTTTCCCAAATTGAAGGGAATTTTTGTCCGTTATTTGTTCAAATACTGTTTTTGCCTTATTATTCTCACCCCGATTACACATAAATTAGATCACTTGATATGTTTGCACATTTGACTGTAATTCTGTTATTTTGTTTTAATCTTTTTTCTCCTCTCATTTCTTCAGATTGGATAAATATTTTGACTTCTTTTCAAGTATTATTGATCTTTCTTCAAGTTGAGTGGTCCTTTTTTCCCCCTTGACATTTCCATTTGCTGTTAAGACCATTTATCAATTTCTTCTTTTACCTCTGTCTAGTTTTTGTGTCATCTGTTTTCAAACTTTGTATTTAAGTGCACACATATTTATGATTTGTATGTCTTCCTGATTATCATCATGAAACACCATGTTTAAACCTCTGATCATAGTCTCTGCCTTGAAGCTTACTTTGTCCAATATCAGTTGTAGCCATACCACTTTTTTATGTGTACTTTTTTTGCAGCATATATATATATTTTATCCTATTACTTTCAACCTAATTTGGTATTTATATTTTAAATGCATCCTTGTTGATTGCATTTAGTTGGATCTTGGTGTTTTATTCAGTCTGATAATCTTTTTCTTTTTTTTTTTTCTTTTGAAATGGAGTCTTGCTCTGTCACCCAGGCTGGAGTGCAGTGGTGCAATCTCGGCTCACTCAAACCTCCGCCTCCCGCGTTCAAGTGATTCTTCAAGTGAATTTTTCATTTCAAATATTTTACCTTTCAATTACAGAATTTTGTTTGATGCTTTTTTGTAGTTTCAAATTTTCTGCTGATATTCCCCTATTATGACTCTCTTTCCTTGAGGTTCTTGAAAATATTTATTATAACTTTTTTAAAGTTCTTGATTCCTCATTCAAACATTTGGGTTATCTCAAAATCTGTTTCTGTTGCCTGATTTTTCTTTTGACTGTGAGTCACATTTTTATGTTTCTTTGTATATGTAGCATTTTCCATTGCGTTAATATGTTGCAAGGATTCTGAATTCTGTTATCTCCCCCTGAAAAGTTAAGACTTCTGTTCTAGATTAATTTTTGCACCTACTGGCTGACTACCTTGAACTTGGGAAAGTTTGTTTGTACACTTTGTTAGGGAAGCTCTGTTTCAATTTTGCAATTGATCTTAGTGTAAATTTGTAATCCTAAGGCATACCTGCACTTTAAGGTGTCTTCCTTCAGGAGTTTTCATGCAAAGCTTAAAATATTTACCAAGCGCCTTCACCATGTCAGAATTAAAACTCCAGACCCTGACTTTTTAATGATGGACAGCTTATGAAATATTTGGTAGCTTTTTCAGCCTTTCACCTGTTTGTTTCTGCCAGACTACTTGGACTTCCCTCAAGCATCTACTGTTCAGGGATAAGCCCAGGATTTGTGAGGAGATGTATGCAGATTTCCTCCCTCTGTCACCTGTTCTGTTCTGGTATTTCCCTTCACAATCTCCAACCGCTTTGGCATCCCTGACATCTGGCTTTTCAAGGCAGTGAGACTGAAGCTTTTTCTTGAGTTCTGGCTGCTGTGTCCAGTGCAGACTCTGGAGTGGCCTCAAGGGGAAAAGCCATTTAAACATAGATATCACCCAATATGGTTCTCTTCTTTCAAGGCCATTGGATTGTCTTCTGTTTCTGTCTGCTTTTGGTAGCTTTCCAGTGCCTTCTATTAGTTGTTTATATTTTTCCAAGAGTTTATAATTTTTAACTCTTTATGCATCTGCCTCCTACATGAGGGTCTAGGGAAGAGATCTCCAGGTGGAGGAAAGAGCAAATGAGAAGCCCTGAGCAGGACTGAGATGAATGAGCTGGGGTGGAAGCTGGAGGCCCATGGGCTGGAATGAAGTTTACATCCAGGGATCCCTCTAAGCCATTGAACTTCGGCATTTGCTCTGAGTGAGAGATAAGGAGCTGTCGAATGGCTTCCTTAGAGAAAAAATGTTATCTAATTTTTTGCCTTGTACTCTAGGAAGGCAAGAGAAGAAGCAGGTAGACCAGTTAGGAGGCAGTTATGACTGGTAAGAGATGATGATGATTGATCTGGGTCAAACAAAATGATTTGTTGAGAGCTTCGTATGTGCTGTGTATGATGCTACCCACCTAAGCTAAGCAGCTGTGTTCCCAATCTCCTTCTTGCCTTGGCAGGGGACACAGCTTGAGGACTCTCTTGCTACATAGAAAAACACATGAGGCTGAGCATGGTGGCTCATGCCTGTAATCCCAACACAGGCATGCTGAGGCAGGAGGACTTCTTGAGCTCAGAAGTTCAAGATCAGCCTGGGCAACACAGGGAGACCCCATTTCTACAAAAAATTTAAAAAATTAGCCACATATGGTGGCGTGTACCTGCGATCCTAGCTACTGAGGAGCCTGAGGTGGGAGGATAACTTGAACCTGGGAGGTTTAAGCTGCATTGAGCTGTAATTGTGCCACTGTACTTCATTCTGGGCAACAGAGAGAGACCCTATCTCTAAACACACACACACGCGCACACACACACACACACACACACACACACACAATAGGGAAGGAAACTTGATTAAGGAAGGCCGGTCTAGCATAAAGCTTTGGGTGAAGGATTTACTTGTGTGTGCATATAGCCACATACCTAGCTGTGTAAGTCATTACAAATGTCACCTGGCTAATGTTCATTAATGATTAGCTAATTATAAAGCTGCCGTTCTGTCCTTGGACTGATAGCTGGTTTGTTTTACAGAAGGCAGTATCTTTGGTAGAGTTGCTTTATCATATCAAAAAGGGTAGTGTTGTTTTTTTTTTCTTAGCAATAGCTTCAAGAACGAAGAAGATTAAACAAACACTATCGAATGAAAGAACCAAGCCCAGTACCTGGCACATAATAAGTGCGTAGAAAGCATTACTTGAAATTAGATTTACTGCTTTTTTGATTAAAAAATACTCTTCCAATTTAATGTCTTAAGGGTTCTCTATAAAGAGTACAAATTATAAGTTAAATAAACACTATATTGGACCAAAATCAGAAGTAGAAACTTGCATACCTTCTCTTGATTTGTTAATTACTGAGAAGTTATTTGTGGTCTTGACCTGATGCATGCATTAATACATTATGTGTGTGTGTGTGTGTGTGTGTATATATATATATATATATTTTTTTTTTTTTCTTAGCTCCCTTTACTTCTACCTTCTCTCTTTCACTCTCTCCTTCCTCCCATTCCTCCTATCATTTATTGAGGACTAACCAAATGTTCTAGTCACTGTTCTGGCACTTGACGTGCAGAGCCTCCTGGTAGCCTTCAGTTTAGTGCAGTGATTGAGAGCACAGCCTGAGAGCTGGACCCATTTGCATTCCAGCCCAGCCTCAGCCCCACAAGCTGTGTGATCAGAGGCATTTTACCAAACCTTTCCAAGGCTTGGTTTACTTATCTGTCAAATGAAGATGGTGGTGCAGTTTTCAGGCTGCAAGTGAGTGTGTAAGGTCACTTAGCTCATAATATGGTGACACATTTCACAGGTCTCATGATCAGATGAGGAAGCACATAGTATCATTCGGCCTTTTATACAGGTCCACTGGTTACCTGTTCTTGGTAACAGGGTGAAGGCTGGGGTAACAAGTCCTGCCGGGAGACTGTAAGAGGTTGCATGGCACTGTGGGTCAGAGTAGCATGGATCCAGACCGCCTGCATGTACATTCTGGCTCTGCCACTTATTAGCTGTGTGCCATTGGGCAAATTATTTAACCTCTCTGTGTTTCAGTTTCCTCACCTGTGAGATGGGTTAGTAATGCTACCTATTGCATAGAACTGCAGTGAGGATGAAATGAGTTGACCCATGCAGAGTCCTTAGAGCAGTGACTGGCACTTAGTAAGCTGCATAGAAGTATTGTCTATTAATACTTGCATTGATTGTGAAACATAATTTAGCATTGCTAAGAGGCTGTCTTTTCAGGAGCATGGAGTCCAAGTGCCCATTTCCTGTACATTTGGCTCAGATACCCACCCCTAACCACTGCACGCAGTCTCTTTTCTGTCTGAGTGGGACACATCTCTTTCCCCTGCAGCACAATCACTCTGCCTCCCGCTCCGTCCTGGTCTGCCATCTGCTGACCCATTCGCTGCTCCTGTCACGTCAAAGATAGCGTGGCCTTTGTGGAGTGCCCAGGCAGCGTGTCATGTCCCAGCGCTGTTGTACATCTTGTTTCAGAGATATTTTGCTGTAATGTTCTGTGACCTTTTCCATTGAGTGAGGTAGTTGGAAAGGCACTCAGTAAGGGAAAATTGAGCTGTTTTATTCCTCCCCAAGGAGGCTCCTGTTTCCTTTCCACCATTCATTTGAAAGCTATCATTTTCTTGATTTTATAGCTGAAAAACACCATTGATTCACTGGGTGTTAGATGCTAAGAGTTCTCCTATTGACATGCCTATTGACAGTTTTCAGTATATTCTGCATCTAATTATCACTCTTGGCTAAATGATACACCTTGTGGACTTGAGCGATGGAGTCGATAGCTCTCACCACATTGTTCTAGTGCTGCCTATTGAGCCTGGTGTCACGGCGATGTGATTTATGTGATCAGAAAGAAAATTCCTGTTGGTGTGCTGCATAATTAAAGCAAGCGCAGAGTGACTGGTGACAAAAAATCAGGCCTGCCGATGTCACCCCAAATGAGGAGAGATTTCTAGAGTAAGCAGCTGTGACAGTGAAGAATCTCTCTTGGCATCTTCTGCTTTGCAATTTTCAAGGGTTCGATTTTCCTCCTGGCCCTGGCTGAGGGCTCCTCTTCTCTCCCTTCCTGCTGCATTGTGGTCAGAGCTTCAGTACCTGTGTGCTGCCATTCCGAGGCCTGGGCCGTGGGGCTTGCTCTGGGAGGGGCTCATTGTTGCAGACAGGGGCTGTTCATAGAATTTGGGCTGGCAGCAGCCCACATTTGCAGGTAGGGAAGATAGATGGCTCTAAAATGGCTTGTCCTTTGTATAAGCTGTTTTGAGTTTCTGAGGTTGAGATTAAATGTTGGGAAGGCCATTTTCCCTGTGCATGAGAGGAGTGGTCCCTGCGTTGACATGGCGGGTTCTGAGAGGAGTTGATGGTGGTGATGCTGGCCAGCCTTAGGCAGGACTGAAGTGCAGGTGGCTGACAGGTGGCAAAGACTGGGCATGTAGTAAGCAAACAACCCTGGTGTGAGACAGTGTTCCCTGTGAATCCCACCTTCTGCCTCAACTACTCCTTTACCAACACTCTTCCCAGAGGGTCTTCAGAAGATCCGCGCAGTCAAGGACCTTGCCTTCTTCAATGCTGGTGTGGCGATGATTTTCTGTGAGGCCAGAGTCAAGTGATCTAGCCTCCATAGACTAGTGTGTTCTCCATATCTGAAGTGAACGGGGTTCCTTTTAGCCCTAAAGTACTGTGGCTTAGTGAGTTGGGGCTTGGAATAAGGGTTGGAGAAAGTAATGGTGTTCATCTGAGAGGTCCCCTGAAGGAATTCAAAGGCCAAGCTGCCACTGCCTGAGAGGAGTGCTTCGTGTGTGCTGCTGATCTAAGATGTGGAGCCTCTGGCTTCGTATGGCACTGAAGGAACCTTGGAGGTTAGAATATGTTAGCGAGATATTTAATGAGACATATGAACAGAACATCTGAATCAAGCCAACAGAGTAGACATTTCCAGGCACCTGAGTTGGGCAATGAATTTGGCCTGGTGGCTAGCAAAAGTCATGAGTAGAATGGGGATTGGGTGTTGGTGGGTGGTTTGGGCCATGCAAAGGAGTCAGGATTCTGAGATTTTGGGTAGCTGAGATTGTGACAAGAGGGACTTTTGAGGTCAGTGATTCTAGATGGGTTACTTTCCTGGAAGCCATATGCCTTGTGTGGGCACTATTACTATCAATTTCTACTTAATGAACCTCTGTATGTGGCACTTTTGGGGTTCAGTTTTTCCCCATGCACAAGGCCAGAGAGATTTTGTGACTTGAGTTCCCGTTTTCATCATTGGGATTTTTTAATATAAAAGTTTTGAGACTACTCAGTGTTGTATTTTTGAGGATATACTGATACTTTATAATTAGGGGTTGTGTTAGGCCATTCTTGCCTTGCTCTAGAGAAATACCTGAGACTGGGTAACATAAGAAAAGAGGTTTAATTGGCTCATGGTTCTGCAGGCTGTACAAGCATGACATCTGACATCTGCTTGGCTTCTAGCGAGGCCTCAGGGAGCTTTTACTCATGGCAGGAGGCGAAGTGGGAGCAGCGATGTCCCATGGCAAAAGCAGGGAAAGACAGAGAGGCAGGGGGGTACCACACACTTAAACCACCTGATCTCATGATAACTCTTACTCACTTTTGAGAGGACAGAACTAAGCTGTGAGGGATCCACGCCTATGACCCAAACACCTCCCACCAGGCCCCACCTCCAACACTGGGGATTGTAATTCAACATGAGATTTGGATGGGGACAAATATCCAAACTATATCAAGGGCCCATAGTGCTTTGTCTTCGACACTGAGTGAACCATGGAATGCGTCAGCATTCTTGAGAATTCATATCTCTTGTACTTTGCTTTAGTTGTTCATGTTTATTTATCTGGACTAGTTCTGAAATTGTCAATGATTCTGGGTAAGGAGAGATATTCCTCTGTAACTGTGAAGGACCTTTGAACATTCTGATAGGATTAATGATTTTCTTCCAGTGTGTCTGTAATAATCACTAAACATGTCTCTGTGAAGACTCCTTAGTACATTAAAGTATTGTTAATGCAACAGTACCACCAGAAGACTCTGGGTGATTGATCGGGATAAAGTTGATCATCTGTCTGTTAAAGTTCTTTTTTTTTTTTTTCCATTCTTGACAAGTGGTTCAACTTAGAAATCCCGAGTACCCCTTACAAATTGCAGGCTACCTCAATCACCTGTGATTACAGAACATGGTTGGTTTGCTGTGTGCTAGGACCCCCATGTCTTAACCACAGTTGATTTATTTTAAACACTGGAAATTGCAAAAAAAAAAAAAAAAAACCACACACAAAAAAACCTACCTTGGGAGTTCTTTGACCCCACAGTTCTTCCTATTCTATGTCTTAGGCTCTTAAAGTGCTTCTCCTTTCTGCATCTGTCTTTCCCCAATTCAGAAGGTACTTCCCGCTGGCAGAGGCATCACTCAGTAAATTTCAGGGTAGCATAAGAATTGCTCTGGTTACGTTGATATATAATTTAATTTTCCCCAGACTGCCTCTGGCCTCTGCCTGTTTAAGCTCTGGAATCCCTGTGGGGGGTGAGTGTGCAGAATATGTTCTCACCTCTCAATTCATTGTGACTTTAGCTGGAGGTCGGTCCTGTTGCTGTTGTTGCTCTGCATCCCAGCAAGTAGAAGCAGCATGTGAGATGGAGTGAGCAGTAGGCATATGGCCAGGGTTTGTGTGTACAGAGGGATGCAGCACAGGGAGGGAAAGCAGCATTTTCCCTATGGGACTGTCAAGAGAAGTCGAGCCCTTCCATGGAGCACAGAGGCACAGAGAATCAGACAGGGCATGGGCCTGGGCAGCCTGAGGCCTGCCTGGTGAGCGATGGGGCAGGATGGCTCACATCGCCTAGCCGTTGGCAAAGGGTCTAAAATTCAGTGCTTCCCCCAAGCAGCCTAGCTCCTTCAAATGGCAAATTATTATTTTTCTGTTCTTTTCTGTCTTCGGGATTGTATTTGCATCTCAAATGTGTGTAAAGGGAATTTTGCACATTCGACAAACTTTTACTTTAAAGGCAGCAGGTTGGAGAAAGGAGCTCCATCACATTAAATGCTGGCTATTGTGCTTTTCATTCAGCTTGACGAACAGTGGCCGAAAATGGCAGGGGATTAAACTGATGTAATGACAAGAATTCATATAAGAGGCTGTGGGAATGGGGCAGAAGAATGCTGAGGCTTTGCAGTATTATGGTGTTCTTTGATCTGCCGTAGATGGAAAACATAATGTACCTGTATTTATGTTGATTCTAAATAGGGAGTGTGTAAACAGAGGCATGTCATTTTCCCTGCAGCCTTCAAGTTGAAATTACACAGCTACCATTTCTGAGCAATGGACATATTTCTGAGTAATGAGTTAAATGCAGTTTTTGAATATTTGGATCTTATTGTACATCACAATAAGAGCATTTTTGTTGCTCAATTGGGTTCCTGTTACAGAGGCACACAGTATGTGGGCATTTGTGGATTATTCATTTGCTAAAGGGCATTCTTCTTATTTTTAGGAAAATTCACCTTTGTCTTGGGGAATTTAAGCAAAAACAACTGCAATCCCGAATAGAATGAACACCTCCTTTTTTCAGCCTCATTCTTTAGTGTGGGAGAGCCGCAGATGAGATGTCCCTGCCTTCTGGAGAAATACATATGTGTCTTTCATCTGGGAAATGTCTTTCTGGGACAGCACCAGCTGGAAGATGTCACCTGGGATGACCAAAGACTTGATCAATTGACAAGGGGAGCATCAAAAGTGGCTGAGAACCATTTATGTTTACTGTGTTTGAAAGCACTTTGGAGGGCAGGGCGTGCGTCTCGTGCATCTGTATAATATGAAAGCATGTTTTGTGAGGCACATCTTAACATATGGTTCCAGAAAAAGGAAGGTGGTGCCCTGCACTCAAACTTTTTCTTTTCTATACATAGCTAGAAAGTCATCTTTCTATAATCATTTGAATAATGATGTTCACACTTTTTTTGTTGTTGTTGAGATGGAGTCTCACTCCGTTGCCAGGCTGGAGTGCAGTGGCGTGATCTCAGTTCACTGTAACTTCCGACTCCTTGGTTCAAGTAATTCTCCTCCCTCAGCCTCCTGAGTAGCTGGGATTATAGGCATGCACCACCATGCGCAGCTAATTTTTATATTTTTGGTAGAGACAGGGTTTCACCATGTTGGCCAGGATGGTCTTGATCTCCTGACCTCATGATCCGCCCACCTCGGCCTCCCAAAGTGCTGGGATTACAGGCATGAGCCACTATGCCTGGCCTGATGGTCATACTTTTTAAAGGCTTCATGAGGAATTTCCCTAATTTCTTAGAATACTGCTTTGGTCATCTCCACAATTATGGTAGGAAAATGTGGACTCAAGGCCATCCACAGTTTTGACTGACTCTGCTCTGCACAGAAGCCCCTGGGCCAGAATGTCTCACCTGCCATTAGTTCCCATCCCAGCCTCACATTTGTGCCTCTATGGAGGCTGTGCCTTCTACTAGAGGGGCCCACCCTTGCTGGCTTCTGCCCACTAGCTGCTGCCCATCCTCTGGGGGTCAGCTTGTTCCAGCTCCCCCACCACCTTCCCTGCAGGCTTCATAGCCACCTCCCCAGAGCTGAGTGTGTCCTGTCAGTAGCACTCGGGGAGGATCAGCCACCTTGCTGCCAGGTGGCCTCTGCATCTCACCTGTTGCACTCTTAGCGTCAGTGATGGAGGGTAATAACACTAATGATAATGGTAATAATAAAATCATTTATTCAGCCTGCTTTTACTGATTGCCTGTTGTTTGCTACGGGTGAGGATGGAGTGGTCATCAAAAAGCAGACATGGGCCAGGTGCAGTGGCTCATGCCTGTAATCCCAGCACTTTGTGAGGCTGAGGCAGGCAGATCACCTGAGGTCAGGAGTTCGAGACCAGCTGATCAACATAGTGAAACCCTGTCTCTACTAAAAGTACAAAAATTAGCCAGGCGTGGTGGTGTGCACCTGTAATCCCAGCTACTCGGGAGGCTGAGGCAGGAGAATCGCCTTGAACCCAGGAGGTGGAGGTTGCAGTGAGCCTAGGTTGTGCCACTGCACTCCAGCCTGGGTGACAGAATGAGACTCTGTTTCAAAAACAAAAACAAAAAAAGACAGACATGGACCCTGGATTCATGGCACTTCATGTTCCAGTGGGAAGGATAGACCAACCAGTAGTCACTCACGTCAGTGGAAGGATGTTGACTGACAGGTGGTGCGTGACACTGTGAGGGCTTGCAAAGGGGCATGTGAACCATTCAGGAGGTCAGCGAAGGCTTTCCTGAGGACAGAACCAGCTACATAATTTTCAGAGTCCAATGCTAAATGAAAATGCAGAGGTCCTTGTTTAAAAGTTATTGAGAATTTTATGGTGAGTGGTGGCAGCAGGGTATTAAATCAACTGTGGGGTCCTTCTGTGCAGGGGGCCTTGTGTGGCTATGCTGGTTGCATTCTCATGAAGCGGGCCCTGCCTGAGGAGTGACATTTGAGCTGAGATGTGAGGGGAGAAGAGGGTAGGAAGATGGCTCCAGGTGGACGAAACAGCATGAGCAGAGTCTCTGGCAGGAAGGAGGTTGGCACATTCAGAAATGATGAAGGGGCCAGCGTAGCTGGAGTTCAGAGAGCAGGTGGGGCATGACGAGGCCAGGGCAGTAGAGTTGGTGATAGGGAAGGCAAAGCAGAACCCTACACAGCTACTTAAGTGTCCTGAGCAGGGAGCTAAAGACACTGGGTTTGGATTTTGCAGTCACACTGGCTGCAGTGTGCAGGGCAGACTGGGTAGGTAGCAGGAGCGAAAGCAGGGCTGTTCGGAGGATGTCAGAGCTGTCCAGTTGAGGGAGGGCAGGGGCTAGTCCAGAGTGGTGCCAGTGGAGGGAGAAGGTGTGCAGGAATATTGAGGACACCCAATATTGGGCATAGTGGAGCTGAAGGAACAAAAGACGCCAAAGATGACATCTAGATTCTGGCTTTGAACCCCTGAGTTGAACCTCATGAAATCACCAACATTCTGCCACTTTTGATCTGCAGAAATACCAATTTCACACAACTTGTTCTGATAGATGGGTGGTTGGTGGGACATCCCTTTACACGGGAATGCTTAGAGGATCAGAGGGGTTTGCTTTGTTTTTGCTTTGGTGGTGGCAGCTATGAGAGACAATTACAAACTGGGTTCTAGACACAGTGAGCTTGAGGTGCCTTTGCAACCTCTAAGTGAGGGTAAGGAAAGAGGTGGACTATATGCATCTGGAGCTTAGAGGAGGTGCCTGAGCAGGAGATACAGTTGTTGGAGCAGATGCTGTATAGACACCTTATCAGGGTTACCCTGTTTAAAACTTGCAAACATCCTGTAAAGAATGTACTATTGTATTCAGTTTCCAGATGAGAATAATATGGCTAAGAGAGGTTAATTAACTTGCCCAAGGTCACACAGCCACCAAGTGGAGGAGCTGGGTCCAGGGCCCAAGCTCCTAATTACTGTGCCTACTGCCTTCTCAGTGGTTTCCTCACATCAGGATGCACAGCTCTTTGTACTGAGTAGATCCTTAGGAATTCCTTATTGGATAAATACATTTAAAATATTTGGTGGAAATAATGATATCTTCCCTTCTTAATAGGAGATTCTTGAAAGAGGTCCCAAGGCCCCAAAGTGTCAGCAACCATAGATGGAATTTACATGGTTGCCTGTCTGGTTATTCTCATCACACTTTCCTCTCCTTCATGGGCAAGCTCCACCCCCACCCCTTGCTGAGGTCTGAACTTTGTAGAGAGCCTCAGTTGTGGTCATAGCAACATCTTGCAGATGAATCCATTAATGATAAGTTAGGCTCCTCCTCTAGTATTCTTGGGGTGAATTTTATAGGATTTTGACATTTTAGGGCTAACAGCTGCCTCAGGTGCTGCTGCGCTCCCTCGGGAACCCCTAGGGCACATTACTAAATCTTGCTGGGCCTAGGCACGGACTCAGGATCCTTCTCAACATGGTACTCATCTCATTTTAGGACTGAGGGCACTGAGATCCAGAGAGATGTTACTTCAACAATCAGTTAATGCTAGAATAAATCTGTTTGCTTATTAAATCAAATAAAGTAGATTCTAGTTCAGTCCTTTTACAGGTAAGGATGCTGAGGGCCCGAGAGGCAGTGACTTGCTCATTTCTGGTGGAGATGGAGCTCATGCTCCCATTCCTACCTCCCATCTAGTCAGTGGTCCCTCCTTGGGCCTGGAACACACGGCAAATCCACTTGCTGTGTTGGCTCATTCAGCAAAACGGAGCACATCTTGTTGTGGACATGCATTTTTCATCAGCTGTTCCTCTGGAACTTCCCTCATCATGCTTGTGGACAGTGAATTGAATGATGTGAATTATACTTTATTAGGATTGCCTTTTGATACAAGTATTTCTTTTAGGCTGCTTTGTGCCCGCTGTGATGCCCACCCTGGATTTTCTTCCCTTTGCCCTTGACGTTGAAGTGAAACATATTGTTTCCCTTTAGAATGCCATTAAAAGTCGATGATGACCTTTACAGTGACTAATAGTTTCTAAGGGGCTTTAATTGTGATTTTTTTTTTTTTTTTTTTTTTTTTTTTTTAGCAGAGCGGCATTAGTTTGCTTCATATGTCTTTTGTATCAGGGAATCAATAAAAACTCCTGCCTTTTGTTGATGCTATAGGATATTTTATGCCGATGACAAGGGATTTGATTTAATATTCTCTTTAAATAAGATCAACACTGCTGCAGTTATAAACTCTTCGAAAAACTGTCAAGCCCGTCAATGTAGCATGAAACAAAAAGTTAGCAGCCTGGTATAAATTAGCACGTACAATGTGTCTTTGGGAAGGGTGGTACATATTTACGATTGTGTGTTAAAATATATATATTTAGAGATTTCTTTCTGCTCTTTCGACCATAAGTGGGAAATGCAGAGAGGAACATTTCATTACCACCACCTTCCAAACCGCAAACTTTCTTTGCCAGTTAATGATTTTCTGGGGCAATTCTGAACGTGGTGACATGATATAAACAGGTATTTATGATCTGTGATACAATTCTTCGTGAGTATGGATTTATAGTTAAATGGTGCAGTGGGAATCCAGCCAGAGATTATTGACAGAGCTTCTAGAATCCATATTTTGTCTGTTTCCATTATTCACATACATTTTCTTTTGAGTTCTGATTATCTGTGTAGTCTGTGTTTCCTGGTTTACTTGAGAGGTGAGCATAAGACTTTGAAATTCAAGGGCATGTGTTCTATATGCTTGGGGGCCATATGTTCTGTACATCTTGACCCTGCACCTCTTCCCCAATATCTTGCCATTTTCATTCAACAGCGATTAGGTTATGTGATTAGATCATTCCATCTCTCTTTGGCTTTGTCCCAGATGAACCAAAGTAGGAGCAGAGCTGATGGACAAGAAATGTTTGGGGTGAGCACATGGGTACAGTCGTGGCAGTGTCAGAGACCTGGGAGAGTCCAGAGCTTCCTAGATGAGAGTTACACGGCTCCTGGGACAAAGTGAGGCTTTTTCAGAACAGCAGCAGACAAGTGAGGGATCACTCACGGGCAATGTGGATCATGTTAGCAGGATAGGAATGGATAGGCAAGAGTCTGAGGGGCGGCAAATCTGAGATCAGGTGATCCAGAGAGAAGGTCTGCCTTGCACACTGGGAAGATTGCAGTGGAGCTGCTGGTGGCATCAGGAGAGCCCTGGGAGGTCACTGCTTCCATGACTGGAGGAGGTCCACTCAGAGTTGCTTCCAGTGCCGACCCACGGGGAGAAACTACCAGACCAGAGTTTCTTGAAGTATCTTCCCTGGAGGGTCTACATCTTAATCACTTGGGATTTCCATCAGAATCTGTTGTGAGGAAGCTGAGAATCTGTATTTTATAAAGCTCCCCAGCTGATTTCCATGCAAACCAATAAAGCTTTGAACCATCGCTTCACACTTAAGGAGTCTTTCCAAGTTAGAACAAACTTAGGTCTCCTTTCATTTTTTCCGAAAGAGTTTGGGTTTATATCTGGAGAGAGAGTGATGCTCTTTGGACGACGTGGGACAGATACGCGTTACTCCACAGGTCCATTTGAGAAAGTGATATTTGCCAGAAAATATACAATATATGTTTTGTTTAGGTTATATTTGTTGTATTATAGATACAACTTTACATGCAGTTTCAGATATCCAAATTCCCTGATCGTGAACTCCCTGTTGAAAGCTCTTGGTTGGAAGACAGGGTTATATTAATTCTTGCTACCTTTCACTGATTACCCTATGCTTGCTCTAACCATTTGTGTTGAAGACAGGATCAAGATATGACCTCTAGTTACTGTCCTAGAAAAATCTCTGCTGGGTCAAAATGCTGAATCTTCATTATGCTAATAAACACCTTGATGAAAATCGAAGCATGTGGTCCCCATTCCAGCCAATAAATCCATTTGTCACTATTGGAAAGCATTGTAATTCTTGAATTCCCATTTCTGCTTTCATTTGAATGTTTGCCATTCTTCCTTTTGCCTTAGTCCTACATATGTGAACCATTTAGGAATATGATTTATGCAGGAGGAAGAGTGAAGAGGTTCCTTCTGGACACTGGGCCCTTGAACTTGAAGATCCTGCTTTTCTGTCTGGAAGACATGGCCCTAATATGCAGTGGCTCACCAAAGCAGGTATTGATCTTGTTTTCTTGAGAATTCTTCATAGGCATGAGTCACTAGCCAGACCACACATCAGCTGTCATCTGCCCAACATTTTTGTCATTTTGGAGGAGATGAGTGCAAACTGAGAAAGTCTCTCTGCTTGTTTCCCTGGGTGGTACTTATGCTGTCTGAATGTTCCTTTCTGGAATTTATTAGTTAGTGATTTTCTTTTCAATAAACACTTGTAGCATACATACTAGTGTGCTCTCCTAAAGGGGGAAATAATTTGGCAGCCTTATCAGCATGTTATTGGACTTTCGTTTTGTTTGTAATCTTAAGACACCTTTTTCCCACTCAGCCATTCAGCAACATTTTCCCTTCCCCAGCCTTGGCCCCGCCACCTGAAACATTCATGTTCTTCCTCTAAGACAGAATACCAACCAAGTGCAGGCAGCCGGTTGACACAACCAGATCAAAAGGCTTTGAATTCTGAAAATGATTCCCCTCTTGGTATCAAGCCCAGTGATAAAAGCAAAGCAGTTGTCATCTTGAAAACAGAGCTGTATACACAGCAGAGCCTTTCCAATTAGCACACTTAAGATGCGTGTTAGAAATGATGGGAAGTGGGATGTTACAGAGTGAAATGCAGGTAATAGGGCTTTAAATTTTCATGTTTCAGTTGATTTTTTTCTATTGCAGTTTTAAGAAAATCGTTGCACATTATTGAAACTCCTAAGTGCATCTTACCATTGCTCTTCTGTTTACAATAATATCTTCCAAAACAACAGAAATGTTGGTCACAAAAAAGCTTGTACCCATTGGTTTTCCAAGTAGAGGAAGAATAATCTATTATTCAAAATTTCCCTACCATGGATGAACAAATCAGTTTAGGTGGCTTTTCTGCCTGCTACCAGCCAACTACTTCAATGGAATCCCTGAACTGAACAACCTGGCATTTTTCATGTTCACTAGACTCAGGCTTAGAAATGGAGCCTCCTCACAGGATCCACACAGGCATATGGAGAAATTAAAGCCAAATGTCCAGCAAAAACCAATGGGTGTGTTACATAAAGATACCAGAGTTATTTAAATATGTAACTTACTCACCAGTATGTAGGCTGCTAGAAGTCAGGGGAAACCTATTAATTTTGAATCTCTGGTGTCTAGCATGGGGCAGCATAGAGTAATAATTACAGTTGTGGTGGATGTGATTAGTACTCACCAATATTTCCAGTTCCCCTCTCCTTTTGTGTACATGGGAGAATTATGCTTTCCTTTCCTCTTGAAGTGAGATGTGCCTTGCTTTGGTCAAATCAGTGGGAGCAGAAGTGATTTGTGTCACTTCTAGGTATAAGCATTTAAGACCTAGTAAATGGCCCTTCTGTTATGGTAAACCCTAAAGCCTTTTATTGAGAAAGGAGCATTATAAAATGTTGGAGACTCTGTTAGTTTAGGTCAGTGAATAACTACAGTCACCAGAGCCCCTTTCCACCAGCCAACCCACACTGGACATGTAGAATGAGAGAGAATTAACCTTTTGTTAGTTTAAGCCACTGAGATTTGGGACTTGTTATTGCAGCCAAAATAATCTAACATATTTTGGCTGATATACTAATGAACATTTATTCAGTGCTGTGTGCTTCAAGTATTTTTATGTATTAATTCACTTAATCATCTCTATAATCCTGTGAAAAAGATACTGCTGTTATCACCATTTTGCAGGAGAAGTCACATGGGTGATGAGATGTTTAGTCACTTGCCCAAGATTGTATCTCTAGTAAGGAGCAGAACTGAAATTTGAACCTAGGCAGTCTGGTAAATAATAAATGGTGAATGAGAAAGTCAAGATCAGAGAGTGCTTTGTGATTTGCTGCAGCTATGATCTTTCATGTGACATCATTGGAGGAGGTACCGGTCAGTGTCATCTATCCCAGATCTCTCTGCTACCTGTCATTTTTCCATTATGGTTTCTTACTTTTAGGTCTTGAAAGTTTTCGGCTTTCTATCTGCCTATATAATTCACATAGTGCTATGGTGGACAACACTCTGTAATGGTTTTTGGAAAGCTAGGTACTCCACAAGAGTGCATGAAGCGTCAGAGAGGAGGTCTAGAACTCTGGGAGAGCTAAGGAGCAATCAAGGACTAGAGCTGCCCTTTGGCTGAGGGTTCCTTCATTAAGACTAGTGACTGCCATGTTGTGCTGTGAGCCCAGAGAAGACGAGCATCCTGTGGGAGTTCCCACCTGTGGAGTTCATCCAGCCTTTCCAAGCAGTAGTGGGAGATAGGATGACTGTGGGTATGCTCAACTGTTTGTTGCTTCCAAAAGAAGATGAGGGCCAATTTCCCAAAAGGGTAAAAGGAAAGAAGTTGTGGCATAGTCTGAGAGGCTCAAGAGGTTTGATTTTGCTCCTTTGTTCTAATATGGTTTGGTCAAGGTGGTTTGGTGAAGCTTTAGGGAACTTCTTATTGTAAGTAACAGAAGCCCATTCAATGTTGTTTAAGCAAAAAGCAGGATTTGTTAAAACAATGTAAAATATAGGGTCCTCTTATGGATCCCCAATCCTGGATGTATAGCGAGTCCTCATGGAGGACTGGAACAAGAAATTGGGAAGCTCTCTGGAGGCACAGCTCCCTCTTCAACTTTTGGAGGTTATGCAAAACTTCTCTCAATTTTCTCAGTACATTTCAGCTCTTCTACCTGGTTAGTATTCTCTGCTGTCATAGGTTCAAGGGCAAACATGGCCATGATATAGTACCTGAGCTTATGGATCTTCAGTTCAAATAACCATGAAAAAGTGATTAGAAACTTTAACTTCCAATTCAACAAACTGGGAACAGAAAATTTGATCCACGTTGCATGGTCTACTCCTGGCCTCATCATCGGTAGTGGTGGGATCATATCTGACATTTGTTCAGCAGCATATGTTGATTGCCTAGGATGTGACAATCACTGGGTTATGTGCTGAGGATGTGGAATATGAATAAGGCAGTGCCTCTGTCTTTTAGATTCTCCTGCTGCGGAGGGGCATGTGAGGCCAGAACTCAACCCAAGGGATCCAATTGGACCCATGCCTAACAGTTAGAAGGAGCCACATTTTGTTTTAATATAAGGAGGTTTTAATAGCTACTATTGTGAGATGGTGAACTCACCGATGCTGAAATTATTTCATCTGAGATAGGATGATCATCTCTGTAACAGGATGTTATCTGAATAATTCTCTCCTCTTCCAGCAGATTAGACCACATGACCCTTGTTCTTTCCAACTCTGTGATTTTAAAATAAACCATGTGATACAGTCTGTAGAAATGAAGGGGGAAAATATGTGCTAGAAGTGGTCAGAAAAGTCTCTTTAGAGTAATGAAAACTTGAATTTATCCCTGAAGAAAGAGAAGGCACATAGACACAGGAGAAACAATATATTCCCAGTTGGCATAGTGAAATATGTAAAGACACAAAGACAATGGATGTGGTATGTATAAAAGAGAAGACACACATCTACTTTGTGTCTTTAAGAAGCTAAAGGAAAATAAGCGTTTGGGAGGGTATTGGAATGATACAATTAGGAAAGTGGACCTATAGCTATAGTATCGGAGAACCAGAGGGAACTTGTTTTAGGTAGAATATTATTTGCTGTAAGAGAACACCCAAGAGAAAGTGACTTAAGCAGGGAGGATATTTCATTATCTCACGTAAGAGTAAGACTGAGTTAAAGAATTAAGGGATTGCTCCAGCAGATGACATCAGGGACCAAGACTCTTTCCATCTTTTTTCTCTGCCCATTTTACCATCTTGGCTTGGTGCTTACACTTGTTTCCTCATAGTCACAGCCTGAGCATGATGGTTCCATGAATTGCAGGTGGACACAACAAGATCTGGAGAAGTGAGAGGGATGTGTCTTTCTGTGCATCCCTTTTTATTTGAGATATCCTTTTTCAAATGTCCTCCAGAAAATGTCTGTTTGTGCCCCATTGGCCATGGTTAGTCACATACCCACACCTTAGAGTTAGGGGAGTTAGAGAGGAAGGCAGGCTTTGCTAGTAATGAGGGGGTTTGTGGGGTAAGAGTTGTGGGGTCAGCCACTAGTGGTATTGCTCCCAGCCAGCTCTTGCAGGTCATCTTGCCCCATCACTTAGTTTCACTGATAAAGATAAATCATAACTGTCATATGTCAAGTATCTGTTATACACTGGGAACTCTGCAGTATTTTGTTTTTACTCTTGGCAGCAACTTTTCCAGGTAGATCATGTCATTCTCACTTACTGATGAGGAGACTGAGTGGTGTGTAGGTGACTCAGATACTTAGTGCCTAGAGAGATGAGATCTTATTTGAATTTTAGAATCACAGAGTCTCAGTTTTGAAAAACGTTTTAGCCCAGAACTGCCTTCTTCTCCAGAGGTGCCCAGCCCTACCTTCAACATCCCTGCCCAGTGGCAATGGAGCCAGCTTTTCAATATTTGCAGAGACGAAAGTTTTCTGACCACTGGTCCAGTGTTCTTTCCAAACCGGATCACTGGCAGAGCACAGACCTGTCATGGGATAGAGGATAACTGCTGGTTTTCTTCTGTGGTTCCACCTCCCCACCCCTGGGAGGGATCTTTTAAGATACTGGCTGCTGGCACTAGTGATGTCATGGCAACTGTTATTGCAGGGCACGTTGAAATCCATTAGCAGGCATTCAAGGCTCCTCATGAGTAAAGTAGGGGCAATGTAAAAAAGTTAGTTTGGCTTCCCCAACTTCCTTAATCCCAAGACCCCGTGCCAGGTACTTGTATTTTCTATTTGCTAAATGTTAGTTGAAACAAAGGGCTGTTTTGTTGGGTTTGTGTTTCCCTGTGGAAAAGATTACTCTAGGCAAATTTTAGAAAATGCTTTTAAAAAGAATCTTGTGTAAGTTGAAAACAGAGGGAAAGAAAGTAAATGTCTTGATGGCTTTTTATTACAATAAAAATTGTAGTGAGAGCTCTTTCAATTCCCTCCCTCCTCCCATCTACTAAACAAACCTTTGTCTGTGGGAGGAGGATTATGTTTAAACAAGAGAGCAAGGTGGGAAAGTGGCATTATTTGAGAAGTCCTAGTGCTGATAAGTTTGTGATCAGTGACTTCTTGAGTACTTGTCAAGATTAAAGAGGTGCTTTAAAAGTAAGAATTTGCTATTGGTGGTTGTGGGAAGGGATTACCTATAGATCCAATAGGAAACCATTTTGAGTCTGTAATGTGAAATTTGGGGAGTAGAGGAGGGTAAAGGAAACAAAATTCAAGCAATGAAAATATTTCTTTTTGGTAGGGGAAATGCTTCTAGAGTTCAATTGCTCTCCTCAGATACCTTTAAAATTGCCTTACCTTTTTTTGACTATGATAAAAGGACCTCTTAGGCATATGTGCCAATTATCAGAGATTTTCCCTGATAATATGATAAATTTTCATACTCCAGTGAAATTTGGTGATTGGCAGGTCATTGGGTTGGCAGTTGTGGTTCTGGTGATGTCCTAGATATGTTGGAACTTGGGATAGGTCTCTGGAGGACATGATGCAGGTAGCCTTCTGGTAGTCAGGAGGACCCCAGCTGTTTCTCCACATGGCTCCTAAAACAGGCAAGAAAATGGTGGATCTAGACCTGTACTGTCAAATATGGTAACTGCTAGTAGCCATATGTGACTATTGAGCACTTGAAAATATGGCAAATTGAGATGTGCCATAAGTGTAAAATACACACCAAAGACGTAGTAGAAAAAAGGATGTAAAATATCTCATCAGTAATCTTTTATTTTGACAAGAGGATGTAACAATTCTAAATATACATGCACCAAATACTAGAGTGCCCAGAATCATAAATAATATTAGACCTACAAAAAGATGTAGAACCAATACAGTAATAAGGGGGACATCAGTAATCTACTGACAACATTAGACAGATCATCGAGGCAGAAAAACAACAAACCCTGGACTTAAATTGGACTTTAGACCAAATGGACCTAATGGACATTTACAGACATTCTGCCTTACAACCACAGAATCTACATTCTTTTCATCTGCTCATGGTGCAGTCTCAAAAATTGACCATATGCTAGGCCACAAGGCAAGCCTCAATACATTTTAAAAAATTGAAATAATGTCAAGTACCGTCTCAGACTAGAGTGAAATAGAACTAGAGATCAACACCAAAGGAACCCTCAAAACTCTACAAACATATGGAAATTAAATAATCTGATCATATGTGATTGTTGGGTCAATGATGAAATTAAGTGGAAAAAAACCCAATTTTCTGAAACACATGAAAATAGAGACATAACATACCAAAACCTCTGGGATACAGCAACGGCAGTGCCAAGAGGCAAGTTTTTAAAGGATTAAATGCCTGCATAAAAACATAGAAAGATCTCAAATTAACAACCTAACCTTATACCTAGAAAAACAAGAACAAACTAGAAAAACAAGAACAAACCACACCCAGAGCTAGCAGAAGAAAAGAAATAACAAAGATCAGAGCAGAACAAAATGAAATTAAGACCAAAAAAGCCACTCAAAGGATCAATGTAATGAAAAGTTGGTTCTTTGAAAACATAAATAAAATTAATAGACCACTAACTAAATTAGCAAAGAAAAAAGAAGAGTCACATAAACACAATCAGAAAAGTTAAAGGTGTCATTACAAATGGTATAACCAAAATACAAAAGATCACCAGAGACTATTGTGACCATCTGTTTATGTACAAACTAGAAAATCTAAAGGAAATAAATTACTGAAAACATACAACCTCCCAAGGTTGAACCAGGAAGAAATAGAAATCCTGAACAGACCAATAATGAGTAGTGAAATTAAATAAGTAATAAAAAACCCTCTAACAACATCAAAAAAATTCCAGGACCAGATGGGTTCATAGCCGAATTTTACCAGACATACAAGGAAGAACTAATACCAATCTTTACTAAAACTGTTCCAAAAATTGAGGAGGAGGGAATCCTTCCTTACTCATTCTATGAAGCCAGCATCACCCTGATACTAAAGCCAGGCAAGCATACAACAAAAAGAGAAAACTACAGATCAATATCCCAGAAGAACACAGATGCAAAAATCCTCAACAGAACACTAGCAAACTGAATCCAATAGCACATAAAAAAGATAGTATACTGTGATCAGGTGGGTTTTATTCCAGGGATGCAAGATTGGTTCAACACACACAAATCAATCATTGTGATTCACTGCATGAACAGAATTGAAAACAAAAATCATATGATCATATCAATAGATGCAGAAAAAGCATTAGATAACATCCAGCATCTCTTCATGATAAAACCCTTACTGGCTGGGCGTGGTGGCTCACGCCTGTAATCCCAGCACTTTGGGAGGCTGAGATGGGTGGATCACGAGGTCAGGAGATTGAGACCATCCTGGCTAACATGGTGAAACCCTATCTGTACTAAAAATACAAAAAATTAGCTGGACGTGGTGGTGGGTGCCTGTAGTCCCAGCTACTCAGGAGGCTGAGGCAGGAGAATGGTGGGAACCTGGGAGGCGGAGCTTGCAGTGAGCCGAGATCACGCCACTGCACTCCAGCCTGGGCGACAGAGAGAGACTCCATCTCAAAAAACAAACAAACAAACAAACAAACAAAAAAAACCCTTACCAAACTAGGTATAGAAGGGACATACCTCAAAATAATAAAAACCATGTATGACAAACCCAGAGCCAACATGATACTGAATGGGGAAAAGTTGAAAGCATTCCTTCTAAGAACTGGAACAAGACAAGGATGCCCACTGTCACCACTCTGATTCAACTGGAAGTCCTAGCTACAGCACTCAGTCAAGAGAAAGAAATAAAAGTCATCTTAATTGGGAAAGTGGAAGTCAAATTATCTCTGTTCACTGATGATATAATATTATACCTAGAAAACCATAAACCCTCCTAGAAAAGACTCCTAGACTTCAGTAAAGTTCCAGGATGCAAAATCAATGTACAAAAACCAGTAGCATTTCTGTACACTGGTAATGATTAAGCTGAGAAGCAAATCAAAGACTGAATCCCATTTACAGTGGCTACCAAAAAAACACTGAAGAATGCATCTAATCAAGGAGGTGAAATATCTCCACAAAGAGAAGTACAAAACACTGAAGAAAGAAATCATAGATGACACAAACAAATAGAAAAACATCTTGTGCTCCTGGAATGGAAGAATCAATATAATTAAAATTACCATACTGCCCAAAGCAATCTATAGATTCAACCCAATTCCTGTCGAACTACCAATGTCACTATTCGCAGAATTTAAAAAAAAACTTAAAATTAATATGGAACCAAAAAAAGCCTGAATAGCCAAAGCAACTCTAAGCAAAAATATAACAAAGCTAGTGGTACCATATTTTTTACTTCAAATTATACTACAAGGCTATAGTAACCAAAACAGCATGGTACTGGTATAAAAATTATACTTGGAAAAATAGAACTGAATAGAGAACCCAGAAATATTACTTACCTATAAACAACTGATCTTTGACAAAGTTGAAAAAAATATACTCTGGGGGAAAGGACACCTTATTCAGTATAATTTTTTTTTTCAGAGACAGGGTCTTACTCTTTCACCCAAAGCTGGAGTGCACTGGTGAGAGCTCAATGTAGCCTCAAATTCCTGGGCTCAAACAGTTCTCCAGCCTCAGACTCCCAAGTAGTTGAAACTACAGGCATGCACCACCATCCTGGCTGATACCCTATCCAATAAATAATGCTGGCATAATTGGAGAGCCATATGCAGAAGAATGAAACTGGACTTCTATCTCTTACCATATATAAAAATGAGCTCAAGATGGATTAAAGACCTCAAACTACAAAAATCCTAAAACCTAGGAGAAACTGTTCTGGACATTGATCTAGGCAAAGAATTTATGGCTAAGTTCTCCAAAGGAAATACAACAAAAGCAAAAGTAGACAAATAAGACTTAATTAAACCAAAAAGCTTATGCACAGCAAAAGAAACAATCAACACAGTAAAAGGACAACCTACAGAATGGGAGAAAATATTTGCAGACAATGCATCTGACAAAAGGCTAATATCCACCATCTACAAGGAACTCAACAAAACAAACAAACCAAATAACCCATTAAAAAGTGGGCAAAGGACACGAACAGACATTTTTCAATAGAAGACATACAAGCAGCTAACAAACATGAAAAACTGTTCCCTATCACTAATCATCAGAGAAATGCAAATTAAAAACACAATGAGATACCATCTTCCAACAGTCAGAATGGCCATTATTAAAAAGTCAAAAAACAACAGATGGTAGTGAGGATATGCAGTAATATGCAGTAAAGGGAATTCCCACTCATACACCGTTGGTGGGAATGTAAATAAGTATAACCTCTATGGAAAACAGTATGGACATTTCTCAAAGAATTAAAAATAGAACTACCCTTTGATCTTGCAATCCCACTACTGGGTATCTACCCGAAAGCTATACAATCAACCTAAGTATCCATCAATGGATGATTGGATTAAAATGTAGTGTGTGTGTGTGTGTGTGTGTGTGTGTGTGTGTGTGTGTGTGTACACAGACACATATATACCTACTTACATACACACACACACACATACACACACACACCATGGAATGCTACTCAGCCATAAAAAGGAATGAAATCATGTCTTTTGTGGCAGCATGGTTTGAACTGGAGGCCATCCATTATCCTTAGTGAAATGACTCAGAAACAGAAAATCAAAAACCACATGGTCTCACTTATAAGTGAGAGCTAAGCAATGGGTACACATCGACATACAGAGTGGGATAATAGACACTGGAGACTTCATATGGTAGGAGGATTTCGGGAGAAGGATGAAATACCACCTCTAGGGTACAGTGTGCACTATTTGGGTGATGGGTGAACTAAAAAACCCAGATTTCACCACTGTGTGATATATCCATGTAACACAACTGCATTTGTGTCCCCAAATCTATAAAGAAGTTAATTTCAAAAAATATTTTGATTACATGTTGATTGTATTTGGGACATATTAAATGAAGTATATTATCAAAATATTTTTTTCTACCTGTTTCTTTTTGCCTTTTTAATGTAGCTACTAGAAACATTTAAATTATCTTTGTTGGCTCATATTTCTATTGGGCAATGCTGGTCTAGATCAGGATTCAGCAAAGTATAGCTTACTGTCTATTTTTGTAATTAAAGTTGCCCACTTGTTTATGTATTGCACATGCTGTGACTGCTTTCATGCTATAGTGGCAGAGTTGACTAGTTGCAACAGAGACTATATAGCTCGCAAAACCTAGAATATTTATCATCTGGACTTTTACAAAAGAAGGTTGCTGAACTCTGATCTAAATAATTCTAGAAGACTTGGCAGGACCTAAAATCAATCTAGGAAACCCTGATTCTTACTCTTGTAGGTCACACTCTTAGGTAAGGAAGAGAGAACCAAGGATTCTCCTGACACTTTAGAGGTGCTTCTGGCTTTTGCTCCCTCTTATTCCTAAACTACTTTATCTAAACAAGCTGTAAACTTTCACTCCCCTCCTGCTAAGAGCCTGGAAGGAGGGACTGGAGAGCCAGCATATTGGCTCTGCATAGAAGGCAGATTTGGAGCATTTTACCACCCAGTGGAAGACTATGAAAACTTTGCTACTGATTCATGCATTTCTAAAGGTTTTCCAGTGGAGACACAGAGTAAGGGCTGAAAGGTAGGGACAAACATATGGACTGACTTAAGAGGTCCAGTGACCCCAATGAGCAGCCATAGTACATTTAAATTATTTGGGGTGGTAAAGATATTTTAGACCCAAGAGGTTTCATCATCAAGAACCTTTTTCAAGGAGGTGTGTAGACCTAACACCTTCATTATCAGCTGACGCCATAAGCTTTGGGGAATGGAGAAGACTGGAAAGGAGATGTGGAACACAGGATAGAAGGCACAAGAGGCTGGAGCTTATCTTGACTAGACCACAGCCCACACCCGAGACCGCCCTATGGGCATGGGCCACTGGAGGGTAATCAGAGACTTTGGTGTGACGCCTCCTTAAAAATCTCTTCCCACTTTCTTCTCCCAAAATAAATACATTTTCTAAGACAAGACCCTGAATCAGAATCAGTTTTTCTACAAACTTTGGGTGGTGTTAATTCCTGCCAACACAGGGCAAAGCATATTACAGTGAATGGAGTTACAGTATTCAGAATGAATTATAGGGCGCTAGGCACGTGATTTACCACCTATAGTAAACAGGGCTTCACACATGGTGTATTTCTGCTGTGTTGGTTAGTTATTAACTGCAAAAAAGGGGAAATTCATTTAGAAGACGTGCTCATTTTTTATGAGGTAAGGCTGCCTGGAGATGCATGGCATTTTAAAGCAAACGAATTCCTGGGAGAGCCCGAGCTTACCACCCAGAAATGTGGCAAGGAATAAAAACATTTACACCAGTTTAATATGAATGGTTGAAGAAAATATCTATTGCACATTGAACATGATATATGAAACCATAACCTACTCTTGTGTAGTAAGCTACAGAACCATTCACCTAACAGATTACTATTCGAGTTGACATTATTCTGCATCTTTTCGATCTTCTCTTGCCAAGTGCTGGAAACTGTCAGAGAAAGCCAGCCAGATACATAGGCACTGTTGGCCTGGGGGTTGAGAACTCATAAGACTCTTGAAGGCGGAGGTTACCCAGTGACCCCCTTGCTGCAAACTATAGTGGAAGTCAAAGGATGACAGCCAACATAAACAGCGGCTGCATGTGGAACGTCAAAGTCAAGACAAATAGAGGTGGGACTTTCTCTGTCTCCTGCTCCCTTTCTAGTCTGTAAAATGGAGCTTATTTCCTATCATCTAGCAGAATAAAAAGTGCCATATGGCTTTGGGGGGCCTCAGAAGTGCTTCTTGGTTCATTCTTATAACATAGGTGGAATTTGACCTCCTCAAAAATTATTAAGGGGTGACTCTTGCTTAATCCTACTGTGATTTATTGGCTACATACTGGATATCAAAGCCAAAAGGAATCGTAGGAGACGTTTTGGTATAACTCTTTCTTCTCCCAGAGATGAAGAAGCTGGAGTCTCAAAAAGGTTAATGAATTGCCAAATGTCAAATGCTAGTTAAGTGCAGGACTGGTGCTAAGAATGCAAGTATATCTCAATTTCTGGCCCGGAGCTCTTGCCTTCTACCTTTCTGCTTGTGTGTGCACACACAAAGTTGCTTGCAACTGCTGTTTTCTTTTTGGGTAGAGTAATGAAAAA
Organism: Homo sapiens; assembly: GCF_000001405.40. Classification (NCBI taxonomy): domain Eukaryota; kingdom Metazoa; phylum Chordata; class Mammalia; order Primates; family Hominidae; genus Homo; species Homo sapiens. The sequence goes on from NC_000010.11 coordinate 75,826,430, forward strand.
TGACTTTTGATGTTTTTGTAAATTTGCAAATGGTCTAGGTCAGTGTCCATGTTAAGACACCTTACTCGGCCTGACACTCCTAATTGGTTTTAAGATTCTGGGCCTGTGGAGCTCTTTCTTTTAAACTATTAACTACGAAGTTTTATATTTCAACTCATTCACATCTACTGAAGTGATAGCAGCAGTTTTATATGTGGGCAGATTAATGCACTTTGGGAATTTTAGAGAATTAACTTTACTGCCCAGTGCATTTGTGGCATATTTAAGTAAACTAGAGAGGCCGATCCTTGCAAAAGCAAAAGATATTCTTTTTAATGTGAAATATATGGGTTTTGACATGACTATAATTTTTAGACTCTCAAGAATTTTATTCTGATGTTTTGTCTGACATCTCTAAGCTCTTTAATATCACCAAAGAACTCTTGGTTTGTATTAATTCTGTTTCATTTGTGTATTTTATGTGTTTAGTGGTCATATTTGAAAAACATCTCTTGTGAGCGCTCTGTATAATTTTGGCAGAAAATTACTTTTTTTGTGTTTCTGTGATGATCCCCTGAGATCATTTTTGCATAAATCCGGCCTTCTATTTTCAGATACAAATCTGTTGTACAGATGATTCTTCTTAGAAGAAAAGATGCATTTGTAGCTAAAAAATGTAAATTACTTTTCATGGAAAATACCTCTCTGGGCCCCCATTTCCAAAATGTGATGATTGCACATCGCATGTTTTTGTGCGTGCTCAGGGGACTGCTTTTCTTATAATTAGAAAAGTCTTGATTGTGCAGCAGGTAGAATGGGGTGGCACGGCTGCTTCTGCAGCATAGGTGAGTCAGTGGAGGTACCAGAGGAATAAGCAAGAGACCTTATGTGGAGGTGGCACTTCACTAAGGGAAGGAGGTCTTAGTTGTTGAAGTGGGTGTGTCATGAGCCTTCTTTACAGGATGGGAATGTTAACAGAGGACTTTTAGACCTGGAGACATTTAAACACAATTGCCATCCTCTGTTTGTATTTTCTTCTTGCTTGTGATTTTTTATACAGGATTCAAAGTTTTATTTGGTCTCTTATGGAAGCATGTTTGGAATGAACACCCTCCTCATCACAAGTTTTATGAAATAGTGGAGGACAACAGAAACCTCTTCCTAAAATGTCTTCTGCTCAGTACAAGGGTTAGTGTTTGAGGGACTTTGAGGCACTGCTGTAAAGCAAAGTGCAAAAATCAACATATTCAGATTTGTGCCAAAGAAAGACTTGAGTTTGAGAACATTTACATCTGTTTTCAATAATTCCTCGCATATGTTGCAGAATGTACGTTATCCATCTTGTTATCCAGGAAATAACATTTGTTGCAAACAGTTTGCCAATTCGTAATTTTATTGAATTTGTTTATCATGCTGTGGCTTCATATGAGGTCTGAAAGATGGTGATCTTTGGTGTTCCAGCTGTTGTAACATTCTGCAGTGGGGCCTTAATTCCAGGATGAGCTGGAATTCTTTGGAGGGTCTGGGCTTTCTGAGAACTACAGCATAAGAGCCGGCATTGCTGATGGGCAATTATCTTTGGGGAACGCAGTAACTTTGCTTGTACATTCCTCAACCCCATTTTCATTTCTGGCTTTTAAATGTAGTCTTGGGACTGATGTGTTGAATAGCACTCCTTGTGTGCCCTATACTGTCTCCTTTGAAACCTGCCCAAACTTTTAAACTGTTTTTATGTTTGGTTTGAGAGGATACTGCTCCCCAGGAAAAAAATGATTATTTAGAACGACCCCAAACTATCTCAGACCTGAAAAGAAGTAGATTCTCTTCAACAGAGAAGCTAAGAAATATCTTTTTGCTGCATAAATATTATCATTTTCTTAAGGAGTTGTTGGTAGGTGAAAAGAAAGTTCAACCAGGTCCAATTTTATAATTTTCCTATTTTATTTAGCAGGCATTTTCTTTACTGAGGTTTATATTGTCTGCCAAAACTAGGAGGAAAAGAAAATATTAACAACCCTGAAAGCTCTTTCATTCTGAATTATTCCTTAATGTTTTTAATGATTTATTATAACCACACAAATGTGATCTTGGGGCCATTTGGAAGTTATTGAGTTTCCTTGGAGATGGGACTTGGCATTTTCCAAACCAGAGTTTGCTTTTGTGGCCTGGAAGTTGCAAGGCATATATATTTGGAAGACTAAAGATTATTCCCCACCAAGAAGTTTTGTCAACCTGACCTTCTCTACTCTTATGACGCTGCACACACAGCAGTAATCTCTGCAGAGGAGAGCAAATAAAGTGAAGAAATATAGCGGTACGTGTTATTTTTACATCCTAAAGTAAATTCTCCAGCATTAAGGCTGACTGGGAATTTCCATCTCAGAGTTCTCATGAATGCTGCTCCACTTTGGTGTTGTCCTCTTGAATCTCTTTTTATTATAGGTCTTTGAAGGAGGTATTTCTTGTAATTTATTCAGCCAGAGAGATAAGTGAGATGTGGAATTGGGGAAACAAGGGGGTGGGAAAAGCCTTCTGGGGTCAGCTGTCCCTGCCGTTGAGCCTGCAGGCTTTTTTTAGGTGCTGCAGCCAGTCAAGGTGAAGGACTAGTTCAGCTCTATTTAGAAAACAAGTGTTATCTAGGTTCTGTGTTATGAGATGACTTTTAGCACAAGATTCAAAAGTTAGTCTTGGCAAAATGGACATTCTTTGAATGTTGTTGGAGCTGAATGGCTCTAGATGGTGTGCTGAGCCCTTCCCATGAGATGATGTTCCAGAAGAATCCCAGAGATATGAGGCCATCCTCTTCAGCTCCACACCAAAGCAGGCATCCACTCAAGGCCAGCTCAACACTTCAGCTCCACACCAAAGCAGGCATCCACCCAAGGCCAGCCCAACAGTTGAACCCTTCCACTAGTAAGGAGCAAAGCAGCCTGGATCATGGCTGCACAGTTCTCGGGAGAACAGTTGTCTTTGTTTTAATGGGCTGTCTGTGGCCCTGCAGCTTCTCTCTACTGGCCCCAATTCTGAGAATGCAGTTTTAAAAATCACTTTTTGGAAAGAAAAAAGGAAAAATTCTAGGATGTTAAAAAATAATGTTTTTCTGATTTATTTTTACCTAAATCTGGTGTTCTGAGTCAACTTTCAAGGTCAATTCTGTTATTTTAAGGAATAAAATATATTTATTTATTCCTGTTTTTTCCCTTAGAATATGTTAGTAACACTTCTAAAGCATTCATGAAATATCTTAGGTTTGAAGGAAGATTCAGATATGTTAATTAAGTCTATCTATACTTCCCCTGGCTTGTATATTCTTTAGGGTAAGGGATACTGTCTTATGGCAAATTTTGACTGGTACCATGTTCAGCACTTGGCCTACAAAACAAATGTTTGTTGTTGAGTGGATGTTGAATGCATACATTTTTGAATAGGCCACTTTTTTTTTTTTTTTTTTTTTTTTGCTGCTGAGAGATGTCAGTTGACTGCTTGTATCCCAACTTCATCGTGAAAAGATGTTTTTCTGCTATTCACTTTAAAAGCATCTGTTCATCCCAAGTGTGCAGTGAAAGGGCTTCCCTCCTTCCACCTCCTCTCATCATAGATTTTCTTTGATTAGTTATCACTGGATCAAATTATTTTGCAGTATGATGGAGTGGGAAGCATTTTTGAGACCTAGGTCAGCCACTTACCTGCTTATGAGCATTACTTGGGAAAATATATCGAACCACCTTAAACGTCCATTTCCCCATCTACCCTCCCTTGAGGGGCTGTTGTGAGCAAAATGGCCTGTGTGAAGCTCTAGTAACCCAGCAGATGCTCAGGAGGTAGAGATGGTCATTTCGCATTATTCTGCTGGACTTGACCCTACATCTCCTGCTGATCTTTGTGTATGCCAGGGGTTTGGGCCCTGTCTCCAAGTGCCTGCATTTTAGTGAACTTGGATTCTGAGATTCCATGTACATTAGTACACTGTATTAGTCTGTTTTCATGCTGCTGATAAAGACATACCTGAGACTGGGCAATGTACAAAAGAAATAGGTTTAATTGGACTTACAGTTCCATGTTGCTGGGGAAGCCTCACAATTATGGTGGAAAGCAAGGAAGAGCAAGTCATATCTTATGTGGATGGCAGCAGGCAAAGAGAGGGCTTGTGCAGAGAAACTTCTGTCTTTAAAACCATCAGATCTTGTGAGGCCCATTCACTATCATGAGAACAATATGGGAAAGACCTGCCCCATGATTCAGTCATCTTCCACCAGGTCCCTCCCACAACACATGGGAATTATGGGAGCTACAAGAGATTTGGGTGGGGACACAGAGTCAAACTATATCATTCTGCCCCTGGGCCATCCCAAATCTCATATCTTCACATTTCAAAGCCAACCATGCCTTCCCAACAGTCCCCCAAAGTCTTAACTCATTTTAGCATTAACTCAAAAGTCCACAATCCAAAGTCTCATCTGAGACAAGGCAAGTCCCTTCCACCTATGAGCCTGTAAAATCAAAAGCAAGTTAGTTACTTCCTAGACAAAACAGGAGTACAGGAATTGGGTAAATACAGCCATTCTAAATGGGAGAAATTAGCCAAAAGAAAGGGGCTATTGGCCCCATGCAAATCCAAAATCCAGCAGGGAAGTCAAATCTTTTTTTTTTTTTTGAGACAGAGTTTCACTCTTGTCGCCTAGGCTGGAGTGCAGTGGCGTGATCTCGGCTCACTGCAAGCTCCGCCTCCTGGGTTCACGCCATTCTTCTGCCTCAGCCTCCTGAGTAACTAGGACTACAGGCACCTGCCATCACGCCAGGCTAATTTTTTTCATATTTTTAGTAGAGACGAGGTTTTACTGCGCTAACCAGGATGGTCTTGATCTCCTGACCTCATGATCCACCCATCTTGGTCTCCCAAAGTGCTGGGATTACAAGCGTGAGCCACCAGGCCTGGCCAGGGCAGTCAAATCTTAAAGCTCCAAAATGATCTCTTTTGACTCCATGTCTCACATCTAGGTCACACTGACACAAGACATGGGTTCCCATGGTCTTGGGCAGCTCTGCCCCTCTGGCTTTGCAGGGTATAGCGCCGCTCCTGGCTGCTTTCATGGGATGGCATCGAGTGTCTGCAGCTTTTCCAGGTGCATGGTACAAACTGTTGGTGGATCTACCATTCTGGGGTCTGGAGGCTAATGGCTCTCTTCTCATAGTTCCACTAGGTAGTGCCTCAGTAGGGACTCTGTGTGGAGGCTCCAATCCCACATTTCCTGGCCACATTGCCCTAGTAGAGGTTCTCCATGAGCTCCCCACCCCTGCAGCAAACTTTTGCCTGGGCATCCAGGCATTTCCATAAATCTTCTGAAATCTAGGTGGAGGTTCCCAAACCTCATTTCTTGACTTGTGTGCCCCTGCAGGCTCAATACCACATGGAAGCTGCCAAAGCTTGGGGCTTCCACCCTCTGAAGCAATAGCCTGAGCTGTACCTTGACCACTTTTAGTCATGACTGAAGTGGCTGGGATGCAGGGCACCAAGTCCCTAGACTGCACATGGCATGGGGACCCTGGGCCCAGCCCGTGAAACCATTTTCTCCTAGGCCTCTGGGTCTGTGATGGAAGGGGCTGCCATGAAGACCTCTGACATGCCCTGGAGACATTGTCCCCATTATCTTGGCTATTAACATTTGGTTCCATCTTACATTTCTGTAGCTGGCTTGAATTTCTACTCAGAAAATTGGATTTTCTTTTTTACTGCATCATCAGGCTACAAATTTTCGAAATTTTAATGCTCTGTTTCCCTTTTAAAACTGAATGCCTTTAACAGCACCCAAGTCACCTCTTGAAGGCTTTGCTGCTGAGAAATTTCTTCCACCAGATACCCTAAATAATCTCTCTCAAGTTCAAATTTCCACAAATCTCTAGGGAAGGAGCAAAATGCCACCAGTCTCTTTACTAAAACATAATGAAAATCACCCTTGCTCCAGTTCTCAACAAGTTCCTCATCTTCATCTGAGACCACCTCAGCCTGGATTGCATTGTCCATATCATTATCAGCATTTTGGTCAAAGTCATTCAACAAGTCTCTAGGGATTTCCAAACTTTCCCATATTTTCCTGTCTTCTTCTGAGCCCTCCAGACTGTTCCAACCTCTGCCTGTTACCCAGTTCCAAAGTCGCTTCCACATTTTCAGGTATCTTTTCAGTGGCACCCCATTCTTGGTACCAATTTACTGTATTAATCTGTCTTCACACTGCTGATAAAGACATACCTGAGACTGGGCAACGTACAAAAGAAAGAGGTTTAATTAGACTTACAGTTCCATGTGGCTGGGGAAGCCTCACAATCATGGCAGAAGGCAAGGAGGAGCAAGTCACATCTTACGTGGATGGTAGCAGGCAAAGAGAAGGCTTGTGCAGAGAAACTTCTGTTTTTAAAACCATCAGATCTCGTGAGACCCATTCACTATCACGAGAACAACACGAGAAAGACCTGCCCCCATGATTCAGTTGTCTCCCACTGGGCCCCTCCCACAACACTTGGGAAGTATGGGAGCTACATGAGATTTGGGTAGGACACAGAGTCAAACCATTTCATATACTCTCCCTAGTTTCCTGGCTAAATAAGGTGATCACATATCATAGGTTTTCTGTGGCTATCTCATTTTAAAGTATGTTGTCCTTTTGTCCTCTAAATTATTGAAATGTCAAGAAAATCTCAACAACTTGATGTCTAGTTTTAGAATCTCCCAGCCAGCCCCTTGCACCAGAAAATAGCACAAACGACATTGTTTAATGCATCCTAATTTTAATCAGAAAACAGTTATCCTATTTCTGGCATATCATGGATCACCTGACTGGTACAAGAGAAAGAAGGGTTTTGTAGGGATATTGCAACCACGTATTAAAGCCTGAAAGACACTCTGAAGAGCATCTCATATTCTAATGTCTCTGCCTATTAGGGTGGTGTATCAAGAAGATGTATCTTGTTCATTGGTACTTTCAAGGGCTGTGATCTCTCCATAAGTAAGATTATCAGTGATTGGAGCCTTTTCCTCCTTTGATGATCTCTTCTCTTTTTGCTTAGTTTCCCATTGCTGCTGTAACAATTTGCAACAAACTTAGTGGGCAAAAATAACACAGCTGTATTCTCCTTCTGTCCCTCCAAAATTCACATCAATCCTACGTGAAGTATACATTCACCCCATCCCAAGGTCACCAAAAGTTTCAGCCATTACAGCTTCAAGTCTAAAACCTCATCTACATCTCATCAGCTAAAAATAACAAATCTCATGATCTCAATAATTTAAATCAAGTATGAGTGAGCCGCTAAGTATAATCCATTCTTGGTGAAAATTACTCTTCATCTGTGGACCTGTAAAATCAGAAGTAAGTTGTCTGCCCCCAAAATACAGTGATGGGACAGGCACAGGAGACTGTTTATAGACATTCCATTTTAAAAGGGATACAGTGAAAGGGAAAAGGAGTCAGTCACCAGTCCCAAGCAATTTTATACGTGGCAGGGCAAACTTCTTTAGGTTTCAGGACCCGGGAATAATTCTGTGTGGCTTGAGGACCTGCGCTCTGGATTTGAGCTTCTACACTCTGGGCTTGAGGCTCCACCCACTGGGTCATCCTTCCTTTTTCGTGAAGGTAGGATGTGTTTGCAGCTGAGTAGTTTTATCAGCCTGTTTCTTGTCTGTAGAACTTGCCTACTTTACAGCCTTCTTTCATTTTATCCTTTTTATCCCTTCTATTCTAAGCTGACAGTATTTCTGCTAGTATAACATTCTCAAAAAACTTATGGTATCCAATGTATGTCATGGGGATTCATTCCATGAGACAAAAGGGTCCTCCATAGCTTTTTCTGGATAATTCTATGTCTATTTCTGGCTTCTGTTGAGATGGTTGAGGGGATTCACGAGTCACATGCCTAATCTCTTCAAAGAGCTTTCTGTGTGAAAGAATACTCTGATATTTTGACCCTTCTGAGTTATTTGCCAAAGGTTGTTCATTTACACCCTGGCTTTCTTTCTAGAGTATCCCTTCATGGCAGTGAACCTCCTAATTTTAACCTTCTTTGCAATCTGAATAGCTGAGCATTTCCCAAATCATCAAGTCCTGGCTCCTTTTTAATTAACATCCCTTCCCTCCACTTATCTTTTCCTTCTTGCCTTTCACTATAAGCAGCAAGAGGAAACCAGATTGGACCTTCAACACTTTGCTTGGAAATTTCAGAAAAATATCCAACTTTATTGCTTTCAAGTTGTGCTTTCCATGTAACTGTAGGACACAATTCAGCAAATAATGCTGCCATTAAAAACTAAGGATCCTCTTCCAGTGTCCAGTGATATGTTCCTTATTTCCTTCCGAGCTCTCAGCAGCAGTGGCTTTAACATCCATACTGCCACTAATAGTCTGTTGATGATGATTTGGGTATTCTCTAAGACAGTGTTGGTTTCTCTGCGACAGTCCTCGCTTCCTTCTGAGTCTTCACCAGCGGAGTCATTCATGCCAATGTTTCTACTAACAGCCTGTTCAAGCCCATGTAAGCTTCTTCTATCATGCTCCTCAAAATTCTTCCAACTTCTACTTATTATCAAATTCCGAAACCACTTCTACTGTTTTAGATATTTGTTACAGCAGCACTCTATTTATAAGTGTAAAATCTGTATTCGTTTTCTATTGTCATTGCAACAAATTTCCACAAACTTAGTAGCCTACAAGTAATACACATTTGTTCTCTTATAGTTCTAGAGGTCAGAAGTTCAAAATGAGGCATACAGGGCTAAAATTAAGGTGATGGGAAGGCTGTTTCTTTTGGGAGCCTCTGAGAGAAAAATCTGTTTCCTGTGCATTCCAGTGTCTAGCAACCACCTGTATTCCTTGTCTTGTGGCCCCTTCCTCCTTGTTCAAAGCACATCTCTCAGTTTACTGTTTTCATTACTATATCACTGTTTTCTCCGACTCTGACTCCTCCTGCATCCTTCTTATAAGTACTATTGTGATGACATTGGGTCCACCCAGATAATCTAGGGTAATCCTTTCATCTCCAGAATTTTAACTCAATCACATTTGCAAAGTCCCTTTTTCCATATGAATTCACAGGTTCTGAAAATTCATGGACATATTTGGGGTGGTGTTATGTAGCCTACCATATCGCTATTATTTCAGTTCTCCCAACTTTTAGAAGGTTGATAGACAGCACGTAGTAGTGGAAGGAACTAATCTGGGAGTCAGAAACCTAGATTTCAGTCCCACTTGGGCTACTAAAAGGTTTTATGCCTTAGATCAAGCCATTTTGCTTTTTTGGACCTCAATATCATCAGTTGTAAAGTGAGGGGATTAAACTGAGTGATGGCTAAGGCCCTTCAGGACTCTCTACTGTTATGCTTCTTTGGTTCTGGGCTTTCATTGCAATGAGGTGCTTCTTTAGAAATAAGAAATGGTGAGTTTTAGTTGCTGAACAGTTTAGAGTGAATTAGCCAAAATGGTGCTGCAGTTCAGTGCTAAAGTCAGTTGAGGTGACTTAGTTTACTGTTGTTGTTCTTGCCAGATTATGGGCCTTTTACATACAGTAGATGCTCATCAAACTCAATGGAAAAGCATTATCAAGCACAGTTTCTCTTAGAAGGCACTTGCACTGAATAAGAAAAAAAATCCTCACTCTCTTAGTGTAGGGGTTCAGGGCGACTTAAATGGTAAAATCTGAGGTCTGAGTAAAGGGTTTCTTATGTTCTCTAGGGTGGAAGTTATGGCTGAGGAAGGATGGGAAGGTTTTCCGAAGGTCCGTGTCTCCAGTAGGAGAAAGCAGGTCCTTTGGAGAAAATGTGCATTGGCTTTTGCTAGATTCTTGCAGCTGCACAGAAGGCTGCTGCAGCCAACACATGTTATAGAGCTCAAGAGAGTTGGAAGTGATGTCTGATGCTAAGTCCTCCACAAGCAAACCAGGGAAATCAACTGAAGAAGAGGCCTCAAAGAAATCAGGTCAAGGAATTTAAGCACTGAGTCTAGGAGGATTCAGAAGAGGATATTTAGTTTTTCAGCTTGTCCTCTGGGACTCTATACCACTGGGGACTCATATACAATATTTCTGTTGTTGCTAAAGGGCAGTAAGTATGATGATTAGAATTTGAAAAGCAGTCCCTCTGGTAGGCCTTAGGATTTTCTAAACTGCTTTGCAAGGCTAGGTTAAATCTTGTGTTTTTTTAAAAGAGGAATCTTCTATTCAGCACACAAATGAGCACCCTACCTTTGAGCCTTTGTAATTTTACTCATGTTATTTCCTATGTCTGGAAATTCTTGTCCACATCTTTACCTGCTTACAATCTTCTCTGTCCTTCAAGGATCTGCTTAAATACCATGCTTTCAAACAAAACCTCTTATTTCCTCTCTCTCCGAATGATCTTTTCTTTTTCTTAAACTCCTGTTGAATTTTCAGTCTTTAATTTTTTAACAGCATTGGCCACAGTAGGAATTTAAATGCATGCTTTCTCTCAGGTGCATTATAATGTCATTGAGACATTTATTCATCTTTGCATCTCTCATAGTACATAAAACTGGAGAGGAGGGCTTAATATGTGTAGAAAGAATGAATAGAAAAAATATCTAACTGTACATGTAAGCATAGACTCACTGGGTACATAAAATATAAATTAATGTCCATAGAAATCTATATTGATATACTGATATTGATATAGATATAGATATTGATATAGATAGAGATGACTTAGTACTCAAGATAGTGCTGAGTGTTGATGTAAGAGATGTATAAGGCTTGAAACTCTAAGCCTTAGTAAAACCATATTCTAATTGTGGAGAGAATATAGCAAAATATTCATGAGCGATAGTATTAGGTGGGGTTAAATTTTGTGATACAGATAGTCACTACTCCTGTATTTCAGAGAAGAGGATGCTCTCTGTAAGCTGGAGTGGTTGGGGAGATCTTTGAGGAGGAGAAAGAATTTGAGTGAGCCCTTGAATGATCAAACACTTTTTCAGGTTTTAAGGTCTTCGTAGAAATGTCAAACATTTTCATGTTTGTCTATAGGACAATTGTCATATCTTTCATTTTAGTTGTTAAAAAATAGAATGGACAAAAAATGGTGCCAGTTCAAAATGAATTTACATGTATTTGTAATGCATGTTTTAAATTTTGTCTTCAACCAAGCTTAGGACACATGTGGATTTGAAGGCTCAAGAATTCCAAGTAACCAAAAGAGTATAATTGTATTGTTTATAACAGAAAGAAAAGATAAATGCTTGAAGTGATGGATACCCCGTCTACCCTGATGTGATTGTTATGCATTGTATGTCTGTATCAAAATATCTTGTGTACCCCATAGATATTTACTATCTACTATTTACACATTAAAATAAAAAAAAAAATTCCAAGGCTCCTTGGTGTGGACCATGGTTCTCGGAATCTGTGGAGTAGGACCTTAGTAAATACTTGTGTGATGGTGATGGATTTCTGGTTAAGATTTCTTGATTTTTACTCTTTTACCAATTTCTTAACTATGTCGCTAAGGTTTAGTTAGCTTTTTTTGTTGTTGGGTAGACATGTCCTAAAGGCTTTTTGTACCCGATCTCAGAAGCTTGTTTTTCAACTGAATTGAAATGTATTTTCAATTCAGTAAATGAAGTATATATAAAAACCACAATGACTAAAGGGGCATTTTAAAGAAGGTTAGGGGCAGGAAAATCAACTAAATTTGATGACTGAAATGTTCTATTTTTCAAATGTCCATAACATTATCAGGAGGGGAAAAGCCAGAAACCATTGTGATTAAAACTGGTGATATATGAGCGTGGCTTTATCGAATATATAATATGATTATTTCATTTGTAAAGTGCTTTGCAATGCATGCTGAGTCAAATGCAATACAAATACTAATATAATATCCAGCATTGCAAATCCAGAGAAAAATGTATTGTGTATCGTCTTATGAAATATAATTTCCAGTGATTCTGAATAGTTTATATAGGGAACATTTTTTTTCTTGCTTTTCATGCTTCTAATTAAATGACCAGAATAAAACAATCACTTGAAAATAAATTCTGAAAGATTATTTCTTAACATATTTTCATATTTTTGCCAGCTTCGAACTCTTGGATTCTAGCTGGCATGCCAGCTGATTTGTGTGGGTCATCCAGACTGTGAGTTCAGGTTTTTTTCAGGGATGAAAAAGTCAAGCCTCTTGCTTTGGCTGAAGTGTCTGAGTTTATGATAATGTAAATATTGCCTTGTTTGTCAAAACCAAGCCTGCATCTTGGCTTTCTTCAGGAGACCTGGAAAGAGCTACTACTTCTTAACTCAACAAGCATTTATTTGTTTCCTACATTGTGATCACATATGTTTTAAGCATTCTTGGTAACACAAAGAGTATTTCCTGGTTTCTTGCCAACTTATTGGTTTAAAGTCCTGCCCAGTGAAGAGTGAAGATGTGTATTTAAATACTGCATTGTGTGACAGAAATTCCAAGAGTGGTAGATGATCAGGAAAGGAGAGACAATCCATGGATTCTAGTAGGTGGGAGAGCACAACTTGATATGGCCAGTGGCAATCCAACCCCAAAGACTGTGGGCAAGCTGGTGGATGGAGAAATACAATGGATGGTGCTCTGAAGGATTTGGGGGAGTCAAAGGGAAGGGGAAAAAATCCTCCAGGCCTATCCTTCACTTAGCTTTTTATTTTTAACAAATGAAAAATACATAGAGCAGTTGTCATTTGTTAAAGTGTAGCAGAAAGAGCGAAACAGGCCAGTGGAGGCTTCATCAAGAATGCTCATTCAGAATGATGAATGTGGCTAAACACACATTTGTTCGTAAAACTTGCAGAGTGGCTGAGCATCATTAAGCATGAGAAATAGGTGCAGCATGCTGAGAAGAGAGTGGAGCAAACAGATGTTGTGAATTTTCACAGGCATCCTTCATCCACCAGTCCATCATTAATATAGTTGAAGGTGATCCTTTCTTTTTATTTAATAAGCACAAACAAAGTGCATGTGTTGTGATTCTGCTGAATGCACTTCTTTTTCTGAAGAAGTAAGGGCGTGCAAGAATGGGGAGGATATGTAGACACATCAGTTCCCTGTGCTCCCATAACATGATATCAGCCTTGGGGCACAGCTAGTGCAGAATACCACTTTTATTTTTCCTTTTTTTTTTTTTTCACTCATCTTGCAGTAGCTCTAACTGCCTCATCACTCTGTTTGCTACCTAGCAGATTATCTGGATCTGCAGGAGAATGAAAAGCTTTATGGCTTTTGACCTTGCTACCTTCCAATTCTACTCCTTAGGATGCATCCGACTTTCTTTTTTTTTTTTTTTTTTTTTTTTTTGAGACAGAGTCTTGCTCTGTTGCCCAGGCTGGAGTGCAGTGGCACGATCTGGGCTCACTGCAAGCTCTTCCTCCCAGGTTCGCGCCATTCTTCTGCCTCAGCCTCCCGAGTAGCTGGGACTACAGGCGCCCGCCACCGCGCCCGGCTAAGTTTTTGTATTTTTAGTAGAGACGGGGTTTCACCGTATTATCCAGGATGATCTTGATCTCCTGACCTCGTGATCCACCTGCCTTGGCCTCCCAAAGTGCTGGGATTACAGGCGTAAGCCACCACGCCTGGCCGCATTCAACTTTTATAATGACATGCTACAACTTGTTTGCTGACATCAGCTGGGTAGACACTTTTTTTCCCTATTGGCAGAACTTCATTGACCCTACCCTGTATCATCCAATTCTACTTCTTTCCCTTCCTTCTCTTCGTTTTTACTTCTTGGCCCTTTGCTAGCATAGATCTTGGCCTACATACCCTTACAGGCCTTCCTTCACTTGGAAGCACAGTCCAGGCTTCTCATCTTGATCCTTGGACCCTTGACTACCACCAAAGGATTGAGAACCCTCTCTTTTTTAACCTCATTTCCCAGTTTGTGAAATGAAGATGGTAATGCTTCCTTTCCAGGGTTGGTCTAAGTAAAAGCATTTTGTGAACTCTGAAAAGCATCCTACAATTATTATGAATGTTGAATTGTGATCTATTAAACAATGAGTTCTCTTTTGTAGAGTTTTCACTTAGGGAGTTGTCAACATCTGCTTAAATCCTCATGGTCTGTTTGCCTAGAGCTTCACATTTAGTGCCAGATATGTTGGGTCTGTGAAGCTGTATCTGTTTTCACTGTGTGTGTCTGTGTGTGTGTGCACACGAGTGAGCACGCACGTGTGTTGTATGTATCTGTTCATTTTCAGACCAAACTGGAGGGGAAAAAACCTACAAGAAGGCAGTGAAACTCTCATATAGAGCTTGAGACAAGATATTGCTTTATCTTGCTATTAATGAACTATGAAGAATAACTTATAATTTTACAGTTGCGCCTTTCTTCATTCAAAATAAGCATTATTGGGATCCTGAATACCCTAAGGCAGAAGTGAGGAACTCCGTAATAAGTCATTTCAAAATGCAAACTATCTACTGGTAATCATAAATTTGTTTAACTTGTTACATGTACTTTTTGACCATGGCAGCTGTCTGCCTATGCTTTGAATTGGCATGTTGAGTTTAAGTGTGTTTGTGTGTGCTTTTGTTTAAAGACCAATATCTCTACTGTCATAGAGACCCATCTGAGTTAAAATTGCCAACATTGCCAGGGCTTTGTGACAGTGCTCATACATGCTGTAGCTCTGGGGTTCATCTTCAGCAGAATTCATAGACCAGAGTGCCAGGCATTCACTTTGAAGCAAAGAGAAGTGTTATTTTAGCTAACATTGAGCCCACATTCTAAAGGCAACATGCTTGGTTCCCGAAGCCTTAGCAAGAGGACAAGATAACATATTTACATGTTGGATGTGTTTTAATCATCTCCTTCCATGGGCCTTCTCACTCTCAAGTGCAGCACATGTGTCCTTAAAGGCCTTGAGTAGCTGTGGATCTCCTATGGTTTATTATCGAACTTAAATATACCTGCAGTTAGGAATGCTATGTTTTGTCTGTGTGAATGATTGCCCTCAGGAAGAGCATATGCATGTCGACTCAAGCCAGTCCTGGGAGCCTGAGTCCTACCTTGTGGCTGCCACCCAAACCTTGAGAGCCCTGCTGTTCCCTCTGGTTGCTTGGGCACTTGGCCAAATGCACAGGAAAGTGGAGTATATATGTGGAGACTTTGAATGGTGTGGTTTGTCTTCCCACTTGATACTAGTTATGCCGTGAAGACTTACCTGTGAATGAGGTCTGGTGGTAACTTATGTTCAAGCCTGGTGATGACAGTTCAGCTGCTTTGAGATCCAAGCACCCTGTAGGTGATCAGTGTTATGCCAAGAGGAAAGGAGGGTTGGCTTTGGCACTTTTTGGTAACCTGCACGTTCTAAAAGAAAATTTCTTTATTGGAATGCATAGTCATCTCTGCTGGTGCCTCTGGAGTAGTGAGTGAGTGCTTGCTCCAGAACTGATCTTGGTCTCCATGCTGTGATCATCCTAGTTAGGACATTGTCACAGCTTAGATGGCTGTAGTACAACTAGCCCTGGGTTTGGAGGCTTGGAGTCTCGTTTCCCCTCTGTCTCTGTTTCTTCATTGGTAGATGGAGATGATGGGGCTGAACTCATCGCTTGTTTAAAGTTCCTCAGTTATTTAGATATCCACGTTTTTCTGGGTCTTTCTCCATGCCAGGCATTGAAATGAAAACCATTGAAATTTTAACATTATCAATGAAAACTGGGTTTACTCTAAGTCGGGGTTGGCAAACTATGGTCTGCTGCCTCTTTTCATATGCCTGCAAGGCAAAAATGGTTTTTACATTTTAAATCATGGAGAAAAATCAGAAGAATACTTTGTGACAAGTGAAACTGATATGAAGTTCAAATATGAGTGTCCATAAATAAATTCTGTGCTTCTCATTAGTAAGCTGTGTTATAAGAAATTATGCTCAATATTTATTATATTTTTAATTTTGTCAGTAAAATTTATTTGGCAAAGGAATTTTTTTCTCTTGTTAGTTTCTCCATAGTACCCTTGATTTTACCACTTGGCCTAGAAAGCCTGAAATATTTACTCTCTGGTCCTTTACAGAAAGTGTTTGCTGACCTCTGGTCTATGTTATTTCACAGTCTCACTAGATGAGTGGTTTGCAAACTGTGGGTCATGATCCATTAGTTTTTGGTGAAATCAATTTAGAGGGTTACAAACAGCATCTTATAAATAAATGAAATAAAAGAGAATTTTAAAAGACAGGACATATCAAAGTGCATTGCATGTGGTATGGCGAATGCTGTTTTATGAAGTTTTTCTTTCAGATGGGAGCGTGTTTGTATGTGTGTACATGCTGGGTCACCATGTCAAATATAACGTGGGTCATGGCCCAAAGAGGTGGAAAAGGGTGGGGCATGGTGTCTGACACCTATAATGCCAGCACTTTGGGAGGCCAGGATGGGAGGATGGCTTGAGCCCAGGAGCTGGAGTCCAGTAACACAGTGAGACCCCTGTTTCTTAAAAAAAAAAAAAATTACCTGGGGTGGTAGCATGAGCTTGTAGTCCCAGCTACTGGGAAGGCTGAAGAGGGAGGATTGCTTGAGCCCTGGAGGTCAAGGCTGCAATGAGCCATGATGGCACCACTACCCTCTACCCTGGGTAACAGAGCAAGACCTTATCTCTAAAATACGTAAGTAAATAAGTAAATGAAGAGGTGGAAAGCCACAGCACTAGAGCACAAGCTCTTTGAGGGCAGAAAGCCTGTCTCATTCATTTTTGTTTCCTTGGGCCTGGCACAATGCCTGGGAAAAAAATAGGCTTTTAAGAATGTTTGAAGAGATGAATTAATGAGTTCAGGGAAGAAATAAGGCATGACTATTGAACATTATGGACACAGCTACTAAATAATCTCTGAACATGTCTTAATGTGTTTAGCTCAATGCATACGGTTTCCTGAAATGAGGAAATGCATTTCAGAGAGTGAACAAATAATTTATTTTCTGTATTGGAAGATGGCACCTAGGAAGCTGGGTTTGAGTTCCATCCTGAAGGATAGTCAGGTCATGTGTTAAGTGTGGTATAGAGAAGGGGGACAAGCATTGGCTTAGGGGTCCTGAGTGCCAGTGCTTGCTCTACCCTGAACTTCTGGGAACTTAGATGAGTTTCCTGTGTCTTTCTTGCCAAATTCCTTCAGCCCAGGCAAAGTGAGAATGATAATAATGATTATCAGACACTCAGCTGTGAAGATCAGAGGAGAGGATGAGGTGGAGAGCACTTTGAAAAGTATAAATCCGTGTGCAAAGGCAGTGCTCATTATTATGTCATGTTAAAACGTTTGTATCAGACCCTTTCTGTGGGCAAGACATGTGCTTGGCACAGTGGGAACTAGAAACTCAGACCCCTTAAGGTCCTCGTGGTTAAACTAATGAATCTTTAAGGTTGTTATACTGGTGAAAAGGTAAATAGCAACACAAAATTTAAAATAAGCCAATAGAAGAGGAGATGTTGTAAGGTCATCCATGCCCTTGCAAATGTTCAGACTCCCCAGGCTGAGGCAAAAGCTCTGGGGAAAGGTGAGAAGGGGAGGTGGTGCCAGAGGTATGAGATAGAGAGTCTTGAATAGAAAGGAAGGCCCTTCTCGCTGGGCTGTGGTAGTGGCAGCAGAAAGGAGAAGCCCCTGTAGATGAAAAAGTCCCCTCTCAGTGAGTGACTCCCTGGGCTAATTGCTGCATTACTCTCTTTGATGGGCCTGATGGTGCTGAGATAACAAAATGAAAAATCAAATGAGAAATGGAACCCAGGAGTCTAAAAAGTTAGTAAATTTTGACATTAGAAATATAATCAAATTTCACCAGTGCTTTTCTGTAGTGACAGCCAAATCCATCCATGTCAGAGCAATGGCCTATGGTATGTGGTTTCGTGTGGCTTTTCTTCCCCCTTTCTCTTTTCCTTTTGCAAAATCAGCATTAGGCTATTTGGAGGACAGGCGAGAACTATTATGTTAAATTGTGCTACCTACAACTTAAGCTTCTGTCTTTGCTAAAGCTGCCAGTTTTTATAAACAACAGAAGACAGAAAGGGTTTACTAAGAATAATGTTGAAGCCCAAAAGAATCCTACAGCCTATAAATCTTAATAGAGGTTCTGAGATTCCAGCAGGCTGGATGTGTCTCTTTTACCCGGGCTCACTCCATCTTGGCTCCCCCGTGATGACTCCAATTTTCTCGAAACACAGGCACAGTGCCTTGAATTTACTTGTGGCACTTTTTGCCTACAAACAGGAATACATGCATATAACCTATGCAAATCAATAAAAACATGTCAAGACCCCTTAGGTCGCACTACTCTCCTAAAATGCAATTTATCTTGCTGCAAATGAGAGTAAGGGACTAGGTAACAAATAGCGTCTGATCATTTAACTAGCACCTGTTGTCAATGCATTTGAAAACGGCATTTTTCATTTGACATACAGTAAATTGCATTTTCATATATATCGAATAGAAAAGTGAGCTGGGATGTACATATGAAGCCCTTTATGAATTTTATGAACAATGGATATTTTAGAGCTGTATGTTTAAAGGGGTCACGTCAGTTGCTGCAAATTTATTTGTTCCTTCCAGCATTGGTTGTGAACATACCATAGTTTTCTTATGGCTGGATGTTGAAGTGTGGCAACGCTGAAAGTATAATTATATCATTCATGTTAGGTGAAGGACAATTACTATAATTTTTGTATAAAATTGAATATAACTTAAATGTGTAAATATGATTTTTTTTTGTTTTTTTTTACAAAAGTTTCTTGGGGGAAAGCTGCTTTTTATACATTACATTTTTCAGTCAATTCCTTTGTCGGCTTAAATTATGAGCCACAGGTTTTTTTTTTAAATGCAATATTTTGTTTGCAGACGGGTGGCTGTTGCACAAATTCAACAACACTTAGGCTTATCAGCAACAATGGTTTTCACATTAGTGAGCATGGTTTGGCAATATTATTTGACATCTGGAACAAGCTATATTATACCAGACATATCAAGTATAACTGAATGGATCATTTAACTGGCATTTGTTTCAAAAACTCCCACTCCAGCTTTTGCCTGGCTGTCATGATATGCCGGCAACACATCCTGTGTTTCCCTGGCTTCTGTGTCCCTCATTGGCATTTGGCAGTCTCATGCTCCCTTCCCACCTTCAGGTGGACACTTAGTCATCACGACGATGAGGCCATATTCTTGCGTCTCTTTTTGGAGAAGTCCAGGATGCCAGGTAGCTGCAGAGGGAAGGAGCTCTGTGACCATTTTAGCCAGGACTCAGGCCATCAATTGCACCATCAGCTCTTCTCTTATTTTGAGTGTTTGATTATGGCTCCCCCCTGGCACATCTACATGTTTTGTAACTATGTCACACAGGGAGATCGGCTTTGTTGAATTTCCTGTAACTTGGATAGAGAGGAGAAAAAACAGGAAAGGGCCCTCTGCGTTGCATCCTTTAATAAAAGAACCACATGGGGGCAGAGAGAGAAGAAGCTGGAAGTAAGAGGAAATGGTAATAGCAGAATTTTAACACTTAGTTTTTCTCAGTCTACCTAAGATTTTCCTTTAGCAATTTGGAGTATATAGTCACAACTTGGCAGCCTAGCACCAAAGTTGTATATCATTGCTGCTATTGTTTTACTTTGTTGCTCTGCCTAAGGAATTCACTCCTTAGGATGTTGAAGCCAGGCTTATGAAGAATCTCCATGGGGAAACTGGTATGAAAATGCTAGGTACCTCCTAAATAAGAAGTAATGCATTTACTTCTTGCAGAAACGCTGTTGCTTTTGTTACTTATTTGTGTGTGTGTTTGTGTGTGTGTGTGTGTGTGTGTGTGTGTGTGTGTGTGTATGAGCTTTTCTCTTTAAACTAAGCAGGATATAAGCAGACCCCACCCAGCTTAGTGAGTAAATTCATACCAACCATTCAAAATAATTAAAGGGAAAGAAGGACTTGTTAAGTAAAGCAAATAATGAACAAGTCTCAAAAGGCAAAAGCCAAATAATGAGAAAAGTCATAGGCTTAACCTCATTTTCACTGCATTTGGTAAAATTGTTTTTATCAATATAAACAATCAGAAATTGAGGCTTGAGGCAGAAAAGGGATTTATTATCTAACTAATGTCACTGAAAGGAACTGCTCAAGGTGGTCATAGCACTGGAAAGAAAGAAGCAGCCTTAATTCTCCTAACATTGCCGTTTAGATTAGTTGGAGACAAATTCATTTTTCATTAAGTCTTTTATTCATTCCACAAATATTTCATGAGCTTCAAATGTTATGTGCAAAGCACCATATTAAGTGTGGAGTGTAGGCAAAGTAAATAAATAAATAATACCGAAATGATACCAAAAACAAACCCCCCACCACCAACAAAAACCAAAGCAGAACAAACCCATTTATAATAGCATCAAAAAGAATACTTAGGAATAAACTTAACCAAGGAGGTGGAAAACTTGTACAAAAAGTATAAAACATTGCTAAAAGAAATCAAAGGTACCAATAAATGGAAAGATACCCTATGTACATAGATTGGAAAATTTAATACTGTTAAAATGTCAATACTACCCAAAACAATCTATAAATCTATGTAATCTTGATCAAAATCTCAGTGGCAATTTTGCAGAAATAGAAAAAGCTATTCTAAAGTTCATGTGGAATCTCAAGGAACCCTGAATAGTCCAAACAATCTTGAAAAAGAAGAATAAAGTTGGAGGCCTCATACTTCCTAGTTTCGAAATGTATTACAAAACAACAGTAATCAAGATGGTGTGCTATTGACATAAAGACAGACACATAGACAATTGGAACCAAATACAGAGTTCAGAAATTGACCATTGTGTGTATGGTCAAATGATTTTCAAAAAGAGTGCCAAGACTTCACCATGGGTAAAGGACAGTCTCTTCAACAAATGATGTTGGCAAAAGTGGATAACCATATGCAAAAGAATACAGTTGGGTCCTAACTTCATATTATATACAAAAATCAATTCAACATTTTATAGTTTTAGTTATTACTCTTAGGGTCTAAAACTATAAAACTCTTAGAAGGAAACATAGGAAAGCTTCAATGCAGTGGATTAAGCAATGATATTGGATATGACACCAAATGCACAGGCAACAAAAACAAAAATAGACAAATGGAACTACATCCAACTTAAAAACTTCACATCAAAGGAACAATTAACAGAACAAAATGGCAGCCTATGTGATGGGAGGAAATATTTGCAAATCATATATATGTAGTTAAATCCAGAATATATAAAGAACTTCTACAATTCTATAACAAAAAGATGACCTCATTAAAAAATGGGTGAAGGACATGAATAGAAGTTCTCCAAAGAAGATATACAAATGGCTAACAAGCACATGAAAATATCACATGATTCAACATCACTAATCATAAGGGGAAAATCAAAGAAGGTACCAATAAATGGAAAGACATCCTCTAAAAGATTCATCACTAATCATAAGAGAAAGAAAATAAAAAACATGAGCTATCACCTTATACCCATTTGGATGGCCAGTATCAAAGGAATAGAAAGTAACCTGTACTGCTAAGGATATGGAGAAATTGGAACCCTTGTGTACTGTTGGAAGGAATGTAAAATGATGCAACTGCTATGAAAAACAGTATAGAGGTTCCTCAGAAAATTAAAAGTAGAATTACCTTATGATCTAGCACTCTCACTTCTGTATATATATCTGAAAGAATTCAAAGCAAGATCTGGAAGGGACAATTTCTCACTTATGTTCATTGCAGCATTATTAACAATAGTCAGTAGGTAGAAGCAGCCCAAATGTCCATCAATGGATGAATGGATAAAGAAAATGTGGTATGAAATGTTATGCAGCCTTAAAAAAGAAGGAAATCCCTGTCACATGCTACAGCATGAATGAACCTCTAGGCTTAATTAAATGAAATTAGCCAGTCACAAAAGGACAAATACTGTATGATTCCACTTGTAGGAAGTAACTAAAGTAGTCAAAATCATAGAAACAAAGTAAAAGTTGGTGATGATGTAGAGTATGGGTTTTCTTTTGGGTTGTGGAGTGGAGGCCCATTGCTTCACTGGGTGAATGAGCAGCTTTTCTACCAGAGCCTGCTGTTTGTTCAACAGGCCTGTAAACATACCTCTGTGCTATGCTGAGTCCTGGTACTGTGATCCAGCATTGGGCACCCGGGACTAGTCTCTTCTTTTCCTGCCTCCTTCTTCCTGGGTATTCATAGGCATCTGCCTATTTACTTCCAAATTCCAAGGGAGAATTGGGCTCATAAATCTTCACAATACCCCAGATGCATTACAGTGTTACTCACTGGCATTGTTACCTTAATGCCTCTCTAATTATCTTGTGTGCCCAGACCATAGACACTTCTTAGGGAGGAAGAGCAAGAGCAGAAGAGGACAGCCACACCTGCATCACTCTTCTGTGTAAGTTCCATCTGGCACATCCTCTTTTCTCTTTGGGAGGGAAAAGTGGCTCGTTTTGCCCTTAGACCCATTCTTGCCCATACTCTGCTTTGCTGTCTATCACAGGGGCTGTCATCTGTGGGGGCAGTTCCCAAGCTCCTTGACCAGCCAGCTTCCTATTGGGTTTGACCAATGGGAGGCCCTGTCAGGAGACTGGAAGGTGGAGCAAGTGGTAAGCCAGGGTATCTGTCCCTGTCTTCTCTGCCTCTGGTAGCTTCTCTGGCATGGGCTGATCTCTGCTGTGGCTCCAACTCCTCCTATAGGACATGGCCTACCAGGGCTTAGTTTTAGTTGGTGACCCTCGTCCCAGTGTCCCCATTGTCTTTCAGTCTGAGAGTGGTAATGCCTTCTTATTCTTGCTTCTCCTGTGCTGTATATCCTTGCTGTAAATTCAATTCCCAGCATTGCATTTCTTCTTATGTAGATACTTGAAGCAGTTCCTATTTTCTCGGTTTGACCCTAACTGATGCAGTTCTGTAGGCCTTTAGAAAGCCCTAAGTAGTTCTATGGAATCCACCCAAGTGTCCATCAATGATAGACTGGATAAAAAAAAATTGTACATATATACCATGAAATACTATAAAGCCATAAAAAGGAATGAGATCATGTCCTTTGAGGGGACATGGATGGAGCTGGAAGCCATTATCTTCAGCAAACTAACACAGGAACAGAAAGCCAAA
Source organism: Homo sapiens (assembly GCF_000001405.40). Lineage (NCBI taxonomy): Eukaryota > Metazoa > Chordata > Mammalia > Primates > Hominidae > Homo > Homo sapiens. The sequence goes on from NC_000010.11 coordinate 75,849,516, forward strand.
CACCGCATGTTCTCACTTCTAAGTGGGAGCCGAACAATGAGATCACATAGATACAGGGAGGGAAACAACATACACTGGTACCTTTCGGGGGTGAGGTTGCGGGAGGGAGAGCATTAGGAAAAATAGCTAAAGCATTCTGGGCTTAATAACTAGGTGATGGGTTGATAGGTGCAGCAAACCACCATGGTACACGTTTACCTATGTAACAAACTTGCACATCCTGTACATGTACCCCAAAATTTAAAATAAAAATTTAAAAAAGCCCTAAGTAGTTCTGTTGAAAAAACCATTTACTGAAGGAAAGCAAGATTGGAAACCAACAGTGTCAAATTTTTACACATGGTTCAGTATTAGTTATAGTATTAGTTAGTTGTCTGCTGGGTCTGTAGCCAAAGCTGAAAGCAATTGATGACAATGTGAAGGTAAACTGGTTCATGTTTGCTGAGTGTTTTTTTACTTGTGGTAGCATATAAATTGTGAAATGGGATGGAAATAAATGCTGGTATCTTAGACTTTATTTTAGATCATTATGATGATAAACATGGTGTTTTCATATTATAGAAACTTCTATCATCATAACTCAGCATGGATAGTCTATCCAGTTTAATAAGACTGTATTTATTATATGAGCACCTTGATGGTCTGGCATCAGGCCAGACATAAACTAGAAAGAGAGCCCAGTATAAGCTGAAAAGCGGTCTCTCAATTGGGAATAAAAAGATTAAAAACTGCAGATTACATTTAGTCTGTAACCATTTTTTCATTTTATTTGAGATTTTTAAAAAGTATAGTAGGGCTATTGTGAAAATTGTAAATGATGGAGTCTTTTATTTTAGGAGTCTTTCATTCCTTTTTGGTGTATGCTGGAGGTGCCCCAACAAGCTGTCAAATCCACTATTAGCTTCAAGAGTTGGGCATTCCCACTCAAACTTAGTGTTAAAAACATTATTTTCTTTCTTCTCAGTTTTTAAGCTCCCAAGAATTACTGGGTGGGTAAGAATCTAGTGTTTTTCTGTTGCTCATATAACACCATCTGGGTTTCCAAGAGGTACACTTTGGCCTGAGAGAATGGCTGTTGAGTGGTATAGAAAACATCAAAGTCAAAACAGTAACATATTAAAAAATATTGGTTCATCTAATACACAGGGTTTGGGGGTTAGAAGCTAAGATCACTCGGTTCGGTTCCTGCCATCTTGGAGTTTATAATCTACTGGAAAATGCAGACAATCAGGATGGTAACTGTGAAGTTTCGGGGCCTTGGGAGCAGAGGAAAGGTTGTCTGGACAGATCTGGAAGCTGAAACTTGAAAGACAAGAGGAATTCATTTGACAGGAGTTGAAACAGTAGTGTTCTGGGCAGAGGCTACCAGAGTATGCAGAGGTTTGAAGGCATGAACAATGAGAGAACATATTGTCTCATGAGAAATGACACAGAAATATTTTAAAGTTGGGTCTTTCTAAAAGTAAAATAACAGCTTTAAAAAAAATTGTTTTTTTAACCCCGCCTGGAAGAGGATCATTTTGGTGGTTGTTGTTGTTCAACATGATTGAATATGATTGGGTATTATTACTTGCTGATGGGACTTAATTTTCTCTTGTTTAAATGTGATCCATTATCTTGTGTCTAGAACATATTAAAATGACTTCAAAATGAGAAACAAGGGAACCTTGGTTACTTCAGCACAAACATCCTTGTTTATTGAGCTGACATGAAGGGTGCTGGGATATTTTAATATTACGATAATATAGATGCTTAAATCTCAGGGTTAAAGAACTAGATTAGTCCTCTGTGATGCTGGGCTACTCAGACCATAAAGGTAACTCAGTGTTTACTGTTATGTTTTTCTATTCTTATCCTGTTGTGTCTTGCCTCCTGGCTTCTCTCTTTTTCTTTTTTTCCTCTTCTTTCCTTCCAACTCAAAACTCATCAACTTGCAATACCCCTGATAAAACTCATTTATACTGCTTACCAAATTTTCTGGCTTCAGCCAGCTGTTCAGTTTTTTTTATTGTGGAAGGCCCCAAACTCTTCTCACTACTTGTTCTGAAGATAAATTAGCGACTTCTAAATAATGCAGTGAACCCTAATTCTCTTTGATTAGTAGCAAGTTAGATGATAGTGACCCATTGAAATTGGCCATCAGCATAAATAATGAGTGAATGAACTGATAAAATGCAAAGTCACTGGCCATCATAAATCAAATGAAATCCACTTTCTCTGGAAGTCACTGAAATTAGAAGTCCATGCTCCTATTAATTATTTTGCCTTCTGAAGACGACAGTGTTATAAATCAGCCTTGAAAGGCCCTTCACTTAGAAAGCTGAAGGAGTACGGCTGCCTGCAAATTGCTTTGTGTACGCACCTAATTGTTTCTTAAGTAATTCACCTTTGTAGCATTGCTTCAGGAAACGAAGAAGGTCCCTTCGGTTGAGATCCATGACTTGTAGCCTTAGGAATGGCCTTGAGAAGGCTCTCTGGAAGGTCCAAATTGGAGTGGGCAATTCCCCACCCCCTTCTCTAGAACAGATATCCTCATGTTCTTTGTCTTACAACTCAGACCCCATCAGGTGGGCTGGCATTTTTGGAGTGGTTTGCTATGGCAGGATCCAAAAAAAGGCTGGCAGTAGGCCCTGAGCCATTTCATCATCTTGTCTCAACTTAACTTCCAGCCAGGCCTAAGAAGCCAAGCTTCACTAGAATTCAGTGAAAACCAAGATTTTAAAAGTTGAGAAAAAATAGAGATTGAAAACTCTGACTTCTGAGGTTCATTGTAAAGAGTTGTTGTAATCTGCATATATTAGGTATGAAGTGACACATAATTTTTGGTAAAAGGTGGGTGGGAAATTATATTCATTTAGGAGCCTATTTTGCAACAGATATTTTAAAAAACAACACTTTTTGGAAAAGAGGTTAATTGGATGGTAGGAAATGTTGTAAATTAGTTTCATTTAGGACCATTACCTGTCATTTAAAGTTCTGAATTTGAGACTGCTGATTAAAAAAAAGCAAAACAACAACAACAACAACAAAAAAAACAACAAAAAAATAGTAATCTCTTGGGTGTGGTCTCAAAAATTTGGTCCAGCTTTGAGATGTGATCCTGGATTGTTAGCAAATCTATTCAGAGCTGACAAGGAAATTCTCTGTTGCCTATTGAGTGTGGGTGACTTTTGCTGGCCTCTGTAGAGAGATGGATGGGCAGGCTTGTGGAGGTGAAGACAGACATCAGTAGGCGGTAGCTCCTGAGACTTCCAGCTGCTAGTTAAGTATATGATGAGTGTTCAAAACTAGCTTTAGTATAGGCTCCATAGATGGGGGTTGTATTAGTCCGTTCTCATGCTGCTCATGCTAAGTAATTTATAAAGGAAAGAGGATTAATTCACAGTTCTACATAGCTGGAGAGACCTCAGGAAACTTACAATCATGTCAAAAGGGGAACCAAACACATTCTTCTTTACGTGGCATCAAGAGAGAGAAATGCTGAGCAAAGGGGGAAAAGCCCCTTATAAAACCATCAGATCTCATGAGAACTTAGTCACTGTCATGAAAATAGCATGAGGGAAACTGCCCTCATGATTCGATTACCTCCTACTGGGTCCCTCCCACGACACATGGGGATTATGGGAACTACAGTACAAGCTGAGATTTGGATGGGGACACAGCCAAACCATATCAGAAGTGGAATGAAGATAGGGTTTTTAAGGAAAACTCATTCTTACTTTTCTCATTTTCTAAACTTCCTATCATCTGCTGCAGGCCTGCCCAATTCCCCTAGTGGCCAGTACAGTAAATGTACATCCTGGCCTTGGAAAATGAAAATGATCTCCTGGATTGTAAGAAGCACATTCTCTTACTTCTTTGTGTTGTGATAATCAGAGTGTCCTGGCATGTTCTAAAGCATCCACCTAAAGAAGAGGGGTGTGTGTGTGTGTGTGTGTGTGTGTGTGTGTGGTCACATGCACACACAGTCATCTGCACAGCTGAAAGAACAATCTGCTTTCAAGTGAGTGGTGCAAATTCTCATGTGTGAGTGTGTTCTGGTGTTGGGGTTAGTTGCTGCTAAATCATTTGTGCATCTGAATAACCCATTCTCAAAACTAAACTTAATGATGTATAATTGAGCATTATGTCATGAAGTAGAAAGGAGCAATTGTTCCCTGAGATATTGAATACCAAATGCAAAGATGTTCTGGGCTGTGTCCTTGAAACCAGCCGACTCTGTGATTTCACAGTGATTCCATGAGGCATTCTACACCTTCAGGATGAGAGGACATCTTAATCCTCTGGACATCCCCAGAACTGCCTATCCCAGCTACTGGGCCTCCCCAACTCTTATTAGATTCCTACCCATAGTAGTAGAATTCTGCTTGTTGTTGGAGAAGGTTGGTGGAAGAAAATGCAGCTAATGGTCTTTCTGCCTTGCTTCTGGAAGTCCAGGAGGGCCCTGCCAGTGGTCTGTGCTGCAGGACAGAGTGAGGCATCTGTGGGCATTCCTTGCCTGGCAGCTGATATTGTGTGTCTCTGTTGGTCCTCATTCATCTAGCTTGCGTTTTAGAGTTGTGGTTATGTAATGGGGGCGTGTAATAAAGATTTGTTGATTGTTGGACATGCTGTGGGAGTGCAGGAGGAGCTCATGCGAATGAGTGGCTCTAGTATTTTTGGATTTGTTTCTGAGGTTTGTACAGGATAGGCAAAGTCTCGACCATCTATAAGACTGTCCTCCTGGCATGTGTCATTTATTGCTCAAGGTTTCTGGATTTTAGAACATCCTTCTTTGCTTGGGTGATATTCCCCTGTGTGGTATATAATCAAGTAACCATATGTCCTGGTTTCCCTGGGATAGTCTCAATTTATGCCTATTTTTCTAGTATGATTATTAATATTGGCCACCCCCCATGCCTTTTACTCTCAAAATATCCAGATTTGGATGGCCACTTTCTATATAATACTGAAAAGGAATGTTTATATTTGTTGTCCTAGTACCATAGAAACAGTGGCATATTGAAATAATCAAGGCTTTGGAAAAATGACCAATTTATTTATTTATTTATTTATTTATGTTTTAATTATACTTTAAGTTTTAGGGTACACGTGCACAATGTGCAGGTTAGTTACATATGTATACATGTGCCATGTTGGTGTGCTGCACCCATTAACTCGTCACTTAACATTAAGTATATCTCCTAATGCTATCCCTCCCCACTCCCCCCACCCCACAACAGGCCCCAGTGTGTGATGTTCCCTTTCCTGTGTCCTGTGTTCTCATTGTTCAATTCCCACCTATGAGCGAGAACATGCAGTGTTTGATTTTTCGTTCTTGTGATAGTTTGCTGAGAATGATGGTTTCCAGCTTCATCCATGTCCCTAAAAAGGACATGAACTCATCATTTTTTATGGCTGCATAGTATTCCATGGAGTATATGTGCCACATTTTCTTAATCCAGTCTATCATTGTTGGACATTTGGGTTGCTTCCAAGTCTTTGCTATTGTGAATAGTGCTGCAATAAACATACGTGTGCATGTGTCTTTATAGCAGCATGATTTCTAATCCTTTGGGTATATACCCAGTAATGGGATGGCTGGGTCAAATGGTATTTCTAGTTCTAGATCCCTGAGGAATCGCCAGACTGACTTCCACAAGGGTTGGACTAGTTTACAGTCCCACCAACAGTGTAAAAGTGTTCCTATTTCTCCACATCCTCTCCAGCACCTGTTGTTTCCTGACTTTTTAATGATCGACATTCGAACTGGTGTGAGATGGTATCTCATTGTGGTTTTGATTTGCATTTCTCTGATGGCCAGTGATGATGAGCATTTTTTCATGTGTCTGTTGGCTGCATAAATGTCTTCTTTTGAGAAGTGTCTGTTCATATCCTTCGCCCACTTTTTGATGGGGTTGTTTTTTTCTTGTAAATTTGTTGGAGTTCATTGTAGATCCTGGGTATTAGCCCTTTGTCAGATGAGTAGATTGCAGAAATTTTCTCCCATTCTGTAGGCTGCCTGTTCACTCTGATGGTAGTTCCTTTTGCTGCGCAGAAGCTCTTGAGTTTAATTAGATCCCATCTGTCAATTTTGGCTTTTGTTTCCATTGCTTTTGGTGTTTTAGACATGAAGTCCTTGGCCATGCCTCTGTCCTGAATGGTATTGCCTAGGTTTTCTTCTAGGGTTTTTATGGTTTTAAGTCTAACATTTAAGTCTTTAATCCATCTTGAATTAATTTTTGTATAAGGTGTAAGGAAGGGATCTAGTTTCAGCTTTCTACATATGGCTAGCCAGTTTTCCCAGCACCATTTATTAAATATGGAATCGTTTCCCCATTCCTTGTTTTTGTCAGGCTTGTCAAAGATCAGATGGTTGTAGATATGCGGCATTATTTCTGAGGGCTCTGTTCTGTTCCATTGGCCTATATCTCTGTTTTGGTGCCAGTACCATGCTGTTTTGGTTACTGTAGCCTTGTAGTATAGTTTGAAGTCAGGTAGTGTGATGCCTCCAGCTTTGTTCTTTTGGCTTAGGATTGACTTGGCAATGCAGGCTCTTTTTTGGTTCCATATGAACTTTTAAGGAGTTTTTTCCAATTCTGTGAAGCAAGTCATTGGTAGCTTGATGGGGATGGCATTGAATCTATAAATTACCTTGGGCAGTATGGCCATTTTCATGATATTGATTCTTCCTACCCATGAGCATGGAATGTTCTTCCATTTGTTTGTATCCTCTTTTATTTCATTGAGCAGTGGTTTGTAGTTCTCCTTGAAGAGGTCCTTCATGTCCGTTGTAAGTTGGATTCCTAGGTATTTTATTTTCTTTGAAGCAATTGTGAATGGGAGTTCACTCATGATTTGGTTCTCTGGCAGAGACACAACAAAAAAAGAGAATTTTAGACCAATATCCCTGATGAACATTGATGCAAAAATCCTCAATAAAATACTGGCAAACTGAATCCAGCAGCACATCAAAAAGTTTGTCCACCATGATCAAGTGGGCTTCATCCCTGGGATGCAAGGCTGGTTCAACATATGCAAATCAATAAACAGAATCCAGCATATAAACAGAAGCAATGACAAACACCATATGATTATCCAATAGATGCAGAAAAGGCCTTTGACAAAATTCAACAATGCTTCATGCTAAAAACTCTCAATAAATTAGGTATTGATGGGACATATCTCAAAATAATTAGAGGTGTCTATGACAAACCCACAGCCAATATCATACTGAATGGGCAAAAACTGGAAGCATTCCCCTTGAAAACTGGCACAAGACAGGGATGCCCTCTCTCACTACTCCTATTCAACATAGTGTTGGAAGTTCTGGCCAGGGCAATCAGGCAGGAGAAGGAAATAAAGGGTATTCAATTAGGAAAAGAGGAAGTCAAATTGTCCCTGTTTGCAGATGACATGATTGTATATTTAGAAAACCCCATTGTCTCAGCCCAAAATCTCCTTAAGCTGATAGGCAACTTCAGCAAAGTCTCAGGATACAAAATCAATGTGCAAAAATCACAAGCATTCTTATACACCAATAACAGACAAAAATGAGCGATTTAAACTTACTCCCTGGCATGTGACCTCTGGCAAGTTAGCTTCTCTGAGCCTCTGTTTCTTTATCCAATAAATGGGGATCGATCATTGCACATCCCTCACAGATTTGTGCTGAGGATTAAATAACAGGGAAAAGTCCCAGCAGATTGTTGGGCACATAGGTAGGTAGAGGATAAACATTTGTTCTTTTCCTCAGAATATGCCAAGAAACTTGGCGGGTTGGGGGCCAGAGGCTTTGGCATGTTTCCGAACCTCCTTTCCAGTTGATGCAGGCAGTTCAGTCAGCATCAGGTGTCACAAAAAGAGAGAGAAAAATCATCCTCTCACCACCTGGTGTGGGTGAGAGAAGGTCCTCTTTGAGGGAAAACCTCTCCCCCTAAGGCTCTTGGAATGCCCCATGTAAAGAGATGCAAAAAGATATCCCCAGAAGAGTGAGAAGCTGAATTTGCTGTTTGCTCAAACAAAGGATTGATTCAGCATTTCTAGCAAAAGGAGCAGGAGGCTTGCCAGAGGGCCAATAAATAACTTTGCCTTTCACATGTAATATAATGGTGAAAGTAATCTATTGGTTTGGGAGCCTCTATCTCTTCATCTGCGAAATGGGGATAGAGATCATAGAATTAAAGGAGGCCATAAAGATAAAGCAGTGTTGCAAACTGTAGATGCAGGGCAAATCATGTTTTTCTTGTTTATACAGAAGTAAAGCACCAAATGAGCTGAACACTATCCTGGGGTAAAATGACCGCATGAAGCAATACACATAAGATGCACAGGTCTTTCAGACGATCTTCATTCATACGCTTGCTGTCTTTCGCTAATGCTGCAGGAGGGCACACACAGTTCTGTTTTACTGGCCCTACAGGGATTGCTGATTTTAAGCAAGTTGTGTAGTTTCATGGAGATTACTATTCCTGTTCACATTTTTAATTAGAAAGAGAAAAAGGATTTATTTTTCTCAGGGCTTCCAGCCCAGATGGCTCAAAGTCTATGGAAGAAGGGTCCCGAGTGCAGGTGGCCAGGCCTGGTTGTCTGCTGTGATGCTGGCTTTATGTGACCTTTCTGGCTGCCTAGGTGGGGCACAGATTCTGAGGCCCCCCCGTACCAGCCCACCAGCAGTGCCCTGGCCCCTCTGTCTACTCAGTAGAAGCAGGTACCACATGGGGACCCTGTATCACCGCAGTAAGTGGCAGTATGCAGCTCATGCTAGGCCCGGTGAAAAGATGCTGATAGCTTGCAGGAGCCCTTGGAAGGACAAGCTAAAATATATCCATATGTGCTCATGTCTGCTCCTTCTGGTACCTGTCGCACCCTTCCCTTCCCCATCTTCTCTTCTTCCCCCTCTCCACTAATTATCACAGTACAGCCTAACAATGCATAAGGCTCTCCACCCAAACTAGGTGGGACTCTGTGCTGCATTTATTTAGCTAATACTTCACATAGCACTTAATGTGTGCTGAGTAACAGCAGCATTCCCTTGACCAAGTCACATGCCATTGAGAGTGGGAGAGGCTGGGATTAGAGCTTAGCCAGCTGATGCCACAGTCCTTGCTCTACATTGTTTTTACTTCCCATCCCCCTCCTTTCTAATGGCTACCTTTCCATTCATCTGGTTTGCTTGTTGTTTGTTCTATAAATTTCTGAAAATACTATGAACTCTTAATTGGAGAATGCTTGAAGGGAAGGTTGCCCTGCCATGTCTTTTTATGCATTGAAAATTAAATTTTAACTACACAGGTATTCTCCATACTAACTGCTGAGGCTCAGTTCTTTTTGGCTGCTCCTCTACCCCTAATCTCTTCCCCAGAAGAGATAACCACATTAGGAATTTGCTACATTGACTTCTGCTTCTTCTGTGAATTTATATCCCTCTCTGCCACAGGCACGTTTATTTATGCATGCTAAAGAAAGTATAGTGCTGTATACATTCAGCAGCTTGCTGTTTACACCCAAAGGTATGTCTTAGCTATCTTTTCATGTCAATACATGTAAATATACTTGCACTTTTTGACTTGTGTGCAATATTCCATAGTGTGGCTATGCCAAAGTTTATTTGATCCTTAGCTTTCTAATGGGCATTTTGGGTGTTGGTCATTTTTGGTGTCACATAAGTAATGAATGGCCTTATTATGGGCCTTTTGTGCATATGTACAGGTGTTTCTCTTGAGTATGTTCTAAGAGATGGAATTGCTTAATCATAGGGTTTGCACATTTTAAATGGTACTGGATGCTGTCAGTTTGGCCCCTGTGGTGATTTTTATCAGTACTCACCCCTCCCGGTGATTTATGGAAAGTATTATTTGACCAGCTGCCCTGCCCACATTTGGTATTAGCATGCTTTCAAAATGTTTGCAGTCTCTTGGGTATGACATGGTACATCTCACTGCCATTTACAATTTTCATTTTCCTGCCAAATTTGAAAAATAATTTCACATATGTATTGTCTTTTTTGTTGTGAATTGCCCATGTATATTATTGGTTCATGTTTCTGTTGGCTTGCATGACTTTTAGTTATTGGTTTCTAGGACATCTTTATATATTCAGGGCATACACACACACACACACACACACACACACACACACACACACACACACATACATCTGGCCTCGATGCCTCATACATTGCAATTATTTTCTTCTAATTTGTTGCCATTCAGCTTTATGGTACCCTTTTTATATATAGGTTTTAAATTTTGATGCTGTCAAATAAACAGGTCTTCTCTGTTATGCTATTTATGTCTAATTTAAGGCCTTCCTGACCTTTTGGCTGTAAACATATTCTCCTGTATTTCTTCTAAAACTTTGATTATTCTAATTTTACCTTTTAGGCCTTGATCCATTGAATTTTTTTCCCTTGGTGAATGGTTTTATGTTAACGTTGATGTTAAAATTAATATATTTTTCCCCAAATGGATACATTCGACCCAACACCATTTGTTTTTAGGTCATTTTGCTAAGTATTTTGAAATACTGTTTTTGTTACATATAAAATTTCTAATTATACAGAAAACCAGACTCTCTATTCTGTTCCGTTGATCTATTTGTCTATCTGTTTGCTATTAGAAGTATTAAAAATAGTGTCTAAACTGGCTAAGAGTATTTCACAAAATTTATGAGAGGAGCCCAAGAGGTCGCCTTGTGCAAGAGGTCACCTTGCTCTTTGCTGGCTGTTGGCTTCAACTGAACAGTAATCTCTAGAGCCTGAGGACTACGCTCGATTCCTGTGTTCTTGGAAAGCTAGATCATTATGATGTTTCTGGTTTTTTTTTTTTTTTTTTTTTTTTTTTGAGACAAGTGTCTTGCTCTTTTACCCAGGCTGGAGTGCAGTGGCGCGATCTCTGCTCACTGCAACCTCTGCCTCCCAGGTTCAAGTGATTCTCCTGCCTCAGCCTCCTGAGTATCCGGGATTAAAGGTTTGCACCAGCATGACTGGCTAATTTTTGTATTTTTGGTAGAGACAGGGTTTCACCATTTTGGCCAGACTGGTCTTGAACTCCTGGCCTCAAGTGATCTGTCCGCCTCGGCCTCCCAAAGTGCCGGGGTTACAAGCATGAGCCACCACACCTGGCACATTATGATGTTTCTAACTCATGCTTTGAAGCCCAATGTTGCTTGTGTGATACATTTTATTACTAACAAACATTGGAACGCTTCTCATAGGCTTTGAGGCATGTGAGTCAAAGTGATGGTGACAGGGTGTCCATCAGAAGATACAGGTTCTAATTTTAATTCTGCCCTAAGTTCTGTGGCCACAGATTACTTACCCTGCCTGTTATACACTGGGGAAGAACTCGGATTGAGTAGACCTAGCATCCTGGCTTGCACCTGCCACTTATTGAACATGGGGTTTGGGGCAAGTATTTAATTTCTCTATCTCATCTGCTAATAAAGATATTATTGACCTCTCAGGATGGTTCTAAGAGATTTTTATAGAAATAAGGTTATAAGATAGCATTTTGTTAACTGTCAGGTACCCTGGAAACTGGAACTATATACTAATGTGTACAAGCTTCATTTTCATTTTGGTCCAATGACGATAATAAATCTTTGTCTCACCTGCCTCAGATAGCTGTTCCAATCATCAAATGGGATGTGCTTTGATAAAATTGAAATGTCATACAAATTATTTATTGCTGATGAATACCAACAGGTGGATTGGAATCAGCAAATATTAACCAAGCCCATGGGGTTATTACAGTGAAGCAGGGTCATATTAGCTGGGTATCCTCAGGGGAGAATTGTTGGAGCGTGATTTATCCATTTATAGGGGTCCTTTTTACTCACTTGGGTGAAAAAAGGTGTAAAGTTGGTCCTTTGAAAGACTCAAATGGTCTGTTAAGTGTGAATAATGGGAGAACAAGTGCTGTATGGAGTTCTTCTGTTACAAGAGTCAAGAGGCAGAGTGGGACTGGCTGCAGTATTCCTTGTGTTATCACTGGCTATGTCTAGAGTTTTTCAAATTAAAAAAGGAAGTTTTATTTTTTATTTGTTTATAAATTGTGAAATGCTTCTCTTTTTCTCTTTCCCTACTTACCTAAATGTAAGAACACTAGGTCATTGAATATTAAAGTGAAAGACTAGAACAAGAAAAAAAAAGATAGTTTCTTGGGATTTACTATTATAATGGCAACAGTCTTTATCCCTCTAGAGGGAAGGTGCTAGTTATGGTGGATTCTTACTGTGGTGGCCCCCAATGAACCACACTTCCTAGTAGTTCCCTTTTATATCTAGTTCCCTTTTATGGTGACTCTGGACTTGGCAAATGGGACATTAGCATGTGGGATGCAAGCACAATCTTAGTAAATGCTTGCACATTGGAGCTGGTCTTCTTGGAATGCTTGCTCTTAGAATCCACCTGCCAGGTAAAGAAGCTCTACCTAGCCAATGTGGAGAGAAAGAGCTCACAGCCTCCAGCTATCCCCCCCAAGATTCTTGAGATATAAGTGAAGCCATCTTGGACGTTCCAATTCATGCCACTATCTGACAACAAATACATGAGGGGCCTCAAATGAGACCAGTAGAAGAACTGAGCCCCTATCAACCTACAGAATTATGGGCAGGTAAAATAGTGGTTGTTTAAATCCACTACATTTGTTATATAGCAATAGATAATCAAAACCTTGGGTTCACACACACACACACACACACACACACACACACGCACTTAAGTCAGTTTAATGTTTGAGCATGAAATGATTTTTCATATCTGAGAAGTTGGTGTTTTTGGACTTGGGTTCAGGCTACTTTATCAGGAAATACTTTTATTTACTTCCTAAATTTAGTTCAGACTCAAGATGGAGCATTGCATTTGGGGTATGTCCATTTCATTAAGAAAAAGGTAGTGAAAGAACTACCTGTTTTCCCATTAGGGCACAGTCCCTTCCCATTAGGTCCCCTCAATCCAGAAGAGGCCATGAGGGGAGGTGACTGAGAAAGGATGTTTATTTCTGCAGCTTGCATGCATGGAGAACCTGGAAGAATTTATAAATCCATCATTTCAAGTCATTAGGCGATATGTTGGTCAGTCCAGGAGACTCTGTTCTCATTAATTCAGGGGAGATTTACTTGTGTCACCCTCATTAGTATTTATGGGATTTATCCACATCAATCGGTAGTGCATTAACAGGGAAATAACTAAACCTCCTAGGGTTTGTTGGCGCTAATAAAATGAGCTGGAAGTTCCAGAAATCACCATGATCAGAAGTATTCTAAATCAGGGCTGTAATTGATCCTTTCAAAGTACCCTCAGGATGTTTTTCTGTTCGCTTCACTTCCAGTGGCATTTGCATATTAGCATGGTGTCTACAGCCTTAGAGGGCAGTCCATTTCTTACCATGAAACGATGTGGGAGAACCCAATGGAGTGTTGAAAATTCATCGTCAGACCAGGGCATCTATGTAAACAAAGGGTTAATTTTCTTATAATTCTTTTTGTTTGGTCCTGGCTTATAAAAAAAAAAGCCCTGCATGTAAATATATCTTTTATGTATTCTGAACATAAAGATAGCTCTGTCCTACCATATTGATTTATTAGATTCTCTGACATTTTAGTTGTGGTCGTTATGTTATATTTATGAGATGAATGTTGGATTCCCTCATTATGTTATCCTCATTTATTTTACATACTTTTATGGCTGGTTGTGCATCGCTTTACAGTTAAAGCTTTATTGCAGCTGTTAGCGTTGGGGGGAGGGGAAGGCAAGTAGTTATTGATCGGAATTTACATGTTTACTGTTGTAATCATGATTTATTTAATCTGTCTGCACATATAAGCCCACTCTCTGAAATCAAAAATATATACTGTATCTATATTTTAGATGGTGGAGCATTCATTGGCACCCTCATGCCCTTTGGAGTAGAGAATTTGGGGATGATCTGGTGTTCTGTGGATGAGCACTTTTCTTACAGCTTGGTGGTAAATGGTGCAGACTTTGGAGCCACACTACCTGGACTCAGGTCCTAGCTGTACTGCCTACCGGCTGTGTGGCCTAGGTCAAGGTATTTACCGCTCTGTGCTTCAGTTTCCTCACCTGTAAAATGGGGATGATATTTATACAACCTCATAAAGTTGTTGTGAGAAGACAACCTTGGTAAAATGAACAACATTGGTAAATGCTTAGAATGCTGGACACTGGAAATTATGAAATGCTAGTTATTACAACTCCAATGAGTAGGTGGCGAGCTAGGTAGAGAGGGAAGGCTCAGCTACTTTCAGATGGGAAACTTGACTTTAGTTTTAATTCAGCAGAGCAAGGACACTTAGAATGTGCTTGGGTATCCTCTAGACAAGAAAAGACTTCATTGAGAGCTGAAGAATAGTCCCGAAAATTGATTTTTCCCATATATTATTTTTTAATGTTTTTAAATTTTGGGCCTGCCATTAGCTAGCTTCTAAGGATTTGAAGCTTTGCCTCAGTCTTCTCATCTATCATGTGGGTTTAATGTTACTTCTCTGCAGCATGAGATAGTAGTGATGTGAACAGTGAACTAGAAGTCAATAGACAACTTACAGCCTCAGGCCTGCTACTGCATAACCTTACTACCTTGGCAGAAGACTTAACTTTTAACGGGGCAAGGTCTCTGTCTACTCTTTAAGGTTATCTTGAGAACCGGATGAGATAATATTTGCAGTGTTATTTTGAATACTCTAAAACTCTATAGTAAATGTTAGGGAACTTCTAATAATACCACCTAACAAAGTTATTGCAAAGACGAGATGATATAATAGATATGAAAAGACTGAAGGAAGCCGGATGTGCTCTATGAACCTATGGGATGTGCTCTATGAACCTATGGGACATGATGCAGGTTCAGCCCTTTAACCTCCTGTTCCCCTGAGTGTGAGTCCTAACCCTTCCCAAGACACAGAGGCCTAGGGGAACCTCAGGCTCCCTGGATTCTTAGTTCCAAGGAGTTTTACCCTTTCATTCAACCCATGTGGCATTAATATGGTTTATAATATACTATTTGACCACATCCTTAGGAAAAAAATAAGGCCTTCCCTTGTAATTTCCTTATTGTTTGTTTATTGGGTGCAAGACTGTGTTTTATCTCCATCATTTAATGGAAGCTACACTTTCTGCTCTAATGTTAGTAACTCAACATTTGCTTTTTACAATTTACAATTTGGCAGTGATTCTTTGAAATAATTTACTTTTATCATCTTGCTTCAGATTTTCAAAGAATAATCCATCTAGCAAAACAGTTTTATCCTTTCTATATATTCATTTTTGTTTTGAGGCTCTTTAGCAGAATTAATGATTTTTAATCAAATTTCTAGGCCACTCATCATAATTAGGTTTAGAATTATGAATTATGTACAGCTTGCCATTATATCATACCTCCTTGTGGTAGGTGAGTGAATTAGAGATCATCACAGGATTTCCAGAGCCTTTCAGAATGATTTATGACATAAAAAAATCTTCAATTTTTTCTTCCTTGTTTAAAATGTCTCTAGAAAAATCTGTTTTTTTTCTGCCTCTTTCTTTTACCCTCTACCTGAAAGTACTGTTGCTTGTCAGTTTTCCCTCCAAATCATTTGGCCTCTGAAAAATTTTGCATAGCTAAGTTTTAAATGAATTAATCAAAATTGAATCTCAAAAACATGCTGGGTGAAATAAGTCATACACAAGAGTATTTACTGTATGATTCCATTTACATGACACTCTAGAACTAATCTGGGGTGATAGAAAGCAGAATAATAGTTTGTTCTGGAGAGAGCCACAGGATAACTTTGTGGGACAGTGGCAAGTTAGAAATGTTCTAGATCTGAATGGAGGTAGTTCTATGGGTATATGCACTTGTCAAAACTGATCACGTTGTATACTTAAGATCTGTGCATTTCATTATGCAAGTATATCTCAATAAAAAATATGAAAAAATTAATCATGACTCACTGGTTCTTTACATATATTATTTTAGACACACTTCTATGGTGATTAAAATCTATGGAATTCTTGAGGTGATATGATGTGTTTTCCTTGTATATTTTTAGCCAGAATTTAAAGAAAAGGATGTTATCTTACCATACCAGTTCTTCTGAATCACTGGAGGTTTAGAAAAAATTTGTTTGTCAGCTCTGTTGTCCAATGATATTCAAGTGAGTACCTGCCGTCTGGGTTAGCTTTTATAGGAAGCCATTACTCATTCTAAAAATGTTCCCTTCTCCTGCCATTTGACTTATATGGAGGAATAATTTCTTGGCTAATTTTTTTTTTGCTTTATACTTCTGAAATACAAATTCACTTTTTCTAATGAATCATTATCATGTACTACCATCAAAGGTTATTCACTGAAAGCTGAAGAAAAAAGCAATGAAAACTAATTTTGATTGTTAATGGAAATGTATTTTTAGTCCTAAAGAGCTTCCCTCAGCAATAATTATAGTTATGCCTCTTGGGTGTTTTTGGACTTTTAAATTTACGTCTAGTAGCTCTTTTTCATTTAGTAGTTAATCTTTTAACAGAGCTCTGCAAATTTGTTCTTTAGTCTGGCGTTAGAAAAGGATTGACAGAGATTTTATTTCTTCTCTTCTATTCAATTTTTTCCCCTCCTCATCGTGCTGGCAGCCCAGGCTACTCCCCTTATTGGGCAACCCTGGACCCTGTGACTAGTCATATGGGCAGTGAGGGATCAGGATGGAAAGGCTAGAGAGGGAGATTTTGCTTTTCTGCAGCCAGTGGCCACCCATGGCTCTGTGAGCCACCTCTGCTCCACACAGCACAGAATTGTGGCACAGCAAGTGGGCTCATCAAAGGTGTTTGTGGGAGATGGGCAACACTCAGCTTTGTGGCCTACAACTCTGGAATACACACTCAGCCTGTAAGGGGACTGGCTGGCTGCTGCCTTTCCCTGGCTTCAGACATCCAAGTACCTGTAGGCATGTGGGGAGCTTGCAAACAACAAGATGTAAAGCTTTGGTAGCAATGAAGATTGCTTGTTGGTTTTGCTGCTTCTTTGCTGATTTCAGAGAGAGGCATGGGCAGCTGAGAGGGCATGAGAAGCGAAGGGGTTCTGGCAGGAAGTTTGCTCAGGTTTTGCCCTCTTATTAAGAAACAGAGTACGTCAATTAACCTGGCCAACCTGATTAGAGAAAGTGCAAGCCACTGCTGAGGATCTTGTTTCTGGTGAAAATTGACCTCACCCAGGAACGGCCAGACATTTGGGTATTTGCAAAGCACTGCTGAACATTAAGGAACAGTTAAAATTAATCCTGTGTACTGCAGCTCCTGAGAAAGCCAGCCCACATGTCAATAAATCTAGATCTGTTTGAAGCTAACGTCACTAAATCTTCGTCTTGACTGTTTGCTGGTCGTGTCAAGAGCTGCCTGGGAAGATGAATTTGAGGGGAGGATGAAAAAGGAACTGTATTAAACTGCAGCTCTGATAAGTTTAGTTAAGAGGCAGGAGATGTGTCCTTGCCATGACATTCAGTGGCTGATATTTGTTTCCCTTTAAATAATATGCTGTACATCTGTGAGAATGATGGTTTGGGGCTGGTGACATTGCATCTCCACCAAGGTTACTGCCGTCTGGACAGGCAGTCTCTCTCCTTTCTTTCTCTATCCTGCACCCTGTCAATAAATATCCTCTTGTCTGAGCAAGTGAGATACAGATTTTTATTTTTTTTTTGAGACGGAGTCTCACTCTGTTGCCAGACTGGAGTGCAGTGGTGCAATCTCAGCTCACTGCAACCTCCGCCTCCTAGGTTCAAGCGATTCTCCTGCCTCAGCCTCCTGAGTAGCTGGGATTACAGGCACCCGCCACCACGCCTGGCTAATTTTTGTATTTTTAGTAGAGACAGGGTTTCACCATGTTAGCCAGGGTGGTCGCGATCTCTTGACCTTGTGATCTGCCCGCCTCGGCCTCCCAAAGTGCTGGGATTACAGGCATGAGCCACCGCACCCAGCCATGATACAGATTTTACAGCTAACACCAGAGCGTCTTCATTTCTAGAAGCAATGAGGTTCAACCCATGTAGACACAGTAGGGAAGGGTGAGGGGTTAGAGAGAAATTAAAGTGACTGGAGGAAGCTGTTTTGGTTGTGAAACTGTCAAAGGAACCCCAAAGCACCCAGTGGGAAGGTACTGACACTTTAAGAATTTATCCCTAAAAACCCCATTTTTACAAGCAAGATATATGAAATCTGGGGACTCAGGATTTAGGGTTCTGTTTTCTCCTGTGATTCCCCTTTCTAGGTGCTTTGGTCCTTGCTGTGATTTGCAGACCTATGATCTTTGGAAGCAGTCAGCAAACTTTCTCTGTAAAGGGCCAAATAGTAGCTATTTTTGGCTTTGGGTCCATATAGTCTCTGTTGCAACTATTCAAGTCTGCTGTAGTGTAAATGCAGTCACAGTCCATTGTAAATGAATGGGCATGTCTGTGTTATGGACACCAAAATTTGAATTTCATATAATTCCCCAGGTCACAAAATATTATTCCTCTTTTGATTTTTTTTAACCATTTAAAAATATAAAAACTATCCTTAGCTTGCAGGCTGTACAAATTAGATGGTGGGCTAGATTGGGCCCATGAGCTTTAGTTTGCTTACCTCTGGTCTATGATTTGCTCTGTCTTGTTATTTTCCTTTTGTCATTGTGAGGTGTTGGCTGTCGTCTTGGTAGGAGGATGAGGACACCCTAAAGATTAAGTTCATGGCCTATTCAACAAGGAGACAGAGTGGATGGGAATGAAGACAATGCTGGGCTCTGAGGCAGACAGTCCAGGTTCCCACACCAATCCCCCATTAACACTTCCTAGCTGTGTAACCTCAGGTTGGTCACTTAACCTCTCTGAGCTCCTGTTTCCTTTTTCTTTTTATGAAATGGGGGTAATTATATTTTCACTGTCTGTATTACATGACTATACTATAGCCCAAGTAGTCAAGAGATAGGAGAATGCCTAGTAAACGTTGTCATTATATGAATGTAAGGCTTTGGGATTATTTGCACTGCTTCACCAATGCAGACTCTTATTAACTCTGATTGTTACTAGTATTAAAGCATTATGTCTTTTGTATTTCAGCTACAAAAACAGAATCAGAATTTGAATGGTGTAAAGAAAAGATACTCTTGTTTTTTCACTTTCTTAGACTCTGATGTTGGCTGGGCATTCCTGAGCCTCTCCCGCTTGTTTAGCGATTTCTCCCAGTGTGTCCAGATGCTTGGTGTAACTGAAGGGATCACATGCAGTTTGTGCTGTCCCACTGCTCAGAAAGCCCCGCCCTCCTCTCTCTCTCCATCCTGGCTCACCTTCAAGGCCTGGCTGAAGTGCCGTCTCACCCAGGATTTCTCCACCAGGGTCCTTAACACATGCAGCTCCGTCCTGTGTGAATGGCTTGACCCCACCCCTGGCACACACCTTATAGAAAGGACATCCTGTCCTCCCAAAGATGTACAGGTTTTAAGAAAAAGGGTAAAGGCAAATAATGGAGGTCACAGGTAAGGCAAGCAGGATGTCTTCTGGCCAAGTTGAGTGCCCCTGAAATCACTGAATGTTGCCCAATGGGAGAAGGATTCAGATATGAAGGGATGGGGGTCTAGAGAACTTGTTTTCTGTGACAGTGTTCCATCTATGTCATCTGTTACACTTCTAGAACATTTTCACATCCACTAGCTCTTTGATCCTATAACAAGTCTTTGAGGCACAGGGAACATTTTAATCCCCATTTGACCCTGAGGAACAGAGGCCCAGAGAAGCTAATTTACCTGTCTTTGCATCATACAGATGGTTAATAATGAAGTTGAGACTGGAGCCTAGTTCTGGTTACCATGCTGCACCCCATGGCCAACCCCAGCCTGATACAGGCCCATATTGCTGCCATATGTGATATTCCGTCTTGAGGGTGAGGGCACATTTCTATATGGATATATCAAACTAGCTGTCTTTGAGTATGTTAGCTCGTCTTATCTTTCCATCCCAGAATGCATTTGTGGAGCAGGTTTTTGAGCAAGAGAGCCTGTTATCACGTATTTTCAGCTTCTTCTATTCCGGTCATACCTGCATTATGTAAATATGTATACACAGAGTGTTTGCTTATTTATTCGGTCTGTGGTGGGAAAACCAAGTGCATTACTGATTCCTGGGCTGTGCTTTTCAGCCTAAACACTTTCTGCAGCTCCTCATTGCTCACTTAATGAAGTGTGAACTCTTCAGGTTGGCTTTTAGGTTCTCCGTAATCTGGTTCCTGCCTGTCTTCCCCATCTCCCCTTCCATCTCAGGGGAAGCCATCTGCCTCTTCTTGATCCAGGCTCGCTTTTCTGTCCTGTCTCCTCTGTCATCTAGAACTTTGATCCACCACTCCTCTTTTTCATGTGTCTTCAACTCTCCCTCTCCAAAGATAATTTCCTGTGAATCTGTCATACTCTATGTGCTTTCTCTACTCTTAAACACATCCTTGATCCTAACTGTCCCTTACACTATTGTCCTCTCCCCTCTTGCTGCTTCGTTTATATGAACCAGCCTTTCTCACCTGGGGCTGTGGGTGATAACTAAGCTCTGATGTCCTAAGGAAGGGACAAACTGTCACCTGAAAGCCACATGTGGCCACCATCTTTTTTTGTAGGGCTTGTGGGCTAAGAATGGTTTATATATTTTTTGAAGGTTGAAAAAAAATAATTCTTGACATATGAAAAATAGATAAAATTCATATTTCAGTGTCCACAAATAAAGTTTTATTGGAACACAGCTGGGCCCATTCATTTTGGTATTGCCTGTGACTGCTTTGGCACTACAGAAGCAAAGTGTAGTAGTTGCTGCAGAGACCAGATGGCTCTTTGTAGAAAAAGGCATTGATTGTGTATAATGAATTGATTTCTCTGCATTTAGAAACATGTGTTATGTACGACATTTGGGAGAATTAAGAAGTGAGTCACAGGAATCACATTCTGTGATTCAGATGAGGAAACCCCATTGCAAAAGACTGACTCTCTCCCTTATTCCTTAGACCTTTGTTGTCCGGATTCTGGAACAAGCCCTTCTCTACTGGAATATGTCCTTTGGAGCTCTCCCATGACTTCTCAGTCACCGCATCTGGTGGGCGCTTCTAGGTCTTATCATTCCATCCTCTCTGCAGCACCTCCCACTGTTGACCAGCTTCTACTTCTGAAATTCTCTGTTCTGTCTGCTTAGACCTTGTGATCTCTCCTTGCTGTCTCATCCTTTGTCTACTCTCCCCATTCACTGTTTCTTTGTGTCTCATCTTTAGCAAACTCCCCCCTTTCTTGTAGAGTGCTTGTAGCAAAATTGTGATATTTACCCCTGTCTCCATGCCGATGATTTCCAGTTCACTGTCTCCCCAGCTCTGTCCCACTTTCCGGGGCATCATCTTCTCTTTGCTGCTCTTCTCGTGTTCACTTCTCTTTGGTCCCTCACACCCCTTTGTTCTCTGTTGTCATAAGATTTAGAATCTCAGTTATCTGTGATGTATCTCCTCAACTCCAAATAGTTTATCAGTTGCTTAATCTGTGAGGATATTTTCAGCATCCATTCCCATCTCCCTAGTCCGACCACTCCTTCAGCTCTTTCTTATCTTTCTCTTTCCCAGGCTAGCCAATGACCATTTCCCCTAGCTGTTCCCCTTCTTCCCTGCTGTGCAGTCAGGCTGCCACCTGACTCTAGCAGACACTTTAGGGGCCCCCATTACATCTCCTTGGCTCACCTCTGGTTTCAGTGACAGCTCCCATGCAGAGTTTCGCATGGGCTTAGTTTCCTGCTGATGGTGTCTCACAAGTTACTGCAAGAGTCTGTCTTCTTTCTGCCCCAGGACCTTCCCAGGAGCCAAATGAGCCTGTGCATAAGTTCAGTGTAGCCTGCAAGTGCAATTGAGCCAGTGCCTCCATCAGGGGTAACCTGCAACTGATGGGGGACTAAAGCTGATGGATTGCTGCCCAGCCTCTTACCTTTCATGCAGGCAGCTCTGGGAGGCCTCCGTATGCTTCTTGGGCCTACTGGAGGAGGAGTCATGCCCATTGCCAAGAGCAGCAACCTTGATAATGCACCCTGATGTTGGATTTTCCTCCTCCCCTCCCTTTCCTGCTCTCTTGGGTCATCTCCCAAATAAGCTTCCTGCCCCCGTGTCCTCTCAGGCTCCACTTTCAGTAGCATTCAAACCAAGACACAGACCAGTCTTCTAAAAGCTTCTGCCCAGACATCTTCAGTGGCTTCACAAGCTCCCCAATATCGGACTGATTGTGTTTTAAAATCCTAGGCTCCCTGGGTTTGTTTGATATCAGCTTATCTTACTAATTTTATCTTCCCCTACTCACCTTTACCCTTTGTTTTCATCAAACCAGGTTCCTTAAGGGCAGAGATTGTGTCTTATTCATCTTTGTTTCTCCATTTGCTCAATATCCAAGATCTGAGGAAACTGAAGGCAAATGTATATTTTTAGTGAGCAAATTAATGAATGAGTGAATTGAATGTATTCATCTTCACATGTGCATCCATTGAGGCATTCCTCCTCCTCATTGCTTAGTAGTGATCTTCACCTCCACTAACTTGACAAAGCACCCCATCTCTACCACTGTACGGTACTTTTAAATTTCTACTTTATGTTTTTTTACGTGTCTTAACTTCTAATATATAAATTCCTTGAGAGAAGCGATGTTGCTTTATTTTCTTTATATTTCCCCACAGATCTTATGGGTACATGGTTCCTTAATAAATGTTGGTTGAAAGACTGAGAGAACATCTCATTATGTTTCCAGACATTCTGGGGCCTTCTGATTCGTTCTATTCTCTCTCTCTCTCTTTTTTTTTTTAATTTTTGAGACGATGGAATCTCGCTCTGTAGCCCAGGCTGGAGTGCAGTGGTATGATCTTGGCTCACTGCAACCTCCATCTCCTGGGTTCAAGCGATTCTCCTGCCTCAGCCTCCCGCGTAGCTGGGACTACAGTTGTGTGCCACCATGCCTGGTTAATTTTTTTGTATTTTTAGTAGAGATGGGGTTTCACTATGTTGGCCAGGGTGGTCTCAAACTCCTGACCTCGTGATCCGCCTGCCTCAACCTCCCAAAGTGGTGGGATTACAGGTGTGAGCCACTGTGCCTGGCTGATTTGTTCTATTCTCTGTTCTCCAAACATGTTACATGTTTTCTCGTTCCCATGAATTGAAGCTATTTATTTCTCCTTTGCTTTTTATACATGCTTCTTACAGTATTTGCCTGTTTACCTATAAAAATTCTATTCTTCCTTCAAGTCCAAGCTTAAATGCCATCTTTTTCATAAAGCTTTTCCCAATCCACCCTGTTAAATCATCACCTCTTCTGCAACACACGCCTGTTATACATTTGTATTATTCTGCTTTATGTAGCATAATTTTATGTGGCTTGTCTTCTCTCCTTCTTAGAGACAATAAGTGTATTCAGGGCAAGGCTGGTTATGTCCTCATTGAATCCAGTACCTTGCTCAATGCCCTGCAATCAATAAATATCTGTTGGAATGAATTAATTTGAATAGGTTAAATAATATAATCATGCTTTTGCATGCACATCACCTTAACTGGTGCCCCTGACCTATTTTTGGTGCATGTCCTTGAGTTTCATTTTGGTAATGGAAGAAATATCAAGCAGAAGAAAAGATAAATACCCAGAGCTGGTCAACATGATCTACTGTGTTTGAACAGGAATATTGGAACATAACTTCTAAGAATGCCATTTCAATTATTTGTAAAATATTTAAATAGTATAATCCAATTTACATTCTATCATTTCTAACAGCTGTAAAATTTACTTTACACCAAAGTTAGCTCAATCACTTTAATTCAGTCTGGAAAAACAGTACAAATGAAAGCTTAATTTGTATTTAATCTCCTCTTTTGTTTCTACATTATTGCCTTCGAATCATTCCTTTTAGTGATTGAGATTTAAACCAGAGAGAGGAAAAAAGCTTGATGAAATATTTGAGAAGAATATAAGCCATAATGAAAAGTATGAAGTCAATGTTTTAAAATTCCAACTGGCTTTGTTCTTTGGGGTTTCAATTCATGGCAATGTTTTTGTGGTAAACCTGAGGTATGAGATATGTGGGTTACTTTGTCAGAATCACAGGGCTATAACTCTCAGGTATTTAAAACTAGGTGATTCATTTGGAGCAGGTTACATTTATACTCTGTATATGAAGATTGGCAGGGAATACAAAAGTGCATAATTATTATTTAGTGTGTTGATCATACTCGTATATTTCCAAATGGCTTTATGATCATTTTGGTTAGTTTTTCTCTCTAAGCTCTGGCAGTCTTCCAGCTAATGTCATCAGCGGGGAACAGCAGCAAGGAGAGGTGGCAGAATTGTGACTACCTATGGCTTTCCTGTCACTGTATAGTATCAGGTCTGATGTGGGGTTGGGTGGAGGAAGATTCCAGGTAAGGGTAGAATGGCCAAATGATGTGCTACTTCTTAGGATGAAACAGCCTTCTCTTATTTCTCTGTTTTCCAGGTGGTGGCATTTATAGAAGTGTTCCAGAGGCCCACACCTGTCCTTACCTGAGCCCTTCTTCTTCATCCCTATACTTACCACATCCCACCCTCACCCCCAGCAAACCTCTTTGAACTCAAGAGGTGGTAGATTGAAAGAGGCTTCAATGAAGGGTACATATGCCTTAGACTTAATTCTGATCAATAAATGTAAGTTAATTAAGTAAAAGTCGGGGGAAAGAAGGGGCTTCAAGCTCATTTATAGCCAAGAAGAGTTAGAGAAGACCATAGCATTTTACACTTTAGAAAGATGATTTCAGAAGAAGGGATATGATGTGATGGGCCAAGAGTCTAAAATGAAAAATAGCTAAAGAGGAATTTTCAACAGTGCCATCACATTCTCAGAAAAGAAGAAAAGGGCCAGGCATCTAGACACCTGTGTAACTACATGGGATAAAATTTTAAAATGGGGCAGAATTGTTACAGAAATACTGAGTTACACTTAATAAGCACATTTCTCTTTGTTATATCAGCTATTCTTTATAGCAGCTCTGTGATTTTGGTCCAACATGGAGTAGTGACCCTACTTCGTGAATGAGGAAACTGAGGCCCAAGGATTTTAGGGACTTGCCTAAAGTCACAGTGCTAATAAAAGGCAGAATTAAGTTTCAAGAGACCTAGGTATTATGGCTCCATAGTGTAGTGATGTTTCTACAATACTATGCTGTAAACTGTTGGCAACATTTTTAACAGGGCTGTCAGAAGATCAAAGCCACCCAGTGAGCTGAGGTTTATAAAATATATACATCTCCCAAATATATAATAGTATATACTAATGACAGAGGATAAGTCACAGAAGATGAGGTCCTCTGCTCCACTCACTGGAATGAATGGAAAGAAGCACAACAACTTAAGTTACATTTTGGCTTCCACCTTTTCTATCAATTCAGTTCAGTGAGCCTAAGGCCATCCAAGTGCCACATCTGTGTGTGCACATGCAGATAGGCAGGGAATATAATCATGAGCAATTATTCAGTCTCAGGGCCACATCGTCCTAGAAGCTCTTGCATGCCAATATCAATCACTTAGCCATCCACCAGCCCCTGGATAATGGTAACATGCACAGGGTAGCTGCCAGTATTCCCTTTACCATGGCCAGCAGCTTGTGTGTTCTAGAGAGAGATAGAAGAGTGGTGGTTACCCTAGCCAGGCAGTTAAGCATAATGCAGTGACAGGAGTTACTACCTCATCTCTGAACTGCTTCCTGCTAATTTTGGTGAGACTTTTCAAGGTATAGACTATACAGAAGTGAGACTGTTCCCTCTGGGAGCTGCTGGTTTAGTGAAGAAGACAGAAAACACATCAGCGGTAGAATCAGTGACTGAGGAGTTTGGAGAAGGATGAGAGGCTTCTTCCTTATGGGGAAAGATGACAAGGCCATTTGGCCATTTCTTTCCTTTTCTGTTTTTCTTTTTCTTTTTTTTTTGAGACGCAGATTCACTCTTGTTGCCCAGGATGGAGTGCAATGGCATGATCTTGGCTCACTGCAACCTCCGCCTCCCGGGTTCAAGCGATTCTCCTGCCTCAGCCTCCAAGTAGCTGGGATTACAGGCATGCGCCACCATGCCCAGCTAATTTTTTGCATTTAGTAGAGACGGGGTTTCACTATGTTGGTCAGGCTGGTCTCGAACTCCTGACCTCAGGTGATCCACCTGCCTCAGCCTTCCAAAGTGCTGGGATTACAGGCGTGAGCCACGGTGCCCAGCCAGCCATTTCTTTTTAAAGAAAGAGAAAGGTCTAATTGGATAGTAGTGATTGGACCATGGTGGTAAGATATGAGGCCTGATTGGAAAGCAGTGATTGGACTCTGTTGGGAAGACATGAGACCTGATTTGACAGCATTGATTGGACCCTGGTGGTAAAACATGAGGCCTGATTGGAGAGTAGTATTGGACCCTGGTGGTAGGATATGAGGCCTGATTGGAGAGCGGTGATTGGACCCTGGTGGCAAGACATGCGGACTGATTGGAGAGCAGTGATTGGATCCTGGTGGTAGGACATGAGGCCTGATTGTAGATCAGTGATTGGACCCTGGTGGGAGGATATGAGACCTGACTGGGGAACACTGATTGGACCCTGGTGGGAGGACATCAGGCCTGATTGGAGGGCAGTGATTGGACCTGGTAGCAGGACACATGGCATGAAGAGAAGCAGGTGCAGCTGAGGCTGCAGTCAGCCTGAAGAGTGTCCTGGGGAGCTGGCTAAGGAATTGGAATCCTTCTTGGGGAGGCAGTGAAAGTTGATTTGCTTATTTTAAGCAGGAAGTGATATGCTTAGATTTATATTTTAGAAATGTCACTTGAGGGAGTGATTTAGAACAATAGACTGGAAGGGAGAAAAGGCTGGAGAAGGGGACAGTAGTGGAAGCCAGTGTAGAAATTCAGAAGAGAGAGACAGAAAGAGAAGGAGAGAGGCCCTCGCGGGAGCTATCTTAAGGTAGATGCAGGCATAAGAAAAAAATCGAAAGAAAAATATCCCAATAACAAACACAAAACCCCGACAAACACACAGAGTACCTGGTAGACTTCTGCATAAGAGGTTACGGAGTCCCAGGTCCTAGTCTAGAACTTTCTATTCATGGGCCTGATATATAGCCCAGGGATCTGCATTTTGATAATCTCCCAGGGGCTTCTGGTGCAGGACGCTAGAGCTCTTGAAGTTCTCCCTTGGTTCTGACCTTCAGCAAAAGTAACTCCTCCCTTCATGTCCTTTTCTATGAGACTTTCCCAGGGGGCCTCATGACATAACAAGATTCAATAACTACGATTAAGTGCTTCCTTAGTGTTTGGCATTTTGTGAAGCACTTTAACACCAGCCCTTTTCATGAGTGCCTCCGTGCTTCTCAGACTTTAAAGTGCATCATCAGCTGTGCCCCACCCCCAGGATTTCTCATTCAGGAGGTCTGGGGCGGAGTGTGAAAATTTGCTTTTCTAACAAGTTCCTACAGAGCTGCTGCTGGCCCACCAGCCACATTTTAGAACCCCTGCTGTCCACCACTCATAGGAGGGGCAGGGATTGTTGTCTGTATATGGCTCAGGAAACCAGAGACTTGGCTAGGATAAGTAATTTTCCCAGAGTGGTAGAGTTGCAGCTAGAACCTGTCTGCCTGAATCTCCAGTTCATATTCTTCACCACAGTCTCAGCCTTTCATGATGCATGACCAGGATTGGTGGAACCCATTCTCTGCTGGGCTTACGTCCCCTTTCCTTAATGAGCTAAACTGACTTTGTTACTGCTTTCTTGAAGTCTTCCTGGAATCCTCTGCCATGAGTTGGCCTCGTCTGTGGGCAGTGGAGGTGTCTGCCTTCCAGCAGTGATTTAAGCATCCTCCAAAGCATCTTCCCGAACTGAAATACCAGAGCTGACATAGTCTCTCAATTCCCACCAATACAGTTACCCTTTTAGTTAAGGCTCTGTCTCCAGGTTGTTTCTTAGATTGCGTGTGAGCTCCTGGGTGGCATGGATCACACTGTATTTGTGTTTGTAGCTCCACACCTAATGCAGTGCTGGACTCATTCTAAACGGGCAGTAAATTGAGTAGAACATGAGTGAATGAAATATGTTACTTGTAGGGTATAATAGTTGGACCTATTAACCTAGTCTAACAGGCAAACTAGCTTAGAGGATAATAGGATGGGTACATTTTGAATACCTGGAGGTAGTTAGTATAAAAATGTGCCACCTTCCTTAGTAAAAGCAAAACTCAGAACCTTCCACAGATAGTGAGACTCTCTTGAAGGGGAGGGGCTGATGGGACTCCTGTCCCAATTTTCCTGTGATCATTGCTAATCGCATTGGTACCAGGGATAAGCTGTTTTCTCACTCTATCCTTAGCACAAATGAAGCAGACTGGAACCTTTCTCGGGGATGACACAGGGATGTCAAGATGAAATCGGAGGAGTTCCCTTATCCCCCTCACAGGGCATGCAACAGGGGTGTGGCTCGCTTCTTTGATGCCCTGCTGCTGAAACCCCTTGGGGAAGCATGCAGACGGGCAGGTCATGAAGAGTGTTTTTGGACTCCGACCCCACAGCAGGGTCTAGGGTTGAATGTTTACAGCTCTTGAAGCCCCAGTGGCGTATGTTACAGTGTATTCTTTCAGTTTTGCTGTCTGCAGGTGGCTTGTGTTAATCAGCTCAATTAGACCCTCTGGCTTATCCCAAGGACAGAGGGCTTTTTGCATCCCGTGTTCTTGCCCTAGGGTACTGGAAAAATCAGATTACATGTGGGATTGGAGGATTGGTGCAAGGTTTTATTGAGTGGTAGAAGTAGCTCTCGGTGAGGTGGATGGGTGCAAAGTTTTATTGAGTGGTAGAAGTAGCTCTCAGTGAGGTGGATGGGGAGCCAGAAGGGGGGCATGGAGTGGGAAGGTGGTCTTCCCCTGGGGTAGGGCCACCCAACAGCTGGACTCTCCTCAGACCGTCACTGACTGCCCCTGACTGAATTCTGCGTCATCCCGCCTCAAAGGCCTTGTGGTGTCTGCTGGTGTCTGTTGGTGTGCTCTTCTGCTCCTCTTGATGTCTAGCTGATTGTGTCTGTGCCTGCTAGGGTCTTGGGTTTTTATGAGCACAGGATTGGGGGCATGGTGGGCCAGAGTGGTCTTGGAAAATGCAACATTTGGGTGTAAAAACAGGAGTGCCTGTTCTCACTTAGATCCATGGGTACAAGCCCAAGGGTGAAACCCTCACCAGGGACCCCACCCTTCTCTACCCAGCACTTCCCTGCCCCCTCCTGTATCAAAGACGGTACCAGGAGTGTAGTCTGGCTGGCTTCCAGGGCCCCAGGTGTTCTCCTGCTGACTTGACCAGCCACCTCTCAGAGCTCTGGAGACTGTCATCTCTGTCTCAGGTCATCTGGGCCCTTGCTTAGTGGTTCCTGCTTCTATGCAGTGGGTGCGTTCCTTAATTCCCAGCTCCAGGAGCACCCTCCTAGATACTTGGCCCCTTCCAAACTCAGGCCAACGGAGACGTTTCTTTCACTTACCTAGGTCTGCTGTCTTGGACATTGCTTCTCATCCAGAGACACATCTGTTCCCCAGGTGACTCTGACAGACATAGCCTTACTCTTCAACCGATCTCACAATCCCCTGCCCACCATCACAATATCCTAATGCAGTAGCGGTGTCAGTCTTATAACTTGAGTGATGCAGGGTGGTGGCGGCGTGAGGAGTGGGCTGGCATTTTCTCACAAGGGGCAGCGAGGCCCAGAGTGTAAGGACCACAGGGGTGAAGCAGGAGAAGGATCGGACCTCCCGAACACTCAATTGGCTGCTGCAGAATTTTGCTTCCATTAGCCCTGCGTACCTTTGCCCTTAGAAACTCTCTCTTCCCACCACCAGGTTCCTACCACACAATTAGAGTAGACACTCTTTAATTTCCAACCGCCTTGAGCCCTGGAATCTGCATCAGCAGTCTGGCATTAGCCATGGTCATTTACCGCCTCAGATTCTAAATAACATGGTTTGTGCTGATGGAAAATGCCGGCCAGGTCCCTATAGATGTCACTGCTTGTTGTTGCGCTGATGTATACATGCCTATTTCTACTGGAATATAAGGTCTGGGGGAAGGGAAGAGACTGGGATGAGGCTGAGGGCAAGTGACCTCTCATCCTTTGTTGGTAGTTTTCACACCAGGATTTGGGGTTTGGGTTCCTTGGGGTCTTATGAAAAGCCATTGAGGTTGGGAATTTTGCAGGGAGGTGTTTTATTTACCTTTCCCCTGCTTGGTGATTCTCAGCTCTGAATGTACCTTTCTGTATCCACATACCTTGTGGATTTACTTTTTCCATTTCTTGGAATGATGCAAAATGCCTGGGTTATGACGAACATGGGACTGTATTTTCTATATTTCCTTTACTGAGTATCAGAAAGTTATTTGAACTCACAACTTGTTTGCCATTCATGCTTATAATTTCCTGGTATGATTAGCTTCTTCTACACATGTGATCCTTAAGAGGAAAATAAAATTTCCATGATGTTAGCAATATTCTCGTAGATTTATGCAGTAGGTATAATATTTAAGCTAATTTTATAATGTTTTAAAAAAATCATTGCTGTTTGTCGGCCTGATTCCTTTGTTTGCGTGTCATCAGTGTCCAATGAGTAGTATGTGTTTCTTCCAGTCATTGTTAAAACCCAATATATGGAAACAGTGTTTATACCAGCAGCTGTTACAAATCTGGGGCTATGGATTAATGTCAGTTTCTGAATGTAGAGTGCTTTAGTTAATTCCACCCAAGGACAGATGATATCATCTAGGAAGAAGGAATATATTAGAAACTGTCAGCCAGAAGGTAGTAAAAGGAGGTGATATGTTATAAGGAGTACTAAAAGGTCATTCAAAGAAGAGATATTGCTAATAACTCAATTAAAATTTTCACGCTAACATTTTACAAATTTCTGTGTAAGCCCTAAAACATTTTCAAAGCTAGCTAAATTCATACCATAGATTGGAAAAACAGGGGTCAAATAGGATTCACACAATTCCTTTGTGAGATGAACAAATTGGGATAATCTCCTTTTCCAGGAAGTTCTGGCAAGCTAATTCATTGAAACTCCCTTGATATCTAGGTGAGAGGGTGGGATTTTGTAAGTACACACTTTCACTGGGGATTTTCTGTTTTCTGTGTTACACTTTGGGGCAGGGCAACCCACTCATTTGGTCCTTGACTCTCAGGAAACCGGTATTTGCTAAGCTGGTGCATCACTGCAGTTATGCTCTGTATTTTGCTGCCTGGAAAACAAAAGGATCCATGTTCTTCCTGCAAGCCAAGAGGCAAAACAAAAAGTGGAGATAAAGGCCGTTAGTGGAGCCTGTACTTGGTGTAGGAGTACTTCCAGACTGTATGATGGGATAGGACCACCATGCTGCACAGTCGGGCAGCCAGGACAGGAAACGCAGGAACAGCAGGTTCATGAGAGGTCATCTGACCATCTGCCTACTCTCCTGTTTGGGAGGAATGATACTTTCTTGAAGATGTTCTTACCTGGAGTCCACCTGGCTTCTCTTAGTAGCTCTTTCTAGTGTTCAGTCACTGTTAAGGTTCATTCAGTTCTTCTCCTGTCCAGTGAATATAAGCAGATTTCTCTTCTTGCTAATTTTTCCCATAGTCATGGAGAGGAAGTGGTCAGTATGTATGGATACACATACATACATATTTAGCAATGGCTGTAGCTGCCTCCGGTGTGCTGGTGCTACAGATTTGATGGTAAGGAAAAGTAAAGGTGGCTGCTGCCCTCCTGGAGCTCACCATCTAGCAGAGGTGAAGGTCATTAATTATAAAATCACTCACATAAACAGATGTAAAGTCACAATAGGGATAATGAGGCAGGAGAATAAGATCTGGAGGCAGGGAACCTAACGCCGATTCACGCTGACTTCCTAGAACTGAATCAAAAGGAAAGCCCCAACTTTCCACACTAAGTAACAAAAGGACGAGAGGCTACTCCCTTTGCAAATCTCTCCCCCCCACTACCCCTACTTTTCTGCATGGCAGATGGAAAATTGAAAGTACCTCTGATTGATGGCTTTTTGCAACCAATCAGACGTTTGCATAGGAGTGTAACTTTGTAACTTCACTTTAGCCTCTGATTCGTTGCTTTCCACAACCAGTGAGACTGATTGCAGGCCACCACTTCATTTGCATGGGGTGAACACCAAGTGGCCAATGAGAAACCTCTAGGAGGAATTTGGACCCCCAAAAGATTCTGTAACCAGGGCCCTTGAGCCTCTGCTCATCCCACTCCTACCCTGTGGAGTGTACTTTCATTTTCAATAAATTTCTGCTTTTGTTTGCTTCATTCTTTCCTTACCTTGCTGCGCATTTTGTCCAATTCTTTGTCCAAACTTCCAAGAACCTAGACAACTTGCAGTCAAGACCCTCTCCTGGTAACAACAGGGGCTAAGGTTTCAGAAAAAGGATATGGTGTTGTGGTGGGACCTTGTTTGACCGATGGAGGTCTGGATTTTCCTGATGAAGTGTTGGCTCACCTGGGAGCTGAAGGGTGCAGAGTTAACTAGAGGAAAAGAGGAGAGGGAAGAGCATCACAGGCAGAGGGCACAGCAAGTGCAAAGCCTCTTGACTGGAGGGAGTTTGGTGATTATGAGGAGGAACCGAAAAGAGGCCTGAGTGGTTGTTGAAGGAAGACGGGCAAAACTGAACCTGGGGAGGCGAGCAGGGTCAGTTAATGGAAGGCCTCACAGGTGGTGGCCAGGAATCTTATTTTTTTTAAATGTGAAATAATTATGGAGGTTGTATTCACTGCAAGCCAAACTCAAACTTCTTCTTCTCACTGTAATATAATCATAGTTCCTTTCCTCTTCAATTCTGGGGACCTATATTGGAACTTTCAGCTGAGGATTTCAAACTGAATTTCTTTGTTTTTTGAAATTCCTTCTGCAAAGGTGTTTGGCATAGAAATGAGGACAGCAGCTATAGAGCACCTAAAATTTTCTACAGGTATCTCAAGATGGAGTGTCTTAAGAGTCAGAAATTGTGACATGCATGAAAAGATAAAGATATATGTCTTTTCTATGTAGCATGTACACAGGAGGCACTTAATAAATGCTTGCTGATGAATCAGAGGTGACATCCAGCTCTCAGGAATGCAAAACAATGTTTTCTGTTTTCCAGCTATCTGAACGTTGCTAACAGAGGGCCTGGGGAGGAGGGACGGGCACGACCGCATCTGCTCCTCTGTCCTGTGTGCGTGTTTGGCCACCTGATGCCAACTCCATGATGGCACATTTGTCTTATTAAGTGTAAGCCAATTCCTCTCCCCCTTCCAGGGCCCTCCTGATGGTGGCTGTGGAGGACAGGGATATGCTGTGAAAGCCCAGTTATTATGGTCTGTAAAGGGAGGTGGTGGCTGCTGGGGAATGATCAAATGAAGACAAATGCATTGTTAAGTTTTTATGGACCAAGGCCGCACTTTCATTAAGCGTAATTTACATAACATAACTGATGCTCAAGGCCAAACAGTCCTTGTGCCCCAGTGACAGTCCCTGACAACCCATGGACCGAGGCCTCATGCACAATCCCCCAGGTCAGGAAACCTCCTCCTTCTCCTTGCTAGCTCAGCACGCTGGTTGCTCCAGTGCTCTCATTTTGACCTCTCAAGCCAAATGCTGATGACATCAAAGCTACCCATTCTACTACCGATTAGCAGTAAAACCATCGGGCACTCTCTGGGCAGAGTTCAGGTGCTATGTTCCTTCCTCTTTTCCCACAGGAGTTGGCTTCCTGGTCTGAACCCTCCATAAGCCCTGGCTGGGAATTTTCCTCACTGTGACCTTGTGAGCAGTCCCTGGTTACCCTCAAGGATTGTGCCAAGCAGGCTCTGGGTTAACATCTTGGAGAGTACAGAGTAGGCTGATAATCAGCCTATGCTCAACAGCACACCCAAGAGTTGAAGATTTCTGATGGCATCCCTGGGGTGCTCAGCAGTGGCCTTTGTCTGCACCCATCTTCATTACATGTTAATACCACCAGAGACACTTTGAGGTCAGCCTTTTCACCTTGCACGGCAAAGCAATTATCATTTCCTTTCATTGCAGGGGTGGGCGTTGGTTATCACATGATGGATTTTTGCTGGTAATCAGAACTTTCTGCCCATTGGTCTTCAAGACATACTTTTGTGTTGACATTTACAAGGTATGTGTCAGGCAGAGCCGAGGTACTGAGTGAGGGAATGAAAGGAGGAGGGGGGAGAGGATCATTATATTCAATTTAATGACGACAATTTCCCTACATTTACAACTTCCAGAAGTAAGAGACAATAGATGTGTGTCTTCTGCTTGCATGTACAATGAAGGAGATGACATGAGGAGATTCTGTTAGTGGGAATGGTGATATATTACCTTAATGATTTCATTGCTTGCCAAATAAAAGAAAAATTCTCACTGTAGTGCAAAGCCCTGTCCTCATCAAGCTATTCATTGTGAGGCGTTTGTTGTTAAATCGGAGGCATAAGGAGGGGTTTTGACCTTCCATAAGCTGCTTTTGAATTTTTATTTTTTTCTTGGCTAAATTGATGGTCTGTTTTCTTTTTTTAGTAGACATACGTGAACATTTGTATATTGAATATTGAAGTTTGTTAATAGATTTGAAGAGCTCTTAGATTTTTTTGGCAGGTGGGTGTTGAATTAATGGAATGTTTCACAATAGAGTTCAATGAAAGCTCCCCTCCACTATTATGCTAGTGTTTGGAAGGGCAGGCGACTTTGTGTGTGTGTGTGTGTGTGTGTGTGTGTGTGTGTGTGTGTGTGTGTAGGGGAGGGGATGTTTTCATGTGAGCTGTGGATAAACTGAACAAATTTAATTAAGGTCTAAACTGAAGTAGGATCCCATAGTCTAGGTAGGATCCAAGGGACTATTTTCTCAGGGCTGCTGGAGGTTGGATAATCTGAATTATAGACAAGGAGGAGTCCAAAGTCTTAGTTCAAGGATGGCACCAAGTGACAAGTCCTGTGATCTAGCAGAAGCAGATGGAGAACTAAGAAGAAGATCAGAAACTAAGATGACTTGGAGCCAACTAGAATGAGATCATGGATAGACAGCCTTGTAGGCTAGACCTAGGGACAGGAGAATTAGAGTCTTCTGGATTTCCTTATTACATGAACCTGACAGTGGCTGTTTAAAGAAGCAATGCAGGGCCTGACAGTAACTCCTTGCTTGGCTTCTGCTTACTCTGTGTAGTCTGCTTTTTCTAGTAGGTTATCCAGATTTCCAAAGTGGTGGAGTCAGGTTTGCATGGTAGAGCTTGGGAACTGAAGGGGACCATTGTGGTCATGGAAGTCATGAGCATCATTTTCCAGTTTAGAAGACTGAGGCCTAGGGAGGACAGCAGTTGGGCAGGCCCAACGAAAAATCCAGTTTAGGAGGTCCGGGGAGGATAGCAGTTCAGGAGGCCTGGGGAGAACTCCAGTCCAGGAGGCCCGGGGAGGACAGCAGTTCAGGAGGCCCAGGGAGCACTGCAGTTCAGGAGGCCTGGGGAGAACTCCAGTTCAGGAGGCCGGGGGAGGACAGCAGTTCAGGAGGCCAGAGAATGACAGCAGTTCAGGAGGCTGGGGGATGACAGTAGTTCGGGAGGCCTGGGAAGGACAGCAGTTCAGGAGGCCAGGGGAGGACAGCAGGCATACCCAAGGCCTCTCAGGCATTGCTGTGCTTCCTCACCCTGCAATGCTGCCGCCACATCCTGTTGCTCTCTGTTTGTTTGATTGGAGTGGCTCTCCTGAAGCTGGGCTGTTTGCATGCTTGGTAGGCCCCCTTCCTGAATGTGCCAGCCAGCTCTGGAGCCCTACTCAGTAACTGTTTCGGATGTGATCCTCATCAGATATATTTCTACCTACTAGTTGTGTGACTTTGGGCAAGCCTCTTCACTTCTCCAGGTCTCAGCTTTTCGTAAGTAAAATGTTGCAAGGTCTCTGTGGACCCTTTCAGCTTAAGCATGACATGTTCTGTAACTAAGGAGGCCCAGTTATAGAAGCTCCTGGTGTAGCTGACAATGTGAATACAGTCAATCTCAGGAATCTGTGGAAATGGAAGTGATGGCTTATACTTTGGCTCTTCACCCACCTGAAAGATCACGTAGAGGAGTTCTCTAGGCTGCAAGCTCCTTGAGGCCAGGGGCCATGTGTCATTCATTTTTACACATCCAAAGCCATCAGGCTGTGTGGTGAATTGTGATGTTTAGTAAATTGGGACTGACTGAATATGAAGTATTACAGAATTTCAGATGATAAGACATACTTAACATAGACATTGCATAAGCATAACACATGTGCCTAGGACATGCCTCCTCAAAAGTGCTCGCTGAGCTCCATTGCAGCAGGGACCACACCTGTCTTATTTACCACTAGGTCTCAAGTTCCTTGAGCATGACTAGGCACATAGAAGTTGTTTGGTATGTTTGCTGAATAGATGAATGAATAAAGATATGACATGAAAGAAGCGTAGTTGAACTTTCCAAGGTTATTTGGATTATTTGGTGAGAGAATATAAACCTGGAAAAGAGAAGAAAGTAGGAAACTTGGTGGCAATACACCTAGTTTTGCTTTCCTTCCACCCCTAAGCTGTGGCTGAAATCTCTTGTACATAACAGAAAGTGACAACCAGCAGCCCCATCTTCTAGTTGACATTGGTCTGCAGATGGTTTCTAGTGTATGACTAGGTAAGTATAGAAACAGAGCATATACATTAGGAAACTTTTACAGAAATTGGACACTGCATGACACCCAAGCATGTGATTGCTGGATTTGTTTGGCTGAACAGTGTATGGACCAGTTTGTATATTGCTAAAGTCATAAATGAATTGCACATGGTGTATACTGCACACCAGTCCTGTATGGTAGGACCACAAATAGGTCTATGACATATCAGGGAAGAAATTATCCTGCACCACATAACTAGAAAGAAACTAGGTGAAATCCTTGGTTTTGTAGCCTAGCAGTCATATTTTTATTAAAATATTGATGATCTTGTTTGTCATGTAAAGCTGTTTCTGACTCATCATAATCACATATTTTCTATGTTGTTGATTTGAGAAGGACTGAACTAGCTACACCCCCTCAGTCAACCAAGTTGAGTTATAATCTGTGTGACAGTGTTTTTCTCTATTTAAAACTAGCTAGTCTTGCATGGCTATTTAACTCACTCCTTTGGCCTCATTAGTATTATCCTATAATCAAATAAGCTAATTAAGCTGTTTCCTATCCACTGATCAGAGAATATTAAAGCTCGGAAGGTGACTCTAGCTATCCTCTGCTCCAGCTCCTTCATTTTTCAGAGCCAGTTAAGGCTCAGAGAGGTTAAGTAAAGTGTCTCAGGTCACACGGTTATTTATAAAAGAATTGGGACTAAATCGTCAGGGCCCTTTACTCCTAGGTTCTTGTGCTTTTCTACTTTATCCTGAAGTTTAATAAAATTCTTTCAGATTTTATAACATCCAAGGTGTGTCTCTGTTGTGGTAAGTTCTGGGCCGCTATTTGATAGATGACCTAGAATGGACAGATTTTGCTTGCCAAATAATTATAGATGGTTCTACCTTTAAGAAAACTTGGTATCTGAAATTATGAACACAGGGAACGAAGAGGTGATTTTATATATAAGTATATATACATTTATACATAAATGTAATATTTATATATAAATATATGATTTATGTAAATAATAACAAAATAATATATATGAATGAATTTATAGAAAAATACTGGCTTTGGAGAGATGTGGTGACTGCTATTCCTTATAGTCTCAAAATGAGGATAAAGCTTTACATAAAATTATGTATTAATGGAAAAATAATGGAAAAATAGGATACAAATATATTGGTACACGCACATTTTTAGAAATGTATCTATAGGAGAAAATGAGACTCTTCTATGAATTAAACTAGGGAGTGTTGACGGAGGCCTGGGTGGGTGAATTTGTTTCCCCCGAACATCATCTCTGTCTTAGCAGGCTTCAGTGTGGTCTAACTGAGGTGTTGGCAAACTTTGACTTGTAAGCCAAATCCTGTTGCTACCTTTTTTTTTTGTAAATAAAGTTTTATTGGAACACAGCTGCACCCATTTATATACTGTCATCTGTGACTGTCTTTGAGCTGCAACTTCAGATTTGTGTCATTGTGACATATGCTTTATGGCCTGCAAAGTCTAAATGTTTACTATCTGGCCCTTTACAGAAAAAGCTTGGTGACCTCTGGTCTAGATGCATATCTGGTTCATATCACTGATTCTACTACCATAAGGCAGGGGGTCTTCATTTGGAATCTCACCTAGCTGAGTTCTGATAGGGAAGGAAGAAAATGAACTTTAATCACCTTGCTCAGAAGCCTGTTTTAAAATCCAGTCACCAGCTGCCGGTTTTTAGTTTACCTATGACCTCCTGGAGATCCTGAGAGAATGAAATTAACCACCTCTGGAACAAACATCCGATCTTTTTATTTTTTCCACTTTCTTAAGAGAGTAATAAATATAGTCAATGACTCTGGATTCTATTACTATGTAAGAGCTCTTTAAAAACATCTAACCATCTGCTTAATGGCCAGTAATACGTTTCTAATGGTCACTCTCGATAAGACACTTTTAGTTCACTCCTGTAATCGTTGTCCAACAGCCAAGAGGCTCCTGAAGAATATGACCAAAGGCCAGCCCCAGCCCCAGCCCTGTAGCCACAGAGGCCTGGCAACAGTACTGAAGAAAAAAAGAGAGAGTTCTGAGAGCTGCATGTGGAAACTCTTTTCTTTCTCTTGACACTCTCCGCGTATGATGAGTTCGTGATCCACAATAGTGGATCTGAAAACTTCGATTTTTTTTGGCATTTACACGTTCAGGTACAGTTGCAACTAGAGGTCAGTTTAATTAATATCTGTCCTTTCCTCTCAGATGACATACACTGAACCGTTGTCACTAGAAACTCCACATCCCTGATCTGGGCCCAGCAGCTGGTGACAGCTTGGCAAATTATGAATTTCCTAGCTTAAAACAGCCTAAATTGCAGACAAAACAAGCCATCAGCTGAGTAAATACTGTATCTCTGTTTAGCTTCTGTAAGAAGAAGGAGATTAGCACGAATGTTTAGTGTTCATAATTACTAGTAGGAAGCAAATATTAGGCTCGGGCTGACTGGAGATTATTTCATTATATCCAATTAACACCCACTTGATTATTCTTAATTACTTCTGCATGATGACAGAGGAGTAAAGATGTCGTACTTCAAATGTACAAATAACATCTGGGCCATCAACGTACATGTATTTGTAATATAATATCCTGCTCATTTTGGGATGGCTAATATGGTCTTAGCAGAGGGATGGAAAATGAAATGACAAGATTCTGGTAATTACTAAGCGGGTCTTAGACAAGATGCCAAAAGTAGGTATTAGGATAAAAATGGGCCTTTTGTAGCAATCTAGTTTAGACATGTTTTCTTTAAAAATGCCTTATTACCTTTCTGTGTAAGAATTTCTTTCTTCCTCTGCCCATTGACTATAGTACAAAGATATAAATGGAAATAGCTAAGTGCAAACTTTCCAGAAAAGAGTGAGCTATATGTGTGTGTGTGTATACATGTATGTCAAGTGGTATGAATGGGAATCCCTGCTCCAAGGGTGTTTGTGGAGTTTTGAGAAACTGAGACAAAATCAGCCTGTGTGCGAGATTCTTAATGACCTGCCTAGTAAAGAATATGAAATGTTAGCAAGTGATGTAATCTCCCAAGCATGTGCGAAGGATAAATACAGTGAGCCAGATTTTCAGGTTCAAACCTGAAATTAGAACCACCTTTAGGAACACTAGAAATCATCTTTCCTTTCACAAGGAAAAATATGAACAGGTCCTTTCCCTTCAGCTATTGTCTTGAGTTAGAAGGAATTGCTGGTAGAGCATAGCCTTGCTTTTTGGAGTAGAGATTATTAGAGTCTTAGGTTTCCCCTCCTTGCTTTCTTCTGGTGTTAGGGGTATTGCACTGTCAGTAACATTGCAATGGATTATTATTTTTTTTCCAGGATCAAACTTTGGTATTAAATCATGCTTAAAGATGGAGGTAACTGTGAGCAGCAAGAATGGTGAGATTGGGTGATTGTGCAATTGTGCCAGCACACGCCTAGAACTGGCAACTTACTAAAGATCAGAGCTGAACTTGGAGAGGTGGCATGTGGGTACCAAACAAATCCGGTTGCAGCTCTTGAAGTCACTCAGCAGTTAGTTATTGAGAACTTGCTTGTGCAGAGCATCAAACCAGGCACATGATGGGGGTGGAATGGCCCAAGCCCTCCCCAGCTGGAGAGACAAGACCATTCTATGATATGGTTATGTTTAATTAATTGCTAAATTGCATGGTTCAAACTAAGGGCTATAGAGGTTTGGCCAAGAGGGCTGGGCTGATCAAAGAAGAATAAGACTCTAAGACTGGGACCTGAAGGGTAGGTGGATTTTAGCTGGTTAGAAGATGTTCTGGCTATTGGTGCTGTAAAGGATGGTGGAAGAAAAGCCTGTTCCATGTAAGCAGAAACATGGCCCCCTTATCCTCTGATGCAACCCAGCTCAGGCCCAAGGACTGGCGACCTCAGTAGTCCTCACTGTAAGCAAACGCAAAGCTCACATCTTGAGATGGAAGGGACATTGCAAAAGGAGAGGGCCCCAAGGAGATGGTGTTAATGAGGATTCCCTGGTATCTATTTCCATTATGAGGGAAGAGACATTGGAAAATCTGTCAAAGTCAAAAATTCATAAGTATATTTAAAGATTTAAGCCTGAAATGGAATATCTTAGGCAGTCATTTGAATTCTCTCTCTATATATGTGGTGGCTGATATTTAAAAGGCACACAAAACATTAAAAAATTACTTTGGGAATAGCATACCCTTCCCTGAATAATAAAGAGGTAATATCAGGGAATAGAGTAGTGTCAGGATGTAATCAGTTCTCACCTGACAAATGATGGCCAGGGCCAGGGTTATTCATCTTTGCTGGTGATATATGAAGCCGATCCAGGGTTCTCAGAGTTGGACAGAAGGGGTTGTTTGGCAGGTGGTGTGAGGGTCCTGAAGTTGGCTGGATCTTGGTAGTTGTGTTCATTTTGTAGGTGTGTATATGTGTGGGGGTCATGATGATAGTGAAGAGGACCTGTACCATGCTTTACAAAATGCAACAAGATTGACTTGGTACACAGAGGTAGAAGCTTGGATGCCAGCTGGCCATGGTATAGAGCTACTGTAGTGTTGTGTCATGTCATGTTGCACATGGCATGCTTGGCCCACCTGAGAAAACTGCCAGGAAGCTGTTGAAAGTTTCTTGGCCTATGGCTGGGTGTGGTGGTTCATGCCTATAATTCCAGCACTTTGGGAGGCTGAGGTGGGCAGATTACTTGACATCAGGAGTTCAAGACCAGCCTAGCCAACATGGTGAAACCCATCTCTACTAAAAATATGAAAATTAGTTGGCCATGGTGGCATATGCCTGTAATCCCAGCTACTCGGGAGGCTGAGGCAGGAGAATTGCCTTGAACTGGGGAGGCAGAGGTTGCAGTGAGCCAAGATCGCACCACCGCACTCCAGCCTGGGCGACAGAGCTAGACTCAGTCTCACAAAAAAAAAAAAGAAAGAAAGAAAGAAAGTTTCCTGGCCATATTGTGTTGTGTAGCGTAGTGGCTGGCCCACCTGAGAAAACTGCCAGGAAGCTGTTGAGAGGTCCCTGCCCTTCCCTGTAGGAAGAAACAAGAATGGATTTGGCTTAATTACTGCAGACATGTGTCTTATAGCCCCTTGCTACCACAAGTGTAGTCCATAGACCTGCAGCATTGGCATTTTCTAGGGGTTTGGTAGAAATTCTGATTGTTGGGTCCCATCCCAGTTGCTGAATCAGAATCAGCATTTTCAGAGGAGACCTGAGGGAGGGGAGCAGAGGAGCCATCTTGATGTCTGTGGAGGTAACAGCACACACAAAGCCTTGAGGCAGAAGCTTGCTGGTGACTTTGCAATTGGGTGAGAAGGTCATTGTGGTGAGATGGGGAAGCAAGGTACTACTTCAAAGGCTGGGTCATGGGTGACCTCAAAGGCTCTGGTCAGGACTTTGGGTTTTATTGTATATTAGAGGGGAAGCCATTGAAAGGCTTTGACATAATTTGACTTGATTTTAGACTCCTACTGATCACTCTGGTTGGTGGATCAGAGTGTGATTGCCATGGGGGTAGTGGGACATGGTCACATTCTGGATGTTTTAGAAGAAAGAGTTGAAAGGATTGGCTGACTGGAAATACCATGTAAGAGACAGAGATGAACAACAGGAAGAGTGGAGGTGCCATTTACTGGCAAGGAGGGGCAGATTTGGGGCTGAGAATTAGGTTCTGGACATATTAAACTGGAGATGCTTATCAGCCATCCAAATGGAGATGTCAAGAAGGTAACTGAATTGAGAGGACCCCTGTGGGGAGGGGTCAGGACTGGAGCTAGAAACTTGGGAGTTTCTGTCAGTATGTAGGTGATATTTAAAGTCATGAGGCTGAATGAGATCACTTCATTCCCCACCAGATACATGTAGGGAATTAGCGTGACAGTGATGATCAATGGGTTTTGGTGATCATGGTGGTATTGCTGGAACTTAATCAGCTCTAATGTCCTCTGATTCCATATAGTGCGCTTGCTCGTTATATTCCTTGTCTATTCTCATTTTGAATGTAATTTTAATATTCATCAATTGCAGCAAAAGGAAGAAAATATGTTATTAACTGGACCCTTCAGCTTCTGCCTGTCTATGCCAACTCCAGTGCACACTAGGGAAACCTGGACTCCACACTGACTGGGATGTCCCTGTCACCTTGAATTGGCTCAGCCCAGGGAGCTCTGGGTGGCAGGGCCCTGAAATCCTGCCCTATTGCAGCACAAAGCAGGATGGATGAGATATTCCAACTCACTACTTACAGGTGTTCTTTAAGGGAGCGCTTAGGAAGTTTTACTCAGTTTAACTTAAGACATAAGTAATACCATTCCCAATTCAG
This sequence comes from Homo sapiens, assembly GCF_000001405.40. Lineage (NCBI taxonomy): Eukaryota > Metazoa > Chordata > Mammalia > Primates > Hominidae > Homo > Homo sapiens. The sequence continues at coordinate 75,892,516 of NC_000010.11, forward strand.
GGCAATGGCTTAGAACCTGACTCAATGTCCTTTTTACTAAGTAATTATCCAGATTTCCTTGCTAAATGTTATTTTATATATTATGTTTAATAGCCTCTTTCTTTTGGCTATGGAAGGATGGTAATAGCAGCCGATAATGTATCACATACTCATCTCAAAGTTCTGCCTCTGGCACCTGTGGCTGGAGTAGAGGGAAGCTTGTGGTCAGGCCTCAGACAAATTCCATGTCCCTACTCACTGGTCCTGGGTTGGTTCACTTCTCAGGGGCCTAAGGAATCACAGATAACTTTTTAACCTTTAAAACATTCCTCATTTTTAAAGATTTGGGTAAACCTATAGAGCTCATCTGGCCAAACTGCTCCTTTGCCTCAATTCAGAGCCCCCATGGGACAACTGTGGGTAATAGAAAGCCCTAGTAGAGAGGAACTGAGCAGCATAGACTTTTGGGCAATGGTTAGATGTCATAAATGCATGATAAAAATTAAGCCACCACTGCATCTCAAGATAGCCAATTCCTTTTAGTACCCTGAGGCTGGCTTTCAGTAAAGGTTCACTGGGTTGGACTCGTGTGATAGGAATTAGGTTACTGTGTTGTTTGTACAGCGTGTGTTTGGTAGCATGCACATGGGCTTCTTAGTGACGACCTGGTGATGCAAACAGTCTTCCAGTAGCTACTGGACACCTACTGTTTGCCAGTTGACCCCCTAAAGAGTTACTGAGGGCTCAGTGGGTGCTAGGCATATAGATGACACCAAAATATTTGTCATTGATCTCCATCTGCCCTGAAATTATGTTCTCCAGATAGTCAAGGCTAAAACCCACATCAAAAATATGTATGAAAACCTAAGAGAGCAGGGAATGACATTGGCCATTGTATTTATAAACAGGTTAGACGTATTTCCTGCCCTCAGAGACTTTCCAGTCTAGAAGGGAAGCAGAGTATATTTGCATGAAATGCCAAATAACAGAATAATGCTTAGTATTAGTTTGAAAGCGGAAGTGGCAGAGCTTCCAGGAATCCTGAGGATGTGTGAACCTTTTGGCTACATCTCAGAATCACCTGGTGAACTGTTGAAAACTGAGATGCCTGTGCCCAGCCCCAGACTCATTGGGCATCTGTGTGTTGAAAAGTTCCCTGGGCTGGGCATAGTGGCTCACACCTGTAATCCCAGCACTTTGGGAGGCCGAGGCGGGTGGACCTTGAGGTCAGGTGTTCAAGACCAGCCTGGCCACGATGGGGAAACCCCATCTCTACTAAAAATACAAAAATTAGCTGGGCGTGGTGGCATGTGCCTGTAATCCCAGCTACTCAGGAGGCTGAGGCAGAGAGTTGCTTGAACCTAGGAGGTGGAGGTGGCAGTCAGCCGAGATCACACCACTGCACTCCAGCCTGGGTGACAGACTGACTCCGTCTCACAAAAAAAAAAAAACAAAAAAAAAAGAAAGAAAAGTTCTCTGGGTGATTCTTTGTTTTTTTCTTTTTAGAACCTGATAATACTTGATTTTTTAATTTTGTTTTTTATTTTTCCATAAGTTATTGGGGGTACAGGTGGTATTTGGTTATATGAGTCAGTTCTTTAGTGGTGATTTGTGAGATTTTGGTGCACCCATCACCTGAGCAGTATACACTGCATCCTATTGTAGTCTTTTATCCCTCGTCCCCCTCCCACTCTTCCCCCCAAGTCCCCAAATTCCATTGTATCATTCTTATGCCTTTGTGTCATCATAGCTTAGCTCCCACATATCAGTGAGAACATACGATGTCTGGTTTTCAGTTCCTGAGTTGCTTCACTCAGAATAATAGTCTCCAATCTCATCCAGGTCTCTGCAAATGCCGTTAATTCCTTCCTTTTTATGGCTGATTAGTATTCCACTGTATACATATACCACAGTTTCTTTATTCACTTGTTGATTGTTGGGCATTTAGGTTGGTTCCATGATTTTGCAATTGTGAATTGTGCTGCTATAAACATGTGTGTGCAAGTATCATTTTCATATAATGACTTCTTTTCCTCTGGGTAGACACCCAATAGTGGGAGAACCAAAAGTAGATCTACCCCCAGTGATTCTGATACATAATGAAGCTCAAGAACCACTGCTTTGGAAGGATAGTTGGTGTGTGGGTGCATGTATGGAGATGGGCATTGTAGCCTGGCATGAGAAAGATGTGAGAATGCCATAAGATGGGGAGCACTGCAAGACTGCTTGGTACCATGCCCCTTTGCTGACTACACACCAGAGACAACCAGAAGATCTAAGCGTTTCAGAGGCAAGAGGCAATGAAGAGGAGAAAACCACAATTAAAAGAAAAAACAACTTTTAGATCATCAGTAAACAACTGAGTGTGCTAAGTACTAGTCTAAGTGTTTTGTACTTACATAATCATCATCATAAACCCACAAGTTAGGTAATACTGTTTTCCTTACTTTCAGATGAGAAACTGGTTAAGTAAATTACCCCAAATCATGTGGTTTCCTGGCCTGGAGGGTAGGATTTGTTTGGATGAAAAGTGGAAATCCAGTGGGAAAGGGACAGCTTTCAGAAGAACTTGAAGTCCTGGAGAAGAGATTGAATTTTATCCTGAAAGCCACAGGGAAATCCTGTGGTTACCACCATCCTTTATGTGACCTTACTCTCAATAGTGAGTGTTTGGACTTTATTCATTGGATGATGGGCAGCTTTTGAGCCAACAAACAACATGGGGAAAGTGGTGTTTTAAGGTGAATCTGTCAGGTGCTGTGTAGATTCAAGTGGAGGGTACCTAGAAACAGATTAGCTAAAACTAAAACCATTTCCTAAAACACCACAAACAACAAAAGTGAATATTGATTGAGCCCTCACTATATGCCATGTGCTGTCCTTTACATCTATCATCTTCACAAAAACCCTGTGAAGTACATACTCATCATGTACCCATTTTACAGGTTAGGAAACCAAGGTACAGAGAAGTAACTTGCTGAAGGTCACACAGCTGGCTAGTGTCCAAGTCAGGATTCAAATTGTGTTGCTTGATTCCAGAATCTAGGTTACTGTCTACTCTGTTATAGGCTCTTATATCTCCTAGGACTTTGGCAGTGATAAGTGGAAGTGGAAATAGAGATACATGACATAAAGAGTAAATGTCAGGTATTACATGATGCTGGAATAGTGTGAGCATGCTTAGGAAATCCCCAGCAGGGAAGAGTTCCTTGCACAAAGAAATTGAGTAGGGTTTAGAACAGCACGTGAAGGAAGGCAGAAGGCCTTTCTGAAATAAGCGGGTTTATGTTTAGAACATGGGAGAAGAGATAGCATAGGAAATTGCCATTCTGATGGCCCTGCATGTACTCTGATAAAAACCATGGAAGTTGTATGAGAAATGAGTATGGTGAAGTGAGTAGATTTGTTGGTTTTGGAATCAGACAGATGTGGTTGTGGGTTCCAGTCCTTTTCTTACTAACCTGTGACCTAGGGCAGTTTGCATAATCTCTGCATTTCAGTTTTCCCATGTGTATATTGAGGATAATAGAAGCATCATCCTTATTAAGATATCATAAAGATTGAGTTCATGTATGGAAAGGAGATGAAAAATATGACATATTCCATCAATACCAGCTATTACTGTTATGCTTCTCGTTATTACAGTCATTCATGGGTGTTAAAACAGAATAATGAGATCTCTATTTTGGAGAGAGTACTTTGGTGTTAGTGGGTGCAACACAAACTCAAGAGCTTCTAGGTTTCCAGTTCTGGCTCCACCTGCTAGCTATATGATTTGGGGTAATTCACTTAACCAATTTCTCATCTGAAAGCAAGGAAAACAGTATTACCTAACTTGTGGGTTGATGATGATGATTATGTAAATATGAAACACTTAGAATAGCACTTAGCACACTCAGTTGTTTATTGATGATCCAAAAGTTGTTGTTTTTTCTTTTAATTGTGATTTTCTCCTCTTCATTGCCTCTTGCCTCTGAAACATTTAGACCTCTTGTTGTCCCTGGTGTGTCACAGGGGCCTGTGGCCTGTGGCCTGTGGTGTTGCCCTTGCTGAATCCTATTTAACTGTTGAGAATGTGTCTGGGTAAGTAGTCATTGCTGCCTCAAAACATAGATTCATGAGCAAAGTGACTATGAAGATTTGATGTGATATGTGGGTGATGATCACACATAAAGGGCACAGCACATAGGTTACAGGAATTTCGCTGGGCTGTGAATTTCTGACATCAGCCTCCTCGTTTAATATTTATCCGCCCCACTTCTCTCTTACTTGGGACCTGTACTGAGGCATGGACCTTGTTCCACAAGGGACTGAGAGATAACAGTGCTAACTCTGAGAGTGTGCATTTGTGTGTGTGTGTGTGTGTGTGTGTGTGTGTAAGAGAATATTAGTAGCCTAAAGGGAGATCTCATGCTGCTTTGCTTTGTTTCATTTTTTTGGTTGTAAAGTTGAATAAAAGGCACTTAGTCCAAAACTTCAAAAAAATTGCTACTGGGCAAAGTAATTTTGTGTCAGGCTTCTGTTCAGGGCAGATTTACACTGGTTATAAATCTCTGAAATTAAGGTCTTACCGTAGAAAAGCTGAAATGTATTCAACATTAGCAGACACCCAGCCCTGTTCTGAACCAGTGGCCATTCTTCCGCCATGTATAATAGCAATATCTATCTATGTGTTTGGGGGCAATAATAAGTTTAAATATGCCTCTTAGAATGGGTAATGGCTCTCCAATGAGTAGCAGAATTTTCTATCAACAATTCTTTTCCTAGAACCAAAGGTTAAGTTCAAGAGTTTGATTTAATGACAAAGTTAATTAGGCCCTTAACATTACAGGTTTCTTGCCTTTCATTTTCTAATCAAGATCATAGTCTAAGGTCAGCAACCTTGCAGAAGTGGGGAACACAAGGCCAGCACTTGTTCTTCTGATGTTTGGGGAGGGTGACTGTAGGAGATGAGGAGTGCTTAGCAATCACTGAGTTGACAAAGGGCCTGGAGAATGCCTGCTAGACCTGAAGAATTTCATTCTTACCTCTACCGAACCTTAGATATAAAATATGCTTGAGCTTTAAGGAAACTTAAGGATTATCTAATCAGTCCTTTCATTTTACAGCCAGGGAAACTGAGGCTAAAGGGACTAAGAAATTTCTCAGTGGTTACATAGTTCACTTGAGGCAGAGTAATGGATCTCCTAAGATTAAACCACCTACTTCTAATCAAAATGATCTATCCTCAAATACTCATATTCAAGGAAAAGCAAAACCTCTTCTTGGCTTATAGGATTTATGTTGTTTATGAGCTAGTTTTGCTAAAGCACTTCTTCCTGCCTTTTTTTTTTTTTTTTTTTTTTTGAGACGGAGTCTCACGTTGTTGCCCAGGCTGTAGTGCAGTGGCACAATCTCGGCTCACTGCAACCTCCACCTCCCAGGTTCAAGCAGTTCTCTGCCCCAGTCTCCTGAGTAGCTGGGATTACAGGCACCCACCACCACGCCTGGCTAATTTTTTTTTGTATTTTTAGTAGAGACGGGGTTTCACCATGTGGGCCAGGCTGGTCTTGAACTCCTGACCTCATGATCCATCTGCCTTGGCCTCCCAAAGTGCTGGGATTACAGGCGTGAGCCACTGCGCCTGGCCTTCCTACTACTTTTTAAAGCAAATATATTCCATTTGATCTTGGACCATGATAAACCAGTAAAGACTATTGGTTTGAAACAAAGAAATTGCCTGTTGCTACTTAGTCCAAGAATTTAAAAAATAATAAAAAAAGAAGGAATCCATTAGAAGAACCTTAGGGATTCTCATAACTGGTCAGAGATTGAAGGACCTGGTAAGGGAAAGGGAAAGATATCAAAGCAGGTCCAGAAGTTCTAGAAAGAGGACACAAGACAGATTTCTGGAGGCAGAAACTTCCGTCCCAGCATTTGACACTGCTGTATCATAAATGAATCCTCACCAGCTCTCTGTCTTCATCTCACTTGTTCCTGATGCAAAGTCCAGGTGAGGAAATTTAAAGAATTGAGCCAAGGGATTTGCCAGTGCTTTGCCTGCCGGGAAAGCAGGGAGAGGAGAGGTATGGATGCTCTAGCTTCTACTGGACCCTGGGAACGGGCACTGCCCACTGAAAAAAAAAACACACATTTTGGGGAATTTCTCAAAACAAGAAAAAAAAAGAGTCCAGGTTTTAGATTGTCCCAAACTCAAGAAATGTCTAAGATAAAAGACTTTATGGGTCATTCTGAAGCTTGACCTTGCTGTATGGGAAAATATAGTCCAAGGTACAGACTAATTCATAGATAACTTTGGGATTCAATTTACTTCTGGGCTCGGCTATTCATGTTTTAATCTTAAATAGGAGTCTGCTGGTTCAGGGCCTTAAACTTTAAGTGAAAGTTTTGTGGTGGGATTTTTGGACTATAATATAGGTGACCAGATTTGGAAATACCCTTGAAAATGACGACATTTCAGAAATAGTAAAACCATCCATGTGTGTATCTTTCCACACAGGTACATGCTCTATACCTGGCCCTATGCTGTGCATTGGTTACCAAGAAGCAGACAAAATGTTGTGCCCTTCTGCAGCCTGGGCATTAGTCAGGTTCATATATAGGGTGCTTTGACTTCTCGCTTATAGTAAAATATTCAAATGCAGAGAAGACTATTGAAGAAGGCAAGATTTTTGGTTACACGCCAGTACTTCAAAAGCTCCAACCCTCTCAAAAATTATTAGTGTTTGCTTTTCCAGAAGAGCTGTTTCTACCAAACTTGGTTCAGAATCTTCAGCAAACATTTCTTACCAGATGCGATGCTAGAATAAGTCTAGCCATGAAGAACCTTATAATCCAGTAGAGGAGACAGACATGGAAATGAATCATTTCTATGAAATGCGTTAAGTTCTGAGACAGAGATGTGCCCAGTGTGCTACGTAAAGACAAAGACTCACATTCTTCAGATGCGCTAGCATAGGAAAGTTTTCCTGTAGTTTGTCTTAATCCTAGAGGTACAATGTAAATGCATCTTCTCTGTTCACCTGTGTGGTCAGTCATGGACAGTTACTGGGTGGCTGTTACATGCAAGGCCAGAATGCGGGGCCTGTGATCTAGCAGCTAAGGGCATCCATTCAGCTAAAGATGTCTTCCTTTCTCCCTTTCCTTTCCAAAAATGGCCAACTACAACCTCTTAGATTTGGGGCTGGAGTAGGTGGGGGACTGATGAAGCATCCATTCATGGCTTTGGTACAGGATTCGCCTAAATCTGGACATATCCCCAAAGTACTAGTTCTGCAGGGATGAGGACAGAGCCCAGGAGAACTGTCTTTGGTTTCACCTTCCTCTCCAATGTGTTCAACTCCCTTGCAGGAATGTTCTTGGGGGAGCACTCTGCAAATCCACATCAGGCCCAGAAGAGAAATGTTTCTTTGAAGACCTGTCTCTATTAATTTGCATAGATATTTGTGTATGATTTTATTTACATTGGTGAGGCAGAACAGTAGTTCTCCAGCTTTGATGTGTGTGAGCCTTGGAGATTAGAGCTGGGGCTCTTCCTTTGAGAAAACAAATACTTTTGTGTTGATTTCTATGAGATATAAATCATACCCAGGAAGTTTACAGTTGAGTAAGAATGGTATAATTACTGATTGTATACCAGAAGCGGACATATTTATGAAAAGACTTGAAAAAGCTTGTAATCCCTTCCCGTATTTTGAATAACTAATTGCTATGTCATCCTGGCATATTTGCACCACAAGAGTTAAGTCTGTCAAATGTTTCCCTCTGAAAACCTTGTTTTAAGGGATTTCTAACTTGGTCGTAAAACTGTGCTCCAAGTTGGAGCTGACTTGATGGGAGTCTGTGCTTGGAAGGCTTGATTTGAATGGTGCCAGTCAGAGTTAAATTACAGGCTGGGAAAAAGGAAACAAAATTTTTAAAAAGGAGGTGTTTATGGTTCCCGGTTCCCCTAAGTACTTCTTGAGGATCAAAATAGCCTCTTTAAAATAAATTGCAGACCATTAGTACATGATGGAGGAAACCCCTTTGAGACTAGATTGGGGGAGGGGAAGGCAAGGGCACAAGAAAAAAGAGATTGATTTGGGCCACTTTCAGCCTGTGCAGTGCATTGCCCCCCAGCCCCCGCAGCATGCCCCTGGAGGGGTTAATGCACACAGATGGCCTTTCATGTACCCACAGTTGCCATTTCTGTCAGTCTAAGTGGACCTCACTGCAGATCCACTCCAATTCTGAATCTTGATTGGAATTTGGGTTTCTTGGAATGTGTTCTTCCTCCATGCCCACCCCCCCACCTTTCTTTTTCTTTTTAAACAAATAGAACACTATTGCCTGCCATCTTATGCCCTTATGGATCATAAAGTCTTACTGCATAGGACCTTGAGTATATCCTGTCTACGCTGAACTAGAGATAGCTGCTGGATAATCATATTTGCAGAGATTTCTTCATACTTGATGCCAGACATTCAAGCCAAAAAGGTAGTCCTTGGCTGGGAGTATTTATTTGATCCCCTACGTAGAGCCAGCTTAGGTATCTCTCCCATCCATCAACAACAGACAATTCAAGATAATGAGAAAGAGAGAGAGGGAGACAGAGAGGGAAAGGGAGATGCAAGAGGAGGAGGAGAGGAGGAAGAAGAGGAAGAGAGATTGTTTCTATCTCTGTGTGAGTCACCTTGAACTCCAGTGGTCTGGGAGTAGCCTCTGTGCTCTAGCACTTACCATCAATGGAAGTGGGACAGATTTATGGCCTGGCATGTTCAACCTGAATTCAAATCTCCTTGTCTTTTTAAGATTTCACTCATGCCTTAATGACACCTTTTTTTTTTTTTAAGAAAGCTAATTGCATTGGTTTCTCCAAGAGGCATCACTTTGAACAATCCATCCTGACTGTGAAAACAAATATATGCTTGACTTATTTCATTTATTTTCTCCCAAAACCTAAATGAGGATAAAGCCATTCTGGATAAGAAGACATGTGTGTGTCTTTGTCACATCTTTTATCATCATGACTGCTTTTCCAAATAATACAACTTGTGACAAATGCGAACATTAATTACAGTTAACAAAGAAATGTCATGTGAAGTATTCATGGGGGGAGAAAAAAGAACCGAGACAATCAATGAGATTACATCTTGCACCAAGCTTCAAGTCAAAGTGCAAAAGTCAGAAATCAAATACCATCAGTTATCAAATTATGTTAATGATTCTAATGAAAGCTTCTGGTATTTTGTTCAAGAGTGTGTTGCTGTAATGGTAACTAATAGAACAAGAGAAGCTGATTGCCGCGAATTAATTAGAACTGACTGCTGGAGTTTCCTTTTTATTTATTTATTTAAATATTGACAACCTGTTTTAGATCTCGAGGTTTTTCACGTGGTCTTTTTCTTCGCTCCCCAAGTCATCAACCTGCCAAGGAGTGAGAATGTAATTGTGTTTTCTCATACTGTGGATATCTCTCACCAGCCTCAGGGTTTTGACCCAGACTGACAGCAGACAAATTAAACTGAAGTACCCCTAACATTTGGGGGGTTCAGTATGAGAGTCCAGATGAGGCCCCTTGCTCAATGCTCCCTTCTCTTTTCCTTCAGCCCCACATTCCCCCCACAAGAGGCCTTTGCACACATCCACATGGGCACCCAGCTTGCCCATCCAAGGTCTACCCACCAATGGCTGCTCTTTGGCTACCCCTTGGCCTTAGGGGTGCATGCCCGTGGCACCATGCACTATTGAGAGATAGGACCCAGGGAAGAGGTCATTGCAGGCGCTAGAAATGCTTAGGGTTGTTTGAGAAGTGAATTTTGGGTTCCGGGTAATCATAACATGGTCTACTAACTGGGGAGTAGGCTCCAGGTTGGAAATGCCCTTGTTCCCTGGACCTCTTTATCCCATAGGGGTGGGAGGGGATGGAGGAGGGCCAGAGTGGGCCTTCTAAAGTGCTTGGCCTTGGGCAGGGGGCTCTAGTTACTTGGATCTAAAAGCAGTACCGGACATGCATATTCTTTGCTTTGGGGTATCTAGAGCTCTCTCACTAAAATCTATTTTATTCTTTCTGTTTTTGTTTGTTTATTCATTCCTTCATTTATTCAACACTCACTTGGCACTGACTGTGCCAAGCTCTAGGACACAGGAAAATAAGGTCTCTCCCTTCAGGGATCTCACGGGCTTTTCAAATTTGTAATGCATTAATAAATACTAGATAGAGATCTGTTCAAAGTTCTTTGCCTTCCAGATCTGCCTTGTATTCTGTCCTCTGAGTGCTGTTCTTTTCTTCTTTATCATGGCAGCAGGTGTTACAGATCCTGTGGCAGTGAGGAGGGCCAACCCAGGGCTTAGAAGAGGGGACTGACTCTGGTTCCCCCGACAACCCCCCGTGCTGCTCCTTTAGGGCTCCCCAGGGGCCCTTCAGAGCTCCCACCCTCTGGCCAGAGAAATGTCCCCACTGAATCCAGATCAGAAGCAGATAAATGGAGAGTCTGGCAGGGGGCATCAGTCCCACAGAGAATCTTCTACAGCTATAGTGAAAACGCCCAGTCTAGGAGGGGCCGTTCTGACTGATGACTCCAGGCAGCCTGAACCAGGATCCTTTTGTGGAGCTTCTGCCTAGAAAGTGAATTGTGTTAAAATCAACGTATCTTGCTCTCATATTAAAATCCCTCTCTCTATTTAAGTCATTGAGGGAATTTCCTAAATTTTCCACCATGGAGGGAAGGTTTTGGTTATAATACCAAATGGATATTGACAGGGCCTTGCTCTTAGAAAACTAATCATGACATCTGGGTAACTGAGCACAGGTCAGCTCTGAAGCCCTCCCTCCTGGGTGTCGGGAAGCACATCAGACTGTGTTGAATTTCCTTCGCTGGCTAAATTGGTACATTAGGGCAAAAACGATGTCCACATTTGCATAGTTGATTTCATTACTATTGCCATTATTGATGCCTAGCTCCTCTGAAAGAAAGGAGCCATAAAAGCAAATAAAATCACTTCGCGATTCCATTATTGGATAAATTACCACATTACTGCCTGCGTTTTAGGGCTAAAGCCATTCCCCGCATTTGCATAGTTTATTTCATTATCATTATTAATAACAACAACAATAATAATGATGATGACTAGGATCCTTGAATGAAAGGAACTAGAAAAATGCCAGAGCCTCGAGAAGTCTTTATGGACTCAGTGCGATCACTAGGAGTCCCTTTATCTGCTGCTGAAATGCAGCCACTCCGTTGCATTGCACCAACCAAAAGCTTTTAACAGAGCTCCCGTTAAAGCAGTTCAGAACATGTGGGGCCGGGTGCCTGGTTTGAGATAGTGACTAGTTACTTGTGCCTACTAAAGATTTAGGTTGGGAGTCCCTGCTTAGCCCCTAACTAGTTCTGTCTCTTCAGGGATGTTGCTTAAATTCTCCAAACTTCAGCTTCTTCGCAAATGAAATGGGGATTATGACACTTGCTCTGCTGTGTGATGAAAAGCAAAAGAAATGGTGAATGTGAACATGTTCTATAGACCATAAAACTACCCATAGATTCAAGAGACTAATACTACCGTATTGAACCTTGGAATGACGGCTGTGGCTGGGATGCTGTACAGTGGAGGCAGTGGCTAGACTGTGTCTCTTTGGCTGGGAGAATTTTCTAAAAAACTACCATAGGTTTCTAAGGCATCATCCTCTATGATAAGTAGGGAGAGCATACCTGTGTATATTTACCAATCTTGGATATTTACAAATAGCTTACTTTGATAGCCAGCATTTCTGGGATGAGCTGGTGGCCCTGATAGTGTTCTTTCTTACTCAGCAACTTCTAATTATGCCTTGCTTTTCTCCTTGGTCATAGAGGCAAGAAGTATAAAGTCTTTTTGTCTATTAATTCTGAGGTCCTGTAGTGAAAGCAAGGTCCACTGGTGGCCGTCTATGGTTTGCTGGAGAATTTTCCCCCTGGTTTTGTTTTTATTATTTTATTTTATTTCTGCTGTACCAGGGGCTCCAAAAAAATGAATGTGTCAGTAAAGGATTTGACAGTATGTTACGACAGTCATCAATCCACTGAGCCCTGTAGCCATAAATAAGCTTCATTCGCTGCCACACTAAAGAGGACAGTTTTTCTTCTCCAGGACATTGAAAATGTCACAGCGAGGGAATTGTTTGTCCCTGTCTCCACGGCAACGCCACCAGCACTTATCATTAACTTTCACACCAAGATTTTAATCAGCGCTCTTTGCGGCCTGAGACCAAGTCAACATCAGCCCAAATTTTCAAAGCCGTTATTCTAATTATGACGAGAAAGCTATAGATTGATGAGCCGAGTTTTCTGCAAGGACTGGTGGCAGTTAATTCTCGTGACCTGTGTGGCTCGGGGAGTCTCTCTTAGAGATGGAGTCTTGAAAGTTCGATTATTAGTGACAGCTTGTAAGTGAGAGGAGCCTTATCTCTCCAGAGAGTGTTGATAACTTGAGACAAGGTTTAACTAGGAAGTAGTGAGACAGTGGAAGGAGGGGAGAGAGGGGGAGAAAGGGAAAAAAAAGTGCACACTCTATCTGCAGCGTGCATCCAGTGTAATGAGAAAATATGGACAGGCACAATTTCACAAGTTGTAAATTCTGGTAGCCTTCAGTTGTAAATTCTGGTGGAGGCTGTTTTACTCGGCTATCTGATAATGTGTGAAAATATTTGTCCCTTTGCTTCACAGGCATGGGCAAGCACTATTTTCCAGAAAATGCATTAAACTTCCCAGCTCTCTCCTGCCTCTTTTTTTTTTTTTTTTTTTAAATCATAGACCCTCTAAAAACAAAATGAGAATTTGTGATTGAAATGAAATGGTAACTGATTTTTTTTTAAAAAGATTCTCCCTAAATCAGACCTAGTGTTTGACAGAACAGTAGAATGACTATAGTTTACAGTAATCTATTGTATGTTTTGAAATAGCTAAAAAAGAATAATTCAAATGCTTCTAGCATAAAGAAAAGATAAATATTTAAAGTGATGAATATCCCAATTACATCAATTTGATCTTTAAAAATTATATGAATGTATGAAATTATCACATGTATACCAAAAAAAAAAAGAGTCTGTCAAAATGTTAAAAAAGACTCTTCCTTCTCATTTCCCTCAGCTGCCTCCCACCCCCAGCCTTTTTTGAGTCAGTCTAATTTCTAGAGATTTGGGGTTTGCAATGAAGGGGAGTAGCATGGTGCTAACCACTCTGTCCCTTCCTGTTTCTGTTGGTCTCTCGTGTTCTCTGCTTTCGTTAACCTGGCTGATGTATGTCCCTATGTTCTTGGCCATGCATAGACAATGTTCATGCTGTTGCCATCGTCATGCCTTCAAACTTGCTCTTGGGAAGTGGGACATTTCCCTCTCTCTGTCTAAGGCATTCAGCCGAGCCATTAGTCTGCTGGGGAGGAGGTGGGAGTGATGGTCACTGAGTCCCCCTAGCCAAAGGTTTTTTTTTTCTTTTTTTTAAAAATGATCTCATTATTTGTTCTCTAGTCTCTTCCTAAGGGAGGGTGCAGAAAGGTAGCATGGTGAGGTCAGAAGAACCTCATCCTAGATGCTCCCAGTCCCAGCTCTCACCCCAGCTCCACCCCTGCCACAGAGGAAGACTCTCCCCTGCCTCTGTTTTCTCATCTTTCAAATGGTGATCATAGTATCTGTCCAGCCTCCTTCACTTATCAAATGAGAATATAGGAATGAAATTGCTCATACTTCATGTGATCATTGCATTAAAGATTATGGTGCATGTGTGAGCACTGTTGGTTGTCAGCTTTTTTAGTTTATCTTCTTTTCCAGAACTAGAAAAATGATGATGCAGTTACATTTTATAGTGTTTTCTTTTTCAAATTATTTTCACATGTTTAAAACCAGCACCATTATCTCCATTAGCTTTATTTTGCCCCTGAGAACACTGAGGCACAGAAAGGTGAGGTATCTTGCTTGTGGTCACACAGCCAATTAGAGGTCTAACCAGGTATAGAGCTAACTGTGGCCTCCGATTCCCAGCTTGCACTTCCCTAGTCTCATGCTGCTTACCATATTAATAGGCTGGGATTAACGAAAAAAGCAAACCCAATTAGTTTCTGTTGCAGCTCTTTTACAATCCTGTCTTGTTTCCCTGTGTGTTTATATGTATGTTTTAATAGCATTCCCTGCCTTTTATGCTGAGGTTGCTCGAGGTATGTTTATAATGGTGGCGTAATTATAATAATAAAATACAAATCCATCCACGGAGTGCGCTCATTACTGGCTGGCCAGGTAAAACAAACAGGCCTGGCATTGATGCCGAAACAAGGCAGTTTATTTCTAATGTGGTGCCTCTTTGAAACACAAGATGCTTTACTTCTCTAGCAAAGGAGGCCCTGTCCTCTGAACATAAGTGGACTTGGGGGTGCAAGGTTGAACAGGTAATTGAGACACCGGGGCTAGGTTGCTTTAACATGGTCTGGCCTTTTCAATCTCTCTTTTTCCAGGGGAGAGTTGAAAACCAAGAGGGGAAATTGTTCCCTCTGATTCTCTGTAGCTGTAAGATCTTTCCTGGAATATACAAGTAGGCCCTTTGGCATTCAAACTCTTGGACGTAGGAGTTTCTAATGTATACGAAAGGGAAAATTATTGTTGTGAAAAGAGTCATAGGAGAGAGAGAATGTGTGTGTTTTTTTAAATGCCTGTCTGTCCTTGTTAATTAGAAGTGCACATATTGGGAAATTAACTATGAAATACTAAAAATGATAAATTATTCCTTATTTGAAAGTATAAATTAAAGGTTTAGTGTATATAAAATTTGTCATGTTTAATTGCAAGTTCAATTAAAATTCAGGGTAATGATGATTTATACAGGTTTCTGTGTAATTTGATATTCATTAGCTTAGCCAGACACATGCTGATATTAGCTCGTTAATTATGTTTCCTTTTGTTGAAGGCAGCCTTGTGAAAGCAATCTGCTCAAAGTTTTCTAAACTCATTCTGCTAAATGAATATTTGGCAGCTGTTCATGTTATTGAGATGGTCACTGTGGCTTCATTTCACTCATTGGCCGCATCAATCATACCTTCTCTGTGACAAACAAGGGTTTCTCATTACAAACCCATTTATGAAGGTTATGGCTGACATTAAAGAGTGATGGCATGGTACGCTGCTGTTACTTTACAGTAGCGTTAGAGTGGAGCTGTCGTTAATATCCACACCTCCCATGTGGTCAACCTGTTTAAAATACGTAGGAAGGGAGGGCGAAATCATCACAGTGGCCCTGGTGCCATTTCCAACACCATCGGCTCAAACTTGGGAATCAAAACTTGCGTCTCAGAAGGAGGACTATTAAGGGAGCAGTGTCTCAGCTCCCCACTGTAGGCTTCCCAGGGCTTGCCATACCCAGTTCATAGGAGTAGATGTTGAGGTCCAGAAAAGTTAAGGGATTCACTCACGGTGGCATGGTGGCTCTGAGCATGACTCTTGGGCAGGTGAAGGGGAAAGCCCAGGTTGCCTGATGAAGACGCTCCCTGAAGCCTGTCATCCATGGTGGTGATGAGTTGGAGGAATCACCATCTGCCTGGGGAAACAGCTGTGTAACAGTCCTGTGCCCTGCATTTTTGGAGGATTATAAATATTTTTACAGATTTTCCATAGCCTTTATTGTAGGGTCCTCATACTTTACTTGGGATATTGTGGAAAGGAAGGTGCTGTCTTTCCAAAAGGAAAGCTTTGACAAGTAGGAAAGCTGAGGCGCAGAGAAGTTTTTTGATTTGTCCAAAGTCACTGATGCAGATACTGACTGGCCAGAGCCAGGGCCCTGGGCTTCTCTGCACATCATGTGCTACAGTTGTCTTCCCTCCACCAGCACCTTCTTGCAGGATGGAACTAGACACTTGGTAAATGGTAAAAATGTCTCTAGGCTGACCCATATATTAGCTTCTACTCATTTGTATAGTAATAAATTGGCAGTCTGGTTTGTGATGGCAAAATGCAATGGAAATTTCTTACAAGAAGTTATCATGTAGTATGTCTATAGTTAAATTTACATACTTGTGCATTTTTTGGGAGGAAGGGTTTAGGGACTCATATACACATTTCTTTTTTTCTTTGAGAGCTGAGTCTTATGCATTGGGTCTCCTTTGTAGGCTGATGTTTCTTTTGAGGTCGTTGTGAAAGAGATGGCTGGCTAGCTCTCCATCGATGTCATCCTCTTCTTCCACAGTGGAGCGTTGTTGCTGGGACTACATCTTCCACCTCCTATCCCCATCTTGCTCCACGTGGGATCATGCGATTTTTGTACCCACAGGCTCTACACGCGCTCTTTCCCCATCTGCCAGTTAGAGGTGAAGGACTCAGAGGCATAGGCAATGGCAGAGTCAAACAAAATAGAAGGAGCCTGGGCCCCTGAATCACTGTGTGGAAAGCCATGTACTGAACATCAAGTACTGAATATCTGATTGGACTTCTTATGAGCATGACATAAACATCTATTATGTTTAAAGTCCCTAAAATTTCAGGATTTATCTATCACAGCATCTAGTATTACCTTAACTAGTAACTAACTCCTTCATTCATTCTACAAATATTTGTTAAATATTTTGCTCTGGGCCAAATCTTGGGCTAAGGGTTGAGGACATAAGGATAAAAAAGATAAAAAGATGCTATTTCTGACCTTGGGGAATGCAATCACATAGTAAGGGAGCTATACAAGTGAAAATATTTTACCCTAGTATAGTAAGTGCTGTAAAATGTGTTTAAGGGAGGAGAACCCAAAGAAGTAATTTTTTTGAAATATCTAGTGAAATAGCAGATTTAAACTTTTATATTTCAGTAGGACCTTTTATTTGGAATGAAATCATATGTGGGATCCTTCAGTTCATACAACAGAAAAAATCTGAAGGGCCTTTAGTAGAAACAGGAGCCTCTAGGCTCATGGAACCTCTCTCTGCATCCTCTTGGCCTGCTCTGATGTCCCTGCAGCCCTGGATGCTGTGGCGTATCCTCTGAAAACCCACAGAGACAGATTCAAGCCCAAAGATAGACTGTTCTTGCACTGATGTATTTTTTTTTTTATTCTGTAAGTTGTGGTACATGGTAGCTCTGTTTTATAGAATGCTTATCTCTAATAGGTGGAAGTTGAGCTGGTGGTAGGTGAATAGTTTATTCCAGAACTTTTATTTGGACACATTATCTATTTGACCTCGGGTAGGCTTTTAAACTTTTTGCCTCAATTTCTTCATATGTAAAACAGCGATAATAATAGTGCCTATATCCTAGAATGATTATGAGAATTAAACAAGTTAATATACATAAAGGACTGTCATAAGCATGTCATTTAGTGAATGGTCAACAGTGTTGGGTCTCTGAAACCCATGTGTTACAAACATATCACATCATATTTGTGAGTACTTCTAAATTTTGATGGAGTAAGCAAAAGAATGCTGGAAACGACTTCAATGTGTAGGGAATGATATCTTAGTAACAAGATTCTGAAACCTCCGGTAGCTAATCTGTGATTTCCTTTTGCTTCTATGCACCACTCAAGTTCTTCTTATGGTTTTCTGAAACTTAGGAGGGACTGGAATTTTTCTTCATCGTGTTTATAGAGAAATGTATCATAGGAGAAACTTGAGTTGGGTTTTATTTCTTTGACATTGATGTTTTTCATTTCACCTCCACTCCTTTGGAGACCTAGACAATGTAACTTAGAACTTTTTATTTTCTAATTTCGCCACTTTATGTCTTATTAATGCATTTTGTCAGTGTGGAAAGCCCTCTGGTGGTCAAAGTAATTCCTATGTGGCTCTTTTAGATGAGTTGGAATAACATCAAGTTGATGTTCAAGAGCTGGGTTCAAATTCTATTTTTCTCCTTTGCTCATTTCTTTTTCTAGTTAAACTATAAAGTAAATTTTCTATTAAACAGGTCTTCTGCAGCATTTTAGTTCTAAAAATGTCTAGGGAAAAATAGTGGTAGGACAGTTAGCTTTACTCAGGTTAAAATTTATTAGTGATAGTATTAACATTTTGGAGGGTTTAAATGCTGTGCCGTCCAGTATTTTGCTGTCACTCTAGGAATGAAATGTAACATACACTCTGGGTTGAAGATCCTTAGGACTCTATGTAATGTAAAGGCTGGAAGTGGGGGACTTAGAATTTATCGTCTCATCTTCTAGAAAGAGAAATTGGAGCAAGTGATTTGCTCAAGATGTCAGCTGGGAGCAAAGCCATGCATAGAAGGCAGGTCTTCTGTGTGTGATTCCTGTGCTCTTTTAGCCATGTTGCTTGAGGAATATCATAGCCAGGCCAAGTTCATCAATCCCTGGTCTCTCTACCAGATACCGAGGTGGCCAGGTCTCATCAAACTCAGCCATAGGATACTTCTGTCCAGGCAAAATTCAACTCATATGCTTTCCATGGGTTCTCTGTCTCTTGTTTGGTGCGAGACAGGGTGCAGGATTTTCTTTTTGTGGTTTAGTGTTGGGAGTTGATTGGTTGCGTCAATGGAGTAATCTGGCATGAACAATCACCCTCAGCATATCCTCACTATTAAACAGCATTTTTTTTTTGGAGAGGATGTGCATTATTCTTTACTGTGTGCTGGCCACTGCAACTCATCATAAAGATGAATGACTGACAGGTGACCTATGTCTGGTGTCCTAGGAGAGTAGATACCTTGGAGATGAAGAAACATCTGTTCCACTCTGACATTGGCAAGAAAAGCTGGCTTGTCCCTCCCTTTCCTGGTGCTATTGCATGGGCTTATATTATTATTATTATTATTTGAGTCTTTGGCTATGTCTAATGTAGGCTGGGCCCCGAGGCTATTTCTTGGTGCACCCTGTGTGACATGGTACAATCACAAGAAAGCTGGGAGGTGGCATGGGGGGAGCACAGAAGATCCCCTAATGTATTCTCAATCCCAGTTCCTGGGCACAGACAGTGCTACCTGAGAGACTGAGGAGCTAGGGGCTCCAGAAAGGTAGAAATTCAGGTTAATTACCCAGAATCTTGTAGTGTTCCTGGGTCGTTCTCTGGATGTAGGTACATTTTCTCAAGAGACTGTTTAACTCTTTACATCTTTGTTACTGTCCTCATTGCTAAACTTCACAAGAGCAGGTAATGCTGGCGTTTATGAAAGAGTGAACAGCTAATAAGATAGGAATTCAATTCACATGGCTTGGTCTGATTCAGGAGTTGGGGTAGTAAGTTAAATCACTCACTGTTCTTCAGTGAGCATGTATGATTTGAGTCCTTATGCTGTGGCTATCTACTGTGTCAGATAGAAAATAAAATGTAGCCCCTGCCTTCAAAGAGCTTAAAAGTGATTTCATTTTGTGAGCACTTCCTGAGTGCCTGCCACATGCCCAGGATCCTGCTGGGTGCTTGAGGCTGAATAAGTCCATGCTGTCTTCAGCAGAAGTTGTCGGTGACCACCTATGCCCTGTCAGTATTACCCTTTCTGTGTACATTGCCCAGCCAGCAGCACCTGCAGCTTTGCCTTAGAGTTTTCTCTGGTGACTGAACCACTTTTGCTTGGGACAGGGAAGGTGATAAGGCCAGAGAAGCAGGAGTTGGTGGATTAAAAACTCTGTTATTTTTCATGGGGGTGACTTTGAGGCACAGTCTTTTCTGTCTCCCAGAGCTCCCCAGCTGCATGAACTCCAGCTGGACACAGTGGGAACTTGCTCAACAATACACCATGCACCATTACTCATTTCCCCCCCTTCCCTTTCTCATGTCCCCACTCTCCCACTCCTAGGGTCACCTCCCCAAAAATGCTTTCACCTAAATCCTTCTTCCATCATCTGTTTCTGAAGAAACCAGACTATAATATCTTCCATGCTCTTCACATGCCTTTGATTGAAGTAAATTTCTGATGAATGTTGCAGAGGACATGCAAAGTGCTGAGGTAAAGAAGAGAATGGGTGACAGAATCCAAATAGAAGGATCTTGGAAGCCCTCTTGGAAGAGGTTGCATCTGAATTAGAATTGTAGGGGTTGGGTTGGGCT
The DNA here is from genome assembly GCF_000001405.40 of Homo sapiens. Classification (NCBI taxonomy): domain Eukaryota; kingdom Metazoa; phylum Chordata; class Mammalia; order Primates; family Hominidae; genus Homo; species Homo sapiens. The sequence continues at coordinate 75,912,466 of NC_000010.11, forward strand.
TTGTTAGGAAGTTATGGAAAGGAAGGGCATTCCAGGCTGAGAGAACAGCTTCTGCAAAGACCTGGAGGTGGGAGGAATATGAGGCATATTTGCAAAATGGTAAATGTCTGATATGTCTGTAGTTCAGGGTACATTAGGGTGGGATAGGGGAGGTGAGGATGAGGGAATGTAGGAAGAAGAATGTAAGGACTGTAGGTAGAGTTCTACTTATTGATGGTTTGAATGTGAGGCTGAGACATGTAGCCTTGCCTTTGTGGGCAGTGGTGGGCTCTCAAGGTATCTTAGCAATGGGGTAGTATGTGTCTTTTAGGATGAAGAAGCAGGAATAATATATACACAAAATAGAAACATGTCAAGTGTGAGGCTATTGCTTATCCTCTAATTGCTGGGGAATTTCAAACTGAGGAGAGACAAGTGTGAGTATTCAGAGCAGCCAGGGAGGGATCAAGTGAGAGGTAGAAGTTGAGTCTAGTGAATGAATAGACGGTAGTTAAGAGAAGGTTGAAGCCAGGCATCCAGGACAGAATGTGCAAAGGCTCAGGGACAGGAATAATCTAGCTTTAGAGATGCATCATGACTTTCATAGACGCTAGGTACATGGGCCTTTCTGGGTCCCTTCCCACCTAAAAAACTGCTAGTAGTTTTTTTTCTTAATGATTAGATTGATAAAGACAAACATGTATAATAATATTATATATTAAAACATTTTCTGGCTGGGTACAGTGGCTCAGGCCTGTAATCCCAGCACTTTGGGAGGCCAAGGCTGGTGGATCATGAGGTCAGGAGTTGGAGACTAGCCTGGCCAATATGGTGAAACCCCGTCTCTACTAAAAAGACAAAAATTAGTCATGCATGGTGGCGCGAGCCTGTAGTCCCAGCTACCCGGGGGGCTGAGGCAGGAGAATCGCTTGAACCAAGAGGCAGAGGTTGCAGTGAGCCAAGATCGCGCCACTGCACTCCAGCCTGGACGACACAGCGAGACTCCGTCTTGGGGGGAAAAAAAATTCTTCTGCCTGAAGTTAATTTTTCTTTTGACTTTAAACGAAATGAAAACATTTTTGTAGTCTCTAAAGTCTCATAGGTCATGCGCCCCGTGTGCCTGATAGAGAAGTGAGCCCTGCCTTTTGGGAGCCGGATGAATCTTCATACCTCCTTGAGGCTAGGCTGAGGTTTCCCTCACCTCTTTTCGTAGAGCTGCAGCTTTGGCATTAGGAGGGAGCCTTGGGCTCACCTGCCAGGCCCTGAGTGAGAAGCTCGAGGGCACAATGTGGGGTGGCCTTTTAGGTATACCTGGTGGCCGGCATCAGGGTGCCCCTGGAGAGGAGCAAGGGGACAGGAGAACGTCCTGGAGCCCCTGAAATTGGGTCCGGCTTTCTATCTGTCTAGGCCACCTGAGCAGGCTCCCATTTGCTTATTTTCCCGTATGAATCCCTTGTGAGCTTATCCTCCAAAAGGCTTGCCCCGCCGTGGGGGTAAGTGAAAGCTTCTCTGCCTGCTGCAGCATCACCCTCCTTGAGCGTTTCCACTGTCAGTGTTGCTAGAGAAGCACCCTCCTGTCCTTCTGTGTTTCCTCGGAAATGCTTACAAAGAAGCAGAGGTTTACGAAATGAAGTGATATCATCCGAAAAAAGCCTGCGAAAAGCAACCATGGTGAGAAGACTGCGCAAGGATTTTTTTTTCCTCCTTCTTCTCAAAAATAGTCAAAACACATGCAACGCATACTTGTAAAAGGATCAAAAAAGGAGAGAAAATTGTAGCTGGCAGTTGTTTTCCCCACTGTTATTTGGTTGCTCCTTAGCTTCCAGCTGTTGAAATGGCTAGTTTATGTTAATGGGTATTTTGCCTCTCCTATTCGTGTTACTTTACTCCAAATTTAAAAATGAACCTGTGACTTTATTTATCCCATGTGCTGGGAAAACAGAGATGCAGCCTTTTCTGTCTATATGATTTGCATTGTAAGGATGCACTTACACTGCCATATAAGTACATAAAATTTTCATTTTTGTGAGCAGGGACATATTTTGAGCCTCTTTTTTTCCAGTTCTTTCTCCAAAGTTAAGAAGCATAATTCAATAAGTGAATGCTGTCTCCCAATATCAGAGACCCATTTTCTGCTGTGATAGAAGATCTATTGGTTCCCTTTTATGGATCTGAAATTGTGATTGGCATGTCATGGTCAAGATATCACCTAGAGTACACATCCCTCAGTTAACTAACCTCTCTCTTATCCTTCTTCTCAAATGATCTTTCTTGTAAACTGGGTTGAATCATGTGTATTTGGTTTCTTAATTATAGACAAATTTCTCACTGGATGAAAAGTCTGCTAATTAGTGATTTTAAATGTCATCCAGATATATTAGTAGACAGGTGTTATTTTAGAAATACAGGGCAACATGACCTCTTGTGTTGTAACCTATACAAAGGTAAAAGTCTATATGGTGTTATTTAATGACAAAAGAAAAATAAAATCCTCAAAATACACCTCCTTCCCCTCATATGCACTCACTGGCCCATTGAAGAACCAGGTTGTTATCTTGTTATCTGACTGGATTAAGTTACTATGTCATGACTGACTACAAATACTATAGCTTTATATTATAATGTCAGAGAAGTTTAAAGCTGAAGAGGCCTTAGAAATTCTCATGTCTAACCTTCTTTTTTTTTTTTTTTTTTTTTTTTTTTTTGAGACAGAGTATTGCCCTGTCACCCAGGCTGAAGTGCAGTGGCATGATCGTGATCTCAGCACTGCAACCTCTGTCTCCCAGGTTCAAGCAATTCTCCTGCCTCAGCCTCCTGAGTAGCTGGGATTATAGGCACCTGCCATCATGCCCAGCTAATTTTTGTATTTTTAGTAGACATGAGGTTTCACCATGTTGGCCAGGCTTGTCTTGAACTGCTGACCTCAGGTGATCTGCCTGTCTCGGCCTCCCAAAGTGCTAGGATTATAGGCGTGAGCCACTGTACCTGGCCCTAACTTTTATTTATTTATTAATTAAATTATTTATAGAGACAAGGCCTCCTGCCTCAGCCTCCTAGAGTGCTGGGATGATAGGTATGAGCCAGCAAGTCTGGCCTCGTGTCTAACCTTTTTAATTTAACAGTTGAGAGAACTGAGGTTCAGAGAGGTTAAGTGACTTATCCAGATCACAGTTTGTAGGACGACCTAGGCTTGACTCCATGTCTTCATTTCCCAAGTTTTGGGCCCTTTCTAAGCTCTGAACTAGGCTACTTTATTTAGATTCAGGGGGCAGTTACCAGGTGACTGGGCTAGGCAGTGTGGGTATTCTGGAGTTGAGTGAGACATGGTCCACCTAAGAGGCTGTCTATTCAGCTAGCTCTGCAGGGGGATAGGGTCAGAATATAAGTAGCTAGAATACCAGGCCAGTGAGTTGGTGTCATAAAATTGGCCACCGTTCCTGTGGACTGAATACTTAATGAGGGAGTGGTCCTACCTCATGGTATCAGGGAAGGCACCTTAGAAGAGACAATGACATCTGAAGTGGGTTTGGATGTACAGATTGGGCTTTTATAGGTGCTAGAGTAGGTCTTATTGGGCCCATTGGTATTAATTGTGTCCAGGAAGACAGAGACTTGTCTAGAGGTTGGAAGTACCTGATGATTCTCATAGTCCTGCTTTGTCACCATCTTGGCTTTCAGCTCTGGGGCTGTCAGGAATGGGCATGGCCATTGCCAGGCCTATGTGTGTGTGTGTGTGTGTGTGTGTGTGTGTGGGTGGGTGTGCATGTGTGTATACCGACCACCATAGCCCGTGAGCCTTCCCTGAAGGATGCTGCTCCTGCAAGCACCAAGTACCAAGGAGGCTAAGCAGTGGGTGCAGGCAGGACATGCAGTGCCTGGCAGCAGAGACTGCCAGGCACACATGGCTATTGCTGGCTGGGCTCCTCAGAGCTCTGGGCCTGGCAAGAGAGAGGCAGCAGGGGTGAGGCAGCCCCTACCTGGATGGGATGGCTATTTCCCAGCGCCTCATTCCCCAGGAGGTCACCTCGTTTCTAGAGGTGCTGCCTCTTGCCTTGCAAACAGAGTCAGACCTGCCATAAGGCCACAGGGGACTTAGAAAAACCGTCCCCACCCCACCAGGGCTGCCTGGCACATACCCTCTGCTCTGCCATGCTTTTCTGAATCTTTAAAATAAGTTTTTCATTAATTTTAGCATACAGTGAAGGGAAGTAACCTGTGGCTTATAAATAATGGCAACAGCTTTATGGAAACACCTAAAAATCACCAGGGGCACATAACAAGAAAGTTCTCCATCTCCAGGTGCGAAAACACGCTGGTGATTACTTGTTGAGCAAGACCCTGTCAGCTTTTTTATTACAATACATTATTGGGTAATAGTTTTAAAATTATTTATAGAAAGAAATCGAGCTGTGCCGAGAATTCCATCATTTAATATGTTGTCTGTGAATCTCATTAGCCTTTTTAGCCTAGGGGTTAGGAAGGAAAACAGAGCGTTGGCTGTATTTTGAAGATTGAGCACTATATACACTTTTTGTCGGGGGCTTGTTGACCTTATGTTAAGTTGCTTCTTTGCGAGTCTTTCTGTGTTACAGCTCTGGTTTCCATGGTATTTACATAAACCTAGCAACAGTTTGCTGTGTAGAGGCAGTGGCAGGGCCCACCATCTCCTCTGCCAAGAAGGAGGAGCAGCTTAGGATGCCTGCTGTGCAGGCCATCAATGGGCAAGTCTCTTTCAGGTAAGTTACAGAATAGGTAAGAATTGGGGTGAGATGGGATGTCAGCTGCTCCCCAGTGTATGTGTGGCCTCTCCTCTGTCTCCAGGTGACAGAGGCAGCTCCAGTATTCTGTTTTTGAAACCCATCCGGTGAGTTCTCCCATCTAGCCCCAGGCCAAGCAGCATGGGTCTCGGCAGAAGCTCATCCTGGGAGTGGGCTGCTCTAGAGAACACGACTCCATGCTGTCCCCAGGCCTGTGTTCTCCACTGACCCCACAGCTGCATGGCCAGTAGGCCTTAGGCTAAGTTCAGGAAGGACCCATCTGAAATACTCCTCCTAAATGAAGAGCCGTTCTCTGGTATAAGAGGGATGTTAGTGTGGTCAGAACAAGGCTAAATCCGGAATCGGGAGAGTGTGACAAATATCAACGAATGGATTATTTTCAAATGTGATCTCTCTAATCAGCTGTGCAGGGTGATAAGAAAGAGCAAGGGGCTTGGACACTGGCCCCAGAATGGTGCAATGAGTTCTTTATACCTCACAACATGGCAGGAACATTTAAAAAACAAGGTAAAAGGAAGTCACTGGGAGCAAACAGAAGAAGTGAAGAGCTGACTTAGAGCACAGTGACCTTGGGCAAATAAACTTCTATAAGTCTCGGTTTCTTTCTCCATAAATTCAGAATAATGGTACGTACCCCGCCTTGGTACTTGGTGCTTGCAGGAGCAGCATCCTGCAGGGAAGGCTCACAGGCTGTGGTGGTCGGTGCACACACATGCACACCCACACATGCACATGTGCGCACACACACACACACACACACACAGGCCTGGCACTGGCCATGCCCATTCCTGACACCCCCAGAGCTGAAAGCCAAGATGGTGACAAAGCAGGACTATGAGAATCATCAGGTACTTCCAAGCTCTAGACAACCTCTGATTTCTGTGAGAACTTGATGAGATCATGGAAATTAAGCATTCAGAGCAGTGTCACGGCTCACTGGGGTCGAGCAAGTAGAAAATCTGGGATTCAAACCCAGACAGTCTAGCCGTAGAACAGTGGCCTTTACCACTACCCTATTGTATTATGCCATTCTTTCATTGGTATAAAGAACTATTTGAGACTGGGTAATTTATTTTTTTAAAAAGAGCCTTAGTTGGCTCACAGTTCTACAGGCTGTACAGGAAGCATAGCAGCATCTGCTTCTGGGGAGGCCTCAGGGAGTTTCCAATCACGGTGGAAGGCAAAGAGGGAGCGGGCACATCACGTGGGGAAAGCAGGAGCGAGCGAGAGAGAGGAGCAGGAGGTGCCACACCCTTTCAAATAACCAGATCTCGCAGGAACTCACTAGGACAGCACCAAGGGGATGGTGCTAAATCATTCATAAGAAATCCACCCCCATGATCCAATCACCTCCCACCAGACCCCACCTTTAATATTAGGGATTACGATCCAACATGAGATTTAGAAGGGACACATATCCAAACTATATCAACTATGATGCCTCCAACACCTTCAGAAGCAGATGTCTTGAACTGAGCCATAAGCAATGTGGAGAATCAAGCCAGGTGGAGAAGAGGGGCTTTGACTTTGGAGCATAGAGAGCATAGAGTAGGTAAGTATGAATGTGAGGCCTTCATGGGAACCTGCCCCATTCTTGCCTTTATTCACCTGTTTAGTTTAAAGACGTTGATTGGGCACCAGTTATATTTCAACCCAGGCACTGTGTGTGAAGAAAAAAAAAGATGGAGCAGACAGTTCCTCCCACAAATAGTTGGGAGTTAGGAGAGTTGTCCTGCAGAGTAAAAAGAGAAAATAACAGCTTTATGAGTAGTTACCATGTGTCAGGCGTGATTTTGTGGGCTTTACGTATCTTAAATCATTGGATCCTCACAAGGGCCGTAGGAAGTAGGTGCCGTTATTAATGTCTATTTTAGACAGGAGGACCTGAGGTTCTAAAGAGGCTTAGTGAATTGACTGAAGTCATAGAACTGACCGGGGACAAAGCCGGGATGCGAAGCTGGGCAGCCTGGCCTCTGATTCCTGGCTCTGAAATTTCTCTCTATGGCCTGTATGATGCTAATCATGGGCAGCTCCAAAGCTGTCGGGGATGTTTAGTCTAGGGGTTGACTAAGAAACAGGAGAATAGTGAAGGCTCAAGATTCATTTACTCAGCTGGTCTGCAAATTTTTATTCTTGGCATCATTTGGAATGTGTTTCAGCAGTGTAGATGATTTTATCTTACAGGTTTTATTCAGCTCAGTGCCATGCAGGTGCAATTGGAGCATACAGATCCTGTGCACCGCCACTCGTTGAGCTGTGTGTGGCCAAACACAGGTACAGGAAAGCTCAGCACCTGGGCCTTTAGGGTTTTGCCTACTCAGTGTTCTAAGATGTAGAGATATTTCTGTAGGAGGGAGTGATAGTAGGTTTTTGGATCCAAGGAATCTCAGTTAGGGAGGTCCTTGGAGCTCATCTCATGAAAACTCAATGGCTTACCCCCCGAAAAAGGCTTTCTGAAATCTTTAGGCATTCTGTAAAGTTGTATCTAAGGTTAAGAGAATTGAAACTGCAGCTTTTATGGAGATGTCTGCCTGGATTAGATATGTTTCCTCTTTCTCCCTGGGATGTGCCACCTGGAGAAGGTCCAGGGAGCAGCCCTGTGGCTTTTGAGAAATGGTTCAGTTTGCTCTGGGGCCTTCTGATGCTTCTCTGACACGTCCGAGTAGGCAGCATTTTTTTTTAAACCCTTGATTTTCAGAAACGCATTGTCCCTGAGTTATTAATAATTATCTCTCTCTCCTCTCTACTCTTTCTTTCTCTCACTCTGAAAATCAACATCAACTTGACTAAATCCCTTGAGTTGAGCTTAGTCCAGTTTTTCAGTTTTCTTCTGCAGCTGAACACTCAATGCTTGATTCTCCTGGGGGTTGGGTTTAGGGCCCTCCCTATGTTCCCAGTCTCTAGGCCTAGTAAGTACATTGTTTTGGAAAGCCTCTTCCCTTTCAGTGCTGGCTCCCTAGAGACCTTCAAAACATCTTGGGTCAGAAAGTGCAATCCAAGCAAGCCTAGATGGTACACCACCCCCACCCAAAAGATCCGGATTTGAGATTACCCCCAGGACTTTTCCTGTTGATGGCACATTTGACTTACAGTATAGTAATGTGTAGTGCTTTTTCTCTATGAGCACTTCATAAGCATCCTTCGGTGATCATGACTTAGAAATGATTGGAGAACCTGCTTGTTCAGAAGGCCAGATGTTTCACAAGAAAATGAAGGACAGAGGTCTCCCAGTCAGCAATATTAGTAGTCTTGGGATAATAGCATTGGCAGGAGTCTAAAAGTTTGTCTGATACCAACTCCTTGCTATAACTTATCCAATCCAGCCCTCTCTATGCGCTTTACAGATAAGGAAGCCAAAGTATATAGAGGAAAATTCCCAAGGATAGTCACATAGCTGATTGTTATGGCAGAGCTGCGTTATCCTTAGCATTGTACCACATTCCTCCTTCTTCTCTGGCTCTCAGATTTTCTAGCACAAAGAGCAAAAACAAAAACAACCCCAAAGACTAGAAAATGAAACACAGCTCAGCCTGGGTTTTATAATGCCAGTCATAGGAGGTGCTCAATAAATGCTTATGACTTGCTGCACCCCCAGGAAGTACTGCCTCTTCTTTATGTGCATAGCTTCGCGCAGTTGCAGGCATGATTCCAGCCTCTGGAGATGTCTGATAGGGTGTGCGGATGGGCCATGTTGTTCCACTAGAGTAATTTCCTAGAGAGAGGAGAGAAGGGAGCTCTCATTTTGTATGTGGTCTGTCTAATGCCTCTCACATCCAATAACTTTAAAACCAATCAAATTAATAATGTAGGGAGAAACAAATGGATTCACTCTTTAGATATTTAAACAGGGATATTTCTGCCACTGACATGTAAATCTTTAATAGGATATGAGATTTGGCAATAAGAAAAAATGCCAAGTTGCTGGAGACCTGGTTCTTTTGTACTATTTTAGGTCCAATCATTACCTCCTGACATTACCTTCCTCAAATAGGTTTATTTGTTGAGGCCCTACTTTGTATTGGGTAGTGTGTATTTAATACTGGGATGTAAAGTAGTGGAATATATGGTACTTACCCTCACAGGACTTCCACTCTGCTGATGACAGACATATATGTGTAGAAAGATGAATACAAATACAGATCAGTAAGTGCAGAATGTCAGCCTAGTTCTGTATGTAATCACTGCTGCAGATATTCATGGGAGGAATGGATGATGTGTAGGGCTAATTAGCCTTCAAATAGGGAAGCTCATGCTGTGAAATATTTTCACCTGGTCAAAGGATGAGGGGCTGAATCTTGACTCCCATAGGAGACAAAGGATCTGGAGAGATTTTCAGATAGTCACTGAAGATTTCCAGTTGAAGTAGAAAAAAGCTTTGTGTTTGTGTCTGTGTGCATGCATGTGTGCATGTGGGCATATGTGCATGCAAGCTTATCTACATGGTTGTATAGACATTTCTGTCTTTTAGATTCCAAAGTGACTTCCTGGAGTGATAGTGAGGCTCCTCAAAACTTGGTTTAAAACCAACCTGAAGCATTCTTTATTTTCAAGATCTAAAATTTCTAGAAGCTCTTGTTGTGAGGAAGTTTTCATAAAACCATATTTACATATCCCCTTCCTCCTTCTGATCCTTCCTGGCATTTAATATTGATAAACTTCCTATTCCCTTGCCCACCTCTATTTTCTGTCATCTGGACTTATTAATGTGTCTTAACAGTAAACTCTTGCATCCTCCAATTGTTCTCCTCTTCCTTCCCCCCAACATTGGCCTCCTTTTACTTTTTATCTCTTTCGTTTTCTTCCACTATAGTGAGTTAGAAGAACCAAATGTAAACTTGTAGCAAGTCTTTCTTCTGGGTTGATATCTGTTTCCTGCCCATCCTGGTGGCCAGACTTCCCAACAATGGGGGAAAGTCATGGCGTCTGTTTCATTCCTTCCATGCTCCATCAAGAAGACCGCTTTTTAGGATCAATTTCCTCCCTTTCTGGAAAATTGCTCACTATTTAGAAAGAAGAAGTGTTCCTACTCTGAAGCTTTCAATTGTTGCCACCTTAATGGTCTCTCTCATTATTCCCAGGCATGACAGCATGAGTTTTGGTTTGGTTTGCCTTCCTTGACATATCAGAATGGTTGAGATGACCTTGCTTGATGGACCATGGGCATAAAGGAACTGGTTGGTTGAGTGTCAAGACCAGGAAAAAGTATGGATCTGTCCTTGTTGGGAGCCCTCTTGTCTACTTGCTTGGTTCTTATTAGCCAGTTTGGAGGTTGCCTTCTGCCATCTTCCTTTCATCTGTGTGGTTCATCATGAATCCTGGCCTAGCTTCTCCTCCTTACCTTATGCTTACCCTTTGATGCAGAGTTCCAACATTAATGTCTGCCTTTCCAACTTCCACATATTACACTGCCCTCTACTTCCCACTGTGGGCATAACTCACTGACTGCAGGACTGTTTCTCCAGAATGTGGATGAGACCTCAGAATCCTTCTCAGCAATGTCCTGAGGGTAGACACCAGCTGATCAGTTTTATCATGAAAATTGAAACCTATCTTCTCTCCCTGGATCTTACCAAAGTACTCATTTTCATCTTCAGCCTAGATGTCTTGCTAGACTTTTTTCTTCCCTATTCTTTCCATCTATTTCCTATACTTTGTTCTTCATCTATTATTGGTGGTGATGGTGATATCCATATTTATCACACTCTTACAGTGTGCCAGAATATAAAGGCTACAGGTATCATCTCATTTAGACTTTAAAGTCACTCTAAGGGATACTGATACTATTTTACAAATGGGGGCCCAGAGAGGTTAAGTGACTTTCCTAAGGTCACATAATTCATCAGTGTCTGAGCTGAACCTGAAACACACTCTGCCCTTTTCTCCCTGCCTCTGCACTACCTTTTACTTCCTTAGTACCTCATTACATCTTCCATAGTCACTGAATTTTATTCTTTGTCATTGCGGCTTATTTAAATACTGACTGTATTGGAAAAATTAAAATTATGGTATCCTTAATAAAATAACATTGAAGAGGGTATAGATGTCTGCACTGGGAATATTCTTTGTGTGTGAAACAAAAATTCAACTTGTTATAGTCAATGAAGTCAATGGTTCAGTTAATAATGCCTCTAATGGCATAATTCTGCTCAGTGCCGGTGATGGGTACCCTCAAAATCAGAGACTAGATTTAATGACAGGACATGTAGAAATCAGCGCTGTCATAAAAACAGCCGGGAGAGGAACTCCATAGGAGAGGAAAACCCCTAGAAATGGCTTGACGTTATTGGTTCCAGTCTCATAAATCTCAGTCTCCGATCCTTCCCGTGATTCCCCCTTTCCATCCAGCTGCACCTAAGTGTTCCCCCTTTGCAGTGAATGCTTGCATTTCCCAGTGAGTTTCCTGTGCTTAGAGATTTGTTTTTAGATCAATGCCATTTTTTATGTGTTGCTCATGCATGGAAGAGCTCTACTTTCTCTGCTTGTTCTAAATAGGAGAAAATAATTTTAAAGACTCCTTTTAAGGTGTCTTAAGACTCCTCTGTGTGTGACACCCTTCAGAGGAATGACCTTCCATTTTAGGGATTCCCTTTTTTGCACCCCTCCCTTACCCCCTTGCATTGGAGTAAGTCTCTTGAGACTCACTACGGCCTAGGACCAGGATGTAGGCCAAGTGGAAACACACCAAAGTGATTTAATAGAAAAGGTAATTCCTATTCAAACGGGATAGTCCCTTATTCATTTCCTCGGATTATCATCAAATTTATGTCACCAGCAAAGGAGCTTTATTGAGTTTCACAGAGATATTCCTTTTGCTCTCATTGTCGTTAGTTGGCACGCTGACATTTTCATATGTGTCTCAGCTAATGCCTCAAAATTACTCCATCTACAAATGTAACAATTGAACAGATAATTTTAATAAGATTCAGCTTGACTTCAGACTGCACTCCTTCCTTTCTTTATAGAATGCAAATTGTAACCTGTTTTTAAAGCCGTGCAATGCAGTGAACTTTAATGGGATTTGACAACATCATATTAAGCACAACAACTACGCATAATGTACCGAAAAATTGGACGTGAAATTGGAAACATAGCTGAGAACAAAGTAAATTTACATGGTTTGGTAGCTTGAATGTCTGATATCATATTCTCTCATGCAAGCCCCATAAAAAAGCAAAGGATTTAACAATGGATATCAGCAGAAAGTGCTTTTAAAGTTAAAACTGATGGATGGCTTGTCAAAAAAAATAATTGCATTGGTTGGAAAGTCGGGATGCGTGCTGAGGGGGAGAGAACAGGATATACAGAGAGGATGATGGGAAGTGACAGTGGTCTGTCAGGAAGGACTGGCTGCCCAGAGGAGTGTGAAGCCAGAGCTATAAGGTGGCAGAGTAGAACAGGCTGTCAGAGCGGGAAAGTGGCTTTAATACCCTGAAAAGCAAAGGAATCCGCCTGTCAGCTTTGCTCAGCCGTGCTGAAAGAGGAAGAGAACATGGCATAAAGTTAGAGACATTAAACAAGGGGGTGGGGGCGCAGAGAGCAGCGCGGAGAGCACAGGCAGGGAGTGGGAAGGAGGTGGGGGAGGCTTCGTATGTGGGTTTCTGGATATGTTCTTTCCTATTATATTTTCCCCCTTTTCTCAAGGGCCAACAAATTAAATTTGAGGGGCTGGGGTTTCTCTGCTTTTGAAGAAACGGGTGATTTAAGAGAGTCACATGCTCGTCCCAGTGGCTGCCACTCTAGTTGAATGGGTGGCTTTCTTACAAGTGCACCTCGGGTTGCCTTGGCCGATTTCTGGCTTTTCAGATCTACAGCCTCCTCTGCTGACCTTTCTCCTCATCGGAGTATGCAGTCCATTCTCCCAGAGATGACACCAATACCAAGTCGTCCTGGGACTGGCTTATTGTCTGACAAAGTGCTGTGAGGATGTGACACTTTAGCTATGTAAGAGGATTGTGAGTAAAACACAATAATCTGATTTTTTTTTGTAAATTTTTTTTGCCCTCTCAGCATTAGGTTTTGAATAATTTATTATTCCTTCTTCATATACTCCTGGCGGTGAGGTTAATTTGGTCATCTTGCAGGGGCCTGGCTGGTAATGAACATTTTTATATCAGGCCTCGGAGTACTTTCTCCGTAAGACATACCACATGTTTACCACTTAATTGCCCAAGTTGCTTGAGAGTGTTAGCGTCTGGGGGGGTTGGAATATGGCAGTTTATTGTACAGAAATATTTTGTGTATTTGATCTTAAAAAATATATTCTGAGAGACATCCAAATTCTTGAACTGCATATGGCCCCAATATAATTTTACATTTGGTTTAGTAGTTTGGAGGGGGGGAGCTTCTTTCCAAAGAGATAATTATGTCATTGTGGAGGAAGAAGGTGATGGTGGCAGTGGTGGTGGTAATGGTGGCAGCAGCAGACACTTACATAAGCATTTTCTTTTTCTTTTTTTTTTTTGGAGACAGAGTCTCGCTGGAGTGCAGTGACACAGTCTCGGTTCACTGCAGCCTCTGCCTCCTGGGTTCAGGTGATTCTCCTGTCTCAGTCTCCCAAGTAGCTGGGATTACGGGTGCCTGCCAGCATGCTTGGCTAGTTTTTGTATTTTTTGTAGAGACAGGTTTTCACCATGTTGGCCAGGCTGGTCTCGAACTACGAACTACTGACCTCGTATAATCTGGCTGCCTCATTTATTACATACCAGGCAGTATTCATTTAGCTCCCATAACAACTCTAGGGATAGGTTCTATTAATATTGCCTCTGTGCAGAGAAGGAAACTGAGCCCCAGAGAGGTTAAGTAACTTGCAGTCATTGAATTAGAATTCAAATTCAGGTAGTCTGGTAGCAGAGTCCATTCTTTTAATCCATGTGCTAGGTACACATAGGCATGTGGGGAACCCTGAAATGCCAGGTGGAGTCCTGTTGTGCCTCTATTATTCTTGTGTGTCTAAGGCTTTCTGGGAAGGATTTTATTAGAACTGGGCATCAACTGCCTGGAAAGCAGGTTGAGCCACCTAGCAGGGAGCAAGACCACAGAGCTATCTTCTCTGTGTTAGCCGAGTAAAAAGTGGAGCAGGGGAGAGAAAAGATGAAACAGTGGCAGGAGGATCTTTCCTGGTCACAAAAGTTAACCAACTTCCAAGTTAGATTCAAAACACTTGTCTGAAATTTTTCATCTAGTGCTCTGCAGAGACATGTATGTTTACACTCTGCATTCAGTTCTAGGTTATAGTAAGCCGGTTTCCAGAAGATGGAGACCTGCACTCCTGGTTTTCCTAGAACCTAGCTGGAGAAGCCGGGTGGCAGCCCGCCCACCTTTTTATCTTGATTTTATGCAGTATACTATGAAATTGCTCACTAAAGAGATTAATTAGTGGGGTCTTCACCTGGGTGTTTATGGGCATGTTTGGCAGTTTGGGATTGCTCCCGTGTTCTTCAAGCCTGCAGGGCACGTCTTGTGGATTGCAGTGGTGTGCTACCACACTCTAGCACCCACTCATGCTGCTGTTATTTTGGTTTCCTGGGCCTGTAACTTTGCTGTAAACAAGCAAAATTGCTTTCTACTCAGTGGGCTGTTTCCTGACACAGCAGGAGACCTTGTTGTTTTTCTCCTGGAAATCTCTGGGCTTCTCCTATCCTATCTGATACTTAGAAGGAACCCTTGCAGACTTACATATTACAGTAAGGCGCACACTTGTCACGGATCTGGGTTGACTTCAGTGTGTCTTTAGGAAGCCTCCCCTAGTGCTCCACGCTGCCCTCTGGCTGCAGCAAACCTAAAAGCTGGAGAGCAATACTGCCAGTCTCAAGTTGCACCATCAGGGACACCACTGAGATTTCAACTCTTGAATCAAAGAATTTAGGATTGGAATGGATAGAGCTTAACTAGCCTTTTCAGTGCCTCAGCTCAGGGGTCTCCAGCGATAGGGAATTCATTATACCCAGAAGCAGCACAAGCCAACTTATCTGAGACAAGTAGGGTTTGTTCTTAAGATGAGCCAAATGTGTTTCTCTAGAATTTCCATCCATTGGTCCTTTTCCTAACTCCCTGGGGCTACAAAGATCCCAGGTGTTAAATTTGTGCATCCCATAAACCACTGTAAAACTGTATAAGTCTTCAGCCTGTAGAGATCTGCCTGTTTTCTCCTTCACTTGTTCGTTCCATCATGTTCAATGGAGATATTAATAGCTAGAGAGAGCTTCTATCAAGACTCTTCCCTCTTCCTCTTCTCCTCACTTCTTCCTTCCAGCCCACTCTTCCCAACCTTGCTCTGCACTTTTTATGGCTCACCTACTCTTTCAACAGAATCCAATTCCTTGCTTTAATTTCAGGTAGCCCTGAGTCCAGAATTTAGGTGTTCGAGGAAGGACCTCCTGAATTGAGGTAAGGGAATAAGACACATTCCCCAAAATGAGACTGTAATCAAGTGGTGCTATTTCCACTTTGCAAATGAGGTAACTGAAGTTTAGAAAGGTTAAGTTACTTGCCCAAGGACACACAGCTAGTAAACAGTAAAGTAGATTTGGACTCAGGTCTGCCGACAATAAAGCCTCAGCTATTTACAAAGCAGGTCTAATGTACTGGTTATAATTATGGATTCTGGAGCCCAGCAGGCCTGGGTTCAAGTCTCCATATACTAATTGGTGACCTTGGGAAAGTTATTTAGCCTCTCTGTATCTCAGTGTCCTCATTGGTGGAACAGTAATAATAATGCTACCTGCCTCACAGGGTTGTTGTGAAAATTAAATGAGAAAAAGCATGTAAAGCAGTTGGCACAGCACCTGTATGTGATAACCACTCAGTAAGTTTTAGTTTAACATCATCATCATCATCATCATCATCATCATCATCATCATCTATTTTTAAAATTATGATAGAGAATGTCAGAGCTTTGCACGGTTGGCTATGGAGCCTGAAATGTGGCCACCTAACTCTTGGGGTGGGGGGTGAATTCACGCGGCAGGGAGCTGCAAATAACCCTTTGGTGGATGCTTTACAATGGAGGCTGGGTGGGGTCTGGGAAGAGTGGCAGTGGCTATGATTATTATTTTTTAGTTTTGGGTTTTTTTTTTTACACTTTGAGAAGATTGCTACAGTTATCTGGAAATCTATTGCTCGGGCAAAAGCAGGATTGCGTGATACAATTTAAAAGGCCGGCAGCTGCATTTCATCCTTTTCACAAGAAAATAACCCCTTACTCCAGTGAAGCTAAAAATAAAAATGGCAGTACATTTGGCAACCACGCTTCTTCCTTTATTACCTCAGCAGTATCTGAATAAAATGTCTTATTAAGCAAGATATAAGGGCAATGAAAGGGAGAGTAAGTCAAATTAGTTGACATCTAAAGCATGGTGCATCATATACCGCGAGGGTAGTTACTGTTTAGTAAAATGGATTTAATGCTTAATATAAATGCTGATATTTAGATGGCTATATTTTGGCAACTCAGGAGGAAGAGAGGTGGTTTTTGAGCTGGTATAACTAGGTTTTAGGTCCTTTCCTGACACAAACCACTCATGTGGCACTGGGTGGCATGCTCCATAACCTTGGGCCCCACTTCCTCCATGTGCTAAAGGAAGGGTGTTTTCTGGCACCCAGTGGCTCTGTGGCAGGATCTCAGGGTAATCTGGGAAGAGTGGCAAAAACAGGGCTCTGAATACCCACCCCACTCAGACAGGTGCAACACTGCCTGTATCTGCTTTACATATTGGGACAACTGGGTGAGATTTTCTTTGGGGAAAGGATTACACGAATAAAACATAGGTTGTCAAACCACCAGATTTGATTATTTCTAAGGAACCCTACAATTCTCACCTTTGAAAGTTCCACCATGCCAAGTTTGAACTGGCTCTGAAAGCACTCTGGGTCCTGTTTCAGCTCTACCACCTACAGTGCCCAGAAAGGACCTCGGGGTCCAGGAGACAGGGCAGTGCACTAGATACAGCACAAGGTAGGGTGTGACCAGGGAAGAAAAGTGGTGGCAAATCCCATTATAAACATGGATGGATGCAGGCTTGTGTGCCTGTATACATGTGTAAGTGCATATACAAGCATTTAAATGCATGATCTATGTGTGTGTGTGTGTGTGTAAATGAATGCGTTTGTGCATATGTTGGTAGAATTCATGTACAAATCGGTTTCTTACATTTGTGCATAGAGAAGATGTATGCACAGCCATACCATCGTTGGCCAACTGTTGTCTCATTTATGCCAGCCATCACCTTGGTGGGTTAACCTTCATTTTCGTGGTTGAAGTGAGGAAACTGAGTCTTACAGAAGCTAAGTAACCTCCCCAAGTTACATGGCTAACAGTTTGCAGAGTAGAGGGATCATACTGTATTAGGTATTTGTTTTATATATGCCTGGGATAGTGCCTTACTATTAGGGCCCTGGTCCACATAGCCCTCAAATTTCTGTGTGATGAGGAGAGTCTCATATATGACAGGGACCACTGTGGGTTAGTCTTTTAGAATTTTGGTTTTGTTTGATTTCTTGTTTCATTACTTTTGGGATCCTGTAGTTGAGGGTTACAATGACATAGCATGACCAGGGCTTATCCCAACCACTCTTTTCCCAAAAATGACTAAATAATGTCGTCAGGAGTTTGTTCAGGATTTCCTTCTTTGAGAGCTTCCTTCCAAAACTTCTTTTGTGACAGAGTTGGGAGCCTATTGAAAAATGAGGCTGATCAGTCACAAGTCCTATTATGCAAAGTCATTCTTAGGTACTATTGGCAAGTAACTGAATGCAATCCTAGCAAAGACCTTAGGAAATCTTGTTTCCTTTTATTCATACCATGAAGCACATTGAAGACTGTCAGTCATCCTGCTTCCTTGGAATCATATGCTGAGAGGCTTTTATTCTGAAGAAAATCATGAAACCTGCGAATAGATTTATGCTCTGCTTCTAATGGTTCATGAAGCCTAAGTATATCTAATAATAGTTCTTTCACCTGATTTGCCTAAGACTAAGATCTTGTATAAACAACTCTCACCAGAACCATCAATCACTGTTTAGGAATTTAAATTTTACCAACTAAAATGAGAATGGAGGAAGGGCAAGCTGTTTTCTGTGTTGAGCTTAGGCCTTTTATAGATACAACACTTTGGGGAATTTCTCGGTGTCTTAGTTGGAGATGAGGAGAAACTGGAGCCTTTGCACACTGCAGGTGAGAGCATAGATTGGTGCAGCCATTTGGAGAAATCTGGACTTACTAGCTAAATAAAATATATGTAATGTATGACAGAGGTCAACTCCTAGATCTATAACTCAGCAAAGTTTTATGGTAAGCAGACATTCGATGATGGTGATGATCATGTCTTTGTTGCTGGTTTCAGTGATTGTGACTGTTAGACTGAAGGCTATTTGAGTTGTAGTTTATTGACAAGTGGTCAAGACCCTTTTCAGGGTATATTCTCAATAAGCCATTTGTCAAAGTTGCTGAGAGAGCCTTCATCTATCTCCACTCCTATGCTTCATACCTGCTATATATTCTTTGAGTGCAATGTTCATTTAGTTGATGTTGCTGGAATGTTTTTGTGAGTGTTAATTGTGATTCTTAGAAAAGAAGTAATCTTGGACATTAAAAACATAGAATCCCCAAGTTGAGATTTGAGATTATTTAATTCAACTAATAAGCCTAATAAGAATTCCAGCTATAGTTATTCTTATAGGTGATCTGCTTAGATTCTCCCAGTACTGGGACATTTGCCACATCCAGAGTTATTAGAACATTCTACCAGGGACAGATAGACTACAAAGTATTGGTACTATTAGGCAAAGTTGCAGGATTTTGCCAACTGAAACCCCAAGGCATTTTCTAAGGAACAGACAAGAGACAATTATGCCATCCTATCTAGTTCCCGCTACTGCATCAATTTGCTTGGGAGCTAAAACTGCTTTTTACTCTAAAAACAAGTTGAAAAACCTGAGTATCTCTCCAGGGTGGAATCAGCTGCATATACCCAGGGAGATAAAACGGTCTGAAGATGTCATGGGCATTGTGAATAGGGACAGCAGAGGTTACATCCAGTGTCAGAAGTCAGTCAACTCATAGGCATTCTTGCTGAAGAAAAGAGGCAGGAAGGTCACTGCCAAATGTGACCTTGCCTGAACATATAAATAACTGTTCATGTGTCTAAATTGTCATCATTAATTAAGTAGTGTTTCATATTAAAGGCTCTCAGTCCAGAATCTCCGTTACTTTATAGATGTCTGTAGCCTCATGAAGACCCAGATTTCTAGGATATCAGCGGGGGAATCATCTCAAATGATGATAGTAATAGACATCTTGGTCCCTCAATAGAAGATGGGATTGCCAAAATACTTCTGGAAGTCATTACTGATGTTATAAGTCAAGGATCTGAATGGAAGGAAAATGCAAAACCAGAATCTGTATTATTTCCTTCCTCTAAGCTTCTGCTCAAGGAAGTCCACCCAAGAATGCTGGTGCATCAGTGAGACTCTTTAGCAGAGAGAAGAGATTCCAGGCCTACTGATGCTTGGAACAGCCACTCTCATCAGCAATACTGAGCTACCTGCTTCTCTTGCTGGGGAAGTCCTGTCCATGGAGCCGGCTTTACCAGCTGTGCAGTCATACTCAGGGTGTGCAATGTTACTGATTTAGGAGCCCATGTTCACACATTAGGATCAACCCAAACCATCATATCCTATTGTATGTCTTCTTCCCCTCACCATGTCAAAGCTATGTTAGGTCACGAAATCCCTGACAGCTCAGTCACACACAGAGTGCCCAGCTCAACAACAGAACCAGAGGTTCATGAAGTCAGTTTTGCTGTTATTGTGAGAAAAGACAAATTGCAAATTATCTCAATAAAAAGCTGTTATCATTTATATCAATAACAAGTTTTTTGGGTTCTCATTTCAAGCTTGATTATATTAGTACATTTATAGTGTCTTTTGTTTTTTCCCTGTGGCTGTACTTTCTTAAGAAGCTGGAAGACTAATAAACACTGATGCTCTTTTGCCACAGATTTCATCTATGATTTTGATTTAAAGCTTTCTGATCAGTATAGCTGACTGATCAAGCCACATGGCTGCAAATTACTTATCTTGGGTTCTCCTTCCAATTGGGTATAATAGAGGGGATGGCTGTAGAGAAACTCATTAAAGAACTCAACTATTTGGGAAGCTGAGGCAGGAGGACAGCCTGAGGCCAGGAGTTCAAGACCAGCCTGGCAACATGGGGAGACTTCTGGTCTACAAAAATAAAAATAAATTATCTGGGTGTGGTAGTATGCACCTGTGGTCTCTGTTACTTGGGAGGCTGAGGTGGGAGATCACTTGAGTCCAAGAATTCAAGGCTGCAGTGAGCTATGATTGTGTTTCTGCACTCTAGCCTGGGCAATAGAGTGAGACTCTATCTCAAACAAAACAAACCAAAACAACAGAAAAAAAAACCAATGAAAAAGAAACTCGACTAATCTAAGCAACCAGCCTGAGTAAATTATCTGCCCCCTTCCATGAAACCTTGAAAACATAAAATCATGTTGTTTATTCCAAAGGCTAGTAGTTATCACTTTATCTTGGCTATTCTAAAGTGCAGTACTTTTGTGAATTTTGCTCATTAAGTAACTTACTGAAGTTTTATTTAGGAGTCTAGAATGGATGATAATGTTGAAGATTGTTAGGGATAATGTCAAGCTACTTGACATAATCAACCAAAAATGCTGTATATGAAAGGTGTTTTGTAAACCATTAAATTACTTAACCAAAGCCTTAGTCAAGAATCAGTATTAATTCTTCAGAATCATTCAGGCGTAGATTCCTTTTGAAAGTGACTTAAGATGCTCACAGATACTCTAGTTCTAGCCCTTTCTGAAATAGTCACAGGTGCTTTCAACACATGGCTGGCCAGATGCTATCATTTCTGACAGTGGGTCTGAATTTAAGGAAGTTGTGGACAGGAACCTTATCTGAGCTGTCACCATCCTGACTCATCACCTTCAAGCAAATAATCAGGCTAAAAGGATAGGCTACTGGGACATCCTAGGAGGATGCTAGAGGAGATTGGCCAACGAGATTCACTGGACTCTTAGTCTCTCAACCTGTCACTCCACGCTCATCCATGGAAATTGGCTCTGATTCATTACTAATGGAGAAATAGTTCAAGACTTGCTTTGCATCCCTACACCTATGTTTGGATGAGGACTTCAAGAGTGAGAATACATTTCAGATACAGTTATGGCTAAATTGTAGTCTTTGCATGAAAAAGAAATGACCTGGTCCTTGTTAAGAGCAGTGGATTCAGCCCAAGGTGGTTTCCTGATATAGCAGTTGAAGTTGCAGAAGATTCAGAGTGCAATGTATGTCCCTGCAAGATACTGTAGGGCCAGTAATGTTTGTAGCAGTAATTCCTGTCTGGTCATGCATCTGCTAGAATGTCGTATCTAGTACTCTGCACCCACTACCACCTCGTAGAAATAGCTTCACAAGTTATATGGAGGATTGGTGAGACAGGTGGGAGGGTATTCGCTCCAAGGAGGAGAATGCTGTGAGATAGCCATTTTTTCTGCCTTTATATTCTTGTTGGGGATATGTTTTTTAGGTGCCTGTAGCTGTCTCCTGCTGAATGGGCTTTGTTCAGAGATGCATTTGCCTGTATAAGGGTTGTGGTTTTAGAAGACTGCTTATCTCCCTCCTAGTTGCTCACTCTTACATAGGACAGCCATGTCCAGCTGTAAAGGTAATATACTGCACAGCTGTAAACAGCATCCCTAAGAACAAGTACATCAGGAAATGTCTTGGGGTTCCTAGTAGCAGTTAGTGATGAGAGGACCAAGCAGCTCCAGCCTTCTTGGTTAGCTCTGTGGCCTTAGGTAAGCTATTCAACAATAGTAGTCCTTCATTTCTGAGTCTGCAAAATGTGCATGGGTCCTGGGTAAGGAGAAGGCATCACCTGCTGACCTAAGGAAAGTGAAATATGAGTGAATGCCTTTATGCTTTCTTTATGGCATAAACATGTTAATTACACTCATTACACACCTCAGAGTGTCCAGTGCCAGCCTTTCCCCTGAGCCATTTCCTTTGCTATGGACCTTTCGGTTTTCTGGGACACTTTGGTAAAAGGATGGAGACAGCAATTAAATATGCCTTAGAATTATTGTCATTCCATGTTTTATTTTTGCCTTGGGTGTCTTTATGGGAGAGAGGAAAGGCCAGGAGAGGTATGGGCCAGTAGACCCCTGGCTACCCTTGGAGGTGTCCTTTCTCTGAACCTTGAGTTGAAAGCATTTATAGGGAAGGAAAAAGCTTAGATTTCTTCTGTTTAAATACTTTTCTTCCAATAGAAGACAGAGTGTGTGCCAGTGCCAGAGACCTGGGTAACAGTGAGAACCTTGAAGAGGCAGTGAGGGCATAAAGGGTGTGCTCCTGGCTAGTGGGGAAGAGAGACAAGTTTGGTGCAGGGGTCTAGGTACCACTCGGCCAGCAGGATGGGCACTCTCGGTCAGTGCCTGCAAATGGTGTTGATGTCAGTTTCCTGTTCATCTGGGAATGTCCTGGCAACACATGCTGGTTTGTTTCAGGCTAAGCCACTACCTGGAGGCAGTGTGAATGCGAAGAAATTGGGTTGCTCCCTTTTTCTTTTAGAACAGTTTTCCTCTTAAATAGTTCTGTACAACAGTTGGAGCCAATCTATTTATAACTGAGTTTTATTGAACCTGATGGGGCTTCACTCTCATTGAGTCCATCAGCGGAGATTTCCCTCTTGGGCTTTTTTCATGGCAGGAGGGTTTCCTGGCTTAATGGGTGCTCTGTCACTAGTGCTCCTGGTCCCTGGTCCAGCTTCTCTCTTGGTTTGCTCTCAGTTTCTCATCCCAAAGGGAACTCACTACAGCCACTCCCAAAGAAACAAGAATCCTTTTTCTTTCCCGTCTCCATCCTTCCCTTACTCCTGCCACTGCATTCTGCTACTCTCTCCCCACAAATTCCCTCAAAGCCTTGAGGATCCCAAGAAAGAGAAGGGCAAGGGTGAAAAATTTAAAACTGCCCAAGATGGATAGTGAAAACACCATGCATAAATAAATTTCAGCAAATCCCCCGGATGAACAATGATTGTGTGGTTGAAGACCTGGCTGAATAAGTGTGTCAGGTACTGATTGGAAGCATGATAAATGCAATGACCTAACAAAGGATTGACTTCTCCTGCAGACAGGCCCCTTTTAATGGATGGAAAGGGAGGAAGCTTCATTTAGAAGGGAAAGGCTGTTTGCTGTGCAGATATGACAAAGGGGAAGTAGACAACCATTGATTTACGTTTGGGAATGACAGTTGAAAAATTCAGCAATAATCATGACAAATGAGAAGAGATGCAGTCAGAGGAAAAAATGTCAATACGTTAAGCCTGCAAAGAAATGCCAAGGTCACAGAGAAAGGTTCCCAAACTTCTGGTTTTGACAACCTTAATGGAAATAATAGGAAAGATGAGGGTTCAGGTTAAAAGGGATGGCAGGGCATGAAGGGCTGCAGGTGTGGGTAATTAGTGGTGAGTTTGGAGAGGGAGTGGCAGGAAGTCCTTCTCCCACCACTGGGAAGCCGTCTGTCCACATGCAACTGAGGTGCTTCCTGCTGCTGGCAGGCCTGCCCTCCTCCCAGAGGTTTGGAAAATCAGGCAAGTTATTTTAATGTCAGTAGTGACAGCAGAAAGAGAGAATGTGGGCTGGGTGTGCTTGTGATGCTTGACGGGGCACATCAAATCAGAGGTTTAGCTCTGATCTCAGGACTGCAGTGTGTCTGCCCCCTCATTTTTATTTTTATTTTATTTTATTTTATTTTGTTTAAAAGACTGATTATAAGTGAGAGGCAGTGAGCTCTAGGTTATCTGCCTGGTTGAGTTTGGTAAGATGTCTCCTTGTTTTATATTTATCATTGTTGTAAAGCACCCGGTACATTGAGTCCTACATTTCTGCACTCTAATAAGAGAGGCACAATCCAGGATGTTCTGTCTGTGGGCGTGAGAAGTGGGTTTAAAAATGTGCATATGTGGATAGGGAGGGAGGTGACCTGGGAAGGTGTGGAGGAATCCTCAGACCTGGGTCATTGTTTACTACTAACTCTGTATGTAAATGTGGACAATTTGCTTTACTTCTCCAGAGTCTGACGAGCTCATCTTTAAAATGGAGAAATTCTGGAGGGAAAAGGTTTCTGACATTCTCTTCCTGGTATATAATTCCAGGATTCAATATTATATCTAGACATGGTGTGTGGTTTTAGGCCTATTTGCATATCTATTTGTATATACAAATACATATCTCACATATTTACCCGCACATATCTTTTTGCTTCACTGTGTTGGTCTGTTTGGGCTGCTGTAACAAATTACCACAGATTGGGTTGGTTATAAACAGCAGATACTTATTTCTCAGCGTTCTGGAGACTGGGAGATCCAAGCTCAAGGCAGCAGTAGGTTAGGTGTCTGGTGAGGTCTTACTTTATGGTTCATAGACAGCGACGTCATATTGTGTCTTCACATAGGGGCAAACAAAATCTCTCTGAGGTCTCTTTTATAAGGGCACTAATCCCATTCAGGGGGGCTCCACTCTTATGACCTCACCACCTCCCAAAGATCCTACACCCTAACACCATCACCTTGTGGGTTAGGCTTTCAATATATGGCTTTTGGGACACAAACATTCAGATCATAGCATTCAGCCATGCATGTATTTCAGTATTTTAGTCTGCAGTTAACACTGTCTTCTCATCTTTATTTTGGTTTATTCTCATCTAAATATTGTTTATGGACTTAACCCTCAATATTATAAAATCATCCTTCTGTTTACTGGGTAAAAATGATGACTCATATAGTTTTTACTTTTGGGGGAAGAAGCCCTAACACCCCTAAAATACGTATATTGTGAAACCAGTTACCAGTTCCAAGAATGACAAGATACTCTCTGTGGGAATTCTTCAGCTTCAGACAACGTTTGAACTATGACTACATTTTTGCTAAATTTGTTGAACAGAGATAAATATTTTTAAAATCTTATTTTATTTATGTGAAATCATGTGCCAGGAAAAGCTCCACCCTAAATGAAAAATGATTTTATTTTAAGCCAAGCAACTCCTTTTAGATAAGCCTTGAAGAGAAGTTATCTCATTTAAAAGAATGAGCCATTTTGGAGCTGCTGTTGTATCACAATTCCTCTTGTCAGCCGAGTAGCTTGGGGGCCTGGCCCTCACAGGGTTATCCCCAAGCCTTGTGTCACCACTGGCACGTGGCTGTTTTCATTTGAATTGTTTGAGCATGTGAAAGTTCAAAGTAAAGCAGGTGCTGTGTTTGAAAGCAACACTGCCCCCCGTAACTCAAGCATGTGCACCATCGAGTTGCCAAAAGCTCTCCAATTTCCATCAGTTAAGACACCCTTTAAACCATAGAAATGAAGGGGGGCAGGACTGGGTTATAAATGAGTGGGATCTGGTATTTGAGATAATCTTGAATCTATAATGGTTTCTTACGACTTCACTTCCACCTGGGGCTGCGGAGCGGGCGTGTAAGGAAAGAAGCCTCTTAGATTAAACATTTTCTAATCAGCTTTATCACTCATATCTGAATTTATCTTATTTGAGGAAAATGCCAATATATTAGCAGGCATGTATGATACACAAGGTGACCCTACCAACTTAATGACATAATACATTATCCTTAATGAAGTCAATATCTTGTCTTTTAGCTGTCTGTCTATTGGGGCGATTAATTGCAGTGTCATTAAAGTTAGCTCTCTTTTCATTTGAGCTTGACAAGTCGCATAAAACTAATGTTCTTAGTTATCAGCTACTGGAATAGGATGGAGGATGGAGGAAATTGTAGGACAAATAAGGGGTACTGCTACAGCTAACTTGAAGGACTTTTTCCAGTGACTGTTTCTTTAGGTCTCTCCTTTCCCAGGCTCTCTTGTTAGGTGAAATTTAAGGCAAAGGTAGATGGCTCTGATTTAGCCAAGGGTTCAAGAAGGAGAGAAGAAGATGCTACTGAGAATTACACCCAATTTGGGAGATTTTGAGCCATTTAGTAACAGGAGCTTGATTACTGTCAGGGTTTCTCCACTAAATAAATTTGCCACGTTACCTCCTAGACCAAGCTGCTAGCCTAGCCTGAGAGAGGAGCCGATAAAGAACACTTGCAACCATGTTTTCATTTAGCTTTGAAGTTTTTCTAATTTAACAGGCTTTTTGGAAGAAGGGAGGACTGAGGATGGGAGAAGGGATTTGTGCCCGAACCATGCTTTGCAAATGGTTCCAATAAACACCAGCTCATCATGGGCAATGTGGGAGCTATAGCGCCTGGTCCGGCACTAATTGTGAAGCCAAAGCATCACTCCCTGCCTTCCCCCTACCTCTGGAACTACGAGACAGGATGGCTGTAATTTACAGTGTGTTATCTTTGTCTATAGCGGCAAGATGATATGAAGTAAATCAAGGTACGAGTAATGAAAGACTGAGAATTTATTCCTTGGAGCACACTTTAAAGTGTAGTATCTGTTATAGTGGCACTGCCTGAAGACCCTGAAATGAGACTTGGATGAAGGGCAATAAAGCAGCATAGAGGCTCATGTTAATATTGTTTGTCTGAGGTTAGTAATTGGGTTCTACTGATGAGTTGTGTGAAGACAAAGTGAGAATCCCAGCTAGTATTGTAAATCTTACATTGTTGGAACAAGAAGCAATCCTAACAAATATTGATCCTCTCCGTGCCCAGAGGCGAGGAGGGAAGCAGCGAACTGCAGAGCACTGGCCTGTTTCAATAGCACCAATTACCTTAGTGAAACCAGCGCTCGGCATGAAATCCCAGGGTGGCCGCAAACGATGAATTAGCCATGATTAGGCTTTTTAGATGGATCCCCCCAAAATCATGCCAGCTTAACATTCTGTCTCAATTATCCTTGTGGTCCTAAAAACATATTTTGTGTGAAGTGATACCTTCCAGTGGTGAGGGGCCCTGGACCTGTGTGGGAACCAGATGCAAATATATGGCCAGCTGCTGCCTTCAACACAGAGGGGCTGGAGTATGTGCACTTGAGAGTGACCACTGGACAGATGCAGCTTTCCACTCTGAATTCACTGAACACCCCATATTTGGGGACACATACCCCACAAGCATTTGACTTTGTTGTTGTTTTTGGTTGTGTTGTGTTCTGTTTTCCCTATTTGTCGTGAATTATGTCCTAAAGATCCTTGGAGAGATGTTCTCCAGGGGAGAAAAGGCATATCTGCTCTGTGATTTTGGGGGGCTGGCTTCCTGTTCATTTTTAATGTGAAGATCTGCTAAAGGTCTGTGCTCATCTTGTTTGGATACACAGTCTCCTTCCTGGGAATCTTCCCTGAGTTCTCACTGGGTTGCATTTTGGACCCATGGGAAAGAGAGAGTGTTGATAAAACCTAGAGAGGTCACATTCCACTTTGTTACTTCCTAGGAGTTCGCAGCTTTTCTCTCCTCCATTACCTTTGGCTGTGAGTGTGCAGTCAGTACTCTCAGAGGTCATTCCTCAGGCCAGATCCGGACTTTGGGCTGGGGTGAACTAGGTAGGTATTTGGCTCTCAGGCTTCCTAGTCCCCATCCTCTGTACAGCATCAACCTTGTGCACACTGCCCAGCCAAATGGCTTTGGCTGGGAGAAGAGCCTTCCCTGGGGGACTTCAAAGCATGTATTTGGTCTTTGATATGACACTGTGACATGTTTGTACCAACACACGTGCCTTTAGCAGAAGAAAGATAACATCAGACCCCCCAAATCTGGCAGAGGGTGAGCAAGAGTTTGGATGAAGAGAACTATGCACCTTCTGGGACTAAAATGGG
This sequence comes from Homo sapiens, assembly GCF_000001405.40. NCBI lineage: Eukaryota > Metazoa > Chordata > Mammalia > Primates > Hominidae > Homo > Homo sapiens. The sequence goes on from NC_000010.11 coordinate 75,940,038, forward strand.
AGAGGGCACATTTTCAGGATTCCACGACCCAGTCATTAATTAGGTGATGAATTCAACAGATATTTATTGAGTACCTAACTTAATTCTGGATACACAGTTGAGTAAGATGGAGTTTACATTCTAGTAGTGGGAGGTAGCGATGGTGATGGAATATAAACAAAATAGGGGCAATTTCTGATGTAAACTGAAAAATACAGAAGGCATTATTGGGGCAGTAAGCGGCTGGGGGTGGGAAGGGCGTGTTGATAACCAGGTGGACTGAAAGGCCTTTGTTCTCCTCATACTACACACCTGGCATCTGGAGCCACCTGTCCCCTCATGCATCTGTGCCCAGTCTTCTTTCTGGTGGTTGCTCTCACACTGTTCTGAGGACAGCTGAAGTGCCCTGGACCCCATGTGTCTGTTCATTTTCCAAGGCTCAGGTAAAAAGCCGTGCCTTCCACGAAGCCATTCTGGTTTCCACCAACTAAAAGTGAGAGTTTGCACCCTGAGTTCCTGTGTAACCTCCTATCTCTGTTCCACATTGGCACTTGGCACTTTCTGTCTTGTGTTAGAGTAGCTTTGCGTCCCATCTCATCGCCACTCCTTGCCTGTGAGTTCCTTAAGTACAGGAACTATGTACCTATAATATCTTATCCCTGATATACTCAGCAGTGTCTTGTGCTTAGTAGGTGCTTCATAAATATTCATTAAATAAAATAATTACAGAGAAAAGCTAGGGAAATTTATGGGGTGTGTGTGTGTGTGCGCGCGCGTGTGTGTGTGTTGAGGGGGTGTTTGAAATAGTCTGGGGTTTGATCTAATACATAGAAATGCTTCCATGAAATAGAAATGCCTTACAGTTGTGTGTAGCTATTTCACTGAGTGGGTTTGTTATATCTGAATGGACTAGTGATGTCTGCCTGCCTCTCTGGGTAACAAACACATTTTGGAGGGATTGTTAACTTGAAGGTTGTAATAAAATCTTTACCACTCTGAACAGCTAGCATTGGTGTCTGCTAAGGGGGAACAAAGGCAAAACGTAGTTCTGTTGGTGAAAATAGTTTGACTGTGTTTAAAAACTAATCATTCTGCAAATATCAACAAGCTCAGCAGATGCAAGCTAGCCACCTTATAGTTTAAATGGAGCCCTTCACGCTGTATTGGAAATGCCGCCGCCTCCAGCCCACCCTATACTCCACAGGCCAGCTCCTGCTCTTCTGGCCAAGGAAAGGCGAGTAAGCAAGTCTATTGCCCGTTGGCCTCCTGAGACACCTCTGAGGATTAAATAACTAATGACTGTAAAGTGCTCTGTGAAAAGAGAGTGCTCTATAAAGTGTTATTGTTGGGGCTGTTAAAAATGGAAAACGACTTTTAATTTAGAAAGAGAACACTCAGCATAAGGAGGGGTGGCTATAAAGCTTTTATCACCACTTTGCTTTCGGAGGCTTCTTAGCTGTTGGTGTTGGCGCCATGGTTTGCTTGCCCAGGGGTTCTGTCACCGTTCATGGGGTTTAGGAAAGATGCCAGCATCTCACTGGCATGGTGCCATCCTGATCCCCTTCCTGCATTGTAACCTCGTGGGCAGATCTGCGACTTGATTGGCTTGGGTTGCCTAACATTGATTAGAATTTCCTAAGAGCGAGCCACCTGGAATGTAGAGTATCCTGTGATCTGGTAGCTTCAGGAAGCCCCCAAAGCAGCCATGCAGACCACAAACCACTTGTAAAGATTGGGGACTGATGACAATCATGCCATGTGGACAGTATCCAGGCCCTCCTTCCATCTCTTGAGGAATAGGACTCAGCTCCTCTTTCTGTTCAATGAGGATATTGAGTTTTTATCCTAAATTCAGAATTTCACCAACTCCTTCTAGGCTCCTTGTTCATGTCCTACTCTCTCCATGTCACATTTATGTGGTTGGGAGGTTTAAAATATAGTGTTATACCTCTGCAGTCTGTATTATTATTTTACATATTATACATTTTGTGTGGATTTGTAATCACAGCGTGTAGGGTTTGCTTGGGCAGGTTCTCATTTCTAACATGTCATCCTGCCAGTGGGATGGAGGCTCTCTGGTCTTCTTCTTCTTTGGCTCCTCTGACTCCAAACACTTCAACACCTACCCTTCCTCAGCGACGTGCAGCCCCTTCAAGAAGAGAGCCCATAAACTCAGTGTTTATCATACAAATGTGGTGATGTGTTTGCATTTTTATGACCCAGCTAAGTGGTGAGTATTCATTTGTGCCACCTCACCCCAGATGCCCATCCAGAGGCTGAGCTGTTTATCATGCTCATCTCTTTCCCAAAGCCTGAACAAGGAGCTTGGGACCACTATAAACATGTTCCCTTTCAATAAAGAGGAAATTATTATCATATATTTTGGTAATAACCAATAACATTTCAAATTACTTACATTTATGGCTTATAATCAAGCTTATGCTTAACCTCTAATCCTCATGAAGCTGGTGATGATGGGCTCGGTAGTTAACCACTTGCGGGAAGTTAAGGGCAGGTAGAAATCCACCTGACCAGTAATTAACCAGAGAAGCAACCCATTTCTGCAGTTGAGATTATAAACACTGTGCTTGGTTTATGTTTAATTGGCAACAAGTGAGGTGAACCCCATTAGTTTTGCAGTGATGCCCTGGAGGATTTGGCCTGGTCAACTTCTCATCAATTAATGTGCTGATGAGGGATGCTGGTTGCTGCACACTGGGTCTTTGGGTTCCTGGTCTTTGTTTCTTTAGCTGAGCATTTGAGGAGATTGCTTGGAACATAGTTCATGGCTGGCAATTGAAGGATCACAGAGACATTGCTCTCTCTGTAACTATGTGTTCTGATTGCGGTTTTCAGTAGTCTTTTGTTTGAAGTCCTATCATCCATGAGTCTGGATTTGTGTGGGATATGAACTACTGTGATGCTACAAGTCATGTACTTAGATTGGCTTTTGAGTTGACCATTCATTTGGAGAGGCTTATATAAAGAAATGGGCCACTTTGTGGTCAGGCCATTTTTGTCTCCGAGTAGGTTAGGAACAGGGATCCAAGGGAGTCTGGTTCCAGGATGGATGTTTCTTAACTGTTAGATGAAGTTAAAGGGTTCTAAATTGGATGGCTTAGCAAAAGCACCCACTGATGTTTTCAGCAAAAAAAAAAAAAAAAGGACTATGAGATAGAATCTTCCAGAGTCCACTCTTGTTTCACTGCTTTGAGGATTATACCTTTAAGCACATTTTAACTTCTAAATCATCCCACCAGGAATCTCCTATGACACTCATGGAGGAGCTTTATAAACAACTTAGTCATCCCAACAACCTGTGATGAAAGTACTATTCTCCCACCATTTTACAGATGAGAAAACAGAAGCTCAGAGAGCTTCAGTGATTTGTCCTAGGCAAAACATCTAAAAGGTACACAGCCAGAAATAATTAGTTTTGTCTAATATCAAAACTCATGCTCTTAACTGCTGTACTTTATTCTTACTTTTATGTCATTAGAAAGAAAAATGTCCCAAGCAAGTGGAATTATCATGGATTTCCTCTCTGTTATAGAACCAAGAATGTGAATTGATCTCCTGTGATATGTTAGCTGCTGTATTTGGGACTCAGTGGCATATTGGGAGATATTGACATATTAATCCAAATCAAACAGTTCATTTTTGGATGATAAACTATTAGAGATTATTTGCTCAGTTTATTAGCACCAGTGGATTAGAGATTGGCCATGGTTGCTTAGCTTCATGAAATAGTAGGGCTGAAAGGAGCTTTGGGTAGTTATCTAGCTCAATTCAACACTTATTCAACAATTATTTATTGAGGACCTGCTATATGCTCATGCTGCATGTGGTTGTATGCTCTGCTCTGCTGTCTCACATACACTTATAATCATGTACTACAATGTTAACATTTTGCTTAAATCGCTATATATCTTTGAAAGAAATTGAAAGAAGTGAGCTTTACATGTTACCCCATATTTGTCTTTTCCACTGATCTTCATTCCTTTTTGTAGAAGAGAAATTTCATCTGGTAATATTTCTTTCCAGCCTGAATAATTTCTTTGAATATTTTTTCTTTTATCAGCTTTCTGGCAACAAATTCTGTTTTTGTCCATCCAAAGTTGTCTTTATGTTGCCTTCATTTTCGAAGAATATTTTCATTGGATATAAAATTCTGACTTGATTTTTGTTGTTTTAGCAGTTTACAGAGGCCATTCCATCATCTCTGGCCTCCATTGTTTCTTATGGGAAGTCAATTGTCACTATTTAATCATTGTTCCCACATGAAGTATCATTTTTCTTTGCTTTTAATATTTTCTCCTTATCTTTGATTTTCAGAATTCAGAGGTTAATATTCATAGGTATGATTTTCTTTGATTTTGTGCTATGGATTTCTGTAAGTTTCTTCTATCTGCGTGTTTAAGCTTTTTGTTTTTACCAAATTTGTGGGGGTTTTTTGCCATTGATCTTCATATATATTTTTTTCTGCTCCATTCTATTTTTTTCTCCTACTGAGACTCTAATTGCATGTATGTTAGACCATTTAAAATACTCTCATAGGTCACAGTGTCTCTGTTTACTGTTTCTAAAATCCTTTTTTTCTGTATCCTTCTGGTTAGATAATTTCTATTAATCTACCTTCAAGGTCACTGAACTTTTCCCATTTCTGTTCTCCTGTTAAGGTCAAATCATGTGTGTGTCTGTGTATATACACATATATATCTATATGTATATATATATAAAATAAAATATATATGTATATTTTATTATAAATATTGTGCTTTTTAGTTTCCACATTTTCTTTGGTTCCTTTTAAAATTCTAGTTCTCTAATGAGAATTCCCTTCTATCCATCTGTTCATTCATTATAATCATCTTTTCCCTTAAGACCTTGTTCATGCTTATTACAGCTACTTTAAAGCATTTGAGTCTTAATTACAAAATCTGGGTTATCTCAATGTTAATATCTACTGGCTTTTAAAAAAAACTCTTGACTATGGGTCACATTGCCCTGTTTCCTATTCTTATGTTGTCTAGTAATTTATTGTTGTGTCCTGGACATTGTAGACAATACATTGTATAGACACTGATAGATTGCAATTTCTGGTATTACCTTTCCCTCCTCCCCACTTTTTAAAAAGCATGCTGAGATTTTGTTCTAGCAGGCAGCTAACTTGGCTGGACTCAAATTACTAATTGAGTCTCTCATGTGGAAAGTAGCCCCTGAAATCTGTGGTCAGTTCTTTCAGACTTCCAGTTGTTACTTTTCACTCTGTCTTGTAATCTTCCCAGCATATGTGCAGTTTAGGGTCATCTCAGGATTTAGTTGTAGGATTTTGCAGACTTTGTAGCCTTACCCTTTGTTGTTCTCTTCTTTCTGGGATCACTCCCTTCACTTTCCAACTGTTCTGCCAGTGGCAAAATTCATCCTTAACCACCCAAGAAGAAGCAGAAAGGTGACTTCCTGCTTGCATTTTAGCCACTCCATCTTGCAGACTTCTGTTAAGGGCCAGCTTCCATCTAGCTTCTGTCTGCTTTTGGTTTCTTTCCGGTACCCACATGTAGTAGTTTTTAGAATATTTTGTCCAAATTTTATAATTTTCATCAATGGGAGGGTTTGTTTAATATAAGCTACTCTATCATTACTGGAAGTTGAACTTTAGATCTTCTCATTGTTTAAGAGAAGACGGAAATATATAGATTTTTCTGTGAAATCTCTTGATTATTTACTCTGGGCAGCTACATTGATATTTAAAACACCTTGTGTAGGGAAAAAAATCATGCCTATGGGCTAAATATGGCCCCTAGACCCTCAGTTTGCAAAATTTGATCTAGTTCAGCTTGCCATTTTAGAGATGGGGAAATAAGTTCAGAGAGGGGATGTGACTTCTCTGAGGCCATCTGGTATATCATTGCAGATTTTCAACTAGAACTAAGGTTTCTGACTTTCAGCTATATATCTCTTTTGTTAGGCCAAGTTATTGTCCCTTTCTCTGTCTGCTAGAATAGGCAACTGCTCAGATGCACTGGCTAGGATTCCCATGGGAGACATCAGAGAATAACCCCTGCAAAGAGTGGGAAAGCAGTAAGACCAGCTGGAGAAGGAGCACCATCGTGGGCCATTACTGGACTGCTTTTTTCTCTTCCACTTGGCCCACTTGATATTTGGGGCACTGTGAGGACAGGCAGACAGCTGCCTGGTGGACTGACTCAGTCCTCCTGAATCTAGCTCTCTTCCAGTCATTCTTATGTTTAAGGTTACCAATTCTCCGCTGTGCCCATGTGAGCTATTTGATGTTCTCATCCAAAGCACTGTCACGCTAGATAACTTTTTTCCTGAACTCTGTCCTGTCACCAAATGTCACTGTGCCCCTGTGCAGGGAGACATGGAGCATCTGACTGCACATGGGCCTTGGGATGCTTCTCTCATAAATGGCAGATTTAGGACCAGACAAGGAATTGGTGCACCAGCCATAAATCCTGAGAAGAATAATGCCAGATTCATCTGGCTGCTGGCGTTTGATTTGTGGGTGTGTGAAAGGTCGCACAACCTCTTAGAGGAGTATGGTGGGGAAAATATGGTTCGGATTGCCCATCCTAGCTCCTTCTTGGGCTTTGGATGCTCTACAAGTAGGCAAATGGAAACAGTAAATATTTGGGATTCCAGATCTGGTCCTTTCCCATTTTATAACATTAGTAACTTTGTCCTTAAACCTTAGTTTCCCTTTCTGGGCTCCTTTCATCTTCTATGGTAGTTACATCCCGCCTGCTACAGACTCCTCTCGTGTTCTCGGCCACTCACCTTAGGCAGGGGTCCACTCTTAGGAGAAGATCTTATGTCAGCCACAAACCCCCAGTGCAACAACACTGCAGAACTCTAAGAAACCTTTCAAGACTTCTGGTTGAACACCTTCACGTCACATAGGAGGAACTGGGGCTGAAAGGAACAGGAAGCCACTGGAAGCCTGTAGCTGGTTAGGGGCAGAGACACATCTGGAACTCAGTTTTCTAGGCCCTGCCCCACCCATCCAGTGCTTTTCTTCACCTCACTGGAACCATTTTGCTTTGGCGTGAAATTGTCTAAACCATTTTATCTGGGGTAAAAATCCTCTCGGCCTAAGGGTGGACAATTTGCCCCACCTTCTCTTGCCCTTAATCCTAGTGTGGTACTAGTTTTAACTGTATGAAATTGCCAATATCTGACCAGTCTTGACCTACAAAAATGTCAGTTTTGTGCGGTTCAACCTAATTCTGGCCTTTTTCTTTGGGTGAGTGTTGATTTGGGGGATGAGTTGGCTCAGGTGACCGGAACATGGTGCTGATGAGCTGAGATCACAGGTCAGAGGACTGTGTAGCTTTCCAAGCTTGTCTGTTTCCCCATGCTAGTTCGCAAGCCTCACTTCAGGCAGCCATCCTGACAGCAGTGCTCCCATTGCTGGGCTCCGGATATTCATGTAGGCAGGTGCCCAGAGTGCGAGGAGGCCCATGTCCATTCCATGCCACTGCAGTAGAAGGGAAGGGGAGGGACCCTTGGGTACTGATGAGCCTGACTTTGAGTCCTGGGTCTACCCCTTTTAGCTGGGTGACCTTGGGCAAGTTCTTAAGTTCTCTGGTTTTTAGTTTTCTCCTTTTAAAATGAGAATAAAAAGATTTTCTTCATGATTTGTGAAAGTTAAGTGGCACGATATGCAAAAGTACTTGGTCAGTGCTTGGCACATAGTAGGGGCTCTATAAACAGTTATTTCCGAAAACACACACATACTTCACGGTACCAGAGTGCTGAGCCTTTGACTTTGGGCAGCACTTTGCACCAATTCATAGATCTCTCCCCTTTCTGCCTGTCTCTTCTGAATCTTAGAGCTCGTTGTTTCAATGTTCTTGCTCGATTATTGGATTCTGTAGATAAAGTTCGTCCTCACAGGGAGACTGTATTTTTGTTGAGGGCAGTGATATTATTTGGGACCCCCACTATTACTTCTTCAGCCTTAGGTCCATAGAAGGGCCTTGAATGAAATAAATTGTTGAATAAAACAAGCTTCTTTGCAGACACTCACATGCCCACTGTATAATCCAGTAGAGACCTCCCCAGCAGTGTTTGCATAATGTTATACGTTCCAGCCCCACATTTAATGGTTGGTGATTGTGAGGGTTAAAGGTGGCTTTTCTCAAATTGTAGACTGGCTCTTAGAGTCTGACACCAGCACTCTATGTCCTTTGAGGGGAGAATTCTCCTTCCACCCATAGATTATCAGAGAATCCCAGCCAAGTTCCAATTGCCCTGTGATAATGCAGTACTTTGTTCCCGAGCAGGTTAGGAACTGATATCCCCATTATGTGGCATATCATGAAATGAATGTTATTGTTAAGTGTAAGGACAGGGCATATTAGTGGTATCTTTTATTACGCAGTCTTCATTATAAAAGAACAGCTATTGCTAAAGTAGTCCCCATTTGATAGGTAGTGGGACATTGTTCTTGTGTTGTTGGTGCTGATTAAGGCTGGGATAATGCACTGTTCCTGCCTGTTACGTCCATCAGGAAACAAGGCCGACCAAGGTAAAATAGATGAGCGTATGTTGGCGACAGATTAAAAAGACTAGTGTAAAGTCCATTAATAATTCTCATATTTAGGATTTGGTTTCTACTGTACTTACTGAATCTGCAACATTTAATCTCTTCTATGTGAGACCAGCTGAGAGAACCTTTTCTCCCCCTTCTGAGTGATAGGCCTGGATTTTCCGAGACAGTGCATTTGTCTGTCAGGACCCATGGCTGCTGTGGTGATTTACTTGCCATCAGATGATGTTGGTGTCCGGTTGGTGATATAGCCTTGCTGGATATGGGGAAATTTGTTACCTTTAGCTTTGACAGGAAGATAATTGCTGATGGTTAACAGAACTGAGCCAAATCCATTGGTTTTTCAGTAACACAAGCATAAGACTGGCTTTGAGAACCCTGCTTTTCCCTGCATACACTTCAATTCTAAGCTTTTGTGTGTGTGTGTAAAATGTGTGTGTGTGCATGTGTGTGTTTGTATCTTGAGGGAAATGCACCAGACTCCAGATTATTCTCCTTCTTTTAAAAAAAATTGCTGCAGCGTACTAGCATGAGGCCTGAAGAAGTGTTTGTTCACTCTACAAAGAAAAGACCTTAGGTGAGTTGGAAGTGGGTGTTTAGGAGGGGTGTCCTGGAATACCAGAAGCAGCTGGCCACTTGCAAAAAAGGTTTGTCGTTAGTAGGGCATTGTTTTGTTAGGCATCTCTCCTGAGAATACATAAATCTGGGCCTCCATCATGTAGCTTGTCAATTTGTCTTCACACTGTGCAATCAAGTGATTGGTTCAACAATGCCTTGTAATGTTTGAGCCTTGAGGGCTTCTCAGTAAAAGTCTTAAAATGTTGGAAAGAAACTTAGAAAGTCTCAGGGGATAGCCATGTGCTTCAAAGAGCAGCGTGCAGGTTCTGGACCTGGGATGATGATGGGCTCACGTGGTTTTCCTAGGCACAAGGGTTGGGGGAAGGCCATGGGGTATAATTGGAGGAGTCTTAGGAAGAAATTTAGAGAAGGAATAGAACTATCCTCTAGCCCTTCCTCTCTCATCCTTTGGCCATTACAATGAAGGGTCCCTGGGAAGCCCCAATATTATGCTTCTCTCCTTGGGCACCCTCGATTTGGAGCTTGTGATGATCTACCTCAGTGGCACAACAGGCTTTGAAAACACCCATATTTACCCATAGGGAAGCTTGCTTTTTGAGGAAGCCAGAGATGCAACCTTCTATCTGCAGGTACTGTGTACCAAGAGCACCAGTTCTCACCTCCCTTTTCTTCTGCCCCAAGGAAAATTTCCATTTTGCCCCAAGATGTTGCGAAGAGGGCATGAAGTGTGGATACTACCAAGGCTGCCATGTGCTAGTGTCATGACGTTTTCTTGGTGACAGGAATACTCTTTCTGAAGCCCAGAGAACTCTAGGTCCTTCCAGTTTTGCAGGAGAGGGTCTCTGGAATCACCTTGGTTCCCCAAAGCAGAAAATCTAGAAGAGTCCTTGCCAAGACGGCAAAATGTGTGAGGGGAACCAGATGTTGCCCTCCCTGTTCAGCCCTGAATGTGGGTGGCTGTGGCCTTTGGAGGCTGGGGTCACCCCCCTTCCTCATTGCTCACATCTGTCCAGTGACCAGGTACTCATAATCTTTTATTAAGAGACTCATCAGCTCTGCCCTTCTTTCCCTCTCTGTAGCCACTGCCCAGGGCCAATGGCACTCATCACTTCCTCCCTCAATGTTTGCAATGGCACCTCAGCTAGTTTGTGCCTTCAGCTTCCCTGTCCTTGAATATATGCTACTCATTGACTTGAAGCTTACCCTTCTAAGACCCTGAGCTGACCAGAGAGCTCTGACAGCAGTTTGCTGTGTCTCTATTGCTTCCTACCTTATGTCATAGACAGCTCTGTTCACACATGCCCCCTCTTTCCTTCCAGACTGCACCCTGTTTGAGGGCCGACTCAGCATTTTGTGTTTGTTCTGAGATGTTCATTCCTTTCATTCCTGCTTGTTTAGTTCTCTTATCATTCAAGGCCCAACATCAGAGCCATCACTCCTGGGAGATGTTTTCTCTTTCTGCTAATTGAAGTCCTCTTCGGGGACTTGTTATATTATTAATGACAATACTTTTTGTGCACACCTACTAGCTGGTAAGTCCCTTGAAGTCCAGGGCCCTATGGTGCCCTATTCTTCCTCCCTATCACCTGGCATTGCCCTCTGCACACAGTGATCACTCAGGAACCTTTAATGAGTGAATGAATGAAGCTAGAGTGTGATGATCTCCTTATGGCTCCTGGATTGTTTCTTGCTAGTGCCTGGTAAATGACTTAGTTTTCTATGTTGATGTTTCATTGAGAACCTACTGCGCACACATCAGTGGTTAGTCCTGGAAAGCAGGGTAAGATCCATGTGCCACCACTTCCTGATTCCATGCCCAAGGCAGACATCACTGGTGGCCACAGTGTTCACTCTCAGTGAGGCCCAATATCGCCTGTGAACTTGGCTCCACGTGTCATTCCTGGCAGCTGCTACCCATCATTAGTTAGTATTTGAAGTGTAACTGTCCTGCCATCCCTGGTTCAGCTATGATGAGAGGTCCTGAGAAAGCTGACATTGTCCTTTCCCAAGGGAATTTACAGTTCACTAAGGAGATTAAGTAAATATTTTAAAAGTACTTAGTATGTGGAAGATTTAAGTAGTCACACAAGGCACTAAGTGGTTCAGAGCTAAGCGAGTGGTGGTGGGCGGTAGCAGGCAGTAATAATCTGGGGAGCTTGGAAAGTGAGGAATGCTGAGCCACTGCAGTCAGAGCCGACTTCCTGGAGGAGGTGGCTTTAACACCTAGAGGAATTGGGAGAACAGTCTGTGGCAGGAGGAGAAACAGCCCAAGCAGCTCCTCAGAGGAGGCAGGCCAAAGAGGGAAGAGCTTTAGATTCTTTTCTTATGGTCAGGGCAACCTCTAGCAATGGAAAGCCCAGATGTCTCAAAGACCTGGACGGCACTGCCATGGCATTCTCCTTGATTTGCGAGCTGGTGCATAGTCCTGAAGAGTCCCTTTTAAAATTCTTCACTCTGAGGAATCACTTAAAACAAATCATGATTCTTGAAATCTGCCTCTAACCCCCAAATAGTTTTTTTTCCACGGTGAAGAACTGGAATATTTCTGTGTGTTTGCTTTGCTCTCCATGGGTAACCTCTCTTCCTGCATGATAAATACACATTTGAAAATATTGATTTGCTGCTACCCCTTTGAAAAGCTTAAGAAGGCTGACCTCTGCCTCAGCGTTCTCTGACTTGAATTTTTCAGACTGACCAATTGACCCCTGGAAAGGCTGAGAAACGTTACCTGCGGTCCTGGAGGGACTTTCTGGGGGACGGAGGCCACGGTGGTGGCGGCCACTTGGCAAATGCCTGAAAGGAGGGCCTTTTAATAAAATGCAGTATGTCCATGGCTCAAATCTAATGACTTTTAAATAGCTCCTGGGAAGAGGAAAGCCTCCATGGTGGAGCCCAGGAGTCACCCCGGGGGAAGTGCCATTTTCCAGACTCATCTCAGAAACCCTGGGGTCCCCTCAGCCCCAAGTACATGGGGCTGTGTTGGGCCTCAAAGTTTGCTTCTTCTCAACCTCCCACCCCGACCCCGCCGATTGCTCCTCGTTTTATTTTCTTTCCTTGGTTTTACCACGGTATGACCTCGTGTTGTATTTTTTCTGAATGACAATGAAAGTAATTGAAAATATTGATTGGCAGTACAGTTAAGTTGTCAACACAACCATTTAATTTGTCAGGAGGACTTGTTAAATTGTCAAAAATCATATAAAAAAACTCCTTCAGTCACTGATGATATACATTAGAGATGTTCATGAATCAAATGGGCCATTTTGGAGATAAGTGTTGAAGAAAAATTCTGAAATGGGTTTCTTCAGATACGTTTGTGTTCTCTCCCACTCTCTCTCTCTCTGATCACACATTACAAAGAATATTGGAACGATTTTGGCAAGGCAAGGTGAGTGAGGGATACTTTTTTGAGTAGAGGCCTCACTAAGGGTATCATGGCAGAAATAAGATCATTTATAGCAATTAAATTAGAAGATTCTAATGCGGATGCCATCAAGTTATTTATTAGGACAAACGGGTTGGGAAGTTCCTTTCCTCCTTATATGTAGGATTTAAAATATGTGTCTTGGAATATTTTTTTCTTACGGAAATTCTTTTTTTCTTTTTTGAGACAGAGTCTTACTCTGTCACCCAGGCTGGAGTGCAGTGGTGCTCTCGGCTCACTGCAACCTCCGCCTCCCGGGTTCAAGCAATTCTCATGCCTCAGTCTCCCAAGTAGCTGGGATTACAGGTGCACACCACCATGCCCAGCTACCTTTTGTATTTTTAGTAGAGATGGGGTTTCACCATGTTGGCCAGGCTGGTCTTGAACTCCAGATCTCAGGTTATCCGCCTGCCTCAGTCTCCCAAAGTTCTGGGATTATAGGTGTGAACCACTGCACCCAGCAGGAAATTGTCTTTTTAAAAATTATTTAATTTTTTAAGAGACAGGGTCTCGTTCTGTTGTTCAGGCTTGAGTGCAGGGGTGTGATCATGGCTCACTGCAGCCTTGACCTCCTGGGCTCAAGCCATTCTCCCACCTCAGCCTCCTGAGTAGCTGGGACCACAGGCACACACCACCATGCCCAGCTAATCGGTTTTTAAAATTTTTTATAGAGATAGCGGTCTCACTATATAGCCCAGGCTGGTCTTGAACTCCTGGCCTCAAGCGATCCTTCTGCCTCAGCCTCCCAAATTGCTGGAATTTACAGGTGTGAGCCACCATGCCTAGCAGGAAATTGTCTTTTAGGGGCTCTTGGCTGCTGACTCTGCCAGCCCTGTGTGAGGCTGAGTGGGTAATACCAGCTTCCTGTTCAGATATGTGGGGCCCTGTTGAAACCCTCCTGCATTTTCACTGCTGCTAGTAATTTAGTTCCTGAAGGGTCTATGTGCCCAAATGAAATTGGAAGTAGCTTTATTTATTTTAGATTAATTTAAGAATAGTGCTATCTGCTACCCCTTGGTCAAAATGAGTCAAGTCATTCTTGACATTGTTAGTTTTTAGCTCTATTTAATAAAATAATGTATTAGGGCTCAGAAATCCAACTTGATTCAGCTTGAGGGAATAAAGGATTTTATTGGAAAGCTACTCAGGTCACTCCTATAGTTCACAGGAGGGCTGGTGTGGTAGGCAGAATACTAAGAATGGCCCCCGCAGTATTCCTTGTCCCCTAGTGCCCAGCCTCTGTAATGTGATGAGATATCACTGCCCTGATTCTGTTGTGTTACATGGAGTGGTGGATCTTAAAAAGGGGGATTATCCAGGTGGGCCGAATCTAATCACACAGGATCTGAAAGCGCAGAACTTTCTTCACCTGGTTGAAGCAGAGAAAGTCCTAGATATTCAAAGAGAGAGAGGGATTTGACATGCTCTTGCTGGCGTGACAATGGAGGGGCTCACGAGAAGGATCGGGCAGCTCCTAGAAGCAGAAAGTGGATCACAGCCAGCAGCCAGCAAGGAGTCAGAGACATCAGCTGTACAGCTGCAAGGAACTGAATTCTGCCTGCCACCTGAATGAGCTCAGAAGGCGATCTTTTCCCCCAGCGTATCTGGTTGAGAGCACAGACATGTGGGGACTAACACCTTGATTTTGGCCTTGTGATACCCTGAGCATAGAACCCAGCTGAGGGGTGGAGCAGTTGTGTGCAGTCCTAGGATTGGGGTTATGCACCTGACCAAGGTCTATCCCGATGATAGGCAGCCCCCCACCGTAAGCTCATATGCAGCCCCAAAAGAAGGGAATGCAGTTCTGGGAAGATAATATAATAAATGCTTGCTAAAAGTCATACTGCATCTCATGTTGCTAAAATGCATGTTTTTCACATTTTATGACTCTGAAATGGGGGTGCATCTTTCCAAAGCATGGTGACTTCTGAAAGAAAGCTGCTGGCCAGGGTCTGCCATGTTTGTCTCTGCCTATGCTTGGGCAGCCTTGGCAGCTGTTCCTGGTGGCTCCTCTCAACTGTAACCCCTAGGGTTTCAGTCAGCAAACCACTGAACGGCCATTTGAGGAAAGATTCTAAGTCTAGTTATTGTCTGAAAACCTTCTGTTGACATTTCCTGGTAAGATTGAGAAAGTGCTAGTATCAAAACTTGCAGAACGCTTGTTGGCGGCTGCAGCAGCTATGCTCTTGAGTGACAGAGAAGATGATATTTTGTGTGAGAAACACAAACATCGATAAACTCTGAGTTGAAAATTGATTCTGAAAAGTCAGGCAGTGAGTGGGAGAAGTTTTGGGAATGCTTTATTCCATGTATTTCACCTATGTATATTTTTATGAATGCACACAAGTGATAAAAGTCTGTGTCTACATTAATCCAAAAGAGCTATTTTAATAAGTATAAAATAAAAATGCCAAGTGATTGGAAAGCATTGTGTGGCAGTTTAATTGCTTTGTTTTTCTCAGTGTTACATAAAATCATGCTGTATTAAAATCAACGGCACATTAGATTCATATAATTTTAAATAAAACATTTTAGTATATTACACATTGGTTATCTTGTAAGATAGGGATATTTTACTTGGAAAAGTGGAGACTGGGGTTTTGGCATTGTGATGGGCTGCAAAAATTGGTGTCTTTTAAAATTCAGAATTGCTGAGGTGTCTGTTGATTAGACTGTAAGAGAAAGGACTGAATGCTTGATGCAGGTTGAAATTGTGCCAATCATGTGTCCCAGCCTCCATGCTCCACAAACATTTACTGCCACTCTCTGCCACCTGAGATGCCTCTGGGCTCTCACCTGGAATCTGTGATTAAACATGAGTTGGTTGGGAGGTGAGGCATTGAGACCATGAGTGGTTGGGGTAGGTGTCCTTGGAATTTATAACATGGCTTTGCTTTGTTTCTGGCCCAAGGTGGTATTCTGCTGTCACAGAAAGAACACACCAGACCACATTTTCATGGCATCTTTACCATTACCTAGCTGTGAGACTTTGATCTCAATATTTACCTGCTTTGGCAGTCTCTATTTCTGCATTAATGTAACAAAAGAGCTAAACTATAGTGCCTCAAATTTTGTTTCTAGCACTAATATTTTGTTTTCAAAAAATGTGCTCAGTGTCTCCCTTGTTGCATTTCTTTGACTTCTCATTTCTGGTATACATTTGTTCGTATTTTTGGAGTTCCTGTGGCTTGCTGAGCCCTATGCTGAGTTATGCATGGGAGAAAAGCTGAAGATGGTATCCTTATCCTCAGGGAGCTCTTCCATGGCATTTCAGAGAGAGGATAGATATCTGAAAATGGGAGTATGTCTTTATTTTTAATATAGCATGAAAAAAGAAAGTTTATTAGTTATCTATTGCAATGTAATACATTACTACAAAACCTAGTAGCTTAAACCAATTTATATTTATTATCTCCTAATTTCTATGGGCAAGGGATTTAGTAGCAACTTAGATAAGTGGTTCTAGCTCAGGGTCTCTAAAGAAATTGTAGTCAAGATATATTGTCAGGACTGCAGTCACCTGAAGGCTTGACTGGAGCTAGAGGATATGCTTCCAAAATGGCTGACTTGCACAAATGTTTGCAGGAACTCTCACTTCCTTTTGAAAATGGGAGTATTTCAAAGACCATGTGAGTAAGTAGATAGCAGAATGAACTGTGTGGATTATTAGGAAATACAGTCTTCTGGAGAGGGTTTTGTTTTGTTTAGCAGAGAACAAGCTGGAGGATGAGGGTTAAATGGTCTGTGAACTTAAATAAATCAGCAGCGCTTATTGTGTTTGTCTATTGGGGTCTCTGAATTGCCTCTCATTTGTCCTCATTCTGGGCATTCAAATGGGGCTGGTGTCAGCTACAAAACACATAAGGACCTGTAGGCACCGTTTTTTGCTCTGGGCTTAAACACCTCTGAAACTCAAAATGGGAATTGGATGTCTGAGCCCCCTTTATTCTACCACCATCACTGTACAAGTGTGGTCCCTGCCATAGCTAGTTCAGGGTCCTCTAATGCCCGTAGTCTTTCTCTGTCCTGAGGTCATCATGGGGCCCAGGCTGCTTCTACCTGGTTGCTCTGTCGTTCTTTAACTGGTCATTCTTGTCTTTGTGGCCAAAGCTGGCTTACCAGCACAGCATTTGTGCTGTATTTCATGGGAAGAAGGGAGGCAGCATGAAGCACAGCCAGCTTCCTTTTTAAGGATATGACATCAACTTGCACACAGCACTTCACTGATATTCCATTAGCTTGATCTTAGTCACATGGCTTCACCCAGCTGCAAGGGTAGCTGGGAGATGTAGTCTCTAACTGGGCTACCGTGGACTTTTCCCCATGAAGAAGTGTGCAAGGAGGCAGTTACTTGTCTGCCACAACTGCTACCACTGAAATCTTTGCTTTGTTTGCCTTCTTTTACACTAAGCAATGAGTTCCTTGCAACTAGCATTTATACTTTTTTAATGGTCACAGTGTTTATAATAGAACTTAGTTCATGGTAGATACTTAAGAAGTGTTTGCTAAATGAGGGAAACAATCCATGAATGAGCGAAGAAATGCACTGATGATGGCACACACTATTTGGGGCCCTTCTTTCTTGTATCCTAAGAAATAGTCTTTGTATTTGAGTACATTTAGCTGAACCGTTAGTGGGCTATGCTGAGTTCAACCTGTAAGAGGATGCTTGGCTTCATCTGCCATGTGGTCTTTGAACCCAGGACTGGGGAGATGAAGGAATATTTCATTAATCCTTGCACCATTTAGTCTCCTTATCAAATGGCCCAGGCCTATTCTTTGTTACAGACAACAATGAAGGGTGCCTTTAAGAAATCTCCAGTGAGTACCGAGGCATTGCAGATTAGGTCAGTAGAACTGCTGCTAGGTTGAGCATGATGGATGAGCAGGAGAATGAGTTTCTGCTGCACGGTATTGTGAAATCTTTTCATTGTCACCAACGGGCCTATGAGGAACTGATGAATGAGGGAGCAAGTGTCAGAAACGCCCTTCCTTGCCCCAGTACAGTTTTAATATCTCCCTGAGCTACAGGATGAGTATTGATAAAAGTAAAGTTTAAAAATAGCCACGGAGTGATGGGTAGCCATGATTTAAGGAGAACAGCAATGGGGTTAGAGAGGGTTCATTTTCTTGAAAGTGCATGAGCGGGAGAGAGTGAGAGGAGGAGAGAAGCAGGAGAGCTGGACTGTGAGGGGAAAGAGCAGGAGGCTTTTATAAGAAGCTAATGTGATGAGGATGACGAGGGCTTTGATGGATGAGTTAGCTCCATCTGGTCGCAGTATATGTAATAAATAGCTGTGCTCGGGTTTGACCTCTCCCTTACCAGACACATCTTTCTCTTTGGGGATATCCAGGAGGGAGCTTCCATTAGAGTAAAGAACCCGTCATGAGCCAGAGCTGAGGATGTTTATGGGCTTGTGCAGAGGGCAAAAAGGAGATGGTATCCAAGTTACAGGTTTATAAACTGAAAACTGTAGCCTGTGCGCCTTGCTGACGATGGTGCTGGTGACAGAAATGCATTTCCAGGGTTACACTGCTACTTATGTGAGGAGGAGAAGGATGGGAGGAGGAGGGTGGCTGAGGGGTGGCCAGCAGCCCCAAGGGCTGCTTCAGGTACATCCTGGTTTCTTGCTTATTGCATAAACAGGGCGCCTTTGTCACACCTTCCCTTTGCTGTGAGCAAATGTTAAATTAAGCTGGAATTGAATAGGTCTGTAACTAGGTATATAATTCTTAACTGGGATGGTTTGGGAATGCGGTATTCCGGTCAATTCAATTTTCCGGTTACCTTGTTAGAAACATTATAAAATGTGTTTGCTCATATTCCTGCCTTAGAAAATTCACAAGAGTGAATTGATCATTGCAGGCATTTGTGTTGGTTTTGGCATATCATTTTACACATCAGTGATTGTTGCCTTCCCCTGAAGATATAAAATGTGTCCTGGCCTGGAGCATCCCCTAAGAGTTCAGGTTGAAAAAAAACCTGCCCACTTTCTCTAATAAGTGTAGAGTTTTGATTTTTAATAATTTTTTGGATAATTGATGTTTTATGGATTTCTATTCAAGAAATGAAGGAAAAGGGAATAGAATTTGCTACTGGGTTGTATAGCTGAGAGTAAGTTTGGAGAGTGTATTAGTCCGTTTTCACATTGCTGATAAAGACATACCCGAGACTCGGTAATTTATAAAGAAAAAGAGGTTTAATGGACTCACAGTTCCACATGGCTGGGGAGGCCTCACAATCGTGGCAGAAGGTGGAAGGCTGAAGGTGAAAGGCACATCGTACATGGTGGCAGATGAGAGAAATGAGAACCAAGTGAAAGGGGTTTCCCCATATACAACCATCAGATCTCGTGAGACTTACTACCGCGAGAACAGTATGGGAGAAGCTGCCCTCATGATTTAATTATCTCCCACCGGGTCTCTCCCACAACACATGGTAATTATGGAAGCTACAATTCAAGATGAGATTTGGGTGGAGACACAGCCAAACCATATCAGAGAGCAAATGGATCCGCCTTAAGAGTAAGTGGCAGATCTGAGAAATCAGCTTGTTTGTTTCTTTGGGATCAAAAGGCTCTTAGAGAAAACCTAGTTAGAAGGTCCTCCCGCCCCATTTCCCCAGTCTTCATGGAGGAGCTGCTTGGATGCCAGGACCAGGTCCCTGGTGCAGCAAGCCTGCTGCAACATTGCCAAGTGTGGGAGAGGGACCGGGTTTTGGGCAGCACCACCTTGGCCTTCCTCCTTCTTGTGTGAGAAGCTAGGGATGAATGTGTGAAAGCTTGGAGCCTAGCATACCACATGTATAAGTCAGAGCCATCAGTCCCTACTGTGGTGACTCATCCCCTTCAAGAATCAGATCAAAGCTGTGGACTCTTCATACTGGAAGCAAAGCACACATATGCACATGTGCGCGCACGTGCATGCACACACACACACACACACATACTTCTGTATATAATAACTTCAAGGGGGGTTTGCTGCCACCCTTTGAATTCCTTACAATATTGAGAACTCAGCTAAGTAGTTTAGAAGGCCTCTACGATATATATGTGTTTGTGTGTGTTTATATACACATATGTGTATGCATTACTGTACCTATATGCACACACCTACATATATATCACATATATGTATATATTTGCTTATCTATGTGAATGACTAATATCATCCAACTGGCATCCAACTGGTTGATGCTCAGTATTCAGTATCAAAGGAATCCCAAGACCCTGTGTGCTTATGAGCATTTCATTTGTTACATGTGCAATTTAAAAACATTTGGTGCTTCTGTCTAGTTTGAATGTTACTTATAAGCTGTGGCAGAAATTCTCCTTTTGCAAAAAATATAAGTGGATTAAGGCTACTCAAGTGGGACCATCCAGTAGAATTCTAACACAGGTTTAGTTTGTCTTTGCTACATTCTGTCATCTTCTTCCTTCTTTCCTACCCTCTGCTACTCTGGTTCCTAAATGCCCCCCTCCTGGCCAGTGCCCTCTCTCCACATCGTGTCCACATGTTGCTTCATCTTCTCTTTAGAACTCCAGTTTCTGTTTCATAATCTTAGCTATGTGAGTGGCTATTAGCTGGATATTGGGAGGAAATCAGAGCTCTAGAGCTAATTCATACTAAAGTGTGAATAACTGATTACTTCAAATTCCCCATGGATAGGCATATTTAGAAGAGGATATGTCTTAACCCAAATCAATCTCAATCTACTGAATTTGATCATTGCGGCAAAGGAAGAATTTTAAGCAGCAATGTTTAAAAACAACAACAAAAAACCCACAAATGGCTGCAGGAAAGAAAAGAGCTTAGGAGACAAAGGATGATAAATGTGAGTATTGTTCTTCATGAGAGAATCACTTGGAAAGGTTTGAAGGCAGAAACCAACCTCAGGCACTAGGGACAGAAAAGGGAGAAAACTTTATATGCAGAATTTCACCATCCTTCTAACTGGAGGTTTCCATGATTGGGAAGAAATTGATTTTAATCCTTTAATCCTTTTTTGTTGATTTTTTAAATTTTTATTTATTTATTTTAGAGATAGAGTCTCACTCTGTTGCCCAGGCTGGAGTACAGTGGCATGATCTCGGCTCACTGCAACCTCTGTCTCCAGGGTTCAAGTGATTCTTCTGCCTCAGCCTCCTGAGTAGCTGGAACTTCAGGCATGTGCCACCACGCCTGGCTAATTTTTTTTGTATTTTTAGTAGAGACTGGGTTTCACCGTGTTAGCCAGGATGGTGTGGATCTCCTGACCTCGTGATCCACCTGCCTCAGCCTCCCGAAGTGCTGGGATAACAGGTGTGAGCCACCACACCCGGCCTGGTTTTAATCCAATTTTAAGAGATAAACCTAGTCTCTAACCTGAAAAGGCCCATCTTTCTATCCTAGGGACAGATTTGTCAAATCTTTGATAGATTTTAGGTGTTTCTGTTGTGTAAGAGGATACCTGATGGGAAGGAATACTGGAGCTCATATGAACAAAGAAAAGTTGTAAATCTCTGGAACTCTCTCTCCCATATCTTTTCTCTTATGAAAATAATAAATGCTTTTCCAAGAGAAAGCAGAGAGAAGAAAAATATTTCTAATACTCTTGCCAGCCTGCAAATTAAAACACTCTTAATATTTTGATGTATTTCCTTCCAGTATTCTACTTTTTACATATAGGGTATTTTATATGCTGCCTCTTGATTTTATAGCACCTGCATTTTCCATATAATTACATATTCCTAATGAAAAGTACTTTAATGACTACCTAATATTCTCGTAGCAAGGTGTTGTTTTGTTTTACTATTATTCAATTCACAGGTACATGTGTTCCCCCACGGGGGTTTTGGTTTCTTTAGTCTAAAGCTCTAGAAGTAGAAATACCAGGTTAGAGTATGAACATGTTTGTTGAAGGGTCTCTGAGACCTATTGCCACATCACTTTGGCAAGAGGTTATTGCAGTTTACTCTGCTATTGGAGTGAAGCCTGAAGCATCGACTTTGAAAGACATCAGAGCTCCTACTTCTCAGTCGAGGGGTATAGTAAGTCATCCTTGAAAGTGGAAAAGAGAAAAAGATGGGGAAACGGGGACTGGGGCTGCTTCATAACAGCCCATCAGGTGAGTGCTGACTTTAACACTAATGCTTTCCTCTAAAGTTGCATTAATTTGCTGGGAAACCATAACAAAGTACTGCACGTTGGATAGCTTGAACAACAGAAATTTACTATCTTACAGTTCAGGAGGCTAGAAGCCCGAATTCAAGATGTCAGTCGGGTTACTTCCTTCTAGGCTGTGAAGGAGAGTCTGTTCCAGGTCTCTCTCCTGGCTTCTGGTGGTGGCTGGCAATCTTTGGCATTCCTTGGCTTGGAGAATCATCACCCTGATCTCTGCCTCCATCTTCACCTGGCATCTCCCCGTGTGCATGTCTGTATCCAAATCTCCCCTTGGTGTAAGGACATCAGTCATATTGGATTAGAGGCCTGCCCTACTCCATTATCATTTCATCGTATTACATCTGCAATGGCCCTAATTTCAAATAAGGTTACATTCTGAGGTACCAGGGGTTAGGACTTCAATACATGAATTTCAGGGAGACATGATTCCACTCATAACAAAAGAGACCCACTAGGCACTAGGGAGTGAGCTACTGCAGAGTGGCCCCACAAGCAAGTCACTTGTTTCTCTGGGCCTGGCTTTCTGCCTCTCAAAAATGAGGGTGTTGGACTAGAGCAGTGGCTTGCAAAGTGGGGTCCCCAGCCCAGCAGCATCAGCATCACCTGGGAATGTGTTAGAAATGCACATTCTCAGGCCTTAACTTAGCATTACTGGATCACAAACTCTTTGGTGGGGGCTCAGCAGTTTTGTGTTTTATCAAGCCCTCCAGGTGGTTCTGGTGCTGACTGAAGTTTGAGACCTACTGGACCAGATGACCCTCTGGGTAAGAATTCTGAAATGTCAACATCTGAAACATGTGTGCACAGGAGTTCACTGCCCCATGCACATGGCCTGCCATGAGGGATGCAAGCCTAGTAAATGATCGCAGCCAATTTTTTAAACGTAAATGATAATCTAGTTTTTGTCCTAGGTGAGTGGCTATGTGACAAACTCCAAAGTTTTTACAAGTCCCTACTGTTCTTTCAGTGTGCAACCTGTACCTCCAGAAAAATACATTCACTCAAAGTAATGTTTATTGATCAATGAACTGTACCAGACCCTGGACGCTATTCCTTTTGCATAAGTGTGACTTGTTTTTGCTAAGCTTTAACTTGTCCCCTGTTTATTTCTCTTTCCTAAGGCATAAGTCAAGGCCAGCGAGATGGCTTGGCCCACGGACCTAGATTTAGAAACATCCTGTTATTGATGTATGGATTATACATGAAGGCCTAATGGAGACTGCTGTGGGGTTCAGGGAAGACCAATTAGGGAATTAATTCATTAGAGCCCAGCATACATGTTGCTATATCTATTTACTTATTTAGGTTAATGTCTTTTGCTGATCTTCTTACAGCCATAAGTCCCTGTCAATAGTTGATAATGTACTTGAATTTCCTTCAGACTATTAAAATTTTACATATTGGACATTTATGACAGGAACCAAAGTTTACTTTTTGCTTTGACATCCTGATATCTAGGGTCTTCTGTATAGTAATAAAGTAATCCAAGAATCTGAGCCACACACTGGCCAATCAGTTTTCTCTGCATCTGAGATCACCAAATACACTTCTTTTCTAGCCATTTTACCTGTATGAATGTGTTGGTAACCTTGTTATAGGACAAAGCTGTACATAGAATATTGCTTATCTCATTCCCGTATCATCAACTGCAGGATAACATCTGCTTTGTTTCTTTCCTTCGTTCCCTGGTAAGACACCTTATTTGCCTCTCATTCTTCATGATTGTGTTTTGTCCCTTAATTTTTGATACAATAACCAGGGGTCCTTGTTGTCATGATGCCCATGCAGTCTATGCAAAAGAAAGATTATTTTAGTGGGAAGATCATAGATGTGGGTGGCAGGGAGCTTGGGTTCCAACCTCCACTTGTTGACTAACTTGGTGAATCTGGGAAGGTTACATCTTCCTCTCTTCTTTCAATCTGAGTTGTGAGGTGGAATGAGACCTGTTGTACCTGCTTTTGAGTGAGGGCAAAAGAGATGCAAAAATGAAATTGTGGAGATGGCAGTGCTTTGAACAATACAAAGTGGTGCACTGATGCCAGGAATTCTATGCATATCCACACACATTTGAAATTTTTGTCCAGTTCAGATTAAAGACAACTTTATTATTACCATTAAATCTGCTTACAGAGCAAATATGCAAATATGTGTGTGCTTAATGGTGGCAGGCTTGCTTTAATCCTTCTTGCTTTGGGGTTCTGCATTTTATTTTCTGGTGATGCAGACCTGGTAATGATCACTACTGATATTTACCACATTTTATTAATGTGATTTTTATGATCCTGCAGGAGATAATTAGGATTGGGTTTGTTTTTTTCACGTTCATATTATGAAATTTCGAGCTACATAGTGACATGGTGGGGAGGAGGGAAATAGCACAGAGAAGGAATGCGTTACAAATAAACTCAACCCAGAAACCATGTTTAACATGGATTAAAATGAATGTAGCCCTGTGTTCATTATTTATAGCTATTATGCAGAAAATATGTTACTGGACTCTCAAGAATTGGATGTTAAGAAATGTTTGGTTCCTCCCTTTGGAAAGCATCCAATTAACACACCATCCAGAGGAGACAGATTGGGGGGTCAAGGTAGACAGGAAACATTTTCTTTGATTTACTTATTTTAAAACCTTTATTTAATTTCTACCATTTAATAAAATCAGACATTAGATGAATTGAACTAATAAACTGTCTTTATATCAATATGAGAGTGAATTTGAGGCCAGGCTCTGTTGGCATAGCCTTATGTTTTGTTTCCTTTTAAAATCTGTTCTTAGACTAGTAGGTTTAAGCAAAGTTTTATACATAAGATGATCAAACTGGTGGAATTAGGAGGACAGTTCTATGACCATAAAGCAGATCTCTGCAGAAGGCGTTACCCCCGTACATGCACAGAGAAGGTTCTCAGTAAACTCTCATGTATAGAGGCTAGATAGGATCTTGGTTAAGAGTGCCTGATCCGGAGCCAGAAGACATGCGTTTGAAGCCTAGTGGTTTTGTTTGTTTGTTTGTTTTTGTTGTTGTTGTTTTGAGATGGGGTCTCACTCTGTCACCCAGGCCGGAATGCAGTGGTACAATCTCGGCTCACTGCAACCTCCAACTCTCAGGTTCAAACAATTCTACCTCAGCCTCCCAAGTAGCTGGGATTACAGGTGTGTGCCACCACACCTGGCTAATTTTTGTATTTTTTGGTGGAGATGGGGTTTCGCCATGTTGGCGAGGCTGGTCTTGAACTCCTGATCTCAAGTGATCCACTCAACTCGGCCTCCCAAAGTGCTGGGATTACAGGTGTGAGCCACTACACCCAGCCTGAAGCCTAGTTTTAACATGAACTATTTGGCACCCTTAAGCAAGTTACTTTAGCCTCTTTAAGCCTCAGTTTCCTCATCTGTAAAATGGAGAAAACAATAGCACCTAACTCTAAGGGCTATAGAAAGAAGTGAGGCACTGCAGCATCTGAAGTATTTGGCACCTGGTACCTAACAAGCTGTCAAATATTAATTATTGTTGCTTATATTACTATACTGTTACAATAATTATTAGTAATCTTACTGAGTAACAAACATTACCTGTTGCATAAACTAGGTAGGGGCAGTGTGGCAGGGAATAAGACAAGTAAAGAGTTTGGATTCATAACCATTTGAAATCAATTCTAAATTATGAGAATGTATCTTTAGAAATATATTTTATGTTTATGGAGCATGACTAGTTTAGAACTGACATTTAGGACTTCTAAACTTTGTAAATGAGGTATGCTTAGATGAATGGCATCCCAATTCCATGAGTGGGCTCTTTACTTCTCCGCACTCCACTAGTGAATTTGAAGGCCACTGTGAAAAGAAAAAAAAACCAAAACTCTACTTGTTGGGCTCTGTGGTGCTGTTATGGCTTGGCCCGGCTCAGTTTCCTTTCTCTTCTTTTCTGGACAATTTCAGGACCATGGCATCTTGACTTCTCTAAAAATATTTATTTAGTAAGTCTTTAGGTAACTTCAAACTCTAGTCTTGGGCTTAGTGAAACAGAAATCCAGAATCCTAGATTTCTCCAAAGTGAGGGTTTGTGGCTGTTGTACCTGAGCTATGGTGCCCAATCATCTGTCATCCCTGGCTCCTTGACACTGGGTTTATACACATTATAGGGAGGCAATGGAGTGAAGCTCAGTGAAGCCCAAACATCAGCCATTCATGTAGCAACCTTTTCTGCTTTTGCTGTATTGCTTCATACCACCTGTACCCTTATCTCCTTAATATCTTCTGCAATTCTAATCTAGCATATCATTGCTTATTACCTTGTCTTGGCCTAAGAAATAAGATCTGGAAAATCCCAGGGTGCAATGCTAGTTTCATGTCTTCCTATCATCCACTAAAGTAGCTACATAATTGTGAAAATTTAAATGTTTATCTGTGTATCAGCAAAAGAGCCCTTGTGTCCCACTGATGGGATATATATATTCCATGTTTTGGGAGATGTGGGTGGACGAGAGCCTGGGTGTGAATCCCAGCATTTCTGCTCTCTCCCGCTCACTAGCTTTGTGACCTTAGGCAGGTTTCTTCATGACTCTGAATGTAGTTTCTTCATCTGTAAAATGAGGGTGAAAATACCTCCTACTTTATGGTGTGATTTTGAGGATTCAACGAACCCATACGCGGAAAGCACCTAGCACCGTGCTTAGGAAATGGTCATTTCTGGGTGGTGGGAACAGCATGCAGCAAGTCTGCTCCTTGGTCCTCTATCTTGCTGTCCTACCCAGTACATTGTTCATTCCATGAAGGCAGGGGTCCTTGTTATTCATCATTTGGGTAACTACACAGTGTCTGGAACCTAGAAGGCCCTCCAAAAGTTAGCTAACAAATGAGTGAATCCATTAAATTACAGTTGTCCCTTGGTCACCTGGCATGGGCAACAGTGCTTTAGGAGCAGTGGACAAATACTTGTGGGGCTGAGGGGAATGTAGGAAAGAGCAGATCCTTAGAAGTTAGAGATTCTTGAGTTCAAATCATGGCTCTGCTATTTATTGGTTTTGTGACCTTGGGCAAATTACCCTGCCTTTCAGGCTATGCTTACCTTGTTTATATAATGGAGATAATGCCCTGCGAGGCTATTATGAGATCAAACAAGATAGGGAAGGTACCTCCTTAGCACCTGGCACCCAGTAGATATACACCCAACTAATAGTATCCCTTAGCATTTGCACCCCATAGGAGGCAAGGCTGTTGCCTTCACACAGTGTGTGACAAAGCCAGTGAGTTGTTCAGATCAGGCATATGGTAGGGACTTTGTAGGAGGCTGAGCTCCCTTTAGACTGGGGTAGTCAGTACAAGTTTCCTTGAGGTGTTGGGGTTTGCCCTCGACTTGCAGGAGGAGTTTCAGGTTTTGTGCGGTAGAGCTGAGCTCTCCAATCCCTCGTCCCTCCTTTGTGGCACTTCTAGATTTTCCAGCCTCAGGCATTTTCAGGTATGTCTAATTCACTTGGTCTATTGCTGAACTCCCAATTAAATTACTGTATTCTTTAATTACATAGCATCTTAAACTGTAGCTTTGAATTTAATTGAACTTTTTCATGCTCCTTGCTCCCTAGCCAAACAATTTGTACAAAAAAAAATTGAATTAACAATCTGACTTTTTTTTGCATTGATTATTATAACATTAAGAGAGTCCCAGGAGTTTCCAGGCTGTAAAAACCTAAATTGTATAACATTACTCACAATAACGCATATGTTATAATCGCAAAGAACTTACTTAAAATTCAATCCACTTTGGCATCATTATCATGTATCAACATAATAAATGAGTCCTTCAGAGCATGGTAATTATAATTTGATAAATCATCAGCAGAAAATTAACTGGATGTCAAAACATTCATTGGAGAGGGTGATGAATCGGGGATGATTGTGGTGATGAATTGTGTTAATCTGCACAGTATGAAGCCAGCGAAATGGCTAAGCAGCCCAAGATGGATGGGGCACAGAACCGGCAAGGTCAGGACACAGAGCTGGGAGAGGAGGGAGGCGGCGGGCAGGGGTGGGGGAGGAGCTGAGGAGGGGAAGAAGAAAGGACCAGCAGCTTCCCTGGGAGGCCCACGAGTTAACCCTTTCCCCACATCAGTGGAGACAGGGCCCCGTGAAGAGCCTGTTCTTGAGGGAGGTCAGGAGGAACCTGTAATGTGTCCCGTTCCATTTAAGACCCCCTTCCACTCCCTACTACTGCCTCCTGCTAACTCTGTGGGTATTCCTTAGATTAAAGGCGAAGTGCTGAGTGAATGATGAGAAGCCTAGTAGGCCTGACAGTTTTGCATTAACCTAAAAATTTTCTGATGGTGGTGAGGGAGGGGGCTTGTTGGCTCTGCAGTGGGAGTGCTCGCAGCATCTCTCCACCTGGTCTGTGGTCTTGGTGGACAGGGTCAAGCAGGCTCAAAAGGATAGGCCTGTGAATCATGTTAGTGGGGAGCTCTTGTGAGCCCCACTAGAGCTGTAAGGACAGAGGGACCCTTCCGGAGGAGTGGCTGCTCATAGAAGTTGTGGGGCTGATCTGTGCCCCAGCAGCATGGAAAAGGGAGGCATTTCTCTTCCTCTCAAAAATCCACACAAGCAGCTACAGTTCCTTGGCCGGGAGACCAGCCCATCTTTCACCAAGGAAGTTTTGCAAGGGCTGTACCATGGCAGGCTTCTCTCTAAAGCTTCAGTCATGAGAGGAGGTTCTACTAAGCTCTTAAGTTCCAGAGTGATAGAGGGAAGGCTGCACATTCTAGAATGTTCCCTGTGGCCTTGCATGCTCAAGTGCCTCTGTAGCATTAGGGGCTTGCCGGATACTTTCTAAAAAACAGCATTGCCAGAGAATGTGGGCAAAATACTTATCCAATTAAACTAGGAGCCACCATAATGTGCAGGGATAAGTCAGCTTAAGGGCTAAAATCTGGGGAAATAAGGGCCAAATTGATGAAGTGGCTATCATTAAAAACTGTTGTTTTTCCTCTCATTCCTGTCCCACTAGAGATTCATACCCTTAGGTATCTTTTGGAGGGTGAATTAGAGCATGGAATATGAAAAAAGTGCAGCAAGTGAGTGGAAAAATTGTTTGAACATGAAAACAAACCTAGAACCTTGAGGGTACTATAGCTGTTTATGTGGCTATTGAGTTTGGTAAATTTGTAATTAGGTGAGTATGGGTTTTGTTTCTGTTTTATACTGATTGCTTTTAGCCCTCAGCCCCTCATTAAAAATAACCATTAAACAATTAAAAAAAACCCTTCAACTTGGGTAATATAATAAAGCCCAGGCCTTTAAAGACCAATGGCTTTCCTAAGCCACACTGACAGCCACTGTTGGCTGTTGCAAGAAAGGACTTGTACTCTCTGGCTTTTCTCTTTGCCTCTTGGGTGAATCTGGTGCTTCCCTAGATGGTTGTCTATGTTGCCTTAATATCTTTAGGGGAAAATCCCACAAAGACACTTGGAGGTTTGTCCTGTGGTCATCTGGCTCTCAGCTGCTTCTTTTCTTTGAGTCTAAAGTCTGTTTTCCTTGCTTGTTGCTCGATTGAGCAACTACTTATGTTGTCGGTCCAGTAATAATAACCTTACCAATAATGAGAATCCCTTTGACATGTATTTGGCATTACTGTTCTCAAAGAATTTTCACATGTGTTTAATCATGTTAACAGCCATTTTTGGGTTCTCTTTCCTCCTAAGCAAGGAGACAGTTTCAGTCAAAAATTCTCCCCCACTGGCATGTACACCTGATGTGATGGGCATACTGAGGTTCAGCACAGTGGAGCTGAGCTGGTAAAGCTTCTGGCTTACATCAATTTATGTTCACAAGCTCACGCTTATTATGATAATTTTGCCATGTTTCCTTTTTTCTTCTTGGTACCTTTCATCAGTTTTGACACCTTTAGAAGCATCAGCCCAATGCTTTAATTTTCTCTTTCTGAAAGAAGGATGATGCCTTTAGTAGCATCTTAAACTATGTGTCAAATAGGCTTCCCTGGACTTTTTTTAGGAAACTCACCACCATCAGTGACATTATTTCTTGAGGAAATTGAGCTCTGAGTCCTCAGACCCAATATTTAAATATAATGTCTTCCAAAAGTTAGCTTGTACATTGGGATGGTGATGGACTGGGGTGAAACTTTGCTCCAATGCTGATATCATAGACAGTATTTGGGATATCTACTGTGTTTATCAAGGGCTCTGTACAAATGGAATTGTCTGAGATAGACCTCAAAGATTGTGCATGCTACCATGAGATTCAGGTTGAAAGATAAAATCAACCTTGATCATGTGGCTGGTTTGACCTTTGCCACTTGATGACCCCAAGACACATCTACTTTTTTTGAGGTGTCCAATAGGTAGCTCTCTGGATACTTGTATCCACTTCTCTCTAATCAAACACTGATCTTCCCCCTAGTTTCACCTTTAGGGGTAGTGTGATTTGTGGAAAAGGAGTGGGCTGGAGACTATTAGATTGAGCTCTGGCCTGACCAACAGCTAGCTTTGGGGCCTTGGGCCCATCTCTTCTCCTGTGTGGGCCTTAGTCTCCTCACCCATAAAAGAAAGAGATGAAACATTCATGGGATTTCAGACCTTTCCATGGTGCCACCACACAGGTGAGCTGTGATGGGGACTCTGAGCCCTTTACCTCCCCTTAAGCCCCAGCACTTCTACCTTTATCTACTTGTATCTGCATTCTGCAAAGGATTTCATTTGGGGGAAAAGTTCTGCTGCTCAAACATTCTTGAAAGCCACCTTCATTTTCTCTCCCATCTAGTTGGTACTTTAATTGCTTGGGTCCCACTGTGCATCATGGTGCTTTCTAGCTTGTGCATTTTATGAGGCCAGCTTATGGGATTGTATTCTAGTTGCCCAACCCTCCTTCTCTCTCAGGTACCCCTGGGGACCAAAAGTTAGGAGAAAGCTGGGAAACTTGTTGAAGAGCTTAGGAAGGGTTGAAGATGGGCAGGCCCAGTGTGGGCTTGGAAGAGGATGGGCACAGAGGACCACATCCTTTTTACTGTGTCTTCTTATTCCTATCCATCCTAATCTCAGCTCCGTGTGAGCTGACTTGCACAAGAAGCTCTTGAGTCCTAACTTCCATAACATCTAAAGAAGTAGTGGTACCTTCTATTTGTTCAGTGTTTAAAAATCTTGAAAATACTTTCACAGCCATTGTTATATTGGGTATTCTAAATAACCTGAGAAGGTAGAAAGGGCAGTAGTTGTTGCCCTGGGTCTAGAGCTGGGGATGTGAAGGCCTGGAGGAGGTGACCAATGAGCCCTCCTCAGTGACAGTAAATGTGAAAACCAGGACCCAGGCTTTTCAATCCTGGTCCAATACTATTCCCTTTGCTCTTCCATAGTGAGTGGTTTCTCAGCACCCCTGAGTCAGTACTGCCATGTAGAGATATTGGTGAAAAGGAGAAGAAATTCACATTGGTCTGTTTTCTCCTTCCTTTGGACATTTCCTTCTTCCCTTTCTCTCCCCATCAAGAAAAATGTCTTTTGTTCTTGGGGTAGCTATAGACAGCCTCCCCGTCTGCTGTTTTCCCTTCTCTCCTCTCGCAGCAGGAAAACAGGGTGATTATGGGGCCTTCTCTTAGCGGAGGTGTTAAGGGTTTATGTAGTGCTTGTCAATGAATGGCTAATGGACTCAGTTGGGTTGTTTCAATGACAGTTTCCCACAATCTGATACTAAAGTGGAAGCCTTGAGTGAAGCTTTTATCACTCTTTCACCAGGCTCATCAAGAACTTCCTTTTCCTCTCTGGAAATTGTATTTCATGTGGTATATTTCTAATCCAAGTGTTACATCAATCAGCAATTCAGTGTAGGCTTGTGGTTCTCCTGGAGCATTTTACAAGCAAGGATGGGGTTTCTTATTCTGGCCCTCTTGGACTCTTGGAAAAACACTCCAACTGCAATTTCCTTCCATCTATTATGATCTGTTTTTTTAGTTGCTATTAGAATTATTGGGTATTTCAAGACATTATCTTAATAAAGGCATTCCTTTCTGGGCTGTGCTTGACCTGTGGGTGAGATTGGGAATCTGTTTCTTCTCATGGTTATAGTGAAGTTAGGGTTCTCAGAAAACCCAACAAAATGGGAGCCTTTGAAACATGATCTTTTTGGCCAACGACTTCTGTGTGGTTAAAGGGTTGCTGGATGTCGTCAGCCTGTGGATTTCCATCTGGAGAGTGGTTTGTTTTTAAGAAAACCCTCCAAATGATCAGTCTTTCATATTTCAGATGTCAAAGAAAGAAACAAGACATTTAAAATAACTAACACTAGAGGAAATATTGGCTGGCAAGAAAGGGGGAGTGAGATCTGGCTCTTGGATGTATCGCTTCAGCTGTTTTCTGAATGTTTGACAAACACATGGCTTCGATGTGCTAGAATCATAGCAGCCCAGGGATGATGACTAATATGGCATTAGTTGGTTATAAGTCCACTTAAGAATTAGCATCTGAATTCATGAGCTGGTTTCAGTGAAAGGAAAGAAGGAGACTTTGGAGTCTGGATTTTGGAGTTTGGGATTTTTTTTTTTTAATGAATATTTTTTAAAGAGCGAGAAAACCTCTCCTTAACCCCAGGGAAGACTATCTAGCTGACATTTTCCTCTATGGTGTCCCAAGGAAAAAACTTGTCCCCAAATCCTATCCTATTCATATAAAAGACTGAGATTAAAATTTGGGTTATTTTCCCCTTCTCATTTTAAAAATTCATCTGAAGCGTTTTTGAAAAACAATACAAAAAACCTCTCTCTGCAACTGTGACAGGATATAGCAGCTGTCTGAGAATTTTCTCTTTTTTTTTACTGTTATCTTTTCTCTCTTTAAGAAAAGAGTCGTTTCAGAGGCAGCCGTGACAGCTCTGTCATTTCACTCACACCTCTAAATTTCTCTTTCTGTTGTCAGTCAGCAGACAGCAATCTCTGGATTCTGATGGGCCTGAGGGATGTCCAAATACATGAGAGATCGGAGAGAGGCCTGCAGCAGTGTGCGTCAGAAGCCGTCATCTTCTGCCTTTATTCTTAGAGGAATTGTCAGGAGTTTATAAAGTTCTCCTGTGCTGGGATCTCCAAGTCTCCTCTGCCACCATCTACAGCCCACACAAATAGGCATGTGAGGGGCTGGGGCTGGGGCTGGGGCTTCCTGGAATGTCACTTCTGCAAGTTCCAGTTAAGAGGTTGTGTTGAGTTCCTCTACCCTGTGTGCTACACTGGGGAAATTAAGACTATATTGGGAGTAAGTCCTTTCAGGACAAAACCACTTTAACAACAGCAGCAGCAGCAGCAGCAGCAGCAGCAGCAGCAGCAGCAGCAGCAGCAGCTACTCCTGTTTACGTGTTCTTATGTTCTAGGCACTGTGCCAAGTGTTTCACATCCACTCTCCACTCATTTTCCAGTAGTCTTGCAGTAGGTACTATTTTTCATCCCATTTTAGTGATGAGGCATCTGAGGCTCAGATTCATTAAATAACTCAAGTAACTTGCCTAAGGCCATGCAGCAAGTAAGTGACAGAGCTGGGATTCAAACTCAGGACTATGTGACACTGTTGCCTCAAGGCCTTAAGCCATGTGCAGTTCTCATATGCCATCATTGTCTTTTTTTCCACTGTGTAAGGAGACACAGAAATCATAATGACCTGCTGGACAGGTGAGGCCTGTGCCCTTGTCCTTTTTTTTTTTTTTTTGGGACGGAGTTTTGCTCTTGTGGCTCAAGCTGGAGTGCAATGGCATGATCTCCACTCACTGCAACCTCCACCTCCTGGGTTCAAGCGATTCTCCTGCCTCAGCCTCCCAAGTAGCTGGGATTACAGGCACCTGCCACCACGCCTGGCTAATTTTTTGTATTTTTAATAGAAACAGGGTTTCACCATGTTAGCCAGGCTGGTCTCGAATTCCTGACCTCAGGTGATCCACCCGCCTTGGCCTCCCAAAGTGCTGGGATTACAGGTGTGAGCCATCATGCCTGGCGGCCCTCATCCTTTATGCAGTATTATGGCAGCTGAATTAAGATGAATAATGACAGCACCGTGACTTGGGGGCGGTGGGGTAGTGGGGGTCAGAAGTACCCCAGGAGGTGGAGGAGAAAGGCCACCTGAACTCAAAGGGAAAAGTTCTATAGTTGAAAGCAACCTGGATTTAGAGTGAATCTCTACAAAAGGGGCCCCAAAATGCCTGACCATGTGAGCTTGATATAGGTCTTTTGTGGAGCCAAACTTACCTATTGGTCTGAGCTCTCCTGTCAGGGCTTGGCACATAGTTTGAACAACCCCAGTAGTCGTCTTATAGATGTTGGCAAAACTACAAACAACACATTTTTCACTTTTAAAGGGGCCAGTTTTGCATCTTCTATCTGTGGTATTCCATTGTCCCCAGTTTTCTTCTTCTTTCTTCTGTTAATTTCCCCTGCAGATATAGCATCTCTGCCATCCACAAATGTGTCTTGGTTCCACCTAACTGTTCCCTGGGGCAACATGGAGGGGAGGCAAACACACCTTGCTGAGCCTGACTTTGACCATGACTCATGGTGTTCAGGCCCAAAGCATTCAGGGGATGAGCTACACAGCAAAGTGGGATGCTCAACATTGCTACCTCCAAAATATCATTGTTAGTCATTTCCTTTCTGGAGTTAGACTGCTTGAGTGCAAATCCTGATTCTACCTCTTAGTAAACCTGTGGCCATTTGGGTGGTTATTGAACTTCTCTGTACCTTTGTTTCTTTGTCTGTAAAATGAGGATAGCAGCACCTAACTCATAGGGTTGCTGTTATTGATAATCATGATTATTGCTTTTATAGCCTTACACTAAGGGCCAGGCCTATTCTAAGAGTTTCACATTCATGAACTCATTCAATCCTCCCAGCAGCTCAATGAGGTAAGTATTGCTTTTTCCTCATTTTGCCAATGAGGAAACTGAGTTGTAGAAAGGTTAAGTTATTTGCCAAAAGTCAGACAGGTAGTGAGCAATGGAACAGAGATTCAAAAGGAAGGATTCTATGCTCCTAACTGCCATCCTGTCCCCTAAAATTTCATACCTACAACATGCTTGGCATAATACCTGGCACATAGTGAGAGTTTACTAAATATATACCATAGATAATAATTGCAGTATTATTAACATGATGAGGATTAATGCAAGGCACTGTATTAGCTGCTGATAATAATGATGCACAATCCCCAAAAAGTTCACTTGTGTATTTAAAAACCAATGAGGAAGATGGATGCTTTAATGAGCGATGACCACCAAGTATGTACAAGCTATGACAGATGATCTACAGATGCTATGGAAGGACCAGCATTTCTTTAAATAAAAACTACTGGTAACTTTCATCTTAGGTCAGGCATTGTACTAAGTCCTTTGGGACGGAGTTATTTTACTGAATCCTGCATGGTAGATGCTGTACCATAATTATCCCATTCTGTAGACACTGAGGACTGGAGAAGTAACTTGTCTAGGTCACGCAGCTCTAGGGGGCTGAAGGCCCTGGGCTCTAAGCCACTGTCCTACTGCCCAACTTGCCTGAGTGCCTCTACACTGATGGTTGTTTCCCAGGACTTCCTGATTTTTTTCTGAAGGATGGAAACAAAGACGACCCAATAGGAGTGAGGTCATTACCTCCCTCCCATTCTCCCTTCAGCACCAGATCTCCAGGAGATGGTTCAGTAAAACAGCAGTGAATTGGATAGAGGAATCGTCTCTGTGGAGTGACTTTCCTTGTTTCTTTGGGGTGGACCATTCTGGGCTTTCCTCCTTTACACATGTGCTCATGTGACACTCTTTGTGGAGTGCCAGGGACTGTGTCCTTCGAGGACAGATTGGGTACCCTGTTTTCTGTGGCCTTCCATGAAAACTGCCCATGGCATGCTCTCCTTTCTTTGGGCCTTGAACTCTGAACGATGCACAGAGGCACTTCTGTCACATCTTCCTTTGATTCTATGTTGTGTGTATTAGGCTGCTGTGACTATCTCTAAAGTTCTTTTAGAATAGAAATCATGTCTGCTCAATATTCTACAGCATCTGTCTCAGGCTGATGAGCATCCCAGGCCTCTCCAAAATCAGAGTCATTTTTTCTTTCTTTCTTTCCTTCACCACCGTTTCCAATTCATCACAGAGTCCTGTCAGCTCTAATTCTAAAATGTTTCCTGAATCTCTTCCACCACCACCCTGGGCCAAGCCACCATTACATATTTCTGGGACAACAGTAGTAGCTTCCAAACTGCTCTCTTCCTTTTCTTCTTTTCTTCCTACAATCTATTTGCCACATGGCAGCCAGAGTGGGCGTTCAAATTGTCAATCAGCTCCTGTCACTCTCTTGCTGAATTCCCTCCAGCAGTTACCTGTTGCACTTGGTGTAAAATCCAAAGTCCTTCCATGGCCTACAAGGCCTGGTCTGGTCTGGTCCTATCAACGTCTCCCACTTCATCCCTGCAGAACTCTCTCTACTCTGTACATGCCAGGCCCCTTGGCCTTGTGTGGTCACTCAAAAAGAACAAACCTATTCATTCGTTCATTCATCTTAGAATCTTTAACAAGCTATTCCTTTTGTATACAACATTCTTGGTTAAGTTGGTCCCTTCTTATCTTTTAGGTCTCAACTCAAATATTGCCTTCTCGAACACTCATATAACCCACTTATAACTGGCAGTCTCTCTCTATTCTGTTGCTTTTTTGTTTTCTTCAGATCACGTATTATTATCTTCACAAGTGCTGTTTATTCATTTGCCTAAATGTGTATTGTCTGTCTACCCCCAGTAGAGTATAAACTCCATGAGCCAGGGCCTTCACCTACCTTGTTCTTTCAATCCTATGCCCCCTGCACCTGGCAGAGGGGCTGAACCATAATGCCAGCTAATAACTAATAAGCAGTTAATATTTGTCAAAGTATTACTATTTGCCAGGCATTGTCCCAAGCCCTTCACATATATTAAGCCATTTAGTGTTTACAATGACCACAGGATGTGGATATTATTATTATTCCCATTTTACTGATGAGGAAACTGAGGTATGGAGGGTTTATGAATGCAGTAGCTCAAGGGCATACAGCTAGTAAGTGGCAGAGTCTGGATTCAAGGCTCCAGAGCATGTGTTCCTAATCGCCACATTACAATGCCTCTCTAGTAGATACTGAATAAACCCTTGTTGGGTGAATTAATGAATAGAAGATGCTCAGTAGAGCTTTGTTGGGTAAACACAATCATGGATTATTGTGGAAATGTCTTAGGCCTGAACATTGTCAACCTCCAAGAGCAGAGGGCATGGCACTGTCTACGTGGGTATGAAATGCCCCATAACCGTAAATGGGGTCTGCTCACACCACATTTGCTATTTATACTTTATACTAGATAGAGCCCTCTAGCTCGATGGTTCTTTTCTTCCCTTTTTTTTTTTTTTCCTTTTTTAAAGAGAAGAGAATTGTGGGAAATATTTTGTTTTCCCTGGGAGCCAGACTATGTATTTACTTCAAGTTTTATTAAATGAGTTATAAATTTTCCCAGCAATTTACTCATAGCTCAAGAGGTTTAATTTGCATGTGTTGCCTTTTACAATATGCTTTTCGTAATGTTGCAGATGCTTCTTCCCCAGCTTCAGTAAACAACAGGCACTCCGCCAGGTTTTTGACTGAACATGTGCCAGGCCTGGGAAATATGAGTTAACTCCATGGTGACTGTTGGGGGCCACACGTCCCCCTCTGTCCAGGGCATCTGGGGAGCTGAGTCGAATTCCTGAGGGGCAGGAGCAAAGATTTTCTGAATCTTCTTTTTGGACATCTTTTTAATATTTTTTTCCACACGCAAAATAAATAAATAAACAGACATTTCTGCCTAAGTATCAGGTTTGCACTGGTCCTAATTAGAAAGTAGTGTTAATAGGATGACAGAAAGCATTTGCTAGGGCCCCCAGGGTGATCTCTAGAGAGGCTAAAGTCACTTTAGCCTTTGGGGAGCTGCCCACGGCCTATGATGGTGAAGCCCTTTGAGCTTCGAAGAAGCCAGTCCCTCTGAGGGTCCAGGTCTGATGCCTGTTTCATTTCAGGTAGAGAGCCTCAGGGTTGAGAACTCATCTTCTGGTGTCACACTGTCGGGTTGAGTTCTGGCTCTGCCACTTATTAGTCGTGTGACCTTGGACAAGGTACTTAACCTCTCTGTGCCTCAGTTTCCGCATCTGTGGAGATAATGGTCATAATGGTCCCTGTCTTGTAAGTTTGTTGGGGGAATTAAATGGAATACTGCATATAAAGCGTTTGGAGGAGAGTGGTTTATAAATGGACACATAAATGGCATGCTGATTGTCCCAGGGCTATTCAGTTCATTGGCTACAACTTAGGGGACAGATCCTCTCAGTGAGTTATTCCTGGTTGGAGATGGAGGGCACTGGAGCAAGGGATGGATGGTGTGTTCATTAGAATGAGGCTTAGCTGCATGTAGCAGAAGAGCTCAAGTTAACAGTGACTTAGCATTGTAGAGATTTATTTCTCTCACATAAAAGGAGTATGGAAGTATTGCAGGGCTGGTGTGATAATTTCATGGTGTCATGAGGAACCCTGGTTCCCTCTCTTTGTAGCTCTGACATTCTTAGCATATTTTCTCATGATTCAAGATGGCAGCTTGTGCTCTTGTCATTCTGTGCGCATTCCTCCCTCAAGAAGCAGGGAGGAGGAAGGAACAAACAGGAGTCTCATTACCTCTTAAGGAAACTTCCAGCAAGTCCCACGTAAGACATTCTTTGACATCTCATTGGCCAGAGTTTAGTCACAGAGCCACAGCTAGCTGAAAGGAAAATGGAATCGTTTAGCTTGGCAGCCACATGCCAAATAAAAATCCAGGTTCTGTTACAAAGCAGGAGGTGGAGAATGGGTGTGGACGCAGTGAACTATCAGTGAGTTTCCAGTATTGTCCTGTGGTTTTGTGACTTGAGGTTGAAGGAATTCCCAGGTACATAAAGCAGTATTAAATTTTGTTTCCTAGATGATTTTAGGTGGCACAAATACATTTTTTATTTGAATAATCTTATAATTTTTTGTATGCAACCATATTATAATTACATATCAAACCCAGGATTTCACAGATCTCCTACAGTGTGATACAATGTTATAATGTTTTTCTTTAAGTCTAAATTTAACTGCATCAATGTTTAAAAAATTAAGTAAATGCCGGCATATAGAGATGAGCCAGGCAATCTGTGCAGTGGCTAAATGTGGGTCCTGGGGCCTGAGTTTGAATCTGTAACCTGCCACTTATTGGCCAAATGACCTTGGACTTTCCATGCATCACTTTGCTTATCTGTAAAATGGCATTAATAATAGTACCCATCTCACAGAGTTGTGATAAGGACCAAATGGGTTAGTACTTATAAAGCTCTAAGAATAGTGCCAGGCATGTGATGAGTAGCCCGTGAACATTAGTCATTGTTCTTATTGTTATTATTTCTGTTGTTATTGTTATTATTATGGCTTATATTACTGCTATTATTAATAATAATGATTACAATAGATGACATTTGAATAGAGCAGAAATTACAAGGGTGGTACATGCGTGACTGAAATTAGGGAAACACTGGCTTAGAGGAGTGAGATTGGCAGTTAATCAGGAGAGTCTTAGACACAGCTATAAATAATGACTTTATTAACAATTAAAACTAGTGCTTTATGTTTAAAGTGGCTCCATATATGATAATAACATTGATTAGAGTTTATTGAACATGGTGCCAGGTACCATGGGGTATGCTTTAAATATATTACTTTTAATTTTTCCAGTGCTGTAAGCTAAGTGTTCTTTTTATTCTATAGATGGAGAAACTTAGTCTAGGATAGGGTTAAGTAATTTTCCCAACATCCCGTGGGGACCAGCATCAAGGTCCCTGCTGATAAACGCATCTTGTTTATGTCCTTTTTGGTGCCCTTTCTTCCCTTTTCCCCTTCTCTGTTTGGATGTCAAGGACCCCTTCATTCCACTCAGGACCCTCTGATTTCCCCTCCTCCCCATGTTTCTTCCCACACCCCAATTACCAGCTAGTCCATATGTGCCAGCTGTTTCCCAGGTCCCTTCCCACTCTCAGAACTGCCCTGTCCATCATCTGTGTTCCTGCAGGACACAACAGGCAAAAGCTAGTCTAATGAACTAATCTATGAAAATGGACATTAATAGACTAATATGTAGCCCTCTCTGGGTCATTTATTTTAGAATGGGCTTGTTGACAAGGTTTTGTTTTTTTCTTCTGAATAATTTACTTTTCTCTCTCTTTCTTCTTTTAATAGACTTTATTTTTTAGAGTACTTATAGTTCACAGCAAAAATTGAACAGAAGGTACAGCAACTTCCCAGATACCCACTGTCCTCACACTGGCATGTCCTCTCTCACTCTCAACATGGACTTGAGGTCTTCACTCAAAGGGATAATTCGTGATGGAGATTAAAGGCAGCAAACAGTTCAGTAGCCTTGTGGGTCTGTCCTAGAATGTCTCCTAGGTTATTCTTTAAGGTTTTTTAATTGCTGTATCATAGGATCCTGACAAAAATGGGACACTGAGATGATGACCAAAGGGATCAAGCACACTGGTGAGTGATCAGTCAAGGGCCCTGCTCCCCCTTCTCCAGCACCCAGCCCTGTGTCTGGCAGATGGAGAGCACGCAGTCAATACTGTTGAATACATGAATCGCCTACCAGGGGCCCTTCGGATATGCAGGGAATGGAAGGTCCT
This sequence comes from Homo sapiens, assembly GCF_000001405.40. Lineage (NCBI taxonomy): Eukaryota > Metazoa > Chordata > Mammalia > Primates > Hominidae > Homo > Homo sapiens. Next base: position 75,980,445 of record NC_000010.11, read on the forward strand.
TTAAGGAATGGGACAGTGACTTACAGTGGGTAAGGTTTGGTTGGGCCTCGTGAACTTGATAGATTTTTTTGGCAGGGGGGCTATAATGTTCTGTCATGCAGGTCAGCTTGCTGTCATCCTGGACCCGTGCGTGTCTGGCTAAGTGTGAACTGAACATGAGCAGCATGATGCAGGGATTAGGGGACATTCATCTTCCACTCTTTCTCTTTGGAGCTGGAGGCTCAATGTGTTACTCTCATGATGTCACAAAGCAACTGATGTCTTACTACATCCTGAAAGAATTATTTCCTCTTTTACTCTTCTTACAAATTGTACCTCATGATCCATTGAATTTCACTTTCCTATTTTTCCAACATTTCTCATTTTCTGCCCTTTTTATCCTCTCTCTCAGACCATTGGGGGAAGGAAGAAATGTTGCTTAGCAACCAGAATGAAACTAGTCAATACTGCTTCTAATATTAACCCTTTGGTAACGTGTGTGCGTCCCAATCCATGTGTTATAGAACTCTCCCCTAGCATGTTTTAAACTAGAACTTCATCTAAAGTTGGCAGCTCAACTTTATGTCAAATCACAAACATCAAGGATATATTTGTGGGTTGTTATAAATGTTAGCAAGTTCCAGTGTTATAAGTTATACACATTGTCTGCTTATTAAAGTGGTTCACTTTTACATTCTTAACTTTTGAAATTTGCTGTGACTATTTCACATGTTACTTTCACTTTTTGAACAAAATAGTTTCTTTGCTGGCTTGGTGTGTGTCTGTGTGTCTGCTGGTTTGCTTTTTAGACATTTAAGTCCATTTGTCTGACAATTGGAAGATATGTTTTCTGGGTTGTATCATTCATTCATCTAATGTTTATTGGGCTCTACTCTCTGCCAGGTGCCATGCAGGGCACCGTGGAGTATTGCTGACTTGGGCAAACACTGCAGAGGTTGAGCAGACTTGGTTTCTGTATGCATCTTTTCATCAGCAAAGACTCTTTTTCCCTTTTCATCTTCATCTATTGAAATAACATATAACAGGGTGGGTTTTCAGATGCAATAGTTACTCTTCTACTGGAATGGTTTCTTTGGCTTTGATTGGACAATATTATCCATACATTTTAAGCTCTTTGAGAGTGAGTGGGCCGGGCACGGTGGCTCATGCCTGTAATCCCAGCACTTTGGGAGGCTGAGGCGGGCAGATCACGAGGTCAAGAGATCGAGACCATCCTGGCCAACTTGGTGAAACCCCAGCTCTACTAAAAATACGAACATTAGCTGGGAATGGTGGTGGGCATCTGTAATCCCAGGTACTGAGGAGGCTGAGGCAGGAGAATCACTCGAACGTGGGAAGTGGAGGTTGCAGTGAGCCGAGACCACACCACTGCACTCCGGCCTGGCGACAGAGCAAGACTCCATCTCAAAAAAAAAAAAAAAAAAGTGAGTGAGTGATAGGATGGAACAAAAAGATAAATATTGGCCAGCTCCTCTTTCATACACCAGGTACAGCTGGTGCACACACACAGTTAAAGTTTGGGAGTGTTGATTTGCCCGACATAAAATCATGTTGGTGAAGTTGGCCTCCAGTGTTTCTCTTCTTACATATGTGCCCCCCTTTTTGCTACAGGTGACCTGTCAAATCTCCCCTGATATCCAGCACTCTCATGCCAGTGAATGCCACCCTCAACTGGGGGAAACAGTGAACTGATCTCTTCTTTTCCTTAGGGCATTTTTTACTTTATTGAAGACTCTCTACAAACACAGTGCCTTTGGGGGTGAACCAGAATTTACTGTGGTACTCTACACAGACAGTAGGCTGAGTGAAAGCTGAACTGATTGGGGTTTTCAGATTGCCTCTGTCTTCTCTCACTTGGAAAGGGGCGATTCCCCCTTACATTCCCTCTCACTTCTGGGGTGCCTAGTGGGTGATATGGTTGACCATCCTTGGACCCCGCATTGCCTTGCAGGGTAATGCCAGTTGGGTTACTCACATTCTCTGGGTCCCCAGAGTTCCCATACACGAGACCATTGTGGAGTTGTGGGGGTTGTGTGGATTCCCCCTGTTAGCTTGAGTGGCCAGTATTCCACAATGCTTGGGCTTGGTCTCTGTGAATTGGTTGGGTGGCAAAAAGTATCTACAATGACTAGATTCTGTAAAGCAAGCTAAAGGTGAAGCTGGCCTTAATGATTTTAGCTTATTTGTTATCTAAAAGATAGTGGTGACCTAGGACTCATCAAGGTGTGGCTTTGAACTGGAGTTTGGTAGATGTCTTCAAAAAGGCATCCAAAACACCTGAGATTATTATTACATGGTACTTGGGTTCTTGCCTTACTTTATTCAGAACAGAAAAGGAGAGAGAACTTAGAGACACAGGACCGGGCATGAGCTTAATTCTAGCAGCTTCTATTGTTGAGCACCCACTATGTGGCAGGCATTGTTCTAGACAGGTCTATTGCATACGTTATCTTCCAGCCTTTCCAGCAGCCTCGCAAGGAGCACATTCATATCCCTGTTTTGTGGGTGAAAAAACTGGGATTCAAGAGAGGGTAAATATCTTGCTCAAGGTCACATAGCCCACATGGACCAGGCAGGGATGTAAATGTAGATAGGGTCTGACTCTGCATCCTGTGCATTCTCTGCAGGACCACATTGCCTCCTTTGCAAGTCAACCTCCACTTGAAGGCAGGGGGGAGCTCGGGTTGTAGTAAACAATCCTAGATGTGAGTAATGTGGGCATCCAGCCATCGAAGCCTGCCAGGACAGTTTTTACCATGTGAAAGCACTTAGTTGTTCAGTAGGTCCCATTGATCAGCTAAAACCATAGCAGGAACAAGGAAAGGGCTACAGGAGCCAAATAAAAATTTCACATTCACTAACTTGGAAAGTCTTTCTTCATTTCTCATTTACTGCATTGCTGTATATCTTTCCATCTCTTCTCTCGAAACATGATCCCAGTTTACTTTGAAGTGGCTGAGTGTGGCGGGGGTTCTGTGAGGGAGAGGTGATTCTGACGATGATGATGGTCTTACCTGTCATTGAATCCTTCACATATATGTGTGTATATATGTATACACATGCATACGTAATATCCCCAAGTCATTTTCATTTTTCCTTCATTAGCTCTCACTTACAAGTTATACATTTTCAAATATAATATGCGTCTATGTATGTGAATAGGTATGTGTATATGTGTGCATATACATACGCGTACATGTACGTCTCCAATGCTTTTCTTTTCTTTTTGATACAGAGTCTTGCTCTGTCGCCCAGGCTGGAGTGCAGTGGCACAATCTTGGCTAACTGCAACCTCTGCCTCCCCAGTTCTAGCGATTCTCATGTCTCAGCCTCCTCAGTAGGTGGGATTACAGGCATCCACCACCATGCCTGGTTAATTTTTGTATTTTTAGTAGAGATGGGGTTTCACGATGTTGGTCAGGTTGGTCTCAAACTCCTGACCTCAAGTGGTCCACCTGCCTTGGCCTCCCAAAGTGCTGGGATTACAGGTGTGAGTTACCACGCCCGGCCCCCAGTGTGTTTTTATTTGTCCTGAGTTTCCTTTCCTCCTCACAATGCTGCTCCCCATGCAGGGAGCCGGCCAGGCAGCTCTAGGGCAGGGGGAGTGAACAGGGAAGGAACTAGCCGTGCACCACAAGGTCGTGTGAGAATGTCAGTGTCTGGGCATATCACATGGCAAGTCTTTCCTTCAACGACATCATGATTTACCTGGGTTCTTGCTGAGCTAATCTCCCTGCAGCAAGAGGACACTAAGTACTGGCCGTATGGCTGGAGAAAGCTGCCCTGGGTCCTGCAAGGCCAGGCTGCCTGGAATTCTTGGGGATCTGTGCCCTGCGGGGAGGATATCCAAACCAGCAGGTGGAGGAGGAGAAAGAGACAAGAGCTCAGGCCTACGCAGAGCTTCCCTGCTGGGGCCTGGTCTGCTGAGTGGGAAGGAACAGTCAAGGCCATGGAGCCGTCAACTTCTCTGCCCTGTGTCCTCCTGGAAGGGAAAGGGAAGGCCTGCCAGGGCCTGCAGAGACAAGCAGCCATGTGGCTGGTCACGGTCCAAGGGAACGTGTCCCACTCACAGGGCCTAAAGCGGGAAGAACACCTCCTTCATGCTGCATGAGCAGGAGCAGATAGTGTTTACCTCTTTTGTCCGTGGCCCTGTGTGGGGGACCAAGGGACCGCATCATCCTACATAAGATCAGCGCATGTCACAGCCAGGCAGAGGGCTCACGTGGCATGCCAACCAAATTGCCCTTTCATTGGCAATGCTGAAAGTGAAGGCCATGATTCTCAATTCCTGGGGATGCGTTTTGCATTTTGAAACTCAGATTTCAGGAGGAGCTGCTGCATTTTTCTGTTCAAACCCCCAGTCTGAGAGAAGTGGGCTCAAGAACGTAAGCTGTTGGACTCTTCCTCACCCTCTGCTCAAAAGGCATTCTTAATGAGCCTCAATTCAGAAAATGAAGTGTCCAAGTCCAAGGCCTGAAAACCTGATGCATTATAGTAGGATGAATATTTTGTCTAATTATTTGTATTAATACAACAGCAGCCTAGGTACATAGGCTTTATATGAACTTATCTGTGGCTGAACTCCTTGTCTCCCAGATGAGGAGAGCCTAGATAGTGGTCTTTTGTGAGAAATGGCTTGTTGGAGGGAGCGGGTGTGAGCAGTTAGCAGAACTTCTCATATTTATTTTTTTCTGACTTTGAGGGAGAATTCTGAGAAACGATGGAAATGGGAAAGGAAGTGAGTAGGAAAAGTAAAGGGAAATGTATAAAAATGAAGGAGAGAAAGTAAATAAGAGGAAGTATTAGAGATACCAACCATGGCATCCAGCGTTTTCCATGTTCTGTTAATCAGAATCTCAGCTTAAATTAGCATAAGCAAAAAGGAAATTTATTAGTTCACATGTCTGAGAAACTGAGGAGTGGATAAGACTCCAGGCCTGACTAGAGCCACAGGCTCAAATAACACAGTTGCTGCCATCTCTCTCCTGCCACCTCACAGCTCTACTTCCCTGCTGCTGACACCCAGGTAAACTTCCCCTAAGGGAGGCAACGTGGCTGTGAACTCCACAAGGCTTTCATATTCTCTTCTCATCAACCTCAGTCAAAAAAGAGAGATTTCCTCTCACCAGCAGTTCCACAAGATCCCAGACTGGGTCTTCCAGTCCCTGATTGGGCCACATACCCACCAACCTCAGCAGTCTGTGAGAGATGACACCCTGGTTGGCCAGTCAGTTTCTGTGCCTGCCTGGAGCCTAGGTGGAGTTGGCTCCACAGAACTCAGAGATGGAGGGAGGTGGGAGGAGTTTCCCTGGGGCACATCAGGGTACTTGTACAGGAGGATGTGAATGCACACTGGGCAGGAAAAGACCCGCCAAAGGAAGATGCGATGAAGCGAAAAGGGGTCCTGGAGAAGAGCTGTTGATGTGATGGTTCAATGAAGATGGAGAAACAAGGAAAATCAAACCTGTGCATTGCTTTGGGTGGCCAGACTGGATGATAAAGCCAACATGGTAGAAAGGCTCTTGTATCAACAGGAGTTGGTCAAGATGTTTTCTAGACAGCATTTTAAATTCAGAGCATCCCTTTTATTGTAGGCTTTAGAATGAAGGAATGTGGTTGTTTGGGCCTATGGATCTTAACCATTGCTAGAACCTATTATTTTGGAGAGCTCTGAGAGTTAGTGAGGAGAGAGTCATGAGCTGGAATAAACATGTTTTGAGTACCTACTATTTAACAGACACCAGTGGTTTAAAGATCAATAAGATATGGTTTCTGCCTTCTGGCGGAGGTATGGGTAATATAACAACTACAATCTCGTGAAACTCTCATATTCTCTGATGAAAAGGAAATATTTTCTTCCTCCAGGACTAAGTTACTCAGGCTGTGCTTCCTGGAATACCAGGATTGACTTAGGTGTTTCGTGGGAAAACAAAAACAGAAACAACAATTTGTGTCTTGACAGATTAAAAGATGTTGTACCTTCTTTCCACTGGGGGAGGGAGGATTGGCATTTGCAATGCTCGTTGTCATATGAATGGCTCCAAGAAGTTTGGCAATAATGAAAGCTTTTAGATGTTGTTTAACCTGGCATTACAACTAGCTTATGTGATGATGGTGTACTTCTTTCATGACACTAGTATAGTATTGAACATGGTTCATAAAACAGAGCCCACAGAATTAGCCACATCTTCATGGATTTGCACATGCAGAGCCATCTGGAAAGACCTGTTACCCAGTCTAGTCTTGGATGTTGTAAGGGACCTATTGAGTGTTTCCCCAGGCCTAGGCCACGCTTCTCACCACACCCAGCTTCCTGAGAGGTTTATAACGCAGATCAGATAACACCAGCTTCTCCTGTCTTTTGCCTCTTTGGGTTTTCTCCTCAAGAACTAGTCACAGTAATTCTGTTCTTTGGAGTCTGGGAAGACTGACTGAGATTCACTTTACTGGTATCATCATCTACTGGTGGTACCCAAGATGATTTTGGAGGTGCATAGCTACATCATTAATTGTGTGAAGAAATGCTTTTTCCCTCTCAGTTCTCCTTTCTGTCCTTTTGGCCACAATGAGGAGAAAGTCTTAGTTTGGAGCTGCTGTGTCTTTAATGTTTCTATTACGTGTGGATTTTTTTTTTTAAGAGAGCAGCCCTCAGGCTCAAAGCCTTCAGTAGGTCACTATGTCTGAACTACATTTTTAAATTATTTTGTTTTCACTGTACATATTTCTCTGAATACTTTTTACTTATGACTGTAGGCACCTTCTGCTTATGACAGATGATCCTGGTCTTTATGATAGTTGTATAAAATTCCCTTTAAAAATAAATATAAGGAGGAGTGGGTCAACTTAGATCAAGGTTTCTTAATCTTGGCACTAATGATATTTTGAACCAGATAATTCTTTGTTGTGGAGAGTTATCCTGAGCACTGCAGGTTACTTATCAGTGTCCCTGGCTTCTACCCAGCAGAAGCTGCCCCCACCAAAGTTGTGACAACACAGAACATTTCCAGACATAAGTATCCCTATAGCATGAATGCCCCAAGTAGTGTAAACCACCAGTTTAAAGCAGAGTGATATAGAAGTGTAGCAATAGTTGTGAAGGTCGTGTGGATGACCAGATTTGAATCCTGTATTATGGTTAGTGGGCTGGACTGCCACTGGCTGCCATAAGAGCTGGGCACCTTCACCCCACCCCATCACCCTCTCCACTTCGAAGTCTTTCCAGATGGCTCTGTGTGGGCAAATCAGTGAAAATCTGTGGTCTCTGTGGGTTGTTGGTAAGAGAATGAGCTTTGGACCCTGTTGCATTTGGGGCTGTCCATTCTTTTGCAGAAGCAGCAGAAGTCCAGGGAGGGAGCACTGGGCAGCCCAGCCCCATGACAAATGCCAAGTCACCAGAAATCAAAAGAGGAATGCTGAGTCATAATTTCCTTCATTCAGGAATTAGCATGTGCTTTTGAGATTTTGAACTACAGTGCAATGCAGAGCTGGTGAATGAGCAAGGTTTAAATATTCATTTGGCATTAGCATCTGTGAGGATGGCCAGATACTTTCATTAATTGGATTCAGGTTATATGTGTTTCGTTTAAAAGCAGCTGCGATCACTAATGGAATGACCTCTGTGTCACTTTCCATTCTGAAGCAGGAGGCACGATAGCTCCTCTTAGGATGTTGTGTTTGCCACTTGCGCTGACACCAAATGCTGGTAAAATATGGTTGCTCCCCGCTTTAAAAACAAAATTTTGTTTTCATTTTTAATAAAGAGACAGATCCCAGGCTTGAAAGGCATGGGACACTGGGCAGCTATACTGATGGCTGCAAAGGTGTGGGATTTGGGAGAAGTCAGTTTTCTCTTTCCTATCCACCACCCTTCTTCCTCCCTCCAGCCTCCACCACCTTGAAGGCCGTGAGTCCGAACAGGGGACCCAGAGACAGGTCTGGGTGTCCAGGTGGTTCCCCATTCTACATTCAGCATGGGGCTCACCTGCCACCCACTCTTGCCTCCATGTCCCACCCCCAACATGCACACATGCCTCTCTAGGCTTAATTTTGAGCATTTAGAAAAACATAAGACCACCCCCACCCCCAGCTCTCTTTTCATTTCTCCCTTTCCCACCAAGATTCACGCAGACCGGAACAGAGTCTTTCAATGACAATATACTATTATGTTAGTATAATAATAATACATTTGTTTGCTCTTATTCCTAGCAGAGCAGCCACGGAGTGCTCTGTTAAAATGTTAGATGAGACCCTGTTACTCCTCTGCTAAGAAATCTCCTGAAGGCCCAAGTGCTCCCAAGGCCCAGGAGACCTTGCCCTCCCCTTGGCCCCTGACCTCTGCCCTCAAGCCTCCTCCCTGGCCCTGGCTCCCTCCATGCCAGTGGGTGCGGCCTGTCCTTGCAGCTCCTCGGACCTATTGGATGTCTTTTTCCTTGATGTTCCTTCTATTTCTATTTCAGTATCTCTTTCTTCCTTTGCATCTTTGCTTAAAAGATGTGTCCTTTGCACAGTCTTCCCTGTTGAGAATGACCCCTTCTCCCACCCCAGCTACCTCTGCTTCTTGCTTTCTCTCTACAGCCTCAGAGTCCTCCACGACACTCTGCAGCCCTCATTTCCCATGCAGGTTGCATGCCTTCCATTGCGGGAATCCAACTCCACAAGGGCTGGGGTCCCATCCGTTGTAGTCATTGGGGTATCCCTGGCATCTGACACACAGGGATGCTCAATAAATGTTGGTGAGTAAATGACTGACTGTTACTATGACTGTATTAGTCCATGCTAATTGCATTGCTATAAAGAAATGCCTGAGATTGGGTAATTTATAAAGAGGATTAATGGTTCTGCAGGCTGCACAGGAAGTGTACTGGCTTCTGCTTCTGGGGAGACCTCAGGAAGCTTTTACTCATGGCCGAAGGCAAAGAGGGCGCTGGCACTTCATGTGGCTGGAGGAGGAGGGAGAGAAGGGGGAGGTGCCACACATGTTTAAACAACCAGATCTCACAAGAATTAATTATCAACCACAGCTCCAAAGGGGATGGTGTTAAACCATGAGAAACCACCCCCATGATCCAGTCACCTCCCACCAGGCCCATCTCCAATGTTGGGGATCACAATTTGACACGAGATTTTGTGGGGACACAGATCCAAACTGTATCAATGACTGATAGTAACAGCAGCAGAGGGTGTCATGGGTTACAGAGTGCCTCTGTGTGCATTTTCTTGCTTTCCTCACCACAACCCCATGAGGTAGGCTAGGAAGGTTTTATTATCCCACTTTGCAGATGAGAAAGGTGAAGCCCAAAGATAGCCAGGGGTCTGTTCAAGTTCAAACAGCTAGCAACAGTGAACTTGAACTTATTTCTTCTGTCCCCTGGGCTGTTTATCTTTGATATCTGACATGGCTGATTCAGGCTTCTAGAATTCTAGGGCAGCTGCAGGTGACCCCAGTAGGCTGAAGTTAGGAGACCTAGGTAAACGAGTGTCATGGTGAAATCCCCCCCGCTCCTGAGACCCCACAGGCTCCTCCCAGACAGGCCGGCCTCCTTAGGCCTTGGGTATAATTAGCCTAGAGGTCTCCGGCCTTGATACAATAACTGGTAAGAAGCTATCCATTCTGCCGTTCATTAAGACAGGTGACACAAGATGAAATATTTTAGGTAAATCATCTGGCCTAATTTAGAAAGGCTCTGTAGGGCTAGAGCCTTTGATTTATCGGGGAGAGGTATCTGTTATCAGAGCGTCTCACACACGGACTTATTTATTATCCAGAATCTGTTTTTAATTTCAGAGATTGTTTACCTAAACTGCTGCGTGTCAGATTCCAGGATGGATTTCTGCTTAGCATTTAATTTTAGATACTTGCCATGGTGGACAGAAAAAAATGGGCCTCCAGAATTTGTAGTTTCATTATGAATCTTACCCTTGGCAGCCCCTACCAGTAGTTTGTCTTTGAAATCTCCTTGGTACTTGTTAACCCTGCTCTGCTGTGAAAGAGATATGGTTTATTTATTGGACTTTGCCCATTTATGAAAAAGTACAGAAATTATTAATGGTTTAGTAGCTATTAATGCATTACTTGGGTGGAATTCAAATTCTAATATTTATGGTAAACCCCTTTATAATGAAACGGGCAGAGAATCAGCTCTCTTGCTCCTTAAATTTGGAAGGCTCTGGATGCCATTGGAATGGCTCCCTGTGAAATATGAGCCCTTCTGGCATTATATTTACACCCATAAATAAAAAATAAGTACTTTGGGTTGGAGGAGAAATAATTAAGAATATTTGTGTAGATAATAAAGAGGAAATGGTCCAGTTTGGTTAAGTGTGTGTTTAGGAAATGCCAGGGGCTGCTGGGACTCGAATGAGGGATGGGAAAGATCAGGGCTGGAGGACTGTGGGTGTGGAGGACTTCTGGGGACTTGCAGGAAGGGAAGCCTTGTGGAGGCCATCGTGGGACCATAGTAAGATGTGTGGATCTGGGAGGCTTGTTTGGATTCCAAGTCTTCCCTAAGTTAGTACAGCTCTTTGATAGCAGTTGAACTTCCCTGGACCTCAGCCTCCTCCTCCATAAAGTGAAGGTGATATCTCACAAAATTGTCAAGATGGTAAACAGTGTAGACTTAGAATTGTAATAAATAATCTACAGATCTCTGTATATGAGGCCTAAAGAGAGAACTCGGGTATGGCAAGCATCTCAGAGCAGGATTGGAAAATACATATACATATGTATGTACATATACACACATATAGAGATACATGTATTTTTGGTGTGTGTGCATAATTGCTGGCTGTCGAGTGGAAGATAGGGAATATAGAATGGGTATGAAATGACCTTAATATGGACATTTTAAAAAATACGGTCTCAGAATACAATAAAATGCATTGAGTACCTCTTACCCACCAGGGCTCTTCTGCCCGTGGAATCTGTTATTGGGTTAATGTTCCCTGATCTTTTTCTAGTCCAACTGAGCTTCTTTCTGACCTCTTCCTGTTAGAAGCTAAAGGGTTTGGTTGAATCTCTACATCTGTAAGCATCTGGTAATCAGCTGTAAAATCAACATGTCATAACAGGAAGGAATCTCAAGGAGCATCTTGTTTAGGGATGGCAAATACATTTTATTGCATATGAAAGCTATATAGTGGTGGCTTCTAGAAGTGCTGAATTGAGAAAAATTCTGACCCATAGCCGTGTTTAGCAGGAAAGATGCGTGACTGATGAGTGGTACCTACTAGAGTTGATGAGTGGGAAGTAGTGATGTTGTGTCTCACATCCTCTCATAGTTTTTGTTTGTTTGTTTGTTTTAAGAAGGAAACTAAAACCTAGCACAGTCAACTGGCCAAGCTCACAGAGTTAAATCTCTGGCTTCCAATTCAAGTGATACTGAGGCCACACCACACTGGTGTGGTTACTACAGACCTCCTAGGAGGACAGCAGTCAGCTGCCCCTGACTTAACAGAGTACCACTTCAAGTGGACATAGTGTTTGACATCTCCTTGACGTGTCTGATGGCCTTCACAGAGAGCCAAGAAGCCAAGGCCCAAGAGACTATTTGGATCGATGATGATTGTGTTAATGATAACCCATTTATTTAGTATTTCTATGTCCCTGGTCCTATACCATGCCTTTGATGCTTGTTTTCTCATTTAATTACAACAATCTTATCAGTGGGTGACAATCTCTTCATTATGCACATGAGGAAAAAGGGGTCCAGATAGGTTAAACTCTGCAGAGTCACAAGCTAGCAAGTCTCAAAGTCTCACAGACTCCAGAGCATGTGTTTTTAATCACTGGACATCTCCTTTGTGCTTGTGAATGGTGCCATCCCTAGAGGTAGCATAGATGCATCCTCCGAGTACCATGAAGAAAGATGTACATGTAAAGTAGCAAAGGAAGCTGGGGTCAGTGGGTGGTCGATGCTCCTGACAGACAACATTTAGGCGTCGGGGAAGAATGTCCTTGCCATCTCATACAGAGTTTCCCTATTTCTGTGTGTGCTGCCGTGACTCCAGCAAGAGTTGGATGGAATTGGGGAGATCAAGTCTCCAGTTCTTTATTTCTGCTCCCTGTAGCTAATTGCATAATGACTCATAAAAGTTAAATTTCTGGTGAGCATGTCTGCCATGCTGTTTTGCTAACGGGCATGGACGTTTCCTGACTTCAGAAGAAAATGAGCCCTGATGCTGGAGAAAGGGACAACCTTTCCCCCTAACAAATTTTGCCTCTCTTGTCCCTAAGTTATGAGGAGCCTGAGTAGACAGTCTCATTCTGGGAGCTCTGGGCTCCTCCCCATGGTGCTCCAGGGGCTGGTGGCTGGCTTGCATTGAGCCTGTTTACTGTGTGGTGAAGGCAGAAGACCTGGTCATTGTATTCCTAATTTTACCTGAGTTAACTATAGCCAGATAACACAGGTCTTGGACTCAGGTCCAAATTCATTCATCCACCAGGCTTATCCTTTGTCTGCCTATTGGCTTTTAAATATTCAGGTTACAGGGTATAATCTTAACATTTAGGTTAACTGTCAAATAAAAATAAAAATAAAAATAAAAATGAAAATTAATAAGGTGGAAAAAAAGAAGAGAGTGTCTTTATTTACAACTTTTATTGGAGCTGGTGGAAGGGCTCCCTCTCAGCCCTTGTGATTCCTGTCTAGAAAATGGGCTCTTCTCTGCATGGTGCAGTCAGCAAACTACTGGTCTCCTCCTGGGCTGGGTGTGGGTTGCTGCCCTGCCTGGGTCACATAGAAGGAAGCTCAGGAAATTCTTTGATCCAAAGCTACTTTTCTGTCCTAGGAAAGGGGTCCCAGAAGGATTTCACTTCTCCCCAAGATAGCAATGAGAATTGCTCTCATTGCTGCTGATGATGATGGAGGAGGAGGAGGAGGATACTATGTTAGCATTTGAGTAGAATCATCATAACCTGGCAGGCATTGTTCTAAGTAATTAACATAATTCTTCAATAGACTTGAAGTTGCTGTTATTGTTATCCCCATTTTGCAGTTAAACAATAGCTTGGCCCGCTTGGTGGCTCACATCTGTAATCCCAGCACTTTGGGAGGCTGAGGCTGGCAGATCACTTGAGGTCAGCAGTTCAAGACCAGCCTGGCCAATGTGGCAAAACTCCATCTCTACTAAAAATACAAAACTTAGCCAGGCGTGATGGTGGGTGCCTGTAATCCCAGCTACTTGAGAGGCTGAGGCAGGAGAGTCTCTTGAACCCAGGAGGCAGAGGTTCCAGCAAGCTGAGATCATGCCACTGCACTCCAGCCTGGGTGACAGAGCGAGACTTCATCTCAAAAAAAAAAAAAGAAACCATGACTCATTTATTCCCTCAGGGTCATATTATTGGTACGTGGTGGAGCTGGCCTGAGAATAGAGTCTGTGCTTGGTGACTGGAAGAGTGTCTTAGGAGAGGAACACTTCCCTTTCCCTGTCAGTCTCCAGATGCTTACTCTCCTCTTCTTGGAGATTGTTTTCTTTTTGATCAAAATTAAATCCAGAAGAGAGAGGGAAAATCCTGATGGAGCATCTTTGCAGGCCCCTTTTATCAGGGCTTTTCTCTGGCTTCATCTACCTGCCTGCTCCACAGGCCCCAATCCCTCACCTAAACCCCTAAGGCCTATCTATTCTTTGTCTGTCATGAACAGTTCTCCAAATCTTTATTCACCCTAAGTTATAGATGAATGACAGAAGATGAATGTGTTTCTTGTCCCAGCAATATTTGTATTTTCATTGTAGTCGAAGAAGTGAAGATGGAATTTCAGGTGCAACTGACCAGGTGCTGCTTCCCACTCTATGGTCTTTATATATCCAAGCTAACCTGAGATGCAAAGCTAGGAATTCACTTAAACTGTCTGCCATTCCATCTGTTTGGACTTGTCTACAAGCCAATCAGGAAGACATATGAAAGGTGAACAGAGGCAGCATTTTAGCTCCTTCTGCACCCTAGGATTGTACAGTGCCACAGTCTCCAGTAGCATGCTCTGAACATGATCACTGTATCACTCTTCCAGATGGAAGGTGATCCTGCAATCAGTGGGCTTTGCTTAGCACAGTGTAGGCTACAGTCAGAAACCTGACTCTGCGAGAACATTCCTTAGGTGCCGGGAGCAGGAGAGGGAGGCTGGACACTCCATGTTGCCTGAGGCCACCACCCTTTGGACTAAGAGACAGAAAGAAAATCGCGCTCACCTCTGGAAAGACCAAGTCGTTGATGTCCTGCTTCCCCTCTTCAGGGCTGTTCTACCTATAAGGCCATCTCCTGAAGTCACCGTGTTTTTTATATAACATTTTGTCCTTTTAGAAATTATCCTGACGCATGTCAAGAGCTTTCACACCGAAAAAATATGTCACATTAGCTTCCAAGTTTCTGATTGTCTAAATAACGCAGCAACTCAACATACAGCTGTCTGGCATTTTGACAGTACAATAACCCATAATTCTTCCTGCCACTCAACACTTCAAGGTTAGCATTTTGTAGTTTGCTCTCAAGGAGTAGTCATTTAAATTTTCAAGAGCAAAGAAATGAATGTGGCTGCTTCATACCTCTCTTTTGATCTTTCTTTATCTGGGTGGTTTTTCCATTTATATTTTCCATTATATATTTTGGAATGCTTATATTTGGGTGTAAACTTTTCTTGGAGAGTTAGAATGTTGTATCCCATTCTCCAGATAGATGGGAATAAAAATGAGACATATCTGCTGAGCTTCAGAGGGCAGCTGCCCTGTGAGCAGTTCCCAAGCATTTGCAGTGGAGTAAAGCAAGAAGGAACTAGTAGGCGTATGGAGTAGTTTATGACTCTTTCCTGCCTCCTTTCAGAAGGCAGGTGAAGTACTTGCAGCTGCATTCTGAGGAAGGTGGAGTTTCCAGTTTCTACCTTCTCTTGAGAGAACCCCACTTGCTTGGTCCAACCTCCATCCTTGAGTCTCAAGGATGAGTCTTGGAAACCCAATTAACATCTTTGACTTAGCTGCTGGTTTCTGAATTGTCCTAACTGGCTTGGTTGCAACTGGTCATCTTTGTAGGCACATTACTACCCCTAGGTGGGAAACTGGGTTATAAATCTGGCTTTCATTAATTACCTCTGTAAACTTGACCAAGTCAACAGTTTTCCTCTTTGAACTTCTTTCCTTATTTCTAAAATGAAATTACTAGCTCTTGCCATACCTGCCACTCTAGGCTTATATAGCTGGGATAAGAAGAAACAATAAGGATAAATGTGCCTTGAATTATTGAGAGCCATGCTATCTCAATATTAGACATTATTGTGAAGTTTTTCTTTCAACCCACTGCCAGTTTTTATCCCGGATCTACCTTCCTGCCTGCAGTAATTTAGTGGCTTATTGTGATGTGTGGGTCACTTTCTGAGACAAAGAGAGTCAATATAATGCCTTCTGCCATGAACAGGCTTTATTTAGTGGCCTTTCTTGGACTGTGTTCAAGAGTAAACTCTTGGATCTTAGGCACCCTGAGGATATCTCAGGGTTTAAAATTCCTGAGATAAAATAATTAAGTTTTAGATCCATAACTGACTGACAGACTCAATGAATGTGCTTTGCCTGGGAAAAGCCTAACCTCTCCAAACTCACCAACCCATGTTTAAGCCCATGAAGTTAAGCACAATTTAAAAGCCTGAATGTGTGTGTAAAAAGAATCACTGTGTTTATAGGCAATCTGTTTACACTTTGAAAGCCATTAGAGTGATAGTGATAAAAATTTACCAGTTTGGGTCCTAAAATCTCTAAAACATAATTTGTTTGTTGAGGCCTATTGGAATTGATGAAGAAGAGAATTAACTCTTCTTCGGCATCCCTGGGACTCACTCTGACAAGTCTGAGAGGGGCTGGAAATTATAGAAGATTTGAATCTAGGTTCATGGGGAGTTTTGAACGTGTGGAATTTCTTTGGTTCGTTGCTTTTGGTGAGGAGGAATCCAGGTCAATTTTCCCCTATTTATTAAAGGTTTTATGACCCCTCTTCTTCAGAATTGGCAATTTCATTTGCTGTGCATTTGCTACTTCTAACTGGAGAGTTTGAAGTCTGGTGCAATCTACTTGTATAAGATGCTGGAGTATCACAGTCCCATGCTACAAATAGCCTGGGCTAGGAGGAGAACAACTTGATGGGGTTTACCACAAATGTTTCGATACTAGCAATAACACAGTCACTTGAATTGCATATCATTCTATACTCTTCAAAGCATGTTGCATCTGTTAACATAGCTGATCTCAGAATAGTGCCACGAAGCAGGAAGGACTATGATTTCTAAAATTACGTGTTTTTTTTGTTTGTTTGGTGTTTTTTTTTTTTTTTGAGACGGAGTCTCGGTCTGTCGTCCAGGCTGGAGTGCAGTGGCGTCATCTTGGCTCACTGCAAGCTCCGCCTCCTGGGTTCACGCCATTCTCCTGCCTCAGCCTCCCGAGTAGCTGAGACTACAGGCGCCCGCCACCATGCCCGGCTAATTTTTTGTACTTTTAGTAGAGACGGGGTTTCACCGTGTTAGCCAGGATGGTCTCAATCTCCTGACCTCATGATCCACCCGCCTCGCCCTCCCAAAGTGCTGGGATTACAGGCATGAGCCACCGTGCCTGGCCAAAATTTTGTTTTTAAGGATTTTTTCCTGACTATGAAAATAATGCATATTCATTATAGAAATTTTGGAAAATACTGAGAATCATAAAGAAGGAAATTAAGGTTGCCTGTAATTCCCCACTTCCCAGAAATAACCACTTAAAACCTTCTGGAATATATCCCCCCGACACACATACTCCTTTCTGTATGTATTTGCACAGATACCTGTAGATTAGATTTTTAAATTTGAGATCCTTCTATAAAGATACTATATTGTTCTAGGCCTTTCACTTATAAACATTTACCCATGTTATAAATAGTTCTTGAAACCCCACTATTTAATAGCTGAATAGTTTTCTGTTTGAAGAGAGGATTATAATATTGTTGAGTAACTAGGTTATTTTCAGTTGTTCCTTATTCTACTCGGTATCATGAAGTATGTTCCAGGACATACATCTATTTTTTTTTTTTTTCATTTTAAACACAGCTCTGATTATATCCTAAAGACAAACTCTTAGAGATGGAATGGCTAAGATGTTTCTGTCTAGTTTTCGAGGACTATTATGTAAAGTGATAGAAAGTCAGGGATTTTATCCAAATTTGATGGTGGGAAAACTGAAGATCAGAGAGTTACACTTACTTGCCTCAGGGTGCAGAGTGGAGCAGCCAGGTGGCCCCATGGAGGCACTCACCTTGCTGGCACTCTTACCACCTGGGAGGTGAGGACAGCACCTTGGCAAAGCTAAGCTAGGTTACAGTGTGGCCATTGTGGGCTCTCTTCACAGCCCCTATTTGACTGTGGTTTGTGATACTGATGGAGATTAACGAAATTGTCATTCTGCTTCACGTCACTGCTTCTCAGAGCTTTCTGGGCTTTTCCTCTCCCCCTCTCTCCCCAACTCAGTGCTCTCTCAGAGTGGCTGCAGCCCATCTGCCTGGCATGTTTGCTTGCCTTTCTTTTTAACCTAAAACATTTTGGAGGATGCCTATCAAGTTCCACACCCTGTGTTGGCTGCAAGGGGTACAAAGATGCGTTAATTCAGTCCTGACCCTCAAATGTCATCTAGGATGAGAATGCGAACAGGTAACTGTGGTGAAGTATGAAGAAGACATAATCCTGGGGCTGTGGAAGAATCAGAAGTGTCCCGTTTGTAAAGCATATCATGCTGTTCCTGGTGCATGACAAACCTCTAGTCTGCTGCCTCAGTGGACCCCTTTGTATTCCTATTCTATAGTATTTGTTTTGACCAGACTTATCCCCAAAAGTCTTCTCACTTTTGCTCCTTTTTGCTCCTTGTCTGCTTTGACTTACTTCCCATTGTTTTTGTACGCAGTGGGCACCTAATAAGTAATCGATGGTGTGGCCTCATCACCTGGCCTCTGGGTACCTCTATCCTGGCCCTATTCTTGCTACTTGTAAGTTCCCAGGAATTTGCACCTGTCCCTGAGTCTCATTTTCCTTATTTGTAATATTAAGGGAAGAAAACCCAAATAACTGCTAATGAAAATAATAGCAAGCATGTATTGAGCCTTATTATGCACCATGTACTGTTGTAAGAACTTTACACATATTAGCTTATTAAAGCACACGTCTTCGTGGGGTTAGGGTTACTGTTGTCCCATTTCTCAGGTGACGATCCAGGGCCCAAGGCCACATAGCCGGGTGGTGGGACCATGAGGCAGGCAGACATTAGAGATTACTCTCTTGACATTGTCCTCTACTTTCTTAGGACCCTTGCCTTACATTGTACTTGGAATGGCAAAACACTTGTGGTGTAATTTGGGAGTTCAATATGGTTAGTTTGGGAGAGCAGAAGCTCTCTTGAGTTAATAATGTATTGCAGAGCAGGCATGGGGACGTCTAGGACCTTGGCTGTTCCCTCCCCAAAGCTATAGAACATCACAGAACCAGGGAACTGTGGGGCTGGGAGAGACCTCTGAGGAAGAGCTCCTTTTTCAACCATCCATTCACTTGCTCACTCACCAACATCTTGAGCACATGCTATTTGAAAGTCATTATACTACATGTTGCTCTTGCTATGGAGACTAAAAACAGGTATGACTTCTGCTCTCAGGAAACTCACAACCCAGAAAGCCGGGAAATAGCATGTCACACAGCTGGTGGGACTGTTGGGAGAGAAAGCAGTAAGGATGAAAATGTTTTCAGTTGAAATGCCTAATTCTCTCTAGACTTCCAGGAAGGGGCCTGACAATTTTGGCACAAGGACTACCTTCTTTCCAGTGCGTGGCTCATGTCCCTGGGTCTGGCAAGTCCAGAATTAGTAGTAGAGAACTCTTGTCCAAAGCACTAATTTGGAGGCTGAGATTTATTGTTGTCACAGCACCTGGCTTACAAAAATAAGCTTTGTCATAATGGAGGAAGAAAAGGGAGGAAAATAAAG
The DNA here is from genome assembly GCF_000001405.40 of Homo sapiens. Taxonomy (NCBI): domain Eukaryota; kingdom Metazoa; phylum Chordata; class Mammalia; order Primates; family Hominidae; genus Homo; species Homo sapiens. The sequence goes on from NC_000010.11 coordinate 75,999,411, forward strand.
CCAGGTTTTAGATCAGTTGCAGAATTTTTTTCCCCTGTCTATTGAAGTTTATAGTAAGTCAAAATGCCTGGTACCCAGATTGATTTGAATGAAAAAAATAGATATACATATATATGCATGCTTGAACAATGTCAGGCTTCCAATGTGCCTCTAGTTCCTCTGTAAGTCCCCAATCTAGGAGTTTCTTCTGTAGCTTGATTCCAGCAAGAACAGGCGCTGCTTCAGTATTCATTTCAGTGGCGTTGACAATACTGACAATATAATTGACCTAAAAAGTTCTGGATTTCCTGTTAATGCACTTTAGAAATGTACATCAACTACCAAAAAAAATTCATTTCTATCTACATTTCACTTGATTTCCATTTTCAAGAGAGAGGCTTCATCATTATTATTCTATTTGAATAGCACTGATATCTTGAAGGATGGAAGGAGATTTCTATTGTATGCGGGAGTACTTTATTTCGATATTTTCTTTGTCTGATTATACATGATAAACACACATTAGTGACATTTCGTGCATGTTTGGAAGATAAATGGGGATATCTCTTTAAACCATTCCTGACACTTGCTAACCTGTGAGCTTAATGGCATTTTCTCTTTGATTCAATAATTTGTCTGTCAAAAAAAAGCTGGGCTGACATTCTCCTTGTTGTGGGATTGAAATGGAAAGAAATCTCTTCTCTTGAAGATAATTTTTTTTTTAAATTGAGGGGAACATTTTAGGATAAAAATGTTTTTGAAATTATTTGGGTTTTTGGTGATGGAGGTGGAGGACGGGGGCTGGGAGGATGGCGCTGATGAATGCGAGAGCCCTGACATTATATGTGTGGCAAGTCATCTTAAAAGGGGGCCCATTACCTCCATCTGCAAGTCCTCTTGAAATAATTAGGGAACGTGTGAAATCTTGCAAATGAAGATGGCTCCTACTGCGGTGTCTCCTGGGAGCCATCAGCCTCCCTCCCGGTGGAGGTGGTCGGGTGGGGTGTGCATCTGTGTGCACAGGCATAGCTCTGACTCCATGCACCTGTCTTAGTTCCCCTGGATGATGGAGAAGTCCCCTGAACAATGGTGAGAGGGAAGGCAGTCCCAGCCTCATGCTGGAGAGGCTCCAAATCCAGATGCCTGTTTTATCTTTGGAGATTTTGGAGCAGCCTCATTCAGGGGCTGTGGTGAATGTGAATCGAGTGGTGAACCTCGAGTTTAGGAAGACATATGGTGGGCTGCAGGTGAGGCTTATTGCTCATGAGGGAGGCCTGTGCATCTGTGAGAAAGGTGGCCTCACATGTTGGGAATGAGGGACCATTTCAGAGCTGTATCATGTGACCCCAGGATGTGTTGCTAGCCTGTCTCCTGGGGCCCCTCCGTGCCCTGCATTTGAGGGTTTCTTGGAAGTCTGATTACGTAAAGTTGATGTGAATAGGCAGGGAGCAGAATGGAAGAGGATGCTTGGTGTTGAGAGTCTGCTTCCCTCCCTTCCCGCTTCTCCACCATAAGGGGTCTTCACATGCACCATTAGAAAACAAGGACTTATTAGGCCCCCTCACGTTGATTCATTCAACACCTTGTATGTGTGCCAGGCACAGTTCTAGGCCCCGGGGAGGCACCCCAAGTCATATAACTTGCCCATAGTGAAGTCAGGAATAAAACCCAGGTTTCTTGATTCCTGATCTGATGCTTTTCTGGCACACCACCCTGCCTTCCTGGAGACCCCATCTCCTGCAGGAGCCTGAAATTCTTTCGCATTGTCTGGTTGTTCTTCCTTATGGCTTCCGGTTCCCCTGTCTGAGAACGCAGGTCAGTCATTTCATGCTGGGTTACCCTAGCAAAACACAACAAACACAAACAAATAAAAATGAAGTCATCAACCATCACATGTGTTTTCCCAGGCTGGATTTCCCACTAGCAAATAGGGCCCTTCAAAACCTTTGAACATCCTGAGCACTGTTACTTTAGAAGCCCCATCACACAGCGTATCAAAGATATTAAAATTAACCCCCATCTCATATTAAACATGATTTATGAAGTTTCAATGTGAAATTTTGGGGATGGATTTTAAAAATCATTTTTATAGTTTTGAAGTTTAAGAGTAAATTCATTATGGCTTAAACTTTGTTATATTTAACTGTAAAGCTTGAGTTGATTTGCACTTAACTGACTGATGAATATAATGTTTCTTTCTGTTGAAATTTAATGAAATATTTATTTAATTTATTATTTTCATTTATTATATTATTATTTATTTAATGAAACATTTATTAATCTTAGTTTTGCAATTTTTATTTCACATTTTAGAGCCATTTATTTTCAGATATCAAACATTTCATTGGCCTTTAATGAGTTTAGAGGAGAGCCCTTGACGCTATGCTTGTAGCTCCTCATGGATGAAAGGCCCTGAAAACAGACCTCTTTGCAGCTACCCACCCAAAACCAAATTGTATACTGCAACATTTGCTGCCCTTGGAGAACCCCAAATGGGCTTGTTGGAAAACCTCTTCTAAAATCCCTGGGACTGGCCTGAGTGTCATGGAAGTGACCCTGAGGGCTCAAGAAGAACTGCCGTTTCTACTTGCCATGGTGTCTTACTCAGCTTGGGCTGCCATAAAAAAATACTGCAGACCAGGTGGCTTAAACACAGACATTTGTTTCTCACAGTTCTGGAGTCTGGAAGTCCAAGATCAAGAGCCAGCTCTGTTTCTGGTGAAGACTTTTCCCAGCTTGCAGATGGCTGCTTTTTTGCTGGGTCCTCACACCCTCACATGGTAGAGACAGCACACCCTGTTCACTCTTCTTCTGAGGGCACCAGTCCCATGATGAGGGTCTCACCCATGTGACCTCATCTAACCCCAATTCTCTCCAAATACTGCAACTTCAAATACTACTTATACAAAGGTTCCACTTCAAACTACTGTCACATTGAGGGCTAGGGATTCAATATATGAATTTGAGGAGGTTGCGGGGTGGGGCACAAACCTTCACTCCCTAACATACAGTGTGGTGGAAACACCCAGGCCTCAGAGTCTGTGGCTGTGGGTTTCACATCCCAGGCCCACCACTTTTAGCAGTGGTTAGCCTCCGAACTTCAGTTCCTACATCTGTAAAATGGGGATGGTAATCAATCTGTAGGGTTGCTATTTGCATTAGAAGTAATGTTTATAAAGGGTCCAGCACCCAGTAGGTACCTCTTCTCATTGTAATTTACCCAGTCATGTGAGGGCATCTTTAATGAAATGAAACAGCAGCTGTTATGTGTGGAGTTACAACAAAGAGACACACACACAGAGCAGGGAGACAGGCCAGGAGCATGTCTGGAGGCAAGAAAACAGGTAAGGTCCTTGGCATTGAGGCAAGGAGGGGCTCCTACAAAAAAAGTTTTTTTCCTACATTTCTGGGAAGTCTCAGGCTTTCAGGGAACTCCTCAGGTTGTGCCAGACTGCAAAGAGTGGGCTGAGAGGCCCAGCCTTCTGGGCCTGGGGATGATTCAGGAATGAAAGATCCCCAAGTTGGGAAGACTCAGCTTGAGGGTTTTTCACCAGAAAACAATCTGCAGTTTATTTATTTATTTATTTTTGCCATTTCCAGAATGGAAAACACAAACGGAAATGATGAGTTTTATAAATATAGGAGTTTTGTGCCTGGGATGGAGGTGGGGCGTTGGTATTTATGTGCAAATAGCCCTAGATTCTGCAGATTACCAGTATCTGGGGAAGGAACAAATGCCCAGCATTTAGAAAGCCATCAGAACAGGGAGCGCCACCCCTGGCTGCGAGAATTGGTGGGCAGTGATATGGCAACCCTCTTTCCTGAGTACTCCACCATTAGACGGGATTGGTGGGTGGAAAATCAGAGGCCATGAGTAGTCTCCCAAATCCTTCCACTTGAGTCAGCCTGCAGCCAATTAACCTTCCTGACCGACTCAAGGCAAGCCTAGACCACAGTGGAAGGAACGTCCCCTGGCCCACCCTCTCTCTCTACCATCCTCTCTCCCTTCCTTCTGCCACTCAAGTGAGTGCTCAGTGTGTATCAGGCACTATCCTAGGTGCTTGCATTAAATCCATGGGCAAAATGGAAAAATTTATAATAGACATTAAACAATAAATATGTCTCATAAAGACGTTACACGTTGGAGGGCAAAAAATGCTATGGAAAAAAGAAAAAGAGAGCAGGTAATAAAATTAGTAGTCCCGGGTGGAAGTGGCAGGACAGGTTGCAGTATTGAACAGGGTGGTCAGGAGAGGCAGCATTAGGAAGGTGAGATGAGTAAATGGCAGGTAAGTCAGTTGAGGGTGTTGAAGGACAAAAAGATTATAAAATGAACTGTCTCTGAGCTCATAGTGTCTGATAGGGGGAGGAAGAAGCCAGTCAACATTGGAATGCCTGGAATATCATTTCTTCCTAACAAATCTGAGCAATGTGGCTTAGGGAGATGAAGAATACCTGTGCCTGCCAGTCCTTAATCTTATGTGGCTCATGGTACCGCTAGGCAGTGCTTGGTATCAGATGGAGATTGGGACCTGGGTATAAAGCCAGAGTTCTCTAGCCCAGGTGGGGTTTTTGGGTTTCTAATGGCTCAAAACGTTTGTTGGATGAATGACATGAGTGGTTAAATGAAAAACTGAGTGAATAAATTCATCAATGAGCAAATGAATGAACAATGAATGAATAAAGACTGATTAAAATTCTTATCTGTATTAAGAATAGATAATTTACAAGTTCACACCATAAGTTACTAGTTGCACATTTAGCTTCAGTAGTAATTTTTAAGGTGCTTTGCTATATTTAAAATATATAGGCATTTACACCATTGAGTAAATTTTCAAATGTAGTGAAAAATTATCCAATTTTAAATATGTTTAGGTATTATGGTATAGTCCGAACTTAGATTTTCACTTATAGCTGTAATCAAAGTAGACCATATTTTCTGAACCAGCAGATGACTTTGCCTCCTATGTAGAGTGAGAGCAGACTGCTTGATAAGCTTGTGAATCACAGTTTCTTGCTTATGGATAATTGCTGCTCTTAGTCTTGAGACATGACATAGAGATTGACGCAGAGTAAACTGCTGGTCTGCTGGTTACTAAACTTTGCATATTTTCAGAAAGACCTGGGGAAACTTACAGAAAGAGCGGCAGACAGTGTCAGGCAGGCCACAGACTGGCCACCCCCAGGTCTACTTTATCAGAAGTTTCAGGTATGGTCTCCAATGTCTGCAGTTTAAAATTGTTTCTCAGGTGATTTTGTTGTCGATAGTGTAGGGGATTAAGGAACCACTGCACCAAAGCCAACTTTGAGAGCAGGAGGTATGTCCTTTTCTTTTAATTTTTTTTTTTTTTTTTTTGAGACGGAGTCTCACTCTGTGGCCCAGGCTAGAGTGCAGTGGCGTGATCTTGGCTCACTGCAAGCTCCGCCTCCCAGGTTCATGCCATTCTCCTGCTTCAGCCTCCCGAGTAGCTGGGACTACAGGCGCCTGCCACCACACCTGGTTAATTTTTTGTATTTTTAGTAGAGGCAGGGTTTCACCTTGTTAGCCAGGATGGTCTCGATCTCCTGACCTTGTGATCCACCCACCTCGGCCTCCCAAAGTGCTGGGATTACAGGTGTGAGCCACCATGCCTGGCCTTAAAATTTTTACTTTATTAGTGTCTATCAATAAATGGATAAGTGTAAATCCTAATTGCAGGAAGCCAAATGAGACAGATTTATCCCCCTCCAACAAGGTAGCATTTCAGTCTTCTTTCTTTCTCTGTCTCTCTTTTTCTTATTTTGTTTATCTTCTCCCTAAACATAGGACTTCTCTGTATGTATTACTGTACTATGTGCTTTCTCTTTACAATTCTGATACATTATGCATGTCTTTCAATACATATTAAAGCTACATGATATTCCAGAATGTGGAAGTGATCCATCCTTTCAACTTGTTGAAATTCATTGATTTACTCAAGTGCTTCCCTCATAGAAAAATGTTGATAAACCTTTGCTGACTGAATAAATGAAGAGAACATAGCTATCTTGTACCATCCACCCCACGTCAGTTTCCCATAGGAAGTTTGGGGTTAAAATCAAGCCAGTTTCCTTGGCACATGTAGTTCCAGCTACTTGTGAGGCTGAGACGGGAGGAGCACTTGAGCCCAGGAGTTTGAGGCTGCAGTGAGCTATGATTGTGCCACTGCACTCCAGCCTGGGTAACAGAGTCCTATCTCTAAAAATAAATAAGTAAATACCTAAAAAAAATAAATAAATGGGCCAGGCGCGGTGGCTCACACCTGAAATCCCAGCACTTTGGGAGGCCAAGGCAGGCAGATTACGAGGTCAGGAGATCGAGATCAACTTGGCTAACACAGTGAAACCCAGTCTCTACTAAAAATACAAAAAATTAGCCGAGCTTGGTGGCGGGCGCCTGTAGTCCCAGCTACTTGGGAGACTGAGGCAGGAGAATGGCGTGAACCCGGGAGGCGGAGCTTGCAGTGAGCCGAGATGGTGCCACTGCACTCCAGCCTGGGTGCAGTGCGAGACTCCATCTTAAATAAATAAATAAATAAATAAATAAATAAATGAACCAGCTGAGACTTAGTTCTTCTTAGGAAGGTTCTAGGCTGTGGTGAGAACCCCTCTAATGCAGGGGTTCAGGCAGGCTTGAAATGGAGTCGCTGTTTCACAAAGGGAAAGAGAACAGATCCGCCAATGAGAAAAGTTGATGGGGCAGAGGCCTCAGGCAAGGTCCAGACCCTGTCTTCAGAGTCTGTGAACATTTAAGGAGCTAAGACTTTCTTTATCTTCCTGGAGTGTCCACCCACTAATATAGGGCAGGTTATGGTGAGGACTGTGAAAGACCCAAGAGCCCTGGAGCTCCCTGTGCGGCGGCTGAGGGTGTTCAGAGGAGTGAGGGTTTGAACTGAGTTCAGAAGGAGAGTCAGCCTGAGCTCCGCTGAGCAAAGGCTCTGGGTGACTCTGCCGCTTACCTGGAGAGAACCGTTTTGCCTCTGTCCGGCCATGTGAAGACCGGCTGGCTAGTGTAGGGGGCTCTTGGAAACCAGGTGGGTAAGAAACCAAGTAAACTAACTATTCTGTTGTTTCTCCAAGAGGAGAAACAGCAGCCACAAAAACCTCAGCCCTCTGCAGAGCGAAGCTCCAAGAGCCCCTTTCACAGACACATAAATATTTAATAATCATCTGTCTACAACCAATCTAGGGGAAAAAAATCTTTAAATAGACTGCTCGAAAGGCCAAAACCTGAATTTTAATTGAGGTACTTTGAATTACTCCCATTAGTCAGTCGCTCTGACTTTTTCTTAGTGAGGGCTGGATTGTTTTTGAAAGGGGAATCGAAATTATTAGCAGCCCTTAAAAAAAGAAAAAACCTGCTGATCCTACTAAATAATAAACTAGGCTTCTTTTTAAAAAGACGTGGCTTTCTAGGCTTCAAGCAAGAGGGGAAAGTAAGATGAGCCCCACATTTTAGAGATGCAATTTGAAAAGCAAGCGTTAAGGGCATTCAGATGCCTGGCTAAGCAGTTCCTCGGCAAAGCACTTCTGCAATGCTCCCTGGTCCTGCTAAAGTTTGCAGGATGGAGAAGGCGTGTGTGTGTGTGTGTGTGTGTGTGTGTGTGTGTGTGTGTGTGTGTGTGCGCGTGTGTGTTTATATATTTATTTTCCGTCTCTCTGCCCCCTGGGCCTGCAGTCTTCTGTAGCCGATGTAACAATCCTCCTGGATGAACCTCTTGTATCTCATGCTAGCCAATTTCGACAGTCTAAAGTGCTCAAATTGAGCCATTTTGTTCTCTGTAAAATAAACCTCAGGCCATTATGCGTGGTTTTTCATTCACCCGCCTCCTTGTCACCCTTCCCTTGGCCCCTCTCTGCCCACCCTCCCCTCCTTCCCCATTCTCTCCTCTTGCTCCCCCTCTGACGAATGGGAGGGAAGCAGACATCCTTTAGGAGACCGCTGTTTTCAGTCCAGGCATGTCAACTTCACTCTGGCACAATTTGCTTTGAGATCTGTGGCATGGAGCAGGGCTACAGGGTCACCCCCCAACCATAATTGATCTTGCTTATTCATCTGCTTCCTGCGTATTGCCCTCTCCCCATGCTGGCCTTTGTTTGGATAAATTGTTGGAAGATTTACTGTGGTGCTGAAAGCCACCTGCCCTGGTGTCCCCACCACCTCTTCCAGGGTGAGACGATAGAGTGGCACTTAGGGAAGAAAGTTCTCCCTTCTCCCCGCCATCCCAAACCTAGAGGACATCTCCTGGCATCACAATTCAGGCAATTTCCAGACTAATTTACTATGGAATCACTTTTCACGGCCCTTGTGCACCGGTATGAGAAATGTTAATTGGTGTGTGAGCCTGAGATGCTCTTCCAAAGGATTTATCGTCAGAATCAGAGGAGGGGAAGGGGAGCCGAGGCCGTCTTTGTGATGGCTTGGAGGCTGCACTCACTCGCTTCAGATTATTTTTAAAACCAATGGTCATGATGGATCTGAATCCAGTAATTTATTCGATTTTGGGTCATTAACCCTTGTTCTGCTTATGGCAGCAAATGACTTCATCGTCAGAGATGATGAGTGTTCCGAACTGTGGGGATACTTGGCTCTCTCGAGCTCTCATCTGAAAATCAATTTTAAGCAAGTGGCAGGCATTAGAAATCCTCTCTGCTTATAGGTTTCTGCAGCATTGCCTCTAGGATTTGAAGAAGCAGGGAGGGCGGGGGCCGGGGAGAAGCCTCTGGAAAACTCCCATTGCCGGGGTGTTTGCGTTGGGGTGGCTAATGTCCTAAGAAGGCTACACAATAGACTGTCAAAATGGTTCTTTCAGAGTGGGGCATGGATCACAGTTTAGAAATGGGGGAAAAGGAAGGAAAGGAGCAGGCCTCCATGGAGTGATCCTGCCTGTAGACTGAATAAAATAGCTTGAAATCATTGTTTTGATTCCCATTGACTGAAGGCTGGAGGGGCTTTACTGGTTAAGCTTTTAAAGCCGCAGCAGTTTAAACACTTTTTTTTTTGCCTTTTTTGCCTGCTGCACCCTTTCTCCAGTTGACTTTGAAACACATTAACTCATCTTTGGAAAAACAAAAAACAAACACTGTTTGCCTTCAATTCCGAGGCTGGCTTCTCTCTTGAGGTGTTATATAAATAGGTGGCATCATCCAGCATCACTGTGCAGGGCACAGGGGACTGGCGTGGCCAGTGCCAACCTGCCTCCCACCGGGTACACACTCCCATGGCTGTCCACACTGCAGTCCTCTGCCATGCTGGACAAACTGGCTGGCAGTGTTTCGGATCAGAGAATTTCTTCCCTGCCTCTGAAGATGGAAGCAATGTTTGATGGGTGTTGGAGAGCTCTCTGAGAAAGGGCCCATCTTTAAGCACTGCCCATGTGAGCCTGTGTTTTCCTTAAACATAGTCATGGGAGATCCTTTCCACTGCTGACTTTTTAAGTTGAAATATTTAGGGAGAAAATATGAGTTCTTAGAAACTTTTAAGTGGAAGAGATTTAGTAATGATTTAGCCAATCCCCTTATTTTTTTGCAGATGAAGAGCCTATGGCATAGATATATCAAGTTCCTTGTCCAAAATCACACATACTGCAGGGAGCAGAAGTGATCCTGAACCCAGGTCTCCTGAGCAGTGGAGTACCTGGGGTAGGGATGGCAGCAGGTTGCTCAGGTGCAGGTAATAAGGGACTGCACTGTCTGCAGGGAATTTACAAACAATAACAAAGCCCCTCACTCTGCTTTTAATGACCACCATGAGCTGATTCTCAACAATGTCAGAGCTAAAAACACCCCTTTCTGCCAAGGTAGGTGCTCCCACTAGCCCCCTCCCCACCTCTTTGGGACCCCCACTGCTTCTGACTCCCAGTTCTGTGTTTTTCTCACTACACTAAGATGCATCCCTCATCAAATAGCAACCAAACAAAAAAACAACCTTATGTTAGAAGTTCCCTGCTTCTTTTGGAATTAAGTAAGGAAAATAGCCTTTTGATGAGCTCACATTAGCCAGGAATGGTGCAGAAAAGTGTGATGTCTTAAAATTCGAAGCTAGGGGGCCCCTAAAAAAGAAGTGTTGGGATTTGTTGGCTCTCTCCTTGCCTGCATCCCTCTGACATGTGAGTGTGGATTGCGGGCCAGGAGCTCGCAACCTTGCTCTAGGTAGATTCGACAGAGCCAGGGACTCTCTGCGTTACCTTCCAAACCTAATTCTCTCCCATGTATCATCAGAGCCTAGGGGGAACCTCCCAGTGGTCTGAGGGCCTGACCAGCTTTTATGTGTGTCTCTTTGTGGTCATCTCGGCCAGACTGGTTGCTATCCAGGTTTTTCTTCTCCTCCGCAGCCGCTCCCTGAAATGGGTGGGTAAATATCCCAGTCTGACTTCAGCTGCCGAGTCATCAGTCCTGACAGACGGCTGCCTCTTTGCCGAGCAACCCCCCTCACTGCCTCCTCCCCCAGCCCCTCATTTCATCTTCCCCCTGTCAGAACTCACCCTCTGGCAGAAATCTTTTCCGAGAGCTAAATGTGAGCCTCAAAGAGATGCCGTCAAGGTATTTTTCATAATTTTCAAAGGTAATTTCCTTCCCTCTCCCCCACCCGCCTTCTCTCTGTTATAATTATGTCTTAGCAGCTCCCCAAATCAGCATAGCAGCCAAGTTCCCTCCCCCTGAAGGTGGCCGCCTTTTCTCGCACAACAGTCCTGGGAAAAGGCCTTGGAGAGCAAGGCTAGGGAGCCAAAGGCTTCCTCACCATTGCATTGAGAGGCAAGCTGGTGGCCTTACTGTCCCGGGATGAAGGAAGACTTAAAATGGCTTTGTGTCACTTTTGGTCTAGAGAGTCCACTGTACCCTGAGGTATTTCCCTAAGTGCCAGGTCCATGATGGTGTTTAGGGTACTCTTAATCTAATTTATATCCTTTTTTTTTTTTTTTTGAGACAGTGTCTCACTCTGTCGCCCAGGCTGGAGTGCAATGGTTCAATCTCAACTCACTGCAACCTCCGCCTCCCGAGTTCAAGCAATTCTCCTGCCTCAGCCTCCTGAGTAGCTGGGACTACAGGCGCTCACTACCATGCCTGGCTAATTTTTTGTATTTTTAGTAGAGATGGGGTTTCACTGTGTTAACCAGGATGGTCTCGATCTCCTGACCTCGTGATCTGCCCACCTTGGCCTCCCAAAGTGCTGGGATTACAGGCGTGAGCCACTGTGCCCAGGCTATATCCATATTTTTAAGAGTAGGCAACATCCATTCCAGGACATTCTCTGCAGTTTCTTTACCCTCCCACTCCCCCTCTCATGCCTCCTTACTCTCTCAGGAAGGAGCCAAGGAAAGAATTCCTCTTTCTCCCTGAATCCTGACCTCTGTCACCTCTGAATCCTGCCTGTGGCTGGCCCTCAACAGGTGGCCTGGCCACAGGAACGGGAGGAGGACTGGCCTGTCTCAGGCCCTCTGCAGAGATGCAAGCATGGCCAGCCCTGGCTGAACGGAGATCCTGAGGGTAAATTATCTTCCACTAGGAATCCTGAGACTTGACATTCAAAAATTCTATTCATTGAAAACAGACTAGCCCTGAAAACCTGGTTTAGTAGATAAAATCTGTAACCACAAGAGGATAAATCGAGTTTGGCTTGTTTGTACTGGTCTAACTTAATATGATCTCCCTTGGAGTTTCCAGCATCTAGATTTTCTAGATCATTAAATCCATTACTTTTCAGTGTTAACTTTTTTTTAGGAGGATGGGGTAGAGAGTGGATATATTTTTTAGTGGCATCCCACACTAATTGTGGGAGCGTCATCAAAGCTCATTTTGGGTGTGAAGTGACTAATTTCTAAGCCCAGGGGTTCTGAAGGAGGATTTTCATCCATTTATCACAAAAGACCCCAACAGCCAGTCAGGAAAGGGGTCTGCTGGCTATAGCCACTGGTGTAGTCCACCCAGAAGAATGAGGAGAGGGGCCACTTCCAATCCCCTAAAAATACTGAATGCCAGGATGAGGGGTGTGGGAATGTGGCCATCTCGTCTCCCGTACCTCTGGATGCTCTACGGGGCCATGGAGCCATTGCTGTGAGCCAGTGTGTGACCATGAGCGAGTGGGCCACCCCCTCCATCCTCAGTTCCTCCATGTGACTAGTGGAGCAGATCTCACCTGCCTCTCAGGGTGAGTGGGCGAGGCAGACGAGGGCTGCATGTGAGGATCGTGTGCAAGTCTTAAGTGCTCATGAAAGTAGCCATCACCATTTCCTTAAGATTAACGCCTCCGAGCCTCAGTCTTCATTGTTTAGGAAAGGGATTCTGTGTGATTGAGATTTTAACACCATGTGCCCTTCCCCTGTGGAGTGGTGGCATCTTAAAGAGTGAATATTTTGTTCCAGCTCTATCCTCCAGGGATTGGCTTTGGGCAGGTGGGGCAAAACATGGGGCCAAGTTCTTTACTCTGAGGGGAGATGCATAGGCACATCCCTGACTTCCCATGTCTCCAGATTGCATGGGATGGAAGGAGGAGACCAGAGGTGAGGGCAAGCCATGCTGGATAGTGTCCTTCCCTTTGCTCCCTTCCCAAAGTCCAGGATAGGAGGAGGAGGAGGGAGTGAGGCTGGCCGTAGAACTCCAGGGCCTATGTGAGAAGACTGTCACACTCTAGGGTTAGGGGCAGGGTCTGAGTGCAGTTCAGGGTTGCCAGGTTGTCAGAATGGCTTGGAGAGGAGCAGCAGCCTTGCCCAAAGCTGGTTCCTGGAGCGCAGTTAAGTAAAGTCCTGCTGTCAACATTGGGCTTCTGTTTACCGGTTGTTCAAGCCCTTGGTCTGCACTGGGTTCCTCTCCTCGATGGACCACTGTCTTCCAACCAGAGTTTTCAGCCACTGCACTTTGTCATCAGACATAGCTGCAGGCCACGGTGCATCTCAGAAGCCCATGTCAGGGCTATACTTTTGTTCCAGGACAGAGCTCACAGCCCAGATACAGCATGAGAGCTTTCATGTCCCACTCCTATGGTGAAGAGCCAATGGGACCCTAGTGCACTTGTTCATTTCATTGTGAATTTGAATCCATGGCTGTGTGTGTGTATCGGGGGTTGGGGGGTGCTTTCCTCCGAGTCTTTTTTAAACTTTAATAAGATGGTTCTTTAATTTTTGGCATTATCCTTTAAATACATAGTCCTTTTGGCTCTTCCCCCGACCCCTGTAACCCCTCCAAACAATTATAAAGCATAGGAACAAAGCGGGCTGGGATGTAAGTTGTGCAACTGGTCAGTTCACAACGAGGCAGTGCGTGCATGCACACATATGCATGTATGTGCGTGTGACAGACACTGAGTTAAACTCCTCATCATTAAGTGGTGTCCTTCCTTGGGCACCAGAAGACACTACACAGTGTCTTTTCCTGCATAATTGGACTGTCTTTTCATACAAGCTGAGGCGCTTCTTTCGGGATATAAGCCCATGCAGTCTCAACAGGTCAGGAGCGATAGTAAAAACCTGTTGTCTGGCTTTGTATTTGGAATAATGGAGTCACTAATCTACTTGATCTGGCCAAGTCAGATAAAGGAGAAAGTGAGGGATGCCTGTGCTTCAGAGATGGAATGTATTTGTAAAAGCGATTTCTTTGCGGGAGGGGGAGAAGGGGGAGACACATAGGAAAAAAAGGGAGCAAAGACTGTTGGAAACCTTTTAATTAGTACTAATTACCTCAGCAGAAAATGTTGGAAGCTTAAAGGATTTGTGTCAGCAAGTGAAAGATCAAAGATTGCTAGGCTCGCATTTTAATCTGTTGGCTATAAAAAGGAGTGAGGGGGGTGGTAATGGGACCCAGGAGAATGGCTGCCCAGGTGGCGCTGTCCTTAATCCCTTCTTTACTGCTGCAGCCCCAGGCCTAGTCCCAATTACATAATAAGATGATTTAATTTTTTTTTTTTTTTGCTTTGACTTTAACTGGATGTAGAAAAGAGGAAGGGTCATTTTTCTCCCCTTCAGTGAGGATGGGGTGGGGCTTCTGATGGTAGACTTGGTAGCTGCACAATCCCTTGTTTGATTTCCCTAATCAGCAAAATGACATTTTAATTTCAAATTAAAACAACAACCACCAACCCACACACAGAAGAGCGCTCTTTAAGGATAAAAGGGTCTGTGGGTATACAAAGAAAGTGAGGGCCTTTGGTTGGTTGAGCTGTGGTTGGGCATACCTGGGGCAACAGGTAAAATGTGTTAATAGAAAGCTCCACTTACTGGGTTCATCACCATGACAGTTCCTTACAAGTCCAGTAGGGCAGGGACAGAGGGAGGTGGGGGGGAAGGCCGAGGAAGAGTGGAGTTGACAAGCCACACCACCCATCTTAGAAGGCCTCTGTGTTTCTCTCTGTCACCACCCTATTTTCTTTCCTTTCAGAATGGATTAGGCTGGGGCAAGGGCTGTTAGCAGACCCCATTGGTGCTCTGCCCATATTCCCTTGGCAATCACCATTCTTGTGCATTGCCAACCTGATGGCTTCCAACTACAGACACCTGCAACTCTATTCTCTGGCTGCTTGAACCTTCTCAGCCCTCAACCAATGACTGATGGCAGGAGGTTGGTTAATATCCCAGCTCCCTTGTCCCTAACTGAGATGTCACTGAGAAGTGATCCACATTACATCCCATACCATTCTAGAGAAGAAGTTGGTGGTCAACTGCTGGTCAGCCCAATATGGTCTGCTGTTTCTGTTTAAAAAAAAAAAGTATATATATATATATATAATTATATATATATATATATAATTATATATATATATAATTATATATATATGGTAACATTGTTATGCCTATTCATTTACATATTGTCTATGACTGCTTCTACATGGAGCTGAGTCTTAACAGAGATCATATGACCCACAAATCCTAATATATTTACTATCTGGCTATTTACATAAAAAGTTTGCTGATCCCTGACCTTACGGGGTTAAACCCAGCTGCCCTTAGCAGTAACCCACCTCATACTATATCCTTTATTGACATCTTTCCCTTTTTAATCTCACTTTCTGGTGTTTTGTGTGATCACTTCCCAAATAAATGACTTGCTCTCACATCCTCACTTCAAGATCTGTTTCTAGGAACTCCAGCTTAACATCATATGCCCATATACACACCAAAAGGACAGAATCCCTGCAGATAGTGCTGGTTCATCCCATTTCTTCCAGAAGCCAAGGTTGACACCATCAGAAACATAATGAAACAAAATAGCAGTTCAGCTTGGAGAACTCAAAAATGCTTTAACATACTGCCTCTCTGACTGAAGGATCTGTGCTCAAGCCATTGAACCTCTTTGTTCAACAACTTAGGCTCCTTCTAAAGCTTAGGCTTTAGGAGATAGGCTGCAGGAAAAATCTAGAAGGAAGCCTGTATGGTAGAATGGAGGCCCACTGGCTCTGGATCAGTGAGCGTGGCTCAGCCCTCTGGGGTGTGGCACTTTGTCTTCATGGGAGGCGTGACCTAGAGTGGCCAACTATTAGAAGGCTAGCCTCCTGGCTGCAGCATCTAAATATCCACTCCCTCTAGGAAAGGCTACCAGAGAAGGTTTCAGGCCCAGACCTCCTGACGTTTAGCTTATGTCTCTTCAGAATCATATATGTAAATGTAAAGCAACTGCCATTCAAAATCTGATGTACAGTCCCTCCTTGTGTATTGTCTTCTTGTATCTTCAGTTAGTTAAGTTTGATACCCATTTATCATGAGGCCAGAGAGGGACTTGGTTGGAAGATTGAAGAAATAGATGCCCCGGCACTTTGCCAGGTGTATTAGTTATCTATTGCTAAGTATCAAATTGCCCCCCAATTTAGCAGCATATAACAACAAACATTATTTATCACACAGCTTCTGTGGGCCAAGAGTTTGGATGCAGCTGAACCCAAGGTCTCTCACAAGCCTGTGGTTAAGGCATGGAACAGGGCTGCAGTCCTGTCAAGGCTTCCCAGGGAGGATCCCTTTCCAAGCTCATTCACGTGATTGTGGGTGGGATTCGGTTCCACATGAAACTAAGGCCTCACTTTCTTGCTGGCAGTTGGTTGGAGACCTACCTCGGCTCCTTGCCACATGGACCTCTCCATAGGACAGCTCATGACTTGGCAATGAACAAGGGAGAGAGAAGGAGAGGCCCAGAAAGACAGAAGTCAGTGTTTTTGTAATCTTATCTTAGCAGTGATATCCATCACGTCTGCAGGATTCTGTTCATTAGAAGCAAGTCGAGAGGTCCAGCCCACACTCAAGTGGAAGGGGTTACAGGGCTGTGACTACCAGGAGGGAGGGATCACTGGGAGTCATCTTAGAAGATGCCTGACACACCATCAGCTATCAATCTGAACATGCCACTATGCTGGTATCATTTAATAATGAGGTACCCACTTAGACAGATTTCATTGGCTATCTTTAATCATTAAATAGTATTAGCTACTTTAGAATAAAATCTTTCTGAAACTTCTATTACCAACTCCTCTGTTTTCTTAAAGAGGTTACACAAAATGTACTTTTATGATTTTCAAGTCTCATCTCAGAATCTACTTCTTTGAAATTGTCATTCTTGGACTTCTAGCCTAAAGTAATCACTCCCTCTGGGTTCTTGTAGCACTTATTTTCTATATTGTTTATGTGGCATATAATCATATATTGCTTTGTGACAGTTCTATTGTTATCTTGAGTTACTCCTTGAATCTTGTATTGTTTAATTTCCACACGTCGACATCTTGTCTCTCCATAAGAATTATAAACAATTTAAGTGCAGCAGTTGTCTAATACTTCAGATAAAAGCAACTGCAATGGAGGTTTTATTTAAATATATGTTGACTTTTTTCCTTTGATGATGTTGATTTCTGATTCATGATGGTGATTCTTTTAAGGCTACTAAGAAAATAGCTTTAAAAGGGTAAAATAGTCTAAAAAAGGTATATTACTCATTGCCCTTACATTGGGTGGCCCAAATACTCTGATTTTTTTTTTTTTTAGTTTTGGTTTATTTATTTTGGTAGGTGGTTTTGTTTTAGTTTTTAATCTGTTTTCCTTTAGTGTTAACATAATAACCATTGCTTTTCTCCCTTTTCTCTATTTTGGCCAAGAATTGGGACTAGATTCTTGAAATACTGCTTTAACCGAGTTTTCTGACTAAATGCTTATGATCTTCTGTAACATCCTGATTTTGTGACATCATCATTGGGACTGAGAGGCAGAGGAAAAAGGAACACACCTTTATTGAACACTGACTTTATGCCAGGCGTTATTCACTTACCTCTAGGTTCATGACTGTGTTTCAGAGAATGAAGATGGATTCAAGTGTGAACTTCAGATAAATAGTGTGCTGTACTTTTATAGTCTGAATGATGGTCATCTTACACTAGGAATCAGAGGCCAGGTCTTAGGAAAAGAGAATAAAAATAAATGGGTTTAAGGAGGTTGGATTTGACCGCCGCATCAGTGCTCAGGGTCCTCAGTTCGTAATACCTGGCTCACACAGCTGCTTGGGATGTTGCCTCCTTGTGAAACCACTTCCTTAGGCCTGGATGAGAACCTTGGCATTTCTTATAAGAATAGTAGTAACTTAGAAGTTGTATATGGGCTGAATTGTGATCTTCTTCCAAATTCATACTTTGAAACCCTAACCCCCAGTACCTCAGAAGGTGACCTTACATGGAAATAGGATTGTTGTAGATATCATCAGTTAAGAAGCGCTCATACTGGAGCAGGGTAGGCCCCTATTTCAATACGACTGGTGTCCTTGTAAAAAGAATGCCATGTGAAGAGATGCACACATGTGTGGGGCGGACGCCGCATGAAGGCCGGAGTTAGGCTGGAGCAGATCCCGCGCGAAGGCCAGAGTTAGGCTGGGCCAGAAGCCACACGAAGGCTGGAGTTAGGCTGGGGCAGACGCCATGTGAAGGCTGGAGGTAGGCTGCATGCCACCAGAAGCTAGGAGAGAGGTCTGGAACAGACCCTCCCCTAGTGCCTTCAGAGGGAGCGTGGCCCTACTGATACCTTGATTTCAGCTTTGTCCACTCTAGGAATGTGAGACAAATTTATCTTGTTTTAAGCCACCCAGTTGGTGGTACTTTGCAACAATAGCCCAAGGAAACTAATTTCACAGGAGATGTTTCTGGCCTGGATTTGAGTCTGCTACACCTCATGTTCTGTCCTTGGTCCTGAATCAGTCCCCTTGTTTTCTGTCCGAGGTCTCCCATTACCTTCAGGAGTCTCCATTCTCTAAAAGGTGTCTGTGTGGGAAGGTATCTTCCTGTGGTAGTTCCAGCCCAGTTGCTACTTCCCATGGAGAAAGTAGCCCATCAACGGTGATGAAAATGACTTCCTACACTCAGGCAGCTGTGTTGGGGCAGATCTGAAATCTCTGAGGGACAGCCCATTTGGCATGGGGTATTTTCCTGGGCTGCTGTGGCTTCCAGGGCAGATGTGCAAACACATCTGTGAAAGTTCAGGGCCCCTGAGAGCTAATGAGAGCTGAAGCTTCAACCTGCTTGATATGTTTGCTGTCACTTTCTTTTCTAGTGACGTTGGAGAAGGGAAAAGTCATGCAGTCTGTCAATCTTGTCTTCTCCCATGAAATTGAGAAAGTTCTATTACTTTCCTCGTGAAGACTGACATCTGTGCCATCTCTTCCACCACTGTGGGGGCTCCTTCCTAGATCACGATTTGGGCCAATAGGATTTAGCTGTAACCCTTGGCAGCTGTGGAAGACAGCTTGCCAGAACAGTTGTCAGAACTCAAAGGAAGCAGAGCAGTTTGCCCGACAATAGACAGAGCAAAAGTCTTATCCTCGATCTAATCCAGGGTTTCTTAACCTTGACACCAGTGACACTTTGGGACAGATAATGTTTGTAGTCAGGGCCTGTCCTGCATATTGTATGATGTTTATCATCATCCCTGGCCTCTGTTCACTAAATGCTAACAGCACCACCCAGTCATGACAATCAAAAATGTCTTCAGATGTTGCCAGAAGTCCCTTGGGGAACAACATAGCCCCCACTTGAGAACCACTGATCTAATCCCTTCAAATCACCGTAGGGATCTCTGGGGGATTTTGCAGTGGTCTCGGGAAAATGCACAGACATGTCGTATTAGGAAGGGGTAGTTTTGGGTAATTGCAAGGTAGTTGAGGACATTTAAGGGAATTGTACAAGGCATAAAGATGTCAGGCTTCTGAAGTTTTTTTTTTTTTTTTTTTGAGATGGAGTCTCACTCTGTCACCAGGCTGGAGTGCAGTGGTTTAATCTTGGCTCACTGCAACCCCTGCCTCCCGGGTTCAAGTGATTCTCCTGCCTCAGCCTCCCGAGTTCCTGAGACTACAGGTGTGCGCCACCATGTGCAGCTGATTTTTGTATTTTTAGTAGAGACAGGGTTTCGCCATGTTGGCCAGGATGGTCTTGATCTCTTTACCTCGTGATCCACCTGTCTTGGCCTCGCAAATTGCTGGGATTATAGGCGTGAGTGAGCCACCGTGCCTGGCCCTGGAGACTCTTAAGACATAAAGTGAAAAGAAGCTTCAATCAATGCATAATCTTACAGATTTTAAATGTTCAGATTGTTCAGCTATTGTGATTATGTTACCAAGGGGTTACTGTTTGCTGGCAAATAGGTAGGGTAACTTTCATCACAGTTTGCCCAGGACAGTTTTAGTTTACGCCATTTTCCTGGCATAATCAGTAGTAGTGTCCCCTTTATTCTAGGAAGTATCCCAATTTAGACAGCAAATTTTATGGTCATCTTACCCTCGGGCCGGGTGCAGCTCACTGTGGTGTTTGTGGACAGCACAAATGCTAATATGGCTGTCACTCAGTAGAGTGTGTGCTCTCTGATTCCTTCAGTCCTCGCCACTCCTTATTGTCATATGTGCATTTGTTGTATTGCAGCATTTCTAAGATGTACATTTCTTTTACATGTTAGCATACCTGAATCCATCTCAAAATTGATGGATTCTTGAAATTGTCACTGACCAGGAGGCAGCTGTGATGGAGTTGCTGTTATTAGTGCACACTTGAATTGGTCATGGTGGTTCTTATTATCTTTGCTGCAGTTGACTTATACAGATTTTTGGTACTTCACATGTCATTTATGAACTCATCATGATTTGGCATTGAAAGACAAAACTATTGTGTTAACAAAAAGAACATAAACTTGACATTATAAAGCAAATCTTTATTATTGAAATAATGACCTTGGTTCATATTTTCTGGCAAAGTAACAAGCAGAATATGAAAAAGGAATGTTCCTGAGGCATTTTAAGGTAGGAAAACCTTGGGTCATTCTTTATTGACAGTGTTGTTGTTTTTTGTTTTCTAGTACATAAAATAATGTTGTGTCTATAATTGGTGCAGCTTGGATTCATTGAAATGCAATGTGTCACCTGACTGGACCCTGAAGATGTGTTTGAGTTGAGGGCCCCAGTGGTTCTTTTACTGCAGTAGATATAGATTTGAGTTGGGGAATTAGATCATGGATATCCACACACAAAGAGCCTGATATCTAAGTCAGGGCTGGGCCTGGGCTTCTGAATTTTTGATAAGTCTCAGGAGATTCTGGTGCAGGTGGTCCACGAGCCACTCTTTTACACAGTCTGATGTGGTCACTCCCCTTGATTCCACTCCAGAGGAATCTGAGCCCAGATAAGGGAGGGCTCTGTTCATGTAGTGAGTTCAGCCCACTGACCCCTGAGTAGTGTTTTCCTGGATGCTGCATCAAACACAAGGTGAGCTGAGGAAGGGCTGCTTGGCAGCTTTGCCTGAGGTGGGGTCTGACCCAGACTGGACCAGATGTGGGTCGCCTACCCTGCTTCTCTCAGCTGTCTGTACTATAAGCGTGTGGATACTTGGTACATGGATATGCACATGTGGCTTTTATTTGGTTTCCCTATGCATGTTCAGGAAAACATGTCACATAAAAGCAGGTAAAGGTATTTTGGAAGAAAGAGAGTGGGGATCTATGGAAAATGATAGGGAGGGAAGAGCAGAAAACAAAAAAGAACATTTCTAAGTCTGGCAGAGGACGAAGACAGGCCTGGAACTGGAAGCACCTGCACTTACATTTCTTGAGTGCTTTCTGGTTTGCCAAGCACTTTCCCAAGCTTCCATTTGAACCTCCAGATTGGAAATGGGGGGCTGCCTGATGTTCTTTTTATTCCTTCAACCCCAGTGCAGGCCCCTCACTCTAAGGTGAGGACATCTGGGCATCCACAGCCACTGACTCCTGTCCAAGCTGCCTGCTCAGGGGGCCCTGGGTATGGGGCCTGGAAAGGGCCTGTGAGAAGAGTCTCCTCCAGGTTCCCCTGGCAGCTCCCAATCCCCTCACCATGGCAACCTCCAAGATGGTGCTGAAGACCCCAGCGAGAGCCCCCACTGCTGTTCAGAAAACCTGAAAAGAATAGAATATAGACTATGGTGGACATTTGCACTAAATATGCTTACTTAGCAATTCTGCGCCTGAGGAATGTCAACCTTGTGTTTTTCCATGCCTTCCTATGAGTGTCTTTCACTTTTCATCACTCTTCCTTCAATTTTCCCTCAGTTAGTGTTCTCTTTAGAAGTGATGTTTTTCAAGCTGCCTTCAGATAAATTTCTGGCTCTCTTCTTGGACTTTTCTTCTGGAAAGGAGGCAGGATTGGGATTTGGGCCTGCTAGTAGGATGCAAAGAGATATAACCTATTGTGCCCATGGTCACAGAGCTTAATTAATTGTCAAGGAGACAAGAGTAAGATACCTGGGACAGTTGGACAATAGACCAAATTCATGGACCAGTGGTAGAGAAAGTGTTCAAATAGAAGTCCTTTGGGTATTCAGTCTAGGCATGGTTAGCTGGGTTTGGGACAGACAGAGAAGTCTCCAAGGAAATGGGCTCTACCTTGACCCGTAGTTGTGATGCACGTCAATAGTGAGCAGGTGGGGGCATTTCAAGTGAAGATAAAATGACCAGACACACTACTCAATCTTTCTGCAGATCTTGGCAGATCCTTAGAAGGTGATAGGAATAAAACCTAGAGGTCTGGCTTGAAAGCTTGGGTCAAGACTGATCAAAAAGTTAGCTTTGTCAAAAGCATCAGGCTCATTCTTACCTACAGACAACCCATGGTGATCCTAAGTCATTAATCCACCCAGAGGCCTGTCCTAACCTGAGTTTCCTTGCTTTGAAGTGTGCTGTCCTCTGCAACATGAGGAAATAATTTGCTGCCTGCTTCAGTGAACCATCAGGAGAGCCAGCAGACCTAATGACATGTGAGAATATTAACCTCCTACCATGAAGAGCTGTGAATCTTGAGCGGCAGTCTATAATTCACCCTGGACTCTTAAGCCAGGCCTCTCCAGCTTTTTCTCTCACTCACTTTCTCACTTACACCCAGAGAGAGAAGGAGAGACCTGCTCATAAAACTTTATATTCTCCAATAGTGTGAGCCTTGCTGAGCTGTTTAGTAATGAGTGACTTTCCTTTTGCAGTCATGGAAAAATGTATACCTACAGAGGCAGGAGCAGGGGGAAGATATTTTTTCAATGTTGCGCTTTGCATACGCTTTTTCCTATGCAGAAAGGAAAAGTGTCCTCCTGACACTGGAAAAAATGCATGATATTATGGAAGGTGACCATTTCAGTGCTTGAATAACCAAACTTCTTTGTAATTCTGTACTTTATGTTAAAAGTCAAAGAAAAGTGGAGGTGAGGATACTAATCTTAAGATATTTGGATATTAGAAGAGATCTTAGAGACCTTTTAAGGTCACTTGGAAGCAGAAGAAGCACTGAAATCTCATTAACAGTGGTCGTCTGTTTATGCCCTTGTTTCACGAGATTTGGGGCTTTTGGAGGACAGGATTGTACTCCTAGTGCCTGGCAGAGTGTCTAATCCATAGGAGGCCTCAAATTAAAGTTAGTCAAAAGATGGAGCCAGTCACCTGCTCTAACCCCACATTTTGCATACGGAAGAAACAAAGGTCCACCAGTGATTGACTCATGGGCACAGCTAGAGTTTTTCTTAGGCCTCAACGGCAGCTCTTTTCTTCCATCTGCCTGTCTAATTGCTGCTCTTGGCCTTATGATGTTTTCACAAGCAACGTGTTATTCTAATGGAGACTATCTTGATCTTGTCAATTGAGTGAAGGCAAACACAAATGTAGGGCCAAGGCACCATATCAGGGAGTAAATACAGAAGTGGGCAATTAGCCTCAGGGCCCAGAGTGCAAGGATGTGCAGATCTGGCTGCCTGGCAGAGAGCACCTAGCATGGTAGGAGTCCTTAGACCAGAATAATCTTCCTTACTTTGCTAGGAAAGCCTTCCCCACCAGGCCTCACTGCTCCACCAGCTCCATGTGGGCTGGGAGGAAACCTATTTTATTCATCCTAGGCCTGGCTAGGGGATGCTCAATAAATATTTGCTGTAGGGGGAATAAATAAATGAATGAAGGATCCAGTCTGTGATTGTTAGGGTACCTTTCTATTCAACCAGGCTGTTTAATTTCCGTATCTCAAGCATCTCTGTCTGGACAATGGACAATGCTGGGCACCTATAAACTTTTTGATGACTTATAGAGGTAATAAAATCAAACTTTCTTCTTCTGCTTACTTGACTAGTGCGATGAATTAACCAATGGTTAATGTCTACTCTCGGTATATGTAATTCTCAGCCTTTCTGATCTCTTCAAATTACTGTCTTCTTCCTTCTGCCATCTTCTTTTTTTTTTTTTAAGAATTAATTTTATTAAAACCAGTCAAATTAAAGCTGCCTCTGTCCAGGGCATCTCAAGATCCATCCATTATGGCTTCTTATCTTGGCAGGCGATCGGCTTGGAAAGGCAGCTCAGCCATTATGCACATACAAAGCCCATCACTTCACAACCAATGGTCAATTCATCAAACATTTATCTTTTGCCCTCTGAGCGTGTGACGCTTTGCCTCTCATTTCCTAGTTTGGGTTGCTCTGAAAGATGAAGAAAAGCAGGCGGGAGTTCTTTTCTCCCCTAACTTTCCCCTTCCCCCAGATCGTTTTTATTAATCAGATTTCATACTTGAGGCTTGAAACATGCCCTGCTCTCTTTTTTTGGCCATCTGAGGGTTAGGGATAGTCTGCCAGTCTCATGCTGAACTTTTTACTGAATGGTGGAACAATTAAGGCAATGATAAAACTTTGCGAGTTTTCATCTTGCAACCCACTTTGGTGCATGGGATGTTTAAAAATGAAGAGACCTCCAAAATAATCTAGCCTAGCCGCCTTAGTTTACAAAACAGTACAGTGAGGCCCACAGGAGGCAAGGGTTTGACTGAAATACTGCAGCAAGGTGCTAACCAAGGCAGGACCTGGATCAGGTTCCTTGGTTGTTCCTAAGACAGAGGCTCTCCCGAGCTGTCATCTCCCCATGCATTCAAATGATTCTGAAACATATCACTATTTCTTCTGGAGGTTTAGCCACTGACCTGCTTCATTTTCTGAGGCAACTAATTTCTTCCTTTGAAAAGAAAATATGCACATTTATTTTTCAAAAACAATCTTTCAGCTAAACAACAATTGGTCTAGGTTTGTCTTCATGTACTGTATCTCAGCTGATCCCCATTCTGATATCTGCAAATTGGACAGGTCAGGGATTTTCTGCCACCTTGAAAGATTAGAAAGCTACATTTTCCAAGTGTTATTTTTCCAAAGTCTTAGCTCACAAAACCAGGACTTGAAAACAGAGCTCATGACTCAATGGAGTGGTCTTATGCTGTGTGTTTACCAACTAGATTTGCGTTTGGCCTCATTGAGTTGACAAGATATTCCTCATCAGAACAACACATTCCCTATGAAAACACCACACTGGCTTCCTGCTGCCATGAGCAGCAGTCAGATAACCAGAGAGGCAGACACAGAGGAAATAGCCTTGGTTCAGTGCTGGGAAAAACTCTTTTTCTCTATGCTGCACAACTGGAAACAGTTGATCTCGTCTCTGTCCCTAACATTGTTAGGTGCTAGTACACAGGGCCCAGGACATGCCATGAGAGGATCTGGAAAGCAAAGCTCACCAAATTATTCTTTGAGAGGTTTTGTGAACCATAGAGCTAGAGCTATTCTGGAAGAAAGAAAATGGCTCCGGTAGCAAGCCACTTTTGGAGGTCACCATATCTCCTGGGGCCTTCTTTCCTGCTGGAGACATAAAGCTATCTTGTAGTCTGGGACAGAAAACGTGTTTTCACCTTTTTCAGCCAATTAAGACCTCACAGAATCAACAGTTGGCACGTTTTTACTGGCTTTCCTGGCCTGAGTCCATTCCAGGGGGGCCCTGCCCGTGGGGAGCTGGTCTTTGGGCAAGTATTTGATTAGGGGCCCTTGGGGTCCCTGGGGCTTTGAGATCCAGCCGTGTAAATGTCTCCTTTTCTGGTTGGCTTGCAATGAGTAGACACCATCTGTTGAATTAAAAATTCCCTTTATGGAGGGTGGTGAAAGGCTTGTGTAGAAGAGACACTGTTATCTTTCAAGCAAACAGTTCATGAGGTTGAAGAGCAGCGTTCTTGGCCCAACATATGTTTGCCCAATGGCTGTGGGCGCCTCCCCCACCAGGCTCTGCATTCCGCCCCATGGCGAGGTGCACGCATACCATGGCTGCGGTACACCGTGTCCACTCTCACATCTCCCTAGCAAAGAAAACCCCCATTTATAGAACCCGCCAAACAAACTCACTCTTTAGACTCTTAAAAACAAACAAGATCCCGAGGCCACAGGCTCCATGCGTGCATGTGTGGTTTTGTAAAATCTCAAGCCGTGAATCAAAATAATTTCAGAGACATAGTCAAAGCCCAGGCCAAACCCTGTCACCAGGGTGGGAAAAAGACAGGAAAGATTCGCTTTGAGGAGGGAGGATAGCCCAGAGAAGGAGAATGATGGGAGCAAAACATGGAGGCTGTCCTTCATCTAGTATGTTCCTGGAGAGACACCTGCTCCTTGTCTCTGTCCTTAGGGACTTGCTATAATACCTTCAGGACAAGCATAGGAGGGATGGGCCAAAAACAGAAAGGGCTTACTACAGCCCTCATTGCTTTCCTCTCAACTTCCAGAGCTCATCTTATCCATGCTGCTTACTGATACGCTGTCCTGTATGGTGTCCCCTTATTCCAAGCCCAGCGTCTCTGTCTCCTTCATAGATGGTAAGAGCATTGAGAGCAGATTCCATGACTTGTGCATCATTTGTATCCCCAGATGCATGTGCTCACTGAATTCCTGTCATGTTGGAAATGGATACCACACCACATGCTTTTTGGTAGCAAATCAGCTTTCTGGACTGTAGCTTACTTGAGTGCCAGGATCAAGTTATCTCTTTTCCTTATGTTCCCTCACCACCAAATGTGGAATAAGGTATCAGCAGATGCTCAAAAGATTAGAATTCATTTGCATTGAGACTTAGCTCAAGCCCATCTCCTTCACCAGCCCCAGCCCCTTCTCAGAGTAGCACTAATCATCCCAATCTATTACCCTGCATTATCTGGTAACTGCTTCCCTGTCTATACCTACTACTTAATAGTAGGGGACTATTGCACAGTCATCCTTGTAGCTCCAGAGACTAGCAAAGTACTAAGCACAGAGTTGGCACTCAATACATTTTTATAAATGAATGAATGAACAAGCTATAGAGGTGTACCCCAAGGGGATCATTAGCAGATAAATCTCAAGCCAGTCCCACCTAATGCATACTTAACTTCAAAGGAAAAAAAAAATCTAAGAACTAGCTCTTTGGGAGATTCTTCTAGGAGCATCCATGGAGTACAGAGTGAAAGGAAAAAGAACTCGAAAACCATTTAGGTTCATCATTATATTAATAATTGAGGACGTACAATGAATGGGTTACAAAGCTACACACAGTGTTTGGATAAAGGATGTGGCGATGGTGAATTTCCATTTCTGGACCACAGCTAGAAAGTATGTAGAGGTAGTTTAACATAGTTGGGGAGCACTGCACTTTATGTACACAGGTTCTAAATGTGGCCTGGTGACTCATGTGTGTTTTCAGGTAGGCCACTTTACCTCTCTGGACATTAGTCATCTTCTGTGAAGTAGGGGGAGAGTGGAACAGCCTAAAATTCCTCTAGGATTCAAAGTCTATGAGTCTATAAGAAGACTATAATAGGGCATATTTTACACAAATAGAGCTGTAGCTCTAATATGTAGTTTACTTTCTATAAGAGGTCAGGGTGCAAACATGTGCCTTTTTATTATGGGCACATGTTACACCCTTCCCATAGTTAGGAAAATATTAAAGAAGCCTTGCACAGTCCCAGCTAGAAGAATGAGGCATAGAGTTTAGTGTGCTGGAACTCTGCTACCCTCTTCCTACCAGACTGACTCTTAAGGGACCCTTTGGCAAAGCAGAACTGACTTAACAGCCCTTATAAACTATAGTTATAAAGGAAGGAGCTCCAGTCAGATAACCATAGTATCTGGATAGAATATTAGAAGCCATCGAATCTGATCTCTATGAAGAAATTCCCTCTAAACATTCTCCATGATTTTAGCCTCTGTTCAAATAAGTATAGTGGCTCTGAGGGCAGCTCATCCTTTAGTGAACAGCTTCTCCATTTTGACAAGTTTCAAAAAATTGATTCAAGACATTTCCTCCCAGCTTACATAATTTTCTATTTGTTTTTGATTCTGCATTCTGGAACCCTGTAGGCTGAGGACTTTGAAATGACTAAGACTTCTCTGCTCCTGGTTAAGCAACTTTAGGACTGTCTCAATCACTGTTTCTTACACCCTTCACCTCCTGGTGGTTGTCCTTGGATGGTGTTTCTGAATGCAAATCCACCTTTGAATCTGGCACCTGGAATTCAAACAAAGCTCCAGGCACAGGCACTTAGGGGCCAGGAGAGTAGTAGAGTGGATTGGGATCAGATTTGCTTCTGTGGTGGTCACTGGCGATTCATACTAAGTCCTCTTCCCAGACACTGCTCTTTTTCTAAAGCTTCTACATGTTATGTATGTGGAATTGTCTTGTTTTATTTAAAAGGAATATTAACTGTGGTTTTTCCTGATTATAAAATGTATATTCATGATAGAAAATTTAGTAGCTAGAGAAAACTATTTGAAAATGACTGATAAACTCCTTACCTGGGGGTTAACGGTATGTATCTGGGAGATATAGATAGGTATCACACACATACACACACACACATAAATATATACATTTAAGTGTGTTTGTGTATGTGTGTACAGAATTGTTATAATGTCTCTGTGTACAAGATTGTATATTAACAGCAGTTTATAAACTAGAACAACTAAGAAAGATGACTTTGATGATTCTTAACCATTAACATGGAAGAAAATGCCCAGAAAAGCTTGGTGCAGATTAAAATTTGTGTGGAAAATGGTGAGGACCATATGGATGACTTTTAATTTTCATGCATGAGATCTTTGTGTGTGTACTATATTACATTGTGACTTAATTTGGGGTACTTAAATGTATAGCATGAAAATTGTACTGGCTCATTAGATAGCTGCCTACAATATTATTTTTAATTCCTGTGTAATATTTTATGATACAGATATATTGAGCTTTATTTAATCATTCTTCAATCCTTGGGCATTTAGGCTTGTTTGCAATGTTATTGTAAATGCTATAGTGAACATACTTGTACATAAACTTATACACATCTTTGATATTTACTGAATAAATTATTGGAATTGGAATTAGTGGATGCAAAGGTAATTATTTTTAAGTCTTTTAATATAAATTGCCATCCAGCAATTTCACTGTCTCATTAGTCTTGTGTTTGTTTGAAGTAAAAGCTTGACAAAACTATGTTAAAATCTAAGAAAAGGATATAAATATTTTTATTAGAATATTCTAGATTCCTAATAAAGCTGAAAATTTCTCCCATATTTTTATTATTGACAAATTTCCTTGTGAATTTTCCATCCAAGGTTTTTGGTCATTTTTCTGTTAGGGCTTCAGGTTTTCCTTAATGATTTATAAAAGCTCTTTCCATGTTAAGGGTGTTAAATCTTAGACTGTTAGAAGGGTTGCAAATATATTCCCAATTTTCATATTCCTTTTAATTTTTTCGAGTAAATATTTTTGGATAGTTGAACTTTATTATTTAGTTTACATTAGACACTGTGAAATTTCATCTTATTGAGCTGAAAAATGGTTGATTCTAACAGGATCATTTTGGATCCTACTGTATCTTTCTTAATATCTCTTTAGGGTCCTGTCCCCTATAAATGTGATAAACATCTCCTTAACCAAGCCACTGGCAAAAAACAAAAACAACAAAAAACAAAAAAATAAGATCAAAATCCCTAGAATCTACCCATAGAGCAATTTGAGCCATTAATCAGTATTCTTCAGGTACATTTTTGAAGCAGTTATGACTCTACTTCTACCTAAGATTGTCATTTTCTAGCCTACTTTTTGGCTTCCTGTCACAAAGATATTATGAGAAGCTTATTCAAAGCCTTTTTTTTTTTTTTTTTTGAGCCGAGTCTCACTCTGTCGCCAGGCTGAAGTACAGTGGCATGATCTCAGCTCACTGCAACCTCCACCTCCCAGGTTCAAGCGATTCTCCTGCCTCAGCCTCCCGAGTAGCTGGGACTACAGGCACGTGCCACCACGCCCAGCTAATTTTTGTATTTTTAGTAGAGACGAGGTTTCACCATGTTGGCCAGGATGGTCTTGATCTCTTGACCTCATGATCCACCCTCCTTGGCCTCCCAAAGTGCTGGGATTACAGGCATGAGCCATCATGCCTGGCCAACCATTTTGAACTCTGAATACAATATATATCTTCTTTATTCCTACATGAGTATCTCCATTAACAACTGGTCTCTCAAAACTTTTCCTTAATGCACAGAATCTGCCTGTTTGAGAATCTGTATTACATTTTATTGATATATATCCTACCTCATTCTATGAAAGGTTTGGGCTAGCTTATTAGAATGAATAAAATTAAAAAGCAGTATATAAATAAATGAAATACCAAGGCTATGAAAAAATTATAAGCCTTGACAATGAAGTTAGAAAGCAGGTATGGATATCATGAAGGATTACCTTTTTACAATTGGGTCACAATTTACCTCTGAGCTTCCTGGTAGCAAAAGTAAAAAAGATAACATGATCAGATACATTATTCACGTTGTCCTACAGCAAGAAAATACAGGTTCCTGAGAGCTATCATCTGACCAGAATTTCATATGGGTAATTATATAACCTCATGTATCCAAAATAGGAGAATCTACCTTCTTACCTCCTTTTTCAAGTAACATTAACTCCAAGGGCTTCTAGCTCCTTATTCTCCATTACTAATTCTTTAGGCATCATATTTGAAAGTTTTCTTAGTATTCTTAGATATGGTGCAGGGGGCTTCAGACCTAGTTAACTATTAATACTTTAGCTTTTTGGCTGGTCTTGGATTCAGGTCTCTCAGATGAGTGTTGAATTTTACTGTCTGCAGTTCAGGGATTAGCCATCATGTTGGGGTCTCAATAGAGCTTTGGGGTTGACTTTGACCCCAAAGTCATGTAACCACTACTTCTTTTTTGTTGTTATTGTTTAGCAATGAGGTCTCGCTCTGTTGCCCAGGCTGGAGTGCAGTGACATGACTGTAGCTCACTGTAGCCTGGCCCTCCTGGGCTCAAGCGATTCTCTTGCCTCAGCCTCCTGAATAGCTGGGACTACAGGCTCACACCATCATGCCAGGCTACTTTTTGTGTTTTAGAAATGGCGTCTTACTATGTCGCCCAGGCTAGATGCAGTTCCTTGTGATGTCAGTGTACACTCTGTCTCACATACCCTAGCCAGAACCTTTTTCATGTTCTTCTATTTCTTAAAGACATTTCTATTCATCTTGATACACTTACAGTATGGATTAGTTGATTTATATAATTATTTGTGTGTGTGTGTGTGTATATATATGTATGGCTATGTGACTTGAATGGCAGAAAAATACACACAGCCAACTCTACATACTGTATATAGTAATATACAACATGTATAATATGTATAGTAATATATAACATGTATAATATATGTCGTAATATATAGAGTTACGTATCTATGTCTGTCTTTATCCATACATTTAAGGATATAAAAAAGAGTTTTATGGAAAAAAGAATATCTCTTACAGGACTAGGTAAACAAATTATAAAAATGTATAGGTATAAAAATGTCACCCATAATCCCAGCACTTTGGGAGGCTGAGGGGGGCGGATTATGAGGTCAAGAGATTGAGACCATCCTGGCCAACATGGTGAAACCCTGTCTCTACTAAAAATACAAAAATTAGCTGGGCGTGGTGGCGGAAGCCTGTAGTCCCAGCTACTCAGGAGGCGGAGGCAGGAGAATCACTTGAACCTGGGAGGCGGAGGTTGCAGTGAGCTGCGATTGTGCCACTGCACTCCAGCCTGATGACAGAGTGAGACTCCATCTTAAAAAAATTAAAAATGACTGTGCTGCCACTGGACCATTTAGTGGGAGATGAGTGGTCACATCATACCTCACCAATTCTCTCTTTTCTCCCTTCATTTTCCACCAGGTGGCTTTTGGTCACCTGTCCTGTCCTTGTGGCTTTTGCCATGCCTTTGTGGGAAGTTGATATACAGACATTTCCCAAGGAGCTGCCGTGTGCCAGGCACTGCAGTTGGAGTGGTGGGGGGAGTATAGGAGAGGAACAAGTTACTATTTCTGCTCTCAAGGTAATGTTGAAACAATTTAACAACTGCACTGTCCAATTAGAATTGATGCTGGCTGGAGCAGGGTCTATGGTAGCCCTGGGCTGTAGTGGGCATTGGCCTCCTAGTTTCTGGATTATGAAGAGGTCTGGGGGTGCCAAGGAATGGCCAGGGTAGCAGGAAGGGCACTCAGAGCTGCAATTATTTACCTACTGAAGGAAGTATTTAAATATTTTAATAATGAGAACTGGTATACCCATGCAGACTTGCTGAATGTTACTCTTTCCTGATCTTAGCCACATGGCCCCAGGGAAACCATGAGGAGGCATTCTGGCCTCTGAAAGAATACGAGTCTAGAGGCTGCCCTCCTTGCCACTGGCCAGTGTGCTGGTCCTGCTGTCTGTCCCATGCTTGGATTTATTGGCCGTTTTTTTCTTAGACACTCCCAGGTTTTGGCTGAACAGTGCTCAGTGGATGAGGCAGTACCGAGCCCTCACTGTACACTTAACAGCTTTCTAGGAGTATGGAGGCTGCATGGAGATCCCCTCTTAGAGGGGCCTGGGCAGACAGAAATCATCAGAGAGATCCATACAGAACAGGCAGCAGCCAGCCCTTGCAGGTCTGGGGGCCTAGCCAGGGTAGTAGACATCAGACCCAGGTTAGGCCCTTTAGAACTTCCATGGCCACACCATTTTCTCAATTAAAAATATGGGCAGGGATATTTAGAGTCGAGGAAGTAGGTAAAGATCTTTGTGGAGATCTTGCTTTCTTGATTGGTTTGAGAACATCCCAGCCTTTGCTCCTGGATTTGGGGCCAAATATAGTCCCAAAGAGACAGATGCTTTTGTTTTAGGGTCTGTGGTCAGCTATTCCCCATGTTCGCTGCCCATCTCATGTTGGTGCAGCTCTGTCACCCCTGGTATAGGCTGGAGCTGAGGGAGGAGAGATCGAATTCTTAGCACAGCCTAGATCCAAGGATTGATCCAGGGGTTCTGGAAGTATCCTCTGGTGGTTTTTATGGTACAATGTTCTGGCTGGTTTTTGGCTGGGCAAGGGGCAGGGAGGAATGGCTACAAATTAGAGGCTCCTGCCCAAGGCTGCCAGCCCTACCTGGGCCCGGGCCCTGGCTCTTCCCCTCCATTCTGGTGAGTGGCTCATTTGCAGGGAAAGGATGAAGGTCACTGATTTGTGCCCACCCAGGAGCAGAAGGGACTGGGCCTCAAGGGGCGGCCCTTCTGTGGGGCCCCTGGCCCCCTACCCATGGCCCCCCCATGCCAGCCACTGGCCTGGCCTGGGCAGGGCTGCACGCCTGTTCGGCGCTGCTGTTTTCATAAGCTAATGAGGGCAGAGTGTGAGCCACAGGCGATGATGTTGGGATATTAACTCTGACAGGAAGCTTGATCATAATTATCTTAACGAGGATAGGGTTAATTACAGTGGAAACTTAAAAGTTCTCTCCGTTTGAATCCACTGGAGCCCAATGCGTTGTGATGTTTTGTCATTTTGATGTGACTTTGGAAAAGGCACTGGGATGCTCCCAGCAGCCGCTGCAGCTCCTGGGGGAGCCCAGGCAGAGCCCTGGGAACGAGGGAAGGAGGTAAGAGGATGGTACCTGTGTGTGAGATCCTGGCTGCGTTGCTGCTGGTGGAGGGGGAGGCAGGCAGCCTGCAGGGAGTTCCAGGGGTGCTGATTAGGTTTCCAGAACAATCCAGGCCTGGATGATCTCCCTCCAGCTGGCTGTGCCTAGGTCCTGGGTGAACCTTGCTCTCTCCTATCAGCCCCCAGCCCATACCTCAGACATCGCACTACTCCAGGAAGCTGGTGAGTGATGCTGGACTGACAGTTGGCGTCTCCACCGGGGATCTGGTTTTGGGGTGCATTTTGCTGTCCATACACAAGGTGATAGCAGACAAATTGTCATTTTATTTAACAGCACATATTTGCAGGCACCTGGCATATAGGGGAATGAACTCAAAGATCTACACACATATTTTTTCTCCTATTCCTCCCTAGAAAACAGCAGTAAAAATAACAGTAAAAAAAAAATAAATAAAGGGTAAAGCCACCTCATTCTAGGTGTATGTGTATTGTCGTCCACGTGTCAGCTGGGACCCCCAAAACCTATCTTCCCCAGTACTCCCATTTACTATGCTCTCTGCCCCCTGACTTCTGTGCCCCA
The DNA here is from genome assembly GCF_000001405.40 of Homo sapiens. Taxonomy (NCBI): domain Eukaryota; kingdom Metazoa; phylum Chordata; class Mammalia; order Primates; family Hominidae; genus Homo; species Homo sapiens. Next base: position 76,033,208 of record NC_000010.11, read on the forward strand.
GCCCTCAGCTCTGGATCTAGATGATTAAATCCCCAGGAGCACACCACACTGATAACATGAAAACAAGGATTTATTCATTAGCAATCACCCATGTAATATGGTTCTCTTTTTACTGAGCAGCTAATAACGTCACATAGCAAAAAGAGTCTCAAAACCAGACAGGTGACAGGGGATTTGAGACTGATCTTACCAGCTCTTCTGGGAAGTCTCACTCTGGCGTGGATTTCTGCCCCATAGCCCACCCTGAGGGGAAGAAAGGCTGGCTGGATGGAGGTGGGCGCTTCCTTGGTGCTCCTGGGCTCTCCCCATCTTCATGCTGTGTCGTTTTGCTTTATGCCTCCCTGGAGCACTCTTGGAAAGGAGCTTTCTTCTGCTTGCCAGTTGCCAACCATTTGCTGATTCTCATCAGAAGAATCTAATATTTGCATAACGTAACTCAGGAACAATGTGTATTTGGATGCTGCCTTTGAGCGGAGTCCAACTGATGTTTGTGCACAAAGGAATTATTAACCACCCGTAAGGCTCCCTAAGGGGAAGTGGCCTCACCTCCCCTAGTGGTAAACGGGCCCAGTCCTGAGAAGCCTTTTGGCACATCACTCCCTAACCCCTAGTGGAGGAAGGGACTTCAGAAGAGCCCGAAAGTCCCCTGCACAAGCCTGACTTGCTGCACGCCTCCTCTGTGGGTTTGTTCATGGGCCCGTCCCCTGCATTCCAAACACACCCCCAGGGTCAGGGCGTCTGGAAACAAAACAGTGAATAAAAGGAGGAAGGAAAAGAAAAAAAAAACAGCGTATGCTAGTAACCAGTTAGCCGTCCTTCACTTATTCTCGACAAGATCCTATGAGCTGGAAGGAACACAGAACAGGAGAGTTCAGATGGGCTATTGACAGGCCCAAATTCACACAACAGGAAATAGAGGAGCGGAGGCAAAGTCCCAAACCTTCCTGCCTAGATGTGCGTACATTGTGGGTTTTTAAATTTTTTTTTTGTTTGTATTTTTTGTGGGTACATAAGAGGTGTAGATATTTATGGGTCACATGACATATTTTGATACAGGCAGGCAATGTGTAATCATCACATCAGGATAAATGGGATATCCAGCCCTTCAAGCATTTATCCTCACAAGTTGTGTTTTGCCTCTCGGAACCAAGAGGAAAAAGAGAAAGGAGGAGGAAATGAAACACGATGACCTCTGGACCCCTACTCCAAAATGTGTCCCCCCTCGGTGGGGCTGGCAGTGTTGGTTGGAGGAGCAGGCGTGCTCTGGGAGTCGAGTCCTGAGTGGGACCACCCCGAGGTCTGGCAGGAATGGAACATGCCGGCAGAGCTCTGGGCCCAGTGGTATCTACAGATTTAATTACTTACAACACATTTTTATACCTCGTAAGTATTGACTCCCTATTTTGGAGTCCTCTTGGCAGCGATCCCACAAGGGAGCTATGGATGCCTTGGGAAAGATCTGGTGCTGAAGTTCACACTCACAGCAGATGTGCAGACATTGCACACGCAAGCACACGGGGCTGTAATGGAAGCACTATCAGTAAATGAATAAATAGTGTGGACGACATCTCCCTGATTTGTCACATTTTATAGAATAGCCCGGCATCCCCTACGTGTCTCCCTCCCGTCCACATCGTAGCTCAGCTGTCAGCCGGTGCAGGCTCAGCACATCTCCTGGGTCTGGCAGGTGAACGAGCTGGGAGTCTGTGTCTCTGTGTAAGCCCCTCTGCCGGCCGGCTTGCTTTAATTAATGTCTGTGTGCGCCCAGGCAAGCACTTGTGCACAACTACCTCGTGTCACCTCCACCCCCAACACTCATGAGAGCCCATAAAATTAAGAGTTAACTTTCAGCGATGTGTATAAGCAAGGCTATTTTTCCCTTTCTGCTGTTTTTTTTTTTTTTTCCTGGAGCCGGGTACTTAATTCTTTCTGTTGCCTTTTTATTTACTGCCTCAACATCTACAGGGTTGCACTCTACACTTCTTTCAAAAATTAAGTGAGAAATCCACTTTCCATAAATTAAAACAGTAACTTCAGGCCAGGAGCTTTGAAGCAGCAATTCTCCCAACCCCCGTCTCCCCACCCGCAGCAAAAACAAATAAAAAGAAATAATAAAAGAAAAAGCCCTCTCAGATCGGAGTGATTATGTAATTCTGCAGATGCCTTGCCTTTGGGGCAGCCACTGGGACGCTGGGCAGAAGCAAATTAAGTGATTAGTAAAGAAAAAAGGCAGAGGAAAAAAAAAAGTCAAAGGATGTGAACGGAGAGAAAGGAAGCCTTCCCTGTCGTTTCCCCCGCGACTGTACAGAGAACTGCTAAGAAATGATACTTGAAGTTATATTTATTATTGTAAGAGGGTATGATATTTCTGGGCAGGAATGATGGATGACAACTTGAATTTGTGTCCAGGGAATGAAGGTGAACTGTGACAGAGTTATTTATCTTGGGAATGGAGGTTAGGGTCAGCCGAGGCTGGGTGCCTGAAGGCACAAGACATTGACAAATTTATCCTGCAGGCCGTATCTGAAGCCCTTTGTTTTGGATCCTGGCTACTCACTAAGTGACCCTCATCCTTCATGTTGGCAATGCGTGAAGGATGCGGTGGGTGCCAGCGGCCCCTTCTCCCCCGCCGCCCCCGCCCCGACTCCTGCTACTAATTCTTGTCATTCACTTTGCTGACAGGCACCAAGCCCAAACTATTCCCAGTCCTGAAAGGGAAGGTTAAAATATTTATTTCGGCTCATAATGGCCTCCCTGATTTAGTGCAGGATCATTTTTCCTGTTGCCTTTGTCATTGCAGGTCACTGGAAGGACTGAGCGCATTCAGGAGCCTGGAGGAACTCATCTTGGACAACAATCAGCTGGGGGACGACCTTGTGTTGCCAGGGTTACCCAGACTGCATACCTTAACCCTCAACAAGAACCGAATATCCTTTCCTCTGCCCGCTGCCCCCACTCCCCACCCAGCCCCACAGTCGTCCCCCAACCCCACCCTGCACAAATACCTGCAAAATGTCAAATGAGTTTTACGTGTCAGCTAAATTAAAGTATGTGAAATACAGTTCGTGGGCAGACAAAGCATTCTGTCTTCTGGCACTCGGGACACTTCAGAGTAATTTATTATAGGTCATTCATAAATGAAACGCACCATTATATCTTCCTGTTGCTCCATTTTAGTGTAGAGATCTAAGTTATGGCTGTGAAGAAATCTTTTTAATAGATAAAAATAGAGAAAGAAAATAATGTCACCGCTGCAGAGGCAGCGAAGCCCAGTCTGTTTGCTTGGGCTTGTGTGGGAGGGCGACCTCTGGTGGGAAGTCCCGGGTAATGCCGCCAAGCAAACTTCCTCTCCTGGGAGGTTTCTGGAAGGCTCTGGGGCAGGCTTGGGGAACCGTTTTGGTGAGGGAAAGGAGCTAAGGTGGCAGAGACATGTGAAGCCCAGGCCTGGCTATGCCCTCACTGGGGGATACCATGCTCTGGTGATGAGAGGCCTAGGGGACCCACGACAGTGTATGGCCTCCTCTATGGAGGCAAGGACCTAGTCAGCCTAGGGTGAGACTTACGGGCACTAACTGCTCTGGATTCTGTAGTGGGGATGGAAACAGGGAACCCTTGCTGCAACCTAAGGCCCGTAGCTCCTGCATTGTTAGTGTAGTGGATTACCCGGCACTAGAATGCCAGCTCGATGGGACAGGGAGTTTCCTTGGTTTTGTTAACTCCTCTGTTCTTCACACTAAGAATAGTGCCTGGCACCAAGTACAAGCTCAATAAATATTTGAGGGATGAATGCATCATTATCATTAGCTATTCCTTATTGAGCACTCCTAGGAATGAGGCATGGTGCTGGGTTCTTTATGTGTGTTGTTATTCATCCTTACCAAGCCCTGTGAGAAGGGTGTGTCTTTTCCATTTACCTAGACATAGAAAGAGGTGAGGTGTAGGCACACAGCCAGACACTAGCAAGATGCTAGGTCCTGGATGATTCAGTGTCAACTGTGTTGTGTCCAAAGTCCAATGTCTGCATTCTACTGTGTTGCTTCAGACTCAGTGGTCCAATGGCTTTGTTTTATTGGATGGAACATTTGAGACCTGGAGTAGTTAAACCACTTGTTCACATTCATACAATAAGTTAGAAATAGAAAAGGAGACAAGGCATTTTCCTCTAGAGTATAAAATAAAATCAGATATACATGTAAGGCTTGGCACATATGCATATGCCAGCATTTAAGAATGATTTGCAGAAGTATTTGTTAGCTACTGTTTATACTTCAAGCCATAAGTTAATGTTTTCTTTATTCTCTCAGATATTGTCTCAGTCAGCTCTTGCTGCTACAGCACAGTACCGTACATGAGGTGGCTTAAACAACAAACATTTATTTCTCACAGTCTGGAGGCTGGAGGTTTGAGATCAGGATGCCAGCAGGGTTGGTTTCTTGGTGAAGATACTTTCTCACTGTATCATCACATAGCAGAGAGAGAGGAAGCAAGCTTTTTCAAGTCTCTCCTTATAGGGGCACTGATCCCATCAGAGAGATCTACCCTTATGACCTAATCACCTCCCAAAGGCCTCATCTCCACATACCATCATTTTGGGGATTAGAATTTCAACATATGAATTTGAGGGAAGAACAAACATTCAGACCATAGTATTATAAATATGCTCCTTGTGGTCATTATTGTCACTTTGATAGAAGTAGAAGGGGAGGGCCTACATGTAAATTCACAGTCTTTGTCATAATGAAATTTTGGTGGAATTTTCCCTTCTTATGTCTGTTAGTCAACCAAGTTTCCCAATCACTCTTTGAAAAACTTTGTAGTCTTATGGCTTTCTAGGCTGTCTTAGATGATCAGTTGGCCAATATTCTCAAATAAATCAAGGACAGAAGGATTTTTAGACATGTCCTGTGTCCCAGGTCTCCGTAGAATATTAGGGTCCATGGACTTTGGTTCATGTCTCAGCTTAATCATATTTAGCGGTGTGACCTTGGACAAGTTATCTTCTGTGAGCTTCTTTTTCTCATTTTTAAAGAAATATGTTGGACTGGTCGATGGTTTTATTCACAGTATTGCTGTCACCAGAGATAAGCAGGCCTCTTGGCTTCAGAGTGCTGAGAGGTTTTCTTTGTCTTTGGTTGAGTCCTTTCCCTATTCTGTGCCTCCACTTTTCCAATCTGTAGCAGTAATGCTAAGGGAGTAATGGTAATGGCCTAGGAGGGACCGAAGCAGAAGACACTGTGTGGCTGTAAACCTGACCAGTGATATCACTGGTGCTGTTGTAGCACATTTTCTTATCAGTGAATATTCTGAATAGACTTCTTTCCTTTTTTCTCCTCTGCTCTACTAATGTGATTGTGAAGATCATCTTCCCCATCTACTTGACTCAGAAGTCACAGAGAAAGGTAGGTAAAATCAGGCAATAACAGCACATGCTATCTTCTCAACCCAGCACTTCTGATGCCACTTTTTCAGCTAAATGACTCTCCTACCTAACTGTGAGAATGTTGCAGGCTTTCCAACAATTTCTAGGTTCCATATTGTTATTGCCACCCCATGAAATGCTTTAGATATGGCCTCTATACATTAGCTTTTGCTGCATAATAATCCACCCCAACATTTAGTGGCTTAAAACAACAAATATTTACAATTCTATAGATCAGATGTTTGGCCAGGGCTCAGCAGGATGGTTCTTCTGCTAGTCTTATTCTGGGTCAGTCATGCAGCCACATCTACCTGGAGGCTCAACTGGGGCTGGATGGTCTAAGATGACCTCACTCATATGTCTGGAGGTTGGTACTGGGTGTTGGCTAAACTACCTGTCTCTTAACAGGCTAGCATAAGACACTTCACATGGGAGGAGTATTCTAACAGCACAAGCCCCATAGTACAAGTAGTCTTCAAGTTCAACTTATATCATGTGTTAATGTCCCATGACCAAAGCAAGTCACATACCAACTGTAGAACAAATATGGGAAGGGACTGCACAGGGTGTATGTATAAAGAAGCATAATTCATTTCTGTAACAATCTACCCAGGAGACCTTGGCATTGGCATCTTGTCTCCTTCAGATTTTACTTTATATTTGTGATAAAGGGAGCCCTAGAAACAAGTAACTATTGGCCTCCTAAAAAAGTATTAGCTCTTTTGTGTAAATTGAATCTTTAAACAAGTTAGGAAGCTTGCTGCCAAATGAGGTTTTATCTTGAATCCTTTTGTGAAGTTAGCTTTATTTTAAATTTTTTTGGTTTGTATTTTGGCATATGTAAAATGGTTATTCACCCCACCTACCATGTAAAATCTAGATTTTTCCACTTTGGTTTGACTCAAAGTTAAATGTGTCTATAATAATGCTGTAGGTTCCTAGACCCTGGACACTTGGGTCATTGGCTTCTTTAATCCTTTAGCAAGAGGGATTATCACATAGTGGTTAAGAACAACAGGCTCTGAAGGCAGACTTCCTGAGCTTCTACCCTAAACCTGCCACTTTTCTGCATGACCTTGGGCAAGTGATTTAACATCTCTATGTTTTGGTTTCCTTTGAAAATGCAGACAATGCTAGTACCCATCCCATAGGTTGTTTTGAAGATTATTCTAAGTATCTCAGACATATTAGATTCTAGTAACATAGTAAGTGCTATGTAAGGGTTACTATTATTGTTGTTGTTATTATCCTAGAGAATTGTGTAAACTCATCTGGTTTGACTTGGGCCACATTGTAACCAAGGCCAGAGTACAGATATACTTCTGAGTTTAGAATGGTTCTTTGACTTGCATAATTTAATATTGCCCTAATGGCATTCCGTGAGTTGGGTACTGTTGGTGAATAATTACTCTCATTTTTATGGAAAAACTAGGAGTGGATGAGCTCTCTGAAGTCACATAGATTGTCAGTAGTGGGGCTTAGTCTAGAACCCAGGTATGCTGATTCCCAGCTCCAGACTCTGAAACCCAAAGGAGCGGCAATCATTGTACAAGGAGAGGAGCCAAGATACAGGAGGAGTCAGCATCCTGAGCCTGCCTCTGCAAGGTCCTGCTCCCAGCTGGGGCTGCTGGGAGTCTGCTCTTAAAAGGGATTCCAGAGCCCAGAACCAGCATCTGGAAAATTTCTTCTGTGTTCATCAGTCAATGCCTCCCTGCCATCTGCATACCTCCTGCTGGACCTCCCATCTTTTTCCACCAGCCCTTTTTCTCATTGTGTTCAGCCCTCGTGTTGATATCCTGCTCTGGTATATCTGAAAGCCTGGTTGTCTGAGATTACCTCATCTCTTGGTTCGTAGGGATCTCATTTTCTTTCTTTGTTTCATTGAGACTGGCCAGGTAGTCACTGGCTATGGACTTGAACCCCTTCCCCACTGCTCACACTCTTTCTCTCTCTCTCTCTCTCACACCCAACCACGAGCATGCACACGCCATCCCCAACTCTTCCACCAGGAGGGGTGGGATATTTGGTAATGGTCTCAGCCATATCATGTCTGAATAATCAACCCCAAGTAAGGTTGACCACCTGAAAATTCAGGAAAGTGTAGATAACCTTTGCGCAATCAAATGATTCTCCCCCACTTTCCTTTTGGGGTGTGTGGGGGGCACATAAGCAGATTTTATTTGGAATCACACTTCATCTTCTGTCTCCCTATTTGCTTCAGCACATGTACTGAATAGCCAATGAGTTTGGATTATAGTGCCAGCACGAAGAAAGAATGGTGCTACATGTTACACAGCTGGGCTGTGGCACGGAGACCACTCCAGCGAGTCAGAGGTGGGACTGGAGTTCCCATAGCCATTTGCTGTGTCATCTTAGGAACGATTTGCTGTGTCATCTTAGGAAAGTCTCTGTACCTTGTCAGGGGCCTCAGTTTCTTTATAAAATGGTTAACACAAACTTCAGCATATTGTTGAGAGGTTTAAATGGTATAATATGTAGGAAATCACTTTGTTAAAGACTTTACAATTTCTTGGCATATTTTACTGTTAGCCAATGCCTCGATGCGTCAAAAGAAGTAGCCCAAATTGGAAGGAAGGATCTGAGGTACAGCACATAGCCCGGTGATGGCACCTGTGCTGTCACACAGAAACATGTAAGAACCCTCATGTTCCAGTGTTTTAAATTTTGCTTTTGTGTTAGGAAATTATAAGTCACTTTTTCCTCTAGAAATGCAGTTTCTTTAAGATCTGGGTTTAAATCCAGACTCTATCATGTACTAGCTGTGTGACCGTTAACCCGTTTCCTTAATTGTTATTTCAGCATGATAAATTTCTGACATATGTGAATAAAAATGAGGTATGTCATTATGCTGTATATTTAGTATTCAAAAACCCAGTATTAGGATTAGCTGTGGTTAAAATCATCCCAGTGGTTATGGAGGTTGCCCTTTAACCCGCAGCTGAGCCCAGAGGGAGGGATGTGTCCATTCTCACCTGGGACAGCTTTGGACCCGCACAACTGGACACAGGCTAGGAGGCTTCCCTCCTCCCTCATGCTCCAAACTTTCAAGGCAAGATGCTGCTTTGATCTTGGGCCCTCTGCAGAAAATCTCCTTTGGCAAGCCTCCCCATGACAGCTGGGCTCTGCAATGGCAACTTTCTGCAGACAACACTGAAAAAAAATCTCAACGCTAAGTACCCCGGAGAAGACTTGATAAGGGAAACCAGGTGTGTGCCGGGAACCCAGCTGGAGAGAGTTGAAACTGTGCCAGGTAGCTACACATTTTTAAAAAAGGTACCCTTAGGAGAATCCCTGAAATGATCCCCACTGCAGTGGTCTTGATTAGCCAGGGACACCAGGTTTCTTCCACAGATTGCCTGTGGTCAATTTTCTATGCATCTTGACAAAAAAGAAATGTGAGAAGTTCTATGTTGGATCTCAAAACCAGCCAACATAAGGCTGTGTTTGTCCTTGCTGACCCAGGAGACAAAGAAACCAATTAAAACTTCTCATGTTTTATCCTCTGGTGGTGCTATCAGCATAAAGGCGAAGGACTGGTCTAGAGCATGCATGCAGGGAGGAGGTGCTAGTGCTTCCTGCCTGGTGTGGATTTGGGGGAGACCACCTGACTCAGCCAAAAGTATCATTTATAGTAGGTAGTTGAAAGGCTTAGGAAGATGGAGCTTCTGCCATACAAAATACCCAAAAGCAGGCAGGCTCTTAGAAATCTCTTTGATTCATTGGCAAAGGATGGCTGAAGCTTCTTGGAACCTGCAGACCCCTTGCCCAGGAAAGTCCCATGATCAGAGCATTCAAATGATCCACTTCTTTGTGGCCAGGGACAGATCCAGGTTTGGGGAGTGTGAAACCTCTGTAATTTGAGGGAGCCCTCTTAAATACTATATAATCAGGAATGCAAAATTAGGTATGAAATGAATGTTTATTTGGAATAGAACTGTATCAAAGGAAATTTTAAAATTTTAAGTTGATAAATTTCACAAATGTCAAAATACCTAGAAAAGTATCAATCTTTATTGAAGATATGCCTCTAGAGAAACTTTTTTCCTGCAAATTTCTCATAGTTTCATTATTTGGTGAAATTTTGTAATTTTTTTCTAGAGAGAATAGATAATTCCCTCTTTTAGCATGGTTGATCGAAAATTGATTTTTTAAAATAGTTTAGAAATGTTTCTTTCAGTTTCACCATTTGTTATTGGTAGTTTCACCACTAAATTATTGGTAAAACTTTTAGGATTATTACATTTTGGAGAAACTCTTACACATTTCTTTCATATATGATAGGAGCTGTATAAGATTTCAGGACATTTTGGCCGGGCACAGTGGCTCACACCTGTAATCCCAGAACTTTGGGAGGCCGAGGCAGGTGGATCTCCTGAGATTAGGAGTTCGAGACGAACCCAGGAGGCAGAGGTTGCAGTGAGCCGAGATCACGCCATTGCACTCCAGCCTGGGCGACAGAGTGAGACTCTGTCTCAAAAAAAAAGATTTCAGGACATTTTAAGTTGTGTGTGTGTTGATGTGTAGGCATGTATACATACACTTAACAACTGAATCTTAAATGTTCTTTGAATTGATGAATGAGTTTGTTAATCATTTTGCCATCAGTTTTATGTTGGTCCCTGCATATTTGTGTTAATATGGTGGATAGTAAGAGTATTACTGGAAGCCATTCCTACTGATACTGTTGGAAGAATTTAACTAGACACAGAAGTGACTGCAAATTATACAAATATTCCCCCACTGAATCATAATTAAATGTTACTCCTACACAATGTACCCTTAGGTGGGGATTCCCATAGACATTCCCATTGTTACTCAGCTGAAGGGAAAATGTGGTAGAAGTCCTAGTGGAGCGAGACAGTGATCTCCACAGATTATAGTGTAAATTACCTACTTTTTCAAATTAAAAAAAAAAAAAATCACATGATCATGTGACTCTATTACCAGGGTCTTTCCCAGGGCCTTGGAAGGGGCCTATGCAAACAAGAAACCCTTGACGCATGAGCTTTATTAGCTCCATGGTAGATCTACAAGTGAAGGTTCACTCAACTTAATCTAGGCCTACTTCCCCGAACATGGTGGCCAGCTAGGCTTCCTTCACTCGTCATTAAATGTTGAGAAATGACTGGCATTTCAATCCAACTCAGTTTCCCAATATTTCCTCAACTTAAAAGCCTTGCCAGTTTGGGGTTCCATTCCTGCATATCCCCACCTTCATACAGCAGACAGAAAAAAGAGCCAAGCTTTGAGGAATGTTTCCTAAGAGGAAAGTAGGTTTTGGTCCGGGCTTTCCATCTGCAGTAGAGAGGGCTTCCCTCAGTCGTGTAGGGCCCTTGTCTACGTAAATAATTAGAATCACTCCAAGTCAGTATGTCAGCACCATTCTGGTAGCCCACTTTCTTGCAGTCCCACAAAAGAAATACTGTGCTGGCCAGAAGCAGTAGTCAGCTTGTCTGGCTGTCCTTCCTGGAACAAGGGCCTGGCCTTGAGGTTTTAAGACAGCCTGATCCAGACATGAGTTCTAGTGCTCCTTGGAGCATCTGATGGGTCGCATGGGTGGGCTAGAAAGTTGGAGCAAACCATGAAGGGGAGAAACCAAGCCTGGGACTGAGGCCCGTGCAGGTCCGGGTCTAGGTCCAGGCCTGGGGTACTCTACCTGAATGACACCATCCAGTCCTGGGTATTGGAAGGGGACTTAGGACATTCTGAGGAAGGTACTTGAAAGCACAGGGCACCTGAGGTGTCTGTGCCCATATCTAAGGGCAATACTAGCAATGAGACTTTTTTCTTTGTTTTTTTTTTTTTTTTTCTTTTGTTGTTGTAGTAATGACTGTGAAGTATTTAAAGATAGAAACTGCTAGAAAAGCTGAACTTACCCTGGAATTGTTCACTGTCATTTTAATTGGCTCTATTTAAATAATTTTCCTGAAGAGTATGATGATTGAACTTTAGTAAGTGTATTTTGTCTCCAGGGATTTTGATTCCTGGCCACCCACCCCTCTGTACTCCCAACCTCATCCCCCTGGTGTGGGACCTTCTCTCCAGTCTCTATATGAACTCCCATTCTCACCTCCTCATTCTAGTGTTCCTGTATGGCCATCTCTGGATGTTATTTGTGAAAGATTTGAGAGATTGAAAACAAACTTCCATGTCTATTTCTCTGTCTTTGTTTGGGAAGCAGGGAGGATGTTGGTGAATTGAAGCCAACAGCAAATGAGTGTGCTCACAACTTTCTTTTGCTAGTTTCCCCTCTTGCTAGTTTCCCTCTCTTGCTAGTTTCCCCTCTCTTGTTAGTTTCCCCCTCTTGCTTGTTTCCCCTTCTCTTGCTACTTTCCCCTCCCTTGCTAGTTTTTCCCCTCTCTTGCTAGTTTCCCCCTCTCTTGCTAGTTTACCTTCTCTTGCTAGTTTTTCCCCTCCTTTGTTAGTTTCCCCCTCTCTTGCTAGTTTACCTATTCTTGCTAGTTTTTCCCCTCCCTTGCTAGTTTCCCCCTCTCTTGCTACTTTACCCTGTCTTGCTAGTTTCGCCCTCTGGTTAGTTTCCCTCTCTTGCTAGTTTCGCCCTCTGGTTAGTTTCCCTCTCTTGCTAGTTTCCCCCTCTGGTTAGTTTCCCTCTCTTGCTAGTTTCCCCCTCTCTGGTTAGTTTCCCTCTCTTGCCAGTTTCCCCCTCTCTTGCTAGTTTCCCCCTCTTGTTAGTTTCCTCCTCTTGCTAGTTTCTCCCTCTGGTTAGTTTCCTTCTCTTGCTAGTTTCCCCCTCTCTTGTTAGTTTCCCCTCTCTTGGTAGTTTCCCCCTCTGGTTAGTTTCCTCCTCTTGCTAGTTTCCCCCTCTTTTGCTAGTTTCCCTCTCTTGCTAGTTTCACCTCTTCTGCTTGTACTCTGCTTCTCATTGTCTCTGGCTGCTCTCACCTAGGGTATAGCATTTGGCCTTGCATATGATGGTGGCAGAGCATGTGTACAAAGAATGCTTGAAGGAACTTAGTTTGGAGAATAAAAGATTTAAGGAAGACATGTGAGCTTCAAATATCTGAAGCTTCATCATGTGGAAGAGAAGAAGCCTTATTCTTTGTGACCCCAAGCAGTTAAATTGGGTCACTGAGTAGAGGTTAGAGAAAGATTCAATTCCAGGGGAAAGGAAAACTGTTATGGTTGTCAGAAATGGAATGTGCTATGTCGTGGTGATTGCTTGGCAAATATTTTAGGGACCCAATTCCGACATTGGTTGGATTTTGAATTCATTCTTTTGTGACAAGTTGAAATGAAGTATGAGGAAATCTGTGTAACAGCCCAAGGTTAGATAACATCCTCACAGAGCAAGAACATCCCTTTTCTTTGATTTTACCTTCTCCTAGGTTCAAGTGGACCCCACTTCTGGGAACTGTAATCTGAGTCTTTCACGCTTGCATATGGCATTTCTTCTACCCTTGTATGTTTTGTTCCTGTAGCTCTGCTGCCATTCCCTGGCTGGGACCCCCTTTTATCTGCCAACTTGGTTAACCCTCTCTCATATGTCTCTCGAAGTCACGGCCTAACCAGGCATGCCTATCTAACCATCACCTTACCTAGGCTCAGCTTGTCTGTATGTGGCTTAAGCCAGGAGTTAGTATGGGGACTAAGTTGTCATTAAACCCTTTCCAGTACCTGTGATTCTGTGAATCTATGGCTCTTGCTTTATTTGGTTTGGCCATGATTGGACAGTGGGTCCCACTGGAAGATGGCTCCTGGAATAATCTCCCCCATCATGCCCCCCTCTGACTTTTCTCTTTCATTCTCTAATTCCCTCACTAACAGAGAAAGAATATATTTTAATGAGGCCTTCTGAAATAATTTCTGGTTTTCTTTTTCTGGTTTTTTTGTTTTGTTTTTTTCTTTTGAGACAGAGTCTCGCTCTGTCACCTGGGGGCATGATCTCTACTCACTGCAACCTCCACCTCCCAGGTTCAAGCGATTCTCCTGCCTCAGCTTCCCAAGTAGCTGGGATTACAGGCTCCTGCCATCATGCCCAGCTAATTTTTGTATTTTTAGTAGAGACGGGTTTCACCATGTTGGCCAGGCTGGTCTCAAACTCCTGACCTCAAATGATCTGCCTACCAGGGCCTCCCAACGTACTGGAATTACAGGTGTGGGCCACCATGCCCAGCCCTTGTTTTCATTACTAGAAACGAATTAAGTTTTATGGTTTTGCATATTGTAAAAATATTTTACTCTATGGAATCTTCCCTTTTGGTGTGTTTTAGAAACAGAACTATAGAGGAAAGAAAAATATGATGGGACAATCAAGTTTATTCATTCTTCCTCAGATGATCTGGACTTAGTCTTACCTGCCTAGCGAAAGTTGGGCTGTGTTCCCAACAGTGGGAGTGAAAAAGTAGCAATACCGTATACCCACAGCTGAATTGATTTCAGCCCCCACCCTGAGGTCTCACAGGAGCAGACTGGACTCATCAGCGCCTGTCAGTCATGGCCTATGCTCATTGCTAAGCCTTTTGTCTTACTGGACCAAGATTCTTAACCTTTGTCACATCACTGATTTGGAGAACCTGCTGGATCACTTGGCAGAAGTGACACCAGCTCTGGAGTACCTCAGTCTGCTGGGCAACGTGGCCTGTCCCAACGAGCTGGTCAGCTTGGAAAAGGATGAGGAAGACTACAAGAGATACAGGTGAGTGTCCAGGGGTTGGACCATGGTGGGAAAAGGGAAAAAGAGAAACTTTAGGGGATGATATTATACTCTGGGGTGCATAGTAGATGTTTGGTACATATCAGTGGGTTTCCCATGACAATGTTAAACTTTTACCTTTTGGTAACCTATAGCCATTGTCTCTCTTGGTTGAGGTCACAAAAGCTAAGAAAGATGAAAAGTTATTGCCTTTTCTACTTTTTTTGTGAAGTGCCAGATATTAAGTATTTTAGGTTTTCCAAGTTACATGGACTTGTCACAACTACTCAGCCCTGCTTTCATAATGCAGAAGTAGTCATACATAATTTGTGAACAAATGGGCATGGCTTTGTTCCAGTAAAGCTTTATTTACAAAACAGATGGCAGGCCAGATTTCACCCATGGGCTGTAACTTGCTGACCCCTGCTCTGTGTTGTAAGATCTTTCTGTGGTCTGTCTCAGAGTCATCTTGAAGAGAGAGATGACTTCCCACCAAAATTTAGGGAGCTCATAGACAATCTCAAGAGGAAGTCCCACAGGCCCATACCTCTCCACCATAGAGCTATGCCGTGGCGCCCACCAGCCATGCGCTTTGATGGGCTCCAAGTAGAAATGCTTTTCGTTCTTCTCTCTACTTCTCAACCATGTGCTTTAAAAGCCCTGATCCAAAGTCATTTAGAGAGTCTTTTTGGTCTTACCCATTTTACCAAAGTCACCTAATTTTCCTTCTTCATTTAAAATTGTCTGTGTTCTCATTGTTGATTGTTGTTTTGTAAATGCTTTAATGACCTTTTCATGGACCTCTCTCTCCATTATGACATAAGCTCTCATTAAACACCCCACCTGAATCACTCTTAAAAATAACTTAATAAATTTTGTATATGTATATATGCATATATACATATATGTCTGTGTCTATATGTATATGTATGTGTACACACACATTCATGCACTTGTTCATTTATTCATTCATTCATGGGGCCAAGAAGCTATGTGTGAAGCCAACCATGTAGGCAAGTTTTTGTAATTTTTTTCTAGAATGAGAGAGGTAGGGAGGGATTGGTCTCAAGTACAGGGCTTATGAGGTTGCAAAAGGAAAAGAAGAGCTAAGAAAAATTTTTTTCTATTCTTTTTTTGGTGTATCATCAGCTCTCAAATAATTACTATTTGTTTTTTCTATTGTAACTGGTCGCATTAGCAAAAGTACTAAGACCAAGGTATGTGGGGTCAGATCAGAAGATCTGATGTGGAGTCCGGCTTTCCCAGTGGGGCTTTTAAAATAGGAGGACAGTCTATATCAGTATTCCATAATCAAGGATCTACCTCTGAGTCATCCAAGGTATTCTGATGCAGTTGGTGGCAATTACAACACAACAGTCCATAGGTGTTTCTGATGTCCAGTTGGCTTTAGAATTCGGAGACACTCAGCTCCCAACAAGTTCAATTTCTTCCTTTACTGTCTCACACCATTTTATAGATCCTATCTTGTGTATTTTTTCTCACTTCTTCATGTATTTCCACATCTAGAGAATGGCTTCCAGTGGGTAGGAGCTGAGTTGTCTTGACTCTTGAAGCCTCATCAATGCCTAAAGTAGTGCTGGATATGAAAAAAGGGCTTGGCACCTTTTTTTTTCTGGAGGTGGCTTGAAACCACCTTTCCTTCTCAGGAACTAGGAACTTATAGGGAGATGCAGGGATCTTTGGCCATCTCAGATGCCCACTGCCCATTTGGAATCAGATCCATTTGGATGTCAACAAATGCAGCTAATAAGCAAAGGACTATGATTCAGACTCAATCCAAGTGCTGGTTGTGGGTCATGAATCTTTAGGGAGGGCTGGATTCTACAAGTGTGGTCTATCTCATGGGCTAGCCTGGGCACCCTCCAAGCCCATCCTCCCCACTCCAGTTCTGTTCCCTTGGAAGGAGTTGAGGGGTGGGGCTAGGGAGGTGGTTTGTGAGTACACATATGACAAAGTTGCCATGAGAGGCTAGATTCTAGAGGTCATACAAAACCAAAATCATAACTAGTCAAAATTAACTTAGAAAATTTACATCATCCACAATGATGGCAAGATGCTTGCACTCTGAGAGAATCAGGGACTAGGAACAGCACAAGGAACAGTAAATATGTTCCCATGTAGTTACACATTCACTGCACAGCAACTGGTTGAAGAGTGGAATGGTAGGCTGATTCTCTAGCACATTTAAATTTTTTATTCATTTAATCTCTTTATTTTTTACTGTTGGTTTGATGAGTGCTCACACTTGTATATGGAAAAGATAGATATGTGCTTGATATAGTTCCATTCTATGGTCTGTAAGCAGATCCGCTTTGTCCTTCCTCGAGTTTGTGCTCCATTTGCCACTGAGAAATTTTAGGGTTTTGCAATATGACTTTTGATTCTGGAGTTCCTGTGGCATTTGTGTTTATACAAAACAATGCAGCTGCCTTTTTTTTCTTTTGGTAAAACATTTTCCTGGCCCTTCATCCACAAAACACGAGGTTTGCCTTCCTTCTAGCTGTTTCCCAGAGCCTAATAGTAGAGCCTCTATGTAAATTTATGTGACGTTTTCACTAGAAAATTGCTTAAAAATGAATGCTATTTCTAGAGTTTACTGTTTTTCACTTTAAGTACATTTTCTGACAATATGTCTTCTATTAATCATTTAAGCAATACTAGGAGCCTTAAAGGAGTGTATTCAGAAGCAAGAACCCATGGTTCATTTAGTGCTGTCTGAAAAAAATTCTTATTGATTGGCATCCTCTGTGGTTATGTGATGTAATATTTATAATATGTCACCCAGGCATACATCAAAACAAGTGTGTCTGTTGTTTCATTTCCATGGGAGATGTTGATTTCAAAGAGGTCAGCCCAGTTTTTAGGTCACATTGTGGCCAACCACTGGACCAGAAATGGGAAGTGACTCGATTTATGTAGTTATTGGAAATGGCATCACAGAGCTTGAGTTTCTGTGGAGTCTTTCCTCCCCTCCTCCCAAATTCACCCTTTTCACTTCCTCACTTACCCCCTGTGCACCCAGTTGGATTTTCTTGGCACACATCCCCACCATAAAACAGGCTCATTAAATTTATATGTGAGCATGAACATACAACCAAGTTGTTGAGTAGCACCCTGGCCCCACTGGGGCAGGAGCAGAACTGTGCCTGGGGTTTCTCTTTGCCATTCATCATAGTTCATGGCTGAGAAATGTCCATGGCCCTGTTATTATAGGAGCTTAAACCTGTCTGTGATTTTCAGTGTGTACACACCATGCTGCTATTTTGGGATGAATGTGGAATGGAGGTGAATGTGATAATCAGCAGCCTCCAGGATTTGGGCAGGAAGAGAACAGCAGTGCAAGACTTGGCCGGAGAGACCACCATGCTACTGAGAAACCACTTTAGTGCCCCTTGTGGATTTCAACGCTAGCCAAAATAACAAATCAATATGGGAAAGTTGGGTGCCCAGAATGGTCTATTTCTTGTCTTCCCTTGCCATTGCTTTTTTTGTTTTTGCTACAGAAAGAACAATGGACTTGAAGGTTAACAGTAGACAAGTCTGGACTTCACCTTTCAAATAAGGGAGTTGGTCTCATGGTCTTTTAGCTCTTCCTCTGTCACTGAACCCTCTGTCGTTCATCCCCTCCTGCCACTCCAGTCTCTGGTTGGCCTTGCTTTACTCCCTCCTCCCTGTAGGGCCTTCTGTATTCCTTACAACTTTCAATTATTTAAAACGTGACACCCTTTCTTTGTTCCCCTGCATGGAGCAGCCCTGGGGCCTGCCCAGTGTCTGCAGCACTCAGCCAAAGGGAAGGAGGGAGGGACCCTCCGCCGTCTGGTCGCTCTGGGCTGCCACCATTTCCCAGACGAATAGGAGCTGTAAAACTTGTGGCTTACATAACCCAGTGAGCATTCTCCAGCTAATCTACAATCTGGGCTTTGAAGATCACAAGAAAGCAAAGGTCACGACCCAGAGATCAAAGTGACAGAAGCCCACAGAGTAATTGCCGGTTACTCTCTGTAGAGGGCCTTGGTCTGTCCTGTGGGTGTATTGTTTGCACAGAGACTTCAAACATGCTGCCGGTGAACTGTGAGGAAAATCAGCTGGCCTCTGCCAGTTGTCAGGCATTCATGAATGCTGTAGGTGAGCTCACCTCGGCTCATTAGAGTGAGATTGTTGTCATCTCTCTGAGCATCTGCAGTTATTCCACTCACACTGTTTGTTCATTACTCTGTGGTCTTTATTGACTTTCTCACAGTCGTCATTTACTTGGAGGTGTTGGGGGTGGTTATATAAGGAAATTGGAATAACAAGAAAGGACGACATGGACATTTTTATTGTAAGTCAACTTTGAGCCACGTAGAGTTCAAGCAAGGTAACATTTGAAAGAGGCTTAGACATCATTTGGCCCATCCCCTTCACAGCATAGATAGAAAAACTGAGGCTCAGAAAGGCAGCAGAGACTGAACCAAGATCACAGGGCAAGATACACTCAAGAGTCTGGCCTCTTTCACTATGCTATTAGTCCCCAAGCTTTTTGTTACAAAAACTTGCCCTCCTTTTATTTTTCTCCCCAACACTTTAAAAACTTTGATCTCTCAAATAGGCTGCACTGAAGCCATTGCTAAGTTTATTATTATTATGAAACATATACGTTCAGCAGTTGATCACGGCTTCTGTTCAGCATGAGGTAACCAGTGCTATTAAATGGAGTTAATGTAATCTAGTCAACAGTGAGGAAGCATGATGTTTTGTTGACGGACTCATCTATCCCATCAAGCTTTGTGAAAGATTGAGAATGGCTCACAGATCACCCACTGCTGCCTTCAGGGGTCTCAGGTAGCGCATCAGTAGCTTGTACCATGTCTCACTGCCTCCAAAGAATAGAAGCAAGAAGGCAGCAAGAAATAATGCAAAGAAGCATAGACTGCCGTAAACGGAAGAAAATTTTAAAAACGAAACAAAACTCTAATGACCCCATGCCCAGTTCCCTCAAGAATTGGAAACTTGGTACTTCTTGAATAGAGTGTCAGAGAAAAAAACATGTCAGCCAACCCCATTCGCAGACCGTGGAGGCCCATCTGAGCTTTTCTGTGGTTGTAAGGTGTTCCTGGGGAGCAGCCATTGCCCTGGGGGGAGCAGCCATTGCCCTGGGGATAACAGTTACAGGCAGGGGGAAAGAACATCCTCCTCTCTCTCTCAGGTCTGGATGAAAAATGCCTGAGTGTTGGGACTAGAGCAGAGAAAATTGATTTTGGAAAGAAAGAAAAAAAAGGTATTTCTCCTGTTCCTTTTCTCCTCCTAGCGGTTTTAGCTCTCTCCTTAGAGGAGTCCTTTAAGCAAATGGAACATTCTATGTGAGAAGAAAGAGGACCTGAAAAGCTCAATGTGCTGGTCTCTCAGATTTAGGAAATCTGTTTCCAGACAGAGACAAATGGGTCTTTAAGCACCTTCCCAGGATCCCTGCTCTCCTCTTGATAACCCCACCTTCTGTATCTCAGCCAAGAGCACCTCTGACTCTCACCCCCACCCCTCACCACCCCCAGCCTTGGGGGCTTTCCCCTAGCCACCTTGAGAAGGTCAGGAAAATTGGAGTTGCCCTCTGGAGCTAGGGACGTGAGACTTAGAACTTAGACCGATCTCTTTTCATTAAGCAGTGCCCTGGCTTAACAAGCAGTTTTATAAATCTGAAGCTGTCTCCGGGTGTCGCAGGATTTATAGACGGGGGTTTCTGCCATAAAGTGGTTTATGATGGCTGCCTTCTGTGTTATTAGTAGCTGTCTCTTCCTTCAACCATTGCTGTTTGATAATAGCCTTAAAACACCCAGAATTACTTACCTGCAAACCCTATTCCCGATAGCCCCTGTTGACAGT
The DNA here is from genome assembly GCF_000001405.40 of Homo sapiens. Lineage (NCBI taxonomy): Eukaryota > Metazoa > Chordata > Mammalia > Primates > Hominidae > Homo > Homo sapiens. The sequence goes on from NC_000010.11 coordinate 76,053,178, forward strand.
CTGAATAAGTTTAGTGCCCTTTTGTTGTACTTTACCTTCAAAACAAACTGATTGAACCATCAATAGCTCGTGGAAGCTGACAGAGGGATGTCATCTGGACTAGCCCTTGTGATTGCAGGTTATCTGGGGGAGTTAACCTTCCCGCATTGTTAACTGAAATGTTTTATGTACTATGCAACTTTAGGATACGGCTGTGATAACCCCAGTAACTAAGTAATACATCACAGTAAAGAGATTTTGGTGCAACAAATAACCCAGGATTAAATTTACAAGGGTTGAATTGATATTGTAAAAGCCTTCATTCTGTGGCTTTGGGAATCCTCTCTTGTATTTTTATGGCAAACTTGTATTACACTCAGGATTGAAGCTGTGCCTTTTGACACCCTGACATGACCTAGAACAAAGGGAAATAGATCTCCCAGGACCATGAAAGGACAGGCAAGCAGGAAGCCCACTGACTTATCACTTGGCAATAATGTTTGGAGCGAGTTCCAAGCCACCAAGGGGCAAGAAGATCTGGCAGACATGGCCACTGGCTGGGTTCTGTGCACTGCAGGCATTGGGGCAGGGCAGCCCTTAGCAGAACTGGAAGGAGACCCTTTGCTGCCTCACCACCCTCCTAATTTCAAAGCTATTATTCCTCATGGTGTTATTTTCACGAGGACATTGGTTCTCAGCAGGACTAGCAGCATCAGCATCACCTGGGGACATATTAGAAATGTAAATTTCAGGCCCAGTTCCAGAAATACTGAATCAGAAACTCTGGGGATGGGGCCCTGCCATCTGTGTGTTGGGAAGTCTCCAGGAAATACTGATGCCCACTGAAGTTTGAGAACCACTGTGCAAGAATAGAAGCTCACTGAAAGAGCACAGATCTTCTGCATTGCTTTTATCTCCTCATGTTGGTACTTGACTCAGGTCCTGACACACAGTAGCTGTTCCATAATTATTGTTGAACGAGTGAATGTATGAGTAAGTAAATGAAAGAAGACATCTCTATGGAGGAACTTTGGACCCTGGGCTGAATCTCAGATGGAACTATTTGGGGCAAGTCCTCCTAGTGTCCCTCACACCTCTCCAAGCAGCAACCACTTGGAAACCCAGGCTGGCCCACGGGATGGGTGAAAATCATCCCTCATTTCAGGGGGTGACTGGCAGCCTGTGTCATGGGCTGTCTCTTCGATTGTATAAGAAGAGTGATCTGAAAACAGCAGCTCTTTGTCATCTAAAATTTTTAACTAGCTTAAAAGCCAGCACCTCTGTCTCTCTCTTTCTCCTTTGATTTCAGGGCTGTGATCCAAAGTGAGGCAAAATGACAATGTGCGGTCTGTTGTCATCATGGTTCCTGCCAGCCCCGTGAAGGCATCCTTCACTCCATCGTTAAACATTGGCTGATTTTCTAATACTGATGTTTTCTTCACCTGAATATTCATCTTTTCCCACCCTACACTTAGTGGGTGTCTTTACTCCCTGCACGTCACTCCTGACATATTGTTTCTGTCTGTACATGTCTTTATTTGAAAGAGTCTGTTGTCATAAAGACTTTTCTGCTACAAGCAGAAGACGGAAGTTTTCTCTGACATTGACTGAGGCCGGTGGGAGCTCTACTGGAGGATAGAAAAGATATTTGGTGGTGGTTCATGCCTGTAATTCCAGCAGATGGATCACTTGAGGTCAGGAGTTTGAGTCCAGCCTGGCCAACATGGTGAAACGCTGTCTCTACTAAAAATACAAAAATAAGCCAGGAGTAGTGGCACACACATGTAGTCCCAGCTACTTGGGAGGCTGAGACAGGGGAATTGCTTGAACCTGGGAGGCAGAGGTTGCAGTGAGCAGAGATCATGCCACTGCTCTCCAACCTGGGCAACAGAGCAAGACTCCATCTCAAAAAAAAAAAAAAAAAAAAAAAAAAAAAAAGAAAAAGAAAAGAAAGAAACAAAGAAAGGAAAGATATTTGGGTGTTTTGTGGCACTTTCTTGATTTTGGGTGAGGTTAGCAGGTATTTGGAGGGAAGGCAGAACCCAGGGTAGGAAAAGGACAATAGACTGAGGCCAGGGAGGAAACAGGAAGTAGCCAGAGTCAAATTTCCAGGACACCAGGCATGGGGTGGACATTTCTGAAGGAAGAAAAGAATTTCATAATATTTTGACTTTAACAATGAGTCCTGTGAAGGTTATTCCTGCAGACCTCTAAACTATTCTCTCTGGCTTTGGGATGGTCAGCCAAGCCTTTTACCTGGATAAGCATATGCAGGCCACTTGGTGATAATGTCACCGAATCCTTGGGTTGTTACTTCCTCAGTTGGGAACCTCTGTGACTGGTGGTTCCTTTGCCTGAGTTTTGCTTGGGCCTGCTGAGCTTGTTCCACCTACTCGGCCTGGTGGGCTGCACTTGGCTCGTGCTGCCAGTTCAGATCCCATGCCTGCCAAGGGTGAGCCAGGTGTGGAGTGGTAAGGGGTACATGAGCAAGCAAGCACAGGGTCTGGCCACTGCATACAGCCAGGCATGCTGGAAGCAGCAGGCTGGGCAGCTCTAGACACTGGCATGGGCACTAGCTCCCTGTGAGGCTGCATCTGGACCAGGCATACCACAACCAGCTTCCACTGCAGGCACTGGGGAACGTGGTGGCACCTGGAAGCTTGAAGATGCCAGGAACCACAGAGCCCCAAAGAGGGTGTCACAGCCTTTGCTTGGGGAGCTGTTAGGTCTGGGCTCCCCAAAGGGCCACAGCTCTTCTCTCTGTCTCATCACCCACCATGTGGCGAGTGGGGGGACATGTTTCAGCCCTGTTTGTGTTACAGCTCTTTCAGTCCTGCCATTTGGTGGGTCCCAAGTTGTTGTCCCAGATCCAGGAAGAATGAAGCATGCACACAATTGGAGGGTGAGCAAGGCAAAGAGGTGCTTTATTAAGCAACAGTACAGCTCTCAGGACAACTAAAGTGGGTAGCTCCTTTCTGCAGGCAGGTCATCTCAGTTTCTGTGCAGCCCTCAGCAGAGAGGAGACCCAGAGTGGGTAGCTCCTCTCCACAGGCAGGTTGTTCCATCAACTGCCCAAGTCTGGCTGAGTCTGGGGCTTTTATGGGCATCAGAGGAAAGGAAGTGCATGCTGATTGGTCCATGGGTGGCCACAGCAGGGTCCAGAAAAAGTACCATATGTTCTCACTCTGATTTACGAAACTGGTAGCCCAGCCCCTATGCTTTAGGCCACCTCTGGCCTGATGGTGGGGTTTCACCGGGGACACACCCCTTTCCACCTAGGAGCCTGTCTGCCTCCTGCTGCCAGCCATCAACCTGCTGTCTATAGTGCCCATGGTGCCCAGGCTGTTTGTGCCAAGGGATGCCTGCAGGCCCATGCTGAGCTGTCCTCTGCTGTCCCTTGGCCTCCCTGCTGTGCTCATCAGCACCCAAAGTCCAGAAGGGGCTGAGGTGGCAGGGGGCTGGTGTTTCAGTACTGCTCCGAGCATGTACACACTCAGCCAGATTGTGACAGTGCCTGGGCTTGGCCGCCACTTTGCTCCAAAATTGGAGTGGGCATTGGGAGTCGGGAGAGGCCAGGCAGTGGGAGCAGGCACTCCCAAGCCTTCCAGTGGAGGGGGGCTTCCCAAGCCCCCAAGAGCACAGGGATGCCTGGGTCTGCAGCTGCAGCTGGGCAGCTGCAGTTGCACCTGGGAGCAGGGGCTCCTGCCCCACCAACTCAGGAGGGCATGGGGCTCCCACCTGTTCCTGGCTCCTGCCAGCTCCATAGAGCAAGCAGCCCCTACTGCAGCTGGTGTATTTGCAGCAATTGCTCCAGATGGGCTGCTACTGCCACCAATAATGAGACCACCTTACGAATGTGGAAGGTGGCCTTGGGAACCCAAGGCTCCAGTGAAGGCAAGCCACACTGTTCCAAGTAACATCCTCACTGAGGAATAGCTAGGTTCTTGGGGTTGCCTTAAGGTGTGGTTCCTTGATGCCCATTTGAGATTTCCTGTTTCTCCTTTTCCATTGAGTTTTCAGTCAGTAGACCTCTTGCTCTGTGCTCCCATAACCACTCTATGCATAACCTCGATTTTGGCACTTAGCTATGCTTATTCCTAATTTCTCCATGTGAGTGTATAATTTCTGTTACACTGAGAACACCTTTGAGAGCAGGAAGCATGTTGTAATCACATCTGTATCCCTAAGGCCTGGCACATAGTAGGTGATCAAGAAATATCTGTGCAACTGAAATCAACTGGTATGTTATTGACTCCATTCTAATGCCAGTTTTCAAGATGTGGTGAGAGTGAGCAAATAAATTTGTCCCTGCCTTCAAGAAGCTTACAGTTTGGGTAAGGACATTAATGAACACCAAGAAAATAATTAGAAAACAACAAAATGTTAGACTGTAAGGTGCTGATGGCATATTCTAGGAGTCCTGGGAAGGGAGAAAGCAATGAAGGGTGGAGGTGTACAAAAAAACCTTCACAGGAGATGAGGCTTGAAAGATGAGTATATGCTGAGGAGGCTGGGTATAGGAAGGAAATGACAGATTCCCTTGGAGATAATCCATTGCTCTTGACACTGTGTACTTACCTCTTGATAAGCAGAATAGGGTGGAAACAACTCGCTTGTTTGATTGTTGGACTATGGAACTTGATGGAAAGCATCTTGGTTAGTGATTGTCCCTGACGAGGGAGAAGTATAGACACATGTCCATACCTGTTATACATTTATTTATGCATTTATATAACTATACCCTGGCCAAGTGGTTATTCTTGTCAACTCCATATATACCTATTTGAGGACAGTTAATTACACTAGCAGCCATTGGCTTATTTCTGGAGTCCATCTGCCAAGGAATTCTTCCAGGGAAATGGAGAGCACCTAGCATTTGTTGGGCCATTAATATCTCCTAGAAATTAACTCCCCCTTTTCTCCTTGATAATCTTCATAGGTTAGCAAGTGTGGAAATAACCACATGTATTATCGAGGGATGATGCGAACAAAGTTCTTAAGACCCCTGCCTGATTCCTCAAGGAAGCATTTCTCAGCTACATGTGTTCCTCACTTGTAACCCACAGTCATCCAGGTCATTATAGTCTATGATACAGATGACCCATAGGAATGGCAGTGACGTAAAGGGTACAATCAATTTATAGGTTTATTTTACTGAGAATTTCTGTGTAGCAAAGAAGCTGAGCCTGTTTTCTAGACTGGAAGGAAGGGCATGCGTTGATAGGGTGCCACTGGCTAACCCACGTGTGTGTGTGTGTGTTTACCTTTGAGCCAAGTGTACCATTAGTGTGTGCTTCTAATGTTTAGTTGTGCATGTGTGTAAGATAGAATCATTCTGACTTCTCCAAGGAACAGTTGTTTATTCTTTGTGAAAGAAGAGAGGAGGCGCAGCCAAGGTCTAAGTTCCAGAAGACCGGATGGTGTGGATTCTTGAAGATCAGACAAGCTGTCGGGATCTCTGAGGCTGCCACTCAAACTTCCTGAGTTGTCTCTGACTCTTATCTTCCAGATGCTTTGTTCTGTACAAGCTGCCCAACTTGAAATTTCTGGATGCCCAGAAAGTAACCAGACAAGAACGAGAGGAGGCGTTGGTCAGAGGAGTCTTCATGAAGGTGGTGAAGCCCAAGGTGAGCTGCCTACTTGCTGTTCTTCACAAGGGATTTACATCTCATGGCAGTGCTTACACCCCAGGGCATGCAGAATGTCCTCTGAGTGTTTAGAATGCAGTTGGAATCTCACATGAAGGGTCCTTCCATGGATACATTGTTGGCCAAACATGAAATAGGGTTAGGTGTAAATTGGATCTTCCTGTTTTACCAATAAAGCAGCACTATGCATAGCCCAATGGTGAAGTTCTGTGGGGGACTGCAGGTCTCCTTCTTGGAAATATTCACTAAGTGGGGCCTCTGCAGGTTTGCAGCTGAGAAAGGAGAAAGAGGAAAGCATTGGGCATGGGTGGGCTTTGGGGTAGGGGGGATTCTTCTAGTACTTCAGAGGGGGACTTTCTTGTTTGCCACCAAAGGGAAGCTAGGGAAGAGTGATTTTCTTCCATCACAGGCAAGGGCTCCACGGCCCTCTGAGATATCGTTAGTGTGGAAGGTGATGTTTTCTGACAGTGTGTCCCTAGGCTGGCATGTGCCCCCCACATGTATCTCTCCAGAGCTGATTAGAGTGGTGTTTACTGACCTTTCCTTTACCAGCTGAGTCTGTAAGTGAATTTGGTGTCATGCTAATGGCAGCTCTGATGAGGCAGTGGAGAATTGGCTTGGGGTCTTGGATTCAGACACAAGGAGATTTTTTAAGGACATGGATGACTATCTCTTTGGGAGGAGTTGGGAGTCCTTCAGTGAAGCCAGAGGCTGGGGAATGGACTCGGTGACCCCTGATGATCTCCTTGGAGAACCATCATTGCCTTGAGGCTCTGTGGAGCTGTGTGGTCACCTCCCATGAGATTGCAACTTGTGTGTTGAAAATGCTGGCACTGATATCCTAGAAGTCTAGTTTATCCTCAGCTATTGACTTATAGCACTCTGCATGTGCATTGGAAATGATTAAAGGGGGGAAAGAAAAAACAAAAACAAAACAGAACAATGAAACATCTTCCATCAAGTTGCTCTGCTGGCAGCAGACCTCAGGCCACTTTCTTTCCCTGAATCCATGAGGTGCAACTTATTTTCCATTATGCTGAATAAAATTGCTAGCAGTTGTGGAAATATGTGATATGGAGGGTATATTACTGGCAGATAAATGTATTGTTACCTCTTTCAGCATGTGGGAAATTAATTGAGTGATTCATTTCATAGCTATTAAAGTGTTAACAGTGCTCCCTATCGAGGCACAGGTTTGATGTATTGCACACAACTGCCTTTAGTTATTCTAGCTTTTGTAATTTTTCCAAATGAAATAATTTATTTCTTGGCCTTCTTTTTATTTGTTTTTGGTGAAAACAGTCCAGAGATAGCCAGCATGACCAAACCCAGCAAAAGTACAACAAATGCACTCTATAATATCCTGGGTTATTATAAATAACCTGCCCACCCTACATATCTCACCTTCTTGTATACATCTGTATTCACGTGTATACCTGTGTGCAGAGTGGATCAGTATTTCTCCTGCGCTCATTGACTTTGATGTGGGCAGCTCTACATTGTCACACAAAATCTGAAGGGGTAATAAATGTAGTACCCACCATATCTGGATGGGGCACTCAGTGCATGCCCACCCCCCATTCTTCTAAGGTTCTTGGTGCACAGATCTACAAGTGTTCACATCATCCTCTAAAGTAGAAGGAAGGGGTCACTGGCTCGCTTTATGGGTGAGGGAACTGAGGGCTGGAGAAGTTAACTGGGCTGCCCCAGGTCACCTGGCTAGTAATTGTGGAGCTGGAGGTTTACCTTGTGTCTGACCACTGGGCCCACACTCTTCTCTCTCTGCTTTCTCACCCCTGGAGCAGTGAGCTACATATTTACCCTGTGGATCTCTTTGTTCAAACAAAACCTCCTAAGGTCTAAATGAGGAAAACAGGTAAGAGCAGGACTGTTCTGTTGAGTAGAGGTGGGAGGAATCGAAATCCTTCCTTGCTTTTGAAAGTATCTGAGACTGGCTCCTTAAAATCCAGCATTAGTTGTTTCTGAGTCATTAGCAACATCAGCAGAAATGCCCTTTAGGGTTCCCAATTAGTTTCTAATCAATTCTAGAATTAGTTCATGTTTGTATGATTGACTCCAATATCCTTACTAACTGTATTAAGCTTTAAAAAGCCTGTTAAGGTGTAAATTAGTTCAACCATTGTGGAAAGCAGTATGGCAATTCCTCAGAGAGCTAAAAACAGAACTACCATTTGACCTAGCAATCCTATTACTGGGTATATACTGAAAGGAATATAAATCATTCTATCATAAAGACACATACATGTGGATATTCCCAGCAACACTATTCACAATAGCAAAGACATGGAATCAGCCTAAATGCCCATCAGTGACAGATCAGATAAAGAAAATGTGATACGTATACACTATGGAATACTATGCAGCCATACAAAAGAACGAGATCATATCTTTTGTGGGAACATGGATGGAGCTGGAGGCCATTATTCTTAGCAAACTAATGCAGGAACAGAAAAACAAATACATATTCTTACTTACAGGTAGAAGCTAAATGATGAGAACTCATGAACACAAAGAAGGGAACAACAGACATAGGGGCCTACTTGAGGCTGAAGATTGGGAGGAGAGAGAGGAGCAGAAAAAATAACTATTAGGTACTAGGCTTGGTACCTGGGTATGAAATAATCTCTACAACAAACCCCCGTGACACAAGTTTACCTATGTAACCAACCTGCATATTTACCCCCAAACCTAAAACAAAAGTTTAAAAAAATACCTGTTAATTATTTGAGGAGAGAGACTAAAGTACTCTTACAAAGTATGGTGATCTTGGTTCTCTTTCTGTAGTCACATGATTTCCAGACCAAAGAGGACTTAGAAATCACCTAGTCTGTGCTCCCGTTTCATGGATGAGGGAGCTGGGAGAGGGTGTAGTTTCCTGAGGCTCCATGGAATTGGGACCAGAACCCCTGGGGGTCTGGGCTTCCAGTTAAGTGTTCAATTTATGCCATGATTCTTCAAGTGCCCAGGACGATTCTTCTGTGTTCTTGGTTTCATATCGAACTGGATGCCTACATTGAATGGCAGGCAGTTCCCTTTTGTCTGTTATTTTCAGAGATAGGCAGTGGTACTTTTCTTGTAGAAAGAAAGACGCCAAATGAGCTCCTTGCTGAATTAATAAATTGGCATTAAAAAGGCTGGTTCTCACCTGTTCACGGTGTGTACAGACATATGTTTGTTCCCATGCAGGTGTGTATACCCGCTTCCGTCTCTGTGTATATATACATATGCATGTTCTGGGAGGTATGTGTACACCAGAGTCAGCTTCTAAGTGGCAAGCAATTTCCTTTCCATGTGTTGCTGCTGCTGTGCTGAGCACACTCAGGGAAGACCTATTTTTCACGATGGAATCGGAATCTCAAGCTGGCTCCTGTCCTTTCCAGGGCAGCCAAGGCCTGTTGTGCTTATTCAGCAGAATGCTCTGATGGATGATTAAGGTGGCCGTGATTTGGGGAGCTATTTTCATTTTATTCCTGACATAAAGAATTTGGGAGAATGGAAAATGTCCCTCCAATCACAGCTCTTGCCTTGGAGGTAGGGAAACGGGCAGTCTGGGTGTTCTCGGCTGACACAAATGCAGAACCATCCAGGAGGTAATAAAGGCCCGATGTCGCAGAGGTCTGATTGGGTACCTGGCAGGCGCTGGCGCTTGAGTGCAAGTCCTCACTCCCTTTCTCCCATGATGACACATTTCTCCTCCGTGGCTGCCTTTTAGCTTTTGTTGTTTCAAAGCTGGCTTCTGTCTGAGCTCTGATTGTTGTAGAGAAAGATGCTGTCATTCATTAGGAAGTGATAGCTGAATGCTACAATGGATGCTTCCAGACTTTATCTCTCTGTGTGTGTGTGTGTGTGTGTGTGTGTGTGTGTGTGTGTGTTATTAGTTGATGGACCTGCAACAGCTAGGCTTTGTCATTTCCAAAATTCAAATATATAAAATATATATAACTTTATCAAATATTGGCCATTGAATCATGCCATTGTTAATACAGAGAACACCACACTGGATACAGAGAAGGTTCAAGCCCCCAAAGAAAGAGCCCGCTAGTAACCAAACTGTGAAGCCCCTCACTGCACTGGGAAACATAGATCAAAGGGGTGCAGAGGCCTGTCCAGGATGACGTGTGTGGTCGGCATGTCAGCCCTGCACAGCAGAGAGACAGCTCAAAAATCCGACAGTCAGAATTGTTTAATTATGTCCTGACTTTGTAATTATTCATCCCTGTTCTGGCAAAGAGCACAGTTGTCATTTCTTTGACATAATTATTTAAAGCTGAGCCCTCTTGTTTACAGGCATGTATACAAAGTTGGCTACCAACTGTTTAATCTTCAGAATCTTAAAGGAGCCTAAGGAGGGCAACTCTAGAAAGTGTTTTGACGCTTATGTTTTGCTTGCATTAATATCCATCCTCATAGGGAAGATGTGGTAATAAATATGTCTGTGAGTAGTGAGGTGTCTTTGAAGACATGTCACTTGTTTGTTTATGTGGGCACAGTGTGTTCAAACGTATGTTTTTTCCCATGCAGGTGTGTATACCAGCTTCAATCTCTCTGTGTGTATACATATGCATGTTCTGGGAGGTATGTGTACACCAGAGTCAGCTTCTAAGTGGCGAGCGATTTCCTTTCCTGATTTTTCCACCTGATTTTCCCATCGTGTAGTTTGTGTATTTGTGTAGTTTGTTGTAGCTTGTATATTTGTGTGTGTGCCTACGTTTTGATACTTGGGAGGGTGGGCTATTGTGTATGTGTGTGTGTGCATGTGTGTTTGTGTGTGATAGAAAGAAGGAAGGAGAGGGAGGGAGATGCCCTGTGTTGAAGAAATAAACTTTGGAGTACATGCATTTCCAAAAGTCTCTCTTATTCTTTTCCCCTAAACTGAAAATTGGAAACTATTTGGGCCTGAGAATCACCTGCTCCCACAAATACCCTACATAGTCCTGCCATTGACTCTTGGAGTTAGGTCCTCACTCCCCTGGGTACCTTTAGTTTCTTCCATCTGTGTCTGTGTTTTTAGGTTTCCATGCAAAAGGCCATCTAGGATGAAGACGGAATGATTCATAAGGAAGCTGGCTTCTCATTGGGATGAGGAAGCTGCTCGCCCCTGGGGTGCCAGCTCCATGAGGGCAGGAACCTTGTGTTTTGTTCGTTTCTGTATCTCTAGTACCTAGTCTATAGCAGAGGCTCAGTCAATACTCATCAAAGGAATGAACCATGAACAGCAGAGCATATTGGAAGATCCATCATGAAAAGGTTGTTGTATGTGTTCTAATTACTTCAGTCAACATGGTTACATTAAAAGGCAGGAAAGAAACCATTGCCTTTAGACTGTGTGTTAATTGCCACCTGTACACTGGCAGAAAAGACAGATTCTGGGCATCGTATTTGTTTTTCCAAAGGATTTTCCTGGGATTATTTATGATGGGAAAACCTACTACTACCACAATCCCCATGACTTGGCTTTTCCACTGGGTAGCATTTCACGGGGAGGCAAGGGTGTGATCTGAAGCTGCGTTCTCCTCGTCACTCGGGGTGGTACTGGAGTCCTCCTTCTTTCTCAACCCACCTGCTCATATTAGGGCTTTTAGGAAGTAAGTAGCTCTTCTCATGAAACATGTTAGGGTACCCACAAGTCTGTGTGTAGTTACAATGAAATTTTCCGTCTTCGCCGCTATTGTATTTTTTGTCTATACCTAAAGGAGCACTACCTAGTTGCTTCTTTGCTACACTTAATTGTTTTTTATGCCTAGTGTAGCACTTTACTAAGTGCTATCTTATTCTAAACTACACTGCGTATGTCTTTGATATCTTCTGTTACTCCTATGTAGCCCAATTGCAAATGCATAAAAGGGTATCAGAAACTACTTCTAGGTTTATTACAATTACTGTCCTTTATACTCAATATTTTCAAGAATATATATTTTATATAAAGCCAGGACATGCCTATAAATAAACATTATAAATCACAAGTACATTCAGTTCAACAGACCATCAGCCAATATATTTTGAAAGTTCTCCACAGTGCCAAACATTCAAAAAATAATTTAAAATATTGGTTGTTTTTCTGGATGTTTCCAACTACCTGAATGTGCTCATGTTTTTATGATTTTTTTTTCTGTTTTCATGCAGATGTTTCTTGTCTAGAGACATATTCAGATTCTATTTTCAGTTTCTTTCTAGTAAATTTTGGAGAGAGGAAAATTTTTTAATTAACTGTTTTTTTTAAGAAAATGCTTAGATGGTGTGTTCAAAAACAACTCTGGGAGCCAAACATTTGCAGTTTGTTTGTTTTTTCAACCTTATTCCTGACTTCACAGTTTGCACGTTCATTTGAGGGAGAATCACTTAAAGATTTTGTATTTCTCCATTTTTAGAACCATGGCATCCTGTGCCTCAAGCAAATGCTTTTGGAGTATTGCTCTTTGGAGGCGGCCTCTGTAGCCTTGCATTTGGGTAGCAACCCTCTAAAATAAAAAAATAGAGCACTGCAGGAAAGCCATGTCTCTGGTGTGCTGGTGAAACCAAAATACACAATAGAAAGAAGGAAGGTGGTAGCAGCCTCTTAGGGGCATTCCCAGGAGTCCTAGGGGCCTTGCCAGGTGCTGAGCACATAGTAGAGACTACTGTCCATGAAGCCAGTGCCTGGGGGATGTTACTGTTTCCCTGATGGGACCTCTGGCTTGCCCAGCTCCCCAATGGCCCAGCTTCACCCTCTTCCTCTTTTTAGCCTCCCACATGCTCGCTGCTGTCCAAAGATGCTTAGATGGATGTATCAAGAGGATCATGGAAGTAAGTAGCATTTTTTAAGTGTTGGGGATAAGATGAGTAACTCTTGGATACTTTGTCCTGCCTCTGCAACCCAACAACTGGGAGAAGTGTGGTAGATTGCATTGTTTGTCTAAAACCATTCCTTTCTCTCTGCCCTTGCTGTGGCTCCCCATCTAAGGGAGGAATACACTTCCCCATTCCATTGACTTTGGCCTTGGCCATGTAACTCCTTGACCAATGGGATGCGAGTGGAAGTGACAGCATGACAATTCTGGGCCAAGGCCTTACACAGCACCATGTGTTTTCACTCACTGCTCGCACACGTCTGCCATTTGCTATGAAAACAACATGAGAGACACCATGACCAGACCTGAACCTGACTTGAGGCCTGCAAACATCCCAGCCAACCACAGACCTCTACATGAGAAAGAAATGCTTGTAATAAGCCACTAAGATTTTGAGCAGTAGTGTGCTGACTAATACCTAGGCAGGCCATCCCATCCACACACCCTACCTCTGCTGCATCTCTGGCCATTGAACCAGGGTCTTAACTGGAACACAACTTGGAGTTTTGTGAGGTTAGTGGCAGTCATTGGTGCCACAGCACCAACTACTGTAGGGTTTCTGGGTACTTAACTAATTAGGATAGCAGGGCCAGTCTAGAGGTCAACTGGCTGCCTAGTGGTACATTAGATGCACAGAAACTTCCCTGATATGTGAGTTAGAAGAACATGCATTAAGTAGTCACTGTCTGCTAGCTATTGTACCAGCTGCTTAACAATTTTATCTCTAATTTTCTCCCTACAAATGAGGAAACTGATGATCAGATAAATTATATACATAACCTAAAATTACAGAGCAAGGTGGAACCAGGTCCTTTTTTTCCCCCGGGTCTTCCTAAGCCCCAAAACTCATGTTCTTTCCCCTCTATGCCTTGAATTACTTCAGGGAAAAAAGTCACACTCAAAGCTTGTGCTCTTCCCACTGTATCCCTTACATTTCATTAACAAGGCATACATTTCTGATGGAAGGCAGGGGTGAAAGAGCAGGAAGATCAGGAGATAGAAGGCAGCCAGAGGCAACTTTGTAATTTCCAATTTTAACCCTGTGATGACTCCCCATAACATATTTTGGTGAAATACATGGGCTAGGCAAAGAACTACAGGAGCCAGGCTGTGGGGGGATCTCTGAGTTAGGTCAGGTTTGCAGTTTCCCCTGAGGGTGAGGAGGAACCTTGGCAGAGTTTGAAGTGGGAAAAAAGTCTGGGCAGGCCTGTATTTGCATCCCTGGGTATCTGGGAGAGGGAGCCTTAGAGCTCTGTGCAGAGCAGGTGCTTTGGTGATGTGGAAATCTGTGCAACAGCAGGCACTGGTCTGAGGCTGCCACAGTGTTCCCAGCACCCAGGCCAGTGTCAGTGCTCAGGCAGCTACAGGGGTTAGAGAGCTGTGTCTAAAGAAGCTCTGGGATAGCAGAGATGGGTCCATGTAAGAGTGAGTAGCTCTGATTCTGGGACAAGGAGACAGCTGATGGCTGTCAGAGACCCACTAGTGACTCCCCCTTAAAGGGAGTTCACAACATCTCGAAAATGTTCTTTGACATGTTCTTACCTCAAAGCCCCTGTCCCTTATAGTATTCACTGTCTCGTTTTAAGGAGTAAATTTAAGTCTTCCTAACTGGGCCATAAAAAGTTGTCATTCGCATGATCACTGGCAATGACTAAGATGGAGCCTTTATTTGTCTTTAGTCTGCACATTATCAGCTTGACATTTTCTTGATCCACTTTGGAAAAGTATCTTTGGCATTTTGTTTGTGCAATGTAGATTCTTTTTATCATTATTTTTATTAAGTTTGAAAGGAAAGAGAAGAGGGAAAAGGAGAGGAAAATAAAGATGTTTACTTAAGAAATTGGGTTCTGGAGAGTAAAGTTAGGGTTCTGATTTAAAGTTATCCATATTTAAAACCAACATTACCCGGGGTTCTGTGCAGAGCTACAGGGCAGGACTGGCTGCTGTTCTTCAGCTATGGGTGCATGGGTGAGCTTGACAAATCCTTCCCATGCTTTTGTCCATCCTCCAGCCCACCCCTCCCAATTCTTTGCTTTGAGCTTGGTGATTCTAGGCTAGTGATGAAGAAGAATAAGTTGGAAATGCAGGGGCAACTTGTCTAGGAACAGGGAAAAAAGGCCAATGACTGACGTATGAGTAAAAGGAGAATCATGATGGCCTCGGCATCCCCTCCCCTCCATTAGACCAGGGCCTTGCTGTCTTTCCTGAACTCTACAGCTTAATAGAGCTCTGTCTTCCTCAGAAAGACCCTTCTGGGCCCATGGAAACATCAGACTGTAGGATTCTAGAGACTGAACTCTCAGGCCATTGTGTATCCTTGAAGGCAGGGAAACCTGCAAGAAGGGGGCAGGCAGAGGCCAACCACACAGATGCCAGGCCACTAGAGAAACATCATGAACATTGTTCTGAAGCTGCCTTCAATGACATGTGCATGTATTTGCAATTCCATGGCTAAGGAAGAAGGAGAAAACAGGGATGGCATGGTCCCATTTTCTACTCTGCAGTTCTGGCTATTTCCAAACCACCTGCTACTATAGGTAATAGCAGATAAGAAGAGCAAATTGTAAGAAGAAAATATAAAAGAAAACTCATGTAAGCTCAGTGATGAAATGAATGTTTCTGATACTTAACATTTACCTGATCTTTTTGTTGTTCCCAAAAGCAAAGTTGTGGAGAAGATAAAGTAGTAAGATAATCTTAGGGCAGCAGTCACCAACGTTTCTGGCACCAGGGACTAGTTTTTTGGAAGACAATTATTCCACAGACTGGGGGTGGGGATGGGGGATGATTTCTGGATGAAACTGCTCCACCTCAGATCATCAGGCATTAGATTCTCATAAGGAGCCTACAACCTAGATCCCTCACATGCACAGTTCACAATAGGGTTTGAACTCCTATGAGAATCTGATGCCACCACTGATCTGACAGGAGGCAGAGCCCAGGCAGTAATGCTCGCTCACCAGCCGCTCACCTCCTGCTGTGTGGCCTTGTATCTAATAGACCACAGACCAGTACATGTCTGTAGCCCCGGGATTGGTGTTGGAGACCCCTGCCTTAGGGTGTCCAACCTGAACAGAGTTAAAAGTCTTCACAACATTTGGAAGAAAAATGTGATGATGGTCTGAATGCGGCTGATATGTACTTTCAGGGTACCCTTTGGAGGAGTGTCAAACAGGTATGCCTAGGCAAGTACCAGCATGCAGTAGCACGCAAGTAATGGCACCCCGTTCCACCACCCTGCAGACTCAGTGAGGGGCCAGATGCTCACAAGAGAGGGGCTTCTCATTTCAAAAGAAATTATCTCTGCCCTTTATCCCAAATGGTCCATTGAGAAGCAAAGAGAACATCTTTCTTTCCTGTTTCCCCAGAGAGCCTGTTTCTCCTCACCAACACCTCTAGAACATCCAAGTTCCCAGACAGCTGTTGGATCCGGCTTGAGAGTCTGCTACAACCCTCTGGGAGGTGTGTTTTTGCCTAGAAGTTGTTTTGCCCACCTGTGGTCACCATAGCTTCCTTCTGGGGCCTGTATACACACTCAGATTCCAAATGCATCTTCTTTGTCACTCTGACCAGCAGAAGTGCCATTTCACAAGCATGATGGGGAAGGCTTGTCCTTGGGGTCACTGAAGGCTGGTGCTACAATTAGCCCTTCTGTTTGCTTTTCTGCTCCTTACAGTAGAGTGTCTTAGATGAACAGACAGGGCTCCATCAATAATGCACAGATGCTCTGTAATTGGGACTTCCTTTGATGTTAATTTAGCTAAGTTCAACGCCATTGTCAGTGATAGCAATTACGTGCAGCCTTTTCACCAAGGACATTTTAGGATAATTTTATTTTTCATGTGCATTTTAAAATATGGCAGTAAATTTTGAGCTACATTACCTGAATTAGAACTCATTATTTATTTTCAACAGTGAACTAATACTCTGTCTAGGCTCCAAAGCTGTCTTTTTTTTTTTTTTCTTTTTTGAAGTGGGGGATATGTACTGGGGCTTCTACTTTATGCAGTTTTTAACTCTTGAGTGAAATTTAGAAGTGAGTCACCTCTTCTTTTTTTGTTGAGCATTTTGAATTGTCACAGAGGCTATCTGGCTCGGTGACCTGTCACGTATTTTTGTTGGGCCCATTTTTATTCACTCCTCCCCCATTCCACAGCCTTTACTTTTGTTCTTGACACAATTTAAGGAGTTGCCTCCAGCTGTTTTTCTGGGGAGGTTTTAAGTCTGAATTTATTGTAGCTGTTGAGTTCCATGGAAAACCTGCAATTCTTAATTTGTTCATGAGCTGTTGTTGGATTTGCTGCTCCATTTGGGGACTGGGCCCACTCCAAGTTTCAGGGTAATGTTTAGGTTTGGATTAAAGGCTGGACTTCTACCTCCTGTTATTGGTTGCCTTATTAAAATGGGGAATGTAATGCCTTCCAAGTCTGTTGGGGGATTAAATGAGATAATCTGTGGCAGGAGCTAATGCAGGCTCTGGTCTAAAGCATCAGTAGCAGCTAGTGTTCTTAGTCATGTAATTTCAACTTACAAGGACTCTTTTTGTGGCACTGCTGTGTCATCAAGATGTGTGGGTGAATGTGAGGAAGGTAATTTTGGCTTGAGATGCTGGGGGGCAGGTACCTAAGTCAGCTTGGGATACCATAACAAAATGCCATTGACTAGATGTCTTAAACAACAGAAATGCATTTTCTTGCAGTTCTGAAGTCCAGAAGTTCAAGGTCAGGGTGCCAGCATGGTTGGGTTCAGGTGTGGGCTCTCTTCCTGGCTTGTAGATGGCTACCTTCTCACTGCACTCTCCACTCATGGTGGAGAAAGTAAAGAAAGAGAAGGAGATCTCTCCGTCTTCTGATGAAACCACAGTCCTATTGGATTAGGGTCTCATTTAACCTTAATTACCTCCTAAAGATATTGTCTCCAGGTAGAGTCCCATTGCAGGGTAGAGCTTGAACGTGTGAATTTGGGGGTACGCATTCAGTCCACAGCAGGGGGCATTGCCCCTCTATTTCTGGTGGCTTAACTAAGTTTTCTGGAATTTATCCTTAAATGAAATACTTCTGCTCTTCTGAGACATCTACTTCCTAGTAAGAGTAAAATACCTAAAAGAAAGGAATGTGAGAGGGGAAAGAAGGCCTCACATTCATCCTGGGGAGGTCCAGGCTCCTGAGCTTGGGCATCTCCTCAGCCACCGCACGAGACCCTTTTGTTCTTGTGGGAATGGTAGAGGGAAGCAGTAGGGCAGGTGAAGGCATGGGAGGAGTAAGCATGGCGTGGGGGACGGGAGGCTCCTTGCCACTGATGGAGCCAGGAGCATGAAGGTGCAGCTGCCCTCTGGACAGCTGTGGAGGAGAGAGGTCTCCATACAGGACCAATGCGGGAAAGGATGCCTGGTGCAGAAGTGAGCCCTTAAGCTCTTTCATTTGAGTGACCTCGCACTCAACTCTCTTAATCCTCCTCTAATTCCCTTGGCGAATCTGGAAATGAAGGCTGATGTTTAGATCCTAGAATTTGTCATTGGAATCAGGCCCCTCTGCCCCCAGAGTGAAATGAAAAAACTGGGGAATGAAATTTGGGAGCTTGTTACACATGTCCAAAGAATATTATCCCATCATCAGAAGGGTTTTGAAACCCAAGATTGAGATATTGGCTCTTTAGACAATTAGAAAACAGCCAAGTACTGTATTATGAAACAAACAAACAAAAAAATCTGTTCAGTTTAATGCTAGAAAAAGAGAAAGAGAGGTTCTAACTTCTGTACTCATTCTAATTTTTAGTCATGGGATGTTTTGGAGAAGATTAGATTACAAAATATTTTTTTCTTCTTTGTGTTCAGAAAAGCCTCAATACCAACTTGCAGCCTCTACACTTTTAGATGCCAGAGGCCTAAGCTGAAAATATGAATTGTGTTTGCTTAGGTAAAAATGAACAGGGCGAGTAAGCGGAATAAAGAATAAAAAGCTTTTCCTTCTTTGCTTTCCCTCCCCTCTTCCTTTGCACATTATATGACTAAATGTGCAACTTTGTTCACATAACTGCTACAAACAGTTCACTGTGTAGGCCAAACGCTCTCTTATGCAGTAAAATTAAGAAATAATATGCTTTGAAAGTGATTTATGAGTGTGGTTAAACTGCCAGATTTACAAAGAAATAGTTCAGATCTTGGGAAGCCTCAGGAGTCACGTCAAAAATGAATTTGACCATGATTTAAACTGCTACTTTTCTTACATGACATTTAATATGTGTACTTTGGAGGCCCATATGTCTTTAATAAAATAGCATTAAGTTTTAAATATGATATGAATGCAGCCAGTTTCTAAATTCATAACCTTTTCCACAACTCCAAAATGCTAACCAATAAGGGAGTCATACACGCAATAAAACATAAACCTTAGAAAATAGCTTTTTATTAAAATGGTTAGACAGTTGGCAGCTGGGTTGCAATGTAATAAATACTTACAGCATTGTGGGTTTATCAGACGTTGTTTACCCTGCAAGCAACTGGGACCAGACAACTAATTATAGCCCCTGCCACAAGAGCAGTTCAAGCTGAGTCCCCCTGAGTATATCGAAGATGCAGGATAGTTTGTGTTGAGGGCCCTGGACAGGGAGTCCAGAGATTTGGGCTCTAATCCCTCTCCACCACTTAAAGGGGTGTGACCTTGGGCAAGTCCCTCCATTTTTCCAACTTCTCCAATCTGTGTCACAGAGATAATAATGCCTGGCAGGCAGTTCTGCAGTGCTGATAGATAAGAAACATCTGACACCAGTGCTTGGCACATAGTAGGTGCTCAGTAAAGAGAAACAATTCTTTTTAAAAACAGCCTTTAATTAAAAAAAAAAGTATTTTAGGCTAGACCTTCATGTCATTCTAGCAGTGATGTTTTATGATGACTCTAGGTTGGCCCCAAGAGAAGTTTAACCACTTAGCCAGAGATCAGTGTAAACATCATGAAAAATGAACATGGAGCTCCTTGTCTCTCTCACCTCTTGAAGGAACAAGCATGGGAGAATGGCAGAAGGACATATTTGGTTCAGGGGGAATGGGAGTGTCCTGGTGGCCACTGCTACTTTCCTGTTCCCAGAGATGAAAGGGAGGTGTGCAACACTGTTCCTTCTTGCCTTTGGCTTTCCCATTCATAGTGAAGGTGACTTATCTTTGTAAACTGCTCTTTATCACAGCCTAAGGTCTTTGAGTACTTCTGCTGCTGCTGTGTGTGAATGCATCTGCAGACCTTTCTGTGGAGTAGTCTTGAAGTAGGCCTTCCAGTCTCCATGTTTCCAGATGCATAGGAACAGCTGGTGTTTCCAGCATCGCAGATGAAACAGCCAGTCTGGCAGTGGTCTGATTGTGTTTGTCCATGCAACCAAATCTTACCACCCCCCACAAACCTCCTTAGCAGGGAATTCCTGAATTCCCTAAAATGGAAGTTGTACATTATATTTGAGCCTAGATTTTGAATCTCAGGGCACAGACATATGTGTGGTTATCAAAGATGAAAAGACCAAGGAACCACTTCATTTTGTTTTGTTTTGTGTTGTTTTTATATTTTTTAACAATGTTATGGTTTCATTAAGGGAAATTAACAAAGAAAATCCTTCAACTCTATTCCCTATATGTGACTCTATGACACATGTAGGGAATATGTGTGTTCCCTTCCAAACCGTATCCTTTTCTAAATGTGTTTAGAAATCCTTTTCTAAATGTGTTCTTGATGTGTTTAATGTTTTACTTTTTACTTAAAATTTTTATTACTTATTTTGTATTCCTCAAATATATTCTTTCTATGGACTGTATAATTCTCTATCAAGTTGACCTAAGTACTATTAGTTACCAAACCATTTTCCCACCGTTCCTGGATTTTAACCTTATGTATAAAATACTGCTAGTTGTATGTATGTGCAGGGTATGTGTGTGTGTGTATGTGTGTTTCCTTTAAATTACTTCCTTAGGATAATTTTTCATGGCTGGGCTTATTGGGTCACAAGGTGTGGGCACACAAGCGGTTTTAGGCTCTGCCTAAGGATTCCAGGGTGCCATTTTTCAAGTTGGCAGCCTATCTTGGCTGAGTCATTGCACCTACCCAGGCTAGAGGGAATGTAGGTCAAAAGGAACACTTAACATTTCCAAGACCTTCTTTGGAAATGAGTTTCCTAGAGTCTTATTGGTGGGTATGGTTCTAGAAGCAAGGCTTAGATTCTGTACAAAGCATGCATTGACCTGCTAAGTTGTAGTCCTAGGGAATTACGGGTTCCCTAGAGCATCCTGAAAATTATTAGTGGCACGAAGTCCTGATCAGTGTGAATGTGCCTTCAGACTGTAAGCCAAATCTTTGCATAATACCAATCATTCTACCTATAAAAGCACAAATATGTTATTGTTCTCAATAGCCAATTTAATGCGGCTTTGGGGAGGAAAAAAAGAGAAAAGAAGATTACAAGCTGGCTGATCTTGCTTTTATTTCTCTTAAATCTATCCACACTTCTCAGGGGTTATACTTGTTTAAAGATTGTATGCAACTGTGCAGTCTGTGTGATTTGGAAAGCAAATCAAACTAAATATGAAGTTTTCAGCATGTGCTGTTTTTAAAGGATTTCATGCATTTATTCCAAATATACATTTCTTCCCAAGTAGCACTAAACCTATAATCTTTTTCTTGTTACATTTGTTTTTCGGGGGGTGGGAGGCCAAGAGGGTGACTTAGCTTTGGAGTGGAAGGTTCCTATTAACATCTACCTCCTTCTTGTGCAGCATTATTCACAGCAGAGCTATTAAGGCTAATTATTTTCAGGTTTCTATCAAAGGGGGATATTTGAGCTGACAAAAAAATGCATTTATTGGGAAGACAAATGGCCTGTTTAAATAAGAAAGGGACCATTATCATCTACAGCTTCCACCCCCCTCCCAGTTATTAGCCTATATAGGGAGGAGGAACCAGAGACCCATGGGAGACTGTAAGTCAGAGGAGGTTCTGGGGGACCGTGCTCACTAAAATGCCTGGAACCCCAAGAAGGGAAGTAGATTTTCCTATCATGTCTGTAGCCCACCTGAATTGTTCATTGACTTTGGAGCTGGTGTCAGCCTGTCATTTTTTTTTCCTCCTAGGTGAAATTCATTGACCCTTGATGTGTTATGGAAAGAATATTGGTTGAGGAGCTACATGTATTAGTCAGGGGAAACTAACTGCTGTAACAAACAGTCCCAGATCCCGGTGGTTTAGTCAGTCTCCATTCACTGATAACTCCTTGATGGAGAGTGAGGAGTGTCCAGGGACCTAGGCTTCTTCCATGCAATGGCTCTGCATTTTTCTTGGGCCTTGAGTCCTTCCTGGGTTCAGCCCATGGATGGAGCAAGCATGAGAACATGGAGGATTGAACAGGAGGATCCACAGTCTGGGTTTTTGGGTGGCACACATCACTTCTGCCCATTGGCCAAAACTCAGGCATATGAACATTCATAACTGCAAAAAAGCCTGGGAAATGCGGACATTGTGCACTGACCTGTGTCCGCTCAAAACTCATATGTTGATGCCCTCACCTCAGATTGTGACTGCATTTGGAAGTAGAGAGCCTTTAAAGAGGTAATTTAGTTAAAATGAGACTGTTAAGGTGGGCCCTAATCCATCTGGCTGTTTCCCTTATAAGAAGAGGAGATTAAGACATGCAAAGAGGCATCAGGGGTGCCCATGCACAGAGAGATGACCAAGTAAAGAGGCAGCAAGAGAGTTGCCCTGTGCAAGCCAAGGAGAGAGGTCTCAGGAGAAACCAGCCCTGTGGGCACCTTGATCTTGGACTTCCAGACTCCAGAACTATAAGAAAAGAAAGGTCTGTTATTTAAGCCACCCAATCAATGATATTTTGTATTTCAGCCCTGGAAAACTAATACAGCAGCTCAAATGAGTGCTCCAAAACAAAAGTCAGTGTATTTGGTAAACATTGAGCCAGCATCTACCATACTGAGCACTTGTGTTTTGGCCCCACTGCAATAGTCAGCTACTGTAAACCCTTGGGCAAGTCTAGTTTGTCCTCCAGGGCTCAGATTGCTCATCTGTAAAATGGGTACAGTGATGCAGATGAACTCTGAGGGTCTCCCTATGGTTTTGTGACCTGGATGGTGCACAGTCCCTCAGCTGGCATCTTGGTCAGGTAGGGGTCCAGTATCTGGCCTACTGTGGTGGTACACTGAAGGACCCAGATTTTAGGGTTCAACCTGGATTCAAATCCCCACTCTCCCATTGGCTATGGGATTTTGAGTAAATGAGTGTCTGCCTTAGTTACCTCATCTTTAAAATGAGGTTAATAAAAATAAATACCTGAAAGTGTTGCTGGATTAAGGGATTAAAGGAAATAATGAATATACTGTAAAGTACTTATTCCAGGGCTTCGTGCCCAATAAAGACTTAATAACTTTGGGCTGGGCGCGGTGGCTCATGCCTGTAATCCCAGCACTTTGGGAGGCCGAGGTGGGTGGGTCACGAGGTCGGGAGATCAAGACCATCCTGGCTAACACGGTGAAAACCCGTCTCTACTAAAAATACATAAAATTAGCTGGACGTGGTGGCGGGTGCCTGTAGTCCCAGCTACTTGGGAGGCTGAGGCAGGAGAATGGCGTGAACCCAGGAGGCGGAGCTTGCAATGAGCCGAGACCGCCATGCCACTGCACTCCAGCCTGGGCGACAGAGCGAGACTCCATCTCAAAAAAAAAAAAAAAAAAAAAAAGACTTAACAACTTTGTATCTCCTCCTCTCTCTTTCTCTTTCTTCTTTTTTGCCTTTTAATTTTTCTGCATATTTTGTAATTATTTTCATGTAAGCATCCTGAATGTGAAGATAGAGAGTGGGAAGCATTGTCACGCACGTGATCTCATTTTATCCTCATGAGAGGATAAGACAGATGAAGTGGAGCCTTATTTTACAAATAAAGAGCACTAAGATGGGGGAGTTGTGGGATTCACTGACAATTCCAGAGAAAAGTGAAAGTGAGATCGAACTTGGGCCTCCTCTTGGCCCAGTGCTGTGTTGTTACATGATCTCTAACCTGGCCATTCTGGGTATTTCAGGGCTCAGGAGATGACATGATTCAGGAAAGGAGAGCTGGAGTCATCAACCAATGCCAGGTCCCTAAAGTTCCCTCAGGAAGCACAAAATGGAAATGGCAGCTCTTTCAAGGGTCGGGCAGACAACAAACAAATATGTTGCATTTATAGCCAGGAATAGAAAGAACATGGTTAACCTCCAAAAGTTCCTGAATCCATCTGATGAAGATGATGTTGACTTGACCTAGTTTGGGACCAGGGTTTACTTTTCTTTGTGCTCCACGTTACCTGGACTTCTCCACACTTCTGAGAGTCAGGGACATGGCCTCGAAACAATGTTTGTCCTATATGTCTAGCTTGCCACAGCTCTCATCTTCAAACCACCAGTTCTTGGTTTTATATACATGGCAGAAGATGCCCCAGGGCCAGGAGTTCCCATCCCAAATCATAGGCTGAGGATGCAGCACCAGGGCCAGGAAGGAAGGGAGGAATAGAGATGACATATTCATGTCCTGGTTCTGTTGACCATGCTTGAGCTTCAGAGCCAGGCACCATCCTCCTACTTAGAGGTGATGGCGACCAGACAGTCTTTTAAGAGAAAAAGTATATTTTGCTTCACTTTTATTCAAAACAAGCTTTCTAGAGGGCTGAAATTTTGGATGCACTAGAGACAGCTGGAGATCTTCAAGCTATAGGAAAATGACAATGAATTCAGCCTTTCTGCTATCTCTTTCCTGTAGGGCAGGTTATCTGTCTTTGTCATGGCTAATGGCAATTTATGCTATCCATGACCACTGGGAAAGAAAAATATTCATATTTTTAAAATGAACTGAGACAGATCACTTCTCTATCAGGGACATGGTCATGCTAGAAGGAAGGAAGTAGAGTTTCCAAGGTCATAGTTTCTCAGTGTTTTCTGGGAGGTCACCATTTATTTATGATCTTATCATTTGAGTTTCAAAATTAGGATGAATTCTGCTGGAACCTTAAAAATAATTTGAAGTGATGAGGGCAGAAGAAGCTGCTCAAATCCTGTGCTTTTCAGGAAATAGGGTACTTTTTAGATTTGCCAAGCAGCAACGACATTGTCACCCAGAGGTTTAGCTGGAAGGTAACATACCTGAAGCCTCAAGATTGGGGCATTTTCAGGCCATCTATGAAAATGAAATATCCCAAGCCCACCATTAGTATTCTCAAGCTATGAAAGAAGATGGTTTAGGTCATTTCTCAGGCCATGCCCTCTGGTATACTTGGCCTGGATATATTCAACTTGTATTCTCATTCCTACCCCTAACTGCAATATTAACATTTTTTTTTTTTTTTTTTTTTTTTTTTTTTTTTTTTGAGATGGAGTCTCGCTCTGTCGCCCAGGCTGTATTGCAGTGGTGTGATCTCAGCTCACTGCAAGTTCTGCCTCCCGGGTTCAGGCTATTCTCCTGCCTCAGCCTCCCAAGTAGCTGGGACTACAGGCGTCCACCACGAGTCCGGCTAATTTTTTGTATTTTTAGTAGAGACGTGTTTTCACTGTGTTAGCCAGGATGGTCTCGATCTCCTGACCTCGTGATCTGCCCGTCTCGGCCTCCCAAAGTGCTGGGATTACAGACATGAGCCACGGCTCCCGGCCAATATTAACTCTTGAACACGTGTTTACACAGGTGACCTTCAGCTATTTAAGCACAGACGTTCCATAATGGAAGGGCAGCACCAGAAATTCCCAGCTTTTGAGAAAATTATTGGACCTGTTATTACTGGAAGGAGGAGAACCAAGATGAGGTGATTTAGGATATTTATCTAGAAGATGAGGGAATTAATACATAGAGGCATCTGCCTCTCTTTGCATTCCACCAAACAGCTTAAAAGGAATTTCAGGGCTGGGTGCGGTGGCTCATGCCTGTAATCCCAGCACTTTGGGAAGCTGAGACGGGTGGATCATGAGGTCAGGAGATCGAGACCATCCTGGCTAACACGGTGAAACCCCGTCTCTACTAAAAATACAAAAAAATTAGCCGGACATGGTGGTAGGTGCTTGTAGCCCCAGCTACTTGGGAGGCTGAGGCAGGAGAATGGCGTGAACCCAGGAGGCAGAGCTTGCAGTGAGCTGAGATCGCGCCATGCACTCCAGCCTGGGCGACAGAGCGAGATTCTGTCTCAAAAACAAAAACAAACAAACAAAAAAAATGGATTTCAGGTGATTCTTTTTGGAAGGTCTTTCTTCTCACCCATTGGCTAGTTTCTACCCATTAACACCAAGCCTCAGTTTTTCCATTCTTCTTCCCACTCATTCATCCATCTTATATTTACTTTGTTTATCAGGGTCCTTGGAAGGATTTGGGTAGAAAAGGAACTAAAACAGCCTTAGCCTTCACAGGGAGCACTTTCTAGGGAAGATGGACTCAAGTCTTTCCTCTGTCTCACTATGCTGACCTCTTCTACAGTTGCTTGGGTGCCTACAAATTTTTTCTCCTTTGTGTGCCTGATGAAGTCTACAAATGTTATAGACTGAATATTTTAAATAATTTGACCTTTGTGCCTTATAGTACTCTTATTCCCTTTTTATTGTCACATTCTGTTAGAATGGAATGAACAGAATTCTTCAAAGGGCTTTTTAGATTGCCGTTTGATCTGACTGTGGAGGGAAGAATGATAGAGAGTTGGGTGTGCAGTTTTGCACACTTCTGGGTGAATGGGCAGTATGCATGTCATCTGCCTCCCTCCAGGCTGACCACATGGGCTCCTCAGGGAAAACACAGCCCAGCCAGGGGGAGTGGGGGTGGGTCTCTTCAGATGTATGGAAGTCCTTGTGTGAAGAGCCCTATGTGGCTTTCAACAATAAAGTCTCATTGAGTTGGAGGCAGTTTGGAAAAAGGCTTGGAGCCCCACATTAGATGGATACCAGAAGACCAACATCCCATTATAAAAAGAAAGTCCTTACATCAAAATATTTAAACCAAAGGGAAAGGCCCAAGAAGTATGGAAAAGAAACAAGAAAATAAGCAAAAGTAGTGAAAGTATTTCCTTCCAGGACATCAGAAGCTAGACCATGGCTCTAGTCTAGAATCATCTGATAATGATGGAGATGGATTTTTTGTTCTTAAAAAGAATGCTCTGGATAAGTCATTTCATGTCAGCTTTTATAACAGTTAGGAGTAAGGGAAGAGACCTGCCTTCATCTTGCCAGTCTTTTTAGGTGTGTTGGTCCTTACCTGCCAGGAATTTGGTAAACTTCATAGCATAGAGCCTTCTGTCTGGGGTATCCGTGGTCATTTGCTGCCAGCTCTAAGTTTTCTTTTGTGATTTCTGGCCTCATTTCCCACTGTTCTGCAGTGTATTTTTTCAGTTTAACTAGATCAGTGTATGTCTCAAGTTCTTCTTCCTCCTCCTCCTCCCTTCCCTTCGAAATAGATATGCCTTCATTATTGTTCGCCCAATCTCTTCACTCACTCATCTACCTTCTAGGGAATATATATCTCACCTTCTTTCTCTCATCAATCCTTCGGTGCCCAACTCAGATTCTGTCCTCTATGAAGCCCCCTTTCAGAATTCCCAGACCCCAGAGCTTTCCTTTAACTACATCTTTAAGCCATATTATATTTTCAAATATTTGAATATATCCATCTTGCTTTCCCAAGTGAGAAGGCAAGGAATGTATCTCATCTACCTTCTGTTTACCCCATGGGGCCAAACTTAGGGATGGTCCTATATTATCCCTTAGTATTTAGCATCTTCTACTACACTGAGCTATACTGAGACAGTCACCTTCTTCCCCATGGCCAATTACCAGGGAAGACCCAATGCACCAGCACTCAGTTCTCTCACCAAGTGTTATTCTGAAAATATGTGTATGAGACAGTGGCCAGCCTTGGACCAGAGGGAAATTCTGCAATTCTGCAATTTATGTGGATGCTTGCTAGAGGTCACACCACAAGGCCACTGTCCACATATCAGCTTTGTCTCAGGAGCTGACTCATGTTTTTTATATAAATCATAGTGAGTTGCCCATTATAAACACCTTGTAACATTCAAAAGGCTTTATGGCTGTTATTAGCTACTGCAGTTGTGATTTACTAGCTAATTCAGGCTGATGTGTAGATGAGTGTGCCCAGGGCACCATTTGTCCCATCTACATAAGTCAGAGAGTAGAATAGGCTGGGTACTCAAAAGCAAATGTCTCTTCCGACGGCCTGTGGCATGTCAGGGCTTGCTTATATTTTCAGTTAGCAGGTCAGCAGTCTCTCCTCTCTAGGTGGGCTGTGTCTTCACACCTTGACACCTCCATCCAAGAGCCCTTGGTGGGAAGCACGGCTGTAACAGACAGTTTGTGTTCAGCGCTTTCACTAAAGACTTCCTTATTGCAGGCAGAAAAGAAAATAAAGTTGTGAGAGAAATATCTGGAATGGCCCTGGTGACACCTTTATGTTTCCCAGTGCATTCAGCATCAGATTTTGTATTGGCTTCTAGTTAGCAGTAGTCACACTTACCACTTGTTCTTTTTTTCCAATGAAAGTATCTGGCAGGATGCGGTGACTCATGCCTGTAATCCCAGCACTTTGGGAGGCCAAGGTGGGAGGATTGTTTGAGCCCAGGAGTTCAAGAAAAGCCTGGGAAACATGGCAAAATCCTATCTATAAAAAATACAAAAATTAGCCGGGTGTGGTGGTGCCTGTAGTCCCAGCTGCTCAGGAGGCTGAGCCTGGGGAGGTTGAGGCTGCAGTGAGCCATGATCACACCACTGCACTCCAAGCTGGGTGACAGAATGAGACTCCATCTCAAAAATAAGTGAAAGTAACACTATTGGATTGCCTGTGGTGTGTACATTTATATAAAATCAGATATAGCCACAGATTGTGTTTAGGATGACATATGTTTTACGTAACATGTTTATTTGTATTAATGTTTTAGGTTTTTGCTTTCTTTTTAATCCTACTAATTGCCTAAGATGAGATGAAAGAAAATTCACCTATACAAGTGGTATTCTGCTCTTCTGGATCTGAAAACAGGGACTAAACTGAGTAAAACTTATAAAGTAGTTTGTAGTTTATTTGACAGGGAGAAAAATTATAGAAACACACATGTATATAAAATGTGTGTATGTACACACATACATGCTTACCAGATGAGCACATTATATGTTTATATACTTACTATATAGCTATATATGCATGTTATGTAATACATATATTAAACACTATCCCTTACTTTGTTGTATAGATTTCTGCTTTGATTGGCTCACATTTAATAGACAATATCTCTTCTTAGTTTCAGATTTCGGTGCCATAGAACCAAGTAGCTTGGGTAGGAGGTAGTTCTTTGCAATTCCAAATCCTCATCCTTCAGCCTCTAACTACAGTTGACTCTCAAACAACACAGGTTTAGGACTGCACAGATTCACCTACCTGAGGATTTTTTTCAACCAAATGAAGATCAAAAATTGAAATTCTCGGGATGCCAAACCCATGTATATGGAACACCAACTTTTCATATTCCATAGGGCCAACTGTGGGACTTGACTATGCGTGGATCTGTGTATACGCAGGGGGCCCTCAAGCCAATTCCCCTTGTCTATCAAGGGATGACTGTACTAAGTTGACCTAGAAAGTGTGATATTTGAATTGTACCCTTGCCTCAGGCTTGATTTCCCTGCCTGTCACTTTGGGGTGAGCTGTCCAACATGGCAAGGTTTGTCTTCTAAATGGTTGCATCATCCACAAAATCAGGAAACAGATTTATTTGTATCTGTTGTAGTTAGTGCTTTTGCCCGTGGGTTTCTGGTGGGAGGAGCGAGAACTAGGCAGCCTTTGTACCTGTGACTCAAAGGAAATAAGTCTAGCATTTTCCATTAGATGTTTATTGCTCACCGAGAATTGGCTTAGAAACCTGTATTGAGTTGTTACAAGGAATAAAGCTGAATGAGATCAGACTTTGGAGAAATCAGAGAAATGTAAATTAATATAAGAATAAATGATCACCTTGTACCCATTAGGCTGGGATAATTGAAAAACCAGGTAATGGCAAACGTTAGTGGGATGTGGGGTTATAGGAACCCTCATGCCCTACTGGTAGAGTTACAGTAATTCTGGAGTACAGGCTGGCTTCATTGAGCTGAATTAATATACTCATATCCTGTGCCCAGCAAGTCCACTCTAAGATAAATATCCCGATGAAATTCTTGCATAGGTCCATAAGGAAGTTCGTAGGAGGATTTTCATTAATGTATTATTTGTAGTGGTAGAAAGTTGAAGCCAGCTTTGAGTTGAAGGAAATTCCAGGAGATTGGAAGGTAGAATGTGGTAGATGCCTTGGAGTACTGAGCAACAATTAGAAGCAGGGATTCAGTGGATGCATGGCAACATGACCTAGATTGCATTGACTACATGTGCTTGTTTCCTGTGCTTTTGATAAACTGACATCTGGGGCTGGGCTAACCAGGGAAAGACTGTCCTTCCCAGGGCTAGCCAATTCTTAGAGATTGCAAATGACTCACTTAGAGGTGTGCCTTTGATATGCAAAGGAACAAATCCAGAGCCCCTGCTGTGAACCACTTCCTCTCTCTGGCTCCTACACTCTAGGAGACAGAATTCCTCTGCCCTAATCATCCCAGGACCAGTCAAGACAGCCAGTCCTACTTCTGCTTACCTTGCCTGGCCCATCTCGTCCCAGAACCACCACAGTCAAGACTTTACTGCCTCCTTCTGCCTTGTTGCCTACCCAGATGCTTCCATGTGGGGCCCTGTGTAACATGGCATGCCCCCTCCTCTTGGGAACTAGAGTAAGCTATGTTTTCAATGGCAGTCATCCCCTGATCTGTTGGCCTCACCACACCTAAATAATTTTATAACATAGGTATAAAATAAAGTCACTTCATGGCTTGGCACAGTGGCTCACGCCTCTAATTCCAGCACTTTGGGAGGCCAAGGTGGGTGGATCACCTGAGATCAGGAGTTCGAGACCAGCCTGGCCAACATGGTGAAACCCCGTCTCTACTAAAAAAACAAACAAAAAATTAGCCAGATGTGGTGGCGTGAGCCTGTAATTCCAGCTACTCAGGAGGTTGAGGCAGGAGAATCACTTGAACCCGACAGGCGAAGGTTGCAGTGAGCTGAGATCGCGCCATTGCACTCCAGCCTGGGCAACAGAGCTAGACTGCATCTCAAAAAAAAAAAAAAAAAGGGGCTCTAGTGCATCTTGTGGGGAAGAAGTTGGTTGAACCTTGTTTAACCGTTTGTTTCCCAAGCTCATTTGACCATGAACCCTTCCTGGTAGCACCTACTTACTTAAATATGAAGCTTGGTGGTGAACCTCTCAGGGTACTTGAGCCTTTCTTTCTAGCAGAGGGCTTTGGGCTCCTGAGCAACATTCATGAACGGAGGAAGACTGTGTGGACAAGTGGCTAGGGAAAGGCACAACAATTTGTTGGAGAAGAAGCCATTAACTGAGATACCACCTCTTCCTTAGTATCCAAGGGACTTGGCTCAGTAGGAATATTATGTTTTTTCTTTTCTTTTCTTTTCTCTATTTATTTATTTATTTATTTGAGACGGAGTCTTGCTCTGTCACCCAGGCTGGAGTACAGTGGTGTGATCTTGGCTTACCACAACCTCTGCCTCCCGAGTTCAAGCAATTCTCCTGCCTCAGCCTCCCAGGTAGCTGGGGTTATGGGTATGTGCCACTGCGCCCAGCTAATTTTTTTTTTTTTTTTTTTTTTTTTTTTTTTGTAGAGTCAGGGTTTTACCATGTTGGCCAGGCTGGTCTTGAACTCCTGACCTCAAGTAATCTGCCCACCTTGGCCTCCCAAAGTACTGGGAATATAGGCGTGAGCCACTGTGCCCAGCCATATTATGTTTTTTCAAACCAGAAAGATATTTGGTTCAAGTCATAGTTTTCAATCATTGTGACCTTTGGCAAGTCCTTTGAATTCTTTTGGTTCAGTTTTCTCGTTGGCAAATGCAGCTTTGAAACTTAACTTCATAGGTTTATGTTGAAGGTTAAAAATGATATATGTAAAGTATCTGGCACTTAGTAGTAGGTTAGTAAAAATTAGCCACTGTTAAGACATTATTATCAAAATTATTAATATCTTCATTTGATCTTTTATGAGGACTAACAGTGAACCTATTCACAATTAGCCATGTGACTATAGAAGTGGCTTACTCAAGGTCACATTGCTCATTAATAGCAGGGGTGGGACTACAATTTACTTCTCTTAGGTCCTTGCTCAATGTCATCTTCATTACACTGGACCAAGGGTCCTTTTGCCTATTTCGTGACTGAAGGAACTCAGCACAAGCTCTTTCAGTGGACTGAATGGACCACTTCATTGCAGCACTGGAGAGAGATGCGGGATGGGATTCAGAGGGCCTGGGGTGCCACTGGGATTTTTGCTTCAGTTATACTCTGCATCCTTGTTAATAACCTAGAGAAGGTTGTAAAGAATATGCTCATTATATCTGTATTTTCCCCTAAATGGAGAGGTATTACAAACCCCACCAATGACAGAGACGTGACATAAAGGGACCTGGAGCTGTCAGGCATATGGACAGGAAATCACTAGATGAGATTCAGCTGCAATAAATGCATCCTAATACATCTGGGGACAAATAATCCGAAACACAGATATTCAATGGGAGGAAGATATTTGGAAAGCAGTAAATGCTGAAGGGGACCTGGGGGATACTGGACAGCAAATTAGATGTGGGTTTTCATTGTGTTAGGCCAACAGAAATTGGTAATGCAATCTTGCGCTGTATTTTCCAGCAGTCCCCTGGAGCAGCTGGGAGGAGAAAGCCTCTTTCACCAGCCAAGATCAAGTCTGCTCGCCCCACACACTCCTGAAGAATGGCCTGGCTGGGGCTGGGGTGGAGGGAGGGGTCGCTTTACTTTCCCCTGGCCCCTACCTCACAGGGATGGTGACTTTCCTTTCTCTAAGCCTTACCCTGACCCTGTGTCCTTGGAGAGTCGGTCTCTTTCCTGTCTCCCAGCGTCTTGCTGCAGAATGCTGTGGGATGTTGGTCTGCCTGGGACAGCCAAGGGAGGACAGTCCTGCCTGGAAAGTCCTGGTCTGCAGGGAAGACTTGGCCTCAGGTGTTTGTTTCCATGTAAGCTAAACATAGCCATCTTTTCTAGTGATCCTGGCTTCCTCCCCGCTCTCCCTCACACTCACACCCCCATCCTCTTCCTCATGAAGGATTTCACCTGCAGATAGCCTCTATAGACAGAGGAATATTTGACAAAACACAAGCATCTGCCCCAGCAGCTGTTCCCAGCAATGGGGATCAGTCACCAACTCCTCCCACCTCCTCCTTCTCATGCTTCACTCTTCTGCACCACCCCCCGCCCAATTTTATAGTCTTCTCAAGTTTAAAGACTTCCCTTGACATGCATAAAACCAAATTTCTCTTCTGGGGACCAGTGAACACATATTCTGATTTTTTTCTAGTTCCTCGCCTTACCCCATTCTCAGGAAAGCCCAGTTACTTCGTGAGTTCAGAGCACTTCCTTGCTGGGGCGCCTGCTAAGTGGGGTGAGTTTAACTGGAGCACCCCTCCCAACTTTTGGGAAAGAGTTCACTCTCACCAACCCATACTTTCTGCCTTTCCTTCTCTGGGATTGTCTTACCTCTGGAAATCCTTCAGGGACTTCTAGGGAATGGCTATGTCAATGGGGCTGGTAAAAAGCAGCTGTGGGCTGGTAAATGTCAGAAGCTGTTTGCAAGGCTGGGAAAATTCACTGTTTATTTCTTCAAACAAGCCCTAGTTTCCTCCACTGAGAATGTTCTTCATCAAACTCATCATTCAGGTTTGTATTCAGAGCAGTTTAGCTTAGGCATGCAATTGTCAGTCAACACTCGTAAGTAAGTGGCCAAGTTTAAAGTTACTCTTTGAATATTTCTATACACTCTATTCAGTAAGTGTTCACCAAGTCCCTTCTCTGTGGCTACCACACAGCTAAATACTCATGTGTATATGTGTGGGAGAGAGAGCGTTTTACTCTCGTGGAGGGGCCCGAATGAAAAAGGCATCACCGTGGAAGAACTTGAGCTTTCAGTCCTGATAGGTCATGGATATAAATGGATGGCAGCTGCTAGCACAGTGATTTATGAGTGATGCTCCCAGCCAAAGGAAGTCAGGCACATTCTAGAACTGCAGACCGCTGTGTACAGGGCATCTCAGTATATTTAGCAAAATGAGATTGCAAACCACAGAAAAAAGGGCTGAGTGGGTGGAGAGGAAGAACATTCTCTGGCCAGAAACTTGCTGAACTTTGAGGCCAGGGACCGGAGGCTTTGCAGAGGTGGGGAGAGACGTTCTTTGGCTTGTCCGACAGAAATAAATCACCACTGAGGAGATATACCAAAGGCCAATTATATGGAGTGTTTTCTTGGAAAATCATCTCCCAGACAGGCCCTGTAAATCATCCCCAGCATTGGCAGACATTCAGATCTGCCTGGTGGGGCGGGTGGCATGCCAGTGCACCCCAGTG
Organism: Homo sapiens; assembly: GCF_000001405.40. NCBI lineage: Eukaryota > Metazoa > Chordata > Mammalia > Primates > Hominidae > Homo > Homo sapiens. Next base: position 76,087,161 of record NC_000010.11, read on the forward strand.
TCAGGTAGAGGAATTACACAGGGGTAGTCTCGTTGTAGCAGGGAAAACAGAGGTCAGGTACTAGCTGTCTTCATCCGAGGAAGCAGTGTAGGGCAGAACTGTTTGTTCTGTCCTAGGAATTGTAGGGCCAAGGCTTTTGACCAGGTTTTGCCACTTACTTGTTCTGCGACTTTCAGATTCTCTACAAACAGAGTGGGGACTGGGTTATCTCTGAGGTTCCTAGAAGCCCTGACATTAATTTTATGCCTTTGTGTTCTCTATAACTTCTGCATAGCGTAAGCTTTTGCATACCACACCCTATGCTGGTAATTATCCCAAGAGAGACAAAAATTTCCATCTACCCAGCAAGGTTAGTCATACAGGATCATCTTGGGAGGGTGATTGGGGTCCCTCAAAGCCAGGTCCTCAGTGTAGCTGTAGAGAGAGATGGGAATTTAGCCTGGAGAATGAAGAGCTAAGGGGGATGCCAGAGGTACTGTGTTCAATATTGGAAGGGCTTCATGTGGAAGAGGGATCCGTGTCTGTTGTCCTACTCTGTAGGCCAAAAACAGGACCAATGAACTGCAAATAGAGGGGCCCAAAAGGAAGGAAAAGATAAACCAGCAATCATTATTCCATTGCTCAGTGACACAAACTTTGATTTCCTCAGTGTTTGAAAATATAGCAAGAACTCTTAACTGGCCAAATGTGGTGGCTCACACCTGTTATACCAGCACTTTGGGAGGCTAGAGTGGAAGGATTGCTTGAGCCTGGGAGTTCAAGACCAGCCTGGGCAACATGCAGACCCTGTCTCTACAAAACAAACAAACAAAAAATTATCTGGACAAGGTGTACCTATAGTCCCAGCTACTTGGGAGGCTCAGGTGGGAGTATCACTTGAACCCGGGAGGTTGAGGCTACAGTGAGCCGTGATTATACCACTGCACTCCAGCCTGGGTGACAGCAAGACACACAAAGTCTCACAGACACACAAAAAGAACTCTAACCATCAGAACTATCCAACAGTGGCACCTAAACCTGGCAGAGCGGAAAGTGATCCATCACTGCTGTAATCTAGCCGAGGCTGGGTGACAGTCATGGTCACAGCAGAGAGGACAGGATGCTCCTTTCTGCTCTATCTGTAACCATCTTCTGTCCCTGGAATGAGCTGAGTGAGGAATGCTCTCCCTCCTCTCCTCAAAGTATCTTCCTTGTCCCAGCAAAGCTTCATTCTTCCTATTGAGGAGGGGTTCATTTATCTCTAGGAGAGTTATCTTAAAATTTGTCTACTTTTTGGAGAAAATATATATTGAGACTTTGAGGGTGGGAATTTAATTGGTTGCCAATAAACAGGAAGGCCCCAAGGGAAAGAAATGAGAATTAGAAACTGACTCACAATATCTGGATGGGAAGCCAGGCAGGAGGGAAACTCAGGCTCTCGAAAGGGAAATCTGTTGGGCACCCAGCTTACTTCTTAATTACCTTTTTTGTTAATGGCCAGCCCATTCCTTATGGGTTTGTTGTTGGTGGGTTTACTTAAACCTTTTTGAAATATATTGGTTATTTTAGCTTGTACTGATTCTGGAGGCAATGAATCCACAAAGTTAATAAAATAATTCTTCCATCATCTTAAAATTATTTCTTCATTCAAGCTTCAAGATTTCCTTCTTCTTCCCATATTCTAGAATGAACAATTGTTTTTTCTTTATTTATCTTCTTTGTGATTCTATTGATTCTGTTGGGATCCCTTCTCAGTCTTTGACTTTCTTTCTAGACAAAGCCCTCCTAATTGTTCTCATTAGTTTGAGTATGACAATTCTGTCCGTGTGATTAATTCAACACACACCTAACATTTATTAAGTTCCTACTCTATGGAAGTCGTTGAGCGAGACACTGAGGCTAGAGGTGAAAAAGACACTTTTCTTGCCATTCTTTATACAGGATTGTAGCAGAACCAAATTAGTTGTAATGAATAGAGTGCTATGATACATGATGCAAACACTGGCCATTGTTCATGAGGTCACTTTCATCTACCTCCTGTGACAGATGAAATCACTGAGACTCTGAGAATTTCAGTGAATCACTCAAGTTCCTACAGCTGGTAAATGGCAGAGCTGGGGTCTGAATCCAGGGCTGTCTGACTCCAAAGCCTGCATCCTTTCCACTGTGCAACACTTCCCTTTGTTTGATTGTCGATGGAAATACAGAGAAACATGTGACTTAAGAATGAGTTGGGGAACTTAATTGCACTGGTGAAAAATGAAGACATTTTATAATAAAACACATAGGAAGATGAAGTAGAAAGTTTACCAGTGTCCTGGGATCCTCCGCAACCACTTTGAGGAGAATCTGAGCTCTTGGTATGCAGGCTTGGAATCATGGCTCTGTCTGGCGTTGGACATAAAATGGTAGACTTGATGCAGACTCCAGCTCAGTCATCCTTGTCTGTTATGCTTGGAGGCGACAGCTCTGCATGAACCCATTAACTCAGAGAGATTTCGGCAGAGCCTTTCCCTTCCCTGACCACTGGGCACGAGTGCACCACTCTGCTCTGAGCTGATCAGCTTTCCATATGCACGGAACAACCACAGCCTCCCTCCCCATCTTTCATCACCTAAATAAGGGCAGTTAATGTTTAAGAGTAGAGAATAGGGAACATAATGATGGATAAATTATAAGTTTGGGGATATGAAAAGTCAAACTGTGTAAATATGTATTTTAAACCACAAACAGAATGTTAATGCATCTTTCCCATTAACTCACTAACTGAAATTACAGAGTGTAACGTGAGCCAACGCCCACGGGTTGGTTATGATGTTTTCAGATTTAGAACAGCAAATGATAAATGCCCTTCTCTCAGACAAAGAAGCGATTGACACAGCTTTTCAATGTAGTCACTGGCAATGTCAGCAGTGGAAAATAAACTGAGCACCAGGAGGAGAGACGTCCTGAGATACCTGCGGAAAGTGGAGTGTGGGCTACTGTTAAGCACCTCCTGTATATGGGGGAATGTCTCAGGGGTCGGTGCAGCCCCTCCGAGCAGTGAGGACCCAGGCGCCATTGCCTGGACTGCCTTTCTGGATTAGAGGGAAGGCTTGTTTTCTCAAGCATCAGCTCTATCTTGCTCTGGGTTGGTGGGCAGCTGCCGTGAAGCCAGTTTCACTGTGGCTAGGTTTGGGTTGGGGATGTGTGGTTTTTGCATCAGCCATTTCATTGTTTGGTTGCTTATGGGCAGCAGTGTAAAAGAGAGGTTAAGAGGATGTGGAGAAATTAGAACCCTCGTGTGCTGTTGGTGGGAATGCAAAATGCTATGGAATAGTATGGTGGTTCCTCAAAAAAATTAAAAGTAGAATTACTGTACTATATGATCCGGCAATTCTGCTTCTGAGTGTATACCCCAAAGAGTTGAAAGCAGAGTCTCTAAGAGATATTTGAACACCCATGTTCGTAGCAGCATTATTCACAATAGCCAAAAGGTGGAAACAAAGGAACTATTGACAGATGAATGGAGAAACAACATGTGGTCAGTATATTCAGTGGAATATTATTCAGCCCTAAAAATGAAGGCACTTCTGACACATGCTACAACATGGATGAAACTTGAAGCCATTGTGCTAAGTGAAATAAAACACTCACAAAAAGACAAATATGATTCTACTTATATTCAGAGAGACAGTAGAAGAGGGGTCGTGAGGGGCTGGGAAGAGAAGGAAATGGGGAGTTATTGTTTCACATGTACAGAGTTTTGGTTTTGGAAGAGGAAGAGTTCTGGAGACTGTACCACAATGTGAATGTATTTACCACTACTGAGCTATATATTTAGAAATGGTTAAGATGGTAAATTTTGTGTTATGTGTATTTTACCACATATAATATTACTGCATCTTTGTAAGAGAAGGAGAAGGAATCCAGCTTTAGGGACTTGGGTAGATTCACTGCTGCTGTTTACTTGCTGTATGACTTTGAACAAATTAGTAAACACTGTAAGCCTGCTCTTCTCAACTGTGAAATAATATCTGCTGTAAGGGTTGTAAAATAGCGAGTACTCAATAAATGTCAGCATCCCTCACTTTGGTGTTTCAGAAATCCTCTCTTATGCCCACCCCAAACTGTTCTCCTGAAATAAACATGGTGGACGTGTGTGTGTGTGTGTGTGTGTGTGTGTGTGTGTGTGTGTGTCTGTGTGTAAAATCTTTGTATACATGGTAAGTTATGCATGGACTTCTTTCTGGGCTGAAGTTTGGCTCTATTAACGTTTCTTCACAAAGATGGATTCCTTCCCTTTGATACCATCTCTGCACTTTGTCCAGTTCCCCTGCATGTCTTTAATTGAAGGATCAGAAAGTAAATGGGGTATCCTGGAGAGACTGCAGCCTGGGCATTGTATACCTCACTTCTTGTTAGCCTGGTGGTCCTCATGGCCCTTGGGCAGCTCACTCATAGTCACTTGGGGGTGCTCAGTCTTTCTCATCCCACCCCAGGATCTGCCTCCCTGGTGCTTCCTCCCTGCCATGCATCCCCCTCCCACCAACTCCCTTCATCCCCAAACTCCCACCCCTTCTTTTAGAGGTAGAGTCTCTCTTTGTTGCCCAGGCTAGAGTACAGTGGTGATCATGGTTCATTGTAACCTCAAACTCCTGGGCTCAGTTGATCCTCCTGCCTCAGCCTCCTGAGTAGCTGGGACTACAGGTGTGTGCCACCACATCTGGGTGATTTAAAAAAAAAATTTTTTTGTATAGATGGGGTCTATGTTGCCCAAGTTGGTCTTGAACTCCTGGCCTCAAGGATCCTGGTGCCTTGGCCTTTCAAAGTGTTGGGATTACAGATGTGAGCCACCAGTATCCCCCTTTCACTGGCTTTTGACACTTTCTTGGCCTCTTTTGGCCCTGAGCCAAGTAACCCTAGGGCATATTTCAGGAGGAGGTTGTTGGCATTTCTGAAGCCTGTGGGACAATTTGGCTGTATGCAAATGGTTGAGGGTCATTTTCCCCTGAAGGTTAAATGGTGACCCTGGTCAATGTTTAGCTAGTGTGCACTTAAATGATTTCCCCTAGTTAATGAATCATAGGACAAATTAGCTGAGGACTTTCGCACCCTGCAGGTAAGCTGGGGTGGTAAGAACTGGTAATACTGAAATTGTGTTGAGTTATGTAGGCTATGCAGTGCAGGATCTGCTTAGCACAGCTTTCCGGTGCTTAGATCCTAATTACAAATGTAAATTGAGGGCTGCAACTGTTGGAGAGCCACCAAATGATGACCTGGATATACTTATTTCTGAGCCTGCTCAAACATCCCTCCTCTTCACCTTAGGAAGCCCTATATCCAATCTCTCTTCCTCTATCCCTGTCATTCCCAAATTGTGTGCTGAGACTCCCCAGAGTGCTGCAGCAGACTCACAGGGATGATACGGGATATTTTAAATGTTTGAAGGCAATACAACCACATGCAACATCTGACAGACGCTATGTGAATTACCATCTCAGGTGTTTCACAGTTTCATCATTAGATCATGCTACAATTCTTTGGATAATACTGTATCTTTGCAAAGTTGCATAATTTTTTTCGGTAGTTGCTGTGATTAAAAGCAAGTGTGTATGGAATAGGAAATGTGGATGGCAGTGCCTAATATGTACAATTCCAATATTAAGGAAGTTGTGCAGGGCCCAATAGGTACACACATCCCTTTAGTAAACAAGTGTGAATCTTGAAGAATGAAATAAAAATGTTTCCTTTCAATTTATGCATTTTTTTATCAAATGGCTATTGAGTTATTAGGACATAAATACTTATTAAGTTGTTCCATAAAATGGAACTCAGGTATTTCTTTTGGTCCGTGGGCTCTCCCTGGAAAACATTACTGAGACCGTTAGGGCACCATGAACTAAGTTGGAGAGTTATTGTTATTATTATTTTTTGAGATGGAGTTTTGCTCTTGTTGCCCAGGCTGGAGTGCAGTGACATGATCTCGGTTCACTGCAACCTCTGCCTCCCAGGTTCAAGCGATTCTCCTGCCTCAGCCTCCCGAGTAGCTGGGATTACAGGCGCCCGCCACCATGACCAGCTAATTTTTGTATTTTTAGTAGAGACGGGGTTTCACCATGTTGGCCGGGCTGGTCTTGAACTCCTGAGCTCAAGTGATTCTCCCAAAGTGTTGGGATTACAGGTGCAAGCCACCATGCCCAGCCAAATTGGAGAGTTATTATAGACAAAAAAAAAAAAAAGAAAGGATCTTCCCCTCCTTACCTTCATCAGTCCTCCCACTGTGAACTCTCCCTTCTGAACAAACTCACTGTGTCCCTTATATCTCTCTTTCTTCACCATTAGCTCCTTCTCCCACCTGAAAGATGAAGTTTCATTGATCCTTTAAAAATAAAAGAAAGAAAATCAAGCCTTGTCGAATGTTGTTACCACCTCCTCTTCCATTCTCCTTTCCTTCTCCTCCTCCTTCTCCTCCATCTTTCCCTTTCCTTCATTGCCCGACTTAAGAACAGTCTTGTCCCGATTCCTTTACTGCTCATATCATATCCACATTGCTAAAACCTTGTCTGGCTTTGTCCCCTGCTGCTGCCTTTATGTGGCCCTCACCAGGGTCACTGACAAGTTCCAAATAACCAACCCAACGCCACTCATATATCTGCATCATAGTCACAATAAGCTGAGGTCTCACGTTCCCCCACCTGATATTTTGGCTTCTGCTGGTTCCTGTGTCTAGAACATCTGCAGCTGTGTTACCTTCTCATTAATAACAGTGGTGTTGATAGCTCATCTTGAGTTTCCTTCTCCCATAGAGCCTCTGGGGACCTCAATACCCCCTTACCACGCTATCCGCCAAAATGCTCAGAGGTATTTGAAGCCACAGGCTGTACCACACAGTTTTGTGTCCTCTGTAGTACTTTCACACACAGTAGGAAGGTAGTAAATATGGGTTTGAAAGGAGCAGCACTGTTCAGAATAGGTGGTCCAGACTTTGGTCTCCCAGGAACCCCTGCTAACATATGCTGAAAGAACCTATAGGTATGATGAGGTTGGCTTCTGAGATGGAACGATAGACTCCAAATCTTTCTCTCAACTTACCAAATAGAGACCTTTCTTTCTCATTATATAAGTAATGCATGTGTACTGTAGATAAGTTAGAAAATGAATACCAAGGAAAGGAATAAAGCTTATATTTAGAAATAACAACTACTTATACTTGTATTTTTATATATTAACTGTTAGAATTTTATTTCCGTATATGTGAAAGATATATATTTATGAAGTATAAATAGGATTATATTTTACTTGTTTCTTTATGATCTCCTTTTGTTGCTTAGGAACACTACATATGGTGAAATAGAATAGATGAATTTAATAAAAGTTACATAGTATTTTATATTACACTATTGCTCATTATTATTTTTAATTTTGAAAATATATATTACATCATTATTCCAGGAAATTATCTATATCAGTACTACTCAAAGGTGTCCATGGACTGGTGCCAGTATGAAAATTAATACAGGTCCATGATATAAGTACAGGAATTACGAGTAAGGCTTCAGAAACTTTTAAAGGAAAGTAACATTCCCATATCTGGTAACTCATTTTAGAAACTATTTTTAATACAAAATATTACATATTAAATGCTTATTAACAGAAGTAACTACTATTAAAATCATTCCATATTTTACACATATTTCACCACCTAACCACCCCCCAGTGCCCGCCCAGATTTTTTCATATAACTGGGAAGCCACAGTCCATATTATTCTTCCACTGGCTTTTTTCACTTAGTAGGTTTCTTTCCAAGAAGGTACCAAAGAGAAAAATTGAGATAGAATCTATTGAAGGTTCTTGAGGAATAATTTACTTATAGTAAAATTTACCCTTAGTGTAGAGTTCCATGAAATTAACCCAAGTGTAGAGTCTGGACAAAGATGTCTGATAATTATCATAACAATCAAGATAATGAACAGTTACCTTTCTGGAAAATTACCTCCTGTACCTTAGTAGTCAACCATCCCCAACCATCCCTACCATCCCCACTTCCTGGCAATGCTGATTCTATTTCTGATCCTAAAATGTTGCCTTTTTGAGAAATAAATGGAATCATACCATAGTTTGGACTCTGGCTTCTTTTACTTATCATAACGCATGTAAGATCTATCTATATTGTTGCAATGTATCAGTAGTTCATTCTTTTTTATTGCCGAGCAGTTTTTCACATATGGATGTACTACTATTTGTTTATCCATTCATAAGCTGAGGGGCAGTTAGTCCAGATTTTGGTGATTATGAATAAAGCTGCTATTAACATTTGCATAGAATTTTTGTGTGAACATGAAATTTGTGTGTGGACGTGTTTTCATTTCTTTTGGGTAATTACTTGGAAGTTGGATTGCTAAGTCTCGTGATACATGTATGTTTAACTGTGTAAGAAATTGCCAGACTGTTTTTCAAAGTGGCTGGCTGTATCATTTTGCATTGCTTCCAGCAATGTATGAATGTTCCAGTTCTACTCACTTGCTATATATAACTTGATATTGTCAATATCTTTTTGTTTTAGTTTTAGTTTCAATTTTTGCCTTTCCAATAGATGTGTAATGATATCTATGCCATTGTGGTCATAATTTGCATTTTCTTAATGACTAATGATGTTGGGTACCTTTTCATATGCTTACTTGGGATTCACACATCATCTTTGGTTAAAGTCGGTTCAAATCTTTTGTCCATTTAAAAAAGTGGGTTGTCGGGAGGCGGAGCTTGCAGTGAGCCGAGATCGTGCCACTGCACTCCAGCCTGGGAGACAGCGAGACTCCGTCTCAGAAAAAAAAAAAAAAAGTGGGTTGTTTGATTTTTTATATTGAGTTTTGAGATTTCTTTATATCATTTAGATATAAGTCATTTTGAGATATGTATTTTGAAAATACTTTATCCCGGTCTGTATCTTCCTTTTTCATTTTATTAACAGTGTCTTTTGAAGAGCAAAAGTTTTAAAGTTTGATAAAGTCCACTTTATCAACATTTTTCTTTTATAAGTCATAGTTTTGGTAGCGTATCTAACAAGTCTTGGCTAATAAAAGATTATAAAGATTTTCTCTTGTTTTATTTTCAAAATTTTATAGCTCTAGTTTTTACATTTAAGTGTATGATCCACTTTGAGTTATTACTTGTATATGGTGCCAGGCATAGGTCATGGGTTGTTTTTGTTTTTTTGTATACAGATATTGAACTGCTTCAGCTTCATTTGTTGAAAAGGCCTGCCTTTCTCCTGCTTGCCTTTCATCTTTGTCAAAAATTAATTGGCCATGTACATTGGTCTCTATCTTTAGACTCTATTCTATCTCACTGATTTATGTGTCTATCCTTTCATCAGTATTACATTGTCTTAATCACTGTATAGTGTATTTTGAAATCAAGTAGTAGAAGTCCTCTGATTTTGTACTTTTTTGACAAATTATTTTGGGTATTCTAGTTCTTTTGCATTTCCCTGTAAATTTTAATATCAGCTTGTTAATTTCTATAAAAAATTTTGCTGGGACTTTCAGATTCTGTTGACTATGTAGTGCATTTTTGAGAGAATTGACATCTTAACAATATTGAGTCTGTGAAGATGGTATCTCTCTCTATTAATTTAGATCTTTTTATAACTTTTAATCTGTTTTATAATTTTCAGCATATAAATCTTGCTCATACTTTGTTAGATTTGTACATAAATATTGTATGTGCTTTGTGCTATTATAAATGGTATGAGCTTCGAAATTTTAATTTCCAATTGTTCATTGCTAGTTTCACTTTGCTAAGCTTACTTATTATTTCTGAGTGATTTTGTAAATTGAGATTTTTTTTTTCAAATTGACAATCATGTTACTTTTATTTTTATTTTATTTTATTTTATTTTATTTTATTTGAGACAGAGTCTTGCTCTGTCGGCCAGGCTGGAGTGCAGTGGCATGCTCTTGGCTCACTGCAACCTCCGCCTCCCAGGCTCAAACAATTCTCCTGCTTCAGCCTCCTGAGTAGCTGAGATTACAGGCATGTGCCACCATGCCTGGCTTATTTTTGTATTTTTGGTAGAGATGGGGTTTCACCATGTTGGCCAGGCTGGTCTTGAACTCCTGACCTCAGGTAATCTGCCTGCCTCAGCCTCCCAAAGTGCTGGGATTACAGGCGTGAGCCACCGTGCCCGGCTTCATGTTGCTTTTAAATAGAGACAGTTTTATTTCCTCAGTTTCAATTCTTAGATTCTTTAATTATTTTTATTGCCTTATTCTACCACTTAGAACAACAGTACTTAGAATCACAGTAACTTAGTACCACAATTCCACAGTACTATGTAAAACAGGCATAATGCATGCAGATATCTTTGCCTTAATCCCAGTCTTGAAAGGAAGACAGCCAGGCTATCACAACTAAGTATGAAGTTAGCTATAGATTTTTTGCAAACGTCCTCTATCAGATTGAAGATGTTTTCTTCTATCTCTAGTTTGCTGAAAGTTTTTATCATTAATAATGTTGAATTTTGTCAAATGTTTTTCTGCATTCATTGAGGTGAGTATATAGTTTATTTTCTTTAGTCTGTGTATATGGTGAATTTCATTGATTGATTTTTGAATATTGAACCAGCCTTGCATTCCCAGGATAAACCCTACTTGGTAATGACATATTTTTAATATTAATATATTGCTAGATTTGATTTATTAATATTTTGTTGTAGATTTTAATTTTAAACTGATACTAATTGTACTTATTCATGTGATACTTTGTGATATTTCAATAAATATAATGTATAGTGATCAGATGAGGATAATTAGCATATCTATTATCTCACATATTTATCATTTCTTTGCATTGGGGAAATTCAATATCCTCTCTAGCTATTTAAAACTATGTATTATTGTTAACTATAGTCATCCCACAGTGGTCTAAAACACTAAAACTTATTTCCCCTTTCTAGCCATATTTTCTTCATCTATGTTTGTAATTAATATTGGTCTATAGTTTTCTTGTGATATTTTATCTGATTTTGGTGTCAGTGTGTAATACGTTATACAATGAATTTAAAAGTGTTCCCTCCTATTTTCTAGAAGCATTTGTGTAGAATTTGTATTATTCTCTACTTATATGTTTGGTAGAATTCACTAGCAAATATATCTAATGAATATAGATACATTCATTAGACATGTAGTTTTTTATCACTTTTGTTGTCAAAGTTGTCAGAAGATTTTTAACTACAAATACAATTTCTTTAATTGGCAGAGGGCTATTCAGATTATCTATTTCCTTTTAGGATGAGATTTGGTAATTGGTGTCTTCAAAGGGATTTGACAATGCCATTTAAATACAATTTAGGGTCCTAAAGTTTGTAATATTCTTTCATTATCATTTTAATATCTTAAATATCTGTATTAGCGTCCCATCTTTCATTGCTGATATTGACAACTTGTACTTTCTTCTTTTTTTTCATATTAAATCTGACTAGAAGTCTATCAGTTGTATTGACTTTTTTTTAAAGAACTAGATTTTGGTACTACTAATGTAACCGCCCAGCAGGTTCACCTTACCTGTTGCCTAGACAGAGCCAATTTATCAAGATGGGCAATTGCAATACAGAAAGAGTTATTCACCCAGAGCCAGCTGTGTGGGAGACTGGAGTTTTATTATTACTCCAATCAGTCTCTCCAAGCATTTAGGAATCAGAGTGTTTAAGGACAATTTGGTGGGTAGAACCCAGTGAGTCAGGAGTGCTGATTGGTCAGGTTGGAGATGAAATAATAGGGAGGTGAAGCTGTCCTCTTGCATTGAGTCAGTTCCTGGGTGAGGGCTACCAGATGAGCCAGTTTATCAATCTGGATGGTGCTAGCTGATTCATCAAGTGCAGGGTCTGCAAAATATCTCAAGCATTGATCTTAGGTTTTACGATAGTGATGTTATCCTGAGGAGCAATTTTGGGAGGGTCAGAATCTTGTGCCTTCCAGCTACATGACTCCTAAACCATAATTTCTAATCTTGTAGCTAATATGTTAGTCCTACCTACAAAGGCCATCTAGTCCCCAGGCAAGAAGGAGGTTTGTTTCAAGAAAGGTCTGTTATTGTCTTTGTTTTGAAGTTAAACTATTAATATAAACTAAGTTCCTCCCAAAGTTAATTTGACCTATGCCCAGGAATGAACAAGGACAGCCTGGAGGTTAGAAGCAAGAAGGAGTTGATTAGGTCAGATCTCTTTCACTATCTCAGCTATAATTTTGCAATGGCAGTTTCATTAATTTTTTTAATTTTCTTTTTTATTTTATTCATCTCTGCTTTGTCTGTCTTAATTTATTTGTTCTTTTGGCTTTGCATTTAATTTGCTTTTATTTTTCTACTTTCTTAAGGTAGAAACCTAGATTCTTGATATTCTTTACTAGTGTAAGCATTTTAGTGCTATAAATTTCCCTCTGAGCCCTGCTTTAGCTGCATCCCATGTATTTTGTTTTATTCAATTAAAATATATTTTCCACATTGCCTTATGACTTCCTTTTACCTGTGTTCTTTAGACTTTAATTTGTTAATTTCATATACTTGGCAATATTCCAGATATCTTTTTTGTATTCATTACTAGTTTAATTTTGTGTGGTTAAAAAGGAAATAAATAATAAATAAACCAATAGTAATAATAATAATTTTGTGTTGTTAGATAACACACTTTGTATTATTTAAATTCTGTTAAATTTATTGAGGTTTGTTTTATTGCCCAGAATACTGTCTGTTTTAGTGACTGTTTTGTTTGTATTTGAAAATAATATGTATTTTTACTGTTGTTTCATATGAGGCTTCATAATGTTAATTAGGTCAGGTTGGTTGATAGTGTTGTTCAGGTCTTCTATATCAGTGTCTACTTTATTGATTAGTGAGAGAGGAGTGATGAAGTCTCCAACTGTAATCATAGATTTTTCCCTTTTTTCTTTCAGTTTTATCATTTTTTGCTTTATGTATTTTGAAGATCTGTTGTTAAGTACATACACATTTAGGATTGTTATGTGTTCCTGATAAATGACCTCTTCATCATTATGTAATATTCTTCTTTATTTCTGGTAATGGTGTTGCAGAACTTTGCTCCTTAGTTCAGCTAAAACCAGGTTCTTGTCACATGATCAGGAAAAGTTAGGCACACAGACATATTGAAGGGTAAAGGGAATGTGGAATCTATTGGGCAAAAAGGAAAAAAGAAAAAAAACTCTCAGAAAGCAAGAGGGGTTCCTGCTAACAGGCCCCCATCTCACAGATTGATTTCAGGCCATACACAGGAACGGAAGAGGCCAGGCTCCTCCCCACCTCCACATGACACAAGCTTCCCGTGGCTTCAGCCCTTTCTCCCAGTGTGCAGGCAGGTCGGAGATTCCAGGGACCCTCTCCCTTATCTGCCTCCAACATCAATCAATGGCTTTTGCTTTATGGGTGGGTCTTGCTCATTGATGAGTCCTGCCTCAGCTGTAGGAGACCTCTGATAGTCCAGGTCTAGGATCACTTACTGTTCTTCTGCAGGGGTTGAAGTCTTTCATTCTTTAACATTTTCCTCAGATACAGTATGCCCCCAGCATGACAGTGTATGCTACCTCTTTCCCAGCAATTTAAAGCTTTTGTTCTTTTAAGGGACAAGTAATTTTGAAGAGCTCTCTGCCTTTCCATTAGTAGCATCTGCTCCCTCCTGTAGAATTGAGGGTAGCTTTCCCTGTACCCTAGTCCTGCCCCCACTCTTTCTCTGTGAGCACATAGAGAGGTCCTTGGAAAAGAGTGGCTGTGAACCCCTCTGTGTCTGCAGTTCCAGGGATTCTATTTTCTCATGCTAGTACATAGTTGGCCTTCAGCAATCTATTGAAAATTTTAGCTGAATTCTTCACATCCAGGCATCAGAGGCCCCATCTTCCTCCCACTGGTTCAGTTCCCTGCTGGGATCAAGAAAAGTAATAATTTTACAAATTATCCAGCTCTTTTTTTTTATTGCATGAGTGATATTCTCTCCAGCTTTTTATATTCAAAGAGGAAGCCAGAAGTCCTAATAATTCATTTTATTACAAAAGTATCTATTTATGAAGGATAGGAAATTTAATATAAACAAAAACTACTGATTGTTTAAGAAGTGCTAGTCTGTACCTTTATGAACTGATTTATATTTTCATTCTATGCCACATCTTGGTCTTATTAGGTCCTTGGGTTTGTTACCTGGTAGTAAGGCTGGCTTTTTGTTGTTAGTTCTAAATTTACATCTTTTGAACCAAAAGTTCTAGTATGGCAGAATTTGCTGACTATTCATGTATTCACCCTTATTATCCCCTTTTCCTTTTAAAAAATTTTATTGCCAGGCACAGTGGCTCATGCCTGTAATCCCAACACTTTGGGAGGCCAAGGCAGGCGGATCAGTTGAGGCCAGGAGTTTGAGAACAGCCTGACCAACATGGGGAAGCTCTGTCTCTATTAAAAACACAGAATTAGCCAGGCGTGGTGCCACACACATGTAATCCCAGCTACTTGGGAGGCTGAAGCAGGAGAATCACTTGAACCCGGGAGGCAGAGGTTGCAGTGAGCCTAGATCACACCGCTGTACTCCAGCCTGGGCAACGAGATTGAGACTCTGTCTCAAAAAAAAAATGTATTAAGATGAAATTCATATTGAACATTTAGAAGTGAACAATTCAGTGACATTTAGTACATTCGCAGGGTTGTGTGACTGCCCTTTCTATCTAGTTCTAAACATTTCCATTGTTCCAAAGTCAAGCTCGTAACCCACAAAGCAGTTTCTCCCATTTCCCACTCTTCCAGCCCTTGGGGAATAACAATCTGCATTTTGTCTCCATGGATTTATCTATTTCTTATAAATATTATAAATATGATTATGAAGTTTATATATTTCTTATAGAGTCTTACAATATGTGACTTTTTGTAAATGACTTCTTTCACTTAGCATAATGTTTTCAAGATTATCCACATCATAGCATGTATCAGTATTTCATTCCTTTTCATGACTGAATAATACTCCTTTGTATGGCTATATCACATTTTGTTTATCCATTCATCCTTTGATGGACGTTTGGGTGTTTCCATCTTTTCACTATTGTGAATAGTGCCACTATGAACATATTTTTATTGCATCTGTTTTTTTAACTTTTATTTTAGATGTGCAGGTTTTTTACATAGGTAAACCGCGTTGTTGTGGGGTTTGGTGTACAGATTGTTACCCAGGTAATAAGCACAATACCCTATGGGTATTTTTTCTGATCCTCTTCCTCTTCCCACCCTCTACCATTAAGTAGGCCCCATTGTTGTTCCCCTCTTAGTGTTTGCGAATTCTCATTGTTTAGCTCGCATTTATAAGTGAGAACCTGCAGTATTTGGCTTTCTGTTCGTGCATTAGTTTGCTTAGCATAATGGCCTCCAGCTCCATCCATGTTGCTGCAAAGGACATAATCTCATTTGTTTTAATGGCTGCATAGTATGCTATGGTATAAATGTACCATATTTGCTTTTTCCATTTAGGTCAGTTCCATGTCTTTTGTTTTTTTGTTTGTTTGTTTTGAGACAGGGTCTCACTCTGTCACCCAAGCTGTACTGCAGTGGCGCAATCATGGTTCACTGCAGCCTCAAACACCTGGGCTCAAGCTATTCTCCCACCTCAGCCTCCTGTGTAGCTGGGACTATAGGTGTGCACCACCATGCCTATCTATTTTTTAAAAATTTTTTGTAGAGATAGGGTCCTCTGTTGCCCAGGCTGGCCTTTAACTCTTGGGTTCAAGCAGTCCTCCCGCCTTGGCCTCCCAGATTGCTGGGATTAGATGTGAGCCACTGGCCTGAACATGTCCTGCTTGAGTACCTGTTTTCCATTCTTTAGGGTATATACCTGGGAGTGGAATTGCCGGGTCATGTGGTAATTCTACGTTTAATGTTTTAAGGAACCTACTATCTCCTTTGACTATAATTTTTGTCATATTGCTCTTTGAGTTTGTCTTCCCAGAGGGCCCTAACTTTTCATTATTGAAGTAAGACAGGCAAGGAAGTCATCTTTCTACTAGTTTCATGTAGGAACCTTTGTAGCTTCTCTAAAGAGGATGATTTTTTTGGGTCTCCTTTAAGACTTTCCTAGCAATTTCATAACCTTCTTGGATGGAAGATACAACATGGCAAAATGCAGTTGAGGATAAAGAGGTTGTTTTTAACAATAAGAGCCCTCTTGAAAAGTCATGAGTTTTGCATGACAAGAAGTGCTTCCAGTTGCCAGTGGGAGAGTTTCCTCATCATGCAGAGTGGATGACTCACTGCCCTTGACTGCTCTTCTGATCCCGGGGGCCTCTGTTCTCTCACAGTAGATGCAGCACACAGAGCTGCCAAGGCATTTCCAGCAGGGGGTTCTGTGCTCAGGTTTTGAACAAGGGCAGCATGATGGAGCCTGACTTACTCATACACTTCCTGAGGTTGATGAACACATTTTCACCCCTTTTAGTTGTGGTAGGTAATGTATTCATAAATTCAAGCCTTTTTCCCAGATTGTAATGGATAGTTTATATCTCTCTCATGATTATTTAATTATTCAAGCCAGGATGACTGTGTGTTTTCTATCAGAGTTTGGGCTGCCTCAGCAAGATGCAGACTGGTATCTGCCCTTAGGTTAAAAATTCCGGCCAGACATAGTGGCTCACGCCTGTAATCCCAGCACTTTGGGAGGCTGAGGCGGGTGGATCACGAGGTCAGGAGTTCAAGACCAGCCTGGCCAAGATGATGAAACCCTGCCTCTACTAAAAATACAAAAGTTAGCCAGGTGTGGTGGTGGGCGCCTGGAATCCCAGCTACTTGGGAGGCTGAGGCAGAGAATTGCTTGAACCTGGGAGGTGGAGGTTGCAGTGAATGGAGATCATGCCACTGCACTCCAGCCTGGGTGACAGAATGAGACTCTATCTAAAAAAAAAAAAAAAATTCCACACCATTCCCTTCTTCCAAGTATGGATGGAATTTCTTCCAGGATCTGCCAGCTTTTGTGTGTGTTTGTGTGTGTTGTGTTTGTTTGTGTGTGTTTGTTGAATGTCTGTCTACCACTAGAATGCAAGGCCCAAGCAGGGAAGGACCATGGCTCTTCTACCCTCTGCAGACTCTCCAGGGACGGCACTATGCTTGGGTGTGTGGCCTACTCCCTATTTGTCATCCCAGACCTATGTTTTACTCTTCTTTCCCTTGCTCTGTGTCCTGGGGTGATAATGCCTTCAACCACCAGGCTCCATTGCCCTCTGGCTTCTGGTTGGGTTTGGACAATGAGGGAGAGGTAGGGCTACTTCCCCTCCCATTGCCACCTGCAACTTTGTGGTTCTGGCTGTGTCCATCCAGGACTATAGCCTTTCATGCCAGGCTGCCCTCCCTGCAGCTCTGGGTCTCCCTGCAGCTCTAGGTCTCCCTGCAGCTCTGGGTCTCCCTGCAGCTCTGGGTCTCACCGTGTGTCTTGGCCACGGCTATCTGCTCTGGGTAGCTCTGGTGCTTCAGTGTCCCCGGGGTTCCTTTGATCTTGCCCACACCCCTGTAAAGAATTTGTTCTTTTAAAATCCCAGGTGAATATGCCTTCTCTTTCTTGCCAGGGTCATGACAATGGGCTGAATTTTTGAATAGATGAGTGGATGGATGAGAAGACGAAGGGCCGTGTTTGTGGCTCACCCCCCATATGGAACCCCCCTCTGGCTGCCATCTCACTGGGAGGCCTTGCCCTGTCTCATGTCCCTGCTGCCTTTCTCCTGCACTCCCCTTTCTCAATCTGTCCCAACCATACTGGCTCCATTGCTGTTTCTAGAATGTACAAAGCAAGCTCCTGCTCCAGGCCTTTGCTCTAGCCATTCTCTCTGCCTGCAAGTGTCTTCTCTCAGATATCCACTTGGCTAATTACCTTTTCTAGGTTTTGCTGAAATCTTACCTTTTCTATGAGCCTCACCCAAACCACTGTATTTAATAATGGAAACTGCCCTCCACCAATATCACCTTGGCAGCCAAGGGCCTCCTTCATCTTGGTCTGTGTTTCTTTTTTCCAGAACACTTACCACGTTTTAAGAAACTGCATTTGACTTATATATTTATTGACATAAATATTATGCTTAATATTTATCATCTGTCTCTACCTGCTAGAATTTAAACTCCAAAAGGCAGGATTTCGTTACCGTTTTTTTCCATGGGTATATTCCAGACTCCCAGAGCAATGCCATCTTCACAATAAGTGCCTGTGATAGGTTGAAGAGTGCCTTCCACCCCAGAAGATATGGTCCCCTGGAACCTGTGAATGTGGGCTTATTTGGGGGGTGGGGGGGAAGAGTCTTTACACATGTAATTAAGTTAAGAAGTCCAAAATGAAATCTTCCTATATTAGTGTAAGCCCTCGATTCTAGGAAAAGTTCTTTTAATAGAAGAGACAGGGAAACAGACACAGAGACACAGGGGAGAAGGCCAGGAGAAGACAGGCAGAGACTGGAGTTATGTAGCCCCAAGCCAAGACATGCCTGAAGCCACCAGCAACTGGAAGCGGCAAGGATGGATTCTCCCCTAGAGCCTTTGGAGGGAGTGTGGCCCTGCAGACTTCTTGATTTCAGAAACCTGGCCTCCGGAACTGGGAAGGAATAAATTTGTGCTGTTTTGTTTTGTTTTTTTGAGATAGTCTTGCTCTGTTGCCCAGGCTGGAGTGCAGCGGCATGATCTTGGCTCACTGCAACCTCTGCCTCCCCAGTTCAAGCAATTCTCCTGTCTCAGCCTCCTGAGTAGCTGGGACTACAGGCGCATGCCACCATGCCCGGCTAATTTTTGTATTTTTAGTAGAGACAGGGTTCTGCCATGTTGGCCAGGCTGGTCTCAAACTCCTGACCTCAGGTAATCCACCCACCTCAGCCTCCCAAAGTGCTGGGATTATAGGCATGAGCCACCAGGTCCAGCCAAGTTTGTGCTGTTTTAAGCCATCAAGTTTGTGGTCATTTGTTATAGCAGCCCCAGGAAACTATTAGTATAGTGCCCAATAAGCATGTGCCGAATGAGTCCACGCAAGCCTTGTTAACACTGATATGACCTCCATTTGAAATAATTCTTCTGCTTTTAATAGCTACCAATGCCTGTTAGTAAATGTGAGTACGTCTGACATTTAAGCAGTGTTCCAGTTTGGGGTATGGTATGGTCCATTTTTGCAGTAGAAACTTAAACTTCCTGAAAATTTTCACCCACTATGCTTAACAGCTTAAAGTCTAACCTAACCCCCAAATAATTGCTTTCACTGTAAACCTATCAATAGCGTATGGAGAATGAACTCACAAATTATTGGTTCTTCAGGCAGTGGATGGGAACCCCTGTTGGTCTTTAGCCATGAAATATCCCTGTATCATTTCCCCATTTTTATCCTGAGTCCCTCCTGCTGTATTTAAGCTAATTCTCAGTGATTGTGTCTTTGGAGGAGTCCGTCACAAGCATCTATGTGATCACCCTTTGTATACCTGACAGGGGTTATTTTTTCTCCCCCAGGCCCAGTCCTGGTGCGTGCTGGGCTTGTGATGCAGTGTGGTACTAACTATCTGCTCCTTGTAGGAGACGGAAGGTAAATCAAATTGAAAACACCCTTCCTGTGTAGTGCGTCTTCCAAATGTCCTCAGGTCTCTATTACATCTTCTGGAGGCTGCCAGATTCTCTGCGGGACAAGAGGAAGCTGGAGCAGCTTCTCTGTAGCGACAGAAGGTGCCATTAGCAGAAATACATCATCTCCCAGTGGTGCTAGCAATAGCAGAGTCCTGATCATGTCCATTCTTTTGCCAGACTGAGGAGAGAGTCCTCAGAGGCAGGGGCTGCTGGTAACAGCGCCTCCATCATTCTAAAATATTCCCCCTGGAGTCCCAGAGCAGCTATTTCTGCCCAGACGCAACGAGAGCTTCACAGAGCTTATTTCAGGCATTGATCTTTCACAAAAGCCTCCCTGCTTCCTAGATTCCAGGCCTTCTCTAGAAGGGGTGGGGGAGGTAGAGGCCTGCACATGGCTGATCAGTTGCTCTGGCTGGGGCTGGATCACTTCTTCCAGGTGTTGCTCATTAGATCTCTTTTCAAGGGAAATCTATTAGCCTGGAGCAGTGGTTCTAAAACTGCAGCTTGCAGGGCTTGGTAAAACAAATTTCTGGGCCTCACCCCTAAAGTTTGGGATTTAGTAAGTCTGGGGTAGGGCCTGAGAATTTGCATTTCTCACAAGTTCCCAGGTGATGCTGAGGCTGCTGACCTAGGGACCACATTTCAGAACCAGCGGCTTAGATGCAGAGAGACGATGTTCTTGTGTTCTCTCCTACTTAGTCTTGGCCTCAGTCCTCCTACTTAAGGCAGTCTGGGCCTTTTGAGGTTGGGCCAGGCCCTGTCTCACCCTGTTTCTGGAATGCAGTGAAAACAGCTCTTGATTCTGTGCAGCCCATCTGTGCTAGTTACCTCTGTCTCCCAGGAGAAGAGAGCAATGAACCTTCTTCCTCCATGGCTCTGTTTCCGCTGTCTCTGTTAACACTGTTTCCTCCCCCTTGGTCCTTTAGCCCTCACAGCTTCCCCCTTTTGCTGGTCTCTGGATGCCTCAACATACCTGTGTGGCTCCTCTGACCCTGTCCTTTAAATAGACCTTTCTTTTTATTTTATTTTACTTTTTTGTGAAACTTTAAGTTCTGGGATACATGTGCAGAATGTGCATGTTTGTTACATAGGTGTAAACGTGCCATGGTGGTTTGCTGCACCCATCAACCCATCATCTAAGTTTTCAACCAGCATTCAAGACCATTTGTGTTGAATTCTGGTTCCTGCTGGTACCATGTCCTGGGATATTTCTTCCCTTAGGGGCAAAGAGTTTTCTAGACAGACTGAGTCAGAATCACTTAGTCTTTATCTCAAGAGCAGCCTTGTCACCCACAGTAGAAGGCAGAATTACTGTGGAGTCTAACAGAAATTAGGGAAGTAAGAAATTTATACCAAATGGAAATATGGAAGATTTATCTCACTTATTTCAAGCTTGGGGAAATACTAGCCTTTAAATGTCTGATTACTAGAGCCTGGGAATAAAGAGGGACTGCTTAACCTAGGGAAGTGGTCTTTGGTAATTGGGTCTCTGATCCAATTGATCGGCGAACAAATCTGTCATCATAGAGTCACTGGGGCAGCTACCCTCGGCCCAACTCTGCTGTAGGTGCCTCCATGACCTGACTAGATGTAGTTGTGAATGGAGCTGGGATTGTGGAGGGACTTCATATGTACATTACGCATGTGTGGAAAGGTAAAATAACCATCAGTCTTCCAATTAGAAAGCCAGAAAGCTACCTGGGACATAATCAATGAGGGCAGGCAGATTCACATTCCATTTGGGTGTGCAAGGGTATGTGTGTATATACGTGCAAAGATAAACACCCCTACACACATCATTAAAGAAAAGAATGGAAGGAAAATCACCCAGATGTTAATCATGTTTTTCTCTGGTTATTGCAATTACAGATGATTTTTGTTTCCTATTTTTCTGTGTTTTCTGTTTTTATTCAATGAAATATTTTTATTCTTCCAAAAATATGTTAAGTGTGGCATAGGAAATAGAGCTCAGTGCCCTGCCCTCTGCTCAGCACCTATCCAAATCCTATTAACATACCACATAGTTCAGGTTCTGCCTCCTCCAAGAAGACTTTCCTGACCAGCCTCTTGCTGCTAAATTTTGGAAATACTTTTGCTGAGTGATTGTTCCTACATTGAGTATATTTGTCTTATTTCTTCAAGTGCACTGTGACTTATGCAAAGATACTTTTTCTGTTTTCCATTTCCCACAAGGCCAAATACAGCTGAACTCATTGTAGATACTTGTTCTACAATGGGCAGCGAATTTCTGAAAGGATAGAAAAGATGTGAAAATGTGAAAAACAGACCAAAATGCCATTTCTCCTCACTCACATGCCCCACAGTCATATCTCAACTTGGTTGTAGCTCTCCCTCGCTGAGAGGTCATGACCTCCAGCTTAATGTCAGTGCTGTAGGGCCTTAGAGCACATCTCCTGGATAACAGTGTGCCTGCGCATGGGCTGTGTATTTCTCCCCTCCTTCCAAAGTGGTGAGCACTTTGCATCAAGCGCAAGAAAGATGTTTGATGACCTTAATAGCATTAGTGACAAGGCCTCCATCCTTGTTGGGCACTTTTGGTCTGCTGGTAAAAGAAATGTTCACTCTATCCCCAAGAGAAATCTTCTTTTCCAGGAATATACAGCAAAATCAATCAAGTCTTCCCCCTATTGAAGGCTAGCTACTCCACCCATGTGATAGATGCCATCAATTTTTTCGTCCTCTGGGGAAACAGAGTCATTTTTTCCTTCTTTATCTTGCATAGTCAGTGCTCCCTTACAACACAGTAATTCCCATCAGGTTTTGAGAACTCTGTCTTCTCCCTTTAAGCAACCACCCTACCAGAAGCCCTCTTCAGTTCTTTCTCTTTTTGCTTTAGTGTCAAATTTTCAAAAGACCTGTCTATTCCTGTACTCCCCATTTTGTTACCTTCAACTTATTCAGCGATTCAGTGCAGTGTGTATCAGCGCAGAATTTGGCTCCACTATTCTACCATTAGCTTAATTCCCTCCATGTTGCTAAATCCAATGGACCTCTCAGTGCATATCTTATTTGGCTTTTTGCTAGTACTATAAACCTTTGTTCACCTCTTCTTTTTCGAAGCACAGTCTTTCCTTGGCTTTAGTGACCTATGTGGCTTTTGACCACCTCCCTGGCCACTCTTACATCACCATCTCTGTACAGGCTCATCTACATTTACCCAGCTGATCAATGTTGAAACACCTTGGGACTCAGCCCAAGGACCTCTCTTCGTCTCGGGCTGTACTTTCTTTCTTGGAGGCCTCATTCACATCCAGGTTTTCATGGGACAGCCACAGTTTGAAAGTACTCAGGGATGTGTCCTCTGACCACCAGAGAAATATTTGCCTCTGCCTTCTTGACATGTCTCAGACGCCTCAAAGGTCCCTCTTGTTCTTCCTGTGCATGGCCAGTCCTCCTTCAAGGACCTCTGAGATCTCAGCAAATGGCACTGTCACCCCTACAGGTATGCAAGTCAGAAGCTTGAGTTGGCCGATCTGTTCCACATTCTACCTGCCACACTGCCTCAGCATTTCTCAAAGCCATCCACTCTTGTTCTTTACTTCTGTCACCCAAATTCAAACCATATCATGTTCATGGCTTTCATTTTTAAAATTCTGGACTATTATAGTCCCCAAACTAGTCTTACTTCCATCAGCTTTTGACCCCTTGCAGTCTACTCTGCTTCCTTGAACAGATCTTTGCAAAATACAGACAAATCAGGTCATCCTCCTGCTTCAAACCTTGCACTGGCTTAGTCTTGCTTTTAGGGTGACAGGGTTTGGCTGTGGCCCCACCCAAATCTCAACTTGAATTGTATCTCTCAGAATTCCCACATGTTATGGGAGGGACCCACGGGGAGGTAATTGAATGATGGGGCCCCGTCTTTCCCATGCTCTTCTCGTGATAGTGAATAAGCCTCATGAGATCTGATGGTTTTATCAGGGGTTTCCACTTTTGCTTCCTCCTCATTTTCTCTTGCCGCTGCCATGTAAGAAGTGCCCTTTGCCTCCCACCATGATTCTGAGGCCTCCCCAGCCATGTGGAACTGTAAGTCGAATTAAATCTCTTTTTCTTCCCAGTCTCAGGTATGTCTTTATCAGCAGCATCAAAATGGACTAATACATAGGGTAAAGAGTGTATTCACTACCATAGCCTGCACCACCATGCTTCACCTCATCCCACTGCCTACAGCCCAGCTCCATCTTATACCATCAGCATCCCTGTCCCTACCCCCTACTCATCTACTTTTTAGTCCCTCTGAAGTGTCATTCTCCATCCACAACGGGCCTTTGTTCATTTTGTTTTTTTTTCTCTGCATGCCACATCTGAAATCCCTTCTCTCAGTAACCTAAATCAACTTTGTCCTTCTCATCCTCCAGTTCTTAGCTTGTTATCACTTCCCCTGGGCAGCCTTCCTCCAAGACCAGACCAGATCCTGCTATTTTATGGATCCTCAAAGCAGCCTGTACCTCTCCTTCCTAGCCCTTGTCACCTTTGTGATTTAACATGTCTTTATGTGTTATTTTGCTTCTCTGCTTCCTTAAATAAGCTCCTCAGGACAGGGACCGTATCTTTTTTGCTCATCATTGATATCCTTAGCACCCAGCATAATGCTTGGACGAAGTCCGTACTCAATACCCATCTACTGAATGGAAAAGACTTTGGCAGAAGAAAATGAAGTCAACCACTTGCTCCTCAGACCTGGGTCGAGCAAGCCACCACACCTAAATGTTCAAGTTAGAATCAAGAAAGTTCATTTGAAAGTCATGATTCAGGTTTCCAGCATAAATTATATGCAGTTGTGCAAACATGTCAAAGTTTAGTAAATTGAATTTGTTTAATGTAAACAACTTTTGACCAAAATAATAACACAGCTTTAGAAAAAGACATTAGGCACCCACTTTTGAAGAGTTTGTATAATTTAACACACAAGAAAACTTTACTGTAATTATATGCAGACGTATACAAAGGATAAATGTTATTTACTTGCTCCACCCTCCATAAAATAAACCTCCAACCATGCTTCAGCTTGCTGCATTAATCCTAATTTAGAAATCACCCCCGCCGAAATGGGGGTGGGGGGGGGCGCATGGTGGGCTCTCATCTTTTCTTCGCGTCAAAATTAGCCGTTTAAATTAGAACCACGTTGGGAGCGTAGGTGACGCCAACGTTGCGGCACCAGTCCGGGGAGCACTTAAAAGTAGCCACCTGAAGTTAATTAAAACCTTACCTGTCAAACCCAGTATGGCTACATTTGAAAATCTTTAATGTAATTAAGAGAAGCACATTATGGGAGGTCAAGTGACTTTCTTTTTGAATTCCACTTCTAATCTGTCGTCAAATGGATGGAAATTGCCGGCCGAGGGAGTTAATGAAAGCTGCATGAGCGAGCAAGGGAGCAGGAGGAGGGGCTGGCAGCCTGGAGGAGCTGGCGGGAGGGCGGACGGGGACCCCTGTCTCCTTCTAGCGGCGAGGAATGAGCCTGGGGGAGCCCCACCGGGCAACTTCCCTTCTGCCAGGAGGCTCTGGGTGGGGGGTTCATTCAGCCCCTCTCCCTGAGCACACTGGGGGCATGCAGGAGCAGGGTATGGGGCGTCTGCGCAGCTCCCTGCTTATCGCTAAGTGAGATCTGTGGCCAGGACGGCGGGGCCTGGACAGAGTGGAGCCGGCGCCGGCCCTCGTCACCCTTCACTCAGAGCCGCCTGATTAGCATCAGGGTTCCGCTCGCCTCTTGCACGGATCCCCCAAAGAGCCGGTGGGGAGGGGGGCGCTTCCACGCGGAGCCTCAGCTGTGCAGCGCCTGACCCCAAGCCCGTCAGGGGGAAGGTCTCCCAGGTCCGCAGCCTTCAGCACCCTGGATCTGGGGAAGCCCCAAGAGGCCCTGGTACTGCCCTGGATTTTCTTCTGGGCATGTGGGCTTCTGGGCCACTAAACCCATCTCCTACTGCACTAGGTAGGTCCGGCTCCCGGAGCCCCCAGTGCAATCTTAATGCCAGAACGCTGCCTTTTGGAGATTAAATCACTTAATGCTTTGCTGTGTGTTCTAGCCTGAGGGTGCTGTTGACAGAAGGCAGAGTTTTTCTCTCTGGTTGCTGCTTCTCTCTCTCTTTTTTCTTTTTGCATTGCGTTTGTCTGTATCAGCAGAGGTATCTGTGTTTGAAAAAGGATTAACTCCCTCAGAATGTTGCCACTTAAGTTTTGCCCCTGCCTTGGAAACTGACATGAGAATAAACAACATATTAAGTCTTCACAGAACACTGGTACCAAGAAGTTTCCAAACCAGAGGACTTAACCTCCTTAATCCAGGCCTTTTCCCTTTGACTTCCTCCTGTTAGTCCGAGCATGGGCAGAAGGCATCAGTGGGGAGAGGAGTGTAAATCTTCTAGTTTGGAAATCTCTTCCATACTCCATGGAAAACATTGGGTGTCTCCTGTGGGGCCAGTGTGGTGAGTTACTTGGAACAGAATGGGCAATCTAGTAGGCGTTGAAATATTCAGAAGCATCTCATAGTGTCTTAGAAGATCCAAGACCTAGCCCGATGGGTCTTCTCTGTTATTAGAATTGTGTGGAAGGGTGGCAGACGCAGTTGAGGGGATGGGATGCTGAGAGACAAGGCATTTATTAAAACGACCTCTAGAGACTTTTTTTTTTCCACTGGGCTTGAATTTCTTGGGCTTGGAGAGTTGTCACTACCCCATATGAAAAATGGAAGAGATGAGTGAGAGGAAAGAAGATGAGGGGGGAAAAAACCAACCTGAGAGTGGTTTAAAATCAGAACAGAGTGTTGGTGAGAGTCAGTTTCCAAGGGTCGCCTCTTCATGCTGTATTGCTTTTTCTTGACCAATGAAAAGCCCCCTTTTTCAGATTTCCCCCCATTTCTCATCCATAGCAGAAAGGGCAGTGCTTCTAGAAATTGAGATGTGTCTCCAGGTAAAAGCCACACAAGGCAGTGGGAAGGGATGTGGCTGTCCCCAGCCTCCATTTGATGCCGCGTTTCTCTCCCAGCCACAAGTTCACAGGTAAAAGTGAAAAGTTGCTCTGGACGTCCCTTCCAAAGAGAGCTGTCTGCTCGCCATGGCAACCTTTTCCTGGGGTCTCTGGCTGTCAAGAACGGGGTGCAAAGTTCACAGAGCTCAGCATTGTGCCCTCCTCTCTTCTTGTCCCTTTTTTCCTGAAGGGATCGAGGTTGGTTTGCAGCACAGTTTAAAGCGAAGATGCCAAATGAAAAGTTCCTCGTTTTAAGTTGGTGCTTATACAAAGCTGCTTTGTGGTTTTTTTCGGCCTGTCAGACTTGTCAGGCCTAGTAAGAAAAAGTATATTGTTTCCAGCACTTGGATTCCTTTCTCCCTGACATCTGCCACTCTGTAAAGATGATAAATTCCTGCCTCATTAGCCAAGGGTGTGGGATTACAGGCTGACAACACATTAATCACCAGCCTCTGTGGCAGGCTGACTAGCAATAGGCATTGTTAACAAAACTTTTCTAATATGTCACTCTTCTCTATGACAGCCTGTAATCAATCATTGTGATTGACGGCGCTGATAGATTACACTATTTATACTTTGTGTAATGAAAGATAGTGTTTCCACCTACTGTCATTTCTGGGCTAGTGGTAGAGGATCAGTAAATGGAAACAAACATAACAACAGGGCAAGCCCTCATTCACCCCAAAATATCCATAGAACTACCCCACCTTCCCAAGTCCTAGGCTTGGCTTCCACTTTTGGAAGTGAAAAAGGGCCCATCCTGGAACTCTGGCAATCATTCTGGGATGAGGGGTAGTGGTGGGGGCACCTGGAAGGACAGAGGTAATTTGGATTTTCACAGAGAGAGCTCTTTGCAAAGGATACGATCCCAGGTATTGATAGGTCGAGTTTACATAGGTAGGAGAGTCCCCAAGCAGCCCCTTTCCTTCCCCTCATCAGCTTACGTGTGTGCAGCTGAGCGTTGAGTGCCTCCTCCCCTGCCAGATGAGAGATGATTTAGATGTTGATAAAATATTTGTTCTTTCCTGGCTCTGAGGGCAAATATTATCTTTGTTTCCCATAATCGTAAGGCGCTGCAAAAGTCAACAGCACCCAGAGCAAGTACAAAACCAACACTCGGAGAGAAGCCCTTTCTGGAGGCCTTTGCCAGGGCTTGCTTGTCCCCCCTGAAGCTCAGAAAATTTCAAACAGGATACGAATGAATCAGCTGAGCTGAAATGTGTTCTGACTCTCACATCCTCGGTATTTTTGGAGGGTCCTTTCAGTCATTTTTATTTTGGTCTGGAAAGCATTCGTAAAGGATACAAGCTGTTTTTGCTTTGCTGGAAGTTATTATTTCAATAGAGTGACAAGGAGGCTCCTGGGCTAGCATCCTAAGAGGGGAGCATCTTTCCTCGTGTTGGGGCCATTTCCAGGCAATTTGGCCACAAGTGCCTGTTTTAATGAATCACTTTAAAAATGATTGTGGTATTTAATTTTCCTTACTATTGATTAAACACAAGAAAATACTCCTTTATTACTTCTTTAAGGTGGTTAGGGAGATTGCTCATAGGTATATAAATCTTCATTTGACTCTTCAGTACAAGCACAGATGTGCGATTCCCTGCCTTCCCATTCAATGCATTTTTGATCTTTGCGTCTCTGCATTATATGTGGATTGGCGAGGCCAAGAGAGGAGAGTAGTAAGGAAGCAGAGTCGTCGTCCTCCTCCTGAACGCTGTGGTGTTGATAGGCATCAGACACTTTAGGTCACCCTGCCAGTTGGCAAAGCAAAAGGAACCTGAGACCTACCCCTAGTGAAATTGCCTTAGAGGCGGATGAGATGGGAGGAGGTGCAGGGAGACAGGGAGCTAAACTTTAATCTCTCTGTGAAGTTTGAGTGAGCCCAGGATGATTAATGAGAGAGCAGACCATCTGATTAAGCCCCTCTGTGTCATAGAACATGATTAGTAGGTGACAGAGATGGTAACAGTATCCAGCCAAACCCTTGTTTCTTTCACAGCTCCGGCTGTTATATGATTAATGTCCCCAAGGGCTATCTTGGGGTCAGGCAGGGGAACCTGTCAGAACAGGTGGAAGTGACAAAATGGGCAGAAACTCCTAAGGGGGACTGGAGTGGTGAGGGAGAAAATGGAGGGGGCAGGGCAGCCAGATGGAGCCGGCGACCTTTCTCTGATCCAAGCAGGCACAGAGATCATCGTGGGAATGGAAACGAGGAAGAATCACAAAACTGCAGATGTTTCCCAGGTCCTCAATGCATCAAGTACTGCCAGCTCAGACTTGTGGGAAGCACAGTGTGACACGGCGCGTTATCACTCGTGGTTTATGTTCTGAGATGGAATGGGATGGGGCCACTGCAGGCCCTGTGGGTATGAATGTGGGATGCCCGCACCTGTGCCTGTGTAAGCATGAGTGTTTGTGCAGGTACACTAGGACAAGTGCTCCACTCTGCTGGGGGATTAAGTATGTATCAAACGGGTAGAGCTGATATTTCAATTTACTGCTTTCTGGGGCCAACACCTATACATTGTCTTGACTGTGCTACTTAGAAAAGATAATATGGGAAAATAACATGGATTTACAGAATTGAAAGTTTTAATTCTGTAAATTTACAGAATCAAAAGGTTTTTAGATTTAAAGTGAACTGTAGAAATCCCTAATTCAGATAATCCAGATTACAGGTGAGAAATCTGAGGTTCAGAGAAGGTAATGACTTGCCCAGTGGAAGTCAAGACTAGAACCCCAGGCTTCCTATTTCCGGTTTCATATACTAAACCCTTGATGAGTCTGTTGGTAGGAAGCCTCAGACCTTTTCATTAGATGTGAGTTTCCCAGCAAGACTTGAGTCTTTACTCTCCTTATCATATTCCCTCTTTCCCTTCCTAGAAGCACTTTGACCTCCCGGTCAAAGGTTTAAACCTCAGTTGAAATGGAGTCTCATTAAGTCCTTTTGGGCAAGCAGCCTTCCCAGATGTCAACTTTGAGAGGAGACTATGCTCTCAAGGCAGCCGTTTTGATTGACAGGAGTCCTGAGGGTAGCCATTTTTACATTAAAGGGAAACTGGTTTGTATTGAGTTTCATCTGGTGAGCCTGGCTTCTCTTCTTCCACCTTTGATGCCCTATGTGTCTGTTACATACATTCAAGAGTCATTCCCGGGCTCTAATGGGGTCTGGGAGAACTTTCATCTCAGCCATTTTCCAGGGCTCTCTTGGGTAACCAGTTTCCCTTTGTTATTCACGTCTATCCAATAACTCTTGCTCTTATGTTCACACAATAATAATAATAACTGGGTTAGAACCTGGGCTGGGCAGTGACCAGCCCCCTACATCTGCTTGATCTCTAATGCAGGAGTTTACAAATTGGAAATCTTTGCTAGCTAGGAAAAAGATCACCTTGCAGTAGGATTTTATCCATACCAACAGTGCTCGTGCTTCAGTGAGTTGCAACTGTGGACTTAATGGCAAAGCTGCACTCAGTGTTATGATCACGAAGGAGGGAGAAGGAAGAATGGAGATTGTATTGGATTTTACTAAATTGTGTCAGTGAGGGAGTAAGTTGAATAAGAGACCCAACCAGGGCATATTCATAACTCTGTCTCCTGACAGTGGTTGATTATGTACAATTTTGATGTTGATTATCTTTAAATAGCTCTTCTTGTTGTGGGACAAACTGGGAGATCTACCTCACATGAGGGTAAAGTACAAAGGATACTAAAATCTTCCCAGAGTAGAGTCCCCATGATTCTGTAGCATAGGCTTTGGGGGATCAATTATGGATAAATAAATGTTCATTAGCTTCAGAGCTCTAGTATATGATTTTTGTCATGGGTTTCACCTCAGCATCATACAGCCTTTCCAGGCCAAGAAGAGAATGACCTAGTGCTCCAAAAACAGTCACTTAAAGACTGGCTCTGTGGCCTTCGAGTGAGTTATATAAAATACAACCAAGATGAGACTGAGTGCTTTCCATGGTCAAAGGGAATCATCTAGGACCAAACTTTTCTGTGAGCTGATAGAAAAATTTGAGCAAACTTTGGCAGACTGATCCAAGAAGATACTTAGCCTTTACTGTAGTATTCAGGATATTGTCAGACATTCTGGTGTAGTGTGGTGGTGGTGAAGTGGTGATATGTTTTAGTACAGAGTTCATTGGTTGCTTTGGAGGATCATGAAGTGCTTGTGCCTTTCCCCTATTGCTATATAGGCTGAGATGCCAAAAATTCAGGCTTTCATAACCCACAATAAAACCTCATCTTTTCCAAGATGTTGACCCATTCCCTCTGTGCACACTGCTTTATGGTAGAGACTTCCTGGTAGAGCCATGCTGTTGTGGAGGTGACTCCCAGCTTTGCTTTTAGTAGGCCCTAAGGATACTTTGGGGTGTCACCATGACTCACTGGTAAAATTTGGGAATCATTTTATGAGAGAGGCCACAAGCAAATGGTGACTAATGATACAGTACTGAAGTTTGTGAATGATGTACATTCATGTAAATTAGACCAGATTCACTTTGGCTGCCTTCCTCTGTAATTTCTTGAGCAGAGAGAGAGGAGTGGAGTTAATTAACTTAGGGAGAATCACATCTCACCTTAAGGGAGCCCTTGGGAGTGGGTTGGGCTCTATAAAATCATCCTCCAAGCACTTGGGCAGAGACATGTTTGAGAACTTCTATATTAAGATATAGTGTGCTAATGTTATTACCCAATCAGAGTGTGTGACAAATAGTTTAATGAAGAACAGCAAATGTTCTGGGTAGCAGGTATTCCTTTACTTAAAGGCGAAGATGAGCTATATTTAAAATTCAGGAAATGCAAACTTAGGTCCATTTGAGGCTAATACATACACAAGATTCTGCCTTTTCATGACAGAGGAAAACATAAGAAAAATGTAGAGTGCAGGAGACATTCATTTATCTTGGAGGAGAAGACCATTCTGTGGCCCCATCAGCCTGGACTCCCAAGCCCAGGGTACCAAGCCCTCTTATTCCCTTTTGCATTAAAAACATCACAATCATATCTTTTTTATCCTGTTATTTATTTTTGAGACTCTGAAAATGGATTTCTTTTGTGGGTGGTTGTTTAAAGAAACCAGCACAGAAAAATCAGCCTGTGCAAATACACTTTTTTTTTTTTTTTTTTTTTTTTTGAGCAGTGATTTTCTTTTTGTAGTTCGGAACTTGAGGCGAATGAAGGTCTCCCTGGTGCCCTGGTAGCTGCAGCCCCTCTTTTAGCATTTTTTCAAAGGGCGCAGGCCAATCTGCCCATAATGAGCTTGGAAAGTGAGGATGAAGTTCCTGATAATATGACACAAATTTCTTTACTTTTGCTCCTTATTTTATCTTAATTAGTCCCTGTAGAAAGGATTGATTTTTGAGAGGCTTGTAGTGAACATCTGTTGGTATTCCTGGGGTCATTCTTAGCCTGTCCTGTGTTTGACATTTCTTGTAAAAGAGGAGGCATTTGTTCATATTGACATTAGCTGCCTCTGTATCTCTCGGTGGTACAGATGGTCTGTGAATAAAGACATCAAGCTAATAGGCAAGATGACAAGCTTCAATGGAGCCAAGGCTCCTCACACTTAAATGGCAGGGCAGCATAGATTGCTTCTGCTGCTGAGGCTGGGGTCTGTGGGTAGCAAAGCGTATGGAATAAGTTAAAAATGAAGAGGGAACCTGGAAAATGACTAGAAATCTCTCCCTGAAACTGCAGGGGCTTTTTATTACTGTTTTCATTATTATTACTGGTCCATATAGTATGTCAAGCTTCCAAGATGTCCAGGGTCAGGGAGAGAAAGTGAAAACTGGGTTTTCTGCCCATCCTGTGACCATACATTTCTGTCAAATGGGCATGCTAATCTCAGAAGGGAGCTATTGTTCTCACTTTCTGGGGAAGTACATTCATGTTCCTCCTTCCATCAGAGGACAGTCACTCTTAAGTCTAGAGGCTGATTCCCCCCAAACCCATGAAACCATGTTTTCCCAAGGGACTTCCAGGAAAGCAGCACTCTGGAACTTTGTAATTCTGTACATTCCTGAGGTTCTGGGCTTTCTCCAAAATGCATGTCCCAGTTTGGTATAATAATTCGTCATGGCTTTGGCATGATGAATCTCAATTTATGTCCATTTATATTTTAATCATGAACCAGCTATTAAGACAAAGAGGTTTTTCAGTTGATTCTTACCAATGTGAAATGCCATATCTTATGTTACCTAGTTCAAGTCTGAAGGGGAGCCTCCCAGTTCTGGTGTTGGGTGGATAAGCCCCCCATTTGTTAGGGTCTTTTTATCAGTTTCTGTTGTATTCTTGCAGCTTCTATCTTCCCAGATGCTGGAATCCTCATATAGAGCAGCCCCCTTTGACTCAATTACCTGTATAGCTTTTCTTACCTTCTCCTGGACTCTCTTTGTATCTACTATACATTCTTTATTTTCCATTTGTACATTGGTGACATGTCTACAGGTATGTGTTGATTTTTTTTTTTTTTTTTGAGACAGAGTCTCACTCTGTCACCCAGGCTGGAGTACAGTGGCGCAATCTTGGCTTACTGTAACCTCTGCCTCCCGGGTTCAAGTGATTCTCCCACCTCAGCCTCCTGAGTAGCTGGGACTACAGGTTTGTGCCACCACACCGGGATAATTTTTGTATTTTAGCGGAGACAGGATTTTGCCATGTTGGGCAGGCTGGTCTCGAACTCCTGACCTCAGGTGATCCACCTACCTTGACCTCCCAAAGTGCTGGGATTACAGGCGTGAGTCACCATGCCTGGCCAAGTATGTGTTGATTTTTAATTTTCATACTGCGCCATGTTTCATGGATGGTTTGAGGTAGCTTATAAGAATAAAAACTATAAAACAACAACAAAAATAGGATCTTACCAGTATATTGGAAAATATTTAAAAATGGGATGATAGCATAAGAAATGCTGTTTGATGATAGAAAGACCAAAACAGTATGTGCTGATCCTCTTAGGTTGGTGCAGATTAGGATTATTTTGAGCTTGTACATACCAAGGACTTGAATCAAGACCAATAGCTTTATGTGAGTGAGGTAAAATTAGCTCTGGAACTGGGTAGGTAGATAAAAACAATTTGTTTCTTGGTTGATTGTTCTTTTTTTTTTTTTTTTTCCAAAGAGACGGAGTCTCGCTGTGTCATCCAGGCTGGAGTGCAGTGGCGTGATCTTGGCTCACTGCAAGCTCTGACTCCCAGGTTGACGCCATTCTCCTGCCTCAGTCTCCCGAGTAGCTGGGACTACAGGTGCCCGCCACCACGCCTGGCTAATTTTTGTATTTTTAGTGGAGATGGGGTTTCACCGGATTGCTTTTTCTTTATCTTAGACATTAGTTGATATTGAAATGTTTGTATGTGTTCCTCACACCACCCGCACGTAGGATCTCAATTTGCCAGCTCTAGGAAATGGGAGAGACC
This sequence comes from Homo sapiens, assembly GCF_000001405.40. Lineage (NCBI taxonomy): Eukaryota > Metazoa > Chordata > Mammalia > Primates > Hominidae > Homo > Homo sapiens. The sequence continues at coordinate 76,121,147 of NC_000010.11, forward strand.
TATCTAATAGGTATCTAGTATCTTCAAGAAGGAGGAGGAGCTATGGAGGAGAAGGTGATAGGGAGAGAACAGGGGTGAGTAGAAAGAAAGAGGAAGGAGAGGAGAAAGGAGTCCTCTAATTCGCCTAGATAATGGTAATATTAATGAGATACTCTAGTTAATGAGGCAATTGTCTGGCAGAGGGCGTTGTTCAGTATTTCCAGCCCATTTCTGTGGGCTTGAGGCACCATTATGAGAAGCTGAATCAGATGTTTAGAAGGAGGAAAAATTGGGCTTCCAAAAGGCTGAGGCCAGAAAACAGTCAATCCACAATTGTCTGTCATCTGTTTGATGCAGATCAGATGGGGACATGGCCCTGCCTTGGTTTCTCCATTGGGACTGAGTTCTGGCTTCATATTTCAACTCTCCTGACACCTGAGAGGGTTGTCATGAAATGAGAGGAAACTTCTCCCCTTAATGTCATTCTCCCATGCCAACTTGGTTTTTTGCTTCTTAGTCACTGTTTCTGTTTTCCCCAGTACGGTGAATTCCCCCAGGATGGGGACCAGATATCCAGTATTAGATTCAGTCCTCCTCCATGTGGAGTCAACATCTTTTTGTCAGACTGGGAGCTCCCTAAAGACAGGAATCAATGTATTTTATATCATTTTAGGAGCTTCTCAAAGAAAGCAATTATTCCTCTCCTCCTTTCTCCTCTAAATTCTATGGTTCCCATTGGGGATCATGCATTACTTTATTCCACAAACATTTATAAAGACCTGGTATGTGCCAGGTACTGTTCTAGGCACTGGAGATACAGATAGACTGAGTTCCTGTCCGAGGAGCTTGCATTTTGGGGTGGAAGTGGTAAGAGAGACAGATAATAAGTAGATAAATAAATATGTGTCAAGCAGGAGGTCATGCTGTGACATGTAGGATGATCAGAGATGGACTTTCAGAGAAGGTGACATCTCATGCTAAGTGATATACAATTATTTGGGCAGGTAGATGAGAGTTCCAGGCAGAGGGAACAGCAAATGCATCTTCTGTCATCTCTAGTATCTCCAAGGGAGTGTGAGAGACCAGGAGCAGCATCCCAGGAGGCCCAGGGTCACCTGATCACCTTAAGTCTCAGAATCAGATGCTCAGACATCTGCTGCGGCAGATTGTCTCCTGCTTGGGCTGTGTCCAGTCTCGGTGCCAGCAGCCCTTTTAAACCCATCGGCACCTTCAGGTGTTTTCCTTCCCCTGCCTGTCTGTGAGGTCTTTTAAGACTTTGGAACTGGGCAATCTAGGTACAAATCTTGTCCCTGCCACATGATGGTCGTGTGACATTAGGGAAGTCACTTAACTTCTTTGTGTCTCTGTATATCCTTATCTGTAAAATGGAGATGATAATTGTCTCTAGTTCTCTCTAGAGATTAAATGAGTTCATATATGAAAATGCTTAGAATAAACCTGCATATAATAAATGCTATACAAATGTTAGCCACTATTATTGTTGCTGTTGCTGTTAACTTGTTTTAGCAAATGAAGCATCTCTCTTACAATGCAAAGCCGGCCTCTTTCCCAGTTCATCCTCCTACTTACCTACAAAATGAGGGATGGAGATGAACATGAACATGAACTCTAAGGATTTTTTTGTTAGGCTTGCCTTTCTGGGTTCTACTCTAAGCCACATTCAGCTCACCCCAACTCTAAGGCTGCAAAGCTGATTCGGCATTTAGTAGACCATTTTCCTGCTCATGGTCCATGGAGATTAGCCTTTTCTCTTTAGCTCTAAGTTCCTTCAGGGCAGGGATGAAGGTTCCACCTCTGTTATGTCTCCTGGATCATCTAGGATGATCCGAAGGATTCCCAGATCTGGGCATTTTATTCTGTGCTTATTAGGGATTTCAGAAAAATGTGCTCTCCTCATGTTTGGCATGCAATCTTTTCAACAGTACAACTCTTCATTCTCCATGCTATCCTCTGGTGGAGGCAGCATAGGGCGCTGGCTAACAGACCTCAGACTTGGGATCCACGTGGTTTGGGATTGAATTCTACTGGGTCAGTGACTTTGGGGATATTAATGATCCCTCCTTATTAAGAAGGTTAACAAGGCAAGGCACAGTGGCTCATACCTATAATCCTAGTACTTTGGGAGGCCAAGGCAGTCAGATTGAGCCCAGGAGTTTGAGACCACCCTGGGTAATATGACTAAACTTTATTTCTACCAAAAAAAAAAAAAAAAATTAGCCAGGTATGGCGGCTCACACCTGCGGTCCCAGCTACTTGGGAGACTAAGGTGGGAGGATCACCTGAGCCTGGGAGGTCGAGGCTGCAGTGAGCTGTGATTGTGCCACTGCACTCCAGCCTGGGCAACACAGTGAGACCGTGTCTCAGAACACAAAAACAAAAACAAAACAAGTCAATATATGTAAAACACAGAAAGGTGCTGATGAGTGGTCTACAAATGGAAACCATTGATACTGTTATTGTTGTTAGTGTTCTTCCAGTGTGCTTTATACATAAAAGGTTCTAAACTGTAGGTTAGGATAGTCCTTCTCTGAATATATATAATCTGTGAAGGAATTCTTTCACTCAGAGGTGGATGTGAGGCAGCATTCTGCAGCATCTCAGAAACTGGTGCTCATTAAGGCACAGGATCCTGGCTGAGGCCAGTGGCAAAGCTTGCTTAAAGATACTTTGTCATCTTTCCGTGTATCTCAAACTCTGTGCCATGTTAGGGGATGCGGCAAATATTTGCAGAATGAATTAATAACTGGTTGAAGGATGGATGGGTGAAAGATGAGCCTCTTCTGTCTTATTATTACTATTACCAAAGAGGCAACAGTGCTTTAGCTTGTTCCTTCCCCTCCCTGATCTTTTCTCTCCCACTCCACCTTTTGAAACTTTTGTTAATCTTGCTTTCTTCTACCTTGTCTCATTTCCGCCTTGCTTTCCTCTCTCCTCTGCCACCTCTCCCATCGTCTCTAGGCCCAACCATGACTCTCTGTGTCTACTATTTGTCGCTTCTGCCATCGGTATCAAGTACTAAGTATCCCTCAAATCCAGAGTATTCACAGTGCAGTGACCCAGATGAAAGGGGGTTGGGATTTTGCTTTCTTCCCTTGGTAACTATTTCTCAGGATGACCCAGAATTCATTTGCTTAGGTAACAAGACAACGAGGTCCCCCTCCTTCACTTTGACACCATCTGTGTCAGTGTTTTGATAACAGTCCTTGCCAAGTGTATCATGGCTGAAATTGATGCTACCAGGACACAGGAAACTCACACCTTTTCTCAGGCTGCCTTTCTTTCCTCTACACTTACTGCTGTTTAAATGTCACCACTCTTGAACAAACAGTGGAGTAATGTGTCAGGGACAGCTAATGCTATATTTTGGTATGTTCTTATCAAATCAAAATGCCTCTGGCAAGCTATTTGCCTTTGATAAAAAGAATCCTGGTCTTCCTGGCAGAACTCAATAGTAATTGAACCAGGCCACACCCTTAGGACTTAGGCCCCTGTGGGTGTCCTGAATCCAGCCCCTTGGCCACACAGTAGGGTTTGGGTCAATGCCCTTAGCATTAACAAGGCTCAGTAGTCTGAATTCTTTTCAGATATTGACTGCTCCCCACGTCTCTGAGAAGGACTCGCTTTTGGGGCCTCAGTTTCACCATTTGGACAGTGAACTTCCATGCTTTGCCAGCCGATTCCTTAAATAATCTCACCAACCATCTGCAGATAATTGCTTTGTGGGTAGCTTATGAACAGCAGCTGGGAGCTGCCCAGTCCCCATCATTTTTGTCTCAAAAGCAGGGTTTGGGGGCCATACTGTCAGTAGAGAAATGTGTGCTATAATCATTATTACTTATGACATTTCTACTTAACTAAGAAGGCATTTCCAGGAAATATCTTTTAAATCAGTAACTTTAAGAAGCTGACGCTCAAAGGGGATTTAGAATCTGGATTATTTTTCTGATTCAAATTATCTTTTCTTTTGGCCTTTGAAGAAGCAAATAGATATTTATTTCTCTTGTTCCCTCCTCTGCAAATGCTTAATTGATTTTATTCCTGTCAGCTGACTGCAATAGAAATCGCTGTTTCCACTTCTTCCTGTTAACACCTTTTCTGCAGGGGTGGAGGGCTAGGGGGAAGCTGGGACAGGTGAATGTCTTCTTGCGTTCGGCTGTGTTGTGCATGGAGAAGATTTGGAGAATTTTCATTCTTCCAAAATTATCCACAACACTTTGAAATGAGGTGACCTCCTGTTCGGCAAAATGTTGATATGATAGTATTTATGAGGACAGTTTGCTATGTTTACAGAATGTATATTTGGAAGTTGCATGTACTAATTGGATTTTGAATATTTTTGTTTCTCATTGTATCACACCTGAAATGATGAAAGGTCATTTAATAAAAAAAATTGAACCATTGATGCCTGAGTGGCTGCCCAGAGTAAAATTGCCTACCATCTGTCAAGGCAGGAAACCAGAGTACAGTGAAGGTAGGGGGAGAGGCTCCCAAAAGGTGGGGTCTGTCACCTAGAGGAGGAGGGCGTGATGGCTGGAAGGGGTAGTCTGGGTTTCTGGTGACTGTGTCCCACATCAGGACTGCATGCAGCTGGAGGGACAGAGCTTCAAGCAAGCCATCCCAAGATGACTGTCTCGACCTCCTCAGTTTCTGTGAAGAGGACATCACTGTCTACTCACAGAGCATAAACCCAGAATGTTTTGTCTGTCCTACTCCTGTAGACAATTCCTCCCCTCACCAGTGGTGAAAGAGCCAATACAAAGTCCTGACTATATGTTCTGACTTTTCCTAGGGGGCTTAAGGAAAGGCAGGGGAGTAATAAGCCTCTGCTTTGAGAAGCCACCTCCTTTTCCCCTTTGTTCTTGGATAGCTATGGAATGCAATTATGTGCATTTAGGACCTTTCATTGGGCTTTGACATTCAAACCACACACATGCCCTTGCAGGTTGAAGAGAGAGGGGATATCCTGACTAACACATTCCCGGACTGCCTCAGAGATGGAGCTTCATGAGAAAAGCCTGCTCTAGGACTTGTGTGGCCTCGAGAGCATTGAGGTTGTTCATGATGGAGCTGGCTTTTCCAGTTGCCTCTGAACCTAGGATCTGCTTTCTCTCTCCTTCCCACATCATAGATTGAATACTACTCTAATGTAATGACTTTGGCTTTTTGTTTGTTTGTTTTTATTCACAATTGCAGATAGCGCATAGGCATTCTGCATATATCAATCTTAGGGTTCTGTTTGTTTTTTCATGAAAACATTGCTTTGTTCAGTGCCCTGTGGTATAACCTGTGGCTGCAGGAATTATAGAACTGCTGGTAGGATTCTTTCAGATAGCAAGGAGAATATTGCAATGAAATATAGAGAAGAAAGAGTCCGCTCCTGCTGGGGTCTTTCATCCAGCCAATTGTTTCCCCTCTCTCCACTGCCTTTCTCCTCTCTACATCTGGGCTTCTGTTTCTTTTTGTGTTTCTCCACTTCTGTACCCACACTATCCTTTTTCCATCTTGCAATACATTTTGTTCTTTTTGTTGCTCCATGTAAGGGGCCTCATGGATTGCTGACCAGCCTATTGCAGGGGTTGCATTTAGCTCAGGCTTTCCTCTGAGCCATTTAGCTGTGGGCAGAATTGTGGAGTTGCATGTTAAAAACCACAAGAGAGCTGTGGTTATGACAGGCTCTCTGCATGGAATAAGAAAAGAACAATCTTGGGCAAAAGGCTCTCAGCATTCTTCCTGATAGCACTGCCAACCAAAAACCACCCTAAGCAGATTGTGCTGAAGGTTGGCCACTTCTCAGTCCAGATACCTGGCTGAATGTTTCCCTGAAATTGAGCCTGGGGAGCAGATTTTGACTTTTCAGGCTACTTGCTCATAAAGCCAACCATGTGGATACAAAATTGCTCACATAGGAAATGCCAAGTGGATGTTCACTGTTGCAGCCATTATGAGCGCTGACATTGTTGAGGGGACATCAGGATCCTGTATGCCTGCCTAGCCACTGTGGCTTGTGCAAGTAGAAATAAGGTCATTTTTTAATTCATAGCAGAGTTGCCAGATGATCTTAATAAGTATGTTGTCTCATTATTTAAATACCATCTCAAAAAATGCATATATGTGCGCAAATATTTATACACATGCATGCATGCATACATGCACACACACATTCATAGTAGAAGCACTCTTAACCAACTTGCATTTCAGCAACTTGGCGTATTCACCCACGCCAGCCATCTTCCTGCGAAATATACTGGCTGCAGCACATCACCCTACAGATGCATGGCAGGGCACTTCTGTTCCCACCAGGTGAACTGTATGTTTACCAAGTCAGCTGAGCCTGTTCCCAAACCTACTTATGTTAGTTGTGTTTATATTGTAATAATGTGGTTTAATTAAATGTTATAAAACCAATGAAATGAAAGAGTGCAGAGTTTTTTTTTTTTTCATGAAAACTAAGGTGAATGTTTGGCAAGACTCAGTGTGTTTTAGTTTTTTGAATACACTCAACCAAGTGTAGATAAGGCAGTTGTAAAAGCTTGGGAGGAAAAAAAAAATCATAAAATTCTAGAAGAAGTCTGCACTCAGATTGCCTTAGGAGACTTTTAAAGTTCTAGTTCCTCTTTAAAGAAAACAAAACAGGAAATTTTAGAGCTACATAGTAAGAATGGTTTGTACAAAGTAGTCCATGCTAAGCTTTAGTCAACAGATCCATATGCAAAAGAAAAGACCTAAGCCTATATGGAAAGAGCAGCAAATTAATTTGATTCACATGATTTAAATCAAAATGTTTACATATGAATGTAGCATTTTAACCAACTTAAAAAAAAACAACAACAACAAACTAGCCAACTACTGGTTCAGATCACAGTGTATAAAGTGCTTCTGCTCACTAATACTTGCCCATAAAATCAAAGTCTGGTAGTTTTGTTTAGAGGTGAAAGGAGAGAATTGGCAAAGAAATTAATTCTCCAATAACTTGCCTGGATTCCATTTTTCTTTTGCCATGGAATTCAGGTTCTAGATGGTAACAGGAAAAGCAGGCATTTCCAGGTCGGGAAAAGCGGGTTCTAGATGGCAACAGGAGAAGCAGAAGGTGTGTGTGTGGAGGAAAATGAGGGTTTTCAGACCCTGGGACAGCTCCCAAGTCCGCCGCAGTGTTCCTGCTGGATGCAAGCCATGGGGGCAGCACAGATGGGAAACCCTGAGTTGGTGTGGATGGGAACAATGAAGAGCAGGAGGCTGAAGTTCTGTCAATGCTTTTCAGGTCAAGAGTGGGAGGTGGCTCAGGAATGTGGCCCCTGACGTCAGCCCGTGCAACTCTTGTCAACAAAGAGAGCTCCCAGTTGGAGAAATTAAAAGCAAACTTTGACTGGGAATGTGTGGGAAGTGGTAGCTCAGTGAGTGAGGCCAGATGCCACATCAGCTCAAAGTAAAGCCATGCACTTGGCTTTACTGATGGAGATGATGGATGTTTATGATCCCCAGTGTGAAAAATCCTTGCAATGAGATCCATCCCTGAACTCCTCTTCTCCCATCTGTGAAGATGCCCAAAGACTCTAGACTGGCCTTGGAGCAGTCCCTGGGCATAGCATGCCCTAGAGTACAAGGCGAGGGACCTTTTTGGTTGACACAATTCCCCACTGTCTAGCCCAGAGCTCATCAGGGAGGCAATCATTAAAGACGTGAAAGCGTTGAGCAGGATGTATTCTATCTAAGGCAAATTCATGTGCTAGAGGACCTCCTGGCTGTGTTCCAAGGAGCGTCTACCTTATTCTAACAATTGTGAGGGATACTCAGTGGAGTCCAATTGGAGACTTATCTATCCTAAGTAAAATAAACCCTCTGTTGCACATATGAAAGTGATAAATAATTTAAATACAATTTTAAAATATTGGTGCTTCTCAGCATCTCCCACTCCTCATGGTTCTCTCTTTGACACCTCCAGAGTCCCCTAGAAAGGGTGACTTTATTCTCAAGCATCATTCCAGTGTGCTTCCTAACCAATACCAGCAGTGCCAGGGCCATCCAATTGACAAGTGAACCCTGGGCTGCTGGCCCACCCATTATTGTCACTCATCTGTGGGCTGATACCCCCTTCACTTTGCTCAAGCTCCCAGCTTGGCCATTGGTGCTCCTCCATCCTGCAGTCCTACCCCTTAGCCTGCCACAGCCCTTGACTTTTCAGGCCCACCTTCAGCCAGGCCTCACTCTCCTACTTCTGGCCAGGCTGTTGCCCAAATTGCCATCTCCAGTGGGTAGAAGACTATTTATAGCTCCCACTGCAAATTGGTTCGGAGACTGAACGCTGGTCTCCTGAAATAGACCTTTAGTGTGGACAGAGCTCATGGCAAACCTTCTTGGGTGTAGGGTACTCAGCTCTGTCCCCCTCTCCCTAGAGGATGTGCACATGGCTAATGCTACAGGAGTGGGGGTGGGTTCTAAGAAATACCCAGAACCACTGTTCACTCCTACCCTCAGGTCCTTTTGCTAAACCAGGCTTGTTTGTGGATCTTCCTTCCCTAGGAGTGGGCCTCTTCTCAGTGTGGGGTTCCACAGTTCTGCTCTTTACCAGTGGGGTTCTGTTTCTCACCTTTCCCCAGCACCCACACTTGTATATACCTACACACACACCCCTTCCACTGCCATGCCTTCCAATGGTCTGGGAAGTGTTTTAGTGGGAAATAGTCTAAAGTAGAAGTTCATAGCAAGGGGTCTTCAACCAGACTACTGGGATTCAATTCCTAGCTCTTCTACTCTCTGGCTTTGCTACCCTGGGTAAATTACTTAACCTCTCTGATTTCAGTTTCTTCATATGTAAAATGGGGTAATAACCATATTTACTTTATAAAGGCTATTATAAAGAATAAATGAGGTTTTCTTTTGTATTTTGAGGAGTACCTGGCATGTAGTAAGCCCTTAATAAATATTAACTATTAATATAATATCTGAACACCAGTCACTGTGGCTGCTCAAAGTTTTTTTTTTTTTTTGGACACTTCTTGACTACTGTGAATCAGTAGATACAAAAGATACTGGGTGCAGGACGAGTTCCCAGCTTCATACCCAATCTCCACTTAGACTCATCCAGAATATTTTCTTACACCTCTAGCCGTAAATATTCAAAAATTGCTACATATGTTGCTAGCCCATCAAGTTATTAGTAAGGAACCCCATTTGGGTAGGCTACTAGTGTGGAACCTCACCTCTGTTACTCTCAGTTACTCTTTGTGTTTAAAATGTCTTAGAATTCTTTGTATCTTTAAATTTTAATTAGGGATTGATAACAGGTTCTGATAACTTGTAAATGGAGACTGATCATTTGTTAGCCTGTGTTTTGATACGTAGACTTTAAAAAAAAGAAAAACTTCTTCGGTCAGAAGCTGTTGTTCTGTGAAACTAGACCAGACTGTGTTTTGGCTTGTGTGAGAAGGGAAAGCATATTGTTTGTAGGTGAACAGTTTGCACGACTATTGTGATAATCTATCCTGTCTCCCTGCCTTCTGTGTCTACCCAGCTTAGCCTATCTTTTTTTTTATGAGACGAAGTTTCACTCTTGTTACCCAGGCTGGAGTGCAAAGGTGCGATCTCAGCTCACTGCAACCTCTGCCTCCTGGGTTTAAGCGATTCTCCTGCCTCGGCCTTCCAAGTAGCTGGGATTACAGGTGCCCACCACCATGCCCAGCTAATGTTTTGTATTTTTTTAGTAGAGACGGGGTTTCACCATGTTGGCCAGGCTTGTCTTAAACTCTTGACCTCAGGTGATCCACTCGCCTCGGCCTCCCAAAGTGCTGGAATTACAGGTGTGAGCCACCATGCCTGGCCCCACCTAGCCTATTGTATACAATGCAAGTGGAGTAATCTTCCAAGGGCATGATTTTGATTATGTATTTTTTCATTCCGGAAAGCAGCGAGGGCCACCCCGTTGCCTACCAAAAATGCACATTTATGGTCCATGGCAACCTGTTGCACCTTAATGGGTGAGAGAGCTGCTCTTTCCACTGCCCCCTTCACCATCTTGGTGCTTCCGCCGAATTGGCTGACTCCTGCTTGTCACAAATGCTTTTTGCCTTCTTCTGTCTCTGCCTTTTTAGTTCCCACCCACCCACTTTCCTATTGTATCCTTGTCTGGAACAGCATACCACATTCCTGTGCATTGTTCAGGACTCAATGTAAAGCCACTTCTCCCAGGAATCTTTCCCTAATTCCTCTCAGCCAAACAGAATCACCCCTGAGGTGCCATAGCCCTTCATCCCCCATCACGTGGGTATCATATACCATTTCTAGTGTGAGGTATAAGGATATTTTCAATGGACATTTTTATGTTTGAATCTTGTATATACCTGCAATTATCACTTTAGGAAATAGTCTTAGAAATATTTAAGATCTTTGATGCATATTGCAAAATTGCCTTTTAGGCAATATTATTCCATTTATTCTCTACTGTCTGTGTATTGGGGCCCATTTTCCCATATTCTCTATAACCCTGGGTATTATTTTCTTGCCACCTTTTGCTATTTTGATGGTTTTTTTTTTTAAAGAAAAACCTTTGTTTTAATTCATATTGCATTGCTCTAATTTCTAGTGAGACTGAACATTTCAAAAATGTGCTTATTAGCCATGCACATTCTCTCTGAATTGTCCGTTGACAGGGCACTTGACACTTTATATCATAGTAGTTTTGTGAACTTGTCAGCTACCAAGGATCTATACGACAAACAGCTATACTGTCAGCCCAGCTACTGTGCTTAGAACATGATAGGTATGTACTAAACATTTGTTGAAAGGTTGAGTGAATGAATATATATGGCTGATGATGGTTAATGTTCCTTAAGCATTTAAAAATGTGTAGACTCTAATTTACCTCCAGTACAACAATTCAAGATGCAAATCTTGAATGCACCATTCAGTGTGATCATGACAGTGCCTTTCACTTAGTAAGTCTTCCACTTGTGAGGTTGGTTAAGAGGAGTGTGAGGTTAGATTTGCAAACATAAAAACCTCTGGGGTAGGGAGGTCTTTTGGTCACTCTCTATGATCCTGGAACATCACGTGCTCTTTATTTATACTTCTGGACTTCACCAAAATAGAGGTGGTGATTTTGGAGCCCAAGAAGCAGGAAGGCAGGGTGAGAGCAGACCTGTGCTTGAGAGATGTCTGCTTTTCAGAGGAGATGGTGTAGTGACAACTTCAGGGACTGATGCCTGGCTATTAGGATCGAGTCTTCTTAGATGTCAGCTCATTTCCTTGTAGAAAATGAAATCTAATGAAAGCTGGTTTATCTGGTATTCCATCAAGCAGAACATTTTTTATTACATCATATTCATACGAATGACCCTAAGGCACAGCAAGATGATGTTCAGGGTCACATTGGAGTTAAAGGTCTTATAAATTATATTGTCATTCTTTTGAAAATTGGTGATTGTGGCAGATGTGGTAATTTTCCATTCACCAGAATGCCTGAGTTACCAAAAGCAAAGATTTCTGCAGACTGGGAAAGTTTTGTGGGAGCGTGTATGTTTACATGTGTAGGTGAGCGCATGAGTACGAGTATCGGAGTACGAGTATCGGAGGAACAATGAGCTGGAGTCCACTAGAGAGTGAAACTTACAGAGTCTTGACCATTCATCATTCTGATTCTCAGATTTCACCAGCTGACAAGCACCTTCTTTTTTGGCGGGGGGGGTCAGAGTTTCGCTCTGTTGACCAGGTTGGAGTGCAGTGGCACTATCTTGGCTCACTGCAAGCTCCGCCTCCCAGGTTCACGCCATTCTCCCGCCTCAGCCTCCTGAGTAGCTGGGACTACAGGCATCCACCACCACGCCCGGCTTTTTTTTTTTTTTTTTTTTTTTTTTTTGTATTTTTAGTAGAGACAGGGTTTCACCGTGTTAGCCAGGATGGTCTCAATCTCCTGACCTCGTGATCCGCCCGCCTCAGCCTCCCAAAGTGCTGGGATTACAAGCGTGAGCCACTGAGCCCGGCCAACAAGCACCTTCTAAGGGTGACTTCACTTTGGAATTGTTTGGTTGAAGCAAGGGAAGTAAGGAAACCAAAACCTCTTCAACGCTATGCTAAGTGTTACTTAATCTCATTTCATAAAGGAAATATGAGGCTGGATTATATTTATTTCGTGTGTGTGTGTGTGTGTAAATTTTCTTAAGAAAGCAGTAAGTGGTTTTTTCCTTGTATGCAGGTAGCACCTGCCAACCTGACCTGTTGACAGATAATTGCTTGACAGCCTGGCCTTTGATGTTAAGCGTCACTTAGGCAGAAAGAAAGTTTCCCTGCACCTCCCTACCAGTCCTGGGTGGTCTTGTCTGCTTTCCTTCCCCAGAACCTTGCCCAGGAAACCCATGAATTCAGGCCCCCGGGTGCAGGTAGGGTCAGCAAACGCCAGACCACTCCCCAATGTGTGGAGAGCGAGGAGGGGCCTGCAAACTCTGCTTAAAACAAACAAGTGCTAAATTAAAAAGAATGTTAAATACAGATCAGCTGCCTGGCTCCTGACAGCAGATTTAATTCTTCCCTCCTCTCACCTGATGGAGCTTCGCCTGCAGGGTTTGCATCAATTACTCGACGACATGTGGAAAATGATTGATGAGCTGCCTGCGGCACTGAAGTACACTTTGTCAACCGCTCATCATTTATACATCTTATCTCTGCCAGAACAAAAGATAGGACAACCTCACACTGAAGTTGGGGATGGGAAGGGGGGAGATGAGGATGGGGGTGAGGGAGGCAAGTCAGGCAAAGTTGTTGGGTGCCCACAGGGACGAGCTTGGGTGGTGAGGCCCCTGCTGTTGCCTCAGAACTGTCTGGTCAGTCAGCTCTGCCACAGGCCCTGGCTTTGCCAAAGCTCTTTGACTGTCCTCACCTCCCCCACCCCCAACAAAGTCCAGGAACAGAGAACTGCATGCTGTTTTAATTACAGCATAATCTCAGAGAGCTTTCGAGGCACTGCAGCCACTCTGCAGCTGACCCTTTGCTTTAATCAACCACTCCTAAGGCAGGGTTTGTAACCATCCCTGACAAAGATGAATCACGGCCCGTGGATCCAGTTTCTGAGAGAATTTCGGGGGGAGCTGCCCAGGCAGCAGCGGCTGTTGGGGCCAGCTTTTGGGAAATTGGGGCATCTGATGATGGTGAGACTTGGCGGTGATATTCATGGTTTTATTTCAAGCCATGTTCCCAAGGCCGGAATGAGACCCAAATGTTTTTGTTCAGATTGAGATGGAAGGTTGGTGGTGATGCTGACTCCTTGTTTGTTCCCCAGCTGTGGCCTTAGGACTAAGACCCCTCCTAACATGGGAACAAAAAATATCACCTCGCATATGGCTGTCTTCTCTTTCCTGGGGACACTATTATAGCCACAAATCCAGGTGATGACCTAACAATCATTTCTAGGCAATAACTGCTGAAAATAGCTATTTTATTATGAGCTGATCTCTATTAATTCACTCTCTATTAAAGGCATCCCATTTATTGATTTTTTTTTCTTTGAAAGAAAGGGTACTGACAAATATAAAGTCAAGTGACCTAGTTATATAATTTGAGTGATTGACCCAACAGATTCCTTAGTAATTGGTCAGGGGGTGGAAAGGAATTAAGTTAGAAAACTTCAACCTTATAATATAATAGGATTTCCCTCCAATAAAATTTGATACATTACTTACAAATTGCTAAATAATAAATAAGAATGAAAAATGAACATACCTACTGAATGAATTATAAAAGCAAGTAATACAACTATGAGGCAAAATCATGCCAGAAAAGAAATAGCTCCACATAAGAGAATTATGAAATGGAAAAAGGACTCAATACCCAGGAGAATATTTCTGCGGCCTTTGAAAATTTAAAAACAGTATTTTGAACTCTTCCACCAGTTTAGTTGGTATTGTTAGAGGAAAGGTTTTACCTATGCTCAAGAATTTGTAGATGAGATAACAGTGACAGGTAAATAATCATCATGATATCAAATGTTTTTATAAAAATTTCATGGAGCATGAATTATACTATACAGAAGGACCCTCTTGGACCAGAAGAGAAGGGCAGCCACTGAGGATCTCATAATGCCCACAAATGTGCTAGCGTTGGCAGATCATCCATAGTGCGTCTCTGTTCTGAATGAAAGAAAGCCCTTGCAGGCTTGATGAACTGCAAAGGGACAGCACCAAATGGAGGCATGTGGTCCCTTTAAGGTGGACCTTAAGATTTGATTTCAGATTTAAGTGGTAGTCCTATGCACCACAATGAATGGAGTTTTACATTTTTTGTGCTTTTGATAACCCTTCAAGGCTTCTATCTTGGGAAATGGTCACCTATTTGGTATTCATTTTGAAAGGTTTGAAAGCTATTTGTATTATTTTCCTAAAACTGCTGTAACAAAGCACAACCAACTAGGTGGTTTAAACAGCAGAAATGTATTGTCTTACATTTCTGGAGGCCAGAAGTCTAAAATCAATGTGTCTGCAAGGGTTGGTTCCTTCTGAGCGCTGTGAGGGAGAATCTATTCCATTCCTGTCTCCTAGCTCCTGACAGCCTCAGGTGCTCCTTGACTTGTAGATGGCATTTTTACTCTGTCTTCACCTTGTCTTCCCTCTATGGATGTCTGTCCTTGTGTTCAAATTTTCTTTCTTTTTTTTTTTTTTAAGGACATCAGTCTCATTGGATTTGGGCCCATCCTAATGACCTTATGTTAAATTGATCATCTGCAAAGGCCCTATTTCCAAATAAGGTTACACTCACACTTACCTGGGGTTAGGACTTCAACATCTTTTTGGGAGAACACAATTCAACCCATAATTGTATTACCCAAGAACTTTAATTCGAGAGATTCTACCTTCAGTGCTTTATCTTGTAGTTTAAGGCATAGATTGTTATCTTGAAGCAGGAGTCGTGTCATGTCTGATCTAAGAGTGGGCATATAGTAACTACTTGATAAATATTTGTTAAATTAATGAATGGATGAGACTTTAATCTTGAACTTCCTTGGAAAAGGCATTTTTATATGACATTTGTACCAGGAAAATTTACTAATTTACAATTTATGAAGTCAATGAACTCCAGAGGGACACAAAAGTTTTAGCAAAAAAGGCTTTCTTTCAAAAATAATATGAAGCTCAGAGTGTGGCCATTTATAGGGAATCTTCTTTTTGTGAATGGCACTTTAGAGAGAAGAATTCCCTAGATAATTCTGTTTTTGCAGAAGTCAGTGCCTTGTGCTGGATTTATTTTCTTGCCAATACATTGTCACTTGGGGAAAAAATTCCCCATGGAAACTTTATATTATAAGTTTGTTAAAACTGGCTCAATATTGTTTATATTATCTGGTTCACATGCTGATATATAAGGGAGATTCAATATTATGAGTAAACTATTACCTAATATGTGCAAATGATTGAGTCTTGAGTTAGTAAGGAGGAAGGTTTTGTGTCTTCCAGAAACATATTTACATACAAGTGAACTTTTAAACATATTAAAAAAAAAGCAAAAATGACTATATTTGATAAAAACTTGTCCAAAAAATGTAGATATAGCAAGTTTAGAGATTAAGATGTTTATTTGTATAAAATAGATGAGCACTTTTTGTTCTTAAACTTTCTATATTTATATTTTACATAAGTTTTTAAAATCCGATACAGTCAATATTTGTTTATTAAAATTATATGATGGACCATATAATATACCAGGCTGAGGAGGACCAAGCGTATCAATACCCCAAGGAAGCACGTCCATGTGGGTAATGTTAAGGATACCTATATGTCAGGCCCTAACCAAAGGAGGTTTGTGGAACTTGGAGAGATCCAGGAGGTAACACCAAAAAGCTGCATTTAGCAATGCCTGCCTAGCCCTCCTGTACAGCTCATGTTATTTTGTTGCCTTAGGCCACCTTACACCAAACCATTCCTATCTCCATGCTTTTGTTTATGCTGTTGCCTCCTTTTAGAAGGGCCACGCTCCACCGCTCTGCTGTGTTGATACTACCGACCCTTCCTTTAGTTCCTGTTCAATTCCCAAGCCTTCTGCCAAGCCTTCTTGGACATTCCCATCCCATGCTGACTATTCCTTAAGCTAAAACCCTTAGAGTTAATATGATACACTTGGCTACCTCATTGTTTCATATCAGTCATTCCTGTCTCTAGCTATAATCGGCTCAGCCAAGGAAGATATATTTATATGGACAATGTCTTTGTGCCTTGGCTGTAAACAGTGTTGAATAATTAATCTCACTTGATGAGGTCTTACTTAATGATAGCCTCCAATTATTCACCAAGACGAGGGGCAACGATGCTTGTCCATTGTCTGTGCAGGCTAGACTGGAGGAAAGGGCCTTGGGGAGGAACTTAAGGTAGATGGAATTTGCTGATGGAAATGTTATTTACTTGATCAAATTTTCCACTGGCATTGGTACATACTTCCCTAAAGAGGGTTAAAAATAAGAAAGGCCCTCCTGGGAGTCAGGAGAAGTGATGAGATGTGCTGTAGCTAGGCCCTTCCTTTGTGAAATGGAGTTTATGCTATAGCCAGATGTCACAATGCTCAACAAATGACTGAAGTCCATCGTAAACAACACCAAAAACAACGAAATGCATTTATTTTAAAACTACTATTTTGAAAAAACACAGTCCCTATGGCAAAAAAAAAAAAAACAAACAAAAAACCCTAAACTTTGACTTGGGGTGACAATGTGTCGGAATCCTGGCAAGGCTGAATGTCCCTTTAAGAGACTTGATCAGAGAGGGATCCATCAACATCCCAGGGGTTGGCTGGGGGGACTGTGATTCTAAAATTAGGAACAGAAGGAAGAACTGAGGAGCGGTGAGAACTAAATTAGGAGAATGTTTTAGGAAGATTATAATTTCAGGGAGGATAGCTCATAGGAGTTGTGTATTGCCCTTTTGCAACTGTAGACATTTTTTACCTTATAATTCCCTGTTTAAACCTGGACAACTTTAATTGGGGATTAAAAAATTATGGCTGAAACACAGAGCCATGTTCTAATGATGAAGGGCTGCAATTTACAGACCAATTAGGATGGCATTTGTTTTCATTCTGCAGCAACTTTTTCCCCCCAGTGTACCCCTCAATAACAGCAAAACAGATTCCTGGGTCCAAAAGTGGTTTTCCGGAGCTGACAGCTGCCATATGCCTTTGGCTGACAGGTGGGGGACAGGTTCTGGACAGCTTCCAGAGAACCACTCCTTGAATTTTGCCCATTTTGTAGAGCCACTCTCTCTGCAAAACAATGCCATTTAACTTCAAGCTCTGACACCTTGCCTATTTCTACTTCACTATAAATAAACCTACTCCCCCCATTTGCTTGCCTCCCCCAGGTCAGGCATTCCTCAATTATAGTCTTAAACCTGGCCAAGCGAGAACAAATGGTGACCTTAAGTTATATCTTAAAGTCCTGCCTCATATTGGGACGCAGAGTAAGTTTTTTTGGCATTCTCTTTGACAGGCTGCTTGTAGATAGAACAGTTTTCCATAAGGAATTGAAATCATACATCAAATGTATTGTTTTATATGTAAGCCACTGGAGACCAATGAAAGCAGTTGGTAGAGCCCAAATACCATTACAAATAGATTTATTGTAGTGTGTTTTCTCCCACCTTTTTCTAGAAGTTATTACTTTAATCTTAAGAATTTATGTAAGTATGCTTGTGGCTTTTATATGGTTTATGCATTCACTTTGGAGACTTTTAGCTATTTAGTGGCGAGGTGTTTAAAACAAGTGTTATCAAGGAAATAATTTTGGCTTTACATCATTTTTTTTATATTTGCCTCTGAATGCTACATATAGAATAGCCAATCGGCAATATAAAAGAGTTACTGTGGATGTCATGGAAACTTATCTTTCCAGTGCCCTTTAGTTTGGTGTGTTCATCTGCACCTCCAAAAAGCAAGCGGAGATAAACATGCTGTATTCCTTTGCTGCCAAATTAGAAAAAGCTCTGTGCCTTCCTTCCTGAACCGTTTCAAAGACAGACAGAGAACATTAGACTTCACAGCAATTAAACTCACTGTAGTGTACATTTACTAAAAGGACTGGAAATCTTTTTTTCAGCCAGCCCCACAGTAACAGAGCTGTTAGAAAATTTAAAAAGAAAAATCCTGAATGATGCTGTTAGTAGATAAATTAAGTGATCTTGCAAGACCCTTCTCATTTATTATATTAATACTTCAACTACATCATATTTAGTTAAAAATTTTTTGCATATTATCCTACAATTTAACCTGTTTAGTAATTTTTTTTTCACAAACCCCTTTTAATTTACCACCTTCCTCTACACACGCACAGACGCACATGCTTACTTACTCTGGTTTCAAATATTATGCATAAACTGATGTTTTGATTTGGTAGCCATAATTTCTAAGTCTGTTGATAGAAACTTGTCAATCATTTCCAAGGCAATATGTTGCCATCTAACTGTTTTGATATATGTGAAGCTCTTGTGGTTTGTCTAGTTCTTATAAAAATACTGCGTATCCCCTTTGATCCTTCGTGTACTTTCAAAACTTGATACTGGTGGGGAACTTGACTCTTCAGTTTCTTTTGAACTTGTTTTAGAATTATGACAGTGTTTTTCTAGTACAGAAAAGTAGACACACCTAGGGGACCCAAAGAGACCTGACTGTTATGTCAAACTAAGAGTGCACGTGTTATTCTTCTGACAGTTATTGAGATTAAAAAGCAGGTTAGCAGTTTTCTTAGACCATATCAGGCCCTGAAGAGGAGACAGTGGCTTTTAAATCTCTCTGTGGAGCATGTTTAGGAGGGACAGTGCCTCTCTGGGGATGGAGGTGCCTTCCAGTTCAAATACTGTTTGGAAAGTGGGGTGACTGAAATCAATTTTCTGACCCTGTTTGTGTCATCTTCCAGAACACAAAGGACTCTTTTCATAGACTTTTAAGTTTAAGCTCTGTTCCAATCTGAGCCAGTCTCCACCCTTTGGAAACCAGAATATGCCACCCCAAAATATGTCTCTCTAGCGTAAGGATTATTTTGAGCTGATTATTTGGAGGTCTACAGCCATAGGAGAAGCGCCGACAACAGAATAAAAGTTACCCTGTTAAAAGGGAAATTTACATCTCTCAAGGGAATTTCCATTCATGAAGGTGGCTTCTGTCTGTACCAAGAAAAGAAGGCTGACTGCATCACCAGAGACTCCTTTCACTGGAGAAGGTGCCAGCTGAAATCTGCAGAACAAAATCTGAAATCTGAAATCTGTTTTTGTGGACCATACTTCACCTGAATACCTACCCAGTATATGTCTCCCTCCACTCCCACCCAACATCCTTCTTTCTCTGTTTCATTTCAAGATGGTATTTAAGCCTGAACTCAAGCCACCTTTTTAAGATTTGCTCACTTTTTTTCTGGGTATCTCCCTTGTATAAATGAGTTATCACTGGAGCTCAGAAAACAGTACCCCAAAGGATGGCACTTTGGCAGCATGGGAACTTTGAAATGAAGCAAATGAAAAGATCTTAGAAGCAGCTTCAGAACCAAAGACTTTCTCACCTTCTGTTTCTCTCCCCAAGTACAGGGTGGAACTCTCTCTCTCTCTCTGAAGTTCTCTCATTTGAAGCTTCTCGAGAAGAATGAACACAATTGCCTTCAATCTCCTCCCTGAAATTTCATTAGCCAGAAAAGATTAAACTCATATTGCAGGAAGGAAGACTAAGGAATGCCACCACACCTAGACAGACTTTGTCACAAGCTGTTTGCTGTTCTTTGGTCCCATTCAGTTTCCAAAAAGAATTATTTAGAAACTATTGCCTATTTACAAATTATTCTTTGAGTCCAACCAACTCTCCTAAAAATCATACTCTTTTCAAAATTGCCTACATTCCCCCATCTCCCTCTCCCCTAAGAAGAGGGCAGTATTTAAGCTTGAACCATCTGGTCCTTCTTTGAGTCTTGTATTTTGTATGGCTCCCATGCACACCAGCACATTATTAAATGTGTATACCTTTTCTGCTAATCTATTATCAGTTTCTTTCAGCAGGCTCAAACTTTCAGAAGAGGAGGGAAAAATTCTCTTTGCTCTTATATCACACATGTTAATAAGCTTCTATTTGTTCTTCTCTGTTAATCTGTCTTTTGTTATGGGGGTCCATTCCAACTAAGAACATGAAGGGTGGAGAGAAAATGATTTTTCCTCTCCTATAACCCTTTTTGGCAGCAATGGATTACTAAAAGATTATTTTCAAAGCACAGTTTTAATTAATACTTTGAAATACACCTGGTAATACATACTAGTAGCTGGCGCAGTGCCCTTCAGTTGAGAACCTCTTTTAATGTCTAGTTAAAGATCATGTGTAATTAACATACTGATTGTTATAGAACAAATGAATTTAGATATGTATGTCAAGTTTGTACACCTAAGTAGGTTAAGTACTCCCACCTGATGTGTCTCATGCTATTAATTTGCTGAGTAAACACTATTTTTATAGTTGAAAGATCAGTTCCATTCCAGCCATTCCAAATTAGTTTTGTTCAAACTAATGAGACCTTATTAAATTCGAAAGGTGATCTAGATTGGGGATTATAGTCTTGTCACAAATCTCTCTGAAATTGGACATATATCCAGCTTTCAAGCCCCTTGGTCCATCAGCCCCAAAGCGTAATTCCTTCTAAGGTTTGCAAACCATAGAGTTTTACCTGTACCTTTGGTTTTTGCTTTTTATCATCAACTTGACTTCAACATAACTGTCCTCCTAGTTATTTTCTGTCTCGTTTTAATTGTTTTGTGCAGAACTTTAGTTTCTTTGTCTTTTCTAACTTCCACTGGATATCCTGTTTGAATCGTGGATGCATTTACATGTTGCCCCCTTACCTAGATTCTACTCTTGACTCATAATACTGCCCCACTTGGGCTAGTTTTGGGAGAAGCCCTTATCTCAACTTTTCACCTTGTCTCTATCCATAGCTTCTCTGTGGTCCTAGGCTGCAAGAAATTTTCTACCTCAAGGTCAATACTGGAAGACATCTTTTTCTGCTTTAAGATTTGGCTATCCCCTAATGTAGATGATTTTTTTCTTTCAATGGATTTCAGGTGCATGGAATTGAATTAATCATAATTCTTGGTTTATGACACACTATCAATTGGTTTATGTGTAACATTTATAATTATATGTGTGCATTTACATAGTCTTAAAAATGCAATGAATGAACCAACCCAAGAATTAGAATATAGATAATAACTTATGTTTTTCTGTGTGGTCCTCTTCAGTGTAATCATTATCTTGAATTTTGTGTGTAATATGCCATTTCATTTTTAAAATATTTAACTACAAATACATTTATGTACCTAAATAATATATTGCTTAGTTTGGGGCTGTTTAAAACTTTGGTAAAAACAAAGCTTGTCACGCTTGATTTTTTTTTCTGGGATTTACTTTTTTCACTCAACATTGTGTTACTAAACTTCATCTGTGTTGATGCTATAGCAGCTGTTTCTGCATTTTCAATGCTGTATAATATTCCATCATATTCAAGTGCAACAGTTTATTCTCCAGAAGATGGTCATTATGTTATTATCTTTATTATTATTATTATTATTATTATACTTTAAGTTTTAGGGTACATGTGCACAATGTGCAGGTTTGTTACATATGTATACATGTGCCATGTTGGTGTGCTGCACCCATTAACTCGTCATTTAGCATTAGGTATATCTCCTAATGCTATCCTTCCCCCCTCCCCCTACCCAACAACAGTCCCCAGTGTGTGATGTTCCCCTTCCTGTGTCCATGTGTTCTCATTGTTCAATTCCCACCTATGAGTGAGAACATGCGGTGTTTGGTTTTTTGTCCTTGCGATAGTTTACTGAGAATGATGGTTTCCAGTTTCATCCATGTCCCTACAAAGGACATGAACGCATCATTTTTTATGGCTGCATAGTATTCCATGGTGTATATGTGCCACATTTTCTTAATCCAGTCTATCGTTATTGGACATTTAGGTTGGTTCCAAGTCTTTGCTATTGTGAATAGTGCCACTGTAAACATACGTGTGCATGTGTCTTTATAGCAGCATGATTTATTATCCTTTGGGTATATACCTAGTAATAGGATGGCTGGGTCAAATGGCATTTCTAGTTCTAGATCCCTGAGAAATCGCCACACTGACTTCCACAAGGGTTGAACTAGTTTACAGTCCCACCAACAGTGTAAAAGTGTTCCTATTTCTCCACATTCTCTCCAGCACCTGTTGTTTCCTGACTTTTTAATGATTGCCATTCTAACTGGTGTGAGATGATATCTCATTGTGGTTTTGATTTGCATTTCTCTGATGGCCAGTGATGATGAGCATTTTTTCATGTGTTTTTTGGCTGCATAAATGTCTTCTTTTGAGAAGTGTCTGTTCATATCCTTTGCCCACTTTTTGATGGGGTTGTTTGTTTTTTTCTTGTAAATTTGTTTGAGTTCATTGTAGATTCTGGATATTAGCCCTTTGTCAGATGAGTAGGTTGCAAAAATTTTCTCCCATTCTGTAGGTTGCCTGTTCACTCTGATGGTAGTTTGTTTTGCTGTGCAGAAGCTGTTGAGTTTAATTAGATCCCATTTGTCAATTTTGGCTTTTGTTGCCATTGCTTTTGGGGTTTTAAACATGAAGTCCTTGCCCATGCCTATGTCCTGAATGGTATTGCCTAGGTTTTCTTCTAGAGTTTTTATGGTTTTAGGTCTAACATTTAAGTCTTTAATCCATCTTGAATTAATTTTTGTATAAGTTGTAAGGAAGGGATCCAGTTTCAGCTTCTACATATGGCTAGCCAGTTTTCCCAGCACCATTTATTAAATAGGGAATCCTTTCCCCATTGCTTGTTTTTGTCAGGTTTGTTAAAGATCAGATAGTTGTAGACATGCGGCATTATTTCTGAGGGCTGTGTTCTGTTCTATTGGTCTATATCTCTGTTTTGGTACCAGTACCATGCTGTTTTGGTTACTGTAGCCTTGTAGTATAGTTTGAAGTTAGGTAGTGTGATGCCTCCAGCTTTGTTCTTTTGGCTTAGGATTGACTTGGCGATGCGGGCTCTTTTTTGGTTCCATATGAACTTTAAAGTAGTTTTTTCCAATTCTGTGAAGAAAGCCATTGGTAGCTTGATGGAGATGGCATTGAATCTATAAATTACCTTGGGCAGTATGGCCATTTTCATGATATTGATTTTTCCTATCCATGAGCTTGGAATGTTCTTCCATTTGTTTGTATCCTCTTTTATTTCCTTGAGCAGTGGTTTGTAGTTCTCCTTGAAGAGGTCCTTCACATCCCTTGTAAGTTGGATTCCTAGGTATTTTATTCTCTTTGAAACAATTGTGAATGGGAGTTCACTCATGATTTGGCTCTCTGTTTGTCTGTTATTGGTGTATAAGAATGCTTGTGATTTTTGTACATTGATTTTGTATCCTGAGACTTTGCTGAAGTTGTTTATCAGCTTGAGGAGATTTTGGGCTGAGACAGTGGGGTTTTCTAGATACACAATCATGTCATCTGCAAAGAGGGACAATTTGACTTCCTCTTTTCCTAATTGAATACCCTTTATTTCCTTCTCCTGCCTGATTGCCCTGGCCAGAACTTCCAACACTATGTTGAATAGGAGTGGTGAGAGAGGGCATCCCTGTCTTGTGCCTGTTTTCAAAGGGAATGCTTCCAGTTTTTGCCCATTCAGTATGATATTGGCTGTGGGTTTGTCATAGATAGCTCTTATTATTTTGAGATACGTCCCATCAATACCTAATTTATTGAGAGTTTTTAGCATGAAGTGTTGTTGAATTTTGTCAAAGGCCTCTTCTGCATCTATTGAGATAATCCTGTGGTTTTTGTCTTTGGTTCTGTTTATATGCTGGATTACATTTATTGATTTGCATATGTTGAACCAGCCTTGCATCCAGGGATGAAGCCCAGTTGATCATGGAGGATAAGCTTTTTGATGTGCTGCTGGATTCGGTTTGCCAGTATTTTATTGAGAATTTTTGCATCAATGTTCGTCAAGGATATTGGTCTAAAATTCTCTTTTTTGGTTGTCTCTGCCAGACTTTGGTATCAGGATGAGGCTGGCCTCATAAAATGAGTTAGGGAGGATTCCCTCTTTTTCTATTGATTGGAATAGTTTCAGAAGGAATGGTACCAGCTCCTCTTTTCACCTCTGGTAGAATTTGGCTGTGAATCCATCTGGTCCTGGACTTTTTTTGGTTGGTAAGCTATTGATTATTGCCTCAATTTCAGAGCCTGTTTTTGGTCTATTAAGAGATTCAACTTCTTTCTGGTTTAGTCTTGGGAGGGTGTATGTGTCAAGGAATTTATCTATTTCTTCTAGATTTTCTAGTTTATTTGCGTAGAGGTGTTTATAGTATTCTCTGATAGTAGTTTGTATTTCTGTGGGATCGGTGGTGATATCCCCTTTGTCATTTTTTATTGCGTCTATTTGATTCTTCTCTCTTTTCTTCTTTAGTAGTCTTGCTAACAGTCTATCAGTTTTGTTGATCTTTTCGAAAAACCAGCTCCTGGATTCATTAATTTTTTGAAGGTATTTTTGTGTCTCTATTTCCTTCAGTTCTGCTCTGATCTTAGTTATTTCTTGCCTTCTGCTAGCTTTTGAATGTGTTTGGTCTTGCTTTTCTAGTTCTTTTAATTGTGATGTTAGGGTGTCACTTTTAGATCTTTCCTGGTTTCTCTTGTGGGCATTTAGTGCTATAAATTTCCCTCTACACACTGCTTTGAATGTGTCCCAGAGATTCTGGTATGTTGTGTCTTTGTTCTCATTGGTTTCAAAGAACATCTTTATTTCTGCCTTCATTTTGTTATGTACCCAGTAGTCATTCAGGAGCAGGTTGTTCAGTTTCCATGTAGTTGAGCGGTTTTGAGTGAGTTTCTTAATCCTGAGTTCTAGTTTGATTGCACTGTGGTCTGAGAGACAGTTTGTTATAATTTCTGTTCTTTTACATTTGCTGAGGAGTGCTTTACTTCCAACTATGTGGTCAATTTTGGAGTAGGTGTGGTGTGGTGCTGAAAAGAATGTATATTCCGTTGATTTGGGGTGGAGAGTTCTGTAGATTTCTATTAGGTCCACTTGGTGCAGAGCTGAGATCAATTCCTGGGTATCCTTGTTGACTTTCTGTCTCGTTGATCTGTCTAATGTTGACAGTGGGGTGTTAAAGTCTCCCATTATTAATGTGTGGGAGTCTAAGTCTCTTTGTAGGTCACTCAGGACTTGCTATATGAATCTGGGTGCTCCTGTATTGGGTGCATATATATTTAGGATAGTTAGCTCTTCTTGTTGAATTGATCCCTTTACCATTATGTAATGGCCTTCTTTGTCTCTTTTTATCTTTGTTGGTTTAAAGTCTGTTTTATCAGAGACTAGGATTGCAACCACTGCCTTTTTTTGTTTTCCATTTGCTTGGTAGATCTTCCTCCATCCCTTTATTTTGAGCCTATATGTCTCTGCACGTGAGATGGGTTTCCTGAATGCAGCACACCGATGGGTCTTGACTATCCAATTTGCCAGTCTGTGTCTTTTAATTGGAGCTTTTAGCCCATTTACATTTAAAGTTAATATTGTTATGTGTGAATTTGATCCTGTCATTATGATGTTAGCTGGTTATTTTGCTTGTTAGTTGATGCAGTTTCTTCCTAGCCTTGATAGTCTTTACAATTTGGCATGTTTTTGCAGTGGCTGGTACCGGTCGTTCCTTTCCATGTTTAGTGCTTCCTTCAGGAGCTCATTTAGGGCAGGCCTGCTGGTGACAAAATCTCTCAGCATTTGCTTGTCTGTAAAGTATTTTATTTCTCCTTCACTTATGAAGCTTAGTTTGGCAGGATATGAAATTCTGGGTTGAAAATTCTTTTCTTAAGAATGTTGAATATTGGTCCCCACTCTCTTCTGGCTTGCAGAGTTTCTGCTGAGAGATCCGCTGTTAGTCTGATGGGCTTCCCTTTGTGGGTAACCCGACCTTTCTCTCTGGCTGCCCTTAACGTTTTTTCCTTCATTTCAACTTTGGTGAATCTGACAATTATGTGTCTTGGAGTTGCTCCTCTTGAGGAGTATCTTTGTGGCGTTCTCTGTATTTCCTGAATCTGAATGTTGGCCTGCCTTGCTAGATTGGGGAAGTTCTCCTGGATAATATCCTGCAGAGTGTTTTCCAACTTGGTTCCATTCTCCCCGTCACTTTCAGGTACACCAATCAGACGTAGATTTGGTCTTTTCACATAGTCCCATATTTCTTGGAGGCTTTGTTCATTTCTTTTTATTCTTTTTTCTCTAAACTTCTCTTCTCGCTTCATTTCATTCATTTCATCTTCCATCACTGATACCCTTTCTTCCAGTTGATGGCATCGGCTACTGAGGCTTCTGCATTCGTCACGTAGCTCTCGTGCCTTGGTTTTCAGCTCCATCAGGTCCTTTAAGGACTTCTCTGCATTGGTTATTCTAGTTATCCATTCGTCTAATTTTTTTTCAAAACTTTTAACTTCTTTGCTATTGGTTCGAATTTCCTCCTGTAGCTCAGAGTAGTTTGATCGTCTGAAGCCTTCTTCTCTCAACTCGTCAAAGTCATTCTCCATCCAGCTTTGTTCCGTTGCTGGTGAGGAGCTGCGTTCCTTCGGAGGAGGAGAGGCACTCTGCTTTTTAGAGTTTCCAGTTTTTCTGGTCTGTTTTTTTCCCATCTTTGTGGTTTTATCTACCTTTGGTCTTTGATGATGGTGACGTACAGATGCACTTTTTGTGTGGATGTCCTTTCTGTTTGTTAGTTTTCCTTCTAACAGACTGGACCCTCAGCTGCAGGTCTGTTGGAGTTTGCTAGAGGTCCACTCTAGACCCTGTTTGCCTGGGTATCACCAGTGGTGGCTGCAGAACAGCGGATATTGGTGAACTGCAAATGCTGCTGCCTGGTTGTTCCTCTGGAAGTTTTGTCTCAGAGGAGTACCCGGCCGTGTGAGGTGTCAGTCTGCCCCTACTGGGGGGTGCCTCCCCGTTAGGCTACTCGGAAGTCAGGGACCCACTTGAGGAGGCAGTCTGTCTGTTCTCAGATCTCAAGCTGCGTGCTGGGAGAACCACTACTCTCTTCAAAGCTGTCAGAGAGGGACATTTAAGTCTGCAGAGGTTACTGCTATCTTTTTGTTTGTCTGTGCCCTGCCCCCAGAGGTGGAGCCTACAGAGGCAGGCAGGCCTCCTTGAGCTGTGGTGAGCTCCACCCAGTTCTAGCTTCCCGGCTGCTTTGTTTACCTAATCAAACAACTAACTGGGCAATGGCGGGAACCCCTCCCCCAACCTCGCTGCCGCCTTGCAGTTTGATCTCAGACTGCTGTGCTAGCAATGAGCGACACACGGTGGGCATAGGACCCTCCGAGCCATGTGTGGGATATAATCTCCTGGTGTGCCATTTTTTAAGCCCATTGGAAAAGCACAGTATTAGGGTGGGAGTGACCCGATTTTCTAGGTGCCATCTGTCACCCCTTTCTTTGACTAGGAAAGGGAATTCCCTGACCCCTTGCACTTCCTGGGTGAGGCGATGCCTTCCCCTGCTACTGCTCGTGCACAGTGCGCTGCACCCACTGTCCTGCACCTACTCTCTGGCACTCCCCAGTGAGATGAACCCGGTACCTCAGTTGGAAATGCAGAAATCACCCATCTTCTGTGTTGCTCACGCTCGGAGCTGTAGATCGGAGGTGTTCCTTTTCGGCCATCTTGGCTCCTCCGTTATTATCTTTACTGTTGCTTATTTTGAACAGGCCTACAAGCATCTCCTGGTGCACATGACCTAGAGTTTCTCTTGGAATAGAGTCGCTGAGTCTTTAGTTATGCATACTTTTAACTTTACTAGAAAATACCAATCTGTTTTCCAAACAGTTGTTCTAGTTTAACATTCCCACCAGCAAAATAGTAGAGTTTCTGTGTATATACATTTTCTCCAGCACTTCTTATTGTCCAATTTATTATTTTTGAGGACAATTAAGTGGGTGTAAAGTGGTATCCCCTAGAATTTTGGTTTGAATGTTCATCTTCCCTTAGGTGATTTTTCCAGAACTGGAATTCTGTATCTCCTTTGCACTAACAAAGCAGTAGATTACTGTAAAGCTATAAAACACAAATTAAATAATATGATCATCTGTAATGCAGCAGTCAAGGAGTGATTAGGATGTGCTGTGAGGACGGAAGAGAAGTCATTCTTACAGTGCAGTAGAAAAAGCCTTGGTCTTGAATCAGGAGAGTCAGTGCCTGGTCCTAGCTCTGTAAGTGATTGGCTGAGTGACTCACATGAAAACCTCATTTTTCAGTGTTTCCATTTCCTCATCTGTTATTTAAGGGTGTTGATCACAGAGAGTATGCTCTGGTCTACATTTTTGTCATTTAGTAAATCATAATCATCACATTCTTTTGGGTGTTTCTTTAAAGCATTTGGCCTCCATTTTCTCAGGTGATATTTCCAATACCTAAGTAATGTAGGCAGAGAAAAGATGAAATAAAAGCCTACAAATTTTGGCAGGGGTCTCCGTAGTGTGACTGTGGGGAGACCAGGAAGCTCCTCAAGCCCATAAATATCTCTGTTCTGGCCTCCCTTAGAGCCTAAAACTCCACAATTACTGTTTCACTGCTATAGTTCTTGAATGCCTTTGGGTCTGTTGGAGTCTTCCATTAAAATGCAAATGTCCCTGGAGGGGGTGGGGAGAGCCTTTAAGCTCATTATCACCTAAATCTTCCACAGGGATTAATTGATCAGATCCTTCCCCATCAGACACCTGGTTGGAAACAGAGCCTGTGGGAATGGGCACCTGGTTGATGAGGGGAAGCCCTGGGAGGGAGAAGAAAGGTTATAAAGAGAGAGGTGGACCAACCAGGGCTCCCTAGGGTTTGGCCATTTGCTGCTTCCCACAGGCTCATCTCTAGCCAGAAGCTCAAAATCCAGCTGGTCAAACACACTGGGCTACTGCTGTCTCCTTGGGGGGAAGTTTCCTCTTAGAACTAACTAAAGGCTGCCAACCAGCGGCAAACCCTCCTGTGTCTGCAAATGGCTGCCAAAAGCCCCTCCGCGCTACACACTTCTGTGGCAGATGCCTCTGAGCAGCCTTCTTTATGAGTCAGTGCTAAAGCCTAGCCCAGGTTCTAATGTGGCCACTCTGAGGCGTGGACAGGCCTTGTCAAAGGCTGGGCATGCGTGTGGGTGCCTCATCTGCTTTGTTTGACATCCAAACAACTCTTTTAAAATGTGGCTCTAGCCCCACCTCACAAAGGGGGCCTGAAGGGTGTTGTGGAATGTGCTTGGACCTGCTCTGTTTTCTTTCGGTCACCCACACAAAAATGTGCCTTCCCCTCCCCTGCCAGGAAACTCCCTCAGCAATGCATGGTTTTGCCTCCGCTGACCCTGGCCCCTTAACATGTCAGAATGTTAATAAAACACTACGGCTGTCATAACGCAAGGTTAAATGAAGTCTTCACAACCTGTCCATTAAGCGGATGTTTGTGTGTGTGGCTTTCTGCAGCTTCTCTCTGGATACAGCCTGTCTCAGTTTGTGGGCAGTCGATCGAGCCTTGGGCCTTTGTCTTTGTTCACTGTTGTGTTTAAATCCCCCCCATTCATTAATCATCCCTTTGCCTATTTATACCGGTGGCAAGGATAGCGAACACACTTAACGTCTGCTTTTGTTTTGGTGGCACCCTTTGTGAGGACCAAGGCAGAGCTAATTATTAACTGCGAAAAGACGTTAAAACTTTTAGATAAGCGCCAAATGCTGCATCCACTGAGACGCAGTTTTGTTTAAACCTTCGAGAGCTTGCGGCCAAGCAACTGGGGTGGCTTTATTTAGCTTTGAGTCCAGGGGAGTGATGCCAGTGCTCAGATAATTAATAGAGGCTCTCCATTAAGACCCAGCCGGGCAGCAGAATCCAAGCGCCCTGTATGCACCTCTGAACACCCAGCTGGGTCATCCAGACCTGAGCAGGCACAGGCAGGGGTGGCAGCTTCAGACGTAGGGCTCAAGGGGGCTCCTCCAACCTATATGTTTACATTTCCTGTGTACATTTCCTGTGAAGATCTTCGTTGTCAGCTTTTGGTGACTTTTACACCCTCCAGTAGGATCCTGATTTTCCTTTGCTGTTGGACATTTTGTGGAGCCAACTATTTTAGGTACAGCTATATCAGCTTATTAAACAGTTATGCGGCTTGCTACTGTTCTTCTGAAAGAGGTCTCCCCGACCACGTTTTCTAAAGCAGTTGCCTAAGCCCACAGCCATCCCTCAGTTACCTCTATTCCATTACCCAGTTTTTTTTTCCCCTCCAAGGCATCTGTCGCTATTTGAAATAATCGTATTTGTTTGTATTTCTTGTCTGTTTGATACTAGAATGTAAACCTCTTGTATCCTTTGCACTTAGCTCTTGATCGTCGCCTGGCACATATCAGGGGCCAAACAGATATTTATTTTATGTGTGGGGGAGGAAAAAAATATATTTCCCTCTACCCATTCTAGGCTCATTGGCCAGGGCCCTGTAAATTAGATTGCCAAAAGATAGGTTAACAAGAGAAAAGTATTTTTTGTTGTTGTTGTAAATTTTATTTTTGAATTGCATTTTTTCCTGCTGATACATGAAAAAGCAATTTTTTGTTTTCATATTATACACAACATCCTAACTTAACTTTTGTTTATTTACTAGTTTGCATTTCTTAAGTAGACAGTCATATTATCTACAAGCAAAAGATTTGTTTCTTCCTTTCCAATCCTTATAGTTTTTATTGCTTTTTCTTATCTTATTACACTATATAGGACCTCCAGTGTAATGTAGGATAAAGTAGTAATGGAATTATATCCCAAAAGTTTTCTTAAAAATAAAGAAAGCCCACATTACTAGTTTACCCACATAATAAAATTTCTTAGAACCACATAATAAAATTTCTTAGAACATAAAATTCTTCGTTTTTAAGTATCCAATTCATTGGTTTTTAGCATATCCACAAGGTTGTGCAACTGTCACCACTATTCAATCAAAAACATTTCCGTCATTCCAAAGAGACACCCCTTAACCATTTATACTTACTCCCAATCTGCCTCTTCCTTCAGCCCCTGATAACCTTAATCAACTTTCTGTCTCTATAGATTTGCCTATTCTTGGCATTTTATACAAATGTAGTCATACAACATGTAGCCTTTCATGTCTGGCTTCTTTCATTTGGCATAGTGTTTTCAAGGATGATTCTTATTGTATCATAAATCAGAACTTCCTTTCCTTTTTATGGGTAAATAATATTCCATTGTATAGATATACCATATTTTATCTATCCATTAATCAGTTGATGGACATTTTGGTTATTTCTACATTTTGGCTATGATGAATAATGAATAATGCTGCTATTAATATTTTTTGTATACGTTTTTGTGTGAATATGTTTTTCAGTATCTTGATTATATACTTAGGAGTGGAATTTCTGGGTCATATGGTAACTCTATGTTTAATTTTTTGGGGAACCACCCAGCTGTTTTCCATAGGTAGTGCCATTTTACACATTTCCACTAGCAATACATGAGAGTTTCAATTTCTCTACATCTTCACCACTACTTGTTATTTTTTCTTACAGTGATCCTGTGGGTGTGAAACAGTATCTCTTTTGGCTTTCATTTGTACTACTCTAAAGACTAATGAAGTTGAGCATCTTTTCATGTGCTCTTTGATTATTTGTATATCTTCTTTAAAAAACTGTCTATTCACATTTTTTGGCTTTTTTTTTTGAGACAGAGTATCACTCTGTAGTCCAGGCTGGTGTGCAGTGGCGTGATCTCGGCTCACTGCAACCTCCACCTCCTGGATTCAAGCAATTCTTCTGCCTCAGCCTCCCAAGTAGCTGGGATTATAGGCATCCGCCACCACGTCCAGCTAATTTTTGTATTTTTAGTAGAGACGGGGTTTCACCATGTTGGTCATGCTGGTCTCGAACTCCTGACCTCGTGATCTGCCCACCTCGGCCTCCCAAAGTGCTGGGATTACAGGCATGAGCCACCACGCCTGGCCTTTTTTGGCTATTTTTAAATTGAGTTATTTGTCTTTATATTGTTGAGTTACAAGAGTTCTTTATATATTCTGGATACTAAACCTTTATCAGATAAATGGTTTCTAAATATTTTCACCCATTCTATAGGTTGTATTTTTGGTTTCTTGGTAGTATTTCTGATAAACAAAATTTTTAATTTTGATGAAATTCAATGTATTTATTGTTTTCTTTGATGGCTTGTACTTTTGGTGTTACATCTAAGAAACTATTGACTAATCCAAGGTCATGAAGATACACACCTGTGTGCTCCTCTAAGAATTTTGTATCTTTGGCTTATTCATTTAGGTCTTTTATTAAGTTTGGATTTTGTATATGGTGTGAGGTAGGGTGGGTCCAAATGTAGTCTTTTGCATGTGGATATCCAGTTCTCCCAGTATTATATGTTGAAGAGACTGGAGAGTGGGCATTCTTGTCAGGTTCTTGATTTTAAAAGGAATGTATGCTGTTAGATTTTTTAAATGTAATATTTATCAGATAAAAGTATTCTATATAATTATGATAATCTAAGAGTTTAAATCACATACTAGCCTCTTCACTGGAATGTGAGAACCAATGTCATTCCCTTCATTAGGGGTGCAGTCCTGGGATATAACCTTGGCAATAGAAATTTAGTGCTTCCTGTACCTAGAACAGTCACGAAACAAGATAAAGAGAAGGTACCTATTGCTAGTCCTGTTCAGCAGAGTGACTATTCCTGAGACTTGGCTAGCTCATAGATCTTAACTTTTGTGCCTGCTTCAAATGTTGGCAGTGGCCATATGGACTGTTGTGTTTAGAAGTCTTAGGTTGCTCTGATATCACAGCGATTGATTAATGATATCTGAAACCTGCATGAAAAGAGATAGGCAATATAGATATGACACATTTGCCATTCTTGTATTGGTCCCTCTTTCTCTGTCAGATCTGTCGTACTTGACCCTTTTTACATTAAATTGCTCTGTGGATAGAACCCCTTTTCTTTCTTGATCATTGGATTTGGCCATTTTTCTCTTGTTCAGCTTAATGCTTAGTTCTGACTCCTTCTGATGGATACATCCTGTTTAATACTTATGTATCAGAGAACAAAGTCACAAGCTTTGCTAAGGTAGACACATGTGTTTGACAGTCCTGGCCCCAGGTATTCTGTTTTGTTGTCAGATTACGTGTCAGAAGAATATATCCCCATAAGGAGTGAGAAAATGAGATAAAAAATACAATATTCAGAATGACAATTAGAGCATCTAGACCAAACAATATCATAGGCAACCTCTATGTCTTTTTGAAAAATACAATATAAAAGATGACTTGCAGTGAAGGAGGTAGTCCTCTTTCATGAGACATGTAGGGAATAAGGTTGAATGATCAACTAATGTCCCAAAGTCTCACATGCCATATGGAATCAGTATCATGTTGATGGTTTGGAGAATTTCCTAGGAATGCAGTCTGTGGTACCAATATTGCCCTTTCCGAAGGCTTAGGGGTCTGCCTTTATGATCAAGGCTTTTATCTGCATTACAGTTCCTGGCACTTGAAAGCTTCTGATATATTGGATTATTTGGGATTAACATTCAGCATCAAATAGTATAGAACTTCATACCTCTCTCATGGCATGGTCCGGACATTAGCAAGGCGGGACTTGTGCAGTGGCTCCATTGTGGCAGGGAGTCAGCTCATTCTAGCTCATTCATGTACCATGTTTATAGTCCCTGTGGCAAAGAAGACTCATCTCCCCATTGTTGTATCACATTAAGCAAAAATGCAAAAAGAAGGAGAAAGCATGCTCATTCTTCTTAAGGACATTGCCTGGATGTTGTATAAGTCATTTCGGCTCTCATTCCCTTTTGCCAGAACTTAAGTTACATGACCACACCTCTTTGCATGTTCCCATCAAAAAAAACCTAGCAGTGTATTTCCTAGAGAAGAATGAGACAATAGATTTTGGAGAACAACCAGCAGTCTCTGCTGAATAACAATATTTTGTTAAATAAATGAGAAAAGCTAAATCAAAATAAAACAGTGTAGAAATATATTACCCTTAAGATCACCAGATCCAAGCCTTTAATGATCTTAATGGAAAAGAACACAGATCTAGTATTCCAGACATCCATGAACTTTTATTTCAAGGATGTGTTGCTATGGGGCACCCTTCATTTGCTGGCAGTAACCTGAAACCTGGGATGAAATGAACATACCTGAAATCTCTGTCACTCTTCTCCCTAAAGGTCATCAGAGGAGTTGCTTCTACAACCTAAGAGGAAGGATCATTAATTTCTTAATCTGTCTAAGGGTAGATCGTCACTTACCTGGAAGCTGTTTTATAAAGGGAATATGTTAGAATGGTAGACAATATTAGCATTTTTCAATATATGATTTTCATTTCCTTTCTGAGCTGAGATATGAAATGCCCCTGTGCAACTTCCTATTTAACTTACATCCCAGCTGAGGTCATCTTAGAGGGTACCTTGTATTTTGGGATGGTGGAATCACAACATCCATCTAGTAACTAGCTTACTAGACAGCTGCCCTAGAGAGTCATTCACATCCACGTTGATATTGTTTAAGCGCCTAAACTTTTGCTGTATTAGGGTGATAAGATTTAGGGATTTCTGGTTCCTGCATATGACGCAGTCTATCCTGACTATCACATTTTGCAAGTACTTATCAGCCTCCAGGTGTAAACAGAGTCATTGATTATGGAGTCCTGGAATTGACTAGAAATAGGAAAAGTATTTACTCTCAAATATCTTAAAATGTGGCTAACTCATCCAATTATAGCAACTCAAGGTCTAATTGTAAGCCAAGTCTTACAGAATTGTGTTCTTAAAACAAAAGAGTGATTAGTGTTGGATATGGTTCATCTGGGAAGACTTCCTTTAACAGGAAAAAAAAATCACTTTCTCCATCTGTGCTGGAAGAAAGTAACTCAAACACAGTCAGGAACAGAGAATGTATGCAATGTAAATGGCTAAACCTGACAGCCTCTGGCTAATTGGAAGTGTCGGTGTTATTGTGCTTAGGTTAATGGGGCTCTTTAGTTTACCATCTGAGCTGCTTCTCCCAAGGAATCACAGCAACCAGCAGTCTCCAAGGGCTCAAAAACCCTGGAGGACTTCTCTTTGGTCCCTGGGAGCTGCACCCTGGGCACTTACAGCAAGCTCACAGGTGATGAGAACTCATAGTTCAGCATTTTGCTTCTCTTCTATGAAAAAAACCGACTGTTTTCTTCATAAATTAGACCCAGCCAAAGATCTTGATTCTTCCATTATTCTTTCCAAACAGTGTCATAAAAGAGAAGAACAAGAGGGTGGACTAGGGACCTCTGACTTCTGACCCTTCCTCCTTAAGCAGCCTGATATACTCTGCAGGCTGCCCTTCTGATGGCCACAGATGACAGGAAGAGTTGCTGAAAAAAAAAATATGGGCTTAACCAACATTCACAGACCAACTCCATGCCTGGCAGTCCCTGAGCCACATCTTTGACTTATGATATTAGAGGAGTATTATGGGCCATTGGTTTAGATTCTTTATGATAGCATTGACATGTCATAGAATGTCAGCTGGGGACTTAAGGCTCATGATAGCTCAAGATGACATACCATTAGGCTTAGACTAGGCAACAAGTGGCTATTGGAATGATGGGACATTTATAGGAGAGCAGGTAAGATCAGATTTCTTCCAAGATACATTCTTTCTCCTGTAGAGGCTTTTGTCATTTCACTTATCCCACTGAATTACTTTCCCTGTTGTGTTAGGTATGCCTCAGGGGCAGAGAACGTAATACATTTCACTTTTAGGTTCTTGGTGCCTGGAGGAGTGTGTAATGCATAGTTGCTGCTCAGTTAATAATGTTTGTATTGAATGGAAATAACCAAGAGTCTTTGGTCTAGAGAGGAGGAGAATGAAGTGTCATGATCAAGATCTGTTAAATCCTACATGGGGAAGACTAGGTTGAAAGGGGAGTTAGTTGCTAAGTCCTAAATACAGAGTTGGGAGACTCCCTTTTGAAAATGGATCAAGGTAAATTTAGGACCAATACAAAGATGATCCAGTTTCCACGTCAGGAAATAAGCTTCTAGATCTCATTTTCCAAAAGATGATAGTGGAAAGAAGCAAATGAATTTTTGCCATAGTATATTTCAAATTGAAGAATGGCACAGCTTTTAATAGCTTAGAACTGGGTGCAGTGGCTCACACCTGCAATCTGAGCTACTTGGGAGTCTGAGTCAGGAAGATCACTTGAGGCTAGGAGTTTCAGACCAGCTGAGCAACATAGCCAGACCCTGTTGCCAAAAAAGTTTTTTAAAAAATTAGCCAGGTGTGATAGCATGCACCTATAGTCTCAGCTACTCAGAGGGCTGAGGCAGGAAGATTGCTTGAGCCCAGGAGTTCAAGGCTGCAATGAGCTATGAGTGTGCCACTGCACTGCAGCCTGGGTGACAGAGTGAAATACTGTCTCTTAAAAACAAAAAAAAAGACCCTAAATGAAGGCTTAATGTAGACCTCCGAGATGGACAGCCTGAGCCTCCAATGACTCATTTTTTAGCATTAGTGACAATAAAAAAAATTATGTGTATGTGTGTATAGGCATGTGTCACTTAGCAATGGGGATACATTCTGAGAAATGATAGATGAAATTAGGTGATTTTGTCATTGTGTGAACATCATAGTATATGCTTAATACAAACCTAGATGGTATAGCATGCAATACACCTAGGCCATATGGTATAGCCTATTGCTCCTGAGCTGCAAACCTGTACAGCATGTTCCTGTACAGAATACTGTAGGCAGTTGTAACACAATGGTAAGTATTTGTGTATCTAAACAAAAAAAAAGTTACAGTAAAATACGATATTATAATCCTATGGGACCACCATCTTATATGTGGTCCATTGTTGACTGAAATATCATTATGTGATATTTGACTGTATATGGGACTGGTCAAATATGTTTTCCTTTTCTATGATGGCCTCAGAGCCATCATAGACTATCTATAACTTCATCTCTAACCATTCTTTCATGTGAATCTTATGTCCTAGGGACTTTGATCTACACATTGTACTTTAGACAGACCATTTAACCTGCATTTATTCTCTTTTCCTTTTCCTACCCCCTTTGCCTCCTTCTTCCTGGTAACCTTCATTTTTGCTTTCCTATATAAAACCTTCTAAACCAGGCCCCTTTGACCTCTCTCTTCTTACGTACTAATGGCAGGTGTAGACTTTACTGATGGTTTGCTGATAGCTGCCTTTAATTATTATTTATGTTTTTAGGCACTTATTCTACTTCTCCAAACTTAAGACTAGTGAATACATGGTCCTTTGTGATTTAGCTAGAGTAGAAAGCTCAGTCTTATGAAATGAAAACTGATATATTTTTTAAAGAGAACGTACTACGAAGAAACAACAAAGAATTAATAAAAATGTTAAAATCAGTAACATATCACTAACAATATTACTAAAGATGCAACCATTAGATTTTAAAAATCTAATTTAATGGATTGACTTGTTGAATATCAGAACTGCAAGAAACCTTAAAGATCATCATGCTGAATTCTTATCTCATACTGGTAGATGTACAACTCCAGGACAATTAATTTAGTGGTAGAGTTAAAAATGTTATTCCTTCTAATAACCTAGAAATTCTCATACATATGTATATGTCCTAAAGAAGCTTGGATATATTCATAAAGTAACATTACAGAGATATCTACTAATAGCATTGTTTTGTGATAATGAAAAATTTGAAGCAAAATAAATGTTCATTAATAGGAAATTAGATAGATAAAATGCATTCTATTCATGAGATAGAATTCTAGACAGAGGTTAAATGGATCAAAAGGAATAAAACTTAAAGAAAATCATATGGTAAGTAGAATATGTACAAGCTCATATCCATTATTATCAAAACAATGTTATTTCTGGATGCACATAGATGTTGAACTTTAAAAACTGATTCGTGTTCTTTATTTTTTAATTTGGAAAAATATACCTTAAAGTGATTATGCTGAATAAAACAACCATCTAACATTCTTATTTTCAAATAAGGAAATGCACATCAAGAGTTGTGCTTGGTGTATGGACCATGTTTGGACCCTATTTTGAACCAAATGAATATTAAAAACTTTATGAGTGCCACATCTTCTGTCATCAGGGAAATGCAAATTAAAATAATGAGATACCACTGTGCACCTATTAGAATAGCCAAAATCTAGAACACTGACAACACCAAATGCGGATGAGGATGTAGAGCCTTAGGGACTCTCATTCATCTCTGGAGGGGAAACAAAATGAGACAGCCACTTTGGAAGATAGTTTGGTGGTTTCTTAGAAAACTGAACATAACTTAGCTTATGATCCAGCCATCACACTCCTTGGTATTTACTCAAATGAGTTGAAGACTTATGTCCACATAGAAACTTGCGTTCAGGTGCTTATGGCAACTTTATTCATAACTGCCAAAACTTGGAGGCAACCAAGAGGTCCTTCAGTAGGTGGATGGGAAATAAACTGGGGTACATGCAGACAATGGAATGCTATTCAACACTAAAAAGACATGAGCTATCAAACCATGCAAAGACATGGAAGAAACTTAAATGCATATTCATAAGTGAAAGAAGCCAACCTGAGTTATATGCTGTATGATTCTAGCTATATGTCATTCTAGAAAAGGCAAAACTATAGAGAGAGCACAAAGAGCAGTGGTTGTCAGGTGTTATGGGGGAGGAAAGGATGAATAGGCAGAGAACAGAGGATTTGGGGGGCAGTAAAAATACTCTGTATGATAGTGTGATGACTGATACATGTCATGTATCTGTCTAAACCCATGGAATGTACAACACCAAGCGAACTCTAATGTAAACTATGAGCTTTGAGTAATAACGATGGGTTGATGTAGGTTCATCAGTGTAACAATTGTGCCACTCTGGTGGGGGATGTTGATAAGGGGGGAGGCTATGTATGTATCCCCCCATTTCCCAGGGGTATATGGGAAATCTCTGTACCTTCTTCTCAATTTTGCTTTCGAATTTAAAACTGCTCTAAGAGAAGTCTTTTTTTTTTTTTTTAAAGGGAAATCTGAAGCAAATATTAGAAACATATTAGGGTGGTAGATTCACATGTGTCATTTTATCTTGTCTCTGGACCTTAAATATTTTATAATTGAAAGTAAAAAGTTCTTAATGTAAAAAAAAAGACTGAAATGATCAGGGAAATCTGACACTGACTGGATATTTGATAACAGTAATTATAAGCTTTTTTAGGTATGACAATTGTGGTTATATTTAAAATTTTTTTTCTTAGAGGTACCTAAGAGTATGTATGGAAGAAATTATTTGATGTCTGGGATTCATTCAAAAAAAATTTGCTTGGGAGAAGAGGGAATAGATGTGAGTAGATATAGTTGAAACTAGATTAGCTGTGTGTTGATTTATAGATACAAGAGGGCTCATTATACTGTAGTCTCTATACTTACAATTTTTTTGAAATACTCCCGCCAAATTTAAAAAATTGGCCTTAAAATATAGTTTTAGAACCAATGCTCCTTATCCAGTGCTGTTTACAATCTATCTCATTGAGACCATGATAGGTTGGACTCTCTACACTGGCCAGAGCAAGAAAGGGTACATAAGCAGGTTTTGCTTACAATTATTTTCTTACTGGAGGAAGTTTCGTACAAAGAGTAATTTTTATTTATGAAAAGCAGTCCCCCGTTGAGCCATCAGTTCTAGTTGAGGTGTATCTAAGATTTCTTTTTCTTTCCAAACATGTCAAAGCAACCAAGCCACGTGATTGAGAGTGTGGGGGCCTGAAACACCCGCAAGCAACCGCAAGGGGTGGGAGGTTACTCATTCCAACTTTTATGATGTCCCGAGAAACGGTTGCGATAAGAGAAAAGACTAAAAAATAAACGAGAGATAACTGAGATAATGGGAAAAACAGAGGGAAACAAGACAACACTCTCCAGTCTTTGGCTTGAGATATTTATTATGCCAAGGGAGATAAATTGGAGAAACATGAAAAGGGAAAGAGATCTTGTCTCTGACTCACGTATTTCTCTTTAAGTGAATGAGCAATAACACCGGAATAAAAGAGCTCAAAACAGAGCCATGTGCTCAGCCAAAATCATGGTTCCTAATGAATTTCAACGTTGGCAGAAGCCTCACACGTTGTACTTGAACAGCTTTCTTGATTTTGAATTATACATGTAATTCATCCTGACCAGAATGTAGCCTGAGAGCCGAGATCCGAATGTGAGTGGGAAATGAGAATGCTGGTCACGTGCTAGAGCCGGTCTTTCTTCTTCACGTCAGAAATGTCTGTGCTGTCATCAGTTTGGACAGTTCTGGGAAACAAACAAACAAACAAAACTTAGGAAATCAATTGTTTGGAGTCATCTTGGCAAATACATTGTCATATGACATATTTTCTTTTCCTACCAGGCTGTTCTGTATTAGAAAGACACAGCCCAAGATAGTCAGACTACAACGCATGAAACAAATGTTGATGAACAGAAAGGGTCACCGATGAGGCCAACAGTCCAAAACTGTCCACCTGGCCTTCCTGCCCTGTCTTTTAACAGGACAGAGGAGGATGAAGGGGAACAAGATAGACCTAGATGTGGTGGCACCTTAGAAAATTTAACCAAAAGAAGGGCTGTTGTTTTGCTGATTCTACTCAGTGAATGCAGTGGAAAGAAAATCAGATTCAGTGGGAAGAAAATCAGATTCTGCTCGCTCTGTTTTTAAATAGTGGGTGAGCTTTAGCTCACATTTCATAGAGCAAACTTTTTTAGGGTATAAAATAATATTCTTTAGTAACTAAATTTACAGTCTTTGTTCACTGTAACTTTGACTTTACTTCTGAATAACTGCAGCTGACAGGTCATTTCTGACTATTACATGTGTTTTTTCTTGAGTTCAAGCTAATAACCCAAAATGTTAGTCAATCCTGCAAGTGTTATTTGCATGTCCTTAGGTTTTGTTAAGGTACTTCGTGCTGTGGTGTTTACTTTGGGATAGAATTAAACTGTTGTGGGAAGGTGCTTTCAAGAAAGTGCTTACGAGAACAAAAGTTGTTTTGAAGGTAGGTAGGTAGGTGGAGGGAAGAAGAAAGGAGAGAGAGAAGGGAAAAGATCGCTGGCAGAGTTGGAAAAACCAGTAGGTTCCAATCCCAAATCTACCATTTACTAGCCCTATGAATTTGGGCAATTTATTTAACAAGCCTCTTTGATCCTGTATTAGTCAATTCTCGCATTGCTACAGAGAAATACTGGAGACTGTCTAATTTACGAAGAAAAGACATTTAATTGGCTCACAGTCCTGCAGCCTGTACCAGAAGCATAACACAGCCATCGGCTTCTGGGGAGGCCTCAGGAAGCTTTCAATCATGACAGAAAGTGAAAGGGGAGCAGGTGGATAGTGGGAGCAGGAGCAAGAGAGAGGGAGATGCTACACACTTTTAAACAGCCAGATCTCATGAGAAGTCACTTGTTATTGCAAAAACAGTACCAAGAAGATGGTGCTGAGGCATTTGTGAGAAATCCATCACCGTGATCCAATAACCTCCCACCAGGCCCCACCTCTAATCCTGGGATTACAATTCAACATGAGATTTGGGGAGGACACGCATCCAAACTATATCAGCCCCTCAGATTATTTATGTAGAAAATGCAGGTGATCACTACCTACCTTGTTGTGTTGTTATGATGATTATAGATAATGGCATTATTTTTAAAAGAAAGGAATGAAAGGGAAAGATACATATTCTAAAAATGAAAAATCTCCCAAAGCAAATCATATTTATAGGTCTGTTGCTATAATTCCAGATTTTAATTTTATTAAATGTTCAGAAAAGAACAAATCACAGATCCTTGGTTCCAAATAAGCACATGGGAAATTATGTGAATATTATTAAAACGTGAGCTTCTTGTGACAATAGTGACATTATTGGAACATAAATGGCAGCTCAGTCAGCGTCTCCTTGTAACTATATCAAAGAAAAGACAGTTGCAGCTTTGTTCTCTGTGTGACCCACTTGGGGTTTGGCTGCTTGTTGATGGATATTATCATTTTTAATGTCAGTAAATAATGTGATGTCAGATAAATGACCTGTTTCCTTTCTGTGGTATAAAGCTCATTTATCTTTAGGGAGCTTGAGTGTGTAGAGAAATCTGAGTGGGACCAAGGGTTTCTGACTATGCAGGATGGGACTTTTTTTATTAATCCTGCTTAACATGAGTCCCAGGCAGTCACATTCAATTCTAAATGTATGTGTGGTAAATCAATGGAAGTGATATGCATTTACCATAGACTGTTTTACTGATTGGAGAAAAACAGAAAGTAAACTTTTTTTTTCAACTTGAAGAAAATGATGCTATACATAAAGCATTACTGTGCACGTGCATGTAGTAGACAGAAGACATCTTTCTATGTAATTCATACTTGGCTTAGCTAGACCCTTGTTGCTTTAAGGAATTACGGTGGTATAAAATTAAGGATCAGGAAGATGCATTTTAATTAACTTTACTGCTAATAGCTTTGGAGATCACAAAAATGTGAACTATGGTAGAGTCAAAAAGATTCTGAGATCACAGGAAATTATGATTTTGATTTCTGGGCTGTAGTATCTGCTTCCTTCCTAAGATGACCACTGAAAAGTCCACATCTTTTATTTCTGAAGATGAGTCTCATGAATCCATTGTCTCTGTTTTTCATGACTGCACATTTAGCCAAAGTCACTGGAATGCCATATTCTCTGATGGGAGATTTAGTCAGGGCAAAAAAGGGCCATTTGCTTTTCTGGAAACCTTTAGACAGGGTGACAATTATTCCAATGAGTTTTTCTTAATATTGTGAGCTCATTTTGAA
Organism: Homo sapiens; assembly: GCF_000001405.40. Taxonomy (NCBI): domain Eukaryota; kingdom Metazoa; phylum Chordata; class Mammalia; order Primates; family Hominidae; genus Homo; species Homo sapiens. The sequence continues at coordinate 76,164,022 of NC_000010.11, forward strand.
ACACTTCCTTAAACAACCCTCTGAAGTTTCCTAGGAAAATTCATGGACTCTCAGAGAACCAAGTCTGGAAGCCTCTTTAGAAATCATTTAATTAAAATGTTTGATTTTTTTTTCCGATGAGAAATCAGAGGTAAGGAATTTGCTCTAGGTCCCAAGGTGAGTTTCCTGCATAGGAGACTGAACACAAAGGCTTTGTGTTTTTACTAAAACATTATTGTTTTGTCAGATATTGAAATGTCCACTGATGATTTAATGATTAAAACTGAGAATTTTTTAGATTTACTTTTCTCAGTTCCATCATATTATAGAGCTGGCAGAGAGGGTAGAGTAGGTATTTATTTTACTACCCAATGAGTAGTCTCGAGAAAGACAGTGTCCACCTGTTTTTTCTAGAATAGGGGTTGGCAAATTACAGCCCATAAACCAAATATGGCCAGTGGCTTGTTTTTTGTTTGTTTGTTTTTACATATGAGCTACGAATGCTTTTTACATTTGTAAAAGGTGGCAAAAAACCACCCAAAAAACAAAGAATATTTGAGATATGTGGTGAAGGCCATGTGTGGTCTGCAAAGAATGAAATATTTCCTATCTGGCCCTTTACAGGAAAAGTTTGCCAATCTGTGATCTAAAATATTCAGAGAAAGGTTCTGTGACCTTCCTTGTAGATCCCACAATACTTTTGTGTTTATATTTTTTAAATGAGCATCACAGATTGCAGGAAAATAGGAAACAATTTAATTTAATTTAATTTTTAGCCTTGAAAAAAATTCCTTTTATTGAATTTATTTATTTTTCCAGCTGTAAAATTGGAGGCACCACTCAGACCTTGTTTGGCTCTATCATTTTATGAGTTTATGGATTACAACAGTGAACAAAGGGCACGTGTATCAGTCCTTTCTCATGTGAGACTACGTAATTTATAAAGAAAAGAGGGTTTGTTTGTTTATTTGTTTTTGTTTTTGTTTATTGAGACGAAGTCTTGCTCTTGTCCCCCAGGCTAGAGTGCAATGGCACAATCTTGTTTCACTGCAAACTCTGCCTCCCAGGTTCAAGCAATTCTCCTGCCTCAGTTTCCCAAGTAGCTGGGATTACAGGCACCTGCCACCATGCCCACCTAATTTCTGTATTTTAAGTAGAGATGGGGTTTCACTATGTTGGCCAGGCTGGTCTCGAACTCTTGACCTCAGATGATCCATCCGCCTCGGCCTCCCAAAGTACTGGGATTACAGGCGTGAGACGCCATGCCCAGCCAAAAAGAGAGTTTTTTTTGAGACAGAGTCTTGCTCTGTCACCCAGGCTGGAGTACAGTGGTGTGATCTTGGCTTACTGTAACCTCTGCCTTTGGGTTCAAGCAATTCTCCTGCTTCAGTCTCCCAAGTAGCTGGGACTACAGGCATGCACGTCCATACCTGACTAGCTTTTGTATTTTTAGTAGAGACGGGGTTTCACCATTTTGGCCAGGCTGGCCTCAAATGCCTGACTTCAAGTGATCTGCCAGCCCCAGCCTCTCAAAGTGCTGGGATTACAGGCGTGAGCCATTGCACCCAGCCAAGAAAAGAGGTTTAATTGACTCACAGTTCCTCATTGGCTGAGGAAGACTCAGGAAACCTACCATCATGGCAGAAGAGGATGCAAACATATCCTTCTTCACATGGCAGCAGGAGAGAGAAGAATGAGTGAAGGAGGGGAATAGCCCCTTATAAAACCACCAGATATCGTGAGAACTCATGATCATGAGAACAATATGAGGGTAGCCGCCCCCATTATTTAATTATCTCTTACCAAGTCCCCCCCACAACACGTGTGGATAGTGGGAGCTACAATTCAAGATGAGATTTGGGTGGGAACACAAACAAACCATATCAGCACACTCATTCAGCACATATTCAGTGGGTATCGAGAGGCTATGCTGGATGCTTTGGGTAGGTTGGTGAACAAACAGTATGGTTCTTGCCCTTCTAGACCAATATTCAGTGGGAATACAGAGGGAAAGAAGAAATAATGAAGTAAACAATGATGGGCATTTGTAGCGGTTAGGCAGGATTCAGTGTCAGATAACTGTCAAGGGGAAATTCCTGAGAGACTCCACCCACTGATCATTTGTCCGATGTGAAGGGCAATTTATCCTAACTTCCACACATATTTATGGGTCATTTTCTATGTACCAGGCATGAGGCTGTCTGTTAGGTTGAGTTCTCAGTCAAAACCATGGACAAAGGCCTCCTTTTGGACATTTTCCCAAACCTGCTTGGTTCTTTGTTAAAATGGTACTTGTTCCAACCTTCTTTTGTTTGTTTTTAACTTTTATTTTAAGTTCAGGGGTACATGTGCAGGTTTGTTATATAGGTAAACTTCTGTCATGGATGTTTGTTGTACAGATTATTTTGTCACCCAGGTACTGAGCCTAGTATCCATTAGTTACTTCTCCTGATCCTCTCCCTCCTCTCAACCTCTACCCTCCAGTAGGCCCCAGTGTCTGTTCTTCCTCTCTTATGTGTCCATGTGTTCTCATCATTTAGCTCCTACTTATCAGTAAGAACATGTGATATTTGGTTTTCTGTTCCTGTGTTAGTTTGCTAAGGATAATGGCCTCCAGCTTCATCCATGTTCCTGCAGAGGACATGATCTTGTTCTTTTTTATGGCTGCGTAGTATTCCATGGTATATATGTACCACATTTTCTTTATCTAGTCTACCATTCATGGGCATTAGGGTTGATTCCATGTCTTTGCTATTGTGAATAGTGCTGCAGTGAACACATGAATGTGTATGTCTTGATGACTGAACAACTTATATTCCTCCTAGGTCGAATGGTAGCTCTATTTTTAGCTCTTTGAGAAATCACCACACTGCTTTCCACAATGGTTGAACTAATCTAGACTCCCACCAACAGTATTTAAGCATTCCCTTTTCTCTGCAACCTTGCCAGCATCTGTCTTATTTTTTGTTTGTTCGTTTGACTTTTTATAATAGATAGCCATTCTGACTGGTGTGAGATGGTATCTCATTGTGGTTTTAATTTGCATTTCTCTAATTATCAGTGATGTTGAGCTTTTTTTCATATGCTTGCTGGCCACATGTATGTCTTCTTTTGAAAAGTGTCTGTGTTTCTTGCCCACTTTTTGATAGGGTTGTTTGTTTTTTTCTTGTACATTTGTTTAAGTTCCTTATAGATGCTGGATATTAGACCTTCGTCAGATGCATAGTTTTGCAAATATCTTCTCCCATTCTGTAGGTTGTCTGTTTACTCTGTTGATAGTTTCTTTTGCTGTGCAGAAGCTCTTTAGTTTAATTAGATCCCATTTGTCAATTTTTGCTTTTGTTGCAATTGCTTTTGGCATCTTTGTCATGAAATCTTTGCCTGTTCCTATGTGCAGAATAGTATTGCCTATCTTGAGTTAATTTTTGCATATGATGTACGGAAGGGGTCCAGTTTCAATCTTTGGCATATGGCTGGCCAGTTATCTCAGCACCATTTATTAAATAGAGAATCGTTTCCCCATTGCTTGTTTTGTCCAATTTGTCAAAGATCAGATAGTTGTAGATATGTGGCCTTGTTTCTGAGTTCTTTATTCTGTTCCATTGGTCTATGTATCTGTTTTTGTACTAGTGCTAGGCTGTTTTCATTACTGTAGCCCTGTAGTATAGTTTGAAGTTGGGTAGTATGATGCCTCCAGCTTTGTTCTTTTTTGCTTAGGATTCCCTTGGCTATTTGGGCTCTTTTTTGGTTCCATATGAATTTTAAAATAGTTTCTTGTAGTTCTTTGACTAATGTCAATGGTAGTTTAATGGGACTAGCATTGAATTTATAAATTGCTTTGAACAGTATGGCCATTTTCATGATATTGATTTTTCCCATCCATGAGCATGGAATGTTTTTCCATTTGTTTGTGTCATTTCTGATTTTTTTGAGCAGTGTTTTGTAGTTATCCTTTTAGAGGTCTTTCACTTCCCTGGTTACCTGTATTTCTAGGTATTTTATTCTTTTTGTGGCAATTGTGAATGGGATTGTAGGGAATCCAATTTCAAAAGAGGCCTACTTGGGACCAATTTTAGGAATAGTTTTTGTCCTCAGGAATAATCCACCTGCTTTATAAATTATACATTAAGCCCTGAGCTAAAATATGGGCAAATCTGTCTCTCTCCTCTTCCATAGAACTTTTGCTGACTTGTTAGCCACAGGACTTTGAATTATATAATTTCTCATCAAAACCACATCTATTTCCTGAAACACTTCAAAATAGCTTTGACTCCTAGGAAAGTCTGGTTAAGGAGTTCAGACACCACCTTAGTGGAAGCCCATCTCAGTGACACCAGATTTCCTATGTTGATTGGGAAGCCATGCTCTGTGTTGGGAGAGAAAAAAACATGCCTTGTAGCTAGAATTATGCCCAGGGGTCCTCATGGCTTCTGTTTCCAGAGCTGGGCAATGGCCATCCTCAGCTTTGCCACTACTGTTTTGAACAACTTTGCTCAAACAGAAGCATTGTTCTGGAACTTGGCGAACTTGGTGATGATCTGAATCATCAATTTCAGTTTGTTTTAATCTGGTACTGAGTTTAAAGTTTAGGTAGTTCAAGGGTAAAGATAGCAAAAAAAGGAAAGGAAAGGGGATGATGAGTAGATGAAACTGTATGATGAGTAGATGAAAGGGGATGATGAGTAGATGAAACTGTATGATGAGTAGATGAAAGGGGATGATGAGTAGATGAAAGATGTTTTACTAAAAACAATTGGTAAAAGTTGTCAGATCTATTTCCATATATCTCTTCCACACATTCTTTTGCTTTATGTTCTTAAAATTACAATAGATCTCATTTTATCCTTGACATTGGAATTCTGAAACATACATGCATTCCATGAAGTCCACTGTTTATTGTTGAAGCCAATAAGTAAGACAGAACAAAAGCAAAGTGAAGTTAGAAAGGTATCCACTGTATAGGTACTTTACAAATTGTGGGTAACAAGGTGGGGAGAAAAGAAGGACATTCTAGGAGGGAAAAAGATAATATGTATTAAGGAAACCATATTATGGGGAGTTAAGAACTATGAAAATCAGTCTTTCTTTCCTTAGAATAGCTCTTTTCAGCCTGCCCCATAGTAATTCTAAAATTATTGGCAGGAAAATTTGGTGCAGGCACAGCAATTAGATTGAATCTGTTGCTGATAGGATTCTTCGGCATAAAACTGGATCTTTTTGCTACAACTAACCATTCATTCCACAGTGCTTTCAGTTCCCAGAATAATTCAGCTCAAGGGAATATTGACATTTTTGTCTGAATCCATTCTGAGTTTCATCCTATAAGGAAAACATTTTTAAATACTCTTTTAGCCATGGTCTTGGGAGCCCCTGAAATATTCTTTCCCTCACAGATGGCAGTGCCTTTTCCTGCTGCCTCTCGTGTTGGATCTTCTCTATCCCACAGGAGCAGACGGGATGTTGGAGCCCTTCTGTTAGAGCAGATGGGAAGTTGGTATCAGGGCTGATGGTTAAATCACTGAGACCCTACATTAGCATGTCTGAGGAAGACAGATTTGAGGCTGTCTTCCTAAGAATTTTCTTTAGTGGTCATTAAGGAAGACTCAGAAGAAAGATTGGGTTAATCTCTGTAATAAGCCCATAGTGGAGGCCTAATGACAGTCAGAATATTTTCTGGTCTCATGGGTCTTCAAAGAAAGCAAACTCAAGGTCCTACCAAGTTCAGTGTTTTCAAGGTTCTAAAAAATTCAAGGTTCTCAAGGGTTTAAAAGCTAGTGAAAAAAGATTACAGCCCAGCTTAGTAGAAATGGTAGACTCCAACACATTGGGTGTGATAGGAGAATTCTTCATTGTCATTTGGGATAGGACAGCTGTTTACTGTGAGGCTGCCCCATGCATTCTAAGAGGTTTACCTCTCAGAGGTTTATCCTCCCATCACCCAAGGGTATGGCCTTACCCTTGGATGATGGCCATTTCTCCAGTGAAGTTTCCTGTAGCCTGTGTCCTAGAGTATGCAGAGAGGAAGCTGAAAGGTAAAATAATCGGAGGATTGGACTACAGACTTTGAGCCAGTTGTTTAAAAGATTCTGGTCTCCACACATATTGCAGGTCACATTCTTGCTGTACAGAATTCAGGAGCGGATCAGGGCTGGAAAAGTAGGAACAGTCTCCTCACCAGTCACCCAAGAAGGTATAAACTGGCCGCTCAATGTGTTTTAGACTCATATAAACTCAGAATTGGTAGAAAACCAAAACTAGCTCATCTAACCAACTGCTCAGTAGAGATGCCTTTGCCAAATGGGCATGTCTTTAAGATATAACCATAGGTATATGGTGAAGTCTGTGCCAGAGATTTATGTTAAATTCTTGCAGATTCTTGTGTAGGTGCTCTCAGACTGGTCTCTAGGAAATATGGTAAATTTGTTTACAGTAAATATTGGCTAATTGACTAAAAGTAAGGCTTCTAGAGTTTAGTTCCTGCTTCAACCACTAACTAGCTCTTTGACCTTAAGCAAGTCCGTTTGCTTCTCTGAGTCTAGCTCAGTTTCTCATACGTAAAGCAGAGATAATACTGCTACCAATTTTGGAGATTTAACTAATTCTGCCCTAAAACTCTTCCCTTCAAAAGCAATGGTAAAAATTATTACTGGAGCATAAGTAAATGTTTATCATATAAAGGAAACTATATCTCTAGAAATGTTATACATGTAAAATTTTAAAATTCTATAAAATGGTTGGTTTCTTTTAGACCTTTTAGTTTTGTGATATTTTAATCCAGAAATTGAACTCTGGACTGAAGTTCACCTTCTCTTATTTGAAAATTTATATGAGGTTAGAGAGGAGGAAAATAAACTAAAAAATATTATCTGTTACTACTAATCTTGCAAGGTATTTGTGGTATTGGTATTCAAGGAGTTAATAAATATGAAATGCTTAGAAGAATACCTAGCACTTGGTAAATGTACAATAAATATCAACTATTATGAGTATATGTACTAAACACAGCACTAGGTTAATATCTAGTTTTGTCTCATAGATGGATGTGCATTGCTTCCTATGAAGAGGCAAAAGTTTGTACTGATCTGAGCAGCTATATCTGTGCCTAGAGAAAGAAGCTGGTTTTAAAACCCCTTGTCCCTAAGTTTGTAGTGGAATGGGATAAGTCATCTGGCTCTTATGCTATGCCTACCCTTCAGATGACACTATCTCGCTGCAACCTCTGCCTCCTGGGTTCAAGCAATTCTCCTGCCTCAGCCTCCCAGGTAGCTGGGATTACAGGCATGCACCACCATGCCTGGCTAATTTTTTTTGTATATTTAATAGAGATGGGGTTTCACCGTGTCAGCCAGGCTGGTCTTGAACTCCTGAACTCAGTTGACACACCCGCCTTGGCCTCCCAAAGTGCTGGGATTACAGGCGTGAGCCACCACACCCAGCCTATCTTTGATACATTCAGAAAGGAAAGGGAAGGAGGCCTTTCTCCTCCTACCTCCTGTGAGTGGTTAGGCTGGGTTCATAGGAAGCTGGCCAAGCTCATTAGCATGGCAAGCCCCTCCACTACCCACTGCTCTGGCCTTTAGTTGCATACTGGTCAGTAAGTGGAAAAAGGGAAGGGGGAGGATTTGAAACGTAACCACAGCAGGGATTCCTGGAGGCTGTGGGTGATTCTTTAAGTTGGTGCTTCTCTTTAGGGCATAGCACCAACGTCTTCTTGTGAGTGTATCCTAAAAAGTGAGCAGGTGGATTTCTGCTCCAAGCCATGATATAATGACAAAGACTGGATTTACCTTCCTGCCTTATACAGTTAAGAACCAGACAAAATATATGAAACAACAGTGTCTTAGTCTGGTTAGTGTCGCTCTAACAGAACACCTGAGGCTGAGTAGTTTATAAAGCAAAGAGGTTTATTTGGCTCACAATTCTGGTGGCTCAGAAGTCCAAGACTGGGCAGCTGCATCTAGTGAAGGCCTCCCTCATACTGCTCCCACTCATGATGGAAAGCAGAAAGGGAGCTGGGAATATGCAAAGAGATCACATGCGAGAGAGGAAGCAAGGACCCCAGACTCTTTCTAGCAACCCACGGCTCTCAAGGGGACTAATCTCTTCCCACCAGAGTGAGAACTCACTCACCACTGTAGGAAGGCACTGGGCATTAATCTATTCATGAGGGATCTGCCCCCATGACTCAAACACCTGCTACTAGGTCCCATCTCTCAACACTGCCACATTGGGGATCAAATTTCAACATGAGTTTTGTCAGGGACACACCCCATCCAAACCATAGCAAACAGGTTGCAAATATTGGACAATAGGTAGCACAGAACATTGATCCTCAAGAGAAGAACAAACAGGGTGAGCCCTACAATTGCTCCAGCCCACCATCTACAGAGTATATCTAGACTGCAGTGCAGGGAGGGCCAACTCAAACAGTCCTCTGGTCTCCCTGAGTTGAGATGAAGTTGAGAATTAGGGGAGACCAAAGTGGCTAGAATTCCCAGGGAAGAATACCAGAAAGGAGAGCATTAATGGAGAGGAGAGAATATTTTATAAGGGGTATCTGAGTGCTTACTGATCAGAGCATGATGTGAGGAAACTCCCTGAAGCTTGGGGAAGAAACTCTCTAAAGGAGCAGATGGAGCACCCTTTGGAGCTCACACAGGACCAGAAGTAGTGCTGTTGCCACCAGCTGGAGCAGAAAATCAGAATATACAGGGCATCCAGTAGACTACTCAGGAGAGTATTGTCTCAATAGTAGGGCAAGATTAAAGAGTGCTGTGGTCCTGCCTAACAAAACCTAAAAACAAGCTTCAAATTGTTTACAAACACTTTTCTTTGTCCCAGAAATAAAACACTTCACAAATATTTAAATGAATATCAGATTTATAATATCTGGCATCAAAGAAACATGAGAAATATGACCCAAAATGGGGAGAAAAATTTGATCAATAGAAACATACACAGATGATAGAATTAGTAAACAAAGACATTAAAATAGCTATTATAACTCTATCCTGTATGCTCAAGAAGGTAAAGGAAAGCATGAAAGTGTTAAGAAGATAAAAAAAAAGATAATGAGCATCAGACCCAAAGCAAAATTCTAGAGGTGAAAAATGCCATGTCTAGACCAAAAGCACTCTAGGTGGAATTAGTGGAAGATTAGACACTAGCAGAAGAAAAGATTAGTGAACCTGAAACTATCGCAATAGAAATCATTCAGAATGAATCAGAAAAATCACTGAAGAAAATGAACAAAGAAACTGTGAGCTACAGGACAACTTCAAGCTGATGGATATGTTTGTAATTAGAGTTCCAAAGTTATCAGAAGAAGAAAAAAAATAAAGGTACAAACAGAAATCAGTGAAACAGAAAAGAGAAAAGCAAAAGAGAAAAATCAATGAAAACAAAACCTTGTTCTTTGAGACTATTAATAAAATTGATAAACCTCTAGCTTACCAGAGTGATAAGGAACCAGATAGAAGGCACAGATTACCAATATCAAGAATAAAAGAGTAAATATCAATGATGTTGAAAATGTAATTAGGAAATATTATGAACAACTTTATGCCAATAAGTTTGACAACTTGGATAAAATGGACAGATTTCTTCAAAGATACAAACTATCAAACTCCTGACAAGAAGAAATAGGTAAACTCAATAGCCATTTATAATTTTTTTTTTGAGACGGAGTCTCACTCTGTCACCCAGGCTGGAGTGCAGTGGTGCCATCTCGGCTCACTACAACCTCCGCCTCCTGGGTTCAAGCAATTCTCCTGCCTCAGCCTCCCGAGTAGCTGGGACTACAGGCACGTGCCACCACACTTGGCTAACTTTTTGGATTTTTAGTGGAGATGGGGTTTCACCGTGTTAGCTAGGATGGTCTCAATCTTCTGACCTCGTAATCTGCCTGACTTAGCCTCCCAAAGTGCTGGGATTACAGGTGCGAGCCACTGCATCTGGCCTGCCATATGTCATTTTTGAAAATTGAATTTGTAGTTAAGAATCTTCCCACAAACAAAACCACAGATCTAAGATGGCTTCACTGATGAATTCTAAGAAAGATTTAATGAGGGACTAATTCTGATTCCTCATTAACTTTTCTAGATTATTGGAGAGAAACATACACTTTCCGTTTCATTCTGTGATGTTAGCATTATCCTGATATCAAAACTAGAATAAGATTTTATGAGATACCTCAGTCTCCATGAAGTGCTTATTTCACATTGCATGCCTGTATCAAAACATATCATGTACCCCATAAATATATACACCTACCATTACCCACAAAAATTTTAAAAAATTAATTTAATTAAAAAATTTTTAAAAAATTATGAGAAAATTAAATTCTTTCCAATATCTCTTATGAACAAAGATGCAAAAAAGTTTTAAAGATTTTTTTGTAAGTCAGATTCAATAATATGTAGAAATAATAATGTATCATGACCAAGTTGGGTTAATTCTAGGACTACAAAGTTATTTTAACATTCTAAATGTAAATAGGGACCTTTTCCTAAAAGGAAAACATTATTCTTCTCCATCTTATCCTCATTGTTGTAGAGCACTGGGTTTTCTTTCTTACTGTGATGGGTAAGGAAAGGCCTCAGGTCTTAGGGGATCTGCTAATGAGCTAAGCAGAAGGTCCCTATTCATATGGCCTCATATTTGTCACCCAGAGGGTAGCAACAATCTAGGACCCAGCGACCCTCAGAAGTGTGTGAGACTTGGGACTAGCGGAAACAGAATGGGTTTTGGAGTCAGACCTTGGTTCAAATACAAGTTTCACCATTTGTTGAACAAATTATTTAATGTTTCTGAGCTTTAGAGAAATTATGAGGATTAAGGCCGGGTGCGGTGGCTCACGCCTGTAATCCTAGCACTTTGCTAGGCCGAGGCAGGGGGGATTGCCTGAGCTCAGGAGTTCGAGACTAGCCTGGGCAACACAGGGAAACCCAATCTCTACTAAAATACAAAAAATTAGCTGGGCATAGTGGCGTGCGCCTGTAGTCCCAGCTACTCAGGAGGCTAAGGCAGGAGAATCGCTTCAACCTGGGGAGGCAGAGATTGCAGTGAGCCAAGATCGCACCACTGCACTCTAGCCTGGGTGACAGAGCGAGACTTCATCTCCAAAAAAAAAGAAGATTGTTCTGAAGCTCAGAGGTGAGACACATAAAGCCCTTGGCACATAGCAAGCATGCAGTGCATGGTGGCTGTGGTGGTAGTTCATTTTGTTGAGACCCTGTAGCATGAGGTTTAAGAGCTGTGGGTCTGGATGAGGATAGCTTGGATTCGAACACCAGCTCTGTTACATTTCTGTTTGTGAGACCTTGCCTAGTTTCCTAGTCTGTGAAATAGGATTAACAGTACTATCTATCTCAACAGAGTTGTGTTGTAGTGAAGTTCTTTTGATACATGAGTAGCTCTTAGAATGATGCCTGGCCCACTTTCAAGTAAGTGCTCGCATTAACTATTATTTTAATGCTATTATCGTTTCTCTGGCCACTGGTGTGGTCATTACTGTTGTTAACAGGCCAGATAAGGGTCTGATATTCTAGCAAGAAATGGTCCTAGCAAGAAGGATTCACAAACCAAAGTGAGGACACCAGGTAACAGAGTCACTGAGTGCTCGAGTTTGCTCAGCCTCCAGATTTTATTTGGCTCCGTTGAAAGCAGACCTGCCTGGCCCTGACTCATCAGAGAAAGCTGAATTGCTGCACCTGGGAAGAGTGAAGCCTTGGCGGGCAAGGGCAGGGCAGACCCTGCAAACAATCTATCTCGGAGACAGGAATATTTTGTTAGAGATGCGCCCAGTTGGGGTTGGGCCTTCCTGAATGGTGATGGGATGCAGTGTGAATGGAGACCTGGGCTATAATTGAGAACCATGTGGCCATGTCAGCAGGTGATGGCACTTGAGTGACAGTATGACAGAGAACAGAAACAGGGCCACAGCTAGCCGCTCTGCCTGCCATAGCGATGTACACTGTGCAGATTTCTACCCAGCCAGGAATGAGCCGGGCCTGGAGAGGCCTGCCAGACGGTGGGCTGCATGCTACCAATTTCTTTCAGCACCTCCTATTTTGCCATTCATAGACTCTTGCCATTAAGCAGACAGAACAGCTCATATCCTGTGGACAGATGATAGATATGTCATATCACTGAAAAATTGTTTGTCTTCCACAGGTGTATGGGCTTCTTCTAAAGCAGGCAGCTCACATGACACTTTTCAACACTCTGTCCTGTACCAGCTTGGCATCCGGCGTCTATCAAAAGGGGAATCTTTCATATGCAATTATGGCAGAAAATAAAGGTGATGAAGTGTTGTGTACCAAGAAGGGATAAGATCAAAGGGCGGTAATGAATACCGATTACAATAGAAGGGCAGCTTCAACTGCAGAAGTTGTGTGTGACTGTGTAGAGGCTGGCGCTGCTTGGGGGCATGCACTGGCACACACCAGAGTACATGCAGAAATAATACAGTAAAATCATAGGCACTGCTGTCATAAAATTATAAATTGCCGGCTGGGCGCGGTGGCTCACGCCTGCAATCTCAGCACTTTGCGAGATTGAGGCGGGCGGATCACCTGAGTTCAGGAGTTCGAGACCGGCCTGGCCAACATGGTGAAACCCCGTCTCTACTAAAAATACAAAATTAGCCGGGTGTGGTGGCAGGCACCTGTAATCCCAGTTAATCAGGAGGCTGGGGCAGGAGAATTGCTTGAACCTGGGAGGCGGAGGTTGCAGTGAGCCAAGATCGTACCACTGCACTCCAGCCTGGGCAACAGAGCGAGACTCCGTCTCAAAAAGAGAAAAATTATAAATTGCCAAGGTAGACCGTAACCCAAGAGGGGTTACAGGTAATGTGTAATTGTATCAAGGTGATGGTAAGACACTTGTATCCTGATAATTCACGTAATACCTGTTTCTTCCAGCACCATCCAATTAGTGGCACCATTTCAGACCTCCAAAAGTCTAGTTTATACCCATTGAGGCTGATTTTCCAATAGAGTCTTCCAGAGCACAGGACCTGGGCACCCAATGGTGTGTTGTTTATTTATTTTTTTATTGCACTCTGGGAGGCCAAGGGGAAAAGCACAGCCTGTTCAAGTTTAGGAACAGGGCTGCGTATCATTGGAGACTTCACAGCCATGCAGTGTCGCCATCCCAGCAGCACGCTTTTTAATCGGAGAAGAATTTCTCTACCTGCCAAGTACTTTTCCTTGCAGCTGCTATCATCTTGAAAGGTACATCACATGATGACATTTCAAATCCCACAAAATGGCTTGCCCAAGTCAATTCAGCAGAGGCTTTAACTTTAATATCTGATCACTTTCTTTGGAATGCTATATGAAAAGCTGACAATTTTCAACTAATTTGTGAGTACACCAGTTTGAGTTGGTTAAAAAAGACAAAAAAAAAACAACAAAAAAACCTCTTCATTATAGATTACTTAAAATTCCTTTCTAATTGTATTAGTTTCAGTAATGATGACTGCAGTAATTTAAAGGAAGCTAGCAAAGTTTTGTCAAATGCCTTTCAGGGTTCTTGCTTTAATGGGAAAATTAAATCTTCTTTATCAGTTGTAGTAAATAGATGCTCAACTCTTTGAAAATGGCTCCTTTTTCTAAGTAGATAAAAAAAATCCTGCTTTGTCTTATTTTAATATTGGCTGGATTAGTAACCATTTTGCTCCTTTTGCAAATATAAAAATATATTGAGAGACCTCCCAATTTTACAAGTAAGAAGGCCTACATCAATGAGGATTGAGGGGAGAGGGAAAGAGAACCAGCATAGGTTGAATGTCTGCTATCTTATTTAACTTCATCTTCACAAAAGCTGTTTGTTGGAGATGATAGAGCCATTTTCCAGATGAGAAAACTGAAATGAAGTAAGCTGGTCTGGTCTGTCCAGTGGTGTTAGAGCTGAATTGAAATCCTGCTTTATAGAGCCCCCAGATTGGCATTCCACTACCTTTGCTCCCCCATGCTGCTTAGCTCACATTGGCTGTTTGCCATAGGCTGTCTTTCTCTAACCAGAAGCTGCTGGTCTTGTAGCACCCAGAGACTTGTGCAAATGTCTTCTGTGAGCAATTGTAATTGAGATTTCCAAATGAAATGTCAGTCTGCTCACCAGGGGAATAGTATTACAAAGCCAGTGGCCCTTGCGATACCCTGTGTTTTCACAGCCCTCAGGGCCTTGTGTTGAAAATGTAAGCAGGCATTGCTAAGAGGTCTCAGTGGGGCTGAGTGAGCAATGCTTCTTGCGGGGAACTTTATGGTAGACCAGGCCAACCATGATGAGGACTACCTGGCCAGCTCAGAAAGGCTTCTTGGTGCAAATCTCACTCTTAAGTTCCCAGTGAAGTCCTCTTTGTGTCTTCGTAGGTATGGTACATGGCTGTAATTGAATACATTAATCCTGTGGCATTTTCACCCATTAGCACTGCAGCATAAGTCCTTAGAAAGAACCATGTTTTGAGGAAAAGTGGGCACGGGGAAGACAAATTCCAATATAAGAAGGAAAGGAGAGCAGTCTGCAGTCAAAGAGGCATTCCAGAGGGCACTGGATGGTGGTAGGGAAACAGGGATCCTCTGAACTCAGTTGGGGTGAGGAATAGGAGAAACTTCCCTACTTGACAATTTTGCCTAAGGCCAGCTCTACTCAGTAAGCCTCCTGGGATCAGCTTGCTCACTTCAAAGGATCTAGACCATCAGAAGAACAAAACAATATTTCCCTCTGTGGCAATGTGGCATTGCAGCTGTCATCACAATTGTATCCAGAAAAGCAGCGTATTCAAGTGGCAGCTTGTTCCTTGAGGCTTGTCTCATCTTTGAGAAATACCCAGTGACACCTCTCAGAGGAAATCCCTCATTCCAGCTCTGTGTGATCGTTTCTGCAGGCAGCAAGCACTTTAGGAATATGTTCCTGGGCATAATGAGCCCTCCGATGGTGTTCACCGTGTTTGTTCACAAGAGAACCCAGCCAGAGTTTTGTGAGAGACCAGACAGAGCTTCTTGAGCCCAGCAACAGGAGGCACAGAAGAATTTCTGGTTGTTTCCTTAGACTTGTAAGAACTGTTATTTGAGGACTTCATTGAAACCAGTCTTTATGTCCCCACCCTTTCCATTTCCTTTTCCTTTTAACCCACAGACTGCTGTTCACTGTTGTAGAATGGAGTTGATGACTGATTAAAAAAAAGTTTCTGCAACCTTCCATTGCATGAAAAGAATAGGATGCAATCAAGGAGGGGGGGGTGGTGGAGGAGTAGAGGACATTTCCCTGTTCTCTGCTCTCCCCACCTTGGACTTACAGAATCCTAGACCTGAAAGGAGCTTTTTTTCAAGCATGTAGCTGGCCTAATTCTCAAACTGAACAGATGAGGAAACGGAGGCCTAGAGAGTGGAGGTGTTTGCCTCAAGTGACACTGATGGCTGATGACCAGTTCCATAGCTGGCATACTTTGTTCAGCTCTGCAGACGATAGTTTAAGGCAAGGACACATGACAGGAGGATGGCTGGGAGGATCGGGAGCTTATGACGATGTTTTGAAGAACCCAGGACTGTCTTGTCGGTAAGAAAGAAAATGCTTCAAGGGATTATAAAGACCATCCTCAAACATTTGAACCGTTTCCACACTGCAGCATAGGGAGATTTATTCTTTGTAATTGCTAAGGGCACAGCTAGAATCCACGGACATATTTATATGAAGAGCGAGTTTGACTCAAGATGAGGAAGATGTTGATCTGCCTTCAATATGAGCCTGGAATGCCTGAAAGAGTAGTGAGTCCACTGCCTTGGAAGAACCAACTGTCCCTCAAAAAAGAGGACATGTTCAAAGAGGTTTCTACATGGGGAATCTCCTTTTCAAAGCTAAAGTGAATCAACAAGATTCTCATCAGAGTCCCTAAGAGTCCCCATCAAATAGGGAGGTAAGTGGAATTAATGAAAAACGCTGAAGGTATCAGTTTCTGCAAAGCCAGTCATCTCCAGAGCAGTGTATGAATCTAGATCTACCACAGGCTTTGGGGTCGTTAGCTTTCGCTGTTGTGGAGCCCAGATAGGGGATAGCTTTGAAAGTAAGGGCTGCTGCTACTTATAGGATGAAAGTGGAAATGCGTTAGTTTCGATTTTGGGTAAACTTGATGATAGGGAAAAAAAAGGCACCCATGGCTGGGATCTCTAGTTTTAGTCCAAAGGTGGTAAATCAGTCCCAGGATAGAAAGACTCCTGTGAGCCCAGTAGAGACCAGGCCTCAGAAAAAGCCATGGCCACTGCTTTGGAAAAAACTTTTTTTTTTTTTTTTTTTTTTTTTTGAGACAGAGTCTCACACTGTCACCCCGGCTGGAGTGCAATGGCGTGATCTCTGCTCACTGCAACCTCCCAGGTTCAAACAATTTTCCTCCCTCAGCCTCCCAAGTGGCTGGGATTACAGGTGCCCGCCACCACACCCGGCTAATTTTTTGTATTTTTAGTAGAGATGGGGTTTCACCATGTTGGCCAAGCTGGTCTCAAACTCCTGACCTCGTGATCCTCCTGCCTCGGCCTCCCATAGTGCTGGGATTACAGACATGAGCCACTGCACCTGGCCTGGAAGGAACCTTTAACAGAGACTTTTATAGATACCTCTGAGGTTTAAAGGCCACTAAGGAGAAGATCCAGGGCACTGGAATGCCTGAACCCCAGAATGGGCTGATGAAATAAAGTCCCCTTTACCCCTGGTTCCATCACACTGGCCTGCCCTTTGCCTGTTGTGGCCTCTAACCTGTCTATCCTTTAAGGTTCAGACTCTTGATTCTAACTTGTTATGGCTATGTATCTTATTTGGAATCTCTAATGCTTGAATCTACTGCTTCCAGAAAGCTTTCCTGGCCTTATCAATCTACCCTAGAGTCTCCTGCTTCTGAGTTTAGGGGTGGGAACAGGTGACAGGCAGTATATCAGGACACAAGGAGGTCTCAGGGGTTACCCTGTCACTCTGGGTCGATGCTTGGGCTGGGTGCTGTCAGCTTCCCTCCCTAGTTGCTATAAGAGTGCCACTGTGAGTCTTCTCAAAGTGTCTCCCGCTTTGCTCCCTCTCTTTTACTGTCATGCTCCCTTCTAGGATGGACCTGGATCCCCAGCCCATTGGAATAGGCTGTTCCCAAGTTTGGGTAAACACCATGTCCAAGACACCCTTCTCCCTTTTTGCAGACATTTCTTCTATATACATTTCTCAAGGGCCCACTGACCTCTTCCAGGCTGATGATGTGTAACCCAAAGCCTTGAGCTCATTCTCACTGGGTCATTCAGTCCATCCTCCCAGAGGACTGCTTCATCAATTGCTTTGTTTGTGCTTTTCCCCAGGATCTCAGTTGGCTTTGAGATGTTTGACTCATCGTCAGTACTTCCCAATTTCCTCCTGAAGGTACCAACCATGTTTGCTAATTTAACCATCAGATATCCCGTCCGAGTTGCTCATGAGCATGAGAAAACACTAACGCCTTTTTTCCCGTGGGTGGTATTTGTTGGCTTGTAAATCTGAACAGGAAGAGTACATTTATTTGGAGAAACTATGAAATGCCTACCCTTGAAGAGTGTTTTTGTTGGGGGCAGCAAGAGAGTCTGTATGCCCATAAGTACCGGGATTCAGGACTTGAGATCAGGCTAGAGGCCAGAGATAAGGACCTCTTTCTAATCTTTGCTGCAAATGAAAATGGTCAATAAATCAGAACTATTTATGGAATGCCTACCATGTTCAGATAACAGGAGAATGAGAAGTTATAAAAACAGGCAAAACCATCTTGACTGAAAACTTAACCTACCACTTGTTGGAGGCCTTTGGGACTAAATCTCACAGGGGTGCTTGTTGTCTAGAAATTGAGAACATAATTTAGCTCCTGCTTGAGACTGAGAAGTCCTTTGTTATGTTTATTAGATGGGGCTGAGTTTTAGGATGGCAGAAATGCAACCTTAACTTTCTATTCAGCACCTTTAATGTATTTCTGCTGAATACAGAAGACAGTTAATGTCTCTGACCCCATTTTTTTATTTGGAGAAAAGATCTAGCAATACCTACCTCAGGCTGTAGTTCTGAGAAGTATATTAAGTTCGTTTTCACACTGCTATGAAGAAGTACTTGAGACTGGGTAATTTATAAAGGAAGGAGGTTTAATTGACTCACAGTTCCATGTGGCTGGGGAGGCCTCAGGAAATCATGGTGGAAGGCAAAGGGAAGCAAGGCATATCTTACATGGTGGCAGGATAGAGAGAGTGAGGGAAAGTGCCACACTTTTAAACCACCAGATCTTGTGAGAACTCCCTCACTATCATGAGAACAGTGTGAGGAAAAACACTCCCATGATCCAATCACCTCCCACCAAGTTCTTCCCTCGACATGTGGGGATTACAGTTCAAGGTGAGATTTGGGTGGGGACGCAGAGACAAACCACATCAAGAAGTAAACAAAACATTGTATGTCAGGCACTTTGCAATGTACTTGGCACCCAATAGGCACCAATGAACAGACGATGCTATTGTAGCTGGACCATCATTGCCGGTGCCTCCTGGGAAGCAGATGGGAAACAGTGTTCATGTTGTGTCCTACCTTGTCCCATGGAAAATCCTGATTTTGAGTTCTCTTATCTCTCAGATTTTATAGTGTTAAGTTAGCACACTGTAGACAGGGTACATGGAAAAATGTCTGGTGTCCCTGACACAAGAAAAGGGACAAATCTCTCTAAGAGAGCCATCTGGGGTCTTGTATTGATGAAAGCAGTAAAGAACTGTGGAAGGAGAGAAAAGCTAAGTGTCTAAATGAAGAGTTTGCTACACACATTCTCAAGGGTGAAGACTGGACAAGACAGACTGGCAGAAGGAGAGGAGCTAAGGGGTGATGGTCCCAGGAAAGAATGGTGAGCAGCATCAAGGGTAGTCAAAGTTGAAATAGAGAAGGACAAGCCAGTTATAAAATGAGTTGACTGGGGCAGCAAGGCTCCACCTTCTTCCCAGTCAGACATCAGAACCCATAGCCCAGACTCTGCATGTATTTAAAGGGACTAGAAGACAATATGGACCCAAAAGAGGACAGTCTGCCCATCTTTAGGAAGGAGTCCCCTCTCATTTTCCTTGTGGATGCTGTCCATGGAAGTAGACAGCCCTCAACTTTCTTCACAGAGCAAACTTACCTTCACCTCAGTTGTGTGCCTCACACTTACATCAGCTCAAATAGCATGAATTCTTTAAAACTACAGAAATTGTTATTGTTACAGCAGTTTGTTCCCAAGGAACAAAGGCCACAGCAGGCTGGTATTATTTTAATTTTTCCATGACCCATTTATCAAAAATAATGATAAGATTTGAAATAGATTTCAACATGGTTAATGAGATATTTGCAATGCAGTTTATCCGAAGTGGAAGGGCCTAGACATCTAAACTGGTTGTCTGGCAAGATTAACCTTGTGTACTTTGCCCCATCTTTTGAGAGAAAGATCTCTCTAAATTTCAAAGAAAAAGGCATCATTTATTTGCACCTGAATGGTACATTTCTGTTCAGAAAACTGAAATCAGCTGCATACACAGAACCCGGTTGGGACAACGTCACCACTGGGGAGAGGGTGAGACAGGCCAGATTTATGAATACCCAAGGAGGGAATAAGCAGATCAAGATCCATGTGGGTACAGAAGGAGATCTAAATATGCTACACTTGTGAAAATTTCATTTGAATAAGGAATCAAATTGCATCATTTTATTTTATTTCTTATTTTTTAGAGATGGGGTATTGCTCTGTCACCCAGGCTGGAGTACAGTGGCCTGATCATAGCTGACTGCAGCTTCAAACATCTGGGTGCAATTGTTCCTCCTACCTAAGCCTCCCAAGTAGCTGGGGCTACAAGTGTGTACCACAATGCCTGGCTATTTAAAAGAAAAATTTGTAGAGACCTGGGTCTTGCTCTGTTGCCCCTAGGCTGGTCCCAAACTCCTGGCCTCAAGTGATGCTCCACCTTGGCCTTCCAAAGTGCTGGGATTACAAGTGTGAGCCACCCCACCCGGCCCTACTTTATTTATTTTTTTTTTTTTTGGAGACGGAGTCTTACTCTGTTGCCCAGGCTGGAGTGCAGTGGCACAATCTCAGCTCACTGCAACCTCTGCCTCCTGGGTTCAAGTGATTCTCCTGCCTCAGCTTGCCATGTAGCTGGGATTACAGGCTCGCACCACCACATCTGGCTAATTTTTGTATTTTTAGTAGAGACGGGGTTTCACCGTGTTGGCCAGGCTGGTTTCGAGCTCCTGACCTCAAGTGAGATGCCCTCCTCAGCCTCCCAAAGTGCTGGGATTACAGGCATGAGCCAATGTACCCGGACCCGGCCCTACATCTTTTTAATGTTATGTCTATTCTCCTTAAGACTGAAGTTCTGTGTCTTGCTCTTCTGGTGTATCCAATTAGAAGTTGAAGCAAGAGATGATCAATTCCATTTAACAAAAGAATAGAGAAAAATGTGTCCGACACAGCAGTTGCTCTCTTAAAACAAAGTGCTATCTCATGCCTTGCCCTGTAGCTTTCATAAAAGTATTTTCAAAGTCTGCAAAAATGGGCAGGAAAAAGTAATATTCTGGAAAAAGTGTATGAAGTGGGTAAGGATGTTGGCCTGGTGGGTCTGGGTATAGAGCTAACACTGTATAGAGTAGAATTTTCTAAGTTTTAAAGTTTCCCCAATTGCCAGAGCTCAAGTATGTGTTGTGGATTGCATTTTTCCAGATTCAAAGCTATTCCCTCCTTTAACATTCCCGCTGTCTTCTTTTCCCCCAGTACGTGTATTAATGACCCAAACAAGAAAGACTTCATGATGGATGGTGCTTATTTAATTGGCCAAAATGGAACGATGTGCACTTTCGGAATCCCTTTAATTCTTGAGACTAATCTACATATTGGCAACTTGTCATAAGAAATGGGTAGCAAACGCTGAATCAAAACTTTTTAGGCTTGGCAGCAGTAAAATGGCAATGTATTAAATATTCTCTTAGGAGACTGGAGAGTAACCATTGTATAAGTGTAATGCAGTCATGGTAAGATAATGGATTAAATGGCCTCCTTTAGGATATTGGCTTTGTATATCTCATGTATTAAAAAAAATACTCTTTCTGATTTTAATGTGTCTCTTTAAGCACACACAAAATGGACAATGGTCAGTAATGAGTTACTGCGTTCAGGATGAGGGGATGTTTGCAACCTGTTCTGTGCATCCAAATTCCAGCCTGCCTGTAGGTTTCCTGCTAGAGTTCACAAGGCTTCATGGCTAAACTTCCTGGTGGGGCTTGGAATGAAATTTTCCCAGGAGACCACATGGTGATTTGGAACCAGAAGAGCTTGTTTACATAAGATCTTCTGCATGTACCAGTTGAGAGAGATTGGGAAGGCCACTGAAATTTGTCTCTAAGAAATATGAATGATAATACTTGGTATTTTTCTTTCAAAGAGATTGTGAGGACTGGACAAAGTGGTGGTTTGAAAATATTTCATATACTGCAAAGCCTTGCACAAATATTGTTATTATGATTATAAAGGCTCTTCCTGGTCTGTAAAAAAAACATTTTCCCAAGTCCTCCCCTATCTTCTATCAGCCATAGTGAATCCCTGTCTATTCTTAGCATGTTTGTGCGAGGGATATGTGAAAGCGTTGGTGTCCTCTTGTCCCTCTGTTAAGGACTCAGACAGGATGCCGGGCACATTTGTATCCAGACATCGTTGAGATGTTTTGAAATCGGTCTGGTAAGAACCAAAGCTATGTTTCCAATTAATTTTCTAAGTACAAATATGCTCAAAGTACATTTTTTTTTAAAAAAGAATTCAACAATAAAGTATGGCTTGTTGCTGTTCGACTGCCAGAAACTCGGGATCTCTATGAGTTTCACTGATATCAAAGGCTTCTGTTTAATATAACTTTGTATTAAAGTGGGCCTTACTGTCAACCTAGCAAAACCTCATGTTTAATCTCAAGTTTAGTGTAGTTTTTTTATTAATCCAATGTGCATCTGTTAAAAATAACTCCAGATAATGCAACATTTGATTAAATGGAACTTAATACAGCCATTAGCTGGTGGGATTTTTTTTTTCCATTTACGCATTCCAAGCTGAGCCTGATAAGATGGCACTAACATTTAGCCTGAGGTGTGGAATGTTAATAGTGGGATCTTGGACAGTTTGTTTATTTTTTATTTATTTCCTGAATGTGCCACTCACAGCAATGTGCCAGATGGGCGGCCTGGAAGGCAGAAATTCTCTGTTTAGCCTCGGAGCCCCAAGAAACTGGCAGATTAGCCCCCACCCCCAGGGCAGCCCCAGCTTGGTAGAAAAAGGCAGAGGGGTAACATTAAATCAGAGCTGCAGTATGTTTTTGTTCTTTTGTCAAAGGACTGTGCAAGTAACATGCTTTTCAGGGTTGGCCATGCAAATAACATGTCAAGTGAAACTTTACCACCTTTTTACTTAGGCTATATAGAAGGAAGGCCTAAAAAATGCCCTGGTCCTCTTGAGCATTTTGAGCCCAGGCTGTCCTGGTGGCAATAGGTTTCCTCTGTTGAGAAGTCCTGCAGCTCTGGTGGGTTAGGACCACCCTCCGCCTGGCACTGAGTGGGTACTCTGTCACTTCTTGGAGCCATTAGGCTGAACAGTAGCCAGAGAATACAGAGGCCCCATTCATTTTGTCGGTGCACATTTATTGGGTAGTTACTGTGTGCTAGGTAGGATACTAAGCCCTGAAGACAGGGCAGTAAAAAAGATAGACTCAGTCCCTGCCCTCATGGAACTGACATTCTATCTAACATCTAGCTGCTAGTTGAGGATGCTGCCCATCTCTGCTGGTTTGTAAAATTTGGTTTCTACTCTATTAACTGAATTTCAGCTCACTGAATTAGACTTATGTTCCATGGACCAGTTGGTCTTTTGCAATAATTCTTATACTGGTATTTTTAGTGATTTTATGTTAGTTTTAATTTCTTCAAGATAAGGATTTTGGTTTGATTTGATTCAACAGTTATTTACAAACTTCCTATTGTGTGTAAGACTTGACATTCTTCACTACTCCCAGCCTCTCCCAGGGTGAAGAGGCAAAATGTACCCCCTTCCCTCTTGCCTAGCCCATCCAGGAAGGCCGTCAAGAAAGGGCAAGTTATATACCACACGATGCTGTCACATCTAAAAGGACACTATCCACATCACAGAGACTGTAAATGTGTATTTTTATAGTGGTTTCCTGACAGATGATGTGTCTTGTTCTAAGAAAATCATTGTATGTTAAGGATATTAAGAAAATGTCCCCCATAGCAAATGAACCTTGAATCAGATTCTTTAAAAAGAATCACATTCTTTTTAAAATTAGTATAAAGACACTCTGTAAGCCAGTGGGCCCCTTGCTCCTTTCCTTTCCCTTGTATCAGGGACCAGGACCATTCTTCTAGTTCATTACTGCAACAGAGGGGAAAAATAGTGGAGTCAGAGTGGATTCCAGTTTTAACCATGCAAATCAACCAGCTGTGTAGCTTCAAGCACAACCTATAATCATTTTGAGCTTCAATTTCCTCATCAGTAAAATGGGGATTATCCCCATACCTCATGGAGTTGTTAAGAAGATCAAATAGAGTAATTCTGGGAATATGCTCTGCTCCATGTGCTTGAACTCAATGGATGTTATTTCAATCTGGTTGCTGGTATGGGGACAGAGGTAAGGAAGGGAAGTGGGGCATGAACCTGCCAAGAGACTTGATGGGAGACAGATCTTACTTCTGTGTCCTCTGAGTGACTGGGTGAGTTCGGGGGACCATTTTGTCCTGGGAAGGCTCATCACTGAAGACTTGAAAACCTCTTTCATTTTTAGCAATTCAGAGAAAGGCATTCAATTTTTTTTTATTTTCATCCTGGGGATTGCAGTTTACATGTGCAAGAAAATGAGGGTGTCATTCTCCTAGTTCCCAGGCACCTAGGCTGATTCATTGCAGCATTAGGAGTGGTTAATGGCAATTGAAGTAGCAGCAGTTTTTGGCAGCAAGCAGGACCCCACCAGAGACCCTGGGTAACTCCCAGGTGTTATTGCAACCTGTCTGGCTTTCGATGGAGCTCACTGGTTTTCCCATCAAGCTATCTGCCAGTCTCCTGCTTTCATTTCCTGGGCAGAGATTCAGAGGTCAGCCGGAAACCCCTTTGCATTGCTGCAGAGGGGCTGATGCATCCATTGATTCTCATATTTGGTTTTGATCACAGATTGAAATTAGATTGCTTCCTTTCCTGGCTGGGATTATGATAGCACTCTGTAGTTTAAGAAAATTTATTCACTGTGCGTTTTGTTTCTTGAAAAGCCAGATAATTTGTTTCTGTCCTCTACTCAAAGAAACTCAGTGAGGACTGGCCAGACTCCAGGAGTAATGAGGTGATGGTGAGAAAAACACCACCCAAAGACATGAATCTTTATTAGACCCTTCTTGTTGTGTTGGTGGCAATATTGCAGTGCACAAGGTGATGGGTCTTGATTTCCTTCTGGCTTGACTGGGGTCGGCTAGTTCCCTCTTGCGGGGCCTTTGTATCCCAGATGGTGGAATGTGTCTAAGTTTGGCAACCCATATTCACCTGATGGAATAACACTTCCAAAGTGTACATACAACTGAGAAGATGGAGGGGGTTTAGCACTCACGTTCTGGGCCATGTGTAGATTTGTGTTTTCATTTTCAAGTTGTCTTCAAGCTCCTCTAGGGAGGATGAGTGGATGGAAGGGAATGTTTTATCTGTATTTGTAGGGAGCTTCCTGAGACTCCAAAGGCTGGAATCCTGTGACTGAAACTTGTTACAAAGAATAAAGTAATAGAGAGGTGTTCAAACCCAAGAGGAGGAGGATGGTTCCCAAAATTTCTCAGTTCTTCATACCCTTTGTTTCTCAGTCATTTTTTTTCACAATGCCTCTAGGCGAATGATTGCATGTACACACACACACACACACACACACACACACACACAGTTCTGTTTATTAAGTAGTTAGATCCCAATAAGTTAATTTATGTCTTAACAGCTTAGTAGCCATTTGAAAAAATAGGTATACATTGAAAGAAAATGTTTTTATTAGGCCAGGCGTGGTGACTCATGCCTGTAATGCCAGCACTTTTGGAAGCTGAGGCGGGTGGATCACTTGAGGTTGGGAGTTTGAGACCAGCCTGCCCAAGATGGTGAAACCCCATCTCTACTAAAAATACAAAATTAGCTGGGCATGGTGGTGTGTGCCTGTCATCCCAGCTACTTGGGAGGCTGAGGCAGGAGAATCGCTTTGACGCTGGAGTCGGAAGTTTCAGTGAGCTAAGATTGTGCGACTGCACTCCAGCCTGGGTGACAGAGCGAGATTCTGTCTCAAAAAAAAAAAAGTTTTTATTCTTAAATAACCAAATTAGTTACCAGTGAGATGTGTGTACCTGTTGGGTACTGCACAGCATCACAAATCTTGGAATCAGGTTGGACAGTACCACCCTGTTTTTGTGTTCCCCACTGATTTTCATGCAGTACTTGCTTTTTATCACAGCAACCACTGAAATCTCACTTTTGAAAAGATATGGCATAATCAGAAGGAATGTAGCATGATCTAATGTTGACACTGAGAACTACATTGACCTACTGGTTTGCAGAGTGACAGATGTCATGTATTGCTGTATTTTCCTTGAAAATTTAACATATTTCAAAATTAAGTTCAAATTAATTTAAATGTCCCACAGTGTTCCTATGTGTTTGCTGTGGTGACCCAGGGCCCTTCAGCATACAGCTGGGAGCCTAGATCCTGAGCACAAGATGCTCTCAGATAATCCAAAACCTGGAGGAAAGGAGTGCTTGTCTAGTCTCCTGTCCTTATAGTGGCTTTCAGGCTCACCTCTGACCCACCACTAAAGGAAGATGCGCCCTGCACACAGTGCATCAAATTTTATGATTCTAGAGGGTGAAGTGAAATCTGGCTACGCACCGCAACTAGTAGCCCTGCACTGGGTTCCTCCTTGGTAGCCAGCTCCAACAGGTACTGTGGGACTTGTTTCTTGTGCTAGCATAGCCTCGACCTCAAGGAAGAAGCAATCTTGGGGAGACTGTCACAAGCTCAAGGTGGACAAAGATTCTCTGTCTGAAGGCTCACAATTCAAACTGGTCATTTTTGCAGAATGCTTCTCTTTCCTCGGCACAAATGAGAGAAATTGAACTGGATTAAGTAATTAAACAATGATTACATTTAATTAAATTAGGATTTAAAAAAAAAATTTCCACTCGGATTTTTCTAAAGTGGCATCATTTTCAAGCTGAACAAGAATACGCCCTGGAAGTACAGGAAAAGACTTCTGTGCAAAATTGGCAACAGAATCCCTAAATGCAAGTTCTGGGGGTCTAGGGATTAAATGAGAATAATTTAAATGGGAAAAGGCCACTTTGCCTCCAGTGGAATGAAAACCTTTTTCAAGGTTTACATTTCTGACAATTTTGGTAAATCTTCATGTTTTGATTTGACTGCCAGTGACTGGACATTTTCCTTTGGAGGCCTAGGGCCTGAACACATTCTGTCAAGTTTATTATCCAAGGAGGAGATTCCTTTCAGTCCCAGATGGGTGTGTGGTAGCAGGTGGGAATTGCCATTGAAAAGTTGGGAGACCCTAAATCTCTTTTCATCAGATCTGAATGTTGGTGGCAATATAGAAATGCATTGAAGTGTTTCTAACAAAGCTGCCCTCCCTGCCTAGCATTCAGAGGGGGAAAGAGGGTATTTTGCACCATGACAACAGGTGACCTCTATTTGGAATTGTCAACAAACATTAATAGGCCTTCCAAAACACATACGCTGTAATATAAGGGATTGGTTGCCTGAAGGGAGGGCCGGGTATTCAGCAGCACTGGGGCAGCTCTTACAGGATGTCAGCAGACGTGGTTAATTGGTAATGATTAGGGCTGTCTGCAAGCTGATTCCCTAAGTTTGGTGAACACATAATTGTTGTATGTAACCCCGAGCGGCTTTGCTCTTTCATCTATATGAAGAGATCAGAAAAGAGAGATTTACGGCTTAGGTTGCCCCAAGCCACACATAGCAGGCTTAATTTTCCTTTCCAAGGGAATTTGAAGACTGCTGTTGTGACTAGTTCTCTGTGGCTTATATGGTATGTTGAGGTCACCTGCGAGTTTTTGTTAAATGATTGATTGACTGAAATTAATTATTCTGTCAGAGCTGTAATGGCGGTAAGATGGGGTGCACTGATAAATACAAAAGCTAAAGTGATTCTTATAAATGCACTATGTCTCTTTCTATTTAAATAAATCAGACAGAATACATAGATCCTGGATGGTGTTGAGTGTCCCCTCCCCATTTTCCTCTATAGCCCTGAGCTGTTTTCTTTCCAAATCTGAAGCTTTGAAATGAGCGGCTATTTACTCAATTTAACTGCAGGATATTTGAATCCTTTGTCACTTCATTCCTTCTAACCTTTCCCCAAACACCTCAGCCCCTGATAAGAGGCTGATGCCCATGACTGCCTTAGATTAAATCAACTGAATTGAGAGTCTGTGTTTGAGCTAATGGCTAGGCAACTTGGGGAATGTGGCTGGTGAGTTGGAGAGTGGATAGAAGGCAGGTGTTTGCTTCTAAATGTCAGATTTCTGAGGCATGGAAACCACCCTGTAGGGCCCTTTTAGGAGGGCAGTGAAAGCAGCTGTTTAGTGACAGACTGTCTGCAGTTTGGGTCCTTAAATCCCATGAAGGGATTCCAGTGGCTGGTTAAGGAAATGCCAAAATGACTCTTTCGATTACCTTGCAAAGGGCATGAGATTATTTATAAGTGATGTATCCAACTTACTTCCAAGTCACTGGAAACGATCGTTAGAAAAAGCCTTTTCCCACACAGGCCCTGATCATGACAAAGGTTCCAGGACATCTTCTGGGAGTGGCACCAGGTTCAAAATGAGCAAGAACACATGGGAGGTACAGAAAAAGACTTGTGGGCAAATTGGCCAAGACAGCAGAATAACAAACCCAGGTCTCGCGTGCGGTATGCCTGTGGGGAAAACATCTATGGAGTAGGGTCGTCTAGTCCTTTGTGTAAGTGTGAAAAACTTGTTGGCATTGGATAGGGTGATATGCTTCCCAAGTCTGTTACCAACACTCCTAAGTTAAAAGTAAACAGCAGTCACTTGCTTCCTTGGTTCTTAGATTCTAGTGTGCTCTTTTAGAATATTCTAGAGTGCTTGTTAAATATGCAGATTCCTGGGAACCACCTCCAGTGAGTCTAATTTCTTAGATATGACACAGAGCTTGGGACTCTTCATTTTCTTCAGTAAGTTCCATGGTGATTTTGGTGCAGATTGTCCCAACTGTCCAGTTCTTTATTTAACAATTGATCAGACCAGGGGCCAAGAGAAGAAACTACAGCTGTTCCATTTGACAAAAATAGCCCTCCAAAAGGCCTGCGACTAGTCAACATGCAGATGGAACTTCTTGAGTTTGAGTAATTTTACGCATCTTAAGATCAGCCCTGGCTATTTCAATGCCAATCATCTTGAGGTATACCAGCTATTGAATGCATGGCTCCCTGAATATCTCAGAAAATGAAATGGTTAAAATAGGAGGGGTATTGAAAATTGCTGTTTCTTGTTGATAGTTAAAATTTCATTGGCTGGATGTGATTTAAGCAGCAACATAAGATTCATTTAAACTGTCATAAATTAAGACATCCTATTATGGAGGGAAATTTTTTAGAAATCTTTCCCAGCAATTTCTAAAAAGAGTAGGACTAACTTGGAACTCTTTGTAGTCATTCCTGCTAAAGGTAAGAATGGGCGTGCTCTCTCTAGTCTATTACCCTGTGATTTAGTTAGGTAGAGCTCAGACTTGCACTGCTCCGAACAATGTGTTGTGAAGTTAAATTGAAGGCCTGAAAAGGTATGCATATATCCCACTACTTTATGAACTCTGTGACTCATAATGCCTTACAATATATTTGAAAGCAAATTAAAGACTTTATAAAATGTTTTTAAGTATGCCCCTCCTCTTTTAAAACATTTATGGCTTCTATAAATGCTATATAAAATGCTTTGGAGAGTGGTCATCGCTGGACTAAGGCTAGGTTGCATAAATATTTAGTTAGAGATATGAGCGTGTTTCTTGAAGCTGTACATGTGTCGGAGTTTCCTTGCTGTTCCTGCAAAGTCAGGCCTGTTAGCAATGTGATGGAAGATAAAGGAAGCGGGGAGCCAAGATGGAAATGCATATTTGCCATCGCAGGGGATAGTGCTCCATTAAAGTATCACTGTTTTTGTTTCTGTACTTAAAAAATTTAAACATGTCTTTGATTGCAGACTGTTTTCATTGTGTCATTTTAAATAATAATTAGGCTCCCTGCTTCAATCATTCTCTTTTAAAGTGATTTCGGAAGTCCATGACTGGAAAGATCC
Source organism: Homo sapiens (assembly GCF_000001405.40). Lineage (NCBI taxonomy): Eukaryota > Metazoa > Chordata > Mammalia > Primates > Hominidae > Homo > Homo sapiens. Next base: position 76,193,414 of record NC_000010.11, read on the forward strand.
GGTATTTAAAGGAAAGGCACCTCTGAGGCTAACAACTGGTGGTGTCATTTGACCAAGAACTTTCCCAGAAAATTCATCTGGGGATCCTTAGGCTCTTTTAGAATATTGAGTTTTGTTTTATTGTTATTTTTAATCCCAAATACACCAGATGTTATTATTATCGCATATCTCTGGGAAGAGAAGAAGCTAAGATGAATGTGCCCTTATTTTTTATGTACTTCTAGTAGCTGTGCAATCTTCAATGACAGTGAACAGAATATATGCCCATGAAACTGACCAGAAAACAAAAATGTGTTGCTGTCTGCAATGTGCCAGTCACTGTGATAGGCAGTGAGCTTCAAAAATGAGTAAAGCATGGCCCTAGGGAGTCAGAGATCCAAGCAGAAAATTATAGTAAAATGTGATAAAATGTGTATAAGGAGAGGCCTGCAGCAGGAGAAGCTAATTCTAACTGGAGCTTTCAGGAGAAATGATGACTGTAAAGTGAGGAGGTAGAATCTGTGTATTCATTATTTAGCTTGAAAGCACTAACTTGCGTCAACCCATACTTGATATTTTGATGGTGGACAAATAATGGCATTTATTCAGGCAGGGAGTAGAGCCAGTGCAAAGGTACAGAGACTTGAAGGGACAGGATATAGCAGAAAATTAGTGGTGTGCAGTATTGCTTGAGCAACATTTGCAAGGAGGTTGGGGTTACCACTGGGCTAAGAGGTATACAGGGACTAGAGTATGAAGAATTTTGAGTCTGTTGCAGAAGTGCTTAGATTTGGCCTGTTTGTAGTAGGGGAACCACTGAGTTATTTCGGATGGACAAGAACAGGATAAGATTTGTGTTTTGAGAAAAAGTTTTTGGAATCAGGAGCATCTCAATTGCATCCCATGCCCTTGGAAAATGGAAGGGAAAATCTGAGGCTCCTAACACTTCTTTCCTGACATCTGCTTCCATTATTTTTTTGTCATGGGGCAGTCAGGGATGCCTGGGCTCTAACACTGTTTGGGTATCCGGGTACACAAGGTAGGATGAAGAGAGAAAGGAATGAAGAGTAGAAAAATGAACATAATAGAATTATGAGCTTGAATCTCACATAGGCTCACATGTCCAGGCATTATTTTGCTGCTTTGATAATACTTGTGGCACACATGGGAATCCTGAAAGGTGCAAAGTCTCATGTTGGATCTGTAAGATGTAGCTTCTTAGCTTATGAGGCAGTTGGAAAACGTTAGGCTTTGTTCTCTCCAGTGCTTAAGTTATTCACTGGAAGTGCTCTAGCTACCATATCAACCTGTCTCTGCAGACAGACCATGGGTCAGACACTTGGATGGAAAGTCCAATATGTGCTTGATGATCCAGAAAGGAGTTATATGAAAAAGGAATTTTTTATCAAAAGGCCACAAAATACTCTATCAAACAAAGTCAAGCAAGCTTCCTTTCTTTGCAGCTTCTCAAGCCTTTAATGTTCCAAAGTACAATATGAATCTCCAAGACAATGATGGAATGTGTCCTAATTTTATATAATTTCCTAAAATTATTTGTGAAAACTTATTTTTTTCTACAAAGCATCTTGTGAAACTTGTGTTTCCTGGGATGCTCTTTGGTCAAAGCCACTCTTGAGATTCATTTTTACAGGCCTCCTAATTGTACATTGAATGGAATTCCCTTCATCAAAAGTTGTGCCTACTCAGTTCCTAAAATGCCAGAGGGAGTGAAAACCAGACCATTCAGCAAAAACAAAAGGTGCCCCCTACTAATAATTTGACATCATGTTGGTGAAACAAAGGCTTGCATTCCTCCCATTCTAACTGGTTGCTTTTGCAAAGACACAACTTCCGGTTCTGGTGGGCAGAATGGGGTCTGTTGGGAAGGTTCCAGCAAAAGGCAACTCTTCTTGACCTTGTACCATTGAAAGTCACAGAGCTATTAAAGTAGCGACCAGGGCATTCAGAAGAGCTGTGACTAGGCATAATGTGCCTTTTGAGGGTGACCATTCATTTGTCCATCTAATTAGCACTCAGCACCTTTGATTGCCCCATACATCTTTAAAAAATTCAAATAGGTAGTGAAAACTGCTTGGATTGCAGGGCTCAGATGAAAATTGAGGCCTGGCCTTGTATTTATGGAGGTTTCTTCTTTCCAGGACGTCTTACCTGTTTCCTTAGCCCTGTTCTCAGTAATGCCTGCCACAAAGAACCCCATAAATTTAGCATTTGCAGCTATAAGTTTGTCATTCTTTTCTTGAAATAAGATAAGGGTACTATTATAAAACAGCAGAAGGCTGAATGTGAGAGCAGCCGACATATTGTTGACTGATTCATCTGGGGCATTTAGTTCTTCAAAATGGAAAAACAAAATAGGGTCTAAAAAGCAAACACAGTAAATTAAAGGAATGTTATTCTATGCATAGAACAGCTGTTTTAATACTTGCTTGGTAGGGTCATGTGACTGACCCACTTCTTTTAGGATAAAATATGTCTTCCTCTAAGGTTATTATTAAAGACACATGGAGACATTTACTTTGGTCTCCTTGTCAGCATTGTGCCACATTACAAGAAAATACAAAACACCATTTAAATTGGGTTTAGATCCTTCATTTGCATGAAAACGATAGTTAATTGTGTCCCTGTGATGATAATTAGTGTTCAGCTAAGAGGACCTTTTCATTGTTGGCCCGAGGTGAGGCCTGAGTTACTAAGAATTGTACTGGTGGTAGCTGTTTTCTTTTAAGTAACTGCACAGCTCTGTCTGTTTTGCCAACTGGCAAAATGAATTAACAGGAAGTGAAACATTTAGTGTTTACATGAGCTAGGACATTGTTACCCAACACAAGGAGAAAGCTCACTTTGGGCCTTCTTTGGTTATGGGATGCTTATTGTCTAATTTCTTCAGCAAACATGGAGTACCTACTCAATATTAGGACCTGGTGTGCCCTGCACAATTAGAAGCTCTCAGAGAGCAGGGACTCCACAGTAGCATAATTGAAATCTCTGTTCACTTTGAATCCTGAACTAGAAATGTTCTCACCCACCTGAGGCTTGACCATGTTTTCAGAGCTGCCACGTGGCAGGAAAAGAGTCCAAATCTGCTCCTTCTGCAGTGATCTCTCCCTGTGCTACTTCCTTACACTGCTTTGCTCTGTACCAGCCATTCAGGAAGATTTATCAAGTGGCTAGTTATTATAGAACAGGACAGAATACTGGGCCAGATCCCCCCTCCATCCCACTTAACTGTGCCTTAATCATTAAGTGTTCTCCAGTTGACCTCTCTGTGAACTCCTAAAAGGTCAAGACCAATTCTGTTTCACCTTAGAACATGCAATTCTGTAGTGCATTACATGCATGCAATTGCATTATATCCAACGTGTAATAAATATGTGCTGAATGCATGAATGAGAGAATGAATGAATGATCTTGCCGTATTTCAACTTAGCACAGGGTCCATTCTCTACCTTTGTGACATCTAGCTACATCTTGCGTTGTCTTCTGGTGGTAGGGTCCTGGCTACCTTATGGTGCAACCCTTTTCTCTATGGGCAACTCTGACTGTAAAATGGTCCTTTCTCTTTTTAATATCCAGTCAGCTGTAACATCACGGGGTCTACCTCCTGAAGCCATGTGGAGTTTGGTCTGATTCCTCTTTCACATAATTCTTCAGCTATTGGAAGACACCTGGTATATGTTTCTCATCTCCATATTTAACATAACAGTTTCCTCAGTTGGTCCTCATATGACATGGTTCCCCAATACATCTCTATCTTTAATGCTTTCATATCAACATAGTAATTTAACCAGTGGTTTAAAAAAATTATTTTATTTTGTTTTAATGAGCGTGGAGCCAGAACTGAGCATAGTATTTCATGAAGGAATGATCAGGGCAGAATAGATACAGATCATTGCCTTCCTCCATCTGACCTTCTGCTTATACTATTTTTATAATTGGGGACTGTACAATTCATTATTTTATTGCATTTCATTTTCAGCAGTCATGCCATTGAATTGATTCATACAAACTAGCGGTTATCTAAACCAGTGGTTCTCAAGTGGGGGTGATTTTTATCTCCCTGGAGACAGTTGGCAATGTTTGGAGACCTTATTGATTTTCAGTACTGGCGGTTGGTTGTGACACTAATATTTAGTGGGTAGAAGCCGTGGATATGGCTAAACATCCTACAATGCACAGGGCAGCCCTTCCACAATAAAGAATTAGCTGTTTAAAATGTTAGTAGTGGCCGGGTGCATTGGTTCACACCTGTAATCTTAACACTTTGGGAGGCCAAGGAAGGCGGATCACTTGAAGTCAGGAGTTTGAGACCCGCCTGGTCAATATAGTGAAACCCCATCTCTACTAAAAAATACAAAAATTAGCCGGGCATGATGACATGCACCTGTAATCCCAGCTACTCGGGAGTCTGAGGCAGAAGAATCGCTTGAACCCAGGAGGCAGAGGCTGCGGTGAGTCGAGATCGCGCCACCACACTCCAGCCTGGGCAACAGAGAGATACTCCATTTCAAAAAAAAAAAAAATTGTTAGTAGTTCCACTGCTGAGAAATTCTGGTCTAAACTACACAGTCTTTGTCCTTGGGGCCTCCTGAAGTAGACCTTGATCCCAGGCTACATGAGATCTTGCAAATCTTTAAAAGTGATTCAGTAGGACCATGTCCTTGTAGGTGAAGCTTTTCCAGGCCCTCTGTCAACCATTTCTTCCAAGACTTCTACTTTCTTAACTTTCTGGTCACCCACCTTGCAGTTAGAGCAGTGCTCCTGGGATGGAATGCTTTGGTTGTCATCTGAAGCCTAGGACAGTGCTTCTCAAACTTTACTGTGCCTAGAAACCACCTGGAGATTTTGTTAAAATCACATTCTGATTCAGTGGGTCTAGGGTGGAGGAAGACTGCATTTCTAAAAAGCTCACAGGTGGTGCCTGGGGCAGAAGGCCAGTGGGCCGCACTTTGAGGAGGAAGAGTCTTAGCATGTTTTCTCTTGGCATTGTTTGGACAAAGGCTTTTTCCATTCCCTTGGAGCAGAGTGCAAGCCTCTTATGCTGGGAACCTTTGACTGTCACACTCAGCCCTGGCCATGTGTCAGGACAGAGTAGTTGAGCACCATGATGTTATAATGCTGAAGAAGACTAATGGCCTGCTTAATTGCTGAGCAGTGTTTATAACTTACAGGTCTTTGCATCGCCCTATTCTAGGTTAAGGAGAAACAATAACAAAGCGATATTACTCTCCTAATTGAAAGTTGGAGGGTGGAATGAAGGAGGAGCTGCCCCCAGTCACAGACTTGGAGGAATGAACTATCCAGTTGTGAGCTGGTTTCTCCAGATTATGCATATGTTTATAAATTATCCTAGGTGTTCTTTTTCCTCATTCCTTTTATTGTAGAGTGTATTTCTTTAAAGTGACAGGTTTTATTTTTTTCCCCACTCTGTGCAGATTTCGAGGATGATGTAGCTTAATAAATCAAACTGATTTCTACTATTGTATGAAGACTCCTTAATCAGTTCTTTGAATTAATGCAATCAAATGGTTGAATTCTTACATTCATCTCTGTATTTATGGCTCTGTTGTGCTTTTTTATTGAATTGGAAGAGGAATATCTTCATTCACAGCCAAAATAAAATAAATCTAGGCAGGTTATCTAGTAAAATGACTAAGGTATAGGGTATGGGATGTGTATGTGTGTGTGCACTTGTGTGTGAATGTGTGCCTAAAAATACAGATGTCATCTGTGTCGTTCTAATATTAAATTTTGTTTTGGAACTTCATATTCATGAAGCCAGCATTATGTCAAACTCTGTGATAATGGTCCTGTTTTTACCAGGTCATGAATCCAGGGGTTCTCAAACATGTTCAAGAAGCAGGGCATTTGAAAATTATGGTGTTTCTTGAGTGATACCATGGATTTCATATGCCCCGGTTTAAGGGCACAGGCTCTAGAGTTAGGCAACCTAGAGGAATTCCCGTTTCCTCCATGGACTGGCTATGTGACCTTGTTACTTAACTTCTCTATTCCTCCTTTCCCTTATCCTTAAAGTAGGGATAATACTGAAGTGTCTATCTTGCAGAACCATGCTGAGGCTTAGAACCACAGGCATTTACTTGTATCCTTGACACCCATGCAGCAAGTATGTGCTACGTGGAGACCATTATTAGTATTAACCCAAACTTAAAACGGCTAAATATAGCATTTTCTGCCAAATCAGAAATGCTATCTTATGGCACATTCTCTCAGAGACAATAGTCACAGGCACTGAGGATGTAAGAAAAATGATTAGAGGACAATAATAAAATTGAAATAGTGCTATCCTTTAACAAATTGGGAAGCTATCTCCATTATTGAGTTTTAATCCAGGATCTTGGCAGACACAGGAGTTTGGCTGAGAGAGTTTGTGCATTAGCCCTACCCTGCTTTTTCACGTGCTCTGAAGCATCCTGAATCTACAACATGTGATGCACATTGAAACCTCTTTCTTTCTGATTTTACAATATCAGTATGGTACACCGATCAATTAAAAATACTTTGTAAACATATGTGGAGTAAGACTCCACTTCAAAAAAAATTTTTTTGAGACAGAGTGTCACTCTGTCACCCAGGCTGGAGTGCAGTGGCACAATCTTGCCTTACTGCAGCCTTGACCTCCCAGGCTCAAGTGATCCTCCTGCCTCAGCCTCCCAAGTAGCTGGGACTATAGGCGTGTGCCACCAAGCCTGGCTAATTTTTTTTTATTTTTAGTAGAGATGATGTTTCATGATGTTTCCCAGGCTGGTCTTGAACTCCTGAACTGAAGCAATCCTCCTGCCTCTGCCTACTCAAGTGCTGGGATGACAGGCATGAGCCACTGCATCCAGCTTAGACCTCATTTTTAAAATATGGCAGGCATACATCTGAATGTATGCATGTTTAATGGAGCTAATGATAGAAACGTTAGAGAGTGATTATTCTAATTACTAAACAATTCACAGGATTTCTTACCACAGCAAATGCCTTTCATGTCTACTTTTTGCCAGTTTATAATATGGTTCACAAACATAAAAGTTCTCTGTCTTAAAATTCTGATGCCATTCATCGATCTAGTTGGATGAGTTTTTATTACTTGCATAAGAGGGGATTGGGGTGGGATGGTCATATGGGTTTGTAGGCATCTACAAACAGCATGCTGTAAAGTCTTATTTCTTGAGTTTTCACCAGTAGCAATAGTCTTATTGCTAATCGACTTCATCATAAAAATTGTACTTGATATTGGATAGCATGCCACATATTACCAACCACTTTCACGTGTATATTTTTTCTTTTTCTTTTTCTTTTTTTTTTTTTTCTTTCTGAGACAGGGCTTAGCTCTTGTTGCTCAGGCTGGAGTGCAGTGGCACAATCTCGGCTCACTGCAGCGCCTGCCTCCCAGGTTCAAGCTATTCTCCTGCCTCAGCCTCCTGAGTAGCTGGGATTACAGGTGCCTGCCACCACGCCCAGCTAATTTTTGTATTTCAGTAGAGATGGGGTTTCGCCATGTTGGCCAGGCTGGTCTCAAATTCCTGACCTCAGGTGATCTGCCTGCCTTGGCCTCCCAAAGTGCTGGGATTACAGGCGTGAGCCACCATGCCTGGCCAATTTTTTTTATTTCGTAACGCTTAGTGACCCCATATTATTAGTATTATTATTTTTATTTATTTATTTATTTATTTATTTATTTATTTATTTATATTTAGACGGAGTTTCGCTCTTGCTGCCCAGGCTGGAGTGCAATAGTGTGATCTCGGCTCCCCGTAACCTCTACCTCCTGGGTACAAGCGATTCTCCTGCCTCAGCCTCCCAAGTAGCTGGGATTACAGGCATGCACCACCACGCCAGCTAACTTTGTATTTTTAGTAGAGATGGAGTTTCACCATATTGTCTGGGCTGGTCTCAAACTCTTGACCTCATGATCCGCCTGTCTTGGCCTCCCAAAGTGCAGGGATTACAGGCGTGAGCCCCACGCCCGGAGTGGCCCTATATTATTATTGAAGAAAGATACAGAGAGCTGAAATGATTTGTCGAATGTCACATGACTTGTAAGCACCAGAGCTAGGTCTCATACCAAGTTCTGCTTCTTCCAAATCCGTTGTCCAGCTTGTTGGGTATGTCTGAGTCCCTGTTAGCCACAATGCCATAATTGTTATAGTGTTCTTAGAGTAGAGCTCAGAGCCTATTATGTTGCATCTGTATCTCATCCTCACCTCTTCTTTTGTTGGATACATTTTTCATGATTTGCTGAGGATATTGTGGACTTAGTGTCAAATATTTTTCAGGTCAGAAGTTTTGTAGCCCTTGGAAATCAACCAATAACCTATGTAAAACTGGTGCCGATGTTTCTGCTGAGAGCTTCAGAACTGCTATATCAATTAGCTTTTGCTGGGTAAAAAACTACTCCCCACAATTAGTGACTTAAAACAGCAAATATTTCTTTAGTTCCCAGTTGTGCAGATTGGCAGTTTGGACTCGGTTGGATGGTTCTTTGCAATCAGAGCGGTCCTGGCTCTTCTTGGCTGGTCTTTCTCACAGGTCTTTGGTCTCAGCTGGGGACCCTAGGATGGCTTATATGGCTGGGGTCTCTCTTCATGTGGCCTTTCCTTTTTCAGCAGGTTAGTCTCAGTGTTGTTCACATGGTGGCTTCAGAGTTCCATGAGCAGCAAAGAACAAGCCCCGTACCTTTCAAGTCTGATTCTGTCACGTTGGCTACTTTTTTATTGCTCAAAGCTAGTTATGTGGCCAAGCCCAGAGTCAACATAAGAAGGGATTGTTTTGGCGAGAAATCACCAGGGACACAGATACAGGGAGATCTGAACAAATTGAGAGCCATTACCGCAACAGTCTGTTACACTGCCACATCAAGTTTTCCTTTCCTTCCAAACTTTTTGAGTGAAGTTCTAATGCCCTGAAAACCCAGGAGATACTTTCTCTTCACTGAGGCATTTCCTTCCCTGACTTCCTCCATGGGACAGCTTGGCATTAATGAATTGAAAGATTGTCCTTAGTCAGGGCTTTTCTGACTTCTTAATGGTGTGCATGTAACTTCTCCTTGTCAGGTTTCCCTTTAGAAATGCATGCATTTATTTGGAATCCGGATGCTGGAGTTTTCTGTTTGGAAAAGAATTTTAATGAAACTTTATCAGGTGTGTGTTCACCAAAATGAAGAGGACTCTTTTGTGTCCAGAGAAAGCTATCTGGCAGTCAGGAGCCCTTTAGAAAAAGGACTGCAGAATGAAGGAAAGCTAAACCTCTCTTTAATGATTTTCTCTTTTTAAAACATATTACTTTGCATGAAAATTTGTGTCAAGGAGTTTAGCTCATGGAAGGGGAACTTGATGTGCAATCTGGAGGAAGGAGCGGACACTAGATGATAATTCTCAAGCAGATGAAAGAGAATATTTCACATTGCTGAGACACATGTGACTTCTTTGGATGCAAATAACAGAAAGGTTGATGACAGTTATCCCTGTTCCCTGCTCTGCGGAGAAATCACCAGCTTAGCAACACTAAATGGCAAGGCATTTGTGGCTGAGTTCTTTCTCTGACTAATTGGAAACACATCTCTCTATTTTCCTGCCATTGAGAAAGAGCTACTCTTTGGTAAATGGTATTCAGTGGTTTACTTTTCTAAAAACTCAGCCCTGTGCTGAGCTTTTGGTCAGAAGAATGGAAATGCTTTCTAATGCCAGAGAGCATGAGTACTTTTTGTGGAGACAGTGGGATCCATTAGAAAGTGACTGGACATTTTGGAGTCCCAACTTGGTAGAATCTCACAAGTTCTGCTCCCTGTGAGTTCAACAACTTGAACAAATCCCTTCTCTTCTCTGGCCTCAGCTTCTTCACTTGTAAAATGAGAAGAATGGAGCAAATAATTTCAAAGGGTTTAAAAAAAATGTTTTTGAATAGAGACTGCGTCTCACTCACTGTGTTGCCCAGGCTGCTCTCAACCTCCTGGGCTCAAGTGATCCTCCTGCCTTGGTCTCCCGAAGTGCTAGGATTACAGGCATGAGCCACTGTCCCTGGCCCAAAGTATTTTTTAATCTCTGTCAGGTCAGACTATAATTTGGAAAAATATATATTTAATTTTTGGTTATAAATTTAGGATTTTGAGATTTGGTGATTCGGAGAAGACATTGTGAAATACTTACTGGGTTTATGGCAGAGGACACTTTGTAAAACAAAACAAAGCAAATCTCTATTCTTGCCCTGATAGGGATTGTGCCACCCATCTCTCCATGTGCCCGTCCACCCATCTCTATTCCATGTGCCCGTCCACCCATCTCTATTCCATGTACTTGTCCACCCATCTCTCCATGTGCCTGTCCACCCATCTCTATTCCATGTGCCCATCTACCCATCTCTATTTCATGTGCCCATCCACCCATCTCTATTTCATGTGCCCATCCACCCATCTCTCCATGTGTCTGTCCACCCATTTCTCCATGTTCCCATCCACCCATCTCTATCTCATGTGGCCATCTACCCATCTCTCCATGTGCCCGTCCACCCATCCCTATTCCATGTGCCCATCTACCCATCTCTATTCCATGTGCCCATCCCACCCATCTCTATTCCATGTGCCCATCCACCCATCTCTATTTCATGTGCCTGTCCACCCATCTCTATTCCATGTGCCTGTCCACCCGTCTCTATTCCATGTGCCTGTCCACCCATCTCTATTTTATGTATCCATCAACCCATCTCTCCATGTGCCCGTCCACCCATCTCTATTCCATGTGCCCATCCACCCATCTCTCCATGTGCCCATCTACCCATCTCTATTCCATGTGCCTGTCCACCCATCTCTATTCCATGTGCCCGTCCACCCATCTCTATTCCATGTGCCCATCCACCCATCTTTATTTCATGTGCCTGTCCACCCATCTCTATTCCATGTGCCCATCCACCCATCTCTCCATGTGCCCATCCACCCATCTCTATTCCATGTGCCCATCTACCCATCTCTATTCCATATGCCTGTCCACTCATCTCTCCATGTGCCCATTCACCCACATATCCACTACCTTCTTATTTTCTTCATTTGTTCCAGACATTAGTGTTAAGGTGCTTAACTTCTTTAATTTATCCAGCTCTTGCAGGGAAACAAGACACAGTTTTTAAATAGCAAATGAGGAAAGTGAGGCCACAAGGTTATATCATTTACCCAATGTCCTCAGATGGTATAGGGGAAAATTACGACTAATCCCCAATTGTAGGTCCAGGGCTCTTTCCCTAAGATACAACACTTCTTTTGTGCCTCTTCTAAAATGTCCTAGAAAAGCCAGAACCTGACATCTGTTTCTTAAGTTTGGGGTGGCCCAAGGTCCCAATCTAGGGCTTAATTGTTGAATGAGAAAGAAATAGGGTTATTTCCTTTCCGGAAGAATGTTATTTGAGCTGCCATCCTCCACCATAAATGAAGATGGTAGGTTTTTGAGCACTCTGTGGCTAGAAGAATGATGAACATTATGAGAGATCCAGAAAAATCAGGAGAATCCCTGGCTTCTGGAGTTTACTGGCAGAGTCTGATATGACAGTGACATACTCATGACATCACCCATGACAGTGATATATTTGACAAATGAGGGCCCCACATAATAAGTAGTCATTTTCATAGTACTTAAGAAAAGGGAGACAGAGGCCCCTAGCAACCGTGGGATCCTCTAACTGCCAGAGGTAGTAGAGGATGCCTAGGTCCCAAGAGCGCACTTAAAAAAGAGAGGAAAAGCCACTTCTTCCTAAGTAACTTTCTCTGGAAAGCTGTGATGTCCCTCCAGAGGGGCTTAGGACAGAGGTTGTTGGACCCGGAAGAGCATATTTCACCTAAATCTTGGGGTGAAAACACAGACCAGATGGGGTGCCTCTTCTGTGTCTCTCCATATAAAGAAGGATATATCCTGGGTTTCGAGGTGGATTCAATTCTTAAAACAGACCCCATCATCCACCCCAGGCAATTTTGTTTGATCCCAAGTTCAGTAATGTGAAGTAAAGTTTCCCAGACTTTAATGGCTTAAAATGAAAGAGAATCATGTTTTTCTGTCTGAAACTGGAAATCCAAAGAGTTGCTCAGTGAGAATGTTCAGACTTCTACCTTGAGGCTCAGCTACAGGAAATTGGGAAATTTGGGTCAGATGTCTCATTCACATTCCAAATTGATAAAGGGTGGGAACGTTTGGAGAATTGTCTGAATCATAATGCTACTGAGAAAGTTAGAAAATATAGGATTATTATTCCCTAAATTACTTTTCTTTGTGGGGGTGCGGGGTGAAGGGGAGGAGGTTGAGGAGAAATTGTCAGTATGCTCTAGATGGCAGAGAGTGGTGTTTCATTTAGCTATTCCAGTGGGTGGATTGTACCAGTGTAGAGATGCTGGGCCTTCCTGTTGTGAAGTAACTCTTGGGGGAAGTTGGCTGGTGGTAGGATATGCAGATCTTTGCTACTGAAAATGGGGTCTTTGGGCCAGCAACATTGGCATCACCAGGGAGCCTGTCAGAAATGCAGAATCGTTGAGGCCACCATCCCAGACCTACTGAATTAGCATCCACCTTTTAACAAAACCTCCCAGTGACCCATACGCATGGGAAACTCGAGAAGCATTGGCCTAGATAATCATCCACTGGGACGATGAAAGGCACACATCCTCTCCTTCCTCCCGTCGATCAAAAGACGCATCTGGATTGGTTTCTTGATTTTGTCGATGATGACCTAAGAGAAAGGGAGTTTAACCTCCAGGAGCTGAACTCAGCAGTGGGACTGTGCTGCCTCATCTCCAGCTACTAACCGTTCTATCCACCCTGACCCTCTCACTGTTCTCAGAACAGGTTGGAACCTCTTACGACGTTGTGCTTGTCCCACTGCCTGGAATGCTTTTTCTCTCTTTCCTCACACATCAAACTCCTGTCACCTTTCATAAGCTTGCTCACATGGCATCTTTTCTGGGAAACATTCCTCATTTTCCCCAGGTAGGATTAGGTACTGTACCTTCTGTTTACTTATGCCTCTAATAAATTACAGTAGTACAGGAAAGTATGCATGTCTGTTTTCCTTTCTGGACTGGGAACTCCTGGAGGATCTTACACCCCTTGTGATCACCTCTGTGTCCTCAGCCCCTAACACAGAGCAGGCATGTAATCCATATCTGTTGCATGGCTGCATGAAAATACAGGTGAACTGGCTGTGAATGCCTTTTGTGGGACTCTGGGAAGTTCTCGTTCTTCCAGGCAGCTGTGTGGGCTGTGTTAATCATAAATTTCTGGATCCATGAGGCTCCCAAGTTAAAGACTGGGTCAGCACTGAGCAAAATTGTCAAGGGAGATGGGACTATCCAGTAACCACTTTCCCCTCTCATGCCTGGCATACCTCCGATTGCCCCAGACTTTCATGCAGCCCCTGCACTGAGGTTGGTTCCCTGTGGCTAAATTCCACCCCTCCCAAATCAGAGCCTACCTATCTCCTTAAAGAGTCAGTGCCCATTTGTCCGGGGCTTGCTATGCGCCAAACGCTCTACAGAAACTGCTTTGTGCACATCATCGCATTCAGTGGCCACAACAATTCTGTAAACATAGGCGTCATCATTTCCATTTCATATGGAGGAAACTGCAGTTTGTGGTGGTTAAGTAATTTGCTCACAGCAAGGTGGTCAGGCAGAGCTGGGATTCAAACTCAAGCCTGTCTGACTTACTAATTGGCACTTTGAAATGCTACTCTGTGCCACAACAGGGGTAATGAATCAGCCGGGGAAACCCATGAAGGTGCTAACCTACCATTGTACATAATTGATCAAAACACTTGCTCTGAACAGTGAGCTGTTTTAGATACACTTTACCAGGGGGAAGAGAATAATTACAAGTGACCGCAGTAGATGCCTCTATCTGGTCGATTCTGACTTTCTCAAGCTCTGACTAGCCTTTAAGACATTCTGTTTCTAAGACTGAGGACCACTGCCACAAGTCTCAGCTAGTTCAGGGATCCTACGTCTGTGAAGCCCTGGGAAGGGGGCTGGGAGTGTGAGCTGCCATTTTGCCTTTAACTTTGTCCTGTTAGTTGAGAAACATGCCACATTATTACTGACTTAAGTATTTATTTTTGGTTGGGGGATGGGGTGATTTTTTAAAAAACAATGCCCAGTGTGTGTGACTTCTGCACATAGTCATGTGAGTCACTTCCTGTTTAGTGGAAGCCCTCTTTATCCACCCCTACCTATCCAATGGGATCATCTCGCCTTTTCCACCTCCTCTGTCCCCTCCATAAAATATGCTCACTGGTGGTCGGGTGTGGTGGCTCATGCCTGTAATCCCAGCACTTTGGGAGGCCAAGGCAGGCAGCTCACCTGAGGTCAGGAGATCGAGACCAGCCTGGCCATCATGGTGGAACCTCATTTCTACTAAAAACACAAAAGTTAGCTGGGCGTGGTGGCACATACCTGTAATCCCAGCTACTTGGAAGCCTGAGACAGGAGAATCACTTGAACCCGGGAGGCAGAGGTTGCAGTGAGCCGAGATCAGGCCACTGCACTCCAGCATGGGTGACAGAACGAGACTCCATCTCAAAAAAAAAAGTATGTCCACTGGTGTTCCTGTTCCCAGTGAGAAGGCACCTCCCTCTAGACCTTCCATACTCAGCTGCTCTCACCAAGATGCAGTTACGTTTATTCCCAAACTTGTTTATGCCAGTTTTTCTTGTACAAGATTGGTAAACATAGTTCAATTAAATATTATATAAACCAACGAACTATGGGTACAAGACTAAAGAGCTGTCATTTTATGATCACTGAGTTAAATGCTTTGGAAAAATTTCATAAAGCAAATGTTACCGAGTTTTTTTAAAAAAAGGAAGCCAACAAATTATATGAGAGCAGGCCAAGAGAGCTTAAAACAAGAAAGGCAGAACTTTATCATCTAAAGTAGCCTGTGCTCAGTTTGCCTTTCAAGGGTCTTTATACTCTGCTCCATTTTAAAGAAACCCTAAACTGGAAATTGGCGGGGGGCAACAGTTTATGAGTATTTTGGGATAAAAACTATGAAGTGGGACTAATCACAGGGCAGCCAGCAAGGAAACATGGACCTCAATCCCGGAGCCCAGTGGAACTGAATTCTACCAGCAACCTGACTGGGGCTAAGAAGGGACAGATTCTACCCCAGAGCCTGGTCCAGCCAGCAACTTGATTTTGGCCTTGTCAGACTCAATGCGGGGAAACCAGCTGTGCCCACTGGCTTTTGACCTTCAGAAATAGGAGGAAACACATGTGCATTGCATTCAGCAGTGAAGCCCAGGGTAATCTGTTAGAGCAGCCATGGAAAACCAACCCAGCAAGCATGTCCTCCCCTCTGCTTGTGCCTATCCAGACCACCAATCCCATATTTTTCCCAGGCCCTTTCACCACACTCTGCTCAGTATGGCTTTCCAGGCCCTCGGCACTGGTGTTGCCTCAGCTTTGCTTTTAAAACTTGCCTTTCCGCTGGGTGCGGTGGCTCACACTTGTAATCCTAGCACTTTGGGAGGCCGAGGAGGGCGGATCACCTGAGGTCAGGAGTTCAAGACCAGCCTGGCCAATGTGGTGAAACCTTGTCTCTACTAAAAATACAAAAATCAGCCAGGTGTGGTGGTGGGCACCTATAATTCCAGCTACGCAGCAGGCTGAAGCAGGAGAATCACTTGAACCCAGGAGGCAGAGGCTACAGTGAGCTGAGATCACACCCACTGCACTCCAGCCTAGGCAACAAGAGTGAAACTCCATCTGAAAAATAAATGAATAAAATAAAAAAAAACTTGCCTTTCACACAAACTGTCTCCCCTAATAAGCTAAGGAGAGTCACTCTCACCTAAAAACAGACTGTGCTTCCGTGCCTCTGAGCATTTGCTCAGTCCTGTTCCCCTCCTCACAGCCTCCTAGATACATCTGACTCATCTTTCCAGGCCCAGCTGAGACCCAGGCTTCCCTATGCAGGTCGCCTCCTTGTGTGACTGCTGTGGCCTGCTGAGAACTTGCTGCTCATGTTTCCCTCTGGGCCTTCGTCTTCTGTTGGGGGTGTTTTCTTCTCTCTCTGGATTGACGGCATAAGAATTAGTATATTGTACGTGATCCATGGCTCCTGTGAGGGACTGGATGTTACCATGATCCATACAAACACCTGCAGAGCTCTTTTGTATGTAGTGGTTGATTTCTGGGGTCCTTGCTTTGAGTTATCTCTCCTTCAATATCAAGATAAGGATTTGATCTCTTCTAAAGTGTCTTGTAAATGACTTCTTTAAATGATTTTTGTTCCAAAGAAGGGTGTCTCTCTGAACATGGAGCCAGCCCCTCGGATTTGTGGCTGCTTCCATTGCTGATGTATCACGTACAATCCTGTATGAACATCCATTGTGTGTACTCTGAGAGAGTGTCCTATAGCACCAGCACATGGGGACACTATCCAGGGAGAGATGGCAGGATGCTGGGGTGGGGAGTAGGAGCCAGGGAATATTTTGAAAGCATTTGACTTATTTTCCACTGTAGCTATCTATTCTTCATTCCATGCTAATGGGATAATTTGATCAATGAATGAACTGGGAAAAGGCAGGAGATGCATAAAAAGTGTAAAAGCGCATAGCTACAAATGAGTGGGCAGATTTACCACCTTCTCCCCAGAATCAGATCTGTCTGCCATCCGCACCGGGAATGAGACAGGCAGATCCGAGCTTTGGCTTAATTACACATAATTTGGGTGACAGCTGAAATGCAAACCTAAACATTCAATCAGTTAAAAATACACAAAATTAAGCATTTCACACAGTGTCCAACCCCTTCAATCTTTATTAATACTTTAATTATGTTAATTATACCATGGTTTCAAGCCCTGCTACTACAACAAGCAGGGGGTGGAGGTGGGGAAGAGGCAGTCCTCGAGCTAAATAATGATTGCATTCGAATTAAAAGTAGGAATGGAATGCAAAGTAGCAAAGAATCACAAATACATAATTCAGCAGTTTACCCACCCTGTTCACACTTCTTTTTTTCCTGCCTGGCAGTGTTTCTGAAGGGTGGGTCCAAGTCTGACTCATCCTCTGAGTGTACTGTACATAGTAAGTGCTCAGTAAACATCTGTTGAATTAATTTTTCATCAAGGATGCTGAAATTGTATCCATAGATATAAAAAGATGTGAGCAGATGTTTGGGATATATATATTGAAATGGCGGTGGCCAATATTATGGCTGACAGTTATTTGTGGGTTAGTGGGAACAGTGGTGGTGCAGGGGGTAGGGGCGAGAGGAAGAAAGAGAGGAACAGAAAATGACCAGGATTGCAGAGATTCATCACCCTTCTATGAAGTCACTTGATTTCTTTGGACTCAGTTTCTCCGCATCTCTAACAAATGAGGAGGAGGAGATTAGACCTTAATGGTTATCAAACTTTGTTCTCCTGGATTCCTCAAAGGAACATCAGGGACTCCACTGCGTATGTGTGTTGGAGGGACATCTGGAGGATAAGGTTCTGCTTTAATTTATTTATTGGATGTCTAAGAGTTTTATTCTAAAAGTTGCTTAAAAATGGTTTGGAAACTTCTGCATGTGATAGCCTTTTTAACCTCTAACTCACCCACTCACAGACAGTCTCCTGTGCTCTGGTTGGAGGGTTTCCATTGGTCCAACACTTCACCTGTCTTGTCCTTTGTCCTGGGTATGTGGGTCCCCCTTACTCATCTGCTTTTCTAGCCCCCATGTGATTTTACTTTTCACCTTCCATGTCTTTGCTCATCTTGGGCTGAAATGTCCTTCCTCTCTGTCTGCACCTATCAACATCCTACAGTTCACTAAGCCTGGTACCCAGTTGCCTCCTCTGGAAAGACTTCCTGGACTGCACTTGTCATTGGTGCTCTCTCCTCTTTCCAGATTCCTTTGATTCACAGTGCCTGACTCACATTCCTCCTTTTTTTCATATGTGCTAGTCTTGTCTTATTGACTAGATAATCAATTTCTCAAATGAGAAACATTCAGCCTTCTCTTGAGTCTTTCTTCCACTCTGCCTTAGACTGGACACATAGGTGACTACTCAAGAAGTCTTACTACACATCCAATAGCATTTGACAGGGAGTTAGCCACATAAAATCCAATGAGCCTCTAGCCAGAGAGAATTCAGTTGCTGAAACTACAACAATGAATGACTGTACTTTAGATTTTTTACTTTATAGTTTGCTGAGCTGAAACCAAAATGTCACTTGGGTGACTTGCACAAGATAGGTTTTTAGGTTTTGCTAGGCTGACATGTACAGAATCATCAGTTGTTGGGAGTGTCTTTTTAATATCAACAGAGAAAACCTTGAAGATTCATAAATCTGAAATAGAAATGCAGTGTTTGCTTCAAAGAGCAATTCCTTAGTTTGTTGTTGGTGAGAACTGGCTCTGTGACTGTACCTTTTGCCCAAGTATCCTTAGCTAAGCTAAATGTCTTCAGAGTCTCACAAATAGTTCTCATATTCTGTGGTTATCACTACTGAGATTCTCCCTGGTGCACAGAATTGACATTGGAGCTCTCCATGTAGTTTTTGGTGGCCGGCTCAAGTTGCTGTCTCATCACTCCTTAACTCTACATCCTACAAGTCACCAATGTGGGGGCAAAGGTTCAAAAAGGAACCAATTCACTAGCTTCTTGGTTCAGCAACAAGACTCTCAGCATCACAGAATCTTATAGATTATCAAAAGGAAACATAGCCCAAGTCCATTAACCTACAAATGTTGACTATTATTTAAAACCAAACTTTATTACAATGGAGAATACAGAATTAACATAGGATACAGATTTTGCACTACAGATTTTTCTTTTTGTATGGTGTGAAAATTAAAACACACACACACACACACACACACACACACATAAAAAAAAAAAACTATAGAGAAATATAAAAAATGACCAAGTGCTAACTATGGTTCCCAGGTACTATGAGAATTTGGAAAGAAGAAAAATCATTATGGAAAAGTAGAAACAGCTAAGTTGTTGGGTCCATTTTTCACACTCAAAAGATTTTTTTTCTAATTATTGCTTCTACTCCTGGGCCTCCCTTTTTTTTGGAAGGAAGTGTCTGCCAAGGTACATCTGCTGAACAATAATTCATTCACACCCCAATAAAAGTATGAATATTACCAATCAGCCCTCTTGCAAACAAGAAAGAGATAACCGGATGTCCACACTGAACTAATGATAATTTCAGCCAAAAGGCAAAGAAGCTTCATGTTTTTATCAGCCTTTGTATCTTATTGCAAGTGGATGCATTATTTGTTGTCATTTGTTGGTTTCAGATATTGAAATTAGCTTTCAGAAAATCTGTGTACTACATTGTGGGGACCACTAAGAATCTTCCACATGGATTGGGAATCCTGTGCCAAGGAGTTTGCTCATAATCATGGAAGAAGATCAAGATCAGTGTAGGTGGAAGTGACTTGGATCTTGCAATAACTAGGGCTTGGTCAAGCAATGTGGGGGTGGGGGGATGTGCCAAGGAATCAGGCAATGTCCATAAATTCAGTCCCTTTTGTGCACCATTGCTGACTGTTCCAAGGCCACACATCTGACTTCCCATTCCTCCTAATTTTGTGAGCTCGTACTCCATGAGTGGGAGAAGATGGATCACCATTTTGTGAACTGTGCTGTTTTGCATCTCACCCCAAAAACGCATCCCAAATTGAGCATATGTGATCTTCAGTAACATTCAGGAATTTCCCATCACTTGAAGTCTTTAGTTACAGCCACACCTTTTAAAAACAAAATAGATGATTTTGAGGATGTCATTGGCTAATTTGCAGACCTGCTTTGCATTGGCATCTAGACCAGTGTTCGTTACTGGAGGCACATCTCTCTGTCGGGTGATTCAGACTGTATATGAGATTGGGGGGTGTACCTTGACCACATCAAGTTGTGAATGGAAGATGCTGCCTTGGTAATTTTACCCAAGACCCTGGTTGTATCCATTTAATAAAATTAGAACATGTATCATTTGAGAAGGGAAAGTAATTATCTCTGTTAGTTGTAATCTCCTCAAATTCAAATGCATGACATAGAGATTTCTCTTCAATGGCACAGTTATAGACTTGGTGGTTAATTAAACATCTTTTCTAATCAAATTAGCTTTCATTTCCTAAGTGGAGGTTTTTAACCTGGAAGTGGCTTTGAAACATTGTTTCTTTCAGCCATCACCTATGAAAGGAAAGATAATGTCCCTTCAAAGGACTCCTCTAACAGTGAATAATTATTCTTTGTTTGACTGCAAATGCACATTCTTGAAATAATATATTCGTAAAGTTTCATAAATTATTTCAAGACATATTAAAGAGCATTGGAAATAGTTCTACTCCCTCCAGGAGGTTGCCAAGAAAAAGTTTTGTCCTTTAAAATTTGAAACAAATTATTATTCACTGGGGGGACATCATTGGAGCTTCCCCTAGCTCCAGCTGACAGGAACAATTTGAGCTAACCTGTTAATGGTAATGCTTTTAAAATTTAGAGATACTCTTAAGTGGAGCAATTTTTAAAAATTAAAACTATAGCTAGGGGGAATTGCCTTTGGAGGTCATGCAATGTTAGGGACACTGCACATCTACCTGGATCAGGGCCTGGATTCCAGCTGCCTGGGTTGCATGTTACATCATGGCCCATGGAGGTGAGGGAGACAGGAGTGTCTCTGGTTGAATTTCAACTAAATGCTCCCAGGCATAATTCTCCTGAGACTTGCAGCTTGGCTATAAAATACAGCATAATATAGCACAAAAGCTACTGTAATTGGGGTTGGGAAAACGGAGTTCCAGTCCCAGAAGTCACATAACGTTGTAAAAAATCCACTATTTTCTCATCTGCACAATGAAAGAATTGGCTTAAATAATCTCCCATATCCCTTCTAACTCCAACATTTTGTGCTTTTACTGTAAGATGTCACTTGAACCAAATTTTTTTTTTTTTTTTTTTTTTTTTATGAGACGGAGTCTCCTCTGTCGCCCAGGCCGGACTGCGTCCGCAGTGGCGCAATCTCGGCTCACTGTAAGCTCCGCTTCCCAGGTTCACGCCATTCTCCTGCCTCAGCCTCCCGAGTAGCTGGGACTACAGGCGCCCACCACCGCGCCCGGCTAATTTTTTGTATTTTTAGTAGAGACGGGGTTTCACCTTGTTAGCCAGGATGGTCTCGATCTCCTGACCTCATGATCCACCCACCTCGGCCTCCCAAAGTGCTGGGATTACAGGTGTGAGCCACCGCGCCCGGCCGCAACATCATTTCTTAATAGCTCATTTTGTAGCTTACCTGGTAAGTGATAACTACATTTCTGAAGACTTATTGACTAGATAGTTATGGCATGGAACAAGCCTTATATCCTCATCTGAACTGAAATCTCTGAGGAAAACAAGAAAACAAGAAAGCAAAGGAGACCAGCACTTGCTTGGGCACTCACAATGTGGCAGGAGCTGTACTTGGTGATTTTGGGGCTTTTGTTTTCTGCTATTGGAGTTGAATGAAGTGCTGGGAACAGCAGAACTCTCCATAAATTCTGCCTGGATTAAATGCAACCACCTGCCACATAACTAATGGGGCCCAAGTTTAGAAAGAAAATCAGTTTCTTTGCAGCTGTTCTTACAACCTGCCTGTTGTTCTTCAGAAACCAAATTCCGAAATATCATCTCACAGGCAGTTAAAATGCTAAATGAGGAGCACTGGGTTGAGAATGGTGTAGTAAGGTGATGGTTGGGGGATGTCAGCAGGACTCAAAGACCTGGGCCTCAGCTGTTTCTCTCATCAGTTTGCTATTTTACACATTGACTTGAGCATGGACGAGAGTGTTCAGGAGCAAATACCTTTTAGGTAGCAGACTGAGCATGTGCAGGTTTGACTCTTCTTGTGCTCCTAGGACAGAGCAAGTTTCATTTTGAGGGATGGGAGGAGGTGTACCTTGCTGTATCTGAGATGGCAAATGCAAGGCACGTGTTCAGCTATCCCCATATCTGGCAGACATTGCTAATCTATGATGGCTCTCTTTCTGAGCTCCAATAGCCTCAGAATCCTTTCAACAGAGCTTTCTGGACAGCCATTATCAAATGGCAGGTGTTGGCACAGGAGATGAAGTCTGTTTGTCAAGATTTGGGCTAAGTAGTAGATTCTTTCTTGAAAAAAAAAAAAGTGTGCATCCGTCACATTTGTGGGTAATCCAAAGCCCTTTTTTAGTTTAAGTGCAGGACAGGACTTGACTTTATAGAAGGACACAGTGGGGATCATTTTTCTTCTACATCTGAAGTTATCCATGTCCCAATTCTACTTAACCACGTTGTTCTTGAAAAAAGAGAAATTGGGAGGAATTTCTTGTGAATTGATCTGTAGTTGCCTGATTTATAAAATGGGTGTAAGTGAGAATAGATTGATAAAATGTGGTGGATACCATGGACTATCTACAGTGACTAGAATCAGCAAAGCAGAGGTTTATATCACAGCACAATGAATCTCAGAAATAGGGGACTGGATGAAAGAAGAAAGAGGATGACACAATAACAATATGACTTGCATAAATTTAAAATGTACAAACAGCAAAAAGATTTCCTTAAAAAGACATAAAGAGGGTTGACTATAAAAGATTGCTAATTCTGGTCCATTTAAATGAAGAAACTTGCTCATCAAAAATCAGCTTTAAGAACAGAAAAGGCAGGGGCCAAATGTGGTGGCTCATGCCTTTTATCCCAACATTTTGGGAGGCCAACACAGGAAGATTGCTTAAGGCCAGGAGTTAGAGACCAGTCTGGGCAACAAGCAAGACCCCATCTGTACAAAAAATAAAAATAAAAATAGCTGGACATGGTGGCATGTGCCTGTTGTCCCAGCTACTTGGGAGGCTGAAACAGGAGGATCACCTGAGCTCAGTAGTTTCAGGTTACAGTGAGGTAGGATCATGCCACTGTACTCCAGCCTGGGCAACAGAGTGAGACCTTGTCTCTAAGAAAAACAAAAAACAAAAAACTGAAAAGGCACATTGTAAAGTAGATTTTTTCATTATATGCAAATGATAATGGATCAGTATTAAGAGTATGTAAAGAACTCCTATAAACCAGTAAGAAAACTACAGATAACTCAATAGAGAAGTAGGCACAAGATGGAGACATTTTGCAGAGATGGAAATATTTATAGCCAATTAATTTGTGAAGAGATATTCCCAACATTAGTGACTAGGGAATTAAAAAGGAAATGTAAGATATTTTTCATAGACAAGACTGGCAAAATTTTTTTCAAAATCAAATGTTGGAGAGTATGTATATCTACAGGAACCCTGCTATGTTGCTGATGAGAGTACAAATTGGCACAATACTTTGCAAAATTTCTCTTTTAAAGTTGAACATTAATGTAGCTCATGACACCAGCAATTCCACTGTACAACAGGAGGCATGTAAATGTTCGATAGGACGCATGTAAAGAAAGTCTTTAGAATACTCTTTTTCGTACCTAAAAACCAAAGGTCTACCAATGAGTGAATGAATGAATTGCTGTATGTATTTTCAATGGACTATTATACACCAGTTAAAACAAGTGAAGTGGCATATGACAATATTGTATATCTTGTAATAGGTAGAAAGTGAAAAACAAATATATTTGGTAAAAATTAAGATAATAGACATATCCATACCAGATGCATTTAAACAATTGCTTGTGAGGGGGCAAATGAGAATGGAAATGAGGAGAAAAGGAAAAATTTTAAAATACAAATGTATTATTATATACATACATTTTATATATGTGAATGTGTATGTATCGATACAAATATGTATGTATGTATATGGTATAATAATATTTTTCCATCTTCCTCATTGTTAAGTTGCATGGCTCAACTGCAATATAGTGACATGATTGAAGAGATTTCATGGCTTCATTCCCCCAAACTGTATTCCATACACATAGCAGCTATACCTTCAGCTTCAACATTAACAATCCTTTGAAGCCAAGACATTGTATCTCTAGGAGCGACCTCCTGATTTGCTATTAAAC
Source organism: Homo sapiens (assembly GCF_000001405.40). Classification (NCBI taxonomy): domain Eukaryota; kingdom Metazoa; phylum Chordata; class Mammalia; order Primates; family Hominidae; genus Homo; species Homo sapiens. The sequence goes on from NC_000010.11 coordinate 76,217,399, forward strand.
TAGACCATAACCAATTCTTCTTGTGTGACATGAGTTATTTGGTGACAATAGAACCTGGCTGGGGGGGAATGGTTATGAGAGTGATGAGTTCTGATGTGAGGCAAATCCAGAGTTCCTTGTAGATACAGAATATTAGTGCTAGGGGGACACAGCACAACTTGGGAACTTCTGGGGACCAGGAGGGTACTCACACTGTGATGGGGAAGAAGAAGAGAATGTTATTTTCTATTACGTTCACACTGCTTTACGATGAGTCAAGGGGAAACGCGTTGGGAAAGGGATATGGGTAAGGTTGGAGAATATGGAGAAGTAATTTTACTTTTTGAACAGTTTCTCCCTCATGTGCTGTGTGAGATTCATATCCTCAATAGGAGCCTCATCTGTTTTTACTTCCCATATTAAATACAAACAGTGCATTACCCTCTTCTCTTACTTTTGTCACCTGTTCCTGTAGGATATGTGGTGTCTAGAGTTCTTAGGGAGTCCTTTGGCTCTCCCAATATTGCTATTTCCTGTACAAGAATTTCAAGCTTCTACCAGAATCCATAAGAAGCCCCATCCAGGTGTAATGGATAGAAGGAAGATCTGAAAACATGAATCTGCTGCCATCTTTGTGACCTTCCCTTCTCCCTGCGTACCCTGTAGTTTTTCATCCTGATGCAATCCAATCCAGGGACATTCAGTGGCAATGGCTTCTAGAGTGGAAGGCCTGGCGGGAGCATGGAACGTGTGTATTTGGAGTGGAGTTGGCTATTGTAATACTTAGTGAATGGAATTTCATTAGGTCCTTATCTGTGTGCACTGAGGAAAAGAGGTCCTTTTACACAGTGCTTGTAATGGAGTGGAAAATTGCATTTCCCTCTTGCCCGAACAGTGCCATTAGTGGGGAGGCAGACTGTCTGCTGAGTGCAGGAAGCCACCTCGGGCAGTGCAGGGCTGACAGCCCAAATGATGGCAGTGCCGAGAGACCCGGAAGATATTAAAATAAAAACAGCTTGTGGTGTTCTTTTTGTCCTGTAGCAGTTCTTCCCTGCAATGCAGGGAGTGATTGGATTTGAAGCACTGAGAAAAACATGTTAAGTAAGAAATTGTTTAAATAAAGTTGTTTGAGGTTGAAACTCTCCCCCAGGCATGGAGGGAAATGTAGTTAGCTGCGTGCAACTTACAGATATCCAAGAGGCACCATGGTTTTTTTGAGTCAGGCAAGTATGCAGTACACTTAAAAAATGAAATGGACAATGAGATCTCTTCTTTGGTCATCCAGGTGGGTTCCAGCCCCACCTGGGAGGTGTGTAGGCCCTCTGATGGCCTGTTGGTGGATCAAATCACCATTTTTACTTTCCTTGGTTCTCAGAATTGCAGGTGAGAATAGCTGTGAGTCTCACTGCAAAAAACAGCAAGAGAATTACTCAGCTCTGGGGAAATTGTTGTTTCTAACCTGATAGGGTTCCTTTCTTGTGGGTTGGTGTTAGACACAGTCCCATGGGGAGCAGCCAGTGTGATAGCAGAGGAGGTGCACAGCCTGTCCTTGCCGAGGAAACAGAATCTATGCAGCTCCTGGGCCCAAATACATCCAAATACAAAGTGGTGCAGACTAGGAATGTTGGGAGGAACTATGAGTGCAAGAGCCTTTCATGATTGCCCAAAGGCACTGGGAGAATGCAATTAAAGATTTTGTCACCACCAGGCCTGCCCTAAAAGAACTCCTGAAGGAAGCACTAAACATGGAAAGGAACAACCGGTACCAGCCACGGCAAAATCATGCCAAATTGTAAAGACCATCGAGGCTAGGAAGAAACTGCATCAACTAACGAGCAAAATAACCAGCTAACATCATAATGACAGGATAAAATTCACACATAACAATATTAACTTTAAATGTAAATGGACTAAATGCTCCAATTAAAAGACACAGACTGGCAAATTGGATAAAAATTCGAGACCCATCAGTGTGCTGTATTCAGGAAACCCATCTCACGTGCAGAGACACACATAGGCTCAAAATAAAAGGATGGAGGAAGATCTACCAAGCAAATGGAAAACAAAAAAAAGGCAGGGGTTGCAATCCTAGTCTCTGATAAAACAGACTTTAAACCAACAAAGATCAAAAGAGGCAAAGAAGGCCATTACATAATGGTAAAGGGATCAATTCAACAAGAAGAGCTAACTATCCTAAATATATATGCACCTAATACAGGAGCACCCAGATTCATATAGCAAGTCCTGAGTGACCTACAAAGAGACTTAGACTCCCACACGTTAATAATGGGAGACTTTAACACCCCACTGTCAACATTAGACAGATCAACGAGACAGAAAGTTAACAAGGATACCCAGGAATTGAACTCAGCTCTGCACCAAGTGGACCTAATAGACATCTACAGAACTCTCCACCCCAAATCAACAGAGTATACATTTTTTTTCAGCACCACACCACACCTATTCCAAAATTGACCACATAGTTGGAAGTAAAGCACTCCTCAGCAAATGTAAAAGATCAGAAATTATAGCAAACTGTCTCTCAGACCACAGTGCAATCAAACTAGAACTCAGGATTCAGAAACTCACTCAAAACTGCTCAACTACATGGAAACTGAACAACCTGCTCCTGAATAACTACTGGGTACTTAACGAAATGAAGGCAGAAATAAAGATGTTCTTTGAAACCAATGAGAACAAAGACACAACATACCAGAATCTCTGGGAAACATTCAAAGCAGTGTGTACAGGGAAATTTATAGCACTAAATGCCCACAAGAGAAAGCAGGAAAGATCCAAAATTGACACCCTAACATCACAATTAAAAGAACTAGAAAAGCAAGAGCAAACACATTCAAAAGCTAGCAGAAGGCAAGAAATAACTAAGATCAGAGCAGAACTGAAGGAAATAGAGACACAAAAATACCTTCAAAAAATTAATGAATCCAGGAGCTGGTTTTTTTTGAAAGGATCAACAAAATTGATAGACCACTAGCAAGACTAATAAAGAAGAAAAGAGAGAAGAATCAAATAGACGCAATAAAAAATGATAAAGGGGATATCACCACCGATCCCACAGAAATACAAACTACGATCAGAGAATACTACAAACACCTCTATGCAAATAAACTACAAAAATCTAGAAGAAATGGGTAAATTCCTTGACACATACACCCTCCCAAGACTAAACCAGAAAGAAGTTGAATCTCTGAATAGACCAATAACAGGCTCTGAAATTGTGGCAATAATCAATAACTTACCAACCAAAAAGAGTCCAGGACCAGATGGATTCATAGCCGAATTCTACCAGAGGTACAAGGAGGAACTGGTACCATTCCTTCTGAAACTATTCCAATCAATAGAAAAAGAGGGAATCCTCCCTAACTCATTTTATGAGGCCAGCATCATCCTGATACCAAAGCCGAGCAGAGACACAACCAAAAAAGAGAACTTTAGACCAATATCCTTGATGAACATTGATGCAAAAATCCTCAATAAAATACTGGCAAACCGAATCCAGCAGCACATCAAGAAGCTTATCCACCATGATCAAGTGGGCTTCATCCCTGGGATGCAAGGCTGGTTCAATATATGCAAATCAATAAATGTAATCCAGCATATAAAAAGAACCAAAGACAAAAACCACATGATTATCTCAATAGATGCAGAAAAGGCGTTTGACAAAATTCAACAACCCTTCATGCTAAAAACTCTCAATAAATTAGGTATTGATGGGACGTATCTCAAAATAATAAGAGCTATCTATGACAAACCCACAGCCAATATCATACTGAATGGGCAAAAACTGGAAGCATTCCCTTTGAAAACTGGCACAAGACAGGGATGCCCTCTCTCACCACTCCTATTCAACATAGTGTTGGAAGTTCTGGCCAGGGCCATTAGGCAGGAGAAGGAAATAAAGGGTATTCAATTAGGAAAAGAGGAAGTCAAATTGTCCCTGATTGCAGATGACATGATTGTACATCTAGAAAACCCCATTGTCTCAGCCCAAAATCTACTTAAGCTGATAAGCAACTTCAGCAAAGTCTCAGGATACAAAACCAATGTACAAAAATCACAAGCATTCTTATACACCAATAACAGACAGAGAGCTAAATCGTGAGTGAACTCCCATTCACAATTGTTTCAAAGAGAATAAAATACCTAGGAATCCAGCTTACAAGGGATGTGAAGGACCTCTTCAAGGAGAACTACAAACCACTGCTCAATTAAATAAAAGAGGATACAAACAAATGGAAGAGCATTCCATGCTCATGGGTAGGAAGAATCAATATCATGAAAATGGCCATACTGCCCAAGGTAATTTATAGATTCAATGCCATCCCCATCAAGCTACCAATGACTTTCTTCACAGAATTGGAAAAAACTACTTTAAAGCTCATATGGAACCAAAAAAGAGCCCACATCGCCAAGTCAATCCTAAGCCAAAAGAACAAAGCTGGAGGCATCACACTACCTGACTTCAAACTATACTACAAGGCTACAGTAACCAAAACAGCATGGTACTGGTACCAAAACAGAGATATAGATCAGTGGAACAGAACAGAGCCCTCAGAAATAACGCCACGTATCTACAACTATCTGATCTTTGACAAACCTGAGAAAAACAAACAATGGAGAAAGGATTCCCTATTTAATAAATGGTGCTGGGAAAACTGGCTAGCCATATGTAGAAAGCTGAAACTGGATCCCTTCCTTACACCTTATACAAAAATTAATTCAAGATGGATTAAAGACTTAAACATTAGACCTAAAACCATAAAAACCCTAGAAGAAAACCTAGGCATTACCATTCAGGACATAGGCATGGGCAAGGACTTCATGTCTAAAACACCAAAAGCAGTGGCAACAAAAGCCACAATTGACAAATGGGATCTAATTAAACTAAAGAGCTTCTGCACAGCAAAAGAAACTACCATCAGAGTGAACAGGCAACCTACAAAATGGGAGAAAATTTTTGCAACCTACTCATCTGACAAAGGGCTAATATCCAGAGTCTACAATGAACTCCAACAAATTTACAAGAAAAAAACAAACAACCCCATCAAAAAGTGGGTGAAGGACATGAACAGACACTTCTCAAAAGAAGACAGTTATGCAGCCAAAAAAACACATGAAAAAATGCTCACCATCACTGGCCATCAGAGAAATGCAAATCAAAGCCACAGTGAGATATCATCTCACACCAGTTAGGATGGCAATCATTAAAAAGTCAGGAAACAGGTGCTAGAGAGGATGTGGAGAAATAGGAACACTTTTACACTGTTGGTGGGACTGTAAACTAGTTCAACCCTTGTGGAAGTCAGTGTGGCGATTCCTTGGATCTAGAACTAGAAATACCATTTGACCCAGCCATCCCATTACTGGGTATATACCCAAAGGACTATATATCATGCTGCTATAAAGACACATGCACATGTATGTTTATTGCGGCACTATTCACAATAGCAAAGACTTGGAACCAACCCAAATGTCCAACAATGATAGACTGGATTAAGAAAATGTGGCACATATACACCATGGAATACTATGCAGCCATAAAAAATGATGAGTTCATGTCCTTTGTAGGGACATAGATGAAATTGGAAATCATCATTCTCAGTAAACTATTGCAAGAACAAAAAACCAAACACCGCATATTCTCACTCATAGGTGGGAATTGAACAACGAGAACACATGGACACAGGAAGGGGAACATCACACTGTGGGGACTGTTGTGGGGTGGGGGGAGTGGGGAGGGATAGCTTTAGGAGATATACCTAATGCTAAATGACGAGTTAATGGGTGCAGCACACCAGCATGGCACATGTATACATATGTAGCTAACCTGCACATTGTGCACATGTACCCTAAAACTTAAAGTATAATAATAATAATAATAAAAAAGAGTCTCCTTAAATACTGAATAGAGAAACCATTAGGAAATTTCATATTCAAGCTACAGAAGAATTACCTGGTCCAGCCATTTCTTGTAGAGATGAGGAATTTCTTTCTCTGAAGGTGCAAGTATCAAAGCAGACTCCCTTGAGGCTCCTACCTCTCTCTAATGGATGTGTCTATAATGTTATAGACTGAATCATGTGTTCCCCCAAAATTCATATGCTGAAATCTTAAACTGCAATGTGATGGTAATAGGAAGAGGGGTCCTCAGGAAGTGATTAAGTCATGAGGGTGGAGCCCTCATAAATGGGATTAATGCCCTTACCTGTGGGCTCCCAGAGAGCTTTCCTGCTCTCTTTTGGCCCTGTGAGGATGCAATGAGAAGTAGGCAGTGCAGCTCCAGAGAGGGCTCCCACCAGAACCAACCATGCTGACACCTGATTTGTGACTTTAGCCTCCAGAACTGTGAGAAAATTCCTATTGTTTCAGCCACCCAGTCTGTGGTCCTTTGTTATATCACCTCATTTGACTGTGACAGCATCTCTTCGTGGTCTTTTCTCTGTTTTCTTGTCCACTCTTTCCTCCAGCTACTCTTCTTTCACTTCCTCTTTGGGAGAATTGTCTTTCTACTTGGTCTATCCCTTGGCCTCAGCCTTCTGTTCTTGCCTGCCGGATATGGAAGGTTGACTGGGATCAGCTACCTGCCAACCATTCTGTTCTCTAGTTTCCCCAGGTATTCCTTATGTCTACATAAGTTAGGGTTGGGAAGTTGTGGCTGTGCCTCAGTAGGGCCCCTCAGCATCACAGTGGTTGCTAAGCCCTGTCCTAGGACATTATAATTTTCTAAAAATTTATATGACTCTCAAATTCTATATGAACACATATATCATTATGTTAAAATTATTAATATATTTAAATTAGTAATGAGGGAACCAGTGATGTGGTAAAGCTGGTTCTAAGAGCACTTGAGGAACTGGGTATGTATAAGCACTGAAAAAAAAAAAAGAATGGGGGCCAGGCATGATGGCTCAGCCTATAATCCCAGCACTTTTGGAGACCAAGGCAGGCAGATTGCTTGAGCCCAGGAGTTCGAGACCAGCCTGGAGGAAATGGAGAAATCCCATCTCTACAAAAAATACAAAAGTTAGCCAGGCATGGTAGCATGCACCTGTGGTCCCACCTACTCAGGAGGCTATAGTAGGAGGATCACTTGAGCCTGGGAAGTTGAGGCTGCAGTGAGCCAAGGTCATGCCACTACACTCCAGCCTGGGCAACAGAGCCAGACCCTGTCTCAAAAAAGAAAAAAAAAATGTTAGGCAAGGATTGCTAGGTTAGATTCAAAGCTGGTCAGTATTCTACAGAGCAATAAAATAATAATGTCTAGGACTCTTTTTTTTTTTTTTTTTTTTTTTACCGGACAAAAATCTACAATTTAACATGTAACTTCATTGTATCTAGGTTGTGATCAAGTAATGAGCAGTGAAGTCAAATATAGGTATGATCTAGGAAGAATTAACTAACCCTTGGGAAGACCTGTTCACAAAGATAAAATATGCCATTGAAGGGATATTGTGTCCTTCCTTGTCCCCCTACCCCTTTACATCCAAGTTTTGGATGCTTTTTCTTAACAATATAAACCCAGCATTTGAGTCTATATTTCTTTGTAAATGTACCAGATATGGTATATCTGGTTCTGTTATGACTCCATCTTGAAGTAAAGTCCCAGCTAGTATGTCAGGTATCCACTAATTAATTAAACGTTTAACACATTTATTGAGTTGTCTCTGTGTGCTATGGTTTGGAAATATTTGACGCCGCCAAATCTCATGCTGAAATTTGATCCCCAGGCCGGGCACAGTGGATGGCTCACACCTGTAATACCAGCACTTTGGGAGGCTGAGCTGGGTAGACCACCTGAGGTCAGGAGTTCGAGACCAGCCTGGCCAACATGGTGAAACCCCAACTCAACTAAAAATATAAAAACTAGCTGGGCGTGGTGGTGGGCGCCTGTAATCCCAGCTACTCAGGAGGCAGAGGCAGGAGAATTGCTTGAACCCAGGAGACGGAGGTTTCAGTGAGCTGACGATGACACGATGCCACCGCACTCCAGCCTCAGTGACAGAGTGAGACTCCGTCTCAAAAAAAAAAAGAAAAGATATTTGATCCCCAGTGTTGGAGGTGGGGCCTAATGGGACCACTTTTTGGGTGATGGGGATGGATGCTTCATAAATGGATTGGTAATGAATGAGGTATTGCTCTATTATAAGTTCCTGTAACAGCTGGTTGTTAAAAAGAGCCTGGAACTTCCTCACTTCTCTCTCTTTTCTTCTCTCTCCATGTGATCTGTACATACATTGGCTCCTGTATTAGTCCATGTTCACACTGCTGTAAAGAAATATCTGAGACTGGGTAATTTATTTTATTTATTTATTTATTTATTTATTATTATATATATATTTTTATTATATTTTAAGTTCTAGCATACATGTGCACAACATGCAGGTTTGCTACATATGTATACATGTGCCATGTTGGTGTGCTGCACCCATTAACTGGTCATTTACATTAGGTATATCTCCTAATGCTATCCCTCCCCCCTCCCCCCACCCCACAACAGCCCCCGGTGTGTGATGTTCCCCTTCCTGTGTCCAAATGTTCCTATTGTTCAATTCCCGCCTACGAATGAGAACATGTGGTGTTTGGTTTTTTGTCCTTGCGATACTTTGCTGAGAATGATGGTTTCCAGCTTCATCCATGTCCCTACAAAGGACATGAACTCATCATTTTTTATGGCTGCATAGTATTCCATGGTGTATATGTGCCACATTTTCTTAATCCAGAGACTGGATAATTTATAAAGGAAAGAGATTTAATTGACTCACAGTTCCAGAAGGCTGGGGAGACCTCAGGAAACTTACAGTCATAGTGGAAGGGAAAGCAAACACATTCTTCACAAGGCAGCAGGAGAGAGAAGTGTGAGTGAAGGAGGAACTTGCCTAACACCTATAAAACCATCAGATCAGGCCGGGCGTGGTGGCTTATACCTGTAATCCCAGCACTTTGGGAGGCTGAAGCGGGTGGATCACCTGAGGTCGGGAGTTCAAGACCAGCCTGGCCAACACAGTGAAACTCCGTCTCTACTAATAATACAAAAATTAGCCGGGCATGGTGGCACGTGCCTGCAATCCCAGCTACTTGGGAGGCTGAGGCAGGAGAATTGCTTGAACTCAGGAGGCAGAGGTTGCAGTGACCCGAGATCACGCCATTGCACTCCAGCCTTGGCGACAAGAGCAAAACTCCATCTGCAAAAAAGAAAAGAAAACAAAACAAAACAAAAATCAGATCTTGTGATAAATCACTATCACAAGAACAGCATGGTGAAAACCGCCCCCATAATCCAGTCACTTCCCTCCCTCAACATGTGGGGATTACAGTTTAAGATGAGATTTGGGTGGTGACACAGAGCCAAACCATATCAGGTCCCCTTCACCTTCCTCCATGAGTGGAATCAGCCTGAAGCCCTCACCAGATTCAGATGTTGTGACATGCATCTTGTACAGCATGCAGAGCTGTGAGACAAATAAATCTCTTTTCTTTATAAATTACCCAGCCTCAGGTACTCCCTTATAGCAACACAAATTCACTAAGACATTGTGTCAGATTTTAACGTATACTGATGAATAAAACAAGCAATGTTGTGAGGTTCATGATAAGAGAAATACATGGCATATACTTTAGAAAAAAATATTATGGAAAGCCTGTCAAAGTGCCTCTACCTGTTATCTGAATCACATGATGGAGTGAATTCCCCATGCCTGTTTGCCTGAATTAGTTCAGATAAGCAGGAGTTGGTTATGTTCTATCAAATTCTGTGAGGTATGAATGGAAAAAAGGAATTTAGAATGGTTTTTCATGTTGGTGTGACCTTGTTTACTGTGTTCCTCCTTGGATTCAAAGTCTACCCAATAAGTAATATCAGTAAATATATCGGTAAAGTATATTGAAGCACTAGCTGTGGACTTTTTTTTGTTTATTTATTTTAAGATTTTTGATAATCATCCTAAATCTATTCTTATGCAAGAGTCTTAAAGTAGAAAGTTTCTCTGTTTTTTCTTCCTTCCTAAACTCCTTCAATGTGATTGACAACTGGCTCCATGAACGTGGGGCATTGTACCTACCAACTGTAATTTTTCCATCAGTGGAAATCTTGCAAGTCTTTGACAGACAGAGTAGAATGCAGAGGTTGTGGATAGTAGTGAATTTCCCAAGGCCCTGATAGTTTTAGGGTGATTTTTGTTTCTCAAGATTCTTTTAGCCAAATTGTAAAGCCATTCTTGTAATCAACTGAATTTCCCCTTTGATATTATCCCCAAGGAAGAGTAACTACATTAGTGTTAAGACCAGAGAATCACAGGGCATATCCTATAGTCTCTCATAGTATGTCCTATTACTGGCTCTCTGAGAAAGGGAGACAGGTTGGTTTTAATATCGCATCAGTATGTACAGTATTTTTTATTAAATACTGGCCAAGTATAAGTCACTTTTAGGCCATAAGAGGGATATAGAGGTATAAGAAGAGAAACTCACAGAGTAGTTGAGGAGATGAGATACCCACAGACCACATAGATACTTATATAAGAAAATGTGTGCAGAATTTTGACTCAGCATTCCAGGCTACAGTGCTCACAGAGTTCAACCAGTGGGGACTGTGGAGGGCATGGAAGGTTCTTAATGGAAATTGTTAGTCTTTTTTTTTTTTTTTTAGACAGAGTCTCGCTCTGTTGCTAGGCTGGAATGCAGTGGTGTGATCTTTGCTCACTGCAACGTCCGCCTCCCGGGTTCAAGTGATTCTCCTGCCTCAGCCTCCCGAGTAGCTGGGACTATAGGCACACGCCACCACGCCCAGCTAATTTTTATATTTTTAGTAGAGACGGGGTTTCACCATGTTGGCCAGGATGGTCTCCATCTCTTGACCTTGTGATCTGCCCACCTCAGCCTCCCAAAGTGCTAGGTATGAGCTACCACGCCCGGCAGGAAATTGTTGGTCATTTAATCTATTTTAACCACCCAAGGGGTTCCTTGGTGCCCTCTGCATAAACAAAGACCATGGCATTGTAATAGACGGAGTTTAATAGACACCAGGCCAGGCATGCCATGTGGGAGATGAAGTTCATACTCAAATCATCTTGTCCAGAATTCATAGGATTGGCGTTTTTCAGACAGTTTGGGGTAAAGGGGTAAAGGTGATCAGGTAACAGACACTTGCCGCTGATTGGTTGGGGCAAAGATGAAATCATAGGGGGTTGAATCGGTCCTCCTATGCACTGAATCAATTCAGGGTGGGGCCACAGGAGTGGGGTTGGCGAGTCCAGGTGGAGCCATGGGTGTCAGACATGCAAAAAACCTGGAAAGATATCTCAAAAGGCCAACCTACAATAGTTGTGTTATTTGCAGGAGTAATTGGGGACATTGCACATCTTATAACCTCCAGAATAATGGCTGACAATCATTTATGCCTGCACCTTAGCAGGACTCAGGTTCTCCTCTGCATAGCCTGATAGGCTCCCACTAGCTTTACAAAAAGCACTTGAGTTTTGGGCAAGGCCTATTATTTAAACTATAGCTTAAATGTTTTCCAAAGTTAGCTTGGCCTAATAACTCAGGAATAACTAAGGGAAAGGCAAGATGTGGGGAAGGTTAGCTTAGCTTACTGTTATAATTTTTCTCACTGATACAGTTTTTGCAAACATGGTTTCTCTATGAAGGATAAATGCAATCTGGATTATAGTAGAAGCAGGAGATGTTGAAATTCTAAGGAGAATGGAGCTGGGACAATGGAATGCGAAGGTTTGGACAATAATATACCAAGTATGTCTTTGTTGGGCGAGAACGTCTGTTGAGGTTTGGTATTTGAGTCTGAGAATTGAAATGACAATAGACCAATCAACAGGAGAAAAGGTACATAAATTTACTACAGGCATGGGGCATCACAAGAGACAGAGTGCCCAATAACCCCGTGAGATTCGAAGCTTATATGCCCTTCTCCATGGGAGAGAGTAGTGGGGGTCTGCAGGCACTTTTAGAGGAAAAAGTAAATGATGTTTAGGAGAGAAGAATGGGCATCAAGAACAGATGATGTCCTGGGACGAAGTCTGTCTGGGCTCTGAGTGTGCTGTGTACTCTAGTCTTCATTTCTGCAAGTTAATCTTCCCTGTTTGATGAGATTATAGAGAGGTGATGCAAGACAATTGCATTCCTTCTAGAGGAACTTCCCTTAGTCAGATGAGGGAACTTCAGAAAAAGCCGCCCTCTGTGCTTGGCAAGAGGTAGAGGGGTGAGAGAGGGTGGGCAGAAGAAGGTCAGACTCTGGTTCTGAGACTGCTTCTTTAGTTCAAAATACTCAGCATATCAACACCCCCACACTTTGAGGTATCTCTTCCGAGCCCGTGTCTTTGCGGGTGGGAGGTTGGGGAGGATCCAGTCTGGGCTTGGGAGTTGGTGGCATCCTTTTTTATAGCTGCTCCAGGAGCACCCAACCTGGGTGTGTTTACTGAAGTTGTACGCATGCTCCTTTGAGCCATTTTCGACTTCACCATTTTGCCCCTTAGTTCACTTTCTTAAGCCCATTCACCCAACTCCTGAGATCTTTTCAGGAAGCTGCTGATAACCAGTTTCAGGTATTTCTATCTATTGGTAGGCTGCCTTTCCCTGGAGCCCCCTGGGACCAATTATTATTTTAGCGAGGCAGTGTAATAACTGCCTGACCATCACCTGATGGTTGCCTGACATTCCTGGTGGGGTAGGGGTGGGTCTCTCCTGCCCTGCTGATGTCTGACTGCCTACCTACTGTAACACCCTAACTAAAAGTTGAGTTAACTCTGAAATCAAGCAACACCAAGCAGAAAGCAGAGAGGGAAACTTGTCCCTTTCAAAACAGATTAAATGTTTCTTATTAATTCAGTTGCTTCCACACATATTCAAGTTTGTATCCAGAATTAAGCGAGTCAGTAGTTTTAAATCAAATTACAAATACAGCATCCTTCATATCTGAAATAATTGTGTATCTGTATGTAAATGCTGGGAGAATATACTTTTTTGGATATTATTCTGACTGTAGTTTCAAAAAAAAGTAGATAGAAATCTGGAAAAATGAGTAAACACTATTAATTAGATGAGATATTTATCCTTGGCTTAAATTAGAAAACTTACTAAGAGAAACTATGAAAATATCAATTAAAACAACTAGCATGATTTTATTTTTCACTGTTAAGAGGGCAAAAAAAAAAAAAACCCCAAAAATCCCATGCATGAATAAAATAAATATATATTTGGGGATGACACCATCTTGGCATTTCCAGGCATTCTTTTCTAAACATATTCTTTATCTGAGCTGTCTTGCAATACTTTTAATATAATTAAAAGCACATAATGAGTGCCAGACTTGTCAATTTCAACAACAAAGTGCTGAAATTTGCAGTGAAACTGAGAGATCCATCTCCCATACATTGTAATGAATAGGTTCATAAAAGGAAAATAGTTTAATTACATTTTAGTTCATGGATTGTTAATAGGCTGGAGTATCTAAATTGAATAATGTGATTCTGGTAATAATTATGTGTAAATGAACTTGTTTAAATGATATTTTACAGCTTCTTTATAAAATTACAGCTAGAGGCAATCCAGTGATAGACAGACAAAGGCCATGCAAAAATTATCATAAACTATTAGCTTGTTTGCAAAGGGTTTTATGTTAATCTTTTAGTACTTAAAGCAATCTGCAATTAACATATCATGGGGAGCTGCCTCCGAGCAAAGGCATGCAAATTGAAGTGCTTAGATAAAAAGCCATTCATGTTGTGGGGGAAAGAGAAAGAAAGAAAAAAGAAAAAGAAAAAAAAATCAAAGAAAGGGTGGCAAAGTACTCAGAGGGTGCTGGTTTTTATATTTGAGATTAAGGAGGTGTAATGATTGTGTTATCTAACTATGGCTGTAATTAAAGCTTTTCTCCAGCAGACATGACAATAGATACTGCATTGATTTCGGTGTTTTAATTGTGAAAGTCATTTTATTTCAGGGCAGAAGATATGAATAGCCTGAATCAAAGGGCTAGAAGATTGCTTTGTTGATAGTACTTGTTCAACAGCTGCCTGGCTGCTTAATACACAAGTGTGGAGAATGCAGAGAGACCCAAGGAGGTGCTGGGTATTGTGATTCTCCTGCTGGTTTCCTTTCCTTTTATGAAAAAGGCAAGGATCTTGGTGCTGACTGTAAACAAACAGCCTTTTCATACCTCATCGATGTTTTTCCTCCCCAACTTTGCAGAACAAAAGAAGTCATAAAGGGCCTTGAACTAACTTTACTACTGCTCCTTTTAAGCTACAGAAGTTTATGCAAAGTAATAAAAACCATCTTTGCTAGTGGAGATATCACCCCTCTAATGATGAAAAAAAGTCTCTGAGTGACTGTGGTAGTTATTATCACAAATAGCCTTGTGACAGAAACAGTTTGTAGGAGAGAGGTTGGATTATTTACATTAAGGGCATATCCACAAAATCTCACACACAGTTAGTTTGAGATTAGTGCTTTCTTATCAGTTTCTATATACAAACCACAGGAGGGAAATTAAGTGAGGGGAAAACATATACAATCCCAGAGCAAAGAGAATTCTAAAGAGAATTTTAGGGAGATCAGGGTAGACTTAAAATAAAAATCACATTCTTGGCTATTTCTTCTATAACACTTCAGTGTAAATGGAGGTGAAACCCAGTGATTTCCAGTAATTCCTATTCTATTGATTTATCTCTTCTTTGTTCCTAGAAATATCAAATAGCATGTTTAAAGGAGTCTGAATAATAATAAACTTGGTTTTAGGGAACACTGTTTCTTTAAGTGATATGATTTAAAATAACCAGACACCAAGATATTACAAACATAACAATAATAACATAATCATTTACTGAGTGTTGTGCTATTTTTATTTATATTTCTGATGATATAAGGGAGTGAAAATTTTCCCTCTGCCCTCTGAGAGTTTGATAATTGAATCTATGGAATAAATGGACATTAGACCAATTAATAGGAGAAAGGACACATAAATTTATTACATGCATAGGAGCATCATATAAAACAAAGGTGAACACCCAGTGAGATCTAGAAGTTTTTATACCCTCTTCATAGGGGAGAAGAGAGGGGGAATGCAGACAACTTAGGGAAGGTACAAGCATACCTTGGAGATATTGAAATCTCAATTCTAGACTGATGCAGGATTTTCTTCTTGGTCACCGTGCAAGCTGGAGACCTCTGGCCAGCGATGCCCTACCCTGGCCTTGCTCGACCACACTAGCTGCTGCAGGAGATGGCCTCTACCTGCTGTAGGAGACGGCCTAAGTCTGGCTTACACACTGGTTCCCGAGTTCTTGTCTTGCACCCAAGAAAAATAAGGATGTACTGACAATGGAAGAGTGAGCCAGATGGGGAGTTTTATTGGTGATGAAACAGCTTTCAGTGGAGAGGGGACACAGGGGTGGTCCCCCTACCCAAAGGTGGGAAAGTCCCCTGTGTGTCTGGGCCTGGGGCCTTTTATGGACTCAGAATGGGGAGTGTGTGCTGATTGGTTTGGGGGTATGCAAAAAAGTTTAAACCAAAGACACCACTCAAAGGTGGGCATGACAGTGAAGAAAACCAATTACGAAAGGGTAGGTATATGTAAAATAGGTGAAAGGTGGGGACAGTCAGAGAAAAGTGCGCCAAATGGGAAGACAAGTTCTCAGTCTGGTCCAAGAATTTAACTTGTAGCTTGGCTTTCAGGCTTCAAACTGTAATCAGCTTGGAGGTGGGATTTCACCGGGGACCCCCACTGTCTGCCTAGGCATTTGGCTGCCTCCTTTCACTATCAAGACTGCCCCAATAAAACAAAAATTGCAATAAAGCAAGTAACATGAATGTTTGGTTTTCCCAGTGTGTATAAAAGCTATACAATACTGTAGTCTGTGAGGTGTATGATAACATTATGTCTAAATAAACAATATACATACCTTAATTTTAAAATACTTTATTGTTAAAAATGCTAATAACTATCTGCATTTTCAGTTAGTTACCATCTTTTTGCTGGTGAAGGGTATTGTTTCAGAGTTGCTGGCTGCTGACTGATCAGGGAGGTTGTTGCTGAAGGTTGGGATGGCTGTGACAATTTCTTAAAAGAAGACAACAATGAGGTTTGCCACATTGATTGACTCACGAAAGATTTCTCTGTAGCATGTGATGCTGTGTGATAGCATTTTACTCACATTAGAACTTCTTTTAAAATTAGAGTAAATCCTCTCAAACCCTGCCTATGCTTTATCATCTAAGTTTAGTAATATTCTAAATCCTTTGTGGTCATTTCAAGAATGTTCACAGCATCTTCACCAGGAGTAGATTCCATCTCAAAACAAACAAACAAACAAACAAAAAACACTTTCTTTGCTCATCTATAAGGAGCAACTCCTCATCTTTAAAAGCTTTATCATGAAGTTGCAGCAATTCAGTCCTATCTTCAGGCTTCTCTTCTAATTCTGGTTCTCTTGCTATTTCTACCACATCTGCTGTTATTTCCTCTACTGAAGTCTTGAGCCCCTCAAAATCATCCGTGAGGGTTGGAATTCACTTCTTTCAAACTCCTGTTAATGTTGATACTTTGACCTCCTCCCATGAATCACAAATGTTCTTAGTAACATCTAGAATGGTGAATCCTTTCCAGAAGATTTTCAATTTCTATTGCCCAGATCCATCAGAGGAATCACTATCTATGGCAGCGATAGCCTTACTAAATATATTTCTTAAATAAGAGGACTTGAAACTTGAAATTACTCCTTGATACATGGGCTACAGAATGGCTGTTGTGTGAGGAGGCATTAAAACAGCATTGATCTCCTTGTATATCTTCATCAGAGCTCTTGGGTGACCAGGTATATTGTCAATGAGCAGTAATATTTTGAAAGAAATCTTTTTTTTCTGAGCAGTAGGTCTCAATAGTGGGCTTAAATTAATATTTAAGTAAATCATGCTGTGAACGGATGTGCTGTCATCCAGGCTTTGTTGTTTCATTGATAGCACACAGGCAGAGTAGATTTAGCGTAATTCTTAAGGGCCCTAGAATTTTTGGAATGATAAATGAACATTGGCTTCAACTTAAAGTCGCCAGATACATTAGCTCTTATCAAGAGAGTCAGCCTGTCCTTTGAAGCTTTGAAGCCAGGCATTGACTTCTCTCTAGCTATAAAAGCCCCAAATGGCATCTTCTTCCCATGTAAGGCTGTTTTGTCTACATTGGAAATCTGTTGTTTAGTGTAGTCACCTTCATCAAATCTTAGCTGGATCTCCTGGATAATTTGCTGCAATTTTTCCATCAGCACTTGTTGCTTCACCTTGCCCTTTTATGAAGACAGCGTCTTTCCTTAAACCTTATGAACCAACCTCTCTTAGCTTCAAACTTTTCTTCTGTAGCTTCTTTACCTCTCAGCCTTTACATAAATGAGGAGAGTTAAGGCCTTGCTCTGGATTAGGCTTTGGCTTAAGGAAATGTCATGGTTGGTTTGATCTTCTATCCATACCGCTAAAACTTTCTCCATATCAGCAATAAGGCTGTTTCACTTTCTTATCATTCATGTGCTCACTGGAGTAGCACTTTTAATCTCCTTCAAGAACTTTTCCTTTGCATTCACTGTTTGGCTAATCGTTTGGTATAAGAGGCCTAGCTTTCAGCCTATCTTGGCTTTTGAAATGCCTTCCTCACTAAGCTTAATCATTTCTAGCTTTTGATTTAAGTGTGCCTCTTTCTTTCACCTGAACACTTAGAAGCCATTGTAGAGTTATAAATTGGCCTAATTTCAATATCGTTGTGTCTCAGGGAATAGGGAAGCCTGGGGAGAGAGAGAGAGATGGGGAAACAGTCAGTTGGTGGAGCAGTCAGAACACACACAACACTTATTAAGCTTGCCATCTTCTATGAGCATGATTCATGGTACCCCAAAACAATTAGGATAATGAAATCAAAGATCACTGATCACAGATCACCATAACAGATATAATAATAATGAAAAAGTTTGAAATGTTACCCAAATTACCAAAATGTAACCCAGAGACGTAAGATAAGCACATGCTGTGGGAAAAATGGTGTTGGTAGACTTACTAGATGCAGGGTTGCCACAAATCCTTCAGTTTGTAGAAAAAATAGTATCTGTGAAGTGCAGTGGAATGAGGTATACCTGCAGAGGATTTCTGGGAAAGATGAATGGGCCCTCAGAATAGGTGACAGCCTGCGACAGGGTCTTTCTGGGTGTGGTGTCACCTCTATTCTCCTCTCTTGTGATATAGATAATTGTCCCTGGCTGATAAGATTCTACGGGAGGGAATTCATGACTATTGAGTTACAGGAGTAGAAGCTTGGAATTTCTGGGGGCTGGCAGGGACATGAGTTTTGGGAAGATGGGGTTAGAAACTGTATGACGAATAAGGGTTGTCTTCTTATACAGATTAAAAGACTCTCAGGTCATAACAGTTTTCTGCAGCTAGCAGACTTTTTCTGATCCAGATAGTTTACTAATGTAGATTTCCTTTACAGATGTAAGTTTCTTTTACAAAAGGACAAGTTTTCAGAGCTACTTCCGTGTGTGCAGTTCCTCAGAGTAACCAGCTCGAAATATGCCAAAGAAATATAGTTTGGGGTGGTACATTCTGTTTGGCGAGCCCAAAAAATGACCTCCAATAACCATCCCAAAGAAGTCGATGGGATGATCCATTTTCTAAAACGAGTGAACTTAGCCTCAGGCCAAATATATTGTTCAAGGTCACATAGCAAGGGAGGGGCAGAGGCAGGTTAGAACCCAGACAGTCTAGCTAGATCTCTAGGAAAGCCTGATGCCATCCTCACAGGGTTAACAAGAATTCTGGACAGAAATGTAGTTATAATTAAGCATTAATTAAGCAGGCTGCACTTTGACCCAGTTCCTTGTAACTGAAAGTCAGGTAACACCAGATCCTGACTATTTGCATCCCCATTGTTCCTATAGACAGGATTTCTGGAGTTACATCAGGCTTTTAAGATAGATAGGATCTCTGACACTACAATCATAAGGTTTATGTTTGAGAATTGCAGATGCAGATTCTGAATTCCAGTGGAACAGCTAATGCTAACCATTTTGAAGACCCCAACAGAGGAACTGAATCAGCATGAGAATGGTTTCTTCATCTCCCTGTCCCATGACTTACTCTGCACTCTTTAACCAATCAATGGTCTCCACACTTTGGCCCGCTCCCAGACCTTTAAAAACCCTAGCCCCAAACTCCTTGGGGAGATGGATTTGAGGTTTCCTTCTGTCTCCTCGTTTAGTGGCCTATGACCAAACTTCTTTTTCTGCTGCAACCCAGCATCTTGGTGTATTGACTTGCCATGAACATCAGGCAGCAAACCTATTATGGTCACAAGCCCTTAGACTTCTTCTCTGATTAATGTTTTCTAAGTGCACAAAATAAAGTACAAAGGGTTACAAAGCAAATGTAGTATATTGAAATACTGTTATCAAAATATTTAAAAATAAAATTTATGACTTAGTAATTTATGTGCTTACAGCCAGCAGCAACTATAATTTCAAAGCTATGCTAACATCTACTATAATTTCAAAGTGTTGATAAGCATAAACAGTGTTTTGGATTTCTGCAATAATGTGACATGAAAATACCTGATTTTTTATCAATGATAAAGTCACAGATACTCCTTAAACTCCAGTCATTTTGTTGCCTACATTTATAATAAAAGAAAATGGGGCTGAGGCCAGAGGATTGCTTGAGTCTTGGAGTTGGAGATTGCAGTGAGCTATGACTGCACTACTGCATTCGAGCCTGGGCAACAGAGGGAGACCCTGTCTCTTAAAAAATAGCAAAAACAGAAAGAAAGAAAATGTTAAGTTCCCCATAAACATTACTGAAAATAAAACTATATTTTTATATATGTCAGATATTATACAAAAATACATGTGTAGATAATTATACATAAAAATAATTTTTCCCACCAAAATTCACAGACCTCTAAATTCTATAGGTGTACAAGGCTTAGGTTAAGAACATTTTTGGTTTTACAGATGAGGAACTGAGGCCCAGAGAAGGGAATTTAGTGACCCAAGGTTATCAGTAATCAGTGATAAGATGTAGATTAGAGCTGATTACACTAAGAGAACATAAGGAAAACTTAAAATACTGTATGTTGATCTTTTCCCTTTCTCCTGTGACTTTGGTGGCTTTTGCTGACATGCTCTTGGAATGTTGAACCTTTCTTTGTCTTTGCAATGTTGTCTTTTTCAAAGTGGGAGCAGCAAGCAATTTCCCCAGCCCTGAGATCAGTTGTTGGCAATTCCTGCTTTCAGTGGCAGGGCTGGGAGGATCCCAGAAAGCGCAGCCATAGGGACTCCAGGGAAGCTTCCTGTGATTGCAACCTAAATTTGAAAACTTTCTATTTAAAGGGACAAGAGTGCTTTTTTTTTTTTTTTTTTTTTTTTAAGATGGAGTCTTGCTCTGTTGCCCAGGCTGGAGTGCAATGATGTGATCTTGGCTCACTGCAACCTCTGCCCCTGGGTTCAAGCAATTCTGCTGCCTCAGCCTCCTAAGTAGCTGGGATTACAAGCACGTGCCACCACGCCTGGCTAATTTTTGTGTTTTTAGTAGAGATGGGGTTTTGCCATATTGGCCAGGCTGGTCTTGAACTCCTGACCTCAGGTGATCCACCCTCCTTGGCCTCCCAAACTGCTGGGATTATAGGCATGAGCCACGGCACCTGGCTAAGAGTGCATATTCATTATGTGTCTCCTCTACGCGAGGTCTTTGTATATCCTCTTCCAGTTAATATTCAGAGAGGCCTAATAAATAGTCCCCATCCTTGTTCTAGAGGGGAAGAGAGAAACTCAGAGATTGCCATGGCACATGGTGCTTGTGGTGAGCCGGGGTTGAGTTAGACTTTAGCTATGTCCTCACAGCCTAATGACGCAGGCAATTTGGTCCTCTATTTACTTATTAGGAAACTGAGGATAAAAGACTTTTAGCAAGATGGCCAAGTTCATGACTTATTAAGTGACAGAGCCACGAATTTAACTGAAGTCTGTTGCCTGTAATACTCATCTTTGTTCCCCAGACTCTGTTGCCCTTACATTGAAGGAATAAGGACCCCCCCGCCCTCCCATCTTCTCTACCCAGGGGTCTTCTCCTCAGGTGTCTATTGCATATCTGTTATTTACAGGGCATGTCCCATGTGGGCATGCAGGAGGGGAAGGGCAGCAGGTAGAAACACATAAGGATATACTTGATTTTGAGCTGACTTTCCTAACGTCCCTAATTGGATAAATAAAGCTAACACAAAGGGAACACACAGATAATGTTCGATGACAAACACGGACAACATCAACAATGTAATAATAATAATTGTGATGATGATGATAATAGCTAACATTTATTGAATGCATACTATTTTAAGGATTTTCCAAAAGTTGTTTCTTTTTTTTTTTAATTTGATCACATATCCCATAAAGAAGAGTGTGTGATGGCGACGGCACCCTTACACACTTGGCAGGAAGGACATGGCTGAGGGTGCCACAGTCATAAACACAGAAACACAGAGATATATGTTCTCCTTATTGATTTTGTAATAATATTGGTGGCAATCTTAGCTATGAATTGAGTGAACAGGTATTATGGGAAAGGAAGGGGGTGAGATGGATCAACCAGGCCAACTCCCAGGGGGCCATGTTGGCAAATTTTCCTGCCTCATGCCTTGCCTTGGTGACGTACAAATTTTAGGCATTTTAAAGAAATACCCCAAACTGTCAGCCCTGTGCAGAGGGAGCATGGTTCACTCCCTAGATAGTCAATTTGGGTGATAGGGGGTGGCCAGCTGCTTGCTTGGGTCTCAGGGGAGAGGCCCTGATCTTTCTGGTCCTTCTCCCCCAATCCTAACCTCAGCCCAGACATCAGGTCATTTCTACACACTGCATTAGGCTTCTCTAACCAATAAGGAACATTTACCCTTAAACATGGTCACCATGTCATTATCACAACTAAAAAAAGAATAATAATTCCATAGGGCTTTTCAATACCCAGTCCATATTCTAATTTTCCCAGTTGTCTCAAAAATATCTTTTTGTATCCAGTTCGTTTGATTCAGTGTCCAAACACAGCCCATACCTTTTATTGCGTTGCTGTATCCCTTTGATCTTTTTTAGTCTTTAATCATCTCCCTCCCCTTCTCCTTTTTCATCTTCTCTTTGTCTCTTATGCTCTCTGTTTCTCTCTCTGTCTCTCTCTCTCTATTATGCATTGATATTTTTGAGGAATTGAATGAGTTATCCTGGGCAATGACCCACATTCTGCTTTGGCTGGTTGCCTCCTTGCCATGCCATCTAACTTGTTCCTCTATCCTCTGTACTTTCTATAATCTGGTGTCAGATCAATAACTTGTTTGAATTCAAATTCATTTTTTTTTGTATATGGTGCTGTATACTTCCTATTGCATTACCTCCTGAGATGCATAATTAATATCTGATCATGGTAACTCTGTGAGGTGATGGGTGTGTTAATTAATTTGATTGTGCTAATCATTACATTTTATGTATATATACTTATATATAATGTATATATACATACACAAGCATATGTCGAATTATTACATTGTACACCTTAAACACTATATACAGTTTTATTGGTTAATTATATCTCAATATAGCCGGGAAATTTTTAAAAATAAAAACAAAAACAATCCCATCAAAAAGTGGACTAAGGACATGTATAGACAATTCTCAAAAAAGATATACAAATGGCCAACATATGAAAAAAATGCTCAACATCACTAATTATCAAGGAAATGCAAATCAAAATCGCATACACACACACACACCACACACACACACACACCACACACACACATACGCACACCATAGAATACTACTTAACTATAAAAAGGAATGAAATAATGGCATTTGCAGCAACCTGGATGGAATTGGAGACCATTATTCTAAGTGAAGTAACTCAGGAATGGAAAACCAAACATCATATGTTCTCATTCACCACCTTACTCCCGCAAGAAGGGCCATAATAATAAATATATGTAATATATATATTTGTGTATATATATGTTATATATAATATATACATGTTATATATTATATATATGTTATATTTATATATGTTGGCATGGATGTGGTGAAAAGGGAACACTTTTACATTGTTGGTGATAATGTAAACTAGTACAACCACTATGGAAAACTGTGGAGATTCCTTAAAGAACTAAAAGTAGATCTACCATTTGATCCAGCAATCCCACTCCTGGGTATCTACCCAGAGGAAAATAACTCATTATATGAAAATGATACTTGAACATGCATGTTTATGGCAGCATAACTTGCAATTGCATAATATGGAACCAGCCCAAATGCCCATTAATCAATGAGTGGATAAAGAAAATGTGAGATAGATAGATAGATAGATAGATAGATAGATAGATAGATACACATATATATGTATATATATACACATACATATATATGTGTGTATATATATATATACATATATATATACGCACACACACACATACACACATACATACACACACACCCCATGGAATACTACTTAGCCATAAAAAGGAATGAAATAATGGCATTTGCAGCAACCTGGATGGAACTGGAGACCATTATTCTAAATGAAGTAACTCAGGAATGGAAAACCAAACATCATATGTTATCACTCATAAATGGGAGCTAAGTTATGAGAATGCAAAGGTATAAGAATGATATAATGGACTTTGGGGTCTTGGGGGAAAGGTGGGTGGGTGGTGAGGGATAAAAGACTACAAATTAGGTACAGTGTACACTTTGCAGGTGATGGGTGCACCAAAATCTCAGAAATCACTACTAAAGACCTTATTCATGTAACCAAACACCACCTGTTCCCCCAAATCCTATTGAAATAAAAAATTAAAAATAAAACTGTATCTTATCAGTAGGTTCAGATGGTTCTTCCACTGAAAGAATCAGCTGGAGTCTTCCATTGTAAGGTTCCCAACCAACCTTTTACCTAATGTTTGAGCATCTTTTGATGATGGTGACCTAAGTCCATTATTTCATTACAGGTGGGAGAATAATTTTCTAATTTTATCATCCCTTTGTATTTATTACCTGGAATTCTGCCATGAAGGATTTTCTTCCATATAGTAATTGCTTGAAATCTTTTTTTTCTCACAGCAGATAACTTGGTTTGAAACATAGTTTCTGTGGGCATTGACTGTATGAAATGGGAATATGAAGTGTTTCCAGATGCAGCGGAAGTGGGAGGCTGAGGGTCCCCTGCAGGCACAGGATTCCCTTCATCCTCTGTACCTGTAGCAGAGGAGCCCTTGGGCTCCAGCAGTACAATTGGGGAATGCCCTGGTGAATAACACTGCCTGACCCCCATCCTCACCAGGCTTACAATGTGGGGTCCTGGAGACTGAAGGGTATGCCTGTAGTACAGAGAGGGTAGCCACTCACCAGCTTCATGACTTTGGGGCTGTTGGCCACAGTCAACATTGCTTCCTTATCTGTAAAGTGAGAATAAGAGTACTAACCTCACAGGATGGTTGTGAAGATTCATTATGCTAATGCCTATAAAATACTTGGCATAGTTTTGGCTGTATAACAGTGCTTAATAAATGCTGGCTTGATTATTCTTATTGTAATAATTTTTTTTTAAGAGACAGAGTATTGTTATGTTGCCCAGGCTGTAGTGCAGTGGCTATTCACAGGTGAGATCCCACTGCTGATCAGCACAGGAGTTTTGACCTGCTCCATTTCTGACCTGGGCTGGATCACTCCTCCTTAGTCAACCTGGTGGTTCCCTGCTCCTGGGAGGTCACCATATTGATGCTGAACTTAGTGTGGACACCCAATCAGCATAGCTCACTACAGCCCAGAACTCCTGGACTCAAGTGATCTTCTCACCTCAGCCTCCTGAGTCACCAGGACTACTGACTATTGCATTGGTTTGTTAGGATTGCCATAACAAAGTATCACAACGTGGGTGGCTTAAGAACAACAGAAATTTATTCTCTCATAGTTCTGGAAGCCAGAAATGGGAAATAAAGGTGCCAGTGGGCCCAGGCTCCTCCAAAGACTCTGGGTAGAATCCTCTCTTGCCTCTTCCCCACTTCTGGTGGTAGCTGGCAATCCCTGGTGTGCTATCACTTATAGATGCATCGTGCCAATATCTGCTTTTGTCACCACATGCCCATCTTTTCCTTCTGTCTCTTCACATGGTGTTCTCCTCTCTACATGTTCACATTGTCCTCTTAGAAAGATACCAGCCATATTGAGTTAAGGGCCAACCCTACTCCAGCATGACCTCATCTTAACTCATTACATCTGCAATGTCTTTATTTCCAAATAAGCTGACATTCTGAGGTACTGGGGTTTAGGACTCAACATATCTTTCTGGGGGATACAACTCAACCCATAACAATTGTGTAACCATACAACACCGAGTTGTCCTACATCTTGACATATAGAAGGGTTCCTTGTACTTTATTGTTATGCCACATTTCTTGCATTTTACTGTTTTCCTACTGGTTTTCTCTCAGATATGAGATGCTATGTAGTGCAGAGTGAGGATAAGATGAGCAGCTCTTCCACGTTTAGACCCAGAGCAGACACTTGAATAAGTCGTTCTCCACCTCCAAAGACAGGATAGGAGCAGGAAACATCAGCCAGAACATCTCGTATAAACAGCAGAAGCAGTACAGCCTTAGAGAACCCATCCACACCTCAGAACTTCCCAGCCAAGCTCATGCTGGCAGGCACCCAGTGATTCTCCCGTCCGTATCACGACAAGCCTCGGAGTGAACTGTTTATTTATCAATTCTTAATTGAGTTGATGTTTACTCATGATTGCCAGTGGATGAGTAATTTACTACAGAGTTCGAGGAGTCAGATAGTGAAGAGATCATTATAAAGAGAAATTATAATAGAGTTCCCTGTACTCATGGGTCTGGTAATAAAAGATTGATATAATTAGATGGGGCTTGGTAACAAATACTATTACATTATGTCTGAATCTTATTTAAATATATTGGCCTTTTATCTTAAACTTATTAGTGGGTGGCTGTAGCTTACGTCGACACCAGCTAGCTATTTTACTCTTGCAAAAGGAGGGCTGAGCTATACAAAGGAGTCAATCATTTGATGTTTAGAAGCAATGGCACGGTATTTAAGGCAGTTCTCCCTGTTGATTTTTAGAGGAAGAGCAAGGTATAAGGGGAACTTAAGCTTCCACTTGGTCACAAACTTTCTGGATAACAAATTCAGGGGCTGTGTTTCTCTGTACTGTGGCTGTGGCTACCTTGGAACCTTTAACTTGGCCAAAGTCATCCTTGAGAAAGCAGATAAAGGAAAGGGCAGGAAATAATCTGACAACGTAGTGAGAAAATGAGCTGTGGAGTAAGACAGGCCTGAGATGAAAACTTTGCCATAGTGGGTTGAGTGGTAGCCCCCCCAAAATATATCGCTCCATCCTATCCCTGGGACCTGTGAATGTGACCTTCAGTGGAAAATGAGTTGTTGAAGATGTAGCTAAGGATCTCAAGAAAAGATCATCCTGGATAATCCAGGGGGGCTATAAATCGAATGACAAGTGTCCTTGGAATAGACACCCAGAGGAGAGATTAATGGAGAAGAGATATGAAGATGGAGGTAGAGGCTGGACTTATGTAGAGCTATTAGGGAATAGATTTCTGTTGTTTTAAGCCACCAAGTTTATGGTAGTTTGGTGCAAGATCCCTGGGAAACAAATATACCAGTTTTATAATAAATTGCTTATATGACTTTGGGCTAGACTCTTAATCTTTACAAACCTCAGTTTTCTCATCTGTAAAAGTTGGGTTATTACACTTGTCTCTCAGTATCGTGAGGACCGTGAAAGCTCACCCAACTCAGTGCCTGGTACATGACAGGCATTCAGTACACATCAGATTCCTTCTCCCATCACCTCCTACCCATTTTCCTACATGATGTTTCAACTTGAAATCTTTTTCATCTTCTACGCCTCCTAAAATGTCTGCAAAACTAACAGCCCTCCCCTGAAGAATGTTCCATTCTTCAGGAGCTGTTCTTAGGACTGTCAAATTAGAGGAGAAAGCATGGTACAGCTGGTGTTTTTGCGGCAGTTGGGTGAGAGCCATGTAGATATTAAAAGTTTTTCAAATGCAGTTCATTGAATGCAGCCCTATAGAGAAGCAGCTGAAGTCCACATTGTAGCTGCAGTGTGGCTGGCCAGCTGGGGTCTGTTTCCTTCACACAAGGAGGTCTCAGGGTACATTCCCAGCCATGGAGAAGAGACAACACATGGGAGGGGAGTGCGTATAATACTCTGGGCTGCAGAAAGAAGCCAATGTAAATGGCTTTTTGCTTGATGTCTTTAGTTCATTGATTTTAGGCCTAGAAAGTCGTGATTGATTACATCCCACCAAATGCAGGCTGGGGAAGTCAGTGTGGGAATTTAGAGCATGGCTGATTTAATAAATGTTTTCAGAACCATGTATTCTTCTGAGGCATGAGAACGATGAGAAAAAGAACACTGGTCAAGAGCTAGCAGAGCTAGGGTCTGGCTTCATTTCTGTCCTTGATTAGCTGTGTGACTTTGAGCCAGTCATTTAACTTCTCTGAGGCTTCAACTTCACAGTGAGGTTGTTGGAGCCGTACATCTCAGTACTAGCATTCAATGGTTCCATGAAAATTCACAGTGATCCCCATGAGGTCAGTGTCCACCCATGTAGCACATGTATTTTGTTTGGCATGCTTGCTGGGGAGAGGAGAATCACAGGAAGGCAACAAGGGAAGAAAATTTTAAAAAATATTGGATGTTCTCTTATATATATCATCCAGGGCTTCATCCGTCATCCAGGGGAGAACTAGAGATGTTTTAAAGACTTGAGACCTCCACTGCCTGGTCCTATTGAGGATCCTGTGTTAATGACAGTTTTGCCATCTCTAAATGGCATTGAAAATCCAGTGCCTGGGAATAAGTAGGCAGGGGAGTGCCTGGGGACATGGCCCTGTTATAAGGTAGTGGTGTTTGTTTTTGGGACATTAGCCCTCTTCCCATTGTCTGTTATGTTGAGGTCAGCTTCCATGTACATTTCCCTATGTCTCCGAGCACATTCTGATCAATTCATTGATGGTGAGAGGGAAGGAAAGGGAAGGAAATAGACATTTTTAAATGCCTATGATGAGCTCCCTACTGGGAAGGATCTGTATTCACAGCCATCTTATGGGGCAATCACTTTACCCACATTTTATACATTATAAACCTGAGGCTTGGAGGTGTTAGGTAAGTTGGATAAAGTCACTAAATTATTAAGAAGCAGAGCCAGGAATTGAACACATGTCTGTGTGAGGGCCTGTGTTTTATTTGCCTTGGCATCCTGCCCTTATACTATGACAGCTCTGGGCATGCATTGTATACAATACACCAGACTGATGGAAAGTAGCAGTGGAGGAGGGGAGGATGGGGATAAAGACAACTATGTATCATTCTTATTCTTGAACATATTATCTAATTAGACAAATAAAACTAACATAAAGGGAATACCTATGACAAGTTAACAATTTTATCAACAATATAAAAATTAGAGATACGATACTAGCAGCTAACATGTATTACACGGTATATGCCACATACTAAAGACTCTACAATTGTTTTCTCAATTGTCACCATGATCCCATGTCCATATTTCATTGACGAGGAAGCTGAGACATAAGAGAGTTGGAAACTCTACCAAAGTTCACAGCCTTTGGGCTTCCAGCAGTGAGCCAGGATTCCAATCCAGCCCAACTGGTTCCACGCGGTACTACTGCTGGTGTTATTTGTCATCAAATAAGGGAACCCAAGGCCCACTGTAGGCTCATTAGGAGGGGTGAGTTTGGTCTGAAATGGTCCTGGCGGACTGAAGGGAGGAAATGAAACTCAAAAAGCCTGTATGGAAATAGCCTTGTGGTCATATCAGAGATCAGGTTTCTAACGCAGGTTCTTACCACCTCATGGTAGGACCTTGCAGTAATTGCAGGGCTTTTCCCACACCTCCTCTCATGTCTCATGGCTAACAACCTGTTTTCTTCTGCATTCTAATCTCCTGAGAATTCTCTCTAAAATGGAGGGGTCATTAGAAGGCAGATATTTTTGGAGCATGTCTTCCCTGGGGCAAGCAAGTGCTTGGAACCAGGGGTGCAGGGAAAGCCGTACGAATCCACACCTGACTGTGGGACAGTAATAGGGTCTGAGAGTGTTAGGTCCTGCAACCTTTCTTGAAGCACAGATAGGAGTGAGTACAGCAGAATTACGGCCCTGGATTAGTCCAACTGGCATTGCTCATGTAAAAGCAAGAGCTTTGTCAACTGCAATCCCACTTTAAAGGGTGTGTGGGATTGAAACAAGATGGCTTGAAGGAAGAGACCAGTGCCTGTGCTCTGTCTTTGCATTGCACACAAGTGTCCCTTGTCCTGAAAGACCAGGTGGACTGGATAACTGCATAACAAAGATGGGTGCTGCTAAGGGATGAGGGGATACAAAAGGGGAGAGGCTACAAATGGCAGAGCCAGGTCAGGTCTTGGAGAGTAACTAGTCACAGATTGCAGTCAGATCCTGGGCTAACATATTTTAAGTGAAAACAATGGATTTAAATGCCATTAACAGAGCATGTATTCTCCAGGTTCTTTTATACCAGCCAGCTTCACTCATTCCAGTGACGATCTTGTCTTACCTCCTCTGTCCCTCACTCCTTCACTCTTGCCCCAGCTATCCCAGAATAGCTTAACTACCCAGAGTTGCATATCAAGAAATTGTGAGTTGAAGAGAATAAAGTGACTTAAATAGATGACTGTTTATGGGGTTAAAATACAAAACTACATTTTCTGATTTCTAGTTTGATATTTCTCCACAATGCTGTACTGAAAGCTGGATTTTTCTGTCTTTAAGGCATGGAGAAAAGTGAGGGAGTCTTGGGGTTTCTCAGAATTTGAGGCAACATCCTTAACATTGGGCGAGGTAGTCTGGCTATTAACCATGAAACCCTATGGAGTGAGCTTAGTTGAAGGGGACTGAGCAAGCCATTTCAGAGCCCAGGGCCTCTGTGACAACCAAACACATTTGCTATTTGGAAAATAATTATAGATCCTTTTGAGAGATTCAGCTGCGGATAAAACTGGAATACTCTGGCTAGAAAAGTACTTGCTATGAAATCCATTCACCTAGTGTGATAGATTGTTAAAAATGGCCACTTTTATTCTATCCCTGTATGCATGAATCCCCCCTGCCTCCCGCAACCCAACCCAGCAAGGTGTCTGTAATATTCCTCCTATCAAGAGTAGAGTTTCTCTACCCACCTCTTGAATGGGGGCTTGACCTTGTGACTTGTTCTGGTCAGTAGGGCGTTAGCAAACATGATGTATCAGAGGCTTAGAAAGCATTTGCATGTGGGGTCCTACCCTCTTCTTGACACCCTAAGACTGCCATGTAAAGAGATTGGAGTGCCTTCCGGAGGTTGAGAATATTTGGAGCAGACAAAAGTCATCCCAGCAGAGACTCCCTGGACCAACAGTGAAGGTACCTGCATTTTTGCTAAAAAGTCCAAGTGGAAGGGTATTGTTATATGCAGTCCTATCATGTTTTCTCAAATAATGGGGAAAGGACACAGGTGTCCATATATGCTCGTGAATCCAGCCGTCTTCATTGGAAAACGTGTGGCCTGCAGAGATTCAGTGGAATGATCTTACCCCAATAGTCCAGGACAGTGGCTCTCAATTGGGAGCTATTTTGACTCCCAAGAGTCATTTAATAATGTCTGGATACATTTTTAATTTTTGTACCCCCAGGGCAGGAGTATGCTACTGGCATGTAGTAGATATAGGCTAGGGATGCTGCCGAACATCCTACCATGCACAGGACAGTCCCCACAACCAAGAATGATCAAGTCTGAAATATTGATAGTGTTGAGGTTGAGATACCCTGATCTGGGCAATTGTTGACTTCATGTCAGGTTTTACAGAGTTCCTTAACATATCTAGGCAATACTTCACCAGACTCCAACCCTAGCCTCATCTTCTTCAAGAGCAAGTTCTCTCTTTGGGAGTCTCTGAAGAGTCCGTCAAAAACATTTCTTAACATCCTAAGACATGCCTCTTTAGGGTTGGATAAAGATGATTTTCTAATTTTAAAATGCCTTCCTAGCCCCAGATTTTGTGCTTATATTGCAGAGAAGTAGATTGAATACCGGAGGGAAGGACATGGATCAAGGTGGAAAGTCAGACGTAAGCAGAGCTACATTTGCAGAAAGTATGAGTTCAGTTTAGTTTTTGCTTATGGACCACAAAGATGGCCCTCACCTCTAAACCTTGAAGAATTCCAGAATTTTTCTGGGAGAGGAACATCTCTATCACATCTGCCACAGCGGAAGGCTTTGTGCAGGATAACATATCATTGGCTTGAGAACAGAGTGAGCATGTGTGGAAGGGCCTGTAATTATTAATATGACATTGGCCATAATTTATCATGTCATACCACCCACTTACAGCAGCCTCATCCTATGAAATGCTAAATGCCTTTCTTATCAACACTTGATGGGAAAATGCTGTTCTGGCATCTTCCTCTAAGGGAAACAGAAATCTAACCATGTTCCTTACAGCCTAGAACTCTGTACACAAAGATCAGACTTGTTTTTCTCCCTGAAAATTTATAGGTATTTACAAGGACTCATATCCTGTTTGCTATTTAGAGGGGCAATGGAGTGAGAAAGAATTATGTAGCAAGTTTCTTTTTCTTGAGATTTGCTCAAGCTGCTCTATGACTTAAAAAAACTCAGATATTACTCCCCATTTTTATGGGCAGCTTGCTGTTTTCTATTCTTGCTTTCCTCACCGACTTTCTTGGCAAAGCTATGCTTGAGTACTCCTAGCGGGTGGCTAGATTCTCAGTGAGATGCTTCTGTCATAAAATACCCTAGAAAAGGAGGTTCAATTCATGATCCAGGGTGAAGTCCTTGTGTTTTAGTCCTATTAAATTAAAGAACCAACTTTTGCTGAGTGTTCCAAGACTGGATTCTTTCTTCCCTGTTGTCGTCAGCTCTCAGTAGGTGCAGACCTTCTGCAGAACTCCGATGGCACCCATGAAGGAAGAGGAATCCACTCTTATGGTATCAGAGCTTTATGAACCCTTTCTTAATATTAGAATGGAATCCTACAGCCAAGAGAAAACTGTGTCTCACATTCAAAGAGGCAGACATTGGAAGGAAAATATTCACCTTCTGACAAGTTTTAAAGAAACAGAAAATATTGCTTCTTTTTAAATATTTGCCTGGGTTTGATCACTTAATATTTTTTAATAGGTCACAATACTGCATTTCCAGGTAGATCGACTAAAATGCTTGGAGAATGGTTCTGTTTAATTTATTTGCCTAGTTAACTTACAGCAAACCACAAATTATTTATTTATGTATTTATTTATTTTTTGAGACAGTTTCACTCTTGTTGCCCAGGCTGGAGTGCAATGGCATGATCTTAGCTCACTGCAACTTCAGCCTCCCAGGTTCAAGTGATTCTCTTGTCTCAGCCTCCTGGGTAGCTGGGATTACAGGCATGTGCCACCACGCCTGGCTAATTTTGTTTGTATTTTTAGTAGAGATGAGGTTTCGCCATGTTGGCCACCTTGGTCTTGAACTCCTGACATCAGGTGATCCACCTGCCTCGGCCTCCCAAAGTGCTGGGATTACAGGTGTGAGCCACCTCACTGGGCCACAAATTTTTCATTTAACACAGTTGAATATGATTTCATGACTAAGGTTCTCATTGCTGAGTTATCATTCTTCAGCTGGAGAAGGGGAGAGGGAAGGTGCACTGATTCCCAAAGATCCCCTGGCATATTGTGAAGCAAGATTGAAAGATGTATCCTGGAAAAAATTCATTAGTTTGACTCTCTTTTTAACTGCATTCCTATAAATTGAGACTCTACTCATTTAAGGTGGTTATGAGAATTGAGTGGATATAATGGGATACAGAGGGTGGCACATTGCAAGCTTTGATGATAAATTATGGATGTTATGATATGTATGTACTTTCATTTGTAAGTAATGATTTTTATAAAATATTATGATACATTTCTAGGCTGACCTTGAAGGAGAATACTAACATAACTTTGGAAAACCAAAAAATGAAAAAAGGGTATCCGTTTCTCATCATGAATAGGTTTCAAATCTCGTATTTGGAGCATTTCAATTTAAGTTTGAAGAAGCAGGACTGAGGTCACATTTTTCTCCATTGGACATTCTTTCTGATGAATAAGTATTAAAACTGCTTTGAATTTGGTTTCCCCCTTAGATAAGAAATTATTTTTTCCATACAGTCTTTTCTTTGCACCTGAAGGAGCATTGAGGGTGAAAAATAGAGGCCTGTTTCCTGTTCCTAACTGGAGCCCTCCAAGGTTGTCAAACTAGAGCAACAACTTTGTGGGATTTATGCCTGGGACCTGTCAAAGTAGAATTATCATAGCAAACCCTCTCTGCTATCAATCAGAGGGGTATTGGGGATGGCAAGGGCAGGCATTTTTCAAATTTCTTTACTGTGCATATTTAGTCTTGTGCCTGGGGGAGGAAGAGCTCCTTTGAACAGTTCTTGTAGATTTCTTTTCCATCAGATGGCAGCTCACAAAACTACTTAATCTTCCCCAAAGGGCTTCTCTCATTGGCCTGCTGAGAAAAACAGCCAAGGAAGAGAGAGTGGGGGAAGACAGGGACAATCCAACAGCAAATCCTAGAAAATAACGCATTGCTTTCAGAGGACGTATGGTCTAAGTCTGGTCACACTGATATCATGACTTAGAAAAGCACACTGTCCATTGAAGGTTATCTCCCGTCGCTTCTTTTTTTTTTTTTTTTTTTTTTTTTTTTTTTTTTTTTGAGACGGAGTCTCGCTCTGTCACCCAGGCCGGACTGCGGACTGCAGTGGCGCAATCTCGGCTCACTGCAAGCTCCGCTTCCCGGGTTCACGCCATTCTCCTGCCTCAGCCTCCCGAGTAGCTGGGACTACAGGCGCCCGCCACCGCGCCCGGCTAATTTTTTGTATTTTTAGTAGAGACGGGGTTTCACCTTGTTAGCCAGGATGGTCTCGATCTCCTGACCTCATGATCCACCCGCCTCGGCCTCCCAAAGTGCTGGGATTACAGGCGTGAGCCACCGCGCCCGGCCCTCCCGTCGCTTCTAAGTATCATGTGGACATTTAGCAACAGCACAAAGCTGACAGTGCTATCATAGCGGTGTGAGTATTCTTCTGTCCTCCAGAGCCATTTCCCACATTTGTCAAGACAAAGGTTGAAGGGGACCGGACAAGGGAAATGGGTCACCCATTCATTCCCATCTGTCAGAGGTTTGCTTTGTCATGATAACATTCAAGGAGCATGTTTATCTATCCCGCTACTGGAGGTTAAGGCAAGGGTAACAAGAAGAGAAGAAACCCTGTTTGAAAAGTTTACAAATCCTGCCGTGAGGGCTGTAAACAGAGTCCAGCCGGTGGTGGAGCGTGTTAAATACTGCCACATTGATAGGGACCTGGTTCCCCGGCACTAGAAATCCACTCATGTAAACAGAGGAACTGTTGCTGTGAATCGGGTCTGTTTTGACTTAAAGTCTAAGAAACACATTGCCTTCAAAGTGAATTCTTAGGTGTCACTTCCCATAAGTTATGGCAGAAGATTACAAAGCTACTGATATAACATATTAGTTTGATGGACAGAATTATACCCCCAACGCTTCCTGCTCTCCCCAATGACGCACACTAACTTAGTGTACTGTGACAGCTGCCTTGATTTACCACCAGTCCGGGAGGCCAACCGGGAGAAGGAACGTTCACATGGACGCAGGGCCTGAGACTGGCCTGGAGCCTAGTTTATAAAGCTGCCCTGTAATTCACCACAAATGTGTCACCATTAAAAGAGGAAAAAAGGATTGCAGATAATAAATACTCTTTAATTTATTAGCTAACAACAAAGAGATCAGAGCCAGTTGTGATGTGATTGTTTGACATAATATTGTCAAGGAAAAAAAAGCTAAGTTGACCAGAGAGGTAAATTACACATTCAAGCAGATGCATCAACTCTTGGCTTGTCATAAGCCCAGCTAAACAAAACACCACACAGAGGGGAGGACTGGCCAAGAGCAGAGCCATTTATCTCTGAAAGAGACATATTCAAGAGCAAGTGAAATAAGACATAGTTCTTTTGGACTTGGTCAGAGGCCAGGTTTTAACTGTTATAAATTAAATGTTTTGTGTATAGGATTTGGCAATTCTAGTTGCCTTTGTCATGGTAGGGAGATGTTAGGTTTTTCTGCCTGTCTTAAACTCATGGTTTGGTCAGCTGGGGTGTGTGTCCTACTGCTAGATATTGGAGGATCACTACCTTTTGGTAATTAGCAGATATTGGGAAGGTTTCTGTATGTGGCTTGTGATAAAATCAGTGGCTTTAGAAAAACTTGTAATCGCCTTCGTTTTCTGCAATTCTTCCTCTACAGTTGTTGAGCAATACTCACACAGGTCACCAGGCAGGAATTCATATTGATATTAGACTCGTGGAACCTGAGGATTGGAAGAAACATTTCATCCCGCATCCCACCCAGGACATGCAGACAGTTGTGTATGAGCGGGGCAACTTCCAGGGAGGCCAGGCATCTGCCGTGTGTTATTGTAACATAGCTCAGAGTCAACCAGTGCTTTCTGGGCTTTTATTTTTATATAAGCGACTGCCCAGCAAAACTCTCCCATCCCTTGCTTGGGAAATTGAGTTTTCAGATCTAAGTGGGTACTTTTGCTTTGTTTTGCATATTATGGGTCTTTGGGTTTAGCCTATTGTTAGAACAGATTTCTGGGTTTTATTCAACAGTCTGGAGGCAAGGATAGAGTCCTGTGGGTAGGTTTAAGGACATTGATTCATGGATCAACATTTTTTTGATGTAGTTAATTGATCTGCTATGAATTGCATCTCATTTATTTTATTTGTTGCAAAGCAATATCATGGGGGATTTTTGTTAGATGTCTTATTGAAATCAATTTATAATGTTTATGGTCTCACTGATCTACCAGCTGAATAACTGTTTCTAAAAGACAGAGCTAGAAGGCAGGGAGGGAGAGAGAGAGAGAGAAAGGGAGTGGAGAAGAGAGGGGGAGAGAGAGAGAGAGAGAGAGATTGATTTGGCCTAGCTCATTCTAGGTAAAAAGATGTACTAGCTCTTAAAAGTTGCTACTATCTTTTCAACGTGCTCATATATCATATATTTAACATAATTTTTTACAATTTTAGTGTCATTATTTTTAGAATCTTCTGTTCCTCCTTTAAAAAATCAACAAAAATATTTGCCCAAATTTGCTTTTTATCTGTATTTTTTCAAATATTAGTAACATTGTTTCCATGAGCAGATCTATAAGAATTTTTTTGTTGTTGCTATTGTAAAATAAGATACTATTTGTATAGGTCTAGACACCAGGCATCTCCTATGTCTCATAAGCTCTCTAGGGCCTCATTCTTCCATTTCTTTTTTCTTTTTTACTTTTCACTCATCAGTCTAGCCCAAGGATATAATTTCATGATGGAGAAAATAATGACAAAACAAGAGCTTAGTTTTAATCATTCTGCCTTTCCTCTGTCATTTGGGATTTCTTTTTTTAACAACCATTTTCCAACAGTAGACTTATTTTCTTCCTTTGAGCATGGTTTTCATAAGTGACTTCTTAAAATCTGAATTCACTAGAATATGCCCCATACAGTTATACTAGTTTGGTTTCTTTCACTGCTTCCCTATCCTCAAGCTTCCCCAACCTTCCTTCCTTGTTGTCAATATTCATAATTATATACTCAGAATTTCACTTTTAGTAGCATCCTTCCTTCTTGAATTTCATGTCCTATTAGGATCAATATCTGTGGAAATTACTATACTATACTATACTATACCATACCATACCATACCATACCATACCATACCATACCATCCTATCCTATCCTATCCTATGCTATGCTATGCTATGCTATGCTATGCTATGCTATGCTATGCTATGCTATGCTATACTATACTATACTGAAATGCTATAGTCTCTTAAAAATAAAGCAAATCCAATCAAGAGTATTCATATATTTGTGTTCCAAAATATGCAAAGTTATCTCCAATTAGGCACGGTCACTTTCTCCTAGGGGTCTCATATCTTCCATACCACCAATCTTTTTATTTTTTAAGTTTGATCATGTTGGCATTTGTTCTGCTATATAATGTATATTATGTTGCTACTTTTTGAATATGTTCACTAAATGCACTTCTGCCTGATTTTCCTGGTTTCCAAAAAGGATTTTCCCTCTTCACCTCTTCTCCTCTCCTCTCTCTCTATTGGAAATACCTTTCTTTTCAGCAAGGTGTTCTCTTCCACTGTCACATTCTGGGCATGATTACCCACCACCGTGAGTTTAGTTCAAGTTCATTTTATTTTAGAAGTTACGACCGGTTTTATAGGAACAATGTGCCTTTATCATGTCAACTCCATGTTGAAAAACCTTTAGGGCCTCCTCCTCGCATTTGGGTTACAGCCACAAACCCTTAGCCTGGCTTCTGAGGTCCACTTAACCTTGAACTCAATGTACTTTTTTGGCCTAACCTTCCAGACTTTCCCTATTTTCACTCAGCCTTTCAAATCAACTGATCTGCTCATAGCCAGCAACATGATTTGTTCTTTTATTCGTTCACCTCTTTGGGCTTTCCCCCCAGACCTTTTCTAGTTTTCTTAATTAGAAAGTGAGTCACCAAAAAGGTCATTAAAATCAAGTCTTTCATTGCCTTTTGTTTTTTTCTCTATGAAGAATAAAATAATTTTATGGTGCAAAATGAACTTTTGAAGGCTAAGAAAGAACATAAAGTTTGGGCCAACCAAAATTAAAAGTGACTCACAATTAATACTACCAAAGAAGGCAATCTTCCGCTGTCCTTAAGTCAGCAAGGATTTATGAGAGTGCTTGATGATTGTGTGTTGCATTTCCTCTGTTGGAAATGATACCTAGAATTTTAGAAGCATAGATTCTGAAGGATGACTTCATAATAAGGATTTTAGGAGCCCACTGTTACCCATCTCAACCTTGGATGCCTGAAATACACTGACATTCCTACACATGGCTACATATCATTCTTATTATTCAGTCCACA
This sequence comes from Homo sapiens, assembly GCF_000001405.40. Taxonomy (NCBI): domain Eukaryota; kingdom Metazoa; phylum Chordata; class Mammalia; order Primates; family Hominidae; genus Homo; species Homo sapiens. Next base: position 76,255,539 of record NC_000010.11, read on the forward strand.
GCCATTGCCAGGATAGATAAAAAGCAACTGTCATTTCACATCAGACCAAGCTAGGAAAGTATATCTTTCCTCAACCAAGAAGATGGAGTATGAACCAGACCACATGGCCCAGTGGATGGGAATTGATAGTGCATACAGTAGCTTTAAAGCAGCATGGAGCAAAATAGATTTAAATCATTCCGAAAGAAATAAATCCTAACAATGGATACATTGTGCTGAATGAAATGAAGCTCACAAAAGAATTGATTAGGAAGTATACCAAATGGAATAAAATGTAGCAGAAAGGCACATATTAGAGAGAATAAAATATGTTTCAGTCTGAAGGGGATTTAATTTACTAAGATACAACTGACCAGCTATAAAGCAGATGAATAACATATGTAGTCAAGTCAAATGGACATTCAATGGAAATAGGTTTATATAGATCAATGGCATCATGTGACCAGTTTCATTCTTCTAATTCTATGGCTCATTGTGTAATATCTTTAGCTCTCTCAAGAAAATCTGAGGCTTTTCCTGAATCCTGAAAGAGGGAACTCACCTTAAAGGAGTGTATGATTAATTGGAAATAGGTTATTGTTTGTTGGCTTGTCTTGGTCCAGAGAACCATAATAATTTTCTGGAATTAGAAGGATTTTACAGTAAATTGCAATAGAGTATCACAGTGAAGACTATTTAAGCACTTTTTCCTCCAATGTTAAGTTAGTTCTACTGGTCACTGTGCTGAAATACTTAGAGCCATCAATGGTCTTCATTTCTCTTTCTAGGAAACTTGGAAATTTTAGGTCAATATTGAAATTATCTTGCTGGGAATTTTCTCCCACATGCAAACATATTCATTAAACACTCTGTTGTGCTTCAGTCGGAGTCCTTTGGAGAATGTAATTCTCAACATGAATGAAGCTTATTTCCAGCGTTATTCACAGTGGCATATCAAGGGCAGGGGGGAAGACAGTGGTCTGCTCCAGGTACAGACAATGAGGGGATGCATTGTTTGTAGAAAGTTTTAAAACAATAATAAAACCAACTAAAATTTTGTGTATATTCTGTTATCACCATGAACTGGCAATTCAGGCAATTAAAGTGATAAAAATACTCATCTCTGGAAAAAAGCTGTCAATCTAAGTTCTAAGTAATTGCCAGGAGTTCTGTTGTATTTTAAAATAATGACTATTATTGTTAATATTTATTACATTTTAACACACTTAAAAGTTTATCTTTTAAGACACATCGTATTCTATATGGAGTTACTCTGGGGAACTCCTAGCTCTCCAGGAAGCCTTAGCATACATGAACTTAGCTGTAAATTCACAGTGGTTTGGAATATTAGAGATCACATCACAGTCAGTGTCTCTAAAACCTTGGTAGCATATATTTCTGCATTTGAACAATATATTTGAACTAGGCAGTCGTAGAAAAATGATTGAGAGATAAAGAAACAGGTCTTGAGTTAGTTCTGTCATTCAATGAGACTACTTGGAGCATTTACTTGTTTTTAATATTTAAAACAATAAAATAAAATACAAACCATGAAGTGTACTATTTTGTCTTTGGTAAGTGCAAATTTAAGTTTATGCATGAAGATCTCTAATATATTTGAATAATAGCTTTACATTAAAAATTTAATTTTCTTTTTAATTGTTAATTATTTCAAAACAAAAGCAAATTAAAAAAATAATAATTACTAATTACGTGCTTATAACTGAAAAGAATTTTGTTTTATGGAGGAAGGGGTATTAATAATTATCTGCTCTGGGTATCAAATATGCTAGCTATGGCACTGGGTATTTTCTTTTTCTTTTTTTTTTTTTTGAGACAAAGTCTCACTCTTGTTGCCCAGGCTGGAGTGCAATGGCATGATCTCAGCTCACTGCAACCTCTGGCTCCCAGGTTTAAGCAATTCTCCTGCCTCAGCCTCCTGAGTAGCTGGGATTACAGGCACCCACCACCACACCTGGCTAATTTTTGTATTTTTAGTAGAGACGGAGTTTCACCATGTTGGCCAGGCTGGTCTCGAACTCCTGACCTCAGGTGATCCACCTACCTCAGCCTCCCAAAGTGCTGGGATTACAGGTGTGAGCCACGGCACCTGGCCAGCACTGGGTATTTTTATTTTTATTTTGGTTACAGATGATAAAACAATTCAAATTGCTGAAAAAATATGTAATTTAATACTTTATCAATTTCCTTTTATCTTGCAACAAACCACCTCGAAATTTAATGGCTTAAAATAAGAGTTATATATAAGGTCACAGTCCTGTGGGTTGGCTGGGTGCTTCTTATCTGGACTGACTTGGTTGGGGCTGGATGGTCACAAATGGCCTCACATGTCTGGGGCTCAGTTGAGATGGCTGGAATAGCTTTCCATGTGATCTCTCTTCTTCCAGAAAGCTAGCCTGGGCATGTTACCTGGTGGGAGAAAGGTTCCCTTAACAGGAGAAGGAAAACTCCATGCTCAAGTACCTTTTAGGCATTTCCTTGTATAACATTTGTTAATGACTCATTGGACAAAACTTGTTACATGGCCAAGTCCACATACGAGGGGTGGAGAACCAGACTCTACCTCTTGATGGTAAAGCAGTAAGGTTACATTGCCCAGGGAAGTATGTATAGAGGTAAAAGAAATTTTTGCAGCCTTTTTTGTGAATAATCTACCACCTACCCATAAGGGTTGTGTTATCTCCAGGTATTCAAGTAACATTGGCAGTAATTTCCATCTTCATACTTCGTCTCAGTTCTACTTTTTTATGTAGTTCATGTAGCCTTTTTAAATTAAATGTATTTTTTTTACTTGGCATATAATACTTGTACATATTTATGGGATACCTAGTGATGTTTCAATACATATAATGTATTGCATGATCTGATCAGTGTAATTAGCATATCCCTCATCGCAAACATTTTTCATTTCTTTATGTTGGGAACATTCAATATCCTTCTTCTAGCTACTGGGAATGATATAATATATTATTGTTAACTGTAATCATCCTACAATGTTTTTTTAACATGAGAAATTATTCCTCTTATCTGGCTGTAATTTTTCATCCTTTAACAAATCTCCCTAACCCTCTCTTTGCTTTACCCTTCCCAGCCTCTTGTATCATCTCTTCCACTTTTCATTTCTATGAGATCATCTTTTTTTAGCTTCCACAATATGAGTGAGAACATGTGGTGTTTAGTTAGTTCTGTTCCTGACTTATTTCGCTTAACATAATATCCTCCAGTTTTATCCATGTTGCCGTGAATGACAGGATTTAATTTATTTTTATGGCTGAGTGATATTCCATTGTGTGTATATATATCACATTTTCTTTATCTACTATTCCGTTGTTGGATACCTAGGCTGAGTCCATATCTTGGCTATTGTGAATAGTGCTGCAATAAATATGGGAGTGCAGATGTCTTTTTGATATGATGATTTCCTTTCCTTTATATACATTCTTAGTAGAAGGATTTCTGGATCATATGGCAGTTTTATTTGTAGTTTTTAAGGAACCTCGATACTGTTCTCCATAGTGGCTGTACAAATTTACATTCCCACCAACAGTGTAAAGAGTTCCTTTTTTTCTCTATCCTCACCAACATTTGTTATTTTTTATCTTTTTGATAATGGCCATTCTAAATGGGGTGAGATGCTATCTCATTGGTGTTTTGATTTACGTTTCCTTGATGATTAGTGATGTTGGGTATTTGAAAATATATTTCTTGGCCATTCGTATGTCTTCTTTTGAGCAATGTCTGTTTAGATCATTTGCCTATTTTCATTCTTAATTTTTTCCTTCACTCATTGGTTGTTCAGGAGTATGTTGTTTAATTTCCATATATTCATACAGTTTCCAGCATTCCTTTTGTTATTGACTTCTAGTTTTATTCTATTGTCATCTGAGAAGATGCTTGATATAATTTTGACTTATCAAAATTTGTTGAGACTTGTTTTGTGGTGTAACATATGGTCTATCCTGGAGAATGTTGCATCTGCTGATAATAATGTGTATTCTGTAGCTGTTGGCTGAAATGTTACCTACATGTCTGTTAAGTCCATTTGGTCTCTGGTGCAGTTTAATTCCAGCATTTCTTTGTTGATTTTCTTTCTAGATGATCTGTCCAATGCTGAGAGTAAGGTGTTGAAGTCCCCAACTACTATTGTATTGGGGTCTATCTCTCCCTTTAGATCTAATAATATTTGTTACATATATATATATGTATATATCAGTGTTCTGGTGTTGGGTGCATATATATTTACAGTTCTTATATTCTCTTGCTTAATTGATCCCTTTGTTATCATATAATATCCTTCTTTATCTCTTTTTAGAACTTTTTACCTGAAGTCTGTTTTGTCTGATATAAGTGTAGCTACTTATGCTTGCTTTTGGTTTCTCTTTGTGTGGGATATCTTTTTCCATCCCTTCAGTTCAAGTCTACATATGTCTTTACATGTGAGGTGAGTTTCTTGTCAACAGCATATAATTGGATCTTTTTTTTTTAAACCCATTCATCCTGTCTATGTTTTTTAATTGGAGAATTTAATCCATTTACATACAAGGTTATTACTGATAGGTGAGGACTTACTCTTGTCATTTTATTCGTTGTTTCCTGGTTGTTTGGTATATTTTGTTCTTTACTTCCTCTCTTATTATTTAATTTTGGACTTAGATGTTCCCTGTAGTGATAGGTTTCTCTTCTTCTTTTGTGTATTGCCTTGCTTCTTTTCTCTTTCTTCCTTGTGTATTGTCCCTACCAGTGAGTTTTATAGCCATTTTTTGCATGTTTTCATGATGATGATGAAGATTTTCCAGATGTAAGGCTTCCTTGAGCATTTCTTGTAAGGCCAATCTAGTGGTGATGAATCCACTTAGTTTTAGCTTGTCTGAAAAAGATTTTATTTCTTCTTAATTTCTAAAGGATAGCTTTGCTAGGTATAATATTCTTGGCTGACATTTTTTTTTCTTTTAGTACTTTGAATATGTCATCCCATTCTCTCTTGGCCTATAAGGTTTCTGCGGAGAAACCCATTATTAATGTAATGAGAGTTCCCTTATATGTGACTTGATGCTTTTCTCTTGCTGTTTTTAGGATTCAATCTTTGACTTTGACTTTTGACAATTTGAGTATAATGTGCCTCCAAGAGAACCTGTTTGGGGTGACTCTATTTGGAGTTCCTTGATCTTCCTGGATCTGGATGTCTATCTTTCTTCCAAGACTTGGAAAGTTTTCAGCTATTACTTTATTAACTATGTTTTCTGCACCCTTTTCCTTCTCTGAAATATATGAACTACACAAATTCATATGCCATCCTTGTGCAGGGGCCATGCTAATCTTCTCTGTATCATTATAATTTGAGTATAGGTACCACTGAAGTGAGCATTTTTAAGAAATAAATTTTGATAAGATGGCCAATATCAGCAAATGGATTACTTCTTGCCAGCTTAGCAACCCTACTGGAAAGAGAGCTTGTTCCAATAGTTCAAGACAAAATTTCAAGACTGACTTTTATTGGCTGGATTGACTTGCGTTTCTTTTCTTTTCTTTTTTTTTTTTTTTTTTGAGACGGAGTCTCGCTCTGTTGCCCAGGCTGGAATGCAGTGGTGCGATCTCAGCTAACTGCAAACTCCACCTCCTGGGTTCACGCCATTCTCCTGCCTCAGCCTCCCAAGTAGCTGGGACTACAGGCGCCTGCCACCACGCCCGGATAATTTTTTTTTTTCTGTATTTTTTAGTAGAGACGGGGTTTCACCATATTAGCCAGAATGGTCTCCATCTCCTGACCTCGTGATCTGCCTGCCTCGGCCTCCCAAAGTGCTGGGATTACAGGCGTGAGCTACTGCGCCCGGCTGGCTTGCGTTTCAATCTAAGCTAATCACCTGGGTCAGACCCACACCTCGTACCAGGAACTGGGCTCATGTCCATCAGAATCATATGAAATGAAAGGTGGAAGGCACTGGTTCTAAAAAAAAAATGACACCCTAGTTGTTACAAAATGAACAGTGAATTAATGCTGGGCATGCAAAAATAAGAGCCTTTGACTACCCTCTTGTGCTTAGGTCATAGTATCAAGGAGATAACTAGATTTAGGCTTTCCTACTTAGGTTTATTGTTATTTAAACTCACTTCTCATAAGCCTTGAAAAGCAACACACATGCCTTCAATAATGGGTCTGCAAGTTGAACTTTAAATATTTGCTTTACATATTTTTTGAAAGTCACATGTGCAAACATTTTTATATACATACTTACAAAGGTAGATAACATTTCTGCAGGATGAACCCGTCATATAAACTCATTGATGTGCCACATGTGCACAATAGGTGGATTATGACTAAAAAACAAATTTAGAATGACATTTGAGCAATCTTGATAAGTTTATGGAGTTGTTGGAGAAGGAAAAATATTAGTGGGGAAGAAAATTGTTGGCAATAAAATTAGAAAACGAGCCTCATGTAATCCCAGCTACTTGAATGGCTGAGGTGGGAGGATCTCTTGAGGTTAGGAATTCAAGGCCACCCTGGGCAACAAAACAAGACCCCATCTCTAAAAAAAAATAATAATAATAAATTAATCAGATGTGGTGGTATACACTGGTAGTCCCAGCTACCCAGGAGGTGGAGGTGGGAGGATCACTTGAGCCTAGGAGTTCAAGCTATGTGCATGCCACTGTACTTCAGCCTGGACAACAACGTGAGACTCCATTTCTTAAAGTAAACCAAAAGCCTTCAAATGCATATAACCTAAAATCAGGAATCACCGGGGTTCTCAGTGATTGAAATCTTTACCACCAGTGTTCACTCATGCTAGCCTCATACTCCCAGCCTGCTCCACTCATGTACGCGCTTCTCATCAACATGCTTTATTTTCTGAATGATTCTCCGTGAAAAGAACAAAGTGGGGTGATGGAAAGTATAGTCACTTGGCATTCAGGTTTAGGTTCTGGCTCCGGCACCGTGTGAAGTTTATGAGTCTTTTCCCATTTCTGGGTCTCAGCTTCATCTTCTGTCAAGTGAAAGATTAGGGTAACTGATCTCAAATAACTCTCTGGCATATATGTGTTCGGCACCTACATCTTCTCTGATTGGTCCTGGGTTATTCAACATCTTTCCTCTGCAACTTATTTAGCCCTAGGTTTGGGGAATGGGCACTAACTTCTCCTGTACAGATTCTTTCCCAAGCTTCCAAATCCATGGCCTTTAGTTTTGAGGTTCTGCTGGCCCCTGTTTTTTTCCCCAAAGCAAACCCTCTTGACAAATTCATGCTTTCCAGCAAGCTTACCAGGGTAAGTCATGCTGGCCAGGGTGACTTGTGACACTCTGTTTCCACAGCTGGCTCTGGCCTGTGCCTGACTGCTGCTGTGTCTGATTGTTACCAGCCATTTGCCCTTTCTTAAGCCCTTGCTAACCATTTTCTTTACAGAATATATATGTTATGTGCCCTAGCATAATTTTTCTCATAATGAAATAGAATCATTTTCATAGAACTTTGCAATGTTGTTAACATTAGCATTTTGGGGAAAGTCTTCTTTATAGTTGTTTATAATCTCATTTTCAAATTGAAAAAAAATTCAAATGCTATTTTTAGAAGGATACATTCCAAACATTAAATGATTGATCTTTACTTTGGAAGGTACCTCTTGGGTCACCTTTTCATCTCTAGGGAGTTGATTCCAAGGCAAACTTGTTTCTGATGAAGTGTTTCAATATGCTTTATTATAATCTGGGACCACAAAAGGAACTTCTAACAAACTTTTTTTTTTAAAAAAAGATCATCTGTTTATCTCATTCTCTCTCTTTCTTATGCTTTTGCAAAAACTTTTTATCAGTTTACAGCAATATGAAATTCAAAGAAAAATCAAAATAGAAAAAAACTCTCCAGTTTGAAAAATGGAGTTGATGTGCTATTTTAATTTGGTGATGATTCTACTGAGGCATTGTTTCCAGGTTTGCATGATGGTTACTTTATCTTTTTTGCCTTTTAGACTCAATAAGATATTTCTCCATAGCACATTACTCAAGCTTCTACATAACTCATCTCACATAGTTACGAAGTTTTGTCCCCTTGGACTGTAAGCCCAGGCAGGGATGGGAGCTTGTTCATTCTTGGATCCCTACCGTCTTGCATAGTGCTTGCTATGTAGAAAGCACTCATAGGCTCAAGTGGAAGAATACTGTGTAGGAGCAAGAATAATATGTAGGGGTAAAATGTTGAACATGCATAAATATTGAAACAAAGAAATAAATTGATTTTGGTGATAGGTGACCCTGAGAGGGATAAAAGTGTAACCCAGAGGCCCTCCTATGTTACAGTGGCAAAACCTCTGTCAACTCTGATGTCTTCTGCTACAGGTTAAACAAGAATGGAAAGCTCTATTCAACCATCTAAAACTCTGCCTTCATAATAATGATGGATTTGCTGTCATCATAACTCATTCGTAGGTAATCTTGCAAGAGCTGAACTTTGGAACTACTGCCATTTGGAAGGGTTCCATTCACTCTAAGGGAAACCTGAGAATCTGAGTTCATTTACTTTTTATTCCCCCTTTTAGCAGTAATTTGTTCATTTACCTTTAATGTTGAAAGGAAGCAGGTTGAGGCCAGCCATGATGGCTCACACCTGTAATCCCAACACTTTGGGAGGCCGAGACCGGCAGATCACTTGAGGCCAGGAGTTCAAGACCAGCCTGGCCAACATAGCAAAACACTGTCTCTACCAAAAATGCAAAAAATTAGTCAGGCATGGTGGTACATGCCTGTAGTCTGTAGTCCCAGCTACTTGGGAGGCTGAGGCATGAGAATTTCTTGAACCCAGGAGGCAGAGGTTGCAGTGAGCTGAGATTGTACCACTACACTCCAGCCTGGGTAACAGAGCAAGACTCTGTCTCAAAAAAAAAAAAAAAAAAAAAAAAAAAAAAAAAAAAAAAAAAAAAAAAAAACACGGAAGCAGATTGAAATAATGTGTTTTCCATTTGCAAGTGGCATGGTCATTTTAGTTGAAGGCATGTCCACTGCGAGTATTTCGGTCAGCTTGGCTGCTTCTCATGCTGTTTGCCCAATTCAGCACTACAGATTTTGCTCTCTTAAATTCCAGCTTTATCCCATAGGAGAGGTGCAGATTTCTATTTCTCATCTCTCGTCTGTTTTAATTCTTTGGGAGAGGAGTCCTGAGTACTAAACAGAAAGGTACGCATGGAGAAATGTAAAACATATTTTCAGGCACCTTTGTGAAAGGAAAATTTAATGGGACATTATAGTACTATGGGAAATGGAGAGAGATAAGAATCATGCCCCATGCTTAACCTTTTGGACTCATCTTTGCCAATTTCTATGTGCAGTTCAGTAAATTAAATAAGCTTTCCTTAGCCTGAAACTGTCTGTGATAGTGCAACCTTTCACTGAGGTATCACAGACAGACATTCAGCGTTCAAGACAGGGGCCTGACACCTTTCAAAAGTGAAGGAACCTGTGGCAATTTTAAACATTCCAACCATATTAATTCCAGTGACAGTTATCCTCTAAGTTATTTGAAATGGATTCTCCCTCTTCAACTTTCGAAACTTATATTTGATCCCCATGGCCTCTGGGGCCTGCACAGGGGCACTCTCTGTGACTGAGTGCGTGAACAGCAGGAGGCAGAAGCAGGAAATTGTTGATCCGGTCCGTTTATGTCTTTCCTCCTCCTTTAGCTGTTCTCTGTACCTTATTCATGTTTCTAAGGAAAAGCCTTGCATTTCCAAAAGAAGGGTTGAATAACGGTTTGGAGTTCTTTCTTTGAGGGCAATGTTTTTATTATTGCTCTTCCACCCAGGCTGAAAGTTGAGTGTCATCTCTCAAGCATAAGCAACTAGGCACTTCACAATCAATACTGGGCTCAGTGGTTGAGCCCTGGTTAATAGAGCTGCTTCTTTTCAGGTGCTCACACTCAGCGCAGCCGAATTCTGCCTTCTCTGTCCTGGGAGGACACAGGGACCTGTGCCCTTCTCCAACAGTGGGATCATTCTCGGGAAGTGCTCCTCACTTTCCACATGGTCAGGAAGTTTTGGATGTCTATAACAAGCACAGGCGAGGCTTGGTATGGAGCCCAGTGTTTATACTTAAGAGAGTGCTGGGGGAATGGTCACAGAAGACCCATCAGGCCCTTATGGGCTGAGTTCCAAGGTGACTGTACATTGGTTATTGTTGGGGAAGAGTCAGATCTTCAGCTTTCCATGTGTGTTGGTTTGATGTTATTACTAGTCATCCATGTGTTAGAAATGACCTTATTAGTTCATGTCTAAGAAACTAATTTACAAACCAAAAGACTAACATGTTATTTCCATTTGGGTGAGGGATAGTATTCAGGAAACCACCAGACTGTTCACATTTGCATTCTAGGGACCTCCCTTCCTGGTATTAGACTAACTGGCAAAGTAAATTAATCATCTGCAAGATTTCTAAGTGAGAATGGATGATTGCATAGCTGTTAAGGTTACAAGTCAAATAGCCTGTGTTTGGAATCCTGGCCATCACCCTTAATCCCTACATGATCTCAGACCAGTTACTTACCCTCTTTAAGCCTTGATTAACTGATCTAGAAAATGAGATACTAAGAGTACTTACCTCATAGAGTTGTTGGGAGGATTAACCGGGATAATAAAAAAGTGTGTATGAAAATGCTTGGCATATAATAAGTACACAATAAATATTCACACTAGTATTAGTAGTATAATAATAATCATCTTTTTTTGTAATAAAGGTAATTGGATATGTTCCTAGGCCATTTCATCCTATAATGTTAGAATCTGGAGACTTACACCTGCTTCTCCATAGAATACTCCTTTGCAAGGACAGGATTACCTGTTAGCTGCTAGAGGAAGGCTGACAATTTCTTATTTATCAACTCTTCTTTCTCTAGATCCTGTGTTGCTTTTTTGTGTTTATGAATACATATTTAACTACTGTTTATAGAATATTTGCTATATGCCGTAATATTGTGCTCTTCATCATATTACCTAATTTAGTTCTTGCAATACCTGTTTGAGGAAAGAGTCATTATCTCCATTTTTCACAATAGGAAACTAAGTACAGAGAAGTAAGAAAAGCGAGGAGGTAGAACAGCTGGGGCTTCAGCTTAGGTCTGTCTACTAAATTCCATGTCTATGACACTAGGCTATCCTGCATCTTTATTTATAACTCAGTATATTAGACCTTGAGTTAATTAGATTATTACTAATTTTATATTTATTACAAAGTGGCATTTTTGATGAGTTTTGAGAAATGCCCTAGTATATTTACATACATTGAATGGATGACAATTTGAAACTTAATTTCAAAATTTCACAAGTTAGAATTTAAAAACTAGACTTGTAACAGGAGATGAGTTTGTTTTGATTCCGGAGAACATTCAATCTCTGGGTGATGATCCAATTAATATAGGCTAGAGTTTCCCAGGTAGATCTTATGGGAAAATGATACAGGAGGGACACATTATCAAGAGTGCTGATAAATTCAAATTGTAACTAACCTCCCTTAGATAGACCCAAGATAGTCATGCCTCCTTCTATAGGGACTCTTTGGGGCATGATAGACCAGATGCCATGATAAAGAATGGCATTCCCACAGTTGAGATGAATTTCCACAGGTCACCATATGCAGCTTCCTTTCTCAGCAAGAATATCCTTAACTTTATGCACATAATTTTTTTTTGTTTTTTTTAAACAGCTATTTTGAGGTATAATTCACATACTATATTGTTTGCCCATTCAAATTATATAATTCAACAATTTTTGACATATTACACTACAACTTTTAAAATTGTGGTAAAAATATATATAAAAAATTTACCATTTAAACTTGTAAGCATAAAATTCAGTGGCATTAATGATATTCAAAGTGTTGTGCGACCATCACAACTATTTATTTCCAAACCCTTTTTTATCACTCCAGTAGAAACTCTATAATTATTAAGCAATAACTCCCTATTTCTCCACTTTCCAGCCCTGGTAACCTCTATTCTATTTCTGCCTCTATGAATTTGCCTGTCTGCTTCATGTAAGTGGAATCATGCAATATCTGTCCTTTTATGCCTAGCTTATAGACATAAACCTTGAAAACAAGATTTATCTATGTGGAAGCCTATTTCAGAAATACATTCCTTTTGATGGCTGAATAATATTCCATTGTAAACATAATATTCTGGAATGAAGATGTGGATTCCATCTATAGCTGTCAATCTTGTGAGTAAAATCACCAGTTTTGTGTGAAATGTCTCATTTGACACAACCAACTTGGAAAACATGTTGAGGATATTTCTAGAATGGTACCCAATCTATTGACCCTTGTATTATTATTTATTCGGTGTTTTTCTTGAAATCAGTTCACTTTTAAATGTCTTAAATATTTATCTTATTTTGTCCTAATTAATGTTCATGAAGTCCATAGGTTGACGTAATATTACATATTGCTATTAAAATGATTTACATATATTTGTTCTGTATACCTCCTAAAATGTATCTTCTACCTCAGCCACATATAGGCTGTCAATAACTTCTCTAATTCTCAAACTTGAGGGGTGGGCTGTGTGTCAGAACATACTAGAGTGCCAGATTCCCTATGGAACAGAAATGAAGAGGAGAGGAATTGTAACAAATATAACCTGGTGTGAAGGCCAAGGTTAACCCTAACCCAAACCCTAACCCTGGGAGTCAATTAGTAGGTTCAAGTCTGGGCTAAAACTGCTTCTAATCAGCTGTGTGATCTTGACACATAGTCCTCTGTGCCTTAGTTTCCTCTCTGTCTTAAGCAGGTTGAAGTAGATCATCTCCTCCTGTTGCTCATTCCTGGATGTCCTGCTTCTCTCCCACATTCAGGAATGACAGGGCTAGTGTGTGCTTCTGCACTTGCCCTCCATGGGGCTGTACTGGAGGGATTTCCATTTCTTTGGCTTCATGGTATTTACACCTCTCTCTTTTCACTTCTCTCACCCCTCTTATATTAGATCAAACTCGATCTGATGTAACTCTTAATGATTTCCTTTTTAAGGAGGACATTAGGAAAGCCTGCATCAAGGACATCACTTACCTTCATTTAGAACTGTGGGCATCTGCACTGTGTCCATTTCTTACAGCGATAAAATGGCAGTAAATCAGAAAAAATGCCATGCCCTTCAGAACCTTGAGAATGAGCTCCTGAGCATTCTGCTTACGGGGATGTAGGCTTGTCAGTGAGTAAATCAGCTCTGTCCTTACGCCCCCATTGCATCAGGGAAATCTCTGACTTTGTGGGATAGGTTTGACGTGTCAGTCAATCTCTCTCTACCCCCATTTGAGACTGAGAGTGTATCTCTCCTGTGTTTTCTCTGAGCGTGTTTAGTGAGCTTATTGGCCCCCTAGGTTTCATTGCCAGCCACAGCTTAGTCCTTGTCAGAGAGATTATTATATGAACCCTAGGTGACTTCTGACTGCAGAAGGGCCCTGGATTTACATTTTTGCATTCCAAAGTCAGGAATATAAATGACTAATGGAACACTGGGCCACCGAATATTTATATATCTATTTTGAAATTTACATTTCTCCCTTTCTTATGATGGGGTTTGCTGCTCCCGGGGTCGTAGTTCATGGGCCAGTAGCATCCGTGGTGACAAAGCAATCATCTGGGGAGAGTGCTTCCCAGCCCCAGTGGCACACTGTGATGTGCTGCAGGTTATTATGCCAGCAATTCAGCAGTAATCGAACCCCCCATCTCCTTGGCCCTATCCCTGCTTCCCTTTTATGATGTCCAATAAATTTTACATGCTCCAATTTGCCTCATCCACCACCTAATACTGTTTGAATTAAGAATCTCTTCCATAGCTTTCAACAATGGGAACTTTGCTTTCTCCAAAATTATTTATAAAGGCCACTCATGACTGTGCCAGAACGGAGGCTGGACTGTGCAGGTAGAGACAGTGCACATATGCTGGTCCATATAGAAGATGGGGTTGCCCAGTTGTTGAACTTGCTGACTACATGATATATTGAGATGGAAGAGGATGTCTATAGATACATACTATATCTATATGTATGTATGTTTTGAATGAAAAAATTGTGTTAAATTAGGAATTTTTTAAAAGGTAGAGCATCCATTTGAAAGTTCCCTGGTCCCTGATACTTTTCACGATATATGGTACATTTAATAATAGCAGTAACAACAATAATAGCAACACTACTTAAGCGTTTACTACTCGCTGAATTATTCTAAGCCCTTTGCATGCATTTTAAAATTCCAACAGCCCCATGAGATTGAGCCTTTTTGTAAACCTGCTTATAAAGGTGGAAATAAGTTCAGAGAGGTTAAGTTCCTCAAGATTACATAGCTAGTAAGCAACAGGGCTAGGACTAGATGTTGTATTGTCTGATACCTGTTTTTAACATCACCTAATACCACCATGTGGTGTAGGCAGGAAGCAGAGATCTTGAGATGAATGTTAGTACATTTCTCATTCACTCAAGCCACTCACCTTTTCTCATTCACTCAAGCCACTCCCCTTTTTGTTCCCCGTCAGTATTTACAAAGCATCTATTCTGTGCACACCCTGTTCTGAACACTGGGTATCAATACAGCAGTGAAGATGACCCGCAGTCCCTACTCTTGTGGAGTTAATATTTTAATACTTGTAGTCAGACAATAGACACGTAAAGAAATAAACCATGCACTTTCTAACATTGGTGTCTCAAAGAAAATGCATGAGAGCAACGCAATGGAAAGTGTCCAGTTGGGGAGGGGAGCTATTTTCACTAGGATGCCAACAAAGGCTTCCCTGAAGACTGGGCATTTGAGCTGAGACCTAAATGTGAAGATGGCTGGGAGCTGGTGTATGGAGCATAGGGTTCGCTAGAGGAAAGGCAGCTGTAAAGACCCAAGTCAGGAATCAGTGTCTTGTGTTGGAAAGCCAGGAGGAAGACCAGAGTGGCTGAAGCATTATTAGCTGTAGAGAGAGAGTAGATTATGAAGTCAGGAGATTGGCAGACCTCAAGGCGTGCAGAGCAGGGCAGGGAGTGTGGATGCCGTGGTGTTTTCAGTTCTTTCAATCAATATTTTACTGCCTGCAGCCCATTTTCTTTTACAGCCTGTCTTCTTTTCCTTCTGCTTTGACTCGAGTCTTACCTCATAATGGGCATTTTAATCCTCTCTGTGATGCAATCCAATGCTTCTTGCTGGGCACCTTGCTTTATTCCAGCTCAGGGCAGCATTAAAAAAGAACAGAGGAAGTCTCCAGCCGAGAGGGGCTCAGGAAGGGGTGCAGGTTGCAATCTAAGAGCTTTAATTAAATCAATGCCGTGCACATCCTGTCCACAAAGCTGGGGGCAATTGCATGCTCTTTACTGACGCCATGATATACACTTAAGAGCTGTGTGACTTCACAGAAGCAATTAAATTGGCCTGTTTAATCAGTGGTAAGGCCACCATCAATAACAATTATTATTTTTATTGATTTGATAAGTGCACAGTAGAAATAATCACAGAGAATAGCTGTCTCTTTCCCCCTGTCCTTTGCCTAAATGCTAAACCCTAGGCTACCCAGGCCAAATCTATAGTGACCTCTTGAACAGTTTTACTACAGATCCATATGTAATCAAGAATTCCTACCTTGGCTAGGCGGCTCACGCCTGTAATCCCAGTACTTTGGGAGGCCGAGGTGGGTGAACTGCATTAACTCAGGAGTTCGAGGCCAGCCTGAGCCACATGGCAAAACTCCATTTCTACAAAAAGTACAAAAATTAGCTGGGTGTGGTGGCATGCACCTGTAATCCCAGCTACTTGGGAGGCTGAGGTGGGAGGATCACTTGAGCCTGGGAGGTAGAGGTTGCAGTAAGTCAAGATCATGCCACTGCACTCCAGCCTGGGCAGCAGAGTTAGACCCTGTCTTGGAAAAAAAAAAAATTCCTACCTTATAAAATTTCCATGCTAAAAAAAAATAATCCATGCTTTTTCATTGAAACAGAAATTTTCAACTTTCCAGTCCTTTGATTGGTAACAAAGGAATGCTCCCTATGGCAAATAATTAAATCTGCATTTTCTCTTTCAGCCTCATCCATCTTGTTTATTGTTTTCCTATAGCTCAAACTATGATCTCATTTTGGCCAGAAATATAGGTTCAGTGACAGAAAACAGGCTTGGACATTGCATAGCTGTGGATATATACACGATTATGTGGATGTTACAGAACCTAAAGGAAGATCTAAATGGCATTATAAGAAGCTGCTTTTACCCCAAGACTTATTATCTTTCTCCATCTCACTTATAGTTTAGCATCTTTGCATTTGTAGTTCCAAAAATCTGAATTACTTCCCCTCGCCTTCTTGTGAATTAATTCCATATACTTGTGACCATGGGAGAGAAGCAGACTCAAAGTATACCAAAATTGGAGTCCAGCCTTGGGGAATGAAAGAGTGAACCTTTGTTCAGGGAGAAAGAAGGGGCCCTGATTTATGTGTGCAGTCACTCAGTAAGAAAAGCTAAAATGTGTATGGGCTACATCCCTCTCCACTATCCCACTGTGAGAGATCCATGAAGGAATAGGGAGGGATTGTTGGTCTTCCATGGTACTTCTCCTGGAGGATAGCATATGTTATTCCCACCTGACTTCATTAAAGGTAAAGGTCTCAGGAATCTTGAATGACAATCACAGAGATGCCCCCATTCCACCATTCACCTTGGATTTTTGGCCAGGTTGGCTTCCTGGGGGAAGAGGGTTACAATTTGTCTACTAATATATGGACACATTGGTAAACTGAATTTAAATCCTCCTCAATGGACTTGATGCCACATGGGACTTGTATGGGGCATTGCTCTCACAGTTCTCATTCAAGAGCTGCTTTGTTTCCAGATAGTTCTACAGCTCTTCAATAGAACCTGGAATCCATGGTCTGTGAGGAGAAACAGTGACCCAGGTTGTGTCAGATGTTTTTATACGTACCATGAATGGCTTCTGACATCACAAAGGTTTGGAAAATGCATTAAATTCGGTTTACCTCTTAGGCATTAACAAGATACATTAGCATGAGGGCTTTGAGATTCTAGAATAATTTCTCAGCATTTTCCAAACAGACTCAGTCAAGGAACCCTTTGTCAGAGTAGGCCTATTCCCCAGAATATACATTGGAAAAGCTGGTCTGGAGGCCTGTATTAGTTTGTTCTCACACTGCTATAAAGATACTACCTGAGTCTGGGTAATTTATAAAGAAAGGAGGTTTAATTGACTCACAGTTCCACATGGCTGAGGAGGCCTGAGGAAACTTACAATCACGGTGGAAGGCAAAGGAGAAGCGACACACAACTTACATGGCAGGGAGAGAGAGCAAAGGGGGAACTGCCAAAAACTTTTAAATCCATCAACTCTTACGAGAACTCACTCACTATCATGAGAACAGCATGGAGGAAACTGCCCCCATGATCCAGTCACCTCCCACCGGGTCCCTCCTTCAACATGTGGGGATTACAATTCAAGATGCGATTTGGGTGGGGACACAGAGCCAAACCATATCAAGGACTAACCACTTATTTTTTTTTCTTGTAGGCTTGCATATGTACCTATACATGGGGTGAGCATCCTCTCACTTAGGGCAAAATTTTTAGTGAGGAATTCTATGACAGTGCTACATATATTGTATATATGATATCCCTGTTCCCAAATGTAAACATCTCCACATGTATCCCTTCTAGACCAAAACCTTTTTATCTGGCTTCATGGAAAGCTGTAGTGTTTTGGGCTAGTATTTACCATTAGATCTAAAAACGGTGCATCCTTGGATTCCTTTTGTTGAATTTTGTGTAAATATTTAGGGTATTTACACCTTGACAACCAATGACTTTAAAGTTTAAAAACTGATATTTAACTGACTTTTATACTTACTAATATCACATTATAGATGCTAAAGAATCATTGTAACCATTAGACACCAACGATTTCTTTCAGAGTTTGTTAAAATCACGTTGCCTTTTTTACTATTTTTAAATAGTATGATATCTAATCTGTTCATTGCTTGTGTGTAAGTTTCCTAAACTTTGCCATACCTCCATATAACTTGTACTATTATGTACCCAGTATGTGTGACAGGGTTCCCTGATGGCAATCTCCAAAGAAATACAATTTGGGCATAAAGTAATGGTGCCTAAATTCTGCCCAGAAATGTTCTGAAATGGGGGATAGGGTTGAGGTGACATGTAGTTCCCTCTCCAGAAGCAGGGGAGTGGAGGCAGGCTCCTGTGTCCTCCAGTATGTTTCCCATCCAGTATCCCTGGATCAGGTGAATGAAAAGGGCATTAACTAATGGGGATATTACAGGATGAGGTCAAATGATCCATGTAGAGTTCATACCAGAGTACCTGCCATATAGGAAATATCCAAGTAATTCTATTGTTGTCATGGTTTTATTGTCTTCAAATATCTTTATTTTCTTTTATGGATTTTTACATACTACCTTTTTTTAGACAGAGCAGGATTTACTTTTTTTTAGACAAAGCAGGATATATATTTCTAAACATTTGAAGATATTTGAAGGTATTTGTCATCATCACTTAGTATCCCAGGTATCCCAACCATTCCATCTTAATAGTATCTGAGTCATTCATAGTATATCCTAGACTGTTTCAGGATCACCAGTTCCAAATATTGGAGTAAGTTATTAAACAAGTCTTTTAAGATCTTATGAAGATCTTAAAATAGACCAGGAAGAGAAGTATACTTGCCCATATTTCCTCCATTTAGTTAATCCCATCTAAACTTGCTGCACATAAATTGGAAGAATTAAATAAATGAGTTGTGAAAATGGTGTTTTTACCATCAAATTAGATATGGATCATCTGGCTATAATGGGCCTGGGGCACAATCTATGCATATTCATTTGAAAACCAACTGGGATGTTTAAAAAAGTGAGCAGGTCAATAAGAATACAATGATTTCTGTAGACTGGTAATGCATGGCCAGGCATTAAAAGTGGATATTGTATGCATCTGTGTGTGTGTCTTGGAAAAGTCAAGTAGAACTTGATTTGGGTAAAACCCAAATGTTTCTGTGTTCTTTCTAGTCAGTTAGTTATTTTGTTTAGTTAGAACATAGTACCACTGAGGTAAAGGTTACGTATTTTATTCTTGTGAGAGCTGCTTTGCTATGTATCAGGGCAAAAAAAGAATGATGGAACATCTCTACTTTTTATAAAAATTAGATCAACAATCACTGTAATGGTAGAAAAAGAGAGTATATGTGTTTTGATATTGGAGCGGTTTTTACAAAAATCATATATGTCAATTTTACACAGGATCACTCACTGCTTTTCTGCTCTGAAGGATGAAGATCACAACTTTCCCTACCATTCCCCTACCTCTCAATTTTTGTTAGTTACATTGTTATCATTATATTGTTAATGACAATTGCATTCTCCTCTATAACAATGCTTTCCATAGTTGTTTAGTGTTGGCTCCATATTTAAGTGAACTCAGAGCTCAGTGGAAGTTCTTTGGATGATAGCTCTCCACTCCTGAATTCTTACTCCAGCCCTAACTGGCTGGGCTTTCTTCTATCTTTTTCAAAAAGGGCTCATGAGGCCTGAATTTCTTAAGTTCCATGCTTGTTGTATTTGAATGATATTTTAGTTGGGTATAATAGTTTTAGGCTATATATGATTTACATATATATAGAAATATTTCTTCATTGTTTCCTTGTATTGAATGTGATTCTGGATAAGTATGAGGTCAGACTGACTTTTCTTCCTTGTAGGAGATTCTTTTTTCTTCCATCTGGTTGTCTAGAGATTTTTTTCCCCTGAATTTTAGTAACTTAATTAAGATTTATTTGATTGTTCTTCATTCTTTGTATCATTTTTTTAACTTGCTAAACTCTTTTGAACTATATTTTTTTCTTCATTTTGGGGACTTTTTTAAGTATATGTTTGAATATATTTTCTGTCACATTAATTGTACACATACAAATATTACTGTCTTTATTTCCTATGAGTCTTAAATTATCTAATTATTTTATTTTATTTTTCATATGCATTCACTGTGATTATGTCAAACTGTTGCTCTGTCAGTAATTTGATTTTTAGTGTGACCCCTCTGCTCTTTGATCTTTCCAAATTGCTTTTTACTTCTGAACCATATTGCTTTGGTCTTTGTTTCTTTAGGTCTTCTTTTTAAATCCATTAAATTGTGTGTGTGTTGGTTTTTTGTTTCATCCTATTTGTAGTTGGCTGAGGTTCTTGATGAAAAAATTTTGCAGTAGATTTGGTGAGTTTTTGCACAGTATTTCTTTAAATACTTTTCCTTCACAACCTCTTCCTCTTCTCTTTATATTAACACCATATACATATATGTTAGATCTTTTCATATTGTTCCACAGGTCCTTGAGGCTGTATTCATTATCATTGTTTTCCTGTTTTCCAGGTTGGATAATTTATTTTTATGTATCTTCAAGTTCACTAAATCTCTCCTCCGTTATCTTCATTCTGTTATTGAGACAATCTAGTGAATCTATCTATCTATCTATCTATCTATCTATCTATCTATCTATCTATCTCTTTCTTTCTCTCTTTCTTTCTCTCTCTTTCTTTCTTTCTTTTGTTAATTCTTTTGTTCATTCTGTCTTTCTTTCGTTCTGTATTTCTGTTTTTGCTGTTGTTGTTGAGAATGGGTCTCCTGTTCACCCAGGCTGGAGTGCAGTGATGCAATCGCGGCTAACTGTAGCCTTGAACTCTTGGGCTTAAAGATCCTCCTGCCTTGGCCTCCCTAGTAGCTGGGTCTACAAGCATGTGCCACTATGTCCAGCTAATTTTTTTTTTTCTTTTTTGCAGTGATGGGGTCTTGCTCTGTTGTCCAGACTGGTCTCAAGCCCCTGGGCTCAAGTGATCCTCCCACCTTGGCCTCTCAAAGTGTCAGGATTACAAACATGAGCCACTGCACCTGGCCTCTAGTGAATTTTTTGTTTCACATGCTGCATTTTTCAGATCTAAAATTTCTAAGTTTTTTATAGCTTTTGTATCTTTCCTGAGAGCTTCTACTTTTCTACTAATTTAAAGCAAGCTCAACTTTATCTCATGGACTATGCAGCTATAATAGGTGCTTTGATGTGTTTATTTGCTAATTCCAACATCTGAGCCATATATGTGGATTATTTTTTTTACACAAATGTGACTAATACTTATTTGTATATTTAGTAATTTTTGGCTTGTATCCTGGGCATTTTGAACATTATGTTGCTTCAATATTGGATATATTACAACTCTGTGAAGAATATTAATATTTACTTTTTTGTTTTATGAAGAATTAGCCTCATTTCTTTCAGACTATGGGTTCTGTCTTGCCTTTCGTGGGTTCCAATCTTGGTCCAGTTTTCAAAGCCTTTGACATCCTCCTCTTGATCTGTCTGTGCCTGTACACTCAAGAGTTAGTATGAAACCTGGATGGTGGTTTACGATCCTCATTCCGTTCTCAGAGCCCTTGCTAATCTGCTTTGGATATGTCCCGCACATCCAAATGCACAGCTCAGAGATGAGCTGGGAACTTGTGTAGTTTCATATACAGAATTAGAGTATCCCCTTCTCCAGCTCTCTCACTCTGGGATTCCCTCCACACCTTCCAGTCCTTAAGGGCTGTTTTTCACAGCTCTTCAGCCCAGAAATTTGAAATAGAAATAGAAAGTGGAGTTTGAGATTTCCATGGTACTGCTGTATCAGACGACTCTGTGATTGGGGCCTGCATTTGGGGAAAAGCCACATTAAAAAAGAACAATAAACCCAGAAATTCACCTCTTGGTGGGTAGCTTCTCCATAAGCCACTGGCTTTTGTTTTACTTTTCCCCATCCTCAGTATCCTTGTATTTTGTGCAGTGTTTAGTTGTAATCAGTGGAAGAGATAGGAGGTAGTGGGCTTACCCTCTCATGCAAGAGGCAGGCTCACATTCAATTAAACTGCATTCAGCTGAGCCCCTCTTTTATTAAAGTCTTGTTCTTACTAAGTTGTTTTATAGCATAAAGCTATTTGGATTTTTTTTTCTGCTGTTCCTTTAGTTGTTGGGTCCTTTTTGTGTCTTTTGCATGATGTGCTTCTGTCCTCCTTTTCCTGGTTTTGTTGTTAGTCTGAATTTTTTGCTGTGCTGTTTGTTTTCTCTCTGATCATGTTTGAGTAACTCTGAAATATACAGTGTGAATGGCTTCTTAATTATCTTCCCACCTCTCATAATATGAGCTTCTTTTACCCTCAAAGTTGCAGTTTGAGAAGTAAGTATTTCATGTTTTGTCCATGTTCTGTAGCTTCAGAAAATGGGGTAGGGAGGAGAATAGTTCAACTGAGAAGGGATGTGATCTTTATTGGAATAGCCAGACTTAATTCTCTCATCTGACATTCTGTTAAACCTTCATTAGGGTTTACTTTTGGGCTTTGGATGATTTCTCTAATTCACTGGGTCATCATGGAATTTTCATGCCCATTAGAGGGTGTACCCAGTTGTTAGTTTTCTGTGTTTCATTTGCTTTTCCCAGTGGTTACTTAATCCATTACTCAGTCAGAAGAAGGAGAAGAGAAGAATGCCTAGATAAAGTTTGCTTCTTTCTAGATTTGGATGCATTAATGAGAATTTTTCGGATTTTGCAGATTCCCTGTATAATTTCTGGCACTGTCTGGGATGAGCTGTACTATACCTCCAGTTAACCCTAGAGTCTTCTGGCTCCTTCATTGAATTCCAGTTTCTAAATCTGTGCTCATGTGTTTACCCAACTCAAAGTAGATAGCTTTTCTCAAATCAGGAAAATGTATCCCTGAAAAGTGAAGTGTTCCTCGGCAGGTTTGGTCATTACTGAATCTTCCGTAAGAAATTCTTTAAAAATATAATGAGATAATGACTGTGAAAGTGCTTTATAAACTATAAAGTGCTCAACGCATGTAAAACTGTGATATTATCATCACTCATGTCCCCTATGCTGCTAATCGTCAGTGGATCAGCCAGGGAGGCAGGCGTTCCTCGCTTCTGCTTTGTTATACTGTCTTATCCCGACCTTGACACTCTGGCAGCAGTGACCCTCAACAAGATAACCTGACAGTCAGCGGTGTCTCACCCACACTATTACCTGCCTTTGTTAGTAGCACTCAGACAGCATATAGGTAATTCCCCATGTTTCTTGTTCATTGTCTCTGTAATAAAACATTTTCTTTTATAGAAATCCTGACTCTAATTTCACAAAAGCTCTGCTATGGAACCTCCTCTGGCCTCTCCCTTCCTCCTGAAATACAGTAGTGTGTGTTTCATATTTGAACTCACAAGCTAATTGAACTTTATTGAAAGATTCTTTTACTTTGCCCAACATCTTTAAATAGTGATTTGGTGCTATGATTAGATACACTCTCAAAAACTATTGTTGCTGGGTAGAGAGAAGCTTCAAGGAAGAATGAAATAAACAAGCATGATGGAGTTGGATGGGTTAGAACAAGTTTGTTTTTCTTATGTGGATATGCTTTTCATATCCACATTTATTTTGTTTCCTTGTCTGAACTGCAAGGTCCTTGGGGATAGGAATAATGACTGACTCAGACTGTTCTGGAAAAATGGAGTATGATGGAGGACATGAGCAATACCTATAATATTATAAATGAGAGAAATAAAATGATAAGGAATTGCTGACCAAATACAGTAACACTAAATTGCAGTGATTAAGAGCATGAACTTAGAGTTTGACCAATTATAGCTGTATGACCTTGGACAAGTTACTTAACCTTTCTAGGTCACATCTGTGATTTGGAGATAATAAGAATATTTGCCTCCTAAGGCTGTTGATAACGAATGTAAAGTGTTTATAGCAGTGCCTGGAACATAATACAGGCAAAAATGTTATCTGTTATCATCATCATCATCATTATTCTTTTATGAATTCTTCCTTGAAGCTTCACAAGGCAAGTACAGGACAAATGAAAAGAAATAAAGTTTACACAGCATGGGATAAGAATATGAGATTTACTATGCCAAAAGTGGTATAGACGGGCTAAGGATTAAAAACTAATAACAAATGCTTCTTTTTTTTTTTTTTTTTTTTTTTGAGATGGAGTTTCGCTCTTGTTGCCCAGGCTGGAGTGCAATGGCACGATCTTGGCTCACTGCAACCGCTGCCTCCCGGGTTCAAGCGATTCTCCTGCCTCAGCCTCCTGAGTAGCTGGGATTACAGGTGCCCACCACCATACCCAGCTAATTTTTTGTATTTTTAGTAGAGACAGGGTTTCACCATGTTGGCCAGTCTGGTCTTGAACTCCTGATCTCAGAATAAATGCTTCTTATAGGCATTGTTTTAAAATGTTACATGTGTTGTCTAATGTAATACTCATGACACTATGAGGTAGTCCCATTTTATAGACAAGGAGACTGAGGCACTGAGAAGTGAAGTAACCAGCCTAAATTCCCATAACTCATAAAGGGTTGAGCTAAGATTTGAATCCAATCAACCTCTGCATTTAATGCCTATTTGTGAGTGAGTGTGTGTGGCAGAAAGGATCCAGAGTAGATGACTGGTGAAATTAGATGTTTAGGCAATGTCTTCACATTTAAGATCATTGTCAAGGAGAAAATTTTGAAATGTATTTTGTCATCAGAAATAATCCAGGGACACGTAGAGCCAAGGCCTGAGCCAGAGAAGAGGTATTTATACTTTGATTCAAGGAACATGAAATTAACCAGGAAAAACTGAAAAGCAATTTAATCCTTAGACTTTATAGGAGTAACCTTGTTGGGTTTGGTGGATGTGATGGAAAGAATGAAGGGCAGGTATTGAGCACAGCTAGGTATGATTCTCTTTTTGCCATCTTCCATTTTAGTGACCTTGAGCAAGCTGGTTCAGCTTGGGGTAGGGGATTTTGTATCCACAGTAGCAGAGTGAAGAATTATATGGAATCACTTTTTTGCACCCTTCAGATTCTAAAACACAAACGTTTTTGCATTGTCTACCCTGATACTGAAAATTATTGATACCCTTGATTTAACATTTATATTCTATCTTATTTTGTATTTTGCACATTGATCATTCATTTATTCAGCCCCTGTTTGTTTGGGGTATGCTTTGAGCTCACTGTGTGACTTTTTTCCTTAATTAAAATTAGTCTGGGAGAGAATGTATTTGCCTCCTGGAATTCTCAGAATTCTAGCAAGGTGCCCTAAACATCATAAGCACACATCAGCACTGTTCATATTGATTATCATGGTACAGTAGTGTATCAAATGCCACCTGAAGTTGAGTGCTGCAAATATGAGAAAACCTCCGTAAAATCAGCCCTCAATAACTTTTCTAGGGAATGTGCCTTAAAAAAAAAGGTACTGGACTGTGTGCTGAGAAAACTGTAAATATGAGTAAAATGATCCCTGCCTTCAGGAAGTTTACCAACAAGGGCACAAGCAACCATTGTAGAATTGCTTGTGGCCTTATTGATATACAGGCTAAGGATTAAAAAATTATAATCCCAGGGATGAAAAGCTTTAGCAGTTATTTAGTCCAACTCTCCACACACATTGAGTCCCCGTTACAACAGCCCACCAAATGGTTGTCTGGCATCTTCTTGAACACTTCAGTGGCTGTGAACTCAAACTGCTCATTCTGCTCGTGGTAGAATGACAGGCTCTCAATTTTTGTGTAGAAGGAAGTGTCTTGCTGAAGAGCAAAGGTCTTTTCTAGGCTGAGGAAAAGCCAAGGAGGTCATCTTGGAGATAAAAATCTGGAAAGTGGAAGTATATGGGAACAGACCTCAAAGGTCCTTTGTTGGAGCAAAGTTACAGAAGTACAAAAGCCAAGGCACGTGGTAGGAACATTAAGTAGTCTAGCTTGGTCATTTGGCAGTGACAGGTTGAGAATAGGGAACAGTGAAATTGTTAAAGATAGACTGGGACTATAATTTGGAGGACCTTGAGTGCCCTCTACTTCTGGGGTACATAACGGCCCTATTGAAAACCCTAATTCTATATCCAATAGGTGGCTCATTGAGTAAATCACTGTTAGCAGTCAGATCTGATGTGTTCCCCAAATCCACATCCTTTATACTCACCTGGACAACTACCATTCCCCCAACCCCCCCATCATCCATGAATTTTCTTCAGTTCAAAGAGACATGGTTAAAGCAGGAATTATGAAAAGGGCCCTCTGCCGGCCTTATTTCCATGTAGATCTATTTTATATGCATAATAACCCTAAGGGGAAGCTGTGTCAATCTGCCTTACCTGACAGACCCCTAAATCCTCCCAATGCTGCCTCCACTATTGGACATGTGCCAAGTGGCTTGCAACCTCAAAGAGAGAAAGCATCCTGATTTTTTGTGTGTAGGAAGGTGGGGGGCAGTGATAAACAGGTCTTGGCCTGTTATTGTCTTCCTGCATGATAATGAACCCATCACTAGCACAGGAATTTAATGCAATGATTTTTCCAAGAACCATCCAGCCCCATTGTAGCCCTGCCTGAAAATGTAAATACACCCTTTCTGGGGACAGATTTGCATTTTTTGGTGAAAGAAATGCATATATATGGCAAAGATGCCTCTGTAATTATAGAAAGTTTATTTCTGTCCCCAGATGTCAGCAATCAAATTCCACATAAATATATTTTGTGTAAATCTGTCGGCAGCTGGTCTCCATTCAGGTTTCTGGAGATATTAGCCTGTCTTTGAGTTTATGACAAAGTTAAAAATTATTCATTAAACTGACCTGCAGTATATTCAGTAACTGGAAAATTGCCTTGCAGTTCTATTTGGTTTGTAGATGTGATCACAAGTAAATTTTTAACTTAATTAATTGGCCGTTTCTGTTGACAAGAAATTTATGTGGTAATAATTTGCTCGAAATAGATGCCGACTGTAGGAAATGAGATATCCATCATAGGCTTGTGTTCCACCAGCTGCACAGTGGCTATTATGAAAGTATTTCAGCCTGCGTCGACCCCAGTGTTTGTGCAGTCAAGATTATATATACCCACGATCCATAGCCTGCCAGAGAGGCGCTGGTGGAGGTCTATGATAACAAAGACTTTGTGATTTATGGCTTGCTGTGAAAGCAGAGCTTGATGAGATTAAACAATTTCATAGCACAAGTGTTTCTCAAGACCTGATTTGTAGTTGCAAGCTGATGGTAAATCACATTTATATATCTGCAAGCGTGCTCAGCAGAGGACTGCAATTACAGTTTAAGACAGCTACTTTTTATTTAATTTTTATCCTGGTTTTGTCTCTTTTATATCCCCTTCGTCTGCAAACCATTCACCTTCACAAGTCCTTTCCTGGTTAGAAGGCCAAAGATTGAAGTCAATGATGTTCTTCGTGTCTTTGTGCCAGCTTCAGAGGGAGGTCCGGCAGATTTCAGAGCCGTGCAGACTGGTTCAAACTGGCTCTGACTGGTGTGAGCTCTTTGTTCAATTTCATGTCCAAACAGAAGTCTGTTTGCTATTTTCCCTTGGTGTGTTGCTGATACTTAAACTTCTTGGTATACAGAGGGAGAAAGAGGGGTCTTCATCATCCTGGGATATAGGGAACTGTGGAGCACATAATGGAAAAGGGAGATGAGGACTAAATTCACTTTAGAACCTCAACTTCAAGGTTGCAGCATATCTTAGGGTGTACAGTTAGCTCCCCTTTAATGGGAAATGTGAAATTGTGTTTCCCCACAGATCTGGGAGGAATAAACTCTGCAATGAGTTTATTTAACCAGTTTATTGATTATCTACTGTGGCCACATGTCTTCACTGAGTACTAGTACAGCAGTATTTGCCCTCAGGCAGTTTGTAATCTACATATGGTGCTAAAACATAAAAATAAGATTGGAAGCAGCAAGATCAGTGATAGCCTTACACGAGTGGTGCACCTGTTGTTGGAGGTCAGAAGGAAAGGGAGATAGAGTTCTTCCCACTGGGGAAGCATGAAGGAGCATGAATGAGACAAGTGCTTGAGGGACAGATCGGATTTCAAGTAAGGGGAAGAGGAAGTTCTGGAAATTTCAGTGATCTGTACTGAAGGAGGCCTCTAAAATACTCAGGTGTGAGTTCAAGTCCAGGCTGGGTGGCCAGTGATTGAATAATTATAATAATAACATAATAATAACATCGATTGAATGCTTACTATATACAACAAAGAGTGCTATATAGGTATTATCTCATTAATCCTCATAACAACCCCAGAAAGGGAGTATTATTGTGATCTCCATTTGGGGAACAGGAAATTGAGGTTCAGAGAGGTTAAGTAATTTGATCATGTTCATCCAGGTGTTTGGTTGAGCTGGTTCAACCAATACCCTGGTGTATTTCACCCCACAGCCTGTGTTCTTTGCCACTGTGTTTCACTGCTTTTCTTTTTCTTTTTAAATGGAGAGGAGGTCTCACTCTATTGCCCAGGCTGATCTTGAACTCCTTGGTTCAAGTGATCTGCCAGCCTCAGCCTCCCAAACAGTTGGGACTACAGGCATGCACCACCACCACACCTTTCTTGTTTTACTGCTGTTAGACAGAGAATATGAATGTAATTAGGGAGGCAATTCCACTGTTCTGCATCCTGGTCACATCTTCAAGAGCTCAGGTCATTTCTTTTTCCACGAAAGTACCTAAAGTTTGGGATGTTATTTTTGGTCTTTGTGATAGGCTGAATAACAATCATCCGAATATGTCCATGTCCTAATTCTTAGAAACTGGGATTACCTTATATGGCAAAAGGGACTTTGCAGGTGTGATTAAAAAATCATAAATTGTGGAGGTTATTCTGCATTATCCAGGTGGGCCTGAGGTAAGCACAACGGTTCCGAAGAGGACTCAGGGAAGTCAGAGTCAGGGGAGAAGGAGATGTGATGAAGCAAGCAGAGATTGGAGCAATGTGCTTTTGAAAATGGAGCCAGGGGTGCAAGACAGGGAACACAGGCAGCCACTAGGAGCTGGGAAAGGCAAGGAAACGTGTTCTCCCCTCACCTCAATTTTGCCTCTATAGGGCCTTTTTCAGACATCTGACCTCCAGAACTCTAAGACAATGAACTTGTGTTGTTTGAAGCTGCTAAGTTCATGTGAACTTGTTACAGCAGCACTGGGAAACTGATTCTGTCTTGCAAATTCCAACCAGCTTGACAGAGAGTTTAACCCTGATTTTGAAATCTTGGGTTTTTTTTGTATTATTTGTTTAAGATAGGGACTGATATGGTTTGACTGTGTCCCACCCAAATCTCATCTTGAATTGTGGCTCCCATAATCCCCAGGTGTTGTGGTAGGGACCCAGCGGGAGGTAATTGAATCTTGAGGGTGGATTTTTCCCATATTGTTCTCATGATAGTGAATAACTCTCATGAGATCTGCTGGTTTTATAAAGGGCAGTTCCCCTGCACATGCTTTCTTGCCTGCCACCATGTAAGACATGCCTTTGCTCCTCCTTCACCTTCCACCATGATTGTGAGGCCTCCCCATCCATGTGGAAATGTGAGTCCATCAAACCTCTTTTTCTTTATAAATTACCCAGTCTCAAGTATGTCTTTGTTAGCAGTATGAGAATAGATAATACAGGGATGCTTTTTGATTTCCATGTTTCCCCATTCTCCCCTCTTTTGTAGCCATAAGGGAAGTGATCATGTCTGTTTCATTCACTCATGAATCTCTGATGCCTAGTATGGTATATGGTATGCAGTAGGCACTCATTAAATATTTGTTAAATGAGTCAAGGAGATTACTTCATCCTATTTCCAGGATATAGTTGGCCAATCTGTCTGGAATTCAGTTTTTTCCACAACTCAACCAGCAAATGTCATAGCTTGCTCTTTATGAAGTCACAAAGGGAGTAGTCAGGCACTCTACTTACAGTTGTCTGCAAACTTGGATATCTCAGTGGAGGGAGGGGGCAGTAAGGCCTTAGGAAAGCCGAGGCTGGCTGAAGAATCTCTAATAAGTCAATGTGAGTGGCTAATTGTGCTAAATATTAAAAAAAAAAAAATAGATGTAACCCTTTATCCTGATAGCAGGAAGGTAGGAGGGTTTAATAAAAAGCATATTGTCTCTGAGACCCTCACATGTTTTCATGCCCGCATTGGCTTTTTGTCTTTTATGTGATAGGTAGGTAGGGAGTGTTTTCTACCTATGTATTATTCCAGGTTTTATGCCCCTGAGGGTCTTTTAGCTGGAGACTTATAGGCATAGTCCACTCCACTGAGTACAGATGTTAAAGTTGCCAATGAAGCTCTTTATGAGGGATGGAGACAGGCCAGTATCTTTGGCCTGGATTCTAGAGACCTGGTTTGAAAATCCTGGGAAAGCTGAGAGCTTCGTTTCTCCCTCTAGAGTACTAGTGTATTAGCCTCCCAATAAAAGTTAATTGAATTTAATTTTATGTTTTAAGTGTGATGCATTTTAAAGTTCTCCCCAGTGCTAGAGTCCCTCTTGAAAAGGCAGTAAATTCATATTATTAAACTACCAAATGTAATTCAGCTCAAATAAGCATATTCGGCAATCTTTATTCTGGATATGTGGGACTGACCTTGCGTTGAGGCTAAATCATTTCATCCCAGACAAAGTCTGTTTGGAGTTAATTGGGGAAGCAGTGTGGGTGTACAGCAGGTCACTCTGGGCTTTTTATTCTCTTTCTGGCCCTCATTCAAAGAGTCGCTGTAGCATACATTTTCTGATGCCAGTTCTTCCATTATTTTATAAATATCAATATTTGACACAGTATGGAAGGTGAAAAAGACAATGAAGATCTTCCCGCTGGAGATTCTTCATTAGATGCCCTACTTTACCATATTTTAAAATGGGCAGTTTGTCACCGATGCATTAAAGGGCTGTAAGGAGTGGAGAAAGCACATTGGGCTGGAAATCAGATGACCTGGATTCTAACCCCTGCCTGTCCATTAACCAACCCGGTGACCCCGGGCTTTTCTAGTCTTGGGGCCTTCATTGTTCCACATTTTTAAAGTGAGAGGGTTGTGAAAGAACAGTGGTTTTCAAACTGCATTTCAAGAGGTACGAATATTTTGTCACTGTATCTTAGCAGCTCTGCTGAGTGACCAGAGAGGGGATGGGGTGAGCAGCAGTTAAGGATGAGACCAGCTGATGGGCTTCAGGCTCTCAGACTCCCACCCCTTTGTGCAGAGTAGCTCACTTCAATAGCAAAAATCAACCCACCATGGCCTAGGAAAGCTTCAAAGATTCTGCCAAACACTTTAGGTGTCTAAGATATTTGGGGCAATTTCTCCCTAAAGTTTGTCAAGGCAGATGTTGGATCAAGCACAATGAATTGAGTCATCCATTCTTTTGGGAGTAGAAATAACTTAAAGGATTTGTTTATTCAGATTTGCTGATTTGTCCAGAGTTTTAATGTTTTTCCAAATTTGTTTCTCCAAATCCTAGCTTTGCCAGCCCATAATGTCATAGCAGCTCTGCGCATCTTGACATGGGGGATCTATAGTGGTAAAAGCAGGCTGGCATCCTCTTCTCAAATGTCTAGCACTCTCTTTACTATTATTTTATGTACCTCAAACTTTATTATTATGTCCTCTATTATTAATGGCAGAGACAATGATATAATTATTTATGCTGGAACTCATGCTTTTGAATTTATTGGATAGAGATCTTCTGAAACTAGAAGATATAACATATACTAAATGTCCCCTCTTATCCCTAAGGGATTTCTTTTATCTGAAACCTCCTGTTTCACTTATCTCTACATTTTGGTGGTGAATCTGGTTGTGGCTTCTTCTTTATTTGCCATCTGCCTGCCCCACTCTCAGCATACAGGTGGCTGTGGACTATCTTTATTCATGTAATCTTAGTTTTGTTTCTATCTAAACATCCCATTTGTCAAGGGCCAGACCAGATTTCATCCTTATAGGAATTCCTGCCCAGCCACTCTAGATTCCACAAAGATCCTGTTCTGAATTCCTTCAGAACCTAATTGGGACCAAAAATGCTCCTACTGTATAACACAGTGTCTTATACTATTCATTATTGGTTTATTTTTCTTAATCTAACTTGACTCTAAGCAATTTGAGGACAGAGATCCTGCAATTCTTTGGTATCTTCTGTAGTGGTAGATATTTAACATAATAACAAAAGTATTTATTATAATAAAATAATATTTATGCCAGCCTGCTCCTGTTAGGAAAGGCAATGCATTCTTAGTGAGTGGAAATAAGGTGTGTTTTGTTTGGTCCACTTTTTAACATTGTATTCATAAACACTCTCTGGCAACACCATCATTAATTCATTTCCAAGAGGAAAAAAAGTTCTTGCTAAAAATAAAATTCTGTTCCATAAACTCTGTAAAAAGACCAGCAAACAAACAAGTCTCCTCTGGAGGAACCACAGCCACACCAGGCCCTTCAGATCTAATAAGAACCTTAATTCCATTTGAATATCTTTGTTGTGCTGCACTACGTGGTTTGGGATTCATTTTGCATTAGAGAAATGACAAAGACCCAGAAAACAAGCACTGAGTCAGGACTGGTTTCAAAGAGCTCAGCTTCTTCGTTTAATTTCCAGTTCATTTATTTGAGTACTGTCAAAAACCAAAATTTCAACATATTTAGGTTAACAATATAATGGCCTTTTATTAGTGATTCATGAACTAGGCAGCATCTTAATCTAAAAATAGAAGTGCTTTGTTGGAAATGGAAAAAAGTCAGTTTTTGAAAAATAACAGATGCTGATGAGGTTGTGGAGGAAAGGGAATGCTTATACACTGCTTGTAAATTAGTTCAGCCATTGTTGAAAGCAGTTCGGCAATTTCTGAAAAAACTTAAAACAGAATTACCATTTGACCCAACAATCCCATTATTGGGTATATACCTAAAGGAATATAAATCATTCTACTATAAAAGACACATGCACGTGTGTGTTCATCTCAGCACATTTCATAATAGCAAAGATATGGAATGGAACCTAAATGCCCATCAACAGTAGACTGGATAAAGAAAATGTGGCACATACCCACTATGGAATACTATGCAGCCACAGGCATGGGCAAAGATTTCATGGTGAAGACGCCAAAAGCAATTGAAACAAAAGCAAAAATTGACAAATGGGATATAATTAAACTAAAGAGCTTCTTCACAGCAAAAGAAACTATCATCAGAGTGACTCCATTTTGGTTTGGTCTGTTCTGTTGGGGCCTAGTGCAGGAGCTCAGTCTAAAAGCATGGCTTCCCATAAATTTTATTTAACAGTAGAATTCTTCAGTACTACTACAATTCTTTTTAAATGCTATGACCAGATTTGCACCTCCAACCCCAAACCCCTCAATGTTAGTTACTACAATATAAGGAGAAACTGTGGTTTCCGTAGGAGAAAGGAAGAGATTCTTGGAAAATTGCTTGGGATGTACAAAGCCAGAGCCAATCAGTCAATCAGAAAACATGATGGAGGGCCAGCCCCTTGCAAATCAAATGAAGCCTTGCTCTCTGCCCATGATGATAAAGATTATGTTACAAGAACAGTTTCCTCCAATAAAGTAGTAGTTATGGAAACAAACAAACATAAAAGATATTTAATATGTTCATTCCACAAGGGTTTATTCAATAATTTAATGAATGAATAATTTATTAATGGTTTGCCCAAACCAAGGGCAAGGACATATTACAGTGGAAGGTGGAGGTGGGATGTTGGATTTGCATAAGATTAGAGAACATTGATGGTATCTTTCTCTAGGAAGGACAAACTTGGCCTGTGTGGTGCTGAAGCAGATATTTCCAGAGCCTTCCTCAATGAGGGGGAAATTCGGAGAAAAGAAACAAAAAGTGGACTTGGACTTTACTGAATTGTTTCCCATTCCCAAGTTTTTAATATGTACAGACAGAAAAATAGACAGTCTCTTTTTGACACCCTAAGTTGTACCTGCCAAATCATCAGAGTGGCAGAATTGGCCTCTGAGAATGTGAGGTCGCCTTCTTTTATGACTATTTCCAATGTTATTTTTTTCAACATCTCCTCCTTAGTGTTTGTAATGCAGAGAACACTTAAAGTGCTCCACAGACATGGAGCATTTCCATTACCCTATGCAGTATTACAGGAAGTAGTTTATAAGGAGTTCAATATTAGGAAGAGTTATCTAATAAAACGCATTGTCTAATCTCCCTATTACAGGCGATATTTGGATAGATCCTGGTTAACTATAGTCTGGCATTTTCAGGAATACATTTATGTGTACGGTGAGGCATTGGGCTTGGTGTCTTCCAATTCCATACATGTAGCAAAAACCTGGTGGCTGTTTCTCAAATGTGCCTCATAACTGACCAGGCAAAATGGATCAGTAATTGTCCTGATGAATTGCCCTTTAATTACCCTCTTTCAAACCAATCCTTTTCGAGCATCTGATGGTGCCAGGTTATTGACTTCATGTCTTTAGGTTTGGACACTTTTTGGGCAGGATTATTCCGAAGAACCACGATCATCTAGAGGAAAACAGAGGAAGTTTCACTGTTGATTCTGAGAGAAGAATTTTGAGGGGGAGCATTTACATCAGGTTCTCCAATGCCTGCAAGGCTTCTGCATTTCTAGTCCCAACAAATTCTTCAAAATTTTTAGGACAAGATTAAATTGTAACCACTATTAACTGTGTGCCTAGGTCCATATTCATGCATACCTATCCCTGCCTACTTTGGCAGAATGAGTTACCAGTGTATGTAGCAGAATAAAACAGACTTTTAGGGTATCCTAAATACTCCCAAACTTTATTGTTACAATCTCTTTAATGGGCCTTATCCTTCAGGTGAGTCAGCTGGTTTAAAGAGTTATGTAAGGTACATTAGCCCTTAAACATATTTCCCAAAATGCTCAATTCTGAAAGGAATTTATTTCCTTGTTAAGACTGAGTTGAAAAGCATGGGTCTGCAGCAAGACTGAATTATTTATATTAGTGATTTCTTATGACAATCTTATAAGTAACTGTACAATTTAGGTTTATTTTCTCTTTTTTTTTTTTTTTTTTTTTTTTTGAGACAGAGTCTCACTCTGTTGCCCAGGCTGGCTGGCGTGCAGTGGTGCGATTTCAGCTCATTGTAACCTCTGCCTCCTGGGTTCAGGGGATTCTTGTGCCTCAGCCTCCCCAGTAGCTGGGATTACAGGCGTATGCCACCACAGCTGGCTAATTTTATATTTTTAGTAGAGACAGGATTTCACCATGTTGGCCAGGCTGGTCTCGAACTCTTAACCTTAGGTGATCCACCAGCCTCAGCCTTCCAAAGTGCTGGGATTACAGGCCTGAGCCACTGCCCTCAGACTCTGTCCTCTATTCCAATGGTGGTGGTTAGGTGGACATTTCTAGAGAAACCTGTCTTACTTCTTATAAGGAGGTGCTATACCTTCAAGGTGGAGACATACCTTGCTTATTTAGTATATAATGAAGAGATGAGAGACCAGTTGACTCTGAGAAGTAGTATGGGTATGTGTGATGTGAAAAAGAGTCATGAACTACTTTGCTAGTTTCAGATGTAAATTAATGTTGACCTCTAATTAAAATCTTTCAATTTATATATAATAGCTCAAAGAAGAGCGAGTACCATGACACTTTAGATGATGGTTTCAAAATGACGGGTTTTGGGAGCACTTTTCTTTGGTACTTCAGCCTGATCCTCCAAAAAGGAAACAAGGATTTATTTTTGCTCAAGGAGCGGTCAATGAGTGTTACTGCAAAATGAATCTGAAGTTTTTCTCTGTCTTAGGAGGGATGCAACATTCACAATTTCTACTTGTCTGTCTGCTGTCTTCACCCTCCCTCCTCCCTGTCTTTCACTGTTGGGTCTCAAAATAAATAACACAGACACTTCATCTTTAACTTCAGATAATCAGAGTCACAATCATCTGGGATATTGTGATGAACAATGTACATTTCATACACATGATGTCATAATAATTTAAAATGTCATCTCAATCTATTTATGATCTTCTAATGACTGAAATGTTTTACAATTGTGGGGGATATTTTATAACTGAAGTTTTAATGGCTGAATCACTAACACCTGGCTGTCTGGAATGCTTTTCTTTCTCCTAGTTAGGCATTTAAATGCATTTCTGGAAGGCCCAAGGGGTGGGATGTGACATATAAGCTCTTAAAAGGAGGAAAATTAGTTCTTGATACCTTAATGATCAGTCAGGTGAACGTTTGCATACTTAGCATTAATGCTCTTAAGTGGAATAGCTTGATTAAGACCCTTGGTAGGATTTTTTTTTTCTTTAAACATCCTTCTATGTGAGATTACAGAGGGAAATGCTGCTATTATGCCCATCCCTTAAAAAAGATCTTAGATTTTTCTTAAGTGTTTTATTTTCTAACTCTATTGTTTTCACTACTTTTTAGTTTTCTATCTTTGGTTTCTAAGACAATCAAGTTACCTCTTTATTGAGAATTTAGTGTATATTTTCATTTTGCTGGGCTAATATGTATATACAGATTATATATACACCCACACGTGCACACACACACACACACGTGCACACACACACACACACACACAAATTCTTGTCCCTGGATGAGCATACAGTTGCTTAAAGAAGACCAGACATATACACATGAAAATGTCAGTGAACCATACAAGTCAATGTATAATTAAGCCCATAGCAGGCCCCCGGTGGATGTTTACTAATGATGATAGTGGCACTAAATTATCTGGTGCAGGCCAAGAGAGGTCAGTACAAGGTTGCCCAGAGGCCTGCATTAAACAATCACTGAGATAAAGATGCATTTTAGTTCCTCCTATCTGTACAACATATATTAATATATAGCCTTCCAATGCAACATCCCACTTAATTTCCATAGTAATCCACTGAAGGAATTCGAGGTGTATATCCACAGTTTGGCAGAAGGGAAAATAAAGGCTTAGAGCCATCAGATCACTTGCACAACCAAGCTCACAGAGCTGGGTGGTGACGGAGCAGAGCCTGGACTCCACATCCTTGGGACCCTAGTCTGCTTTTTTACCCCACCATGTTGCTTCCAGTTCACAGGGTTTCTAGCAGAGTCTCTTTAGGCTAAATTGTTGCCTTGAATGGGCAATTTGCTTGAAATGTAGCTGGATGTGCAGCATCTTTGCTCATGTTGTAGCCAGGAATATAATGGCAAATCTCTGTATATTTGTTTCCAATGAAGATTGACTACACTGATGAAATAATGATAGGCTTTACTTCCATTTTTATCAACTAATGGTGTTTCTGGTGACAAGTCCCCATGATACTACTTTATGACTCTTTATGCACACGCTTGTGTCGCTCCTGCATTCTAGATAGATTGGGCTGATGTTACACAGGCCTGCTTTGACTGACACCAGAAAGCCGTGTGACAATTGGCTTGTAGATTGGACAGTTAATATAGAGAAGTGTCATACTATCCCAATTGGGCATTAAGATGCCATAGACATGGCTAAACAGGGTGGCTCCATCTGTGAACAAAAGGCCACTCTGAAATGTCAGAAACCAAATAACTAGGACTGCTGTGCTTGCAAATTTGCAAAATGGGGAAACAGTGTGTGTATTTAATTATTTATTTATTTATGATGGATTCTTGCTCTGTCACCCAGTCTGTAATGCAGCAGCACAATCTCGGCTCGGCTCACTGCAAGCTCCACCTCCCGCCTCCCAGGTTCATGCAATTCTCTTGCCTCAGCTTCCCAAGTAGCTGGGACTACAGGCATGTGCCACCACACCTGGCTAATTTTTGTGTTTTTAGTAAAGTCATTGTTTTGCCATGTTGGCCAAGCTGTTTTTAAACTCCTGGCCTCAAGTGATCTGCCCACCTCGGCCTCCCAAAGTGCTGGAATTACAGGTCTGACCCACCATGCCCAGCCTAGTCTGTGTGCCTTAATCATTGTATATCTTTAGGCAAATATGTTATCTCTTTAGCCCCATGTCTGTAAAACGAGAGGGTAATGTTTGCCTTATGATGCTCATGTGTTGATTAGACTACCCAAAATGGTAATTTTGTTGAAACATTTAGAAAAATGTGAAGAAGAGTGATACAAATGATGTCTCATGTTTGCATTGATGTCATTTCAGATTTTTGCTTCTAAGTATCTTCCTAGTGGCATCATACAGGTGATTTGGCCTAGGTTGGTAGCCATAGTTTAGCTTTTACAAAAGACTAAGAGTTCCCATAAACATGTGGTTTGGTTCTTTAAGTTCAAGCCTTAGGGAGATAACTATGAGGAGTTAGGGGTCTTTGTAATTAGTCAAATTAATGAGCCAAAGGCCACATGTGGCAGAGTTATCTATGATTTCTGTAAACATTATAAAATTCTCATGTTACCTTATCTCTTATATATAGGATTCCAGCTGGGCTATGAAAAATGGCTCAAACCACCATCTATTCCTCCCATTTATCTCTGAGAAATAACTCAAGACCCTTAAATCTGTTTACTCTCTGGTTTGTTGTAACATTGTAATATTTAGCTTCATGTCACTCAGTCATAATTAAACAGTTCACATTCATATTCTCCATTATTGGATTTAGTAGCCATTCTTTAGCCACAGTGTGCACTTGGAGGTTGTTTTGGTGCTTGTTTTTAATAATGCTTTCTTGAACTTCTACAGTAAATACACTTTCCCACTCCACTGGATAGGAGAGGAGTTGACAAGCTGGGTGTTCTGATATTGGCTGTGCTGATGTTTGCTCATAAATTCATCCAGCAATCTCTTGCGGAAAATACGTTCTAAACTTGGTATTAAGTTTTTGGGCCTATGACCAGAGTGAACTCATTTTGTGTGTGTGTGTTTGTGTTAATCCTTCCAAGAGCAATAGGTTCACTTGGATAGTTCTTAGTTTCTCTTTTTAAATTTCTTGATTAAGCTGAGAGAGTTCACACTGGAAACTCTTTGCTTTGCTGATTGCTCCAGACCTAATACAAGTAGATCTTCAGGGGAAAAGCAACATGGCTCATCTAAGTATTTACCTTTATACTGGTGAAGTCATCTCTTGGTGTCTATCTTCATATTTCCCAAAGAACGTATAAAACACATCTTATTTCCTTTCCTAAGTCTGAGGCCTTATCCATATATTTTAACTTCAGACTTGAATTTGTCCTTGTCCCTGACCTAGTAAACATTTTTATCAAGAACATGTAAGGAGCTGGAAAAAGGCCTTTTTTATTAACTTTCAAAGTATAAAGTTGGAGAGGTCAGAACATTCCACAGGTTTTAGATCATGGTTCCAAGTGGTCCCAGCAAGCTAAAACACTGCCTGACACCTATCAGACAAAATTTAATAGGATTGTAAGTTAGAAGTCCTAGCTTTATATTTTCAAAAATCTATTATTGAAGTATGTGCTTGAAAGGTCTGGCTTGGCAGTGTTTCAAATCAAAGGCATTGGGATATTTTATTTGACTGAGGTTTGATATATACCAGCGTAGACTATAGCTTGGGAAGGTATTGCCAACTTGGATGTGATGGAGGCTTTGGGTCACATTGTCTTCTTGGGATTCATACAGTTCACCCATCATCTAGAGGACTAGGTTCAGGTCAGAGGTTCATGTTTTAGGAAAACCAGAAAAACTAATGGGGATCTTCAGGAGAGGCACTAGGCTGTTGAGTGTTACGGAAATATTTGGCATAGAATAGAGGAGATTAAGATGGTACATAGAACATTATCTCAAATAGTTGAAACATTATTGTGGGGATGAGGATGTAGCATTTGTAAAGGAGAAACCTAGGACTATGGTTTAATGGTATAAGGAGGGAAGTTTTGGCACAATGTAAGAAGAAAGTTTTATTAAAGGATCTTATTAAACAAAATGATATTCTTCCTTACAAAGATGTGGGTGCTGATTGTTCTGGAAGAGCTAAGAGCAGAGCTGGAAGACCATTTTTGTAAGGCATTGTAGAAGAGATGTCTACGTCTGTGTGGGAAGCTGGACAGGTCAACCTTGCAGGATGCAAGGACTCATTTGAATTCAAATTCATTGTTATACTGAGAATTTCAAAGTTTGCCTATACATTTTCAGTCATTTCCTTGTTTGTATTCAGGTTATTATATAGCATTCTCAGTTAGAAATATCACATGGTCACTAAACCTGGATACCAGGCACAGTTTGAGTTTCTAAAAGTTGAATGAGCTTTCATGGACACTGCTGCCGCCACCTCTTTGGGTGTGCCCTCTGCTTTGCTTTTGTGGTAGTGTCACGGACATGCACTGGCTGATTCTAGCTCTCCTCTCTGGTAACCCTTATAACCAATAAGTGCTAAAAGGACTATAGTATCCCTATTGCCTTTCACTGCCCTCTAACTCTTGCTTAAGCTATCTCTGCCCCACCTCCTCTAGCCCTCTTCAGTTCCACTTTCAGATTCTCCCTTGACCCTTCATTTTCTCCTTGCAATGGAAATCCTACCATTTTTTCCAAGGCTCAGCTCAATTCCATTTCCTTCCTAAAGTCACCTCTTTGCTAATCTTCACTCATGCTAATCTTCACTCATCC
Source organism: Homo sapiens (assembly GCF_000001405.40). Lineage (NCBI taxonomy): Eukaryota > Metazoa > Chordata > Mammalia > Primates > Hominidae > Homo > Homo sapiens. The sequence goes on from NC_000010.11 coordinate 76,295,901, forward strand.
CTTTCTTTGGGACTGATACATCTTTGGAATTATCTAGCATAGTGCTTAATTGTTTTCACATTTTCCTGTCTCTTAATTTTATCTCCCAATCTCCATAGTACGTAATTTGGGATTAGGGACTTTGCCTTACTGAGTACTGCATGAATACATTTTATTGATTTACTGATTTGATTACAAATATGATCACCACACAGAACCAACTGGCTGAAAAGAATTGTGCCCTGACTTTGGCTTCATCAGCACAAGGTCAAAACTAACCAATTTATTTAAGTATCTAAAGGATAGGGCATCATGTGAATTATATTAACTATCAAATAAGCCTAGTTTGCTTATTATTTAGACATTCTTCTAAACCCTAATAACCCCTTGTCATCTCTGTTATGAGGCCAAGGTTGCACGTTTAGAATAGGTTTCTGGAAGGCTAAGCTGCAGAGCCATAGGCAGATGTGCTGCCACTCCTGCAGGCTTATTCACGAGGTGGAGAAAAATTCTCTTCCAAGTCCCTGGCTTCCCATTGCAAAGTAAAATGATCTCTGGTTTAGAGCTACTCAAAGGGTTAACTTTGACTCCTTCACCAAACCCAACTATTTAATGTTTTTAACGGCATAATGTGTTAATAGCCATACAGCTGTTGTTTCTCAGCCTCTTCCTTTATTGAGTTAGACACCATTTAGTAGGCTGAGTTCAAATTGTAAACAAATTATTTTTGCATATGGATCAATGGAAATTTAATAAAGTTTATTAAAACAGTATATTGGACCAAGGAGTGCTGTTTTCTCTCATGGATATAAACCAACCTCATTAGACCAACCCATAGTAACAGAATTGCAGGGAAGAAAGTATTTCTGGTCATTTAAAGATTATTTTGGTTCAACAGATGGTGACTAGCATCAGAGTATAGTTTTTCTTGTTTGTTAATTCATTTGCATGAACATATTTGATGGATACCTAGTGATCCCAACATGCTTGATTTTAGTGCCTAGTGTGCTTTCTAGCACATAGCAGGAAGTTGATAGAGTTGTCACAGAGGGGATTGTGATCTCAAGTGCAAAGAAGTGGCGTGAGATGCTGAGAGTCACACAGCTGTTGATGGGCAGAGCCATGGAAGAGCCTGGAGCTCTGAGCTCTCAGTCCAGTGCTCCTATCACTCACACAATGGCCCTCCCTTGATTCACTGCCTGTGAAATGTCTTAAATGATCCGCAGATACCTTCTGCCTGTTCTCATGGCAATCCCAGTTTATGTTGCAATAAATGTTATCTTAATCTCAATTGATTGATGAGTTCTTAAAATAACAGCATTACCAAAGTTCCCACTCACATTGTAAATCGCAAATATTCCACTCTTTGGAAAGCATTCAGGGTGGCTAACCACTATTTCAGATATGGCTTGGGCAGCCCCACTCTTGTAAGAGGTATCTGAAGGGGCTTTTACCAGAAGGAGCTAAATGGTTATCAGATAACTTAGAGTGGGATACAGGGAATTTGTAGTAAAGGCCTAGATTCCGCAACACAAATACTGACTGCCCTGTGGATTTGAAGTTAAAGCAGAAGAGAACTAAGATGGGCCTACTTTTTTGGCCCTGAGTGACAGCAGTTGGCAGAAGCAACCCTTTGGGGTAGTAGAACAAGCTTGGAGTTGTTCATTCCAGCTTCCTTGTGTCAGAGTCACTGTTAAGTAGGAGGTCGTTCTGTTCGACTCTGGTTGGAATCATTCTGTGTCTGGGGGCCTGTCGTTTCTGTCATTCTTCCTGGAAAGTAGAATCCTAAATATGGGCAGCTGGTTTGGACTGAAACCTTGGTGACTTCTGAAAGTTATAACAAATGGAAGTCATTATCACCATTGCCCCCCTTTACCTTTGTGCTACTTGAGGCAGAAAATGATTTCCCCCTCCCCCGGTTTGTTTTGGAGTCTTTCATCCAGAGAGAAAAGGATTAGCCTATGGCTACAATAGAGCTTTCAGGGCCTTTTGGCGTGCTGCAAATGTTTACTTATCCAGGTACAAATAGGTAAAAGCACATAGTTAAAGCTTCCAGCTGCAAGGTCATTTACCTTTTTAAAATGCAGCCGCATGTGCCGACTGAAGTCGAGGGCTTGCTGGTATGAGCCATTAACTGCCTGTTGTACGTAACCTCTCCTTGTCTTACACACAGCTGCGTGCGAGCTGCTGGTGCCATGCAGCCAGCCCACCATGCATGCCTTGCGAGCAACAAAAGCAGTTTAACTTGTGATCACTGATCATATGATCCACTTACAGGGTGCAGGCTCAGTCAAGTAGAACTGGTAAATCATTAAAAATGCGCCTTGATGCTATGCCTGCTGAGTAAAACATCATGCTAACATCTCTGCCTCCCACCCCCAACCAGTTAGCAGCATAGGGAAGGAGCTGGTACCAGCTGCATATTGGAGAAATCCAGTTGGCTGAGCTGGACGTGGTGAGAGATTGTCAGCTGCTTCCAAGCAGCATTGGAGAGGAAGGCAGGAAGACAGAAATAATCTGGAGTGGCTGCCATCCTCTCTCCTTGTCCTTTACTTACTCATTAACTGAGCCTGTGCAAAGGGCCTTCTGTGTCAGGCCTGGTACTAGTGCCTAAATTACAAAGGTAGGAGAGGAAATGAACTCTGACTTAGAGACTCTCAAAGTCTGTCAAGAACTCAGTCACCACCAAGTACTTTCACATAGGCACCCATGACGTGCCGTGCAACCCTAAGAGGCCTGGGGTAGCCAAAGAGATGATGCTTAAGCTGAACCTTGAAGAGTGAATAGAATTTCATCAAGGAAGCATGTAGTTAAAGGAACAACATGGGCTGTGCCTTAAAAAGTTACTTTCTAGAATTCTTTCTTCCATGAAGCATACCATTCTACTCAGTTTCTTATAGGTTTTAACAAATTGTTTTGTGACTGTATGATGGAAGGTCCAATGGATCCTCTCTTCTCTCCATCATGTGGGTCTAATTGTTTCTGGCATCATGTTACTCAGCTATATAAACCCTTCTGGGATGGGACTGTATCTCTTCAGTATTCTTGATTTTCCTTACAGCTCCAAAAACTTGGGGAGTGGGTATTGTTGGTTGGCCACCTTCTTCCATTTTCTTGATTAGAAATATTTTCTTTGACTTATTTTCCTTAGAAAATAAGAAATTATTAAATTAGAAATTAGTTGCTTTCACTTTTAACTAAGGCAATGAGACAGAACATACCAGATAGATGTTCCTCCTGCATATACGTCAGGAACATCTGCTGTTAGAGAAGAGCCGTGTGTGTGTGTGTGTGTGTGTGTGTGTGTGTGCATGCACGCACGCGCAATATGTTTTAAGTATATTGTGTGTGTCCATATGTTCTGGGATATTGAGGTTTCTCAGGAGTCCTGCAGTTTGCATGGCTGATACAACCTTTAAAAATGACTTGGACTTCCAGAGGCTCTGGAGAGTAGGTTTAATAAAATGTTCATTCCTTTAGATGTGAGACTATGCCATTTTACTTTATCTAGATACACCACTGTCTTCCAGTTAATCATAGCCCTTAAATACCTTCTTTTGCTTCTCAAAAGGTTTTACCTGGACCCAGAAGTTCATACAGAAGCTAAACTTTGGGAAGAGGTCAGATGTGGAATCCGTGCTCCCTTCCCTTTTTATACTTGCTCTGCTCTGCTTGTACAATGAATGGTCAGTTAGAATGCCTTTGAACCACCCCCCTTCCTTTCTTTTTTTTTTTTTTTATGGGACTCATTCCTGCAAGGACAGTTGTTTCCTGCAGAATAACTTTCTCATTCCTCTCAGGACTACTGCCTGGGGGCCAAAACTTGCTAATTAGAGGGTTGGAGGAATCTTCGCAATCTGCTGTCTTCATTTTCAACACCAGTAAGAGCTAACCTTTGGCTGGTTGTAGGAATGAATGAGTTTTGTCCTCTAGAAAGATGTCCGTCTTCATTGTACAAAGAAATGGAGGCCTGAGACTCAAGCTTTGTAGGATTAAGATTCAGATAAAATCGGACAATTTGCTCAGCTTTCTGCTTTACATCTTTGTAAAGGAAATAATACTTCCTCATACCTCCCCTAACTTCAACCCAATCTCTAAAGAAATGAGAGAAACTCTAAATCTGTTCTAAAACTAGGGGTAGTCATGGCATAATAGGTATGAAAGATCTGTTCTTATCTCTTCCTTGTATAGGGGCAGATATATAGTGGCAGAATTGAGAATAAACCAAACAATTGAGTGTTTTCAGTAGAAACTGATATATGACTAACCATGTACCTATGAACATATTTGATTGGTGGTATTTAAAGAGTTGTAAATATTTCTCATTAAAAATAGACTGTGAGATCTGTAGTCATCAAAGGTGGGATTGCCACTTGTGGAGGTAGAACTTTGTTTTATTTGAAATCAAGAAAAGTTGTGCAGCTACATTTGGGGACACTCTGGGTTGTTGGCACAAAATTTAAACTCAGGCTATCAGGAAATTCCTCAGTGGGAAGGCATTTCACAAAGTCGAGATATTATCCATTGATCATGGTAGGAAAGCAGGCAAGAAAGCTGTGTTCTATCCTGGGCAAGCCATCAATGCCTGGGGAAGGCCCTTTATTTCCGTCTCTGTGTTCTCATCTGTCTAATAGAGAAGTTAATACCTTTCCAACATACTTCACATGTGAAAATCAGACAGTGTAACAGGTTCTCTGTCTTTCTCTCCTGGAACAGATGAAATCTCTTCCATCATTCAGACGCTAGGCTGTTTTGTTTGGACTCTCTTCTATGGGCATTTGCCCCAATCCCTTTTTCTATGGTAGTTATTGACTTATCTCATTTCCTCCTACAACAGTGTAAGTTACCTTAATTTGCAACAGTTTACTCCTCTCAACATGGTGCAAAGAGCACAGCACTTGCATCAGGAAGCCCTAGGAATATAGAATCAGAATGGAATTCTGTGATGGAATCCAGGCACTTGGTTTCCCCAAGAATACCATTGTAGGATTGTTCTATCTGCCCCACCATCTTGTTTTTGGGAGTTAAACAGGAGGGCTTATGGGAACATGCCAAGTACATAGTACATGCTTAGTAACCATTAGGCTCCTTCCCTTAGTTCTTTGCTCATAGTGGCAACTTAATATATGCTTTTGGACCAATCAAATTTTGACAATGAGGAGGAAATCCATGCTATTTGTTTTTTTTCCTTCTGGTTAAGATGTTCAGGAGAGAAATAGCCCTGCCCTCAGTTATATTAAAAATTTAAAAAATTACCATTTCAATTGTTGATACAAAGTATTTTTGAGGTCTGCAGAAGACACAATGCAAATTTTATTAAGTTACCATTATCCTTGTCAGTGAAATTAGAGCATGTTTCTAATCAGTATCTTCAGCAATTACAGACAACAAGGAAATAACTCATGCTGTTATATGAAACAGCTTATAAATTTTTACATACATGTGAGAGGAATCACTTGGAATCCAAAGCTGCCAAGAGGAATAATTAGGAACCACAGAACAGATCTTGGTAATGTGACAGCAGCTTCTAAAACATCCCACAGGACGAAGAAGCGCAAGCTGGCTTGACCTATATCTTTAATAATACAGATCATTGCCCTTGGATTGAGGCTAAAGGGTAGGACCAAGTGCTTGCTTCATCACGTTTTAGGAAAAATTGCCAAAGTATATTTATGAATTCACCACACAATGGCCTCTTGCTTTGATTATGAACTGACGGATCTCTCTAAGTAGCAACTCAGCATGCAAAATTTAAAACAAAAAAACCCACCACAGAGCATAATTTCTTATATTCTGTCATGCTTGGCAAAAAGTATTATGTAAGACCCAAGTAGACAAATGGCTGTTAACAGTAGAAATAACCTTTTGTTTAATTAGAAAATAGGAGCTATATGGGATAATAAAAATGGTTACTGATGCCCTCTGTCACTGTTTAATAAATACGATCGCGCTAGAGATAATGGGAAGTGTTATTTATTTGTGCAATATCACAGACTTGGTAATTGTTCATGTTGTTGAGCATTTTCCTGTGTGGAGATCACAGTAGTTTTAGAATTTGTTTCCTTTGATCTAAGAAAAGGAAATAGCAAGTTGTTTGCTTAAAATGTTCATGGCCTCCCTAGGCTGGAGTAAAGTATCTGCATATTTTTAGCCCCTCAGTTTTGAGGACAGAATCTCTGTGGCGTTGTCTGATGCATATTGAGAACTGGTGCGTTATTTTGAACTGGCTCTATTTTTTTTTTCCAGAGCGCCCTCAGGTGCTCATGGAACATACTTCTCAGCAATGCCATTTCATGTTCAGTTCAGATTTTCCAGCACAACTAAATTTAGTAGCCTTGCTGGAGGGAGGAAGTGGAGCAGAGCTACCTACCTGAGGATGTGTTCATGGGAAGAGAAAAATCTCCCTGTTGCTCCATCTTGAGAACCAGCATATGGGATGAAGATCAGACTGAATTTCCACAGCATGTGTTTCACTATCTTCCCTGGGGGGTGGTAAGGAGAAAAGGCTGAAGGTGTTGGCCATGTTTCAGGGTCACTTCCATTTTGTGTTTACTGTGAACACTTTAGTTGTGAGACTGTGCCATGTATTTGGGGTCATCTGGCTAGATTTATTTCATTGCACATGGCAGTTCACGCTTGGTTTCTTTTTTTTGGGGGGTGGTGGTGGGGATTCTGTTTTCTTTTGTATTGTGATTGCTGGAGTGGATACTCTTGTTTCTTGCCTTTTAGAGAAAATGTTTGTGGTTTGTGATATTGGATGATTTATTTCTTATTATGGCAACCTAAGGATTTTTCACTGTTGACTTTGGTGATTGTGAGATATTTCCTCAGACCCTGAACTAACACTTGATTCTTCTCATACAGAGAAATCCACAAAAATGAGATATGGCACAAATTTGTATAGAAGTGTTTTGTGTGACCACTTATTTCTGCAAGTCCTAAGTAGCCCTTTCTAGAAGGTTTCCATGTAATACCTTTATAAAAATATAGACAGTTTGTTAAAAGGAAAACACAACGCAACAAAACCCCTTTTCTTCACACAATTCATTTTAAGCTTCAAAATCCCTGAAAATCCCCAATCTCCTTTTGCAGTCTGGTTCCCACTCTAACTTTCCTCATCTCCCCCTGAAAGAAAGAAAAAAGCATTTCTTCCAGGGACTGATAAGTTGTAGGCCGATGCTTAGCAACAGCATTCCTGTGCTTTAAGTAGCTGCAAGCCCCTTGCTGAACTCTTTGATGTGACTGTCAGGGCAGATTTATTTTGTTTTAGCACATTGTCTACTTGTCCAGATGTATCAGGAGATAAAAAGGAGTCATGTTTACACTCCTCCCTTTTTTTTTTTTTTTTTTGGAGATGTAATTAAATCGTGTTTTTGATGAGTCTTGGGGAGCTCCAGTTGAAGAAAACAGGAATTGGCTGGAGTAAAGGGAAGAATGAAAACTTGCTTGGCAGAATGAACACCTGACTGCGTCAAAAAATAAAGCATAAGTACCAGCTGGCGTGGTTCTGTGAAGCTGGAGGTTTTGTTCTGAGTCTTTTGTTCCACTTCTGTGGAAGTCCAACCAAGAAGAAGGGAGAGGTGCCCGTCCAGCGCTCACTTGCTGGGCACTATCTGTGAAACCTCTAGCTCTCAGTGATCTCTTCTTTCTTACTGCACACAGGCGCGCACATGAGGCCTTAACTCCCTTCTTCCACTATCATTTAGTGGGTAGTACATCTGTGATAGATAGTTGTCAATCTAAGCTAATAAAATTGTTGAACTCCAGTGATCTTGAATAAACAAATCTTCACCGAGCTGGATGAGTTGAATTCCCTGGGAATGGGATTGCCACTCTTTTTTTTTTTTTTTGGTGATCAGTTTTTTAATGTGCACATTTAGTAACACCATTCTGAGTTCTATTAATGACCTGCAGTGAGCAGTGACAAGCAGGAATATGACATTCAGTACTGCTGAGGACCTGCCAGGCAGCGGCTAACACGCTCGCTTTCATCTGCAGCTCGGGAGACACTCTATTTGCATCCTAAATAGGTTACACTACAGCACCCCCTTCTGCCGACTGAGCTGTGTGACAAGAAGGCCTCACTACAACTCAGTTTTCTCCCCTGATGACAGCCCTGAAGGCCCTTTCACGGCTTTCTCTAACCTTTCTAGCCTTCCCCTTTGGTCCCTGGAGGAGCACAACAGTGACTAATGGTGTGCGTACCTGCACTCCTGGGGGCTTCATTTGGATTATACTTTTAATTACTCATTCATCAGAGGAAAGGAACAAAAACCATCCATTGAAGGAGACAGAAAGATGGGTATAACAAAAAGAAAGCTGAGCCAAGCAGGTGCTACCTTAGATCACTCCTGGCTGGGGTCCCTCCTGCCAGATCCCAAATCCCAGACAGACGCCACTGAATGCATCTTAGAAACTACAGGCTTGGTTTTGTGTTTCCCATTTGTAGCCCAGTCTGAAGTACAGGAAGGAGGTTTTCCTTTGTTTGTTCTAAACACCTTTTGGATGACTCCATTTGGCAGAAGCGCACCTTAAACTTGTAGTCCTTTCACATACGAGAAATCAACTGGGCTCTGCTAGAAAGGGGTGTCCACATGGGGAATTTTGGAGGGAGGAACTATGCATGCCACCTGTCCAACACTGAGAAGCCCTGTTTGCAGGGGTTGGGGTATGGGGTAGAGAGCTCCCATCAGAGGACAGTGCAGAGGCTGACTTAGCCTGGGAAGATGTGGACTTATTGTTATCCTCCACCCTTGGAGGCCAGGGAATGCTATTTGTTCAATATTTTAAGTTCATTTAATTTACCATTTAGTATTTATCGAGAAGATACTATGGGCCACCCAGGTGGAGTAGGGCGCTGCCCTCAAGGAGCAAAGTGTCTAGTAGGGGGACAACTCAGGCAAAGCATGTTGGGAGGGAGTTAGGAAGGAAGACTAGGCTTTGCAAAGATCTCCAGCAGGATGGGGCACAGTGCCCTGCGGGAGCAGGAGAACACCACGTGATGACTCTCAGGGTGAGGAGTGAAGGCAAAAGAGAGGCTGAGAAGGCAGGGGCTGGGGCAGAGGGCCTTCTAGGAAATGGATGGTGCTCTTTGCTTACCCCAAGAGCAAGGTGAATCACTACGTTTTTAAGCAGAGAGGCCCCAGTTTCCTTGTGAATCTTCGTGGAGTCCTTTGAGCTCTGTAACCATCTGGGTTACAGGTCTTCTTTGTGTGTCTCACTACCATGCCTTACCCTTCTGTAATCTGTCTGTGCAAGTGCACTTGCAGGATAAACCCAGGAGCTGGAGAAAGCAGAGGAGTTTCTGTGGCCGTGTTTACCTTTCAAAACCTAGGAATCCTGGATATGGAATAAGAGAAAAGAGGGCTTGTAGCATGTGTGGGCCCTTTCTTGGGCCCTTTCTATCTTATAATTGGTACAAAAGACAGTAGATGGTAGAACGGAGTCAGGAAAAATGTTGGAAAATGTTTTAATGGATGAAAACTCATTTGGAAAGTAACCTCAAAACATCTTTTTTCTTTTTCTTTTCTCCCTCCCTTCCTCTTTCTTTCTTTCATGGTCAGGACATTGGACTGTCCTGAGCAAAACATATACCTAGAATGGGATCTCCCACCCAGGGTAGGTTCATGCATACTTTGTCAGTGACTGAGTCCCTCTAGACCACAATGTGTTTGAGAGTTGAAGACTAAGATGGGCACAGGGTAGTGTTTCTTTAGAAAATAAACTTAAATTTTGCATTTCCTTTGGCTTCAGGGAGAATAAGGCTGCTAGAATGGTTAGAAATATTGCACAGGACATCAGACTTACTGATTATGATACTTGATTAGTCATTTTTCTTGTAGTAATCATATATTTGGGTCTGGAATCTCTCAAGGAAATAGCTTCACACATATGTATACGTTTAGATGAATGAAACTTTTGATGTTAACAGTTATTGATAGTATAAAGCAAATAAAAAAGGCCTCTTTCAAGAACGGCTCTGTGAATAATTTACAGAAAATTTTGAAAAAAGAAAATAAAGGAGAAAAGATTTTTGGGGGTTATTTCTCAAATGACTTTCCATCTATTAAACTATTTTCCACCATTTCCCTTGGCTCCAATCTACTATATTAACTATATTTTATAATAAACACATTAGTATTGTGAAAATTAATATTTAATAATGTAGAGTCCTTATCTAGAAAAGTTAAGTTCTTATCTAGAAAGGTACACAGGCTGAGGATTAGTATTAACTTTACAAAGAAAGATTGGGTTTGGAACTCAGAGTTTTTTTATATCCTTATCCTCTCCTCTGCAATCAACACATACACACATACTTTTGCATACTGCAGCCCTTTTGGAATTCCAAATGTTAGCATCCAAGCTTCATGGTTCTTCTTCAGATTTTAGCTATCCTGATATAGACACTGAGAGCATGTGGGCTCTAGCCCAGAAGAGTTTTAGCAGCCTAGCAGAGCATTTGTACATATCCCCCTTTGGTTGCTATAGTGGGTGCTGTTGAATTGCTAAGCAGAGAATCCTGCCTACTTTCTTTGGGTCTCTTGGGGGAAATGAAACTCAAGTGTAGCAGCTAGTCCTAAGTCTGTAGGTCTTCAGTTCCACATCCTAAGTCACACATGACACGGGGCATGGATCTTCAGGGGCTTACCTAAGCTGTCCAGGACACATTGTCCTCATCCTCAACACAATGAACCTGGAGGCTTGGATATATTCAAGGCAAACATCCTTGGCATCTCTTTTAGAAATAGGCCTGAAAGATAAAGAGGGCCGAGTGATAGAGTAATGGGGAAATGCTTTTGGAAAATGAGAGATGCACATTAGAATTAATTTTCCCATACCTTTGAGGTTTGCATATGTCAAAATTAAAACTTTTTAGACTGTTGTTCCCAGAGGACTTCCTCGTGCTACTCTTTTGTACTGGTCACATATTCTCTTGTGGTATTATCTGTTTAATGTGTGGACAAAATGTGTATGATGTCTCATTCCCAGAATTGATACCAGTAGTTGCTTGACACATGCTAATTAGTAATTAAATATACTGTATTACTCCTCACTTAAACAGAACATACCACACTGAGTTTAACTTTATCCTGTTGACATATATATGTGTGGAGGAGTGGAGGAAGCCTGGGGTGTCATCATTTCAGAGGTCTGTTGCAGCATCTTGTGGTTCAGCTCTTAGTCTAGCTTTTTGTGGTTGTTTCTTTTTCCATGTCATACTGTGACCCCAGCAGCTACCCTTGCCCACCCCTCATGTTGCTCTATTTAGATGCCTGTGGCTGTTTTTAATCTTCTGTGGGATACCAAAGCTTAGAAGAATAAAATTGTATGATAAACCTGCCTGATGTCAACTAAGATCCTGAAAGGTATAAACTTTATGATATCTGCAAGACCTCGTGGGGAGGGTTTTCTGGAGGTGGAGGCCTTTTGTTGATGTTGATGTCAGGATTGAGCCACTGCATAATGAGTTCAGTTTGGCCTAAAGATAATGATGAGATGTTTTGAATGTCTGGGATGCAGTGAGGGGCTCCTGAAGACTTACACAGGAGGTCGTCTGCTTTCGAAGGGGAATTTGCCCTTTTGGCCTCTTTGGTGTCCACTACACTGTATTCTGGGATAGACCTAACTCTGTGGAACCACCATGTGACCACCCTTAATCAATAGTGGTCTGATGGGGCCAGCTGCTCTCTCAGCACTAGGAGTGGCACAGGAGCCAGGCTCAATCAGGTAGAGGGTTCTTTCTCATGGGTGAGGAGATTCTTTCCAGGATAGGCACATAACCCAAAGCAGGCCACGGATTCCCAGATTTTGTTGGAACTTACAGGAAAGAGAAACTCTTTCTTTTGTCTTTGAAGATGGTGAGGTACAGATGTGGGGGGCTCCTGGGAGGCCACCACGTGGAGAAACCAAGAAACAAAGCTGAGATAGAAATTTCTGATGAGAAGTTTGAACACCTGGATCTAACCGTATATGAAACCATATACCTTGAGCTCATTAAAGCCCCCTGCTCCTCTTTTTAAACTTAAAGCACTTTGAGGTGGATTTCATGACTTACCATCAAAAGGATAATCTTATTTTCCTGAACTGTTCAACAAGGGAGATTCTACAACTTACCCTGGAAATGTAGCAAGTGGTCCCCATAGAGTCATTTTGGTCAAGAATTCTTAATTGTGTGTGACTTAAATTTCATTTTCTGACAGTCTCTCTGTAATGTAAATAACAAACCAACCCTACTTGCCCTCTCCCCAAATCAAAAAATCCTCAAACCCAGGAACAAAATTTTGATTAGTCTACTCCTTCCAAAGACACCTTCATCTACTTGAACATCAATTTTCAATGGTCCCTTCAACCTTCTCTTTAAATACTGTCTTTATTATGCAACTTTGAAATGATCTACCTGTAGATATGTATGGCAAGTGTCAACACTAGTGAGCCATGAGAATTTGTCATAGCAGCGATCTCACAAGCATATCTTGAAGGTTTTCCTGTGGTTTCATCCTGGCATCTGGTCCTGAAAGACGAAGATGGATAGGGAGCCACATGGTGGCTGTTCACTGGCCCCAGGAAAGGCCGTGCTTGTTTCCCCTCCCAAGACTACTTCCATGGACCGAGACAGGTAACTGCAGTTACCCAGTGACTGGAGGAGATGGAGAAGATTCCAGTAGAACCAGCCAATCTAAACCCAGGTCCTTCTCTGTGAAGTCACCTTTGCTACACATCAGAGACCATGGGGCTGCTGCTTTCTCACCAATCTCTCTCCTGCTCTCACCTCTCTCCTCCCAGCCTGGGGATGGAGAAGCCATAGCAAGCACCCATATGGCTCACATTTTCTTCTCCTCAAAACCTCTCCCCATAGTTCTGTCTGAATCTGAAAGTGACGGCTCCAATTAAGACACAGGAAGAAAAGAAATATAATTTCTAAGTCACTTGGCCTGGTGACATATATGTTGGGAGTTAGGAAAGTCAGTGTGCGGCTTCTCTACCATCCCAGGCGCTGCAGTCAAACAAATCAATTCAGCCTTCAGAGGGGCATCCATTGCCTTGTGATTATGTTTGTGTAAAGTCTTGGGGTCTTTGATCAAAGAATGGCATTTCAGGCCAGTCCCTAATCCTCACTGCCTTAAGATGTTTAAATGGGTTAAAAAAAAAAAAGTTGATAACAGCTGGGATTTAAATTTGCCTTTGCCCAGCTTTTGTTTTGAAAGGACTTCTATTATCCGTGGCTTCCCTTTTCGAGGCAAAGATGGATCATTGGGTAAACCAAAAAGGGAAAGAGGATATGGGAGGAAATGGGCGGGGACTCTGAATTAATCTTCTGAGGAAGAATGTTTGATCAGCGGGGAGGAGGGGATGAAAACCTCTGATGCTGACAGCAGGCACCTTTCTGATGAGGGTGTGATTGGCACCTTTGAAGCTTCAGTCAGGAGCCAGTGTCCAGTGGGTCAGAGCTTCCTCTGTCTGTGGGTGGTGGAGGTAATAATGAGGCAACTGGAAGGATTAATTGCGGACAAGCAGCAGGATTACGAGGAGGGCTTCTCAGCTCCAAAAGGAACAGTTCGAGGAAAGCCTCTGATCTGTCAGCCTTAGAGGAAATTAGTGGGAGCAGACTCGAGCAGGCTTAAAAAAAGGCATTTAGGATATTAAAGCGAAATGTGAAGAGGATATTAAAATAGGGCAAAAGGGCAAGGAGCGCTGATCTTGAAAGGCGGGTGTCTCCCTCTTATTACTAGGAATTTCCAAGTTTTGCCCAGATTTCACAGACACCTTATTTTTACAGTCCAGCAGAGAGATTTTACTTGCATTGCAACAAGTTAGGGGAGGGTCAGACTGGATTTGAGGTGGCACCCAAGGTCCTGTACAAAACTTGTTTGCTGTCCACCCTCTGGCAGTTTCAGAAGCTCCTGAAACTAAGGCTCCTGGTATAATTTTACAACAAGCCAGCGCATTACTGACATCCTATCTGCATTAGCTATCTGTTGTATGTTTTACTTCTTACCCTTCTGGTTCAAGTCTGGATGCTGCCAATAAATCCTGTGTTACCATTAAAGAGGCCATTCATCACGCTTCCTAATGCGATTAATCAAGATACACCACAGTACCCTTAAAATGAGATCATTTTGATAAATCATGTATGACATGAAAAGACTTTATTCCTTTTAAGTGCAATTTAGACTGTAATTTTTTTCCTCATTTATGATTCATGGGAGAAACATGGATAAAATTCCCTTGCACAGTTACACCTTATCTACAGCAATAACTCAAAACTGCTTTTAGATGAAAATTCAGGGTCTTATTCACCAAAGCTGAATGCCAGCTCATTATTTTCTGGCGTTCAGTAGTCCAAAAATAATGTCCGCACATTAAGCGGCATTCTCAAAAAAGTTGGAATTGGCCAGGCTCCAGGCACATCAATTACACTCCATCATCCTTAATAAGGAAGAAATATCAGATGTCCTCTTGGAGGTTTTTTGAATCAGTAATGCTCAGCCTTTACCTTCCCAATTTAGAATGATTGGGAAACAAAAATGGTAGTAACAAAAAAAGTATGGGAATTTCAGGGCCTTTACATGACTCTTCTCCTGTTGCATAAGTCTCAAAAGAGGTATTTTTTCCCTCCCATGCGGTTCATGCTTCCTTTTCCATTCCCCTTTTCTCATTTCACAAAGGAAACTACCATTTTGTTAGGTCTGAGTTTTGTTTCTAAGCTGCTGTATCTGTGATGCAGGCTTTCCCCTCACAGCTGTCACAATAATTTGGGAAACGATATTCATAACCTCCAATAGAAAAATAATTTGAAAATGTGCCTTCTGGTGAGATCCATCAAGTTTAAGGCCATATTTTTGGTTAAAAGGGAGACACTGATGCTATTCATTAAACTGAAAAATGGCTTGTTTTCCACTAATATTGAAATAAACTCTGGATGAATGTTAAGTCATGCTGGCATGCACTCTTATTGAAAGCAAAAGGAAAACACAGATATATTTAATTTGGACATGTAAAGTCAACAGAGTTTTAGGTCTTTCATGAGAAAGGGAATCAGGAAGATTGGCTGAAACAAATGTGAACAATTAGAAGTTCATTTGCCTCTTGCAAAGAGTGAGAGCATTTAAAGAGGGATTCAGTGTCTGAGAACTATAGACTCACTTGCATTTTTTTTTCAACCCCTGGTACCTATGAATAAAGAAATAAAGACTTGATCAACATGTAATTTATTTCCCTGCTGTTCTTAGAGATTCATTTGGGAAGCAGAACAAAAGCCAGTATTTGACTCTGTTTTTAAGTAACCCAAGAATGCACACGTATCCTATTCATGCCCACTTAACATAAATGCAGCAAAACTCAAGTTTATTTGGGTTATCACATTTATGCTAATGCTCTGTACTTTAATCGGATAGAAACTGACATAAAACAAAAGTTCCTTGCATATTATTCACACATTTAAATGAAATTTCCTGTGCTTTTAATTTTTTCTAATATGAAGAGTCAATTAAGAATCTAAGGCCATTAAGGCTGCACTTGCCTTGTTTAGGTTTCCATTTCACATTTATGACTTTCTATTTTTGTGAAAAAAGATCTGTAAATTTGAAAAATATGCACGTATCTCATTAAAAAAGTTTCCCAGCTCTAGCAACACTCAGCAAATCTCCAAAGAATGCAAGTTTAAAACATAAATATTTTAAGGCCCCATAAAATTGGCAGTAAATATTTTTCCCCCTTTAATACCATGTTCATTTCATTCCAATTTACTACCACGATTATATTTTCCAAAGCGGCTTTTAATACAATACACAATTATTTCATATGGGGTTGGGTAGGTCGCCTCATTAAGCCTGCAAAGATCAGGCCTCTTGTGATCCCCACAAATATACTTGCATTTACTCCTAATTAAAATGGCCCTCTTAAATTGTCTCAAGTTCATTAATATAAATAAGAAGCTAAGCAAAATAGCCACAGTTGAACAGTTAGCAGGGCAAGATGACCAGGTCCCCAAACCTCACACAGAGCAGACTGTGGTATGTATGCAGTGGTGCCCTGCCACCTGTTGGCTCTGCTTACACATAACAGGGTATTGATGTCCCTCATGGTGGTGCAGTAACCCTCTCTGACCCCTATCCCTAGTTCATCATCCCCAAGAGAAAAGAAGAGGCCTTTGAGAATCCCAGGCCTCCTGATTTCCCCCATCATTCATTTCCTTGGCTACATGTTTCTCCTGCTAATGCTAAAAATTTATGGCTGAGCACATTAAGGGCAGTGCGAGTCCTTCCCTACTTCTGGATTATATCAGAGTTTCCTGTCATAAGGAAATCCAAGATGTGTCCTCAGCTGATTGCATGTGACAGTGTCTGCTTATATCTCAGGAATCTGAGGCATGATGGATAAACTGTCAGTTTTGAAGGATGATATTTTCTCCATATTTCCATTATGAACTGGGCTGTCATCTCCTAATAAATTTCTTGCATTGGTATCAATTTATTTTTACAAGCAGAGGGTCTGATGTATTTGGGAAAGGCACTGACAGCAGATCTGGCCTAGCCTGACAGAGCTGGCTTCAACTCATTTTGGAAAAGTACTTTGGTTCCAAGGACAGAACTTGACCCGTAGCCCTCAAGATTAAAAAAAACCTCCGTGAGAGGAAAAGAGACACATGAGGCAAGTTCCTTCTTTTAAGCCAAAATAAATCAAGCCCTTAGGACTACCATGACATAATATCATTTTTAAGACAGTCCTACAAACCCAGTTGAGATATGCCACGTGTAGCCTTCTCGTCTGAGTTAGATGAGACCATCTAAATGTTGTTAGAGCATCACAATAATGCAGTGAATTGATGGATGAATTCGGATTATAATGAAGCTAGGGATCTCACAATTTTTGCTCCCAGAAGGGATCTCAGTAGTGCTCTTCTGCTTGACAAGTGAGAAGCAAAATTAATTCATATAATGCCTATTTAATTATGAAATATGGGCATGTCTCTGTCATGGCTACTGTGAAGGGCAGAAAAAGCTATACAACATGAGCTTTACCTCTCAAGAAACTTAAAGTCCAGTTGAAGAGATAAGATATTAAACAAAATTAGAGTGAAGTAAGAATAAATCATAGCTAACATCCATGAGCAGTGGCTAAGATGGTTGTTTCTTACCCTTATTTAACATTTACCTTTATTGGGAAGGGAGGCAGCATAACATTGTAATTGCCAAGACAGCAGCAACTGGAGGCAAACTGCCTGGATTTGTGTCCCAGCTCTGCCAAGGAGTAGTTACCCAAGAACTTAAGTGAGAGCTTTGTCAGGGGACTTAATTTCTCTGGTCCTCGGCTTCCTCATCTGTAAAACAGAACTAGGAGTTGTGACTCCTCGTGAAACTTTGTGAAGATTGAATAAATCAATACATGGAAAGTGTTTAACGCAGTTCTCGACACAAAGTAAGTACTAATTAAAAATGCTAATAAACGTTAGCATTTTTAAACTATCATTATCATGATTGTGACTATTATTACCATTATCACTGTTAGTCAAAATGTGGCTTAAAGAGTTTAAGTCAATTGCCCAAGATGGAGCCTGGCTCTAAATCTTGATCAATAAGGCATCAGAGCACAGAAAACAGAGAGTTAAACAATATACAAATTGTGAATTAGTCAAGAACAGAATCCTTGAAGCTTAGTTATTTTTCTTACTGTTCTTTCCATTCCTAGACTATAAAATAGCCCTTTCTCCATTGCCTGAAACATACTTTAGAAGCTAGTTGAAAAGTGTTATATGTAGTGGTGTGTAGGTAAATGCTTAACAGCCAAGTCTCTGGGAAAAAAAGTGTGTGTGTATACACATGCATATATAATATATTGCATTTTTTAGTTATATAAATGATGTGTAGAACACAATTAAAAGTAAATAACAATTGAATATATAATACTGTTTCTAAAAAATTCCATACAATCACTTAATTGTCACAGATACTTTCAATGATTTTGGCCAAACTCTTGTATCTCGTATCTGTGGTTGCAACTGATGAACAACTGTAGTTCCCACTTGATATTCCTTTATCTTAATGAGTATGTCAGAACTTTACTCATTTGTTAATGACATAAGAAACTACTTTGCTGAACTGGATAATAGTTTTTGAATATTGGAAGAATATTTTTTCAATTTTTTTGTGCTATTCACAATGCCTTGCAATACCCAACAAAGCAACTTCTCAAAGAATTAAGAAAAGATTATTAAATGAGAAGGAATATACTAATACCACAGGTAATTTTTATAAAGGCAGAACATCCTATCTATAAATAAGCAATTATATTTAGCCAAAGAGGTATGGAGCACAAGTTAATATTTTGCTACCATTAGGCTACGACACAACATCCTTTTTTTGTTGTTGTTTTTAAGAAATGGAATTTTGCCATGTTGCTCATGGTTGGTCTCCAACTCCTGGGCTCAAGTGATCTGCCTACCTTGGCCTCCCAAAGTACTAGGATTACAGGTGTGAGCCATCGTGCCCAGTCACACAACATTCTTTTAGGTTCTATCTGCAACATTAACATTTTCTCCATCACTTTAAGTTTAGCAAATAAGCACACCAATGAATCAAGCTCTCACTTGCAGCATTTGCCAGTTTCTGCTGCAAATACTCCCACAGTGGCCAATGTCAAACTACAAAGTGCCATCACTGAAGAGTTGGAAAGTGACTGCACATCATTATATAGTATTTTTATCATACAAATTCAGTAGACTCAATTTCAAGAGCATAAATAACAGTAAAATTTTGTAAAATAATTAAGAAGTGAGGAGTCTTGTTAAATAAGGTAATTTATTCAAGTTTAAGTGTATATAATTTTAAATAATACCTGTGTTTAACAACTGACCAAAGTTGCTGAAACCTTAATAATTACTTCTTGTAAGCCAGTACAGGTTAACACTTACACACCACTGGTTATTTGAACCCAAAAGGCCAAAGAGATCTGAAACACTAATTTGTCTACATCGCACAGCTAATTCTTTCATGTATTATTAAATAAGTTGATAGTTTTATTTACTTAGCACGCCACAAAACGTGTTGCATATTACCATGAGTTGATTCATATCTCACTACCAATATATTACCTACCTTTGTATGTGCACTAAATAAGCCTAGGAGGGTTTTCTTTGCCAGGCACCTTTGAACATCAAGTTCATTGTACAGTGCTTAGGATTCAGGCTATGGAATCGAGCTGTGTTATTTCTCAATTCCGGTCTCCACATACTAGCTGGGTTTTCTTGGACTAGTACTATAACCTCTCTCTAAATCTCAACTGCCTTACCTATAAAGTGGTAATGTTAATGGTACTTGTGATGGCAGCGGCGGCCTGTCTGGAGCAGCCGCTTCGAAGATTAGCTTCAGTGGGGCAGGAAGGGCTGGTGGGAGCCAGGAACAGACAAGAGCCCCACCCCCTAACCAGTTGAAGGGGCGGGAGCCCGCACTCCTTGGTGCAGCTGCAGCTTCCCAGCCGCACTCTGGACCCTGGCATCCCTGTGCTCTCAGGGGCCTGGGAAGCCCCTGCCCCAGCGGGCTTGGAAGTGCCTGCTCCTGCTCCCGGGCCTCTCCCTGCTCCCGGTGCCCACTCCAGTGCAGAGCAAAGTTGTGGCCAAGCCCGAGGGCTGTCGTGACTCAGCTGCGTTTGCGTGCACTCAGGGCAGCACTCACACGCTAGCGCCCCCTGCTGCCTTGGCCCCCTCCAGACTTTGGGCGTCAGTGAGCGCAGGAAGCAGCAGCCCAGGGGGTGCTGAGGGCAGCTCCCTGCGGGCCTGTAGACACCCCTCAACGTGAACAGCCTGGGCAACGTGGAAGGCAGACAGGTCCCTGGGCGGAAGGGGGTGGGTGCCCAGTGAAACCCCACCTTCAAGCCAGGGATGGCTTGAAGCCTGGGGGCCGGGCTGCCAGTGCCGGGTGGAGTCCCCCTCCTGGAGTGAGAATTTATGATGCTTTTTCCGGCTGGCCCATGGCAGCCCATGGACCAATCAGCACTCACTTCCTCCCTTTGAGCCCATAGACACCCTCCCCACTCCAATGACCTGCCTGCAGAAAGGAGCTACATACACACTGTGGGTCTTCTGAGAGCTATTCTGTTGCTCAGTGAAGCTCCTCCCTGCCTTGCTCACCTTCCAGTTGTCCACGTACCTCATTCTTCCTGGATGCAGGACAGGAACTCAAGATCCGCCAATGGCCAGACTAAAAGAGATTTAACACAAACAGGGCTGAAACACGCCTCTCCGCCTAACACGTTGCAGGTAATGAGAAGGAGAAGAGCTGTGGCCCTTCAGGGAGCCCAGACCTAGGGGCTCTCCAAGTCAGGGCTGTGACGCCCTCTTTAGGGCTCTGTGGTTCCTGGCGTCTCCCAGCTTCCAGGCACCACAGCATTCCCTGGTGCCCATGGTGGAAGCTACTTGCAGGACGCCTGGTCCAGATGCAGCCTCTCTTGGAGCCAGCGCCTATACTGGCACTTGGAGCTGCCTGCCCCACCGCAGCCAGCACACCTGGCCGTGCGCTGTGGCCGAACCCCGTGCTCACTCACACACCCCTTGCCACTCCATGCCTGGCTCACCCTTGACAGATGTGGGATCTGGGCCGGTAGTGCCAGCTGAGCGCAGCCTGCTGGGCCAAGTGTGTGGAATGAGCCCAGTGAGGCTAAGCAAAACTCAGGCAAAGGCGCCACGGGCCACAGACATTTCTGACTAGAAAACTGACACCCTAAGGATCCTGTGACACTTGCATTATAAGGCTATTGAGAGGGTTAAATGAAACAATGTTTATAAAATGCCTGCATATAATTAATGCCAGAAATGTGATGTACACACACCCACATTACTTGGAGGTTATATTACATTACATTCTGATTATGTTCTATGTTTGAATATATGACACAAACTAAATCTTCAGCAAGAATTAATTAGCAGCAAACTATTAATTTGTGCTCCATCATACTTCTTTGGATAAAGATAATTATTTGTTTGTAGATAGGATATTCTGCCCTTATTAAAACTACCCATGCTATTAGTAAATTCCTTCTCATTTGATAATCTTGTCTCAATGCTTTGAGAAGTTGTCCTGTTAGGTGCTGCAAGGCATTCACTGTCAAATTAGGACTGGCCCCTACCATCTTGCAAAAGAGACAGGTGCCCAGTGGACAGTGAAGCAGGGGAGAATAGAGTAATGGTCAGGAGAAGGGCATCATGAAAACCTGAGGGCTCCAATGCAGAGAGAGTGTGGGGCTACGGAAACAGTTTGGGCTTTAGGAGTCAGGCTGATTTGGTTTCTAATCACACTCTGGACTTTAGAACTGGATAGCCTTGTACATGTTACTGATCTTTCCTAAGTGTCAGTTTTTTTCATTTTTCAAATGAGAGGAATATAGGACATATCTCATACATTGGATAACCATTAGCGTTTACCATATATTCAAGAAATATTAAATCCTGTCACACACTTTGCCTCCTTTCTTTACCATCTCCTTCTTTTTCCTCAACTCGTATTTTTCCTCCCTTTTTTCATCTCTCCTCAACCTCTGATAGGACAGATTGAAAAATATTTGATGGACTAGGCATTATTTCGTATCAGCCATTGTATATGAGTAGTGTTTTAAATTCTAAATATTGTAAATTATAAGAAGTAATTATATGTTAAATAAAGTTTACAACTCCAAACATCCTTAATCACATTGCTAGCAAAAATTTATTGATTTAGTTTTTGAGATGGAGTCTCTCTCTGTCACCCAGGCTGGAGTGCAGTGGCACATTCTCAGCTCACTGCAACCTCTGCCTCCCGGGTTCAGGCAATTCTCCTGTCTTAGCCTACCAAGTAACTGGAACTACAGGTGCCCGCCACCACACCCAGCTAATTTTTGTACTTTTAGTAGAGACAAGGTTTCACCATATTGGTCAGGTGGATCTCAGACTCCTGACCTCAGGTGATCCACCTGCCTCAGCCTCCCAAAGTGCTGGGATTACGGATGTGAGCTACTGTGCCTGGCCCAAAAATCTTTCTATCTTTACTTATTAACTACTACTTATTCCTAATTTTATGTAGTTAAAAACCACAACCTATGTATTATTTTAATGTTTACCATGTTGACTTAATGCTAGGTAATTAATATCTTTGCATATTTCTCTCTCCTTTGTACTTACAGTTGTATTAGGTTACCAAAAGAAATTATGATCACTTCTATAATGTCCAATATTTAGATGGTTTTATTTTTGTCTTCTGTTATATAAGTGTCTGCTAAAAATATTTTGGAACCACTGCTCTAGATGATTTGTAAGATCTTTAACAACTCTTACATTCTGTGATTGAATTAGTTATGTAATAGCCCATAAAATGCCCAAGCCACAGCCCTTCCTTCCTTTTTTCCTTTCGTAGTTCTCCTCCTCCCTCCCTCCTTTTCTTTTTCCTTCCCTGCCTTTCATAAATATTTGTGAACTGCTACTCTGGGCCAGATGCCACTGTGGGCACTGGCAGAACTGGGCCCCCTGTAGATCAGATAGAAACAAATGGGAAGCTCTGGGCCATTGCCTTCAAAAGGCTTTCTTATTCCAGAGAGGTTTTTGACATAATCCTCCCCTCCCCACCAGCCTCTGCTGTGACCAGCTTCTTACTTGAATTACCCTTCAGCTCCCTCGCTCAGCTTCATGCTCAGCATTTGCCCAGACTCTGACCTCTTCTCCATTGGGATCTTTTTCTTGGTCTCTTGGTTCCAGACTCACCCTCATCCCTACCTTGCCTTTTGTTTTCCTCCCAATTTCTTGGCTTCTGGCTCTAGACAGGATATGGCTGTTCCTGCTTTCAAACCTGTCTATTATTCCCAACTTAATCTGTCTGTCAGTGACACCTTCTCTCTTGCTTTACTGAAAGGCATGGCACCTTAATCTGTGAGAGGGGTGGGAAGCTTCAGCCTTCTACCTGGTTCTTTAGTTTCTCTAACTTAATCCTTCAGAAGATGGCAAGTCTTTACTTTTGGATTCTGGCAATGTGGCCCACACTTTCGTGTTGAATTACAGTCATGGTATGTAGTTTTTTTTTTGTTTGTTTGAGACAGAGTCTGGCTCTGTCGCCCAGGCTGGAGTGGAGTGGCACGATCTCGGCTCACTGCAAGCTCCGCCTCCTGGGCTCACGCCATTCTCCTGCCTTAGCCTCCAGAATAGCTGGGACTACAGGCACCCGCCACCATGCCTGGAGAAGTTTTTGTATTTTTAGTGGAGACAGGGTTTCACCATGTTAACCAGGATGGTCTCGATCTCCTGACCTCGTGATCCACCCGTCTCGGCCTCCCAAAGTGCTGGGATTACAGGCGTGAGCCACTGCGCCCAGCCCATGGTATGTAGTTTTATCTTTGACTTTAAAATGTTTTACCCATCCTATTATCATGAATTGACTTCTTCCTGTATTTTTTGGCAGTATGTTGAGCACAAGGGTTAATTGTATAATTAATTTCAGAAAGTTAATATAGTTAATCTCCAAAGCTCTCTGTTAGTATGAGTGAGAAATGAGTAAGGGCGTAACTACTGTTATAGGTGTTTAGATGTCATAATCAAAGTCAGGGACAACATTCTGTAATGATCCAGAGTATGGGAGTGTGAGGGACACACTATGAGTTGGTGGCTCTTCATAACCACTATTAATCATAGTATGTTTTTTTTTATGACCCAGCAATGCAACCAATGTTCTCATTTTATTTTTCTTGGTATTCTTAGCACAGGGCCTGGCATATAGTAGGTGGTTATTAAATACTTGATAACTAAATGAGTGATGCTTTTTCTTATGAGAGAAAATAAATGTTTTTAGAAGAGTCAGCTTTATACCATGGTTTCAGGGGATGAATTGTGATGAAAAGTGAAGATTGCTTTTGCTTGAAAGAGGCTGACTATTTCCCAGACCCAGGATCACTTTCTGTGGTGTATGATTTAAGGGTGAGCGAGCATGCCAAAGCGCTCCACTTGAGCTGAGTGATGGGGAATGAGTTGTAGAGCTGTGGTCTTAGATGGTATTTTGTGAAAAACAGTGGGAGATTTATGGCTATTAAACAACTTTGTAGCTGCCCCCTTCTTGTTTCGAAGTCTGCCAAATCTCTCCTCCTGTGGTCTGTATCAGGTTCTTTCAGTGCATCCAGGACATTCAGAGATATCCACCGGACTGTAGTTTTTCATTGAATGCACCTATTGGAAAGGGGCTTGAATTTTATGCATTTATCAGTTTTGGTAATCACCGAGTGAAATTCTCGCTTTGCACGTCTGTTGTAGAATACACTGTATGTGCATTGAATCTTTTCCAAGCGGGTTGCCAAAGTTCTACCTTCCTTCTTTCCATTATGGATATTGCAGAGTGCAGTATATTAGTGGCTACTGCCTTTATTGATGTGAGTTTTAAAAATTATTAGTAACTCTTTGATCGTGAGCAGGAGAAGAATCAAGTAACCTTCAGAATGCTTTGATGTATCTTCAGCAGAAGGATTTATAAGGCCAGAATGAGTGTTTCAAGCCTTGCGGGGGAAGGGGATACATATTTACCATCATCTGCTTTTTTCTATTCTAGAGCTCACTCTCAGTAGCTCTAGAAGAAACAGAAATGGGATATTTCATCACAAAAAGTCAATCAGAGGTGGCATTCATCCATGTTATACAAGTACTAGAGAATTGTTACAGGAATTTTTCTCTCATTGTGGGTTCATGTCAATATAGGAGTGCATGGATTAGAAAAGAAATAGGGCCTTTTGGTGTTTTTAAAAAAATTTCAGGCTTAAGTCTGAGAAATTCCAAAATGTAGAAAACTTTTAAAAATAATGAACACATGTAGAGATCATCCAGAATTTGTGGTTTCTAATATTTTGACATTTGTTTTAAGTCTTCTTTAAATGAAAGAAAGAACATCATATATACAGCTGAAGTTCCTTTCTCTCCACATCACACTAGCCCCAGTCCTACTACACTGCCCCTTGGCAGAAGCAAACATTTTCATGAATTTAGTGTACATTTTAAAATAATTTTTAGGTGTTTCCCTGCATACATGAAATCAACAAATTTTATATTTCCATAAATATTATATTACATTTATCATTTTGCAACTTGCATTTTCACTCTGTATTAAATTTTTAGACCTATTCAAAGCAAGATATAGAAATCAGGTTTTTTTCTCTTAAATACTAAATATTATTCTGTCTTACTGATATACAACATTATTTTTATTTATTTTCCTCATCGACAGACATTTGAGTTAATTCCAATTTCTTCTGTTATAAATAATGCTGCAATAAACATTGTTTTATGTCTCAATTTGCAGACCTGTGTGAGATTTTCCGTAGAGTATATATTTTAAGTGAAATTGCTGCACCAATTTTCAATTTTATTAGAGATTGCTAAGTTACTCTTTAAAGTAGTTGAACGAATGTACATTCCCACCAGCAAGGAATGAGAAGACAACAGTTTCTTTTTCCTTTGTTCTCACTAGTACCTGCTATTGTGAGACTTAAAAGTTTGTCAGTATGATGAGTGGAAAAATCGTATCTTGTTTTAATTTGCATTGCCCTTAGTCCTAGTAAATTTCAGCAACTTCTCTTATGTTTATTGACTGTTCAGGTTTTCTCATCTTTGAATTTCCAGACATTTCCTTTGTCTATTTTTCTATTGATTTAAAGACATTCTTTTTTTTTTTTTAAATTTGGATACTAATAATTTATTGTAGATGTTGCAAATATTTCCTGACAGGAGAATTTAAAAAGTAAAATGTAAAACTATAATTCCTTGCCATAGGCATTTAGAAAATGTGGCAAGAGCCAGGCGCGGTGGCTCATGCCTGTAATCCCAGCCCTTTTGGAGGTCGAGGCAGGTGGATCACCTGAGGCCAGGAGTTGGAGACCAGCCTGGGCAACATGGCAAAACCCCATCTCTACTAAAAATGCAAAAATTAGCTGGATATGATGGCACGTGCCTGTAATCCCAGCTACTCGGGAGGCTGAGGCATGAGAATTGCTTGAACCAGGGAGGCAGCGGTTGCAGTGAGTTGAGATCGTGCCACTGTATTCCAGCCTGGGCAAGAGAGTGAGATTCTGTCTCAACAACAACAACAACACATTTGCCAAGGATTCAAAGATTTAAGAGTCTTTATAGTCTTGAAGATTCATATTTACTCAAATTTGCTTATTCTCATTTTAGGCATATCTTCTTAACCCAGGTAAAAGAAAACATTATTTAAATTTTCTATTACTGCATACTCAATATACGATGGGTGTACTGCCTCAGTTTCAAGGCAAGTTCTTTATTCTTTGGCAGATACAGTATAAATTTAAGACATTTTCTTGTCCACTTCTTTCCTATGATAATTGTGTCTTTCTGAATTGTACATCTAATCCTAAGGTTCAGAGAACCAGTGTGAACATCACTGTTGAAAGGATCACAAGGGCTTCATTTTGAAAAAAGCCAAGTCAAAGAGCTGGTAGTTGGATCATTGATTTGTAGTTGTTTTCCTAAACATCCAGCCATAGAAGTCCCACCAAAAGGCATAGTTTGCAAAATCATTCTTTCCTGGATTATTTTCCATGATGTGAGTTTATCAATGGACACTGAGCAGGAAAGTAATTAAGTGCTGGTCATAGAATGATGACTGCAAAACAACAGAAGCCACACCATTTTTTGCTCTACCTACAGTACGAAACAAAACTAAATATCTCTTTTACGCTTGGTTACAGAATTCTAATGTGTAGCACAGTCAGAGATGTTTCTGAAAAGGTAGCATTTGTTCCAGTAATTGTAGAAAAAAGCTGTCATCAAATTGTCAACAGCCCAAATTGAGATTAAAAGTTCTAAGAAATATCACTACACAACAAACTAAAACTCATGTTGGATTTTTGGGTCTTTTTTTTAGCAATGAGATGGAGCAGAAATATTGACAGCTATGGCTTCCTATGGAGGAAGTATGATAGATCTAGGGAGGATGACCCCTGTACCCTCACCCCATATGTCCTGCCTCAAGCATTAAATAGATGCCCTATTTAGGACACTATCCTCATGTTTCATTCATCAGGTAGAAATTACAGGAGACCTTGAATACCCAATAGAGAGACACTTGGTGACTGTAGTATTTGATTTTTAATAATTTTGGGCTCTACATTCTTGCAGTGTGCTAAAAAGTGGAAAAGTCTTACCTACTTTAAAACACGTTTTTCTTGGTGGTTAAGCTTTTATTTTTGTGGACCCAATAGCCTTGGATCCAAATTTAAACACCATATATTTGCCTTGGAGCTGGAGTGAAGAAATGCTACCTGAAAACTGTTTTCTACCTAGGGACAGAGCTTCTGATTTTGCTCCACTCACACTCTTCCTGTAAGTCTCCACTGAAAGCCGCTTAGTCAAACGTCTCAAATGTCAGAAATGAAATTTAAAGGGTTTTTCTAGCAAGTAGGTCTAATCTCCTACTTAGTTTTGATTCCTATAATATAGGTAATCTCTTTGGAGAAAAGGCCTGCTTTTAGAAGGGCAAATATATCCCATAGAATGTATTTCCCGCTCCGGAAAGAAAAATGTAGCATTAATGAAATTTACTTTTTCATGAAGCTTGGAAAGATTGTTAGCTTCGGATTTTGATCCTAGCAGATGTTCTTTTTGGGATATTAAAAAAAAAAGCTACATTTGATTTAGGAATCTCAGTTAAGAGTTACAGCGGTAATGCTTCTTGCTACTAGCAGCTACACTGTGAGTGTGGCATACTGGCCATTGGTTCTGAGTGATAGCTGACCCCAAGCTGAAGTACTTTCTTTTGGCTTTAGCTCACAAGGATGTTGGGTTCTGAAAAGAGAGCCTTAGCAGCCTGGGCCATCTTGGACACAGTTCTATGGTTAAAGAGTTGTCTGCGTACAGTGAAAAAGCATCATCCTAGATGTATGTTATGTTATTTTCTTTTAGGCCTTGGAGTGACACATTTGTTGATAACCACTACATCCCAAATCCAAATTTCAGACGTATTTCTCACTGCTGTTGTTAAACTGAGCCAGAATCCCCAGTACACAGCACAAGACAATTTATATCCTTTCCTATGGTGACTTCATTCTGCCAAGTCTTTCATGCCACTGGGCTCATGGAAGTCAGCCCTGGTTTTCCCCATTTATCCTGGGGGCAGAGCTTAACCTCTTCACTAGTATCCAAAGAAATCTGCTCATAGCCAGCCTTTACTTTGTGGGAATTACTGGGTGAAGGCCTGATAGAAATCTAAGCCTTTAACTTTTCCTGTCTTCTGCCTCTCTCTTTTTCCTCCTCCCTCCTTTCATTTCAGCACATAAACTGCCCCCTTTTCTTAGAGCTATTCCATATGTACTGAGGCCCCTCAAAGCTTTGGATCTTACCCAACACTTACCAGAATATTATCTCAACAAAAACAGCTCTTGCTTCCTAAGAAGTATCTTGGTGAATAATATTTTCTCCAAGCTCAGATCCCAAGGAGACAGGTCTGGTAAATGAGGGTATTTGGTATTTGGTGTTTGGTGTTGCTTCATGTTGACTTTGCTTTTGTCACACAGGCTTCTAGTGAGGACGTTGCCAGCTCCCCGGAGCGCCACTACACGCCCTTGCCTTCTGCTTCCAGGGAACTCACCAGTCACCAAGGTTGGAACTCAGCTTTTTATTGCTCTCAGTGGGTGCAGGGAGGGACACTTGGCTGTGCAGAGCTCTGGCTCATTACTGCTGCCTCGGCACTTTAGAAAGAACACAGTGCTTTTTAAGTCCTTGATGAGAAAACCATACCTGTCACACGTAGTGATTTTAACCCATATTAAACAGAATTTAGTAGCAGTCTATTCAGGAGGCAAATAAATCTACGGTATAATATAATTTTGTGATTTTTTTTTCTTTAAATAAAGAGATTAGAGTACTTAAAAATTATCAAGGAGATGTTAACTCCAGTATTAGTGATGGAGAGAAATTGGGAAACTCACTAACATTTATAAAAGTATCGTTGTTTGAGAATATAACAATTAACAGCTATAATTTCAAAATGAATGAACTCTATGTTATAACTAAAAGGAATTCCAATTTGCCTGGCAACATTGAGAGAAGCCATGTGCAGTTTTTGCTGAATTCTCTTATTTTCAAAATATTAATTTGGTTTACTCAGTTTTTCCAAAGCCTTGCATGTCTGTTGCCATCTCTAGAGTCTTCAGCTTCAAAAGCAGACAGAACACTGACATGAAATATCATTTGAAAATGTCTTATCCCTAAGTTGGCTGTTTTAAATATTGTTTCCCCAAGAAGGAAATTCCACTTGTACACGTAAAGGTGAAAGTGAACAGGGGCTATTCTAGCATTGTCATCCCAGCAGCATTGCAGGATGAGCAGGTGGAAGAACAGGCTGTGGTGATGCTCAGAAAGTAGTGAATCTGACCCTCCAAGTCACCGTCTGGGCTCTGGGCAAATGGGATACTTGTATTCTGCAGGAAACGAAGAAGAGAGTAGTGCAGGATTTCCGATGTCTGTGGCTTGGACCTGTGTTGCCTGTTTGGTGTTTGGGCATCAATAGAACTTTTCTACATTTAAATATACTTTAGTTAATTTTGTGAAAAATCAATTTTGCTCAAAGTCAGGGAGAATAAGCAGCTGCCAACCTGCTATGTTTTGAGGGGCATGAACAGGTCTCTTTCACTGAATGTCCTTTTGAAGGTCTTAAGCATACATCCCTTTCGAGACTGTTTTTGGGGGAATTTCCCTAAAATAACACCACATCTAGATGGAGCAACAAATTAACCCTTAAATTAGCCTCATATCCTCATGTGTTTATTTATTGGTTTCTTGTATTTGAATAAGGGTATTTTTACTTTAGAGTCATTGAATAAGTTGCATAGAAACTGAAGTCTCAGAAACCTCACAGCCACTTGTAAAGTTTATCTGGCCCTGAAATTGAGATTTCACTATGGAGAGATATGATCAGATAGATGATAATCATTAGGAATAGGGCAAATATCATCTGTCATTTTTAACAGTAATATAAAAAATCTGAGACTTGAAGAAAGGAAATATAACACAATATAGTTTTAAAATATTTGGAGTAATATTTGGAATATGGAAAAATGCCTAAAGTAGTTAGAGTTCAAATAAGTGCTCTTGGATGACATCAGGGCTTAACATCAATGAGAGAAATGTAAAGACGTTATTTAAAGAGAGCCAACACAGACATCTCAATTTTACTGAAGAAAATCCCTACACATTTAACATGTTGGTTGCCTGACCAGTGCTGACTTGGTTGTTGATAAAAGCAAGTCCATATCATAAAATGACGTTCTTTGGGCTGATGGCCATAAGGAGACCAATAGAGAGAAGACCGAAGAAGTTCATTAAAGCTGGATTATTGAACTGATCTATGTAGGAGAAAGGTGAGACTAATATATTTCAGCTTAGCATAAACCAATTTGGCTTGAACCAACTTGGCTTTCCCCAAGTGAGAAAGCCATTATTTTTTGGCACTAAAATGAAACCACTTAATACTATCTCATTTTTTTAGTATTTAAAAGAATTATTTCAAGTTTCTGATCATGTACATCACGAAAACATTTGAATGTCATTTGTTAATACCTTCATGCAAACAGCTTACAAACATTTATGCAGAAGGGGACATTTCATGGTGTGAGGACAAATTACATCAATTCTTTCTCAAGTGAAATTCTCCATGATGTCTGAAACTTTTGTCTATACAATCCTCAGTGGAAGTTCTATTTGCAAATAATTTTTTATTCATCGAGTTCCCAATCTCTTTTCCTTCCACACCAACAACTACAAAAACTGGCGGGCAGTAGTTCATGTGCAAATTGCTATTTTTCTGTACATGCCATTTTCCCTTTACTTGTCCTTTTATGTAACTTCCAATGTCAACTATGATAGGTCCAAGATTCATGTCCTAAAAACTGTAGATTCAAATGCAAAGGAAGTCCGGGCTTAGAATAATGATCAGGAGACCTGGGACTCAATTTTTCCATCTGTTGCTTGTAGATAATCCATATATCACAGGGATAGTAACATGTCGTATTTTGCTTCCTGCATGAAACTTTTACTGATCTGAGTTATGTTGATTTTCTTCTTTCTATAGGTATGTCTGATATTTGTTTCTATCTTCTAGGTGCAATTGTTCATATTCTACTTTGTATGATAGAGGTCAGGTTATGTGTATCTTAAACTCCTCATAAATGAAAACTCCCTGAGAGGCAGCAGTAAGTCCAAATCATCTTTTTTTTTTTTTTTTTGAGATGGAGCCTCACCCTGTCACCCAGGCTGGAGTGCAATGGCACAATCTTAGCTCACTGCAACCTCCGCCTCCTGGGTTCAAGCGATTCTCCTGCCTCAGCCTCCTGAGTAGCTGGGATTACAGGTGTGTGCCACCATGCCTGGCTAATTTTTTGTATCTTTAGTAGAGACAGGGTTTCACCATGTTGACCAGGCTGGTCTCGAACTCCTGACCTTGTGATTCACCTGCCTCGGCCTCCCAAAGTGCTGGGACTACAGGTGTGAGCCACCACGCCCAGCCTCATCTTCTCTTTGACATCAGTGACACTGCCCATTCTTCAGGTATCAGCTTACATATCACAGCTCCAAAGGAAACTTGCCTGATACCCCCTACACACTTATATTAGGCCAGTGTTCCCTGTTCAGGGATTATCTTCCTAGAAAGGCCATAAGCTGTTGGGAAGAGTGGTTGTGATTACATATGTTCACCACTTTATCTGCAATGCCTGGCACAGGGCCTCCT
Organism: Homo sapiens; assembly: GCF_000001405.40. Classification (NCBI taxonomy): domain Eukaryota; kingdom Metazoa; phylum Chordata; class Mammalia; order Primates; family Hominidae; genus Homo; species Homo sapiens. The sequence continues at coordinate 76,327,613 of NC_000010.11, forward strand.
ACCTAAATGGCGCTCCACATATATTTGTTCAGTAAAGGCTGAGTAATAGGAACCCAGGGGAAGGGTGAGTATCTTAGTCACCTCTGCGAGGTAACTTGATTGCATGTGAGAAAGGAGACCCTGCTTCCTTTGGGGGTGAACACACTAAAGGGAAAGGTCCAGCTGTGTGGACCTCAGACCTCAATTCTGTTGCTTTCATAAACCCAAACCATCAGGGATGGGTGTCATATGTGTTCATTCATTACCAGAAAGCATTTAGTCACAAAGCCTAACTTCTAGATAGTTGATTATTTTAATGTTGTAGTTTTCAAGCATTGGCGGTTTGACGGTAGGGAAGGGAATAGGATGAATTGAAGTAACTGATGGAATTATTTTACTAGAACAGAAACTCTCAAGGAAGGGGTCAGACTCTCAGTAAGATACAGATTGTGGTACACACATGGATTTAGAATGGTCCACCTGAATTCTTTCTGAGAATGCTGCCCTGGGTTGGAGCATATCTTTGGAATGAGGAGGACATGGGAATGTGTCAGTAATCTCAGTTGTTCCCTCGTGGCAATCTACATATTGTATCCTTGGCTGTGTCCATGTTATGAGGAGCGCTAAAATATCTGTTGGAGAAATGTCCCTTTAAATATATTACGAGTACAGGACATGCCCCAGCGTGCCAGGTATTGCCGTTCTTTATCTGGTAGCTCTTAGAAGTAGAATTCACATTTGTACAGGGCATTATGTCTTTTGGGGAAAACATTTCTATTTAGAATGTAAACTATATCATCCTCAGGGTAACCCTGTAAAGTGAGGAGTGCAAATATTTTTCCCATTTAACAGAGGGAGACATCAAGAATTGCTGGGGATGATGGAGCAACTCAACAACAGGCAAGGGAAACAAAATCAAAGCCCTGTGCCCTTAATTCTCAGGTCCCCCTGACCTTTGTCCTTTACCCAGTGCGTATGAAGCAAGTGTAGGTAGGACTAACTGTGGCCTTGAGCTGGAAGGAAGAGTCAAAAAAGTAGAGGGAGAGGCATGGCCTGGAAATGTTCACCACTGCCATGCGTTTCCAAAGCCTGTGCTAAGGCTGCTAGGAGCTACAGCATCCCACTTGCCTGCCTCTGTCAAAAGAATTGCATTACTCCTGCCCTGCCATTCTGTATTTTTAAATTACAGAACAATAAAATCAGGAGTGGAGAAAATTTGAAAACAAAAAGGGTGAATGCTCCATGTCAGTCTGGATTCAGACAGGGAAAATAGAAGGCACTGTATGTATTCCAGTAATGAAGAGTTTTAATGGAAGGAATTAGAGGTGCTGCCACCACCCAGAGTCACAACCTCAGCACTGAACCAGTGATTCTCAGGAGCTTGCTGGAAAGTTTCTGTGGATCACAGGAACATCTGGGTGTCTCCCACTGACTTTCTCTATCTGAAGCACCAGTGAGGGGATTCTCACGTTCACCTGGAGACTGTTTCAGTCATTGCTGTTATCCATGCGTTGCCCTGCTCCTCCATCTCTCTAGATTTCCAAATCATACTCCAGCATCTCTCTTTGGCCCAACTCTAACCTAGGCTGATTCACTGAAGGCGATTCTCCGATGTAGTTTTCAGTTCTCCCTCGAAGCTACAGAGAAAACCTTAGAAGAAAGCAGATGGTGGTAATGGTAAAACAGATAATCCAGCACATCTACCATAACCCTGCCTTGCCAATAGCTATCATGTGGAGGATCTCATTTCAACTTGTCTGCACGCACATTTTGCAAGATAATTGCAAGCCTAGTGAATGTCCCTGAATTATTTATTTCCTGATGCTTATACTATAGTCTTGAAGATATGCCATAGTTAGCTTGCCATATTAAACATTGAACTTGAAATGTGTAAAAGAAAGAAAGCAAAAAGAAAAAAAATGAAGAGGAAATTTGCTGTGAAACTTGCTTAGAGATGATAACCTTTCTACTTTGACTATTGTTGGCAATCTTGCCATTATTTTTATTGACACAGTTGTTAGGTACTCATCTTCCTCTCCAACCAGGGGCTTGGTCTATTTGTGTTTGAAATTGATTGCTGGGACTGTCACAAAGTAATTTATATAGCAACTTATTATAATTAGTTATCATTTGCAGTTTCCTAAATGTGAGTTGCATTTTATGCTTAGCAATTGATTTTTCTGTATATCTCCATGAAGCAGCTCAATGTATGCCATCCAAAAAAGAAGAAAAAGACCGAAAGAAAAACTGTGTTTTTTTAAATTATTTAAAACATTTTTAGCCTGAGATATCATAAAATACGTTTCCACAGAAGACATAAATACAGAGTGTTTTGCTTCAACTCATTAAATCGCCAAAGTGAAAGTGAATAAAAGGAAATTTAAATGTCTGTATGTGAAGAGGTAGCAATGTAGACAAAAATGTTTGGGATGGGGAGATGTTGGCCAGAAAAACTTCATGCCAACAAGCATAATGCTTTCAGGAGGGCTCAAAAGGAAGTTACTTGATGACTAAACTATTGCTCACAATTTGTTTTGGGCTTATAGGATTCGGAGGTGCAGGGGCAGAATGATGCGATACTTTTCCTCATCTATTATAAGGGTCACAGCCCATAACAAAAGACAGGTTAACAAGAGAAGAGGATAAGAAATTTACTTAATCAAAGTTTTCTGAGATGGGGGGGCCTTTAGAAATGAAAGGGAAAACTAGTTTTATGCTTATGTTGATGAAGAATGGACAGCTGTGTAGAAACATGGTTAGACAAAGGGTATGATCTAATGGGAATAGATTGAGGGGAAACCTAGCAAGGCCTGTCTGTTCAGATTCTTCTTGGCCTCTCTATGTAGCATTCCTTCCCCTGGTTATAGGACAGAACCCTCTGAAATGAGAGTCTTCAAAGGAGAAGAGAGAGTGTGAATTTTCTAGGTTTTATGGCTGGCTTTAAGGGATAGGATTCTAGTTTCGATGACCCCACTTAGGGAAGAGGAATTCTGGTTTCTATAACTCACTGCAGGGCAGAGACAGAGGGATGAGGGAGCAGGTAAGAGAAGGCCAGAGAGACCTTGCTTCTGAGGCCCTTCCAGTGTCTTTTGTTTCAAAGCACTCAGCACGTCAAGGTGCCACAATTTCGGGTATTGTGTTTTGAGCCCTGTCAGAGGCAGTATGTCTCTTTTAGCCAACTTTTAGTTTTTCATTTTTAGATTTCTACTATCTTTTCATGTCAGCCACAGGGAATGTGAAAGCTAAGTAGGTCTGATCATTATAAACAAAATCTACAGAAAACAATAGCAAAGACTCAGGAAAATAGATGCATTTATTTAGGCCAGCTTAATAGCTTAGCATCAAGGAATCTTTTGCCTACTGCCTCTTGGTTATCACTGACCATTTATAAACATGAGGCCAGGTGCCGTGGCTCACGCCTGTAATCCCAGCACTTTGGGAGGCTGATGCAGGTGGATCACTTGAGGTCAGGAGTTCGAGACCAGCCTGGCCAACATGATGAAACCCCATCTCTACTAACAATACAAAAATTAGTTGGGTGCAGTGGCAGGCACCTGTAATCCTAGCTACTTGGGAGGCAGAGACAGGAGAATTGCTTGAACCCAGGAGGCGAAGGTTGCAGTGAGTGGAGATCGTGCCACTGCACTCCAGCCTGGGCGACCAAGTGAGAGTCCGTCTCAAACAAAACAAGCAAACTAACAAAAAGATGGGATGAACAACCTGATGGTTCTGGAGCCTTTGCCACATAGGTCTCACCTAAGGTCAGGCCCTATGAGTGAGACAGCCTGCTTATATATTGCCTTCTGCCTTCCAGAATATTTTTATTAGTCTTTCAAGAGAGCTAAGCATCAAATAATTTCTCAAAAAATTGTCAATGACTCATTGAAAGTTCATAGAAGCACAACAGATCCAAATTTCTCCTGTGGATAATGTATTGAAAAGTGGCAAAAGGAAAGAGAGAGAAAAGAAAAAAGAAAAAAACCTCCTTAGAGACAAGAATATGTTTTTGTCCAGGGGTCCTGTCAAATAAGAGTATGGCCTTGGCTTGTATCTTTTAGACTTCTTGCCACCACTGTGCCTTGACTGTGTGGGGGAAGAGTGTGTTGGTTCCTCGTGCAGAACTATTATTAGCATTTGCTAATTATGTAAAATGATTTCCTCTGATGACATTTTCAACAGAACCCATTACTTTAGTTTTCTTTCCTTCATAATGCTTTTATGGGCTTATAATCTTGGTGGAATTCTCAGATGCTGAGAGATGCTAAAGTTTCCTTTATTTAATCGAGGTGACTAGTGATTTGACAGTAGTGGTTGACAGGTTTATTTTATCTGCGTGGCAGTAGGAGTCTATTTTCAGTGTGTGCACTCTGTTCCAAAGTAAAAGGACTTTACTAAGTGCTGAATAAATTGTACTTTCCTTTGATTCTAGACCTTGCTGAAATGGTTTAAAAACTCCGGTCTGGGTCATCAAATTCATCTCCTTGCTACTTTGCAGGGTCAATAGCTTCACTCTGTACAGAGCCGGGCTGGGTGGATTGGAATGGAGGGTAGTGTAGATTAAAACTTCCGCATATATATAGATAGATGTGCATGTGTGCACTCGCTGTCTGCGAGGGTGGCAGTGATGGAAGAGCAAGCCAAGTGGAATTGAAGATGGATGAATCTGTTAGACTATTACCAAGACTGGCATGGAGTTTAGCCAGGAACTTTAAGCAACCTCCTTTAAACATTTGAAATCCATAGGGGTCCATTTCCTCTCCTTTTCCTCCAAGGATGATTTTTCATTTGCAGTCTCTGAGATTGCTTTATTTCTATTCTTTGGGCAGAATTGTGGTATACTTGTAGACAGAGAAGGGCTACGAATCTGGTTTTTCTCTCCCAGAGCAAAGCAAGGAGGAAAAAATGGATTTCAGTTTTCCCCTGCCCCTCAAATAGTAGCAAACCCTACTTCTGTAAAATGAGAGGTCAGAATGACAACTCTTCCCCCAACAGACAGTCCCAATAAAAAATGATAGTAAAAACATGCTCCCTTTATCTTAACAAAATGGAAGCCTAGAATGTACAGGGTGGAAGGTTCTAAATGTGCTTATGTTTTAGAGTCCTGGGCTGTTTCTTGCCCCTTTTTATAAAGAAAAAAGTATGATATGGTCAGTAAGACAAAGATTGCTATGAGCACAGTCATTCAAGAATCTCCCCAACATGTCTTCATTTAGTACCTATTGTGTACTGAGTGTATTGTTAGGATTTGTGGAGAATTCAGAAATAGAGAATATTATCTCTATCTTCTAGGAATTTATGGTTTGATTGAGGAGATCCCAAAAATGAAGTAATACCAACCAAACAATATATTATATATTACATAAATAAGAGCTCTATTAGTTGGTAAAAGCTGCAAATGCTCTCAACGTTTAGAAAAGATAGCGTGCAATGTAGGTGAGACTACTCAGGCATGACTCTTTGGAGGATGTTGGCACTGAGCTTTGAAGAACATGTTAAGTGGAGAGCAAAAGAAGGGCATTCCAGAAAGATAAATGGGTAAAGATAAAGCACAAGGACAAGAACAGGTAGAACTGATGAGAGAAAGGGACCCTGTTTTGAAAAGGTCAGAAATAAGGTTCCTTATGTAGGATAGGTCCACATTATGGCAGGCCTTGGACAGACAGAAGGGTTTATATTTTATTTAAAACCATGCTGTAGGATTATTAATCTGCAAGCAGTATCCAGGGGTAATTGGAAAGGAGAGAGCCTGGATTCAAGGAGGCCATGGTGGGATGGGATTGGAAGGAAATTGTTTCAGTCTTAGAAGCCTTAGATTTCCAGATAACCAGGTTCTGTGCCCATAGACTGTGATGCCTCCAAAGAGCAGGTTTCTAGCAAAGGTAATTTAGAAAACAACTTGGTAACAGATGGGGAAGACAGCTGGGGCCTGGATAGATACTGCCAGGAGAGCAGGAGTGGGGGCCATGCACAGGGAACCTTATGGCCACTATGGAGTTGTTGTATGAGGTTGCTGATGGTTTGGTCACGAGGGCTCAGGCATCAGAGAAACTGGACAGTCAGTGTTTTTCCTCCGCATGTTATTCAGAATATTTCTGATGTTGGCTTTTGAAACTAAAACACAGGGCCCAGGATAATGTTACAATAATCCAGCATTCGATGATCAAGGCCTGGAGTGGCTGGCTGGCTGACTGGGAGTACAAAAAATAAAGGAAGGAATATGAGAAACATTCTGTTGCAAACACAATAGACCGAATACTGATTATATTTCAGGGTAGAGAGAAACAGAGGACCAGAAAGCTATAAGGAAGCCAGCATGGTGTGTGGGAGGCTGTGGTCTCTGCCTGTTGCCCCTCTGTCGGTTCATCCTCATCACAGGATTCTCTCCCACCATTCATGCATGAACTCTAATCTGGCCTGTTAAATGGAAGACCGGTGGAGTTAATGTAGTGGAGCTGTGGCAGCAGGAACAAACGTACAAAAAGCAGGCAGAGCAGCCACAAACATTTGTTCTCATTCTAGCCTTTGGCTTAAAGATGAGCTTCATTCTCTTAAGAACTAATAAATGTCCAGGGTGTTTTATTTCTGAATCTTGGGCTCCTGGAAGGAGAGTGATTTGAAGCCAATGCTTTTGGTCTAAATTGTTCAGCCGTGAGCTCGGCCCAGTATTAACTTCCTAGTCCCAGTTCTTCTGACTCTTTTTATTTCCCTGTCTCTTGTAGAAAACTTTACCCCTGCCCCAGGTTTTTCCTCATGTAGTGATTTTACAACCTTTTTTGGAACAAATAAACAAACATCTGGAATCATGTGGCACATTTAATTAAAAAGTTTGCATTTGGCCAGAAATGGTAAAATCATGAAAAATGGCCTGTCGGTGAGCTCAAGAAGGCCAAATGATGACGTTGTTGGCTGCAAACGGACTGAAATTGAGGGAAGTGAACACCTGCTCAGCTCGGCCTGCCGTCCTCCAGCTTCCTCCTCCAGCCATTAATATTTACAGCAGTTTCTTTATCCATTCTAATGAAATTTTTTGGTTGGGGCTGGTCTGGGGAGAGGGCTGTTACTTTTCCAATAACCTTGGATTTGTTGTGATGTGTGTACTTTATAAAGGGTGTGGTATTGGGCTTTTTGGGCTTTTCATTTCCCTTGCTCAGAATTCCATATGCTTCAGGTCACTGCAGGGGCCTGTTGCTGTTTCTTCAATCAGTCACTCAACCATGGTTTTCATGAGAGCCGTAACATGTGGAACCCTGCACCAGGGCATGTAGGAGATGAAAAAGAAGCTGTGGGCTCTGCCTTCAGGAATCCTACAGTCTAATTGGAGACAAGGTCCTATGCAGAGAAAGCAGAGGCCAAGCTAGATGGAAGAGTGCAGAGAAGGGAGGGATCTGTGATGATAGAAAGATTGGGAGGTGGCCTTGGATGAAGGTGAGAACTGAGTTGAAAGAACTTTCCCTGCGTGAGTTCCAAGTGTGAAAGGATTTAGGAAGAGATCAAGTTGTGGATTCTTGTCTAGTTTCTGGTCATAATCTAGGTGAAAGTAGGGGGTGGATCATTTAAAGCAAGAATTAGATATGATTATTCTACATTTCCAGTTAGCTTCTCCTTTGCAAGACATAGCTAGGGTGAAGTAAAATTTAAGTTTTGTTTGCAAATTAGGATAAAACATTAAGATGATCTGGCTTTGCAGAGTGTAGTGCTCTCATATGTCTCCCACATGAGGATTTATACCGAGGATGAGATTATTCTTAGGACAAAGTGAGAAGTTTTTCTTGTTGCACAGAATACAAGGGAAGTAGCCAGGTGCTGCAAATATAGTAAGCACTGTTTAGGTTAGATCCAAAGGAAGTATGAACCCATAGGTATCTGAGACATGTCTCACAATAAATTTAGAAAGTTTATTTTGCAAAGACTTAAGGATGCGCCTGTGACACAGCCTCAGGAGGTCCTAATGACATGTGCCCAAGGTGGTCTGGGTATGGCATGGTTTTATACATTTTAGGAAGACATGAGACATCAATCAAATACATGTAAGATATACATTGGTTTGGTCCAGAAAGGCAGATAACTTTAAGTGGGGGGAGCTTCCAGGTTATAGGTAGATTTAAAATTTTTCTGATTGGCAATTGGTTGAAAGAGTTGTCAATAGAAAGGAACAGCTGGGTGATATAAGAGGTTGTAGAAACCAAGGCATTATCATGCAGATGAAGCCTACAGGTAGCAGGCTTCAGAGAGAATAGATTGTAAATATTTCTTATCAGACTTAAGGTCTATGTTGATGTTAAATGCTGGTTGGCTTTTCCTGAATTCCAACAGGGAGGAGGGCATAATGAGGCATGTCCAACCCACCCCCGACTTTCCATCATAGCCTGAATCAGTTTTTCAGGTTAACTTTGGAGTGCCCTGGCCAACAGGAGGGAGTCTATTAAGATAGTTGAGGGAGGCTTAGAATTTTATTTTTGGTTTACAGAAGGATGAGTATTGTTTTGAACTAGGGTGTGGATTGGCAAGGGAGATAGAGAAATCACCATTCCCCAAGGCCTTTTACTGAAGGACATGCTCATCTCTCTTTGAGGTAGCCTGAAGGAAGTGAAATGAAACTTAAACAATTTTCAAATCCTGACTGGATGTAATCCTGGGTTCTCTATGTCAGTGCTGGTTCAGCTTTTTCATAAAATGAAATCAGGGTTTCACCTTGACCCTCCTGGACTTGTGCAAGCACAGGGAGATACAGGATCATGCTGGACGGAGCATAACTTCAGTTGCCAGAGGAGTTCTTAGTCCTCAGCTCTTTATTATTCTTGTGCATCTGTTTCCTTAAATACTCTCTGCAGAAGCATTAGCATGAAAATAAAAGAGTACAGCAACTTGGAATTTTCCATTTGTAGCTTCCTTAGTCTGTGGGGTCAAAGTTCTGTCCTCAGGGATGCTAATGCAAACTCTGTGTGCTGTTCCAGGGCAAATGTTTCTCAACTAAATGACAAGAGGGGGTGGGGAGCCAGGGAAATAATGCAGTGCTAATTCCCAAACACAGACTGCCCAGAGGTCCCAATTTAAATTGCTGCTTCCCCAACTCTATTCCCACCCTCCCCCAAAGGAAAAAAAAATATCCTGTGTTGTTAGGACAGACATCTGTGTGAGAGCAATAAAACAGTCTTCTCCCTTGTGGATTAGCTCTTTATTCCTTTATTTATCTTGCTATACCTCATCAGTTTATCCTAAATCAAGGAGAGTCAAAGAGGATAAGATGCAGTCCCTTTTTTGTTTTTGATTAAGGAAACCCATACAACCATCCTCCTACACAAATTTCTTTTCTCAAGAGATAGCTTTCCTTGTTATGTCTAATTTCTCCCCACCCCCCTTTTTTTAATCTGCCTCCTTGGAAACTCTCTGGAACTTTTATTTCATATAATGTTCAAATCAGAAAATGAAACTCCTCCAGAGACAGGTTAGATAGGGCAGTGAATGTTGGCATGTCTGCATGATTCTAAAGTACAAGGGGAACTAGGATAGCAGACTTAACATATTCCATAGCCTCCATTTCTTCTTCCAAATCCCTGGAAGTTTATTAATTCATTCAAGAGATATCTATAGAGCATGTTCTATGTGTCAAGCCCTGTTCAAAACATTAGAGATAGAGCTGTGCATAAAGTGGGCAAACATTTCTGCCTTCAAAGAGCTTATGTTCTAGTCAGAGAGAGGATCTATAACTAAGATAAAAATAAAACCACCACATGGTATATCGGTACTAAGATGAAAACGACAGCAGATCAAGGGCATGAGAGAGTATGTGTTGGCAATTTAAGATCTGACAGCCAGAGAAGTCACCACTGAGAAGATGATGGTGGAGTAAAGACCTGGGGAGGTGAGGCATGGAACCCTGAGAATGTCTGAGAGAAAAGTGGTCCAGGCTGAGGAAGGAGCAAGTGCAAGGCCCTGAGGTGGGAGCGTGCTCCTGGCATACATGAAGCACAACCAAGAGGTCAGTGTGGCTGGAGTTAGTAATCTAGGGGGAGAGTGGTAGATGAAGCCAGAACAATACCAGGGGCTAGAACTTGTAGCCCATTGTTAAATGTTAAACCCAGGAGCATTAAAATTTTAAAGAATTTATTTGAGCAGATGGTGATTCATGAATCAGGCAGCACTAGATTGCACGTGGTTCAGGGCTCCACCAAGAGGGTGTGAGGGAATATTTTTTATAAGGTGTTTGTGGAAGCCAAGACAAAGAAATTATTTGATTGGTTAAAGTGGAAAGTCCCAGTTAGAAGTTAGTTAGTGGTTTCTTGTTGGTTAAGCTTAAGTTTCATTTTACTGCTTACATTGACTTGGGTTTTGGTTTGCTTATGTAGGAATCCAAAGTGCTGGAACCATCTCAGCCTAATGGCTTCCTGATAGATTATTTTAACACTGTTTACTGTGACTAAGACAGGAAGCTATTTCAAGGCAGAAGAAATAATAGAAATGCTGTTACCCTTCTCCTTATAGAAAAAAAAAAAAACAATTCCCAAATGAATAACTAACTGGAAAAGAAAGAAAGGGTACTGCTTTTGATCAGAAACTATAGATTTCCTGCAAGATCACAGCCCAAAACAAATGCAACAGAGTTTCAAAATGCAGAACCAAGACCCAGCAGGGTGGCATATACCTACAAGCTCAGATATACCTGACGTAGGAGGACTGCTTGAATCCAGGAGTTTGAGACTGTAGTGTTGAGTGATTGAGCCTGTGAATAGCCATTGTATTCCAGCCGGGGCAGCATAGTGAGACACAGTCTCATAAATAAATAAATAAATAAATAAATAAATAAATAATAAATAAATGGATGTAGAACTAGCTTCAGGAGTTCTCTAAGCACAGAGAAAGCTACTGGGGGCCTCATAGCAGGCAATAATTTGGGCTTCCTCAGTGGGTACAGCCACATGGGTCACATTGTCTGTATACTTCTCTCCATCCTTAGTTTAGGCATCAAGTAACAGAGCTATCTCTAAGCCAGGGCAGTAAGTATGAGTGATTGGATCAGAAAAATAAGATGGCAAGAGTTGGTACAAATGTATTAAGTCATAATAAATGAGAATGAACTAGACTAAAAGACAGAGCACTACCAGATTTGGTTAAAAAAAAATGTAAAATAAAATACTTTTTCAAGAGGTGCATGTAATAAAATGACATAGAAAACTTGAAAATACTGGAATTAAAGGACAGAAATACTGGATACCTGCTAACACAAAATCCAGGAAGAGCAATGTTAATATTAGACAAAATAAGACTCAAGATGATTACTGAAATGACAAAGAGGGTTATTTTGTATAACTATGAAGATATAATGGGAATCTAAAACAATCATGAATCTTAATGTACCCAATGACATGGCTTTGAAATTCATAAAGCAGAAACTTCTAGAAATACCAGAAAAAACTAACAAAGTCACCATCATGAAGACTTTAGCACATCTCCTATGAAAATGACAGCTAAATGAATGGACTTTTTACAATACCTTCCTTTTGTTACATGGAAAATAAGGTGATATTCTTTAAAAACCTGTATGAAACAGTCACAAATTGGCTCATATCCACAAACTGGCTCATAAAGAAAAGTGTAACATGCTTCTTTCAAATTAACTGACCATAACTAAGTCAAATTAGAAATTATATTAAAAAAGGAAGACTTCCTTCCCCCTCCTTCCAAAAAAAAAAAAAAAAGTAAAAGAGGTAAGAAAAAGAACTATAGACTACAGAATTAGAAATAAATGAAGTTTTGGGTTTATGAGGAAATAGTATACAGTATACTTTAAGAGTAAATGGAAGTGATAACACTGTAGTATATTAAAAACTGTGGGATATACCAAAAGTCTAATTAAAGGATTTTTCCTCCTTAGAAACATAAACTGTAAAACAAGGAATAGAAGATAAAAATATATGAACTATGTTTTCATATATCCTAATTAAAAAACCAAGCAAACCTAATGACACATGGAAGGACTTAATAAAATAAAAACAATGTACAATATACTTTATCAACAATACCAACAGATATTTAAGAAAAAGGTGAGCCTAGCAGATCAAAGTAAGAAAAAATAGAGATTGACATTTAACATTAGGAATAATGAGACAAAAAAAACCCCACAAAGCTATTGAGCTTCATATTGATAAATCTGAAAATCTAAGTAAAACAAGTAATTTTAAGGCAATTATAGTTACCAGTGCTGTCTCAAGAAGAAATATAAGTCTAAACAGAGAAAAAAATAAGATGATAAAAGAAACTTTAAAAATAACCATATAGCCCTCAAAGAGAAGTAGCATCTCATCTTTTATAATTTATTCCAGAAAATAAAAAATATGGAAAATTACTCTTTTTCTCTTACTAGGAATCCATAACTGACCCTAAGCAATGTGAGAAAACATGAAAATGAAACTCTAGGTCAGTCTCTTTTTCAAATATGAATAAAGGAATCCTCCATGAGAAATTAACAATAAGACTTAGTAATGCATTTAAAAAATAGTACTTCCTGACCAAGTAGGGTTTATCTCAATATTGAAAGGTTAGTTTACTTTTAGAATTTATCAGTAAATGTGTCATATTGGCATATTAAAAAAGAAAATGGGATTATATATAAGGATGATGTTACTAGTTATAAAAAGAGAGGGAGGCCAGGCATGGTGGCTCACGCCTGTAACCCCAACACTTTCGGAGGCCAAGCAGGGTGGATTGTTTGAGCTCAGGAGTTTGAGATCGGCCTGGCCAATATGGCAAAACCTTGTCTCTACTAAAAATACAAAAAATAGCTGGGCATGGTGATGCATGCCTGTAGTCCCAGCTACTTGGGAGGCTGAGGCATGAGGCTCTCTGGAGCCCAGGAGGCGGAGGTTGCAGTGAGCCAAGATCGTGTCACTGCACTCCAGACTAGGTGACAGAGTGAGAACCTGTATCAAAAAAAAAAAAAAAAAAAAAAGAGAGAGAGAGGGAGAAACCTATGAAATTTAACAACCATTTCTGCTAAAATCTCTCAGTAAACACAGAATAGATAGGAACTTCCCTAACTTGATAAAGTGTATCTACCAGAAACCTATAGCAACCTGCATATGAAAGAGGGATTTAAAAAATTTCCATCAAAGTCTCAGAACAAGCAGAGAAGGACTATTCTACATTCCCTTGGATGTGCTAGCCAAAGCAATGAGATATACAACAACAACACAGAGCGCAATAAAGATTGGGGTAAATTCAGCATTATTTGCAGTCAATATTATGACTTAGACCAGGAGTAGGCAAACTTTTTCTGTTAAGGAGCAGATAATAAGTATTTTAGGGATTGTAGGCCAGAAGACATCTGTGACAATTACTCAGTTTTGCCCTAATAACATAACAGAACTAAGATCCATTATATCTGTAGTAAAATATATAAATATGCTTAATTCATGTATTTTAAAGATTTTCAGAGTGAATTATAAGGCAAAACCTAATGCTCTGTGTTGTGGAAGAGAAACAGAAACAAACTGACTCAGGAAAGTTAAAATAAAAGGATGGACAAATGTGAATAAAAAGAAAGCAGGTGTTGTAGTCGTTATAGTGTTTTACAAGGTAGAATTCAAGCAGAACAGTAAATGAGGCAAAGAAAGATGCCTGGTACTGAAGGTTGAAATTCATATTAGAAATAACTATTACGAATAGCTATATAGCAAAATAAAGTGCCAATATTCATGATGGAAAAATCATAGGCTATGAAAGGAGAAATTGAAAAATATACTAGTCTTAGGGGATTCTCCTTCACCTGTCTCATTTACTGACAGATTAAGTGGGGAAAAAATAAGGATATGAAAGACAAAAATAGCAAAATTATTAAGGTAGATTTGATTAAAACATATCAAACTCTGTACCCTAACAATATAGGATATGCTTCTTTTCAAGTCAACATAAACACTCATTGTTATTCCAGTTAGTACGGCTGTGTAACAAATTACCCTCAAATTTAATTCTATGAAAGAATGACTTATTATATTCAGATTCTGTGGGTCAGGTATTTCAAGAAAGGATAGTAGGAATGGCTTATCTCTGTAATGCCTGGGGCCTCAATAAAAGACTTGAAGCCTGGGAGCTAGAATTATCAGAAGATTCATATGTTCATGTTTGGTTGTTGATGCTGGCTGTTGGCTAAGGGCCCCCCTTTCCCTGCATGTGGGCCTCTCCATGTGGTTTCCTTTTGTTGGCTCATTTGGGCTTTTCATAGCCTAGTAGCAGAGTTCTAAGGGTGAGAGTCCCAAGAGACAGGAAGACCCAGGCAGAAATAATAGAATCTTTTATGACCTCAGAAGTCATACAGCATTACTTTGGCCATATTCTGTTCATTACGGTAGTTACAAAAGTCCTGCTGCTCATGTTCAAGGGAAGGGCAAATAGACTCTGCCTGTTCATGGGGAGTGGCAAAATTCTGGAAGAGCATGTGGGACCAGAAGTATTGCTCTGACTGATTTTGGCAAATACAGTATTCCCCGGTAATATACTGACTGGATCACAAACAAAATTTCAATAAATTTCAGTAGATAGAGGTAGTACAATAACACTGAGATCATAATATAATAAAACCAGAAATAACAAAATTAGATTGCAAAAAAGCCCTCTACCCAGAAATTTTCTAGTACTCTTACATTTCAAGTCAGAGATAACATATATGGTTAAGAATTCCTGGGGGATTAAAAACAAACAAAAAAAAGATAACATATAAGCCTAAACTGTAGAATAGCTAGAGAAGTATATTAATGAAACCATTACCTATGAGAATGTATAGATAGATTTAAGATAATTATTAGAGGAAAATAGATAGCTTGAAGTACATATATTAACTTGAAAAAATAAGCAAAAATTGTAAAAGATATATTAAGCATCTGACTCAAAAACAATATCAGCCTCATAAATCAAAGGAAAGTGGAAGGGAGGAAGTTTTAAAGTTAAAAATAAATATTAATAAGATAGAATACAAAAAGTATAATAGACCAAAAGTTAATTTTTTTGAAAAACTAAATTATTAACTATCCCAATCAAGGAAAAATAAAGAAAATGCAAATATACAAAATAAAAAAATAAAAAGCCATAGAAACAAGAGAAAACTAAAATAATCCTAAGAAGAAACTGTGTTTAATTCTGTGCAAATATCTGAAAATCTACATCAAGTGGATAATTTTGTAGGAAAATATAATTTCCCAAAGCTGACCCCAGAAGAGATAGAAGATTGAAACAGTTTGATTTCCACAGGCAAAATAAAGTTCATAAAGACCTATCACTTCTCCCACAAAAACACCAAGTCCAGGTGGTTTTACAAGGAAATTTTACCAAACATTAGAAGAGTAGATACTTATAGTATTCTGCTAAATGTTTAACAACCGGGTCTGGGGGCTGGAGCAGGGAGTAAAAAAAACCCTGATCTGTACTGTTTGCTGATTTCTAAGCATAAATATTTCTGTCATAATTTATTTCAAGCTACCTGTGTGACATCACTTAAAGTGAAGATGAGAAGAGATGTGCAGATAGGCTGTTGTGAGTCAGTACAAGCTGGCTTTTGCATAACATGGAGCTGATCCCAATGCTATTTAAACTGTTGCAGGGTATGGAAGTACTACTTTACTCTTACAGAAGTATATTTACAGAGTGAAGAAGTACTTCCAAATTTCTTTTGTGAAGTACATAAGGCCTTTACAGAAACACTGATAAGGGCTTTATAGAAACACTGATAAGGATTACAGAGAAAATAACTGCATACTCACTCCAATGTTAACTATAGGTGCAAAAATGCTAATTGAAAGAATTACAAACAGAATCTAGCAGCATAAAAGCAGAGTAAAACATCATGTCCAAGTAACATTTATTCCAAGTATTCAATGAAATTTCAATATTAGGATACTCATTTATTTACTTTTTTTAGTAGATCTGATGATGAAACCCATAATTATATGGATGCCAAAAAGGCTTTGGCCAAAAATTTTATAGCCATTCTTGATAAAAAGCATTCAAAAATAGATGTGTACTTCCTTAATATGAAAAAACACATCCATCTCAGTCCAAAAGCCAACATCAAACTTAGAGGCGTTCCTGTGAAAGTAAGGACAAAACAAGATATCTGTTACTACCTATTATTTAATGTTTTACTAGAAATACTAACCAAAGCAATTAGATATGAGAAGAGATTACAGGCATCAAAGTGGAAAGCCTATTATAAAAGTTTCATGTTTACAGGTGATTTTTTTTTTTTTTTTTTTTGTGAGATGGAATCTTGCTCTGTTGCCTGGGCTGGAGTGCAGTGGTATGATCTTGGCTCACCTCAACCTCAGCCTCCCAGGTTCAAGAAATTCCCCTGCCTCAGTCTCCTGAGTAGCTGGGATTACAGACCCGTGCCACCACGCCTGGCTAATTTTTTTTGGTATTTTTAGTAGAGATGAGGTTTCACCATGTTGGCCAAGCTGGTCTTGAACTCCTGACCTCAGGCAATCCACCCTCCTCAGCCTCCCAAAGTGCTGGGATTATAGATGTGAGCCACTGCACCTGGCCAGGTGATTTTTGCACTTGGAATTTAAGGGAAACAACTAAAAATCTAAAAAAATAATTCAGTGAGAAAGTAAAATATACAGTGAATATGCAAAATCTTTAGACTTTTTATATTGAAATGAAAGCCTGTTAGTATTTTGAATGAAAAACTTCATTTACAAAAGCAACATAAAAGATAATAAATTGGGAATATTATAATCAAACATTAACAAAAATATACAATATCTCCAAGAAAAAAAACCCACAAAAACCTTCTAGAAGGGTGTGCACAAGAATTCTTGACATTAAGAACAGACATTCGTATTATTTTTAAGGAAAACTCAAGATCATAAATATGTCATTTACCTCTTTGTAAATTTATAAATTCATTATGAAATCATGTAACAAAGCTTTTTTTCTTCCGTTTTAAACTAGAAAAACTGAATCTAAAGGTCATGTGGAAAATATGCAAAGATAATAGCTGGGATTATTTTTAAAAAGAATTATAATGAGGGAAAATCAGCCCTATTGGATATCAAATATATTATGGAATGTTAATAATTAAAACAATGTGGTACTGGCACAGGACTCCCCAGAATAATGGAATAGAATAGGTAGTCTAGAACTAGACTCAGTTACATGTAGAAATTTGTATATGGTAAAGTAGTATCTTAAATAGGTAGGGAAAAGATGGGCCATTCAGTATAAGTTTGGGGGACATATAATAGGTATTTGGAAAAAAATTTAGATACATACCTTACACCTTACAGCAGGATACGTTGCAAATGGATTAAAATTTTAAGTGAAAAAAAAAAAGAAATCATACAAGTACTGAAAAAAAAGCATAAGATAACTCATAATTCAGAAACCCAGATATAAAAAGCAAAAATGGACAAATTTGACTTTATTAGAAATACTCTTGATTTTATTTAAAAAAAACCTTTTACACAGGAACACAAAACCTTTTTTTTTTTTTTTTTTTTTTTTGAGACGGAGTCTCGCTCTGTCGCCCAGGCTGGAGTGCAGTGGCGCGATCTCGGCTCGCTGCAAGCTCCGCCTCCCGGGTTCACGCCATTCTCCTGCCTCAGCCTCCCGAGTAGCTGGGACTACAGGCGCCCGCTACCACGCCCGGCTAATTTTTTGTATTTTTTTTTTTAGTAGAGACGGGGTTTCACCTTGTTAGCCAGGATGGTCTCGATCTCCTGACCTCGTGATCCGCCCGCCTCGGCCTCCCAAAGTGCTGGGATTACAGGCGTGAGCCACCGCGCCCGGCCCACAAAACCTTTTAAGCAAAGTCAAAAATGAATATTGAACTTAAAAAATTATTTGGCAATTGTATTACAGACCATGATAAATTTAGATATATATTTATTTTATATATATTTATAAATTTATATATATAAATAAAAGGGAATAAAACAAGGTGTAGAATAGTATGTATATTATACTGCTACTTATGCATAAAAGGTGGGACAATAAGAATCTATATTTATGAAAAAACTCTGAAAGATGCATGATAATAGTGACAATTTATGGATGGGAAACCTAGGCATGGAAAAAGAGTATGGTGGGGAAAAGACTTAACCTTACACGTGCATTTACTTTAAAGCTTTGGACCATGTTCAAGAATAAACAAATTGAATTTTCAAAGAGCAAAATAAAATTCATACTGCCAATAACCTAACAATTACACATGGCTAAAGGGAAATACACAGAATGATATTCATTGAAGCATTTTTCTAGTAGTAAAATACATACAAAAATTATATGTCTGTCAGGAAAGAAATGATTAAAATATGGTAAATTTGTAATATTGAAGGCTATGCAGCACTTAAAAAAGGTTAAGGTAAGCAAAATACTAATATAACAGAAAGATCTCCAAGACATATTTTTGAGCAAAAACATGTTTGAGTGCAAAAGATTTGTATGGTGTTGGCAGAACTTATTTATTTAAGAGTACAGTGCTATACACCTTTTTGTGTTTAAAAGCACAAAAGTATACACACATGCAGACACACACAGAAATCTATAAATAATTGGAAATAGTTTTGAAAGTGTAGACACAAAACTCCTAACAATAGTTACTTCTACGAGAGGACTTTGTTTGGAGTGGAAGAGAGTGGAAGAGGGTGAAAAAGGACTTCAGATTTTTCAGTATTGGAGTTTTTATTAAAATATGCTAATATTTTACTCATGCAATAATAATAATAAAAAGTCTCAAAGAAGGTGATAACTTTGGGTGATTTATAACTGTTTTGGAGACTTTGCAAATTTGTTTCCCCAAGGCCAAGTGATAAATTGTTTCTGTGAAAACATCCCTTTTCTTCTTCAGATTTAAATATTCCAGTGTTGAGAATCCACAGTAAACTTGCTGTACTCTGTCACTGTTGAGGAATGGGACATTCACATGAATCAAATATGCTGGTAAATAAAGAAATATGGAGAAAAATATAGAGGTACGTGCATATATTGTATGGCTTATAATCTACTGAGAATGGAGAGGAAGACATCAGCATTAAAAATATTCTTTATT
This sequence comes from Homo sapiens, assembly GCF_000001405.40. NCBI lineage: Eukaryota > Metazoa > Chordata > Mammalia > Primates > Hominidae > Homo > Homo sapiens. The sequence goes on from NC_000010.11 coordinate 76,346,631, forward strand.
GAGTGAATTCTTTAGATCCAGGCACTGTACTGGAATCTTTACATATGTTTGTGATCTCATTTAATCCGGGAAACATCTCATAAAGTTGGATATTATCCCCATTTTATATATGAGGAAATTGAAGCTTAGAAAGATATTTCCTTGTTTACCCAAGGTCCCAGTGCTAATAAGTGTCCTCCATGAGACGCAAAACCAGGTTTCTCTAACACCTGAAGCCTGTGTTCTTTCCTCTGTTCCATTCTGCCCCCTCCCCAATACAATACACAACAATACAACTACACTGAATACATTTTAATGTTTCTTGATGATTAGGAGAGCACTTCTGGCTTTTTTGAATGTTTTGGAATCCCTTTATGAGCGTCAATTATCAGAATACTAGTGAAGCATGGAAATAATGTCTAATTGGAGATATCTGGTTAAAAGAAAGCAGAGTAATACTGCATCGACAGAATTTAGTGCTTTTATTACAGATAGATAAAGGTATGGCAAAATCACTGGTGTGATTCTTGCATATCCCCTTTATTAATTGATCTGCATGTTCTGAAGGCCGTTATTCCCTATATACTGATTCCAAATGTTCTGTCTTTATTAGTCCTTTTATATAAAACCTTGTATCTCTATTTGTCATCCTAAAAATATTGCTTAAATACATGATGCAGCTTCTCTCCACATTGGAATCTGATAACGAAAGGTCTTATCTCTGTAGCCTGAATTAACATGAGCAGAATTTAGGTATACTACGCCAATAGCTTCATGGACAGTCCCTTTGGTTATAGATTATAAATGCCATTTAGAGAAAGCACAGGATGGCTCCTGAGTGTCTAGTAAACTTCAACAACCACCTGAGAGATACCTCCGTGTGACTGCATGAAATGGAAATAAAGAATGGCAAATAACCCATTGACTATGCACTTTCTCACCCGCTGAGAGCAAAACATAATCCGATGCAATTTTAGTACTTACATGCCTCTGGGGAAAATAGACCCCTAAAAATCACCGAGTGCAGCACTGGAAAAATTCCTTAAATTTGTGCTATGCTTGGTGTTATAAAACCCAAGGAACCTTAGATGTTCTTCTTGAGTAAAATGGACTGGTAATTTTGTTTTGTTATATTATCCACCAAGCATAATGATAATGGGTCACATGCAATTTAAGAAAAAATTAAGTCTAATAAGAAAAATCTCTAATAAATACTAACAGCATCTTATTGGTATCATCATTGGTTTAACCCTTCTATTAACATTTGTTTTTTTACATATTAAATGATCTGTAATATGTTGAAAATGAAGAGGATAGTAAAAATTAAAACAGGCATTCTAATAATATATGCATTGTACAAATGTTTGCATGCTTCTTCCCTCAGGCGAGTACTAGGAGGTGTGGTACATGCATGGGAGTGGTGCTAGGATAGAGCAGGAGATTTTGATTTTAGATATGCTGAGCAGTGAAGATGCTCAGTGCAGGGGATAGACCCCATCATTAACCAGGAATGCAACCAATTCAATGAAAAACAGAGATTAGAAATCAAAATGTAGCCCCGAGGAAAGTACACAGTTATCCCCTCAAATCAGGCTTCTTCTGGGCCACTGAGAAAGGGTGAACGATCTTAGGGAACCTCTGGTACCCAAGCAAAGGGCCTGGGGGCTCCTGTGCATTGATAGCTATCCATCACGGGCAATGTGGTAGAGTGGGGTAGAGCTAGAAGGATGTATTCAGGAAGCTGCCATTATTAGAAATGTGCTTCTCAAGCCTACATAAGAATCTCCTAGGGAACAACCATAAAGTAAAAGTGCTTAAGCACGTATTTCCAAGGATTCTAATTCAAGGGAACTGGGTAACACCCTGGCATCTACTGTTTTTAATGAGTTGTTCTGGTAACACCTCTGCATGTAAACATGTGAAGACGATTGCATTAAATGATATTGACAAGGAGTCTCTTTCCCCTAGTCCTTTCCACCATGTGGTTTAGGAGAATAGCAACTATTTCCAAACCCTACTGAATAGTGGCAGCCACAAATGTCTTGCCATGTCAGGCTCTCAATGGTTTCTGAGAAAGATTGAACAGCCTTCAGGAGGCTAATCTATGATTAGGTATTTGCTATGCAAGACACTGTACATGTGTAGAAATGGCAAAGGTCCCTGCCTCAAGGAACTTACAGTTTAGGAGGACCTAGCAGACAGAAACTCAGACAAATAAATGCAGCAAACTGTGACATTTGCTGTGAAAAGCCATTTGTATTGGATAATGGGGACAAATGGGGTTTGGTCATTAGCTGAAGGGTTGCCTAGGTCAGCATAAGGCTTGCACAAAGGAGTGGCAGATGAGGACATCACAGGAGCCGTGTTGAGGAGGTCAAATACTTGGGTAGTAGCCACATGTTGGTTGTAAATGTGTGTAGGAGGGAAGAGCATGAAATAACTCCCAGGTTTTTCTGGCATGAGTGTCTTTGTGGCAGGTGAAGCCATTGTGAGGATCAGCATTTGGAAGAACTGGATTTGAAGAGAATGTTGAATATGAAGTATTCATAGTCTGTAAATGGAGATGTTCTAATTTGTGGGTCAGCAAACTTTTATCACAAATGGCCACATAGTAGGCATTTTAGGCATTGCAGGTCAGTCTTTGCCATGACCACTCAACTCTAGCATTCTAGTGTGCAGGTAGTCATAGGCAATATGGAAGCCAATGGGGTTGGCTGTGTTCCAATAAGACTATTTAGAAAAACAGGCAGTGGGCCAGATTTGGCCCATGGGAGCTAGCTTGCCACTCCTGCTATATGTATAGGTATGATCTGAAGATAAAAATATAAATGTAGCTATGTTGACTCACATACATACATATATATATTATATATATTTACCTAGTATCTTTCTATGTAGACTTATAATCATACCTATTTGATATAAACGCTGCACTTCCTGGTTATTTGGGATAAACAGTTTTTTCAAACTATCCAAAAGTCACCTAATAATTGTCTATAAAGAAACAATTAAATATGAAAATATAAATTAAAACAACAAAATACATTTTGTACTCAGTGGTTCAGCAAAATTTAAAAATCTGGTGATACCAAGTGTTACCAAGGTTGTAGAGCAACAAAAACTGAAAAGCTATTTCAATGGGAGTTGTGAATTAATGTATCTCTATTGGAAAACAATTGATTATTTTCTAGTGAATTTGAATATATATGCCAATCCTAAGTTCCAGAAATCTCACTCCTGGGACTCTACCACAGGAAAAACTATTATACATGCTCAGATCAATATGAACTATACTCATAGCATAACAAAACAAAAAAACAGAAGCCGGAAACAACCCAAAATGATTCATTAAATAAAGTGAAATAACATTCAATATGGACAAATCTAAAAATCAAAAGAAAAAGAAACCGACTGAATGATACCATATAATATCCTTTATATAAAGCTTGAAAGTGCCAAACAAAACACTGTTGTAAAAGGGTCCTTACATTTTTGGCAAAACTAGGATGAAAACCATGAAAATGAAAAACTCAAAATGCAGGTAGGTGGAGGCAAAAAACAAAAAAAAAAATAAATAAATTCTGACCTGATAGGAACGACCAATGGGATTTATTTATTTCTAAGCTTGGTAATGGGTAGACAGATATTTTTAAAATGATAGCTCTTATTATTTTACATATGTTATATTTGTTCCTTAACATCAAGCAAGTCTTGCATGATAATGAAAAGGCAAAACCAAAATCTTATTAAGTTATCAATTTTATATTTTCAAAAAATAATTAAGTCAAGTTTATTCTTTTGTTCAAAAGAAACGTTCATTATGGGGACCGATTTTTTTTTTTTTTGGTCTGGCTCTGTTTCTTTCCAGTCATGTCACCTCTCCCCATGACAGAGGGTCAGCTGGCTTCCAGTGTTTCAGCTAGGCAGGAGTCGGGGATTATGGATAGCATAGAAGAGGGAGGAATATCAGGAAGGAGCTAACGTTGCTGGTGTAGGGTCATTTGAGTTCCTGTATCTCTAGGAGAACAAGCATTGTCTTTGGCATAGGACAGAATGTGGTCAGAATCCTCTCTGTCACTCAGAAAGTAATTCCATTGCTGTCTTAATATTATCCTAGTCATCTGGGGTTGCAGGAACACTGTGTAGTGGTTTTGCGGTGTGGAAGCTATTGCTACATAATTTTTTATTTCTTGAATATCACTTTGTAGTGTCATGATTACAAGGCTTGGAAGAAGATAAACTCTCTGTCCATTCCGAGTATAAATGGGCACTTGAGATGAAACCACCTCGTTAATTTCCCCTTGTTGCTGAAGTAGAATCTGAATCCAAACCACAACACAACCTAGCCCCTAAATCTCTATTAAAAACCACCTTGGGTAGTCTGGCAAAGCTTTATTTAAAGTCAGCAGAGAATTATAAAGTCAAACGTGAAAAATGGTACAACAAGAAAGAATCATAAAAAAATACTAGATCAGTTAAATGTAGTCAAAGGCAATTTAGTGTGTTCTGGCACCAGCACTTATTGATGCAAAGAATGTGATATGTCAGGGGTTGGCAAGAGCATGTAGGAAATGCAGAATGAAGGATGCAGCTCCACGCATTGACTCCGAAACAGCCATACATGGCTGCAGAGGATGCTTCAGCTACCTTCCTTGCTTTTCTATCAGGAATTTCAGGGAGAATATTCGAATTCCCCTAGGATGGACATTTTCTGTTCTTTTGTTCTTGATATAGTTTATGTTTTAAAGTAGAATTCTTTCTTTCATGGAGATAAGCTAACATGGAGACTGTGTAAATTGGGTCAGACCAGGAGGGTAAGTAAAACTTGCTGGTACTTCTGAGTATCCTACTATTCTAGTTTCTCTGGGGCTGCTACATTTATCTGCTTTTTTACATCCATCTCCAAGCTGTGAGGGTTTCTGCCTCATCTTCTTCACCCCTTTGGTTTCCCATTCACCAATATTAGCAGATTTGCTCAGTAATGAACACAGCTACCAATGTTATGCACCCACCCCTTTCCAGGCACTGTGCTAGGCCCTGCATATACATTCTCTCACTAATCCTCAACAAGCCCCGGTGATTCTTAGAACTCTAGTCTGAAAAAAAAAAAAAGCCCCTGTGAGATAGGTCTTATCAGCATGTTGATTTTACACATAAGGACAACTAGGGCTAAGAGACTTAGAGCTCATTTGAGGTGCCACAGAAACAGAACTCACTAGGCCGGACTCCTGTATAGGAGCAGGCGCTATGTAAGAAGTGTTGGTTCTCTAACTTCATCAACAGTAAAAGGTGGGTGCCAGTACCTCTAGGGGACAGAGTACAGGATAGTATAGTGTCAAGAGCATCAGGCTGAAGTCTGGGTTTGAATCCTGGCTTTGCCACTTATTGACTCTGTGACTCTGGAGAAGGTACTTGACCACTCTGCATCTCCCTCTCCATAAAATAGGGACAATAATAACACCTGCCTTACTAAGGTTGTTGTGAGGATTATGTAAGTTGCTATGAATAGTTTCAAATAGTTACTGTGGAAGTGCTGAATGGTAGTCCCCTTACCTCTAGGGGATGCATTCAAGATCCCAGTGGATGCCTGAAACCATGGAGAGTACTGAACCCTATGTATACTGTATTATTTTTTTGTGTGTACATTTATAACTGTGGTAAAGTTTAGTATAATTATTAGGCATGGTAAGAGATAACGATAACTGATAATAAAATAGAACAATTATAAGAATATTCCAGCATCACTACGCTTGCACTTTGGGGCCATTATTAAGTAAAATAGGGTTACTTCAACACAACCACTGCCATACCACAACAGCCAATCCAATAGCTGAGACAGCTTCTAGGTGACTAAGCGGCCGATTCTATATACAGAATGGACACACTGGACATAGCGATGACTCACATCCTGGGCAGGATGGAACAGGATGGTGTGAGATTTTATCATGCTACTCAGAATGGCATGCAATTTCAAACTTATGGATTGTTGATTTCTGGAATTTTCTATTCAATATTTTCAGACTCTAGTTGACTGTGGGTAACTAAAACCATGCAGAAAGTGGATAAGGAGGGACTACTGTATACATATTGTTGCTGCTGCTGTTTCTATTATTATTATTATCAATAGTGTTGTTATTTTTGTCTTAAAAAATATATCCCTGAAAGTAGAGTGCCTTCACTGAAAGAAGTGGTTGTGGATGGAATCAGGGACAGGGGAGGTGGAAGGACCAGCCCCTGTGGCAGGTCAGATGGGAGGATGTTCTTAGACATGCCACTCGGTACCCTTGAAATCCTACTTTGGTGTGGGCCATATCCACTTTTGGTAAACTCATTTGCCCCAAATGAAGCAGCTTTTGAAGATCAAACAAGAAAACTGGATTCTTTGAGTATATCCAGCTTGAGTACTTCCATGTTCAAAATGCCTTTCTTTCCTGTCTACAGATTCACCTCTAGGAGAGAAGGAAAGAAGTTTGGAGACTTCCTTTGGTTCTAGCAGGTCTTATCAGAGTCTCAGTGTAGACTGAAGAGGAGTGATTGCTATACTGTAAATGCTTTAGAGGGTCTGAAAGAGATTAGAGAAACCTATTCCAGAGGATAAAGGCAGGACAAGAGGGAGCCATTAATCTCATGGACATTACATTCCCTAAGAACTTTTTTTGGGAATGGCCAGAAGCATGCCAGGCCATGTGCTGTCCATTTGCAATTCTCTGAGCTGTGGAGTTGTGTGTGTGTGTGTGTGTGTGTGTGTGTGTGAGATAGATTGAGGCCAATGTCATTGCCTCATTTACAATGGTTCTTAAACTTGAACTGAAAGGTTGACACATGCATGCAGAGTCAATGCAGATTATTCGACTGAAGTAGTCCTGACAAATACCAGGGCTCTCCACATTGTCAGGAACAGTCTGATGATGACACGTTCGAAGCTCCGCAGACTGGCTTGCATCTTAGTAAATGTGTACAATCAGGGGAGACATAGCTATGCCGTGGAGAGTTCTGAGATGTGAAGAGAACAAGTTAATTGTTCAGCCTCAACTGAGACCTTTCACTCAAGTCATTAATCACAGTGCACAGTCTGGAGTCTTGGCTCTGAAGTTCGATTCTTTAGGCTGCTTTCCTGCTCCAGATGAAAGCTCATTCCAGGTGCTGGCCATTTGTGTTTTCCTCCAACTAGGCTGATTTATGGACCTGGAGATGTTTTCTGGTTTTTCCAAATTCTGTTCCATTACTTTGTAATAAGGGGGGACATGTGATTTCTGGCTTTTTGCAGATCCTCAGTTTTAACATCCCTAATACCAAAGATTTTTAAAATTAGTCTGTGGTCTGCTTTCTGTGATCTGGAGAATAGAAATGCTGTTCTGTATTTTGAGTATCAAAGTTAAGACTTTAGGGACTCATTTCTTTCCCCTTGAGCTGGAGTTGAAGTTGCAAGGGATGGGCAGGAAACTGTGTTCCTGCCTTCAACATCCCAATGCAAATTAAGGCTTGGGAAGCCCTAGTGACAGCAACTGACTGCAGGTGTTGGAGATATCCCCGTCCCACCCGAATACATATGGCTCAGGGTATAATATTAAAGGACTTCCACACTTGGGCTAGGTCTCTGGTGACAGTGTAAGCCAATATTGAAGATTTCAAAGGAGAATCTGAGTGTCAAAGGAGGACATTGTGATATGGAGGCTGAACAGGGTGCTGCCAAGTGTTAGCTGTTTGACTGAAAGGTAAACCAGATCTGAGTTGATATGGGGCAACAGATCCCTTGGGAGTTTTCCCAGGAGGATAGAAATGTGTCACAGCAAAGTAATTGGAAATTGATATTTGGCATATCTCTGGGTTACTTTTTATTCCAGATAATACCAAGAGTCACTTGGTATTGGCCAAGAGTCATTAGTGACTTATACATCAAATCCCATAACCCATTGCTGAAATACAATCTTCTGTTCGTTGACAGTAGCCAGCTGCTTCCTGGTCCTCTGCTTCCTAACTAGTACTTTATGTTAAAGGCCCATGGCCCTGATTTAGGTGAAATGAGTGGTAAAAATAGCAATTCAATCTTATAAAAAACCTGTCTATACTTTTAAAAAATTGATATATAATCATTGTACATATCTATGCGGTGCATGTGGTATTTTGATACACGCATATAATGTGTAATTATTAAACCAGGGTATTTGTGATATTTATCACCTCCAACATTTATCATTTCTGCGTGTTAGGAACATTTCAAATCTTCTAGCTGTTTTGAGATATAAAATAAATTATTTTTAACTATAGTCATAATTGTGCTGTCGAACATGATGTCTTCTATCTAACTAAATGTTTGTGCCCGTAACCAGCCTCTCTTCATCCCCCTGCACTGCACCAATTCTACCTTTTGATAATTCTCTGAAACGAAATTTTCACTGGCAGTGCTGTCCTTCAAATTCAACTCAACTCAACAGGTACTTGTTCAGAGCCTCCTATGGGCTTTATATTGTGTTGTGTGCCCTGGGACCTATAAAATAAGTATCAAACATGACCTTTGCCCTTGAAAAGCTTATGAGCTCATAGGAAGGATGATGTGTTTATGAAACACATTTTACATGGCAAGATAAGCTATCGTGTATGTGCCAAAGTGACTAGAATCGGGAATAAGTGCAACAGAGAGTCAGAAAAATGAGAGTAGGTTGTACTGGAACTGTCAGAGAAGCTCTTATGGATGAGGTGGGACAAAGACACAAATATCCTAAACCCAGAACTCTCCGTTAAAGAAATTGTAAGAAGCACAGCATCAGGTTACCAAGAAATTATGGAGCCCTTTTAAGTGAAAGTAATTTGTTCAATATGAGAATGGATTAATTTAGTTCCATAAATATTTATTGAGTACATGCAATGTGCCAACAACTATACCTGATGTGATCAAGGAAGAATAATGAGTACAAAGGACACGTGTGTGTTATTCTCAGATGCTAACTTCTCTCACATAGGTATTTAAAGTTATTGCTGGTCTGTTGATTCCAAAGTCTGTGATTTTTATCATTTACCATTCAACCTCTCAAAAAGACTTTGTCATCCAAGATATATTTGGTTGAGGGGCTGAGTCTAATTTTTTGTGTGGTGGAAAAATGGCATGTCTAACTGCATAAGTTGTATGAAGTGTAAAGAGTTGCATGCATGCCGATTGTGAAAGAAAGGGACGTTGAATTAGCATTGAATGTGGGCCCAAATTATTGGGTTAGGGAGTATTTGGAGTAGCATTAGAAAAGCCTGAACCTGGCCCACATTCAGGGCTATAAGTGAAGCCCAAGTTCTCTATAGATCAAGCTTTTCTTGGAACTTGTATTGTTCCCCTTGACAGCTGATTTGGAAACCCAATTAGAAGGGCCTCCCATCATTAGAGGTGAGGCAGTCTTGCACTGAGCTTTGTTATTTGAGAAGTTTAAAATTGGCTACACCCAGATATATTGGATAACTCACTAAAATCTAGAATTGATCTGTATTCCTCCTTGTAAAATAAGGAAAGCCATTATGTGTTCATTTCTTTGAGGACAGGTATAACTGGACAATTGCAAAGTGTTTTAGAAAGAAAACAATGTCAGGATGATAGTGGTGGTAGTGGTCATCGTCATGGAGATGGTAGTTATTATTCCAAATATCCAGATAATTTTAAAATAATATAACCATAGAACGCTAGTAAATGCTAGAAAGAATCTAAGATATCAGGCATGGAGGCACAGAGGTGTCAAAGTTTATTTAGCGAAGCAATACCAGAAGAGAACTAGAAAATCCTGCTTCCTAGCTGGCTGTCATTTGCATACAACAATGAGACCCCTGCTTAGTAACCCCTGTGTTTCTGCCACCCATGTGACTGCTTTCTGAAGCTAATTTAGTTATCAAATAAAAAATGGAATTTTGAGAAAACCGTATTTTTTTTTAAACTGGAGGGATTGGTGGAAGGAAAAGCAAGAAGAAATTTGGAATCTTGGTTCCTGACATTTTCCTTAATGTTCAATTACTCTCTTCATTGGAAAGCTTCGTCTTGGCCTCTATGGGTGACACATCCACTTGTGGTCACTCACTCCTATGTATGCGTGTACATCTGTTGATATGCATTCCTCTTCATCATCTGTAGGCATTTTACAAATAATGGCTTGTGTGTGCGTGTGTTTTTTATCATCTTATGTTTTTAAATGAAAATGACAACTTGAAAATTCTTTGCAGAAATAATTCTTCTATGGTAAAGGAATTTCAGCGTGTCTTCCAGGGTCATCTTTGGGTCACATAATTTCATGGAGGAGTTGGCAGTGGGTGGGAGGGATATAAACAATGACTTTGGAATTTTTATCTTTCCATCCTGTGGCAGGTGGGCAATGTTGGTAACAAAGAAAGTTGGTTGGTGGAGAACTAGGAAAATATAGTCAAATAAGAAAGGTACAACAAGATGTGAGTGCAAACCAAAAAATTGGCAAGTGCAAAACAAAAAATTGGCAAGGCATAGAAAGAGAGAAGAGGAGGCATGGATACTTTTCCCCTCTCTTCCAACCCTGCTCCTCTGTGAAGCCATTGCTGAGGTGGGGGTGCGATCAGGAGAGTATATAAAGGAGCTTGGACTTTGCAGTTGTAACTCTTGTTTTTGATGAAACTGTTTTGGAAGCTTTCTTCTTGAATAGAGCTGGGGGATCTGAGTGGGACTCAGAAGAGAGGAGAAAGGCCATTTGGAACTCGATCCAGATTCTGGGTTTAAAGATGAGAAAGTATTACAGGGTTTCCATAAACCACGGAGTTCAGGTTGGCAGCATGGAAATCTGATCCAGTTTTTACTCACCAAACTATGTGTGTGGAGGTACACATCAGAGGGGTACCTTTTTCATATTTATCCAAAGCACTGTGTAGAAGAGACTAGTCCCTGGATGGGGGAATTTTAAACTTCCTTCTAAGTTTTCCAATCCTATCTGCATATTTTTAGAGCCGGAGTTTCTAAGCAAGGCACTCTATATTGTTTGTTCTCTTGGGTAGTTAAGCACAGACAGCAGGGAAGCATGGTGGCTCACAGAGTGAACTAGCTGCAGAGACCAACTTATCCAATGAACAAAGTAGGTGTAAAATGAAAATGACTAAAGGGGTCCTTGATTTCACTCTCTTGAGAAGTCAGCCACAAAGCCAAGTGCCTAGAGACCCACATTTCCAGCTTCTCTCGTCTCCAGTCTCCCTTTAGGAAGGCTGTGAGCAAACCTGGCCTTCGTGGTTCTTTCTTCCGTCTGTAAACTCCCTGTAATTATTATGCAGTTCCTTATGCTAGGTACCATGGGACTGTGAGGCCTCCGGAAGAAACTCTTGACTTTGAGGAGCTTGGAGGCCATTGTGAAAACAGGAAAGACAAGCACAATCCTGGTAAATGAAGTGTGTACAAAGCCTGTTTGACAACAAAGTCCTCTCTAGAGGACCTTGAAAAATCAGAGACCGCCATCCCATATGGAGAGGTCCTTCCACCCTCACCTCAGGGGCTGTTTTTCTCTCACTGAAGAATGAAAATGGTAAATGGCCTCAAGCAAGCTAAAAGCAGATCCCTCAGCTTTATTCATTTCCTGACTGCAATACTTGGTGGTAGTATTAGAAAAGGCTCTGGCAGTCCTCGTAGGAGAAATGCCAGTAATGAGGCAATGGAACGTTCATTCACCTGCTTTATGTTCTTTTGGAAATAACATGATTTATAAAAGAATACAGAATCATAATTGTCAGCCAAGATGTCATTTTAACCTTAGGATGTCCAGAAACAAAGGGATATTACATCCTTTGTTCTTGGAGCACCACTGGTGTCAAATTATGCACAGCGTTTCCTCTTGGCATTAAGTGCTTGTGAGCCTAACAGCAACCAAACACTGACTTCAGAAAGATGATGTTTCTGATGGTTTTCTCACCTGAATATCTCCTTGGTACTATGGGAGAGAGCATGGGCCTCCTAGCTTCCCTGCATTCTGATAGAGCAGGAGCCAGGAGGCATGGCAGTCTTAGAAATGGCTAAGGGTTGGGGTACACTGTCTTTGGCCTCTATCAGAGGAGCTGAACAAGAGTCCCATTAAAATGCTGGTGAAATAATTCATAACCTTGATTTTATCTGCACATCAACATATGCCAACAGATGCTCAGTGCAAAACATGAATATTTGATTAATATAAAATCAGGCATCTAGAGCAGAGAGCGTGGAATGTTGGGGGTTGAGTAGGACTTACATGTTATCCATCTAATCGCAGCTGTCTGGATGCACATAGTAGGCATTGGAAATATCCATAATTATATTTTCATTGATTTGAATAACTCTGTTGCTTGGTTTTGAGCCCAGATGTTTGGCGTCCCGCTGGAACTGTGTGCTCTGCCTCCTGTCATCAGTCTCATCAGCACACAGATGTTCGGCAAGGGACAGCATTCCTCTAGTCTTCATTGTGAGGCCTCTTCTCTGTTCTCCCAGCCCATCCACTAGGGCTCCTGTGACAGTCAGCCACAGAACACAGTGCAGGTCACCCATGGAGCTAGGTGCAGAAACTGTCCACCACACCATTTTGTCATTGTGGTTTTATCCAAAGGCAGAGAACATTGGAGCCTCAGCTAACAGACCAGACTAATGCTGGTAACAAGTACTTGAGTGGTTATTTCATCATTCATTCCATTGGTCATTGAAAAAATATTGAGTAAAGGCTTATTAGTCCACAGCACTTCCCTGAAACCTGAAGAAGACATAGGAGAAGACCCTTGGTAGGAGATGGAGAAGGTTGCACTGTGAGTGAGAATATGAGACATTCATTAACTTCTAGGGAATGATAAGACTGGTTACATTAGTGCTGATGACATTCACAGCAGAGGGGAGGGGAAGCTAGTTGGTAGAGTGGATAGATAGTACACTAGATCCAAGTCTGTATCTTGAATCTCTCTCATAACACCAGCGTGTGGCTGTAAACCCAGGCCTCCGGTTTCCTCTGTAAAATAAAGGAGATGCACTAAGATGCTTTCTATGCCTTTCAGTACTATCCTTCAGTTTGCTCTGATCAAGAATTGAAGAGATCCCCATATTCCCGTGGTTTAATTTTCCCTGAAGACCTTGGACTGACCACTTTCGTAAGTAATCAGGTAGACTTCTAATAGTCAAAGGACACATGAATGAAAGGTAGTGAAAGAAGGCATACACTGATGCCTTAATATCTTGGTTAGAATAGCGGCTTTTGAAAGTCTATGAAAATCAATTTTGGATAATAATAGAAAAATTCGTTAAGGCTGGGAGTAGAGCTTTGCTTCAAAGTGAAATAGCAGCAAGTTTTACCTTTGCTCATGTACCATCATTCTTGAATTAGTTATTAATCTCAGGACCAAGAGCAACTTGTTGCCCTTGGATCGGTCCAGTGGCATTTCTTTTTCTTTTGTTTTTTTTTATTTTTTTGAGACGCAGTTTCGCTCTTGTTGCCCAGGCTGGAGTGCAATCACACGATCTTGGCTCATCGCAACCTCCCGGGTTCAAGTGATTCTCCTGCCTCAGCCTCCTGAGTAGCTGGGATTACAGGCATGTGCTACCATGCCTAGCTAATTTTGTATTTTTAGGAGAGACGGGGTTTCTCCATGTTGGTCAGGCTGGTCTTGAACTCCTGACCTCAGGTGGTCTGCCTGCCTCGGCCTCCCAAAGTGCTGGGATTACAGGTGTGAGCCACCATGCCCAGCCCTAGTGGCATTTCTGACTTCCTTGGTTCACATGGTCTTGGTATGACAGCCCTATGAATGGGTACCTGAGGAGCTCTGCTGCCAGTGTTCAAGGTGGCTTCTCTTTAGCTCATCTAAGATACAGGGGCTATATCTTTAAAAAGTAGAGACAGGATGATTAATCTGTAGTTGGACAGATTAATTGTGGCTTCCAATCTCTTCAGACCCTGTGTAGGCAGATCAAGTAACTTACCTACATAAAAGGCAAAGCACAGAAGTCATGAACATTCTCACTTCTGTGTAGTACTATATAGCTTCCTGAAAGGTTTATAACAATTTCTAACCAACTTGTTTAATCCCCACAGTTCTGTGAAGTCAGTATTATATTCTTACATTGTAAGTGAGGATATTGAGGTACAAATGTATTTGTGGGGTTGGAAATTTCTCACAGGACATATTTGGTGGATGCTGGGAAGAGCTACTCTCCTGAAACTCCAAAACCCCCTCCCTCCCTCACCTGCTACAGTTGAACTTTTTCTGTAAGTTAAGACATTTCTGATTCTGGGTACTCTTTTAAAATGCAGATACCCCTGGAAGAGAGGTCAGACCAAATTTCTTATTGCTTAAATAATTGCCTGAATAATGTTTTACAATCATTTTCATCTAAGATAGTTGAGGACAGCATGCTAACATATTAAAATCAGGATTAAATGGGCTGGGTGTGGTGGCTTATGCCTGTAATCTGAGCACTTTGGGAGGCTGAGGCAGGTGGATCGCTGGACGTCAGGAGTTCAAGACCAGCCTGGGCAACAAGGTGAAACCCCGTCTCTACTGAAAATATAAAAATTAGTTGGATGCTGTGTTGTGTGCCTGTAGTCCCAGCTACTCAGGAGGCTGAGGCAGGAGAGCTGCTTGAGCCTGGGAGGCGGTGGTTGCAGTGAGTCGAGATTGCACCATTGCACTCCAGCCTGGATGACAGAGCGAGACTGTCTCAAAAAAAAAAAAGAAAAGAAAAATCAGGATTAAATGAAGGGGGACCAGGATAGATTTGGGTTTGGGGAGCTTGTTTAGGAGTAGCTATCTGATAGGGGTATAACAATGGTGACCCCAGGACTCCAGTTCTGAATGAAGGAAGTCCCCATCTAAGGGATAGTATGGGACACGGAGCAAGAAGATAATGGAAACAGAGCAACTCTTTATATTTCAGACTTGGTTGGCTTATTTGTGCTGGATCGACCCCTGGTGAGTGGGCAGGATTGTGATGGATGGGGTCAAGCTTATCTACCATTACATGCCAAGTACCTGGCTTAGGGCATTGATCCATTTTATATACTCTCTTATTTTGCTAACTACTTAAGGCAGAAAAATCATTCCCCTATTCTACTCCAATATGTGCCAGTTGAAAGTGAAATCCTCACACTGAGCAAATGCACCAAAGAACACTATATAAACTTAATGAGGGAGATGAAGAGATATGTGCCAGAAACCTAGAAAATTTAACACTGATGAGGTTATGACTATTATATGTTTAGTTAAATTGTTGACACTGACAGGACGTGGCTGAGGAAATCTACCATCCATTTTCTCCTTGTACCAGTGATAATGGTTCCTTGGTGTGCTCTTCTCAGTTAACAAAAATATTCCCAAAAGTTAAATGCAGGGAGAAGAAGTGACATAAGAAGTACTTTTATTATCTCTGTTCTTCTGGGAGTTCCCTCCAGAAACATTATTTAAAGCAGTACTTCTCCCGACTGGCAAATGAGTTTGAAGGGAAGGACTCACGAGTTCAGAGGGGACCGGAGAGGCTCCTAACCCTGTGCTTGAAGGCTTGCTCCAGCAAACCCACATAACACGACACTGCCATAGCCTCTCAAAAACACCTTTCTCTTCCATTTTCTTCCTTTCAAAAACTGACAAAGGTTATCCACGGGCTAGTGAATAAAATCTCAATTCCTTTAGCTGACATTCAAGGCACAAATGTGATCGTGATTTTTGTAAGGTGTCAAGTGCTGTATAAACAGGTGGTGGAGAGAGTATTGAATTTGAAGTCAGAACACTTTGGTTTCAATCTTGTTAACTGGGTGACCTTGGGCCAGTCACTTGATCACTCTGAATCTCAGTTCCTTCACTTATAAAATAGGATTATTTCAATAGTTAAATTAATTGAAAGTAACATAGTACTTAGCAAAGAGTGAACATTCAATACCCATTAAGGAAGAGATGGTTACCAGAGGCAATTTATTCTAGCATTTAAGAACATTCACTATGGAGACAAAAATTAGTAATCTTTTTTATTTATTTATTTTTGTTTTAGATTCAGGGGGTACATGTGCTTGTTTGTACCCCCCTGGTGGGGTTGGGCTTCAAATGTACCTATCATCCAAATATTGAACATTGCACCCAAAGGTTAATTTTTCAACCCTTACCCTCCTTCCACCCTCCCGCCTTTTAGAGCAATCTTTCTTTTGTCTTTGATTTCTACCTAGAAAATGGGGGTAAGTTGGAAGACTTAGATGAGTTAATACATATCAGGAACTTTCAATAGTGCTTGGCCTATATTGATCCTTCTATAAGTATTAAGTCTTTTCTTGCTACTGTTGTTGCTTTTATTGAATGACCTGTCCTAATCTTATTTTTCCTGACTTATCTGATTTTCTATTTTACCAGCAGACAGAGCTCCTCCACAAAGTCATGATATCATTAGGGTGGGGATTAATTCCTACCTTTAACTTCCATGAGCTTTACTCAATGCCTGCAAAATACTCAATCATTTTTGTTATTAAAAAGTGTACAAATGTGCTTGCTAACATCGACCTAGCATTGTGCTAGAGGTTTCAGCCTGTGGAGTAAGGAAAGAAAGAAAGAAAGAAAGAAAGAAAGAAAGAAAGAAAGAAAGAAAGAAAGAAAGAAAGGAGGGAGGGAGGGAGGGAGGGAGGGAGGGAGGGAAGGAAGAGAAAGAAAGAAAGAAAGAAAGAAAGAAAGAAAGAAAGAAGGAAGGAAGGAAGGAAGGAAAGGAAGGAAGGAAGGAAGGAAGGGAGGAAGGGAGGAAGGAAAAAGAAAAGAAAAGAAAAGAAAAAAGAAGCATCCAGATTGGAAAGGAAGAAGTAAAACTGTCTTTATTTGCAGATGAAATTATCATCTCTATAGAAAATTCAGTGGAATGTACATAAAGCTGTTAGAAGCAACAGGAGAATTTAGCAAGTTACGGGATGCAAGATTAATATGCAAGTCAATTGTTTTAGTTCCTTAAACTTAAGACAGCCACAAGTAGACCAGTTTAACTGGAGCATAGGATGAGTGAGGGGTAGTGTGGTATGTAAAATTAGAAAGGCAGATCTAGATAACATGGAATACTTTTGCTTACTCTTTCTCTGCCTTCCTTCATTCCTTTTCCCCTCCCCCACCTCCTTTCTTTCTTTTTCCTTTCTAGTTTCTTGGTATAACAACCTTTTTCCATAAAAGAAGGGTAGAACTTCTTTCTTAAAGGCGAAGTTATTTATTCTTTGGGTTAAGTCAAACAAAATGACCGTAACTACGTTGTTTTGAGCTTACAGTTAATGTTCTGTTATATATAAAATGTTCCCAAAGACAAGGAGTGAAATGTCAGCAAGCAATCACTGGAACATAGGGTATCAGGATTCAAGTTCTGATTTCCTCTTAACTAGCTCTAATAACTTTGGGAAGATCACTTCACCTTTTAAGGCCCAGTTTGCTTTGTCTTAAAAAAGGGATAATGATTGCATGATTTCCATATTTATAGGGTTGTTGATGGCTTACTCCAACAAAATTTTTCTAGTTCTTAGAAACTCTAAGAGCTGGAGATAGGGAATCACTCCCCTCAGGGAATATTTAGTGAAAATATGTGTAGAACTAACTCCAGTGGCATAGGATAGGCTATTCAGAGTAGTATACATAAGGGCCTAGGAGAGTGCAAAGAAGGGATTAATTAACTCTGCTTGTGGGGTTGGGAAAAATTTCGCTGAGTTGATATCTAAAGCCAAGCTCACAGCTTAAGTGAGATTTTTGACAGAGAAAGGGACAACTTTAACATGATAATGGGAATAATATCTTTTGTTTGTTTAGCACTTTACCATTTTACTTGACATAAATTAGAGTGATCTAAAAACTATATGGACGTTAGGGATTATTATTGCTATCCTAGGGGTGGTTATTACTTTAAACTACTTGTTTGATAAGGCTGGGGAAATTTTGACCCCAAATTGTAACAATTTAGAAAAGTTTATGTAAAATTTCCAGGGAATTTTTCCATGTTGGGGGAACCAGGAGCCTTAGGAGCTTGGTGGGGTGTCAAGGATTAGGGGAGGGGCATGGGAAGAGGGAAAAAGGATATTAATTAAATCTTTGCAAAAAGATGGCTCATTTTGTAATTATGGCATAACTTGCTGAGTAAAGATGCAATAATATGAAAACCTGGATGTTTAACTTTTTTCCCCATAAGTTATTGGGGTACAGGTGGTATTTGGTACATGAGTAAGTCCTTTAGTGGTGATTTGTGAGATTTTGGTGCACCCATCACCCATGTATACACTGCACCACATTTGTAGTCTTTTATCCCTCACCCTCCTCCCATCCTTCCCCCCAAGTCCCCAAAGTCCATTGTATTATTCTTATACCTTTGCATCTTCATAGCTTAGCTCCCGTATATCAGTGAGAACATACAATGTTTGGTTTTCCATTCCTGAGTTACATCACTTAGAATAATAGTCTCCAATCTCATCCAGGTCACTGCAAATGCTGTTAATTCATTCCTTTTTATGGCTGCATAGTATTCCATCGTATATATATACACACACACACACATATATATATATATATATATATACACACACACACATACACACCACAGTTTCTTTATCCACTCATTGACTGGTGGACTTTTGGGTTGGTTCCACAATTTTGAAATTGTGAATTGTGCTCCTGTAAACATGCATGTGCATGTCTTCAAATAATGACTTCTTTTCCTGTGGCTAGATACCCAGTAGTGGGGTTGCTGGATCAAATGGTAGTTCTACTTTTAGTTCTTTAAGGAATCTCCACACTGTTTTTCATAGTGGCTGTACTAGTTTACATTTCCACCCGCAGTGTAGAAGTGTTCCCTGTTCACTGCATCCATTCCAACATCTACTGTTTTTTGATTTTTTTATTATGGCCATTCTTGCAAAAGTAAGGTGGTATTGCATTGTGGTTTTGATTTGCATCTCCCTAATCATTAGTAATGTTGAGCATTTGTTCATATGTTTGTTGGCCATTTGTATATCTTCTTTTGAGACTTGTCTATTTATGTCCTTAGCCCACTTTTTGCTTGGATTGTTTTTTTCTTACTGATTTGTTTGAGTTCGTTGTAGATTCTGGATATTAGTCCTTTGTCAGATGTATAGATTGTGAAGATTTTCTCCCGCTCTGCGGGTTGTCTGTTTACTCTGCTGACTGTTCCTTTTGCTGTGCAAAAGCTCTTTAGTTTAGTTAGGTCTCAGCTATTTATCTTTGTTTTTATTGCATTTGCTTTTGGGTTCTTGGTCATAAAATCCTTGCCTAAGTCAATGTCTAGAAGGGTTTTTCCAATGTTATCTTCTAGAATTTTTATAGTTTCAGGTCTTAGGTTTAAGTCCTTAATCCATCTTGAGTTGATTTTTGTATAAGGTAAGAGATGAGGATACAGTTCTCCTACATGTGGCTAGCCAGTTATCCCAGCACCATTTGTTGAAAAGGGTGTCCTTTCCCCACTTTATGTTTTTGTTTACTTTGTTGAAGATCAGTTGGCTGTAAGTATTTGGGTTTATTTCTGGGCTCTCTATTCTGTTCCATTGGTCTGAGTGCCTATTTTTATACCAGTACCACGCTGTTTTGATGACTATGGCCTTATACTATAGTTTGAAAACAGGTAGTGTGATGCCCCCAGATTTGTTCTTTTGACTTAGACTTGCTTTGGCTATGCAGACTCTTTTTTGGTTCCATAAGCATTTTAGAATTGTTTTTTCTAATTCTGTGAAGAATGATGGTGGTATTCTGATGGGGATTGTGTTGAATTTGTAGATTTCTTTTGGCAGTATGGTCATTTTCACAATATTGATTCTACCCATCCATGAGCATGGGATGTGTTTCCATTTGTTTGTGTCTATGTTTAGAAATCTGTGATTTCTTTCAGCAGTGTTTTGTAGTTTTCCTTGTAGAGGTCTTTCAACTCCTTTGTTAGGTGTATTCCTAAGTATTTTATTTTTATTGCAGCTATTGTAAAAGAGGTTGAGTTCTTGATTTGATTCTTGGCTTGCTTGCTGTTGGTGTATAGAAGAGCTATTGATTTATGTACATTAATCTTGTATCCAGAAACTTTGCTGAATTATTTTATCAGTTCTACAAGTTTTCTGGAGGAGTCCTTAGGGTTTTCAAGGTAAATGATTGTATCGTCAGCAAACAGTGACAGTTTGACTTCCTCTTTACCGATTTGGATGCCCTTTATTTCTTTCTCTTGTCTGATTGCTCTGGCTAGGACTTCCAGTACTATGTTGAAGAGGAGCAGTGAGAATGGGCATCCTTGTCTTGTTCCAGTTCTCAGAGGGAATGCTTTCAACTTTTCCTTATTCAGTATTATGTTGGCTGTCAGTTTGTCATAGATGGCTTTTATTACATTAAGGTATGTCTCTTGTGTGCCCATTTTGCTAAGAGTTTTAATCATAAAGCGATGCTGGGTTTTGTTGAGTGCTTTTTCTGCATCTGTTAAGATGATCATGTGATTTTTGTTTTTAATTCTGTTTATGTGGGGTATCACATTTATTGACTTGCGTATGTTAAACCATCCCTGCATCCCTGGTATGAAATCTACTTGATCATAGTGGATTTTCTTCTTGGTATGTTGTTGGATTTCGCTAGCTAGTATTTTGTTAACTATTTTAGCATCTATGTTCATCAAGGATATCAATCTGTAGTTTTCTTTTTTGGCTATGTGCTTTCCTGGTTTTGGTATTAGGGTGATGCTGGATTCATAGAATGAATTTGAGAGGGTTCCTTCTTTCTCTATCTTGTGGAATAGTGTCAAAAGGATTGGTACTAACTCTTATTTGAATGTCTGGTAGAATTCTGTTGTGAACCTGTCTGGTCCTGGACTTTTTGTTGTTGTTGTTGTTGTTTTAATTTTTTTAATTTTTAATTTTTTTTTTTGAGGTGGAGTTTTGCTCTTGTTGCCCTGGCTGGAGTGCAATGGCATGATCTCAGCTCACCGTAACCTCTGCCTCCCAGGTTCAAGTGACTCTCCTGCCTCAGCCTCGCAAGTAGCTGGGATTACAGGCATGTGCCACCATGCCCGGCTAATTTTGTATTTTTATTAGAGATGGGGTTTCTCCATGTTCATCAGGCTGGTCTTGAACTCCAGACCTCAGGTGATCCACCTGCCCCGATCTTAGGTGATCCACCTGCCTCGGCCTCCCAAAGTGCTGGGATTACAGGTGTGAGCCACCGCGCCTGGCTGGTAATTTTTAAATGACCATTTCAATCTTGCTGCTTGTTATTTGTCTGTTCAGGGTATCTAATTCTTCCTGATTTAAGCTAAGAGTGTTGTATTTTTCCAGGAATTTATCCATCTCTTGTAGGTTTTCCTTTATGTACATAAAGGTGTTCATAGTAGCCTTGAATGATCTTTTGTATTTCAGTGGTCTCAGTTGTAATATCTCCTTTTTCATTTCTTAGTGAGGTTATTTGGATCTTCTGTCTTCTTTTCTTGGTTAATCTTGTTAATGGTCTATCAATTTTATTTTTCTTCTCAAAGAACCTGCCTTTTGTTTCATTTATCTTTTGTATTATTTTTGTTTCAATTTCATTTACTTCTGCTGCGATCTTGGTTATTTCTTTTCTTCTGCTGGATTTGGATTTGGTTTGTTCTTGTTTCTCTAGTTTTTTGAGGTGTTACTGTAAATTGTTCTTCTGTGCTCTTTCAGACTTTTTGATGTAGGCGTTTAGGGCTGTGAACTTTCCTTTTAGCACTGCCTTTGCTGTATCCCAGAGGTTTCAATAGGTTGTGTCACTATTGTCATTCAGTTTGAAGCATTTTTTTAATTTCCATTTTGATTTCGTTTTTGACCCAATGTTCATTCAGGAGCAGGTTATTTAATTTCCATGTATTTGCATGGTTTTGAAGATTCCTTTTGGATTTGATTTCCAGTTTTATTCCACTGTGGTCTGAGAGAGTACTTGATATAATTTCAATTTTCTTAAATGTATTGAGGCTCGTTTTATGGTCTGTCATATGGTCTATCTTGGAGAAAGTTCCATGCATTGTTGAATAGAATGCGTATTGTGTGGTTGTTGGGTGAAATGTTTTGTATATATTTGTTGAGTCCATTTGTTCCAAGGTATAGTTTAAATTCATTGTTTCTTTGTTGACTTTCTGTCTTGATGACCTGTCTAGTGCTGTCAGTGGAGTATTGAAGTCTCCCACTATTATTGTGTTGCTGTCTATCTCATTTCTTAGGTCTATTAGTAATTGTTTTATAAATTTGGGAGCTCCAGTGTTAGGTGCATGTATGTTTAGGATTGTGATATTTTCCTGTTGGACAAGGTCTTTACCATTATATACTGTTCCTCTTTGTCTCTTTTAATGCTGTTGCTTTATAGTTTGTTTTGTCTGATATAAGAATAGCTACCCCTACTTGTTTTTGGTGTCCGTTTGCATGAAATGCCTTTTTCCACTCCTTCACTTTAAGTTTATGTGAGTTCTTATGTGTTGGGTGAGTCTCCTGAAGGCAGCAGATAGTTGGTTGCTGGGTTCTTATCCATTCTGCTGTTCTGTATCTTTTAAGTGGAGCATTTAGGCCATTTACATTCAATGTTAGTATTGAAATGTGAGGTGCTGTTGCTTTTATCATGCTCTTTGTTGCCCATGTACTTGGTTTTTTGTTTTTGCTTTTTAACTTGTATTTTTGTTTTATAGGTCCTGTGTGATTTATGCTTTAAAGAAGTTCTGTTTTGATGTGCTTCCAGGATTTGGTTCAAGATTTTGAGCTCCTTTTATCAGTTCTTGTTGTGGTAGTTTGGTAATGGTGAGTTCTCTCAGCATTTGTTTGAAAACAACTGTATCTTTCCTTCATATATGATGCTTAGTTTCACTAGATACAAAATTCTTGCCTGATAATTGTTTTGTTTGAGGAGCCTGAAGATAGGTCCCCAATCCCTTCTAGCTTGTAGGGTTTCTGCTGAGAAATCTGCTGTTAATCTGATAGGTTTTCCTTTATAGGTTACCTGGTGCTTCTGTCTCATAGCTCTTAAGATTCTTTCCTTCATCTTAAATTTGGATAACCTGATGACAATGTTCTTAGGCAGAGATCTTTTTGTGATTAATTTCCCAGGTGTTCTTTTGCTTCTTGTATTTGGCTGTCTAGGTCTCTTGCAAGGCCGGGAGAGTTTGCTTTGATTATTCCCCTAAATCTGTTTTCCAGGGAAAACCTGGACATTTAAATGCTAGTTTAACATGGAGCAGAGGACTCCATTTTTGTAAAATGCTGCAACCTGGGAATTTCCTTTCATAATTTTGATAGACATATGGCACTTCTGGTTGAGAACTGGGCCTATAGCAGTGGCTTAACTTAAGGGTTCCATAGATCCTTGCCTTGGTTCAACATATCCCATCTACGAGATGACAAATGTTTGATTGAAGAAGTATTGAAGAGTATTTGGAAATGTAGACAAATAACAGTATCTGGAGCTTGCAGCACAGTGGGAAATGGAGCCAAGACTGTACCTATAATTTAGGGTAAGGAGCAATAATGAGGTCCCATAAAAATAAAAAACCATGATGTTAAATAGACTGCAGATCATTTGCACCTTGAGGCTTTTCTTAGATTTTATGCCAGCAAAAAAAGTAGTAATAGGGCTTGTGCTTTATGCCAAAAGAATTCCTCGTACACAAGATTTTATTTGCTTTAGTGTAATCAAAGAGACCCTCCCCCTAAAATTATATAAGGGTAAAAAAAAACAAAACAAACAAACAAAAAACCCATCCAGCTATAAAGAGCTGCCAGCCTGGGTTTGGAGCATGGCTTTAATCCTCTGTGCCTGGGGTCATATTGTTTTTATCTTGCTTTTGACTCTATTTCAAAGCTGATGTTGCTATCTACAAACCTTACCTAACAGCTATAATTATTTCATTTGTATTCACTATGAAGTCCTTTCCAATCATGTTAGAGAAATGGATTCCAGTGTTTGCAAGTGACCCCTTATCCTGTCTTTTAAAGAAAATAGCATATATTGTAGGCTCCCCTTATCTGCATTTTTGCTTTCCACAGTTTCAGTTACCCACGATCAACTGCAGTCCAAAAATAAGATATTTTGTGAGAGAGAGAAAGACTATATTCGTATAACTTTTATTATAGTATATTGTTATCATTGTTCTATTTTATTATTATTATTGTAAATCTCTTACCGTGCCTAATTTATAAATTAAACTTAACATAGGTCTGAATGTATAGGAAAAACATAGTATACATACTATATATAGTAAGTGGAGAGCACACCAAATGTATATCATTTTTGTACTGTAGTAAATTTGAAAAATTGTAGGTCAACCCATTATAAGTTGAGGATGGAAGGTCTGTCTATAGGGTTCAGTATTACATGTGGTTTCAGGCATCCATTAGTGGTCCTGATGTGTCCTCTACAGACAAAGGGGGACTACTGTAAGTTTGTAAAACCACTGAACAAGGAGTTTCAAATGTGATAAAATATTAAAATGGGACTCTTCAAGTTCAGCTGAAGCCACAATTAATAGGAATCAACTGGTCGCACATTCCAAGATGAGATGCTAGATCACCCCAGCAGGACCTGCAAGAGTTCTAAAATTTGGATCGTGTCATTGCCTGAGCTTTCAGACATTAGATAAGTCAAGTCAGATTTGATCCTTAGTTTTTTCCTTTGTCAAGTGGGAACAGTTATTGCTACCCAGTGACCTTGTAGGGATGTGTCAATTGAGATGCTGGACCTGAAGATGCCATGAAAATTCGAGGTAGTGGTTCTCTTTCTCCTTCTTGCAGTGGGGTTTTGGGTCACAAAATGACAGGATTGTCCTCAGATACTTTATAGAAAGCCATTGGTGCTGTTAACACAGTATGAGTTTAGTGTTTCATTTTGGAGTCAAACACACTTTATTTTTTTTTCTCACAACTGCTTCTGTGAATCTACTTGCAGGGCTAGATCTTCTGCCCTGGAATCATATCCTAGCTAGTGCTCAGAGCCTGCCACTCACTCTTTGGTAGTAATAACTCCTCTCATTGGTTACCTGAGTTTCCAAACAGTGTTGGTTATGCTATAAATAAGTATAGTCTAGGGTAATAATCAAAACTCTGAAATTCATCCATGGGTAATGCATCTTCTGGCACCATCAAGAGCTTGCTACAGGGGGAGAAGTGGGCTGAGTAACTTCTTTCTCCTTTATTCTTCCATATGCTAGGTGAGTTGGATAGGGGAAGAGAAGAGAAGTAGGAGCCAGGATCAAATTTGCTTGGCTGGTCCCAACCTGGTATTGATTTGCTTTTCTACTGGCAGATGCTTAAGACTGGCCTTTCTTCTCTGAAAGCTGTTTCATGATTTGGACGCTTATCACTAGGGTCCTCTTTTTTGTGGGTGATTCTCTTTTGATGATAAATGAATCATCTAGGGACTTCTCTCTGCTGAGGTCTCCTTGCCTCTAACAAGGCAAGGTCCAAGACTAGCTCAGGGTGCTTTGTCTTGTACTTGGCACTTACCTCCTCCCTGGAAATATGGATCTTTGACCTAAAAGTGTTGTATAGTTATGTCCCCAAATTGAATCTGTTTTGTTTAGCCACCTAGTGAGCAGCTTTAGCCATAGTCTTTCTTTCACTCATTAACTTTCTTAGACTTATGTAAGATGGGTATCAGTTCACTGTGACCCTTAAAATGCAGGGGCACCTACCAAGCCATCTGAGTACACTACCAAAGTCCCTCTCATTTGCTAGAAATAAAGGGAGTACCATAGCCCTGATACTTTTCCACTGGAGGGAAGCATTGCAAGTACACTTGAAAATTCTCTTTGAAGAAATCCTTGCCGGGCACAGTGGCTCACACCTGTAATCCCAGCACTTTGGGAGGCTGAGCGGGGCAGATCATCTGAGATCAGGAGTTTGAGACCAGCTTGGCCAACATGGTGAAACCCCATCTCTACTAAAAATACAAAAATTAGCCAGGCATGGTGGCAGGTGCCTGAAATACCAGCTACTTGGGAGGCTGAGGCAGGAGAATCACTTGAACCGAGGAGGCAGAGGAATGCAGTGAGCCGAGATCACATCATTGCACTCCAGCCTGGGTGACAGAGACAGACTTCATCTCAAAAATAAAATAAAATAAAAAATAAAATAAAATAAAAAGAAATCCTTAATTCCCAATTCTAAGCTCCTCTGATAGTATATTCAGCATCTTTTTTATGCTATGCAGAGATGTACTCAGCTAAGGGGTGCAGACCTGGGTCTTAGACATCTCCTTTGCAGGTCCTGCTGGGGTGATACAGTACCTCATCTTGCAATATGGGACCAGTTGATTCCTATTATTTTGTGGCTTCAGCTGAACTTGAAGGGTCCCATTTTAACATTGTGTTATATTTATATCAGCTTACCCCAAACTGTAGTCTATGGAACACTGCTTCAGAAAAGGGTTCCATTTTTTTTAAAAAGGGTCCTTATCAAGTGTATTTGGGAAATATATGTAAGATTTCCAGCTCTTCAGGTGCTCATTGCATATAAGCCTATCGAAGACCATGTGGAATCTAGCATGAGGAGTGGTGTTTGACCCTTTCCAAACCCAGTGTTTCTCAAATATATTTAACCACACAATTTATTAACATGGTGTCTCTTTGTTTGCATTTTGGGAGATGCTGCTGTAGATGGTTGCTGGTGATGCTTCCATTGGGTTTAGCTAAGAATGTCCATACATTCTTCCAAAGTTTTCCTAAATAAAAAAGCTTAATTCCTTCTTAGTAGAAATGGGCTCATTTTAAGATGAGTATCTGTTTTGGAAATAGTCCATCAGCATTGGCGATGTGAGGAAAAAAAGAGTAATGAGTAGGCTTGTTGCCTTGCTTATTGCAAACAGCAAAAAATAAAAGATAAGATTATAATAATATTTATATGTATCATAGTAATATTGATTATTATGATACAACTCATTATAATAGGAGTTTGTAGTATCCTGGTATTCTGTCTGGACTTTGAGAGCTTAGCTTCAATGAACTATAAAGGGAAAGTCATAGTTAATTATTCTCACCTGGACAAGATATTGTTATCTCCTGTGTTTTTTAAGTCACTACCATCAGTTGCATTGGTTTTGAGTCTTCCCAAATGTGTCTACCTTTGGGAAGGCCCAATTGGCCAGTTCCTAGACAGTTTTTTTTTATGTACACAGCTCATTTTCACATATGGATCATAACTTCCCAGGCTATCCTAGCATAGCCTATCCCATCTATCCCCTCATTGTGTTTCAATGATAAGATGATGGGCTTTATAGTTCTTTTCTGTTTCAAACTTTGCAAGTATTTATTCTGAATAACATTAGAGTCTCACTAGCATGAAAAACTGTCCTGGTTTGCCTGGGACTGTCCTGGCTTTAGTACTCAGAGTCCCACATTCTGGAATCCTCTCTCCAAAATGCAAAATGTCTTGGTTTTCAATAGTGGATGGCAAAGCTTGGAAAAATACAAAGCCCATATGTCAGCCCAAAATATAGGTGCTGAAAGCAATGCTGTTTTAGTGTCAAATAGGTACAGCATAGATTATCTATCTTCCATAGTTATTGTTACTATTCACCCCTCCCATGTTGACAATCATGATTTGCAGTTCACACTAACGGATCATTCATTATTGTTTCACTCCAATTGATGAAACTCAAGTGTACACCATAACTACATTGTAAGTTGAGTGTTAAAAGTCCATCTGTCTTTGACTTTGTCTTTATATTAACTTGTTGTGCTTTGTATCAAGATAATGCCAGTTTAATTTTTAACTTTATGAATATTGTGACCATATTCTCTAAGAGTTCAGATAGTGAAAATGAAGATGATTATTATACCAATGCCAGCATCCTAGAAAAAGAAGGTTAGATGGTTGCTATTTTAATGGCAGATGAAAGGACTCATACGTCTGGATTGGGCAGATAAATAATCAAAACAGAGCATACTGCACAAGATGCAGAAAAGAAGATATAAAAGTGCATAGGGAGACTGAATCCCACAATTTTGGCATGAGGTAGACAAGTACTTCTGAGTCAATCAAAAGTTTCTTGTCTCCCAAGAAGACACCAACGCTCAGTTGAATATAGCAGCCACTGAATTATCTTGAGTATACGACACAAATAAGCAGCGTCATTGCATTATTCCCTTGATTGCTTTCTGAAACTGATTAAAATTATATTTCCTGATTCACAGGTTGCAGTTAAAGTGCCCTAGGCATGAACAGCAGGGGAAGTTTTGGGTAACATGTGCTGGCCCTCTATGTAGCAGAGTTAATTCTGTTAGATTTGAACAACAACTCTAGTATATCAAGAAATTCTTGAATCATGGCAATAAGATAATGTTCCCTTTAGCTCTTTAGTACTTGAACTTGATAAATGGAGATTCAGAATGTCTTTTGGATTTTTATAAAGATTTTAATGAAACTGTAGAAACATAAAACAAAAGATTACTGATAACTTGTCTAAAAACAAGCTAGATTTAGCTCATCTATCTGCATGTGTGGCAGGCAGTGCAAATGTAAATTTTGGTAAACTTCATTCAGTGTGTAAATTTCTTAACAAAGAAAAGAAAAAGATTTCAACTGCTAAAAGTTCAGTATACTTTTTCTGCAAGGATGCTAAAAAAAATGGGATTTGCTTACCTGTGATATTGAGGCTTTTTCTAAAACTCTCTGATGATCTTTGAAGAAGCCATAAGGAGCCTAGAAAAGGACAACTGACTATACCCAAGTTGTTGGATGTTATGTGTAGGATGTGACAGAAACTCATACAGAAAAAAAGGACTTATGTTTTGGAAATAAGCCTGTTTCAAATGAAAAAAAAAAATATGTTACCAGAGGACTGCCAGGTTAGGCCAATCTTTCTCAGTTTTTCAATTTCTTTAATAAAACTGTCACTTACTTGGAATCTGGCTTTGATTTCACAAGTTTGAATTACTTCTGTGCTTTAAAACCATTTTACCTGCCAAAGAAAAGTTTTGCTTATGATGACATCCAAAATGCTTCGTAGTGTTTTAAAAATGATCAACATATTGGACATGGATAACCTATATGACTAGTTTATAGATGCAGTGGATCTGACTGACAAACTGCTGGTCCATCAAAGCAGGCATGTGGATACAAAGTGGATGAACATTTTTGGAGAGCTAGAAATTAATCCCTACAAGTCTTAAATCCTGATGTTACTAGTAAGTAAACTTCTAAGTGTTCCATGCTGAATTTTTTTTTTTTTTTTCGGGGGGAGAGGATATTTGACTTGGTGGAGTCATACCAATACAGTGTAAAGTGGGCTTGATAAAGAGCATAGTCTAAAGTTAAATCAAGTTTTACATTTGACTATATTCATTTAGTTTTAACACTACAGAAAAGAATAGAAGTGTGTTGTAATGGTTGAAAGCAGTTTAAAGAACTATTACTGGAAAAGGAAACAGAGAGTAAGAATATCCTGCTGTATCATGCTGTATCACAGGACAGATGGAAACGTGTCATAGTTTTTGGGTTTTTTTTAATAGACATGAGGGTACAAGTACATTATTATTACATGGTTTTATTGAATAGTGATGAAGAGTGGGCTTTTAGTGTAACCAACACCCAAATAGTGTATATCATTCCCAATAGGTAATTTCTCATCCCTTACCCCTCAGCCACCCCTCCACCTTTTGGAGCCTCCAGTGTCTATTATTCCATTTTGTATATCTATGCGTATACATTATTTAGCTCCCACTTATGAGTGAAAACATGCAGCATTTGACATTCTGAGTTATTTAACTTTAGATAATGGCATCTAGTTTCACCCGTGTTGCTGCAGAAAACATAATTTCATTCATTTTAGGGCTAAGTAGTATTCCATAATATATACATATATATCATGCCTCTCTATCTACCTATCTATACATACATACAAACATACACACACACTACTATAGATACACACACACAGCACATTTTCTTTATCCAGTCATCTGTGGATGGACACCTAGATTGATTTTATAACTTTACTATTGTGAATAGTACTGTGATAAACATACAAGTGCAGGCAACTTTTTAATATAATTTTTTTTCCTTTGGGTAGATATGCAGGAGTGGAATTGCTGGATTTAATGGTAGTTCTATTTTTAATTCTTTAAGAAATAGCCATACTATTTTCCATAAAGGTTGTACTTTCATTCCCACCAGTAGGGTATAAGCATTCACATTCCTGTTTCTCCACATTCTTGCCAACATCTGTTGTATTTTGACTTTTTAATAATAGCCATTCTGACTGGTATATGATGGCATCTCATTGTGGTTTTAATTTACATTTCTCTGATGGTTAGTAATGTTGAGCATTTTTTCAAATGTTTGTTGGGCACTTGGAAGTCTTTTTTTTTTTTTTTTTTTTTTTTTTTTTTTTTTTTTTGAGACGTAGTCTCGCTCTGTTGCCCAGGCTGGAGTGCAATGGCGCGATCTCCGCTCACTGGAAGCTCCACCACCTGGGTTCACACCATTCTCCTGCCTCAGCCTCCTGAGTAGCTGGGACTACAAGTGCCTGCCACCACACCTGGCTAATTTTTTGTATGTTTAGTAGAGACAGGGTTTCACCGTGTTAGCCAATATGGTCTCAATCTCCTGACCTCATGATCTGCCCACCTCGGCCTCCCAAAGTGCTGGGATTACAGGTGTGAGCCACCACACCCAGCCGTATGTCTTCTTTTGAGAATGTCTGTTCATATCCTTTGCCTACCTTTTAATGGGGTTATTTATTTTGTTTTTCTTGTTGAGTTGTTTGAGTTCCTTGCAGATTCTGGATATTAGCCCTTTGTTGGATGCATAGTTTACAGATATTTTCCTCCATTCTGTAGATTATCTGTTTACTTTGTTGATTATTTCTTTGCTATGCAGAAGCTTTTTAATTAAATCCCATTAGTCTGTTTTTGTTTTTGTTGCATTTGATTTGGGGCTCTTAGTTACAAATTCTTTGCCTAGGCCAATGTCAGAAGAGTTTTTGCTAAGTTTTCTTCTAGGGTTTTAATAGTTTGAGGTCTTTATTCCATCTTGAGTTAATTTTTGTATCTGGTGAGACATATGGGTCCAGTTTCATTCTTTCGCATATGGCTACCCAATTTTCCCAGCACCATTTATTAAATATGATGTCCTTTCTCCAGTATATGTTTTGTCAACTTTGTTGGAGATCAGTTGCTTGTAGATATGTGGCACTATGTCTGGGTTTTCTGTTCTGTTGCATTGATTGATGTGTCTATTTTTATACCAATATCAGACTGTTTTGGTTTCAATTGTTTTGTAGTATAATTTGAAGTCAGGTAATGTGATGCCTCCAGCTTTTTTCTTTTTGCTTAGGATTGCTTTAGCTATTCAGTTTCTTTTTTGGTTCCATCTGAATTTTAGGATTATTTTCTCTATTTCTGGGGAAAATAATATTGGTGATTCGGATTCGATAGGAATTGCATTGAATCTGAATATTCCTTTGGGTAGTTTGGTCATTTTAACAATATTTGACTTTTTAATCCATGGGCATGGGATGTTTTTTCTATTTGTTTGTGTCATCTGTGATTTTTTTCATCAGTGTTTTGTAGTTCTTTTTGTTAGAGATCTTTTACCTTCTTGGTTAAATGTATTTCTAGGTATTTTACTTTTTTATAGCTATTGTAAATGGGATTGACTTTTGTATTTTGTTCTGAGTTTGATTATTTTTGGTGTATAGAAATGCTACTGATTTTTGTAGGTTGAATTTTTATTCTGAACTTTACTGAAGTCAGTTATCAAATCTAGGAGTCTTTTGGAGGAGTCGTTAAAGTTTTCTAGGTATCAGATCATATCATCAGAAAACAGAGATAATTTGACTTCCTCTTTCCCAATTTGGATGCCTTTTATTTATTTCTTTTGCCTGATTACTCTAGCTAGGACTTCCAGTACTAGAATAGGAGTGGTGAAAGTGGCATCCTTGTTTAGTCCCAGTTCTTAGGGGGAATGCTTTCAATTTCTCCTCATTCAGTATGATGATGGCTGTAAGTTTGTTGTATATGTCTTTTATTATTTTGAGGTATGTTCCTTCTATTTCTAGTTTGTTGAGGGTTTTAATCATGAAGAGATGCTGAATTTTATTGACTGTTTTTTTTCTACGTCTATTGAGATAATCATATGGCTTTTGTTTTTATTTGTGCTTATGTGGTGAATCACATTTATTGATTTGCATATGTTGCAAATCCCTGGAATAAAACCCACTTGATTATGATATATTATGTTTTTGATGTGCTACTTAATTCAATTTGCTGCTATTTTGTTAAGGATTTTTGCATCTATGTACATCAGGAGTATTGGTGTGTCTTTTCTTTTCTCTCTTTTTCTTTTTTTTTCTTTTTTTTTTTTTTTTGAGACGATGTCTTGCTCTGTCTCCCACGCTGGAGTGCAGTGGCGCCATTTTGGCTCACTGCAACCTCTGCTTCCCCGGTTCAAACAATTCTTCTGCCTCAGTCTCCCGGGTAGCTGGTATTACAGGCATGCGCCACCACGCTCAGCTACTTTTTATATTTTTAGTAGAGATTGGGTTTCACCATGTTGGCCAGGCTGGTCTCAGACTCCTGACCTCAGGTGATCCACCCACCTCGGCCTCCCAAAGTGCTGAGATTACAGGCGTGAGCCACTGTGCCTGGCCTTCTTTGTGTGTGTGTGTGTGTGTGTGTGTGTGTGTGTGTGTGTGTCCTTGCCTGGCTTTGGTATCAGGGTGATATTGGCTTTATAGAATGAGTTAGGGAGGAGTCCTTCCTCCTCAATTTTTTGGAATACTTTCACTACGATTGGTGCCAGTTCCTAGAATGTGTGGTAGAATTCTGCTGTGAATCTGTCTGGTCGTGGGCATTTTTTGTGATTGTTAGGAGATTTTTTACTACTGATTCAATCTCACTACTTGTTATTGGTTTATTCAGGGTTTCTATTTTTTCCTGGTTCAATTTTGGGGGTTATATATTTATCGATTTCCTATAGGTTTTCTAATTTGTATGCATAGAAATGCCCATAGTAGTCTTTTATGAGCTTTTGTATTTCTGTGGTTTCAATTGTAATGTGTTCTTTATCACTTCTGATTGTGCTTATTTGACTTTTCTCTCTTTTTTCTTGTTTAGCTAGC
Organism: Homo sapiens; assembly: GCF_000001405.40. NCBI lineage: Eukaryota > Metazoa > Chordata > Mammalia > Primates > Hominidae > Homo > Homo sapiens. The sequence continues at coordinate 76,379,628 of NC_000010.11, forward strand.
AGTTTATCAATTTTGTTTATCTTTTCAAAAAAACGACTTTTTGTTTTATCGATACTTTGTGTTGTTTTTTGATTTTAATTTTATTTCGTTCTGCTCTGATCTTTGTTATGTATTTTCTTCTGCTAGCTTTGGGTTTGGTTTGTTCTTGTTTTTGTAGTTTCTTGATGCGTGACCTTAGACTGTTAATTTTTGATCTATCTTTTGAATATAGGCATTTAATGCCATAAACTTTCCTCTTAGCACCACGTTTGCTGTATTCTAGAGGTTTTGGTTTGTTGTGTCACTGTTTTCATTTGTTTCAAAAAATTTTTTAATTCTTGCCTTAATTTTGTCATTGATCCAAAGATCATTCAGAAGCAAGTTGTTTCATTTCCACATACTTGTATAATTTTGAGAGTTTCTCTTGGTATCGACTTATAGTTTTATTCTACTGTGGTCCAATAAAATACTTGGTATGAATTTGAGTTTTTAAAACTTATTGAGACTTGTTTTATGGCCTAAAATGTCTATTTTGGAGAATATTCCATGCGTAGATGAGAAGAATGTATATTCTGTGGTTGTTGGGTAGAATGTTCTGTAAATATCTGTTAGGTTGATTTGATCTAGAGTTCAATTTAAGTTCAAAGTTTCTTTGTTGATTTTCTGCCTCCATGTCATTGTTATTTTTCATTATTTATAGGTAATATCTGTTTCTAATGTTATTTTCATTTTCTTTTTAAAAAGTCTTATGTTTGTGTATCTTAAGAATATACATAATATAGGCCAGGCATGATGGCTCACACCTGTAATCCCAGCACTTTGGGAGGCCGAGGCAGGCGGATCACAAGGTCAGGAGATCGAGACCATCCTGGCTAACATGGTGAAACCCCATCTCTACTAAAAATACAAAAAATTAGTCGGGCGTGGTGGCGGGCGCCTGTAGTCTCAGCTACTCAGGTTGCTGAGGCAGGAGAATGGTGTAAACCCAGGAGGTGGAGCTTGCAGTGAGCCGAGATTGCACCACTGCACTCCAGCCTGGGCGACAGAGCAAGACTCCACTTCATAAAAAAAAAAAAAAAAAAAAAGAGGAATATACATAATATAGCCTATAAATTTAAATATCCAATAAAGTGCTTAAAAAGTGTTAAAACAAATTGCTTTATCAGAGGACAGAAACATTACTGTAATATTTTTCTCACACATATTATTTGTTTAGTTAGTCCTACTATTAATTAATGTTAATTGCCACTGTTAACAACCTATTTTTATTTAAATAATAAAATGCATGTAGCTGAAAGGTAAATACTATAGAATAATAAATAATTTCAAATAAAACCTTATTTTTAACATTTTTGTGTTAAAATACTAATGTATGTATGTATTAGTAATTAATTATTGTAAATTTTTATCTTTGCTTTTTTTTTTTTTTTTTTGGCTTGGAATGGCTGTACCCTAGGTTACTCTAATGGTCACCAGGGTACTTTTCCCAAGCCCGTAATGTTTTAAGACAAGCAAGCAAATCTAATTCTCATTAATTGCCTCTTACCTGGTATAAGTAACCTCTCACATTGGACACTGACTGTAAAAGGAGTTACTATTACATTATCCTTATCAATTATCTGTGACAGTGGAGCCAGTAATTCTCAAAACATTTGTACGTCATTTAGGACTCTTTTTAAAGTAAATTACATTTACTTTAAAATGTAATTTATTTGATATTTGGTATCTTCAATTTTTTGTTGGTGCTAATTGAAAAAAGGAGAATTGACAATAGTCCATATATATCACCAATACCTGTACATATCTGGTAATTGGCTGGGGACTGAAACTTCTTTTAAATCCAGTAGTTAGAAAATGATGCTTATATTTTCATAATTGTGCCCTGTATTTACCATCTCGCAATAATCCATAAGAGTTTTCTGGTATTCCAAGCCCTTGTGGAGTGTCCCTTTCTTATCACTAACTACCCTCTCCTCACATGGAAGTAGACATATACCCTCATATCCGGTAAGCATCTCCGTGCTTACAAAAGAATATCCCACTCCTTTAGCTCTTTGGCTCCTTTCTTATTCCTACCTATACTTCAAAGCCCCTTGAAAATGCCCTCCACTTTACAAAACTTTCTTCAGACCATTTTTCTAACCTACACTCCTGTGTACCACATGCCTTACTACTCAGCTACCATCTTGTATTGTCCTGTGAAGTCTCATCTGTTCTCTTCTTGGATGGATTGAGAAGTAGAGATCATGGCTTATTCTTCCCTTGTATCCACCCAGAATACTAGAACAAGGCTAGGCAGGTTGTAATTGTTCAAAAAAGACCATCAATTGGTTTTTATAAATGATGAGTCCTGCAACACATGACATGGAAGTAGGCAAATAATAATATATCTTCTCATAGAAACGTTGTCCATCATGTTTAACAGCACGTGAAAGCACATTGTTGCAATGGAAAAATAAGTGAAGACAGGAAAAAATGACCATAGTAACCCTGACTCCTGGGCTAAGATTTTAGTTAATACCGTACTACTTCTGGGTAGAGACTCTAGATTATTTAAAACACATAGACACACTCACATGCACACATTCTTACGCACATGTACACACACAAGCACACAAAGAATGGGGGTTTGGCCTTGACATACTTTTAGAATTTGATACCAGTACTTTTTAACAGCATGGTCTAAAGTTGGAAAAATAGGAATTCAGTGTCTAGTTGAGTTATGAGTTGAGAATGAATTTCACAACAAACCTCGATGATTTTCCACCAACAACACCAACCCAAAGACAATCACTTGGTGGCCATCGTATTGCAAAAGAAGCAGAGCACAGACATGCTGTCTGTTTCACTTAAATTTATGAGAACCTGCTGAAAGGGAATGTAGAAAGTAAACGACCCATGGTAAAGCATTGTGAATGAAGGGAGAGGTGCTGTGGTTAGCTGGGTTGCTCAATTCCTCAGATTCTCAAAGCCAGGAGAAAATTTATCCTCTTCCACTGAGACATAAACTAAACTCCTTTTGGCCATTAATCTGCAAAGTTGATGCCTGCCATGGTAATTCATCAGACATTTTTGTGGGGTGAGTCTGGTGGGGCCTCTGGGGCATCTGCCTTTGAAATTCAAAGAACAGCTTTGTCCCCTGGGGACAGAGTGACTTTCTTCCCTCATTGCACATCTGGAAGGGGAGTTTCTGCTCCCACTCTCCCCCAAGCCAAGGCAGGGCCTGAAAGAGCTGCCATCTTCATGAAGCATGTACTTGTACCTCACTTTTCTGATCACTCTACCCAGACTGTCAGACGAAGAGAAGGAAGAGAAATACAGCCAGCACACTGTTTGTAAGTGCCTTTTTCCCATTACAGTTCAGCACAGAGAAAGGACAATTACTGTTTTTAGTGGGTTTTATAGGAGCCACAGTCACTGCACTAACCATTGTGAAAAATGAGCAGAATTCTCAAGCTACATGTCTCAATCATCTGCACATAAATTGGGCAATGGTTTTGGAATCTTGGGGTCTAATCTGAATTTACAAGTGTGTCTCCAGGCCCAGTGACAAATACATGATCTGAAGACAGCGGGCATTACTATGAAGAACATAGCCTTGGGTGCTGGGCTCATCTTTTGCCCCTTCAGTAACAGGCACCTGCCAATGCCTTGGTCTCTTAGCTGGAGGTTTCTCCTGAACCTTCCAGTCCTTAAGTGAACTGGCCGTGTTTTCTCTACAGGCTCCTGGTCCTCTGTCCTCCAGCTCTGCACCACACTCCAGACACAGTGGTTACCTTTCAGTTTTTTGAGTACACCAATGTCTTTTCTTTTTTTTTTTTTTTTTTTTTTTTTTGAGACGGAGTCTCGCTCTGTCGCCCAGGCCGGACTGCGGACTGCAGTGGCGCAATCTCGGCTCACTGCAAGCTCCGCTTCCCGGGTTCACGCCATTCTCCTGCCTCAGCCTCCCGAGTAGCTGGGACTACAGGCGCCCGCCACCACGCCCGGCTAATTTTTTGTATTTTTAGTAGAGACGGGGTTTCACCTTGTTAGCCAGGATGGTCTCGATCTCCTGACCTCATGATCCACCCGACTCGGCCTCCCAAAGTGCTGGGATTACAGGCGTGAGCCACCGCGCCCGGCCCACCAATGTCTTTTCTACATAGAACTATCCACCCTGACTAGAAGGCCCTGCCGTACAATCTTTGTGATATTGGCTTCTTTTGACATTGAGGTTTCAGCTTGAATGTCATCTCCTCAGAGAGGTCTTCTGAGACCACTCAGTTTAAAGGAGCCACAACCAGCTACCCACCAGTCACTTTCCATCATTTGTCAGTGTGTCACTTTCCTTGTGACATTTACTGATACCTGCCATTTTTTTTTCTCTCTCTCTTCTCTTTCTCTCTCCAGCCCTCTTTCTCTCTCTCTCCCCCTTTCCATCCCACTTCTACCTCTATGAAATAGTAAACTCCCAAAGAGCATGGTCCTTAATCTGTCCTGTTCACTGTGCTATGTCCATAGGATGTGTTCAGTCATTCTTGCTGAATGAATGGTTTCCCTGTTCTTTGGGTGTTTGACTGAGGGTAGCATGACATTTACAGTAAAGTTTATGTCATTTTTCATATTAAAAAACATGCTTGGATCAACATCTTTTAGGTAGAATTCACTCTTATACATTTATCTATTAACCAATGTATTCATTTATTCATTCAATTGATATTTGTTATCTACTATATGCCAGATACCTTGGCGAGATGTTACAGATGTCAGAGAAGTTTCGGCCAGGGAAATGATATAAAGAAATGGAGAGAGACACATGTGAAAACAAAATTTCATATTTTATACCGAATGTTATATCCAGACCTGTCTGTCTAATATCCAATTTTCTTTTTCTAGCTAAACTGCTATCTTTCTGCTCCAACTGTCTGCTCTCCAGTAAGGCTCTTTCTTCATTACCCCACAATTGGACCTCATCTTCACTTATGTTATTACTTTATTCTAGACTGTCTTCTCTCTGCTGTTTTCTTTGAGGCCAGTTCAGGACTTTCCGTCCCAGGAAGGTTTCCACAACTCTGTGAGCTCCCATTTGTCCCCTGAGCTGTTCTCTTTAGTACGTAAAGTCTAGACCCTTCAAAAATTTAGAGCTTTGTACTGATGATGATTTTGCTTGGATTTGTATTTCTTCCACATGTGTTAATATTGAAAACCCAACTCAATTCTATCTTCTTTGAGAAAGCAGCCATGTTTTATAATTCTTCTAGGTCTCTGCCAATATCACAGGTAGTATAGGGAACATAATAGCAGTCAATAAATTCTTACTGATTGATTGGTGTCGAAATTGGGTTGTCAGTTCCAGACGGCATGCTGAATGAGAGCAGGTCTGGGAAAAGCCTCTTCAGCATTCAGCCTCCCTGTAGATCAAGTACAGGCAAAGCTTATGGCAAAAGGTGGTGAAAGGCAAAATTCCAATAGCAAGAGTATTATTAATCTACTTAAGGCATTAAGTGTTGTCCAGTATTAGATTGGACCGGAAATCCTGGTTTTCAACTCTTTCCCATTTGAATGCCCAAGAGGCTGTCAGTGAGTGAGAGGAAATACGGAATTGGCTTTCAGTTGCCCGAGGAGAGGAGCTTAAATTCCTAGATTTATGGCTCTACTTTACCTGAAACTTTTATTTTGCTTTTACTTTTATGTACCAATCGAGTGTACTCTATTTCTGTTGGTGCTTCCTAAACAGTCTAAGGGAGCTCTAAAAATAAGTACCAACCAATTTATACAGTAATGTTCATAGCGTTGTTTACAGAATGCCTCATCACAGGTCGGTATCCTGGGAGACCCCAAAAGGTATGATACTTTCAGAGAGGGGCCTTAGTGAAGGAGGTATAGTTTGCAGTATGAATGGTCTGTCTGTGATCTCTGAACTCAATTATTCTGGTTTTTCAAAATCTAGTAGTAGTAAAAGAAGCAGGCAGAGTGTAGTAGTCTTGTGTCCCGAATCTCTTTACTAACATGCCATCTTGCTGCTTCTGTTTGGCCTGATTTTCCTCATCATGCTCTACATTTCTGGAAGTCCTTTGGTCTTCCTTCTGTTGAAGTTTTCTAGCTCCTTCATATCCCACCTTATCCTCATTTCCTGGAGTGAACTCTTTCTTCTTTGACTCTCTATAGCACTCAGGTGCTTCTTCATTCATTTGCTGCTTATTAAAATTGCCATTTAATGTGTATGCATCTTGTTTTCTTAAGTTGACTTTAACCTATTGTTTGGCAGGAACTTTGTCTCATACTTCTTAATATCTCCAGAGTGCCCATAGTAAATGCTCAATAAATATTTGCTGCTAATGATATATCTTAGTTGACTCATCTTGTTTCTGGTAAATTTTACTGTAACAAGTAGCAATATAATGATATAACTTAAAAGAGGACAAAGAAAATCTAGAGGGACTTTGAACACTTGATTAGAACTCTAAAAGGGAGAAATTCTTTCAGTGTTGGTCAGTAATATAAAAATTATTTTGAATGATTTTATCAACTTGACATATCTGGCTATTATTACAAGTGTTTGTTTATGTGTTAATCTCTCCTAAACTTGACAAGGATAGGGTCTTCTTAAGCACAAAGTCTATATATTTTATATGTCCTTGGCTTTATTTGGATTACCAAGTGAGTAGAGAGCTGAAAAAATATTTATTAAATGCATAAATGAATGAATAACCTTCAAATCCAAAGCTAGAAATTCTGTTAAAGAAAAGATTTAGACCCTCTATCTCTCAAAGTTGCAAGTTACTAATGCTGCTCACCCATTTTCGGTTAATACTAATAGTCTGTCTTCTACATGGGGAAGTTTGTTGGACTAAAATGTGATAATAGGGACCATAAGTTGATGCCTTTGCATTGGCTGGTTTGGGAATAGCTGTTGAGAGGATACAATGTAGTTTCTTTTCAGTTTTATTTGTCAGCCTTGATCTTGGTGGAGGAACATGTTCTTAACACCTACAAGATAACAGGATTGTTTAAACATTACAATATCACACCCCATATTTGAGTTTTATGAAAAACTGTGAATAGGGCCAATGTCCTAATTTGTCAAAAATGTTAAACTAATATTGCAATTCTATAAAATAAATTATTGACAGATTTTATAACATAAAAATGTGTATTTTTATATATCTGTAGCATTATAAGCAAAATTAAGGAAAATAAGCTAGGAGATAATATTTTAAAATATAATTAAATATTTTATTCCTTTATTATAGGAAGAGCTTTTACGAGTTCTACTGAACAACAACAAAAAATCCAGTAGAAATGTTGGACAAAAGATGTGATTATACAAAACTAGAAATGCAAGTAAACATAAAAAGCTCAAACTTACTTAAAAACTTAAAATGAAATATTCGTAAATAAAACTATTACTGAGGGCCTATAAAATTTTGGGTTAAAATGAAATGGTAATACTTAATAAATGTTAGGGCACAATGATGCTATCTTTCTTACATCTTTCTTTTTAGAAGTAACTTATTTCAATGTTTCTGGAAAGCAATTTGATAATTTTTATATTACTACAAAAATATGGTAGCTACCCTTTGGCTCAACAATTTTTTAGAACACAAAAATGCAGTCAAAGATGTATATAAAAGACTGAAAGTAATTCTTCATAGCCTTGTTTATATGAAGGAAAACTGAAAACAGCCTAAATATTTAACAATAGGTGAAATGATTAGAAATGTGGTATATTCAGAGCAGGCATAGTGGCTCATGCCTATAACCCAGCATTTTGGGAGGCTGAGGTGGGCAAATCTCTTGAGCCCAGGAGTTTGAGACCAGCCCGGGCAATATGGCAAAACCCTGTCTCTGCAAAAACTATAAAAATTAGCTGGGCATGGTGGTGCACGTGCGTGTAATCCCAGCTACTTGGAAGGCTGAGGCAGGAGGCTAGATTGAGACCAGGAGGTAGAAGCTGCAGCGAGGTATGATCATGCCGCTGCACTCCAGCCTGGGGGACAGAATGAAACACTGTTTCAAAAAAAAAAAAAGTGGTATATTCAGATGATCATATATTATTTAACCCACAAAAATAAGTCTTTTTAAACTTAAATTTAAATTTTTTAAGTGAAAGCAAGATTATTAAGAAAGTAAAGGAATAAAGAATGGTTATTCCATAGGCAGAGCACAAAAATAAGTTTTAAAAGAGTACCATGAGATTGTGCTTATAATAACAAGTGGGGAAAAGTACTAAAAGCTACATAGAGCATCTCAATTTAATGGACCCACACAAGACTTTGAAGAAGTTCACTGAAATATCAGCAGTGGTTCTCATTGCACAATAAAACAGACTGTGAGTGATTTTTTTGACTGGGTCAAACATCATTGTCCTGTCATCTTTGTGTGACTGAGAGGCTAAGTGTCAGAACACTGTAGATATAGTTAGTTTGAAGGAATTCATTCATTCTTTGAACGAAAAATGTAGTATGTATTATGAGTCTGGTACCATGCTAGATCCTGTAACAAGGAGCTTAGAATGAAATGTGCGATACAGCTAGGTCAGTAGATATCTATGTTCTAAGTATTATTGTATTAAGTGCTTGGATAATATAGTAATGAGGATGATAATGATGATGCCATAGAGACCACTTATGTAGATCTTCTAGTTTCTGTTGCTGTGTAACAAGTTATACCAAAAGTTTAGTAACTAAAACCACCGTTGTATTCAGCTCATGGTTTCTGTGGGTCAGGGATTCAGAAAGCATAAGGTAATAGCTTTTTCTCTACATCACAATGTCTTCACCCTCAGCTGGGAAGACATGAATGCTAGGGCTGACTTGACTGGAAATGGGAATGATCTGAAGACTCATGTTCATACATTCATCTGTTTGGGCTAGGAGGACCCACAGATGAGGATTTCTAACTGAAATGCCTACATACTCCTTGTGGCCTGGCTTGCTTGTGGTTTGGCAGCCTCAGGGTAGTTGGATTTACATGAAAGTGCAAGGTTTCATGCCCATGCATTCTAGTCAGCAAAGCAGAAGCTGCATCAGAAGTTTTTCTGACTTATTCTTGGAAGTCACACGTACACACTGATTCAAGGGAAGGGGACACGGATACCACCTTCTGGTGGGAGGATAGTCATGTTGAAGATCAAATGGAATTGGAGATATTGTATGTGACTTCATTATGTGCTAGACATTATTCATACTGCTTTCTAGCAAGTAGTTCATTTAATCCTCACTACAATTCATGAGGTAAGTAGTATTAGCATTGCCTCCTTTAAACAAGAATCTGAAGTCATGGAGCTAAGTAGCTTGCCTAAGGTCACATAATAAGTGGCAAAGCTGGACTTCAAACTCAGGCAGTCTGGCTCCAGTGTTTATGCTCTTAATCAGTGGAGGTGATCAGGTTACTAGGGACATATGCAGAAGACCTGCCTAACCCTGACACAGGACAGGGAGCAGGGAGTAGATAAAGGAAGGCTCCCTTGAAGAAGTGATACCTAAACTGAGTTATGAAGGATTAACAGACCCTAGTTTGAGACTTGAAGGACTAATAAAATGGACAGTAGTTAGCTGGGCTGTGGGTAGATGGTTGGAATGGGAAAATGCCTCATGAAGGGAGAACGGCATGTAGAAAGCCCCCAGGCAAGTGAGTACGGCATATTCAGGCAATTGCAAGTTGCTCCTCAGTGCTAGAATTCAGAGCTGTGGTGGCAAGTTTCGAATGGTGAGGCTGGAGAGATTGACAGGAATAAAATTAGAAGGGCCCAAGCAATCCAATGATTGCTTGATCACCATACTGAGAGATCACCAGGATGGTGATGTTACTGAATTGACTCTTCTGTTTTCCTCCTAGCAATTAGCCATGTATTTATTAGCATTTGCCTTTTTTATTGTAGTAAAATATATAAAACTTAAAATTCACCATTTAAATCATTTTTAAGTGTACAGTTCAGTGGCGTTAAGTACCTTCACATTGTGGTACCACGATGACCACCATCCATCTCCAGAATCTTTTCATCCTGCAAAACTGAAACTCCATACTCATTAAACACTAACTTCCCATTCACTCCTCCCCTCTAGAATCCACCATTCTACTTTCTATATCTGTGAACTTCACTACTCTAAGTACCTCATATAAATGAAATTAATATTATGTGGACTTTTGTGCTTACTTATTTCGCTTAGCATAATGTCCTCAAAATTCATCCATGCAGCAGCATGTGTCAAAATTTCCTTTCTTTTTTAGGCTGAATAATATCCAATTGTATCTATATGCCACATTTTGTTTATTCATTCATCTTGTTGATGGTCATTTGGGCTGCTTCTGCCTTTTATCTATTATGAATAGCTCTGTACATGGATGTACAAATGCTTCTTAAGACCTATAGATAAATCTTTGAGACCTTGTTTCCGATTCTTCTGAGTATATATACAGATTTAAAATGGCCAGATTATGTAGTAATTTTATTTTTAATTTCTTAAAGAGTTACCATACTGTTTTCCATAGCAGCTGTACCATTTTACAATCCTACCAACAATGCACATGATTCCAATTATTCCACAGGCTCATCAACATTTATTATTTTCTGATTTTTGCTTGTTTGCTCGCTTTTAAAAATAGCTATCCTAATGGATATAAGGTGGTATCTCATTGTGGTTTTGATTTGCCTTTCCCCATCTTTTCATGTGCTCATTAGCCATTTGTATACTTTCTTTGGGGCAATGTCTAAGAATTGACTTTTTAGAATGATCCCTCTGGGGAGAAGTAAAAGGGTAGAAGGAGGGTCAGAATGGAGGCAGGGAGATCAGGTAGGAAGTTGCACTAAACTAGCCAAGATGTGATAAGGCTTCCATGATGCAACTAATGAAATTGTATGGGGCAGTGGTGGTGGTAGATAGCATTGAAAGATTGTTTTGCAAATTAAGCAGAACAAAAAAAAAAAAAACAAGAAAACTCAATGTTAAGTGGATGATGGCACCATGACTGGTATTCAGTCAGTATGTACCTGTGTAGCCATTCTGGCTGAAATACTTCCATGGCAGCTCCCCCAAGAGTGCCCCTTCATTGCCCCTCCCATCCAGGTCTTCAAAATCCTTAAACTGCCTGTATGCCCCCATAATTCCCTAAATAATAATGAATGCTGGGTACAGTAGGGGGTAGGGGAACCTTGGACTCTGCTCCAGCTCAGTAGCCAGGGTCCATTCAGATTTGTCAGCCCCCTTCCCCTCTGATTTACTCCTGGATAGCAGTACCATTTCTTGACACATGTACTGATGTGGAAAAGATTTTTGGAAGGTATGAAGGGAGTTCACCAAAGGTGATAAGTTTTATTTGGGGCCTGTTTGTGTATTCACGTGGAGAGAGTTAGCATTCTTGGTTCTAGAGAAAAAGATTTAGGAATTTTCAACATATGATAGTCATAGAACCCAAGAACTTACCATCCAATGGAAATATTTTCCCTCTGCAGTGACACCATTCTTTCATAAAATTATTCACAATTTAGCAACTATGAACAGGAATAAAACCTCTAACCAATATTCCAAAGAGGTCAGCTGTGCCTAAAATGCATGTTGGCAGAATGTAGTCACATTCCCAGATTTTAGGAAGCCAGGAATCCAGGAAGGAGTCTTCCTCTTTCTGTATAGCAACTTAAGCTTATTTGAAGGTGGTTGTTCACTCCCTCCTGGAGTGCCCTTAGCTGCAGACAAAGAGAGTGGGATTCGTGATGATCATTTGGCATCATGTCCCTGACAGATAGCCTACAATGTTACCAGAAGCTGATGAGGCTTATTTTGGTTTTGTTTCGTTTTGTGGAAAACCAGAAGGGATCTCAGTGTTGCTGCCTGCAGGATAAGTAAAGATAACCTACTATGTATTTTATTGGCAATCCTGATAGCATTTTCTCCATTGGTGGTTTATGTGTAATAGAGACCAAACTGCAATTTTCTGACCTGCCAAGATCCATTATGTCTGGTAAATATAGTTTATGCTTGACAGAATACACACTTAGGGTGGAAAGCCATGCAAATTAAACTAAGGTTTAGGCTAATTTTTGGTAGTGAAAATTATTCTCCCTTGGTGACCTTATTCAGCATGAAATAAAACAACCAGAAAGCTATTCATGCAGTCCACTCTTTCTTTAATCAAAATAATGAAAGCTTTGGATAGCCCAGCTCCTGATTCTCATAGCTCTTGTCTTTCATGGAGCCTAATCTTTTATGGTCATAAGAAGCTTTTTTGCATGAATAGGTTAGAGATTAGGTAGTAAAATGCCTTATTTAAGGTAACTGTTCTTAGTCTACTTTGAAGTCTATGCAAATTATATCTGTCTATGGATTTATGGAGACTGTATCACCACAGAGTCTTGATCTGTTAACATAAATGATATTTTAAAAATATTTACCCATTGTCTGGGCTACCAAACTTTAGTCTTATGTTGGAATAGTGTCTGATTGCTGACAAGCTGAGCAGTAGTTTTGACAGAGCTAAATAAGGAGAAAAGCCAAGCTTTAATAATGTTGACCATAAGTTAGGAATAATCTCATTGATTGCTTAGTACAGCTAATTCTATTTTCTGATGATAATTTGCATTAATATATTCAGTTTATGTAGCTTAGTCTCCAATATTATCTCGGTAATCCCATCTTCATTCACAGTGGAACAGAAAAGACAGAGTTGGAAGGCTTGTAGGTCAACGTAACAAACTTGTTCTATCTGCTGGCTCTCAGATTCTTTTCTTTTAAAATATGTTTTTAAATCAACAGACAAAAATTGTATATGTTTGTCATGTACAAATGTTTTGAATTATGAATACACTGTGGAATGGCTGAAAGGGGTTAAATAATACAGATTGAGTATCCCTTATCTGAAATGGCACTGGAAGTATTTTGGATTTCACATTTTTTGGGATTTTAGAATATTTGTATTATACTTACCAGCTGAGCATCCCAGATCTGAAAATCAAAAATCCAAAATGCTCCAGTGAGCATTTTTTTTGAGTGTCACATTGGTGTCCAACAAGTTTCAGATTTTTGAGTATTTAGGATATCAGATTCTCAGATTGGGGTGCTTAACCTGTATGTGCATTGTGTCACATAGTTTATTATTTTTTTTTGTAGTGAGAATGCTCAAAATATACTCTTAGTAATTTTCAAGAATACAACATATTGTTATAATCTATAGTCACCCTGTTGTACAATAGGTTTCTTGAACTTATTTCTCCTATTTAATTGAAATTTTGTATCCTTTGACCAATATCTTCCCAACTTACTTATACTCCCAGCAGTCCCCAGTAACCACCATTCTCCTCTCTGCTTCAATGAGTTTAACTTTTTTAGGATCCACATATAAGTGAGATCATGTGGTATTTGTCTTTCTTTGCCAGGCATATTTTACTAAACATAATCTCCAGGTTCATCCATGTTGTTGCAAATGACAAGATGTCCTTTATTAAGGCTAAATAGTAGTTCATTGTGTACAAGTACACCACACTTTCTTAATCCATTCATTCATTGATGGAACCGTAGACTGATTCCATACTTTGGTTATTGTGAATAATTGCTGCATAGGAGTGCAGATATCTCTCCTACATACTGATTTCATTTCTTTTGGATACATTCATTTCTTTTGGTGGGATTGCTAGGTTATATGTATAATAACTGTATTTTTAATTGAGGAATCTCCATACTGTTTTTTAACTTACATTCCCACTGGTAATGTACATGGGTTCCCTTTTTCCCACATCCTTATGAATACTTACCTTCTAGCTTTTTGATAATAGCCATTTTAACAGATGTGAAGTGATATCTCATTTTGGTTTTAATTTGCATTCCCTGATGATTAATGGTGTTAAACATTTTTTATACACCTGTTGATCATTTGTATGTCTTCTTTTGAAATATGTCTGTTCAGGTCCTTTGCCCATATTTTAATTGGGTTGTTTGCTTAATAATGAGTTGTTTGAGTCCTTATACATTTTTTTATATTAACCCCTTATCAGATGCATGGTTTGCAAATATTTTCTCCCATTCTGTAGGTTATCTTTTCACTCTGTTGACTGTTTCTTTTGATGAGCAGAAGCTTTTTAGTTTGATGTAATCCCAATTATTTATTTTTGCTTTTGTTGCCTATGCTTTTGGGGTGACATCCAAAAAGTCATTGCCCAGACTAATGACATGGAGTTTTCCCCTATGTTTCCTTCTAGTGGTTTCGCTGCTTCAGGTCTTATGTTGAAGTCTTTAATCCACTTTGAGTTGATTTTATTATATGGTATGAGATAAGGGTCTAATTTTTTTCTTCTGTTGTGGATATTCAGTTTTCCCAACATTGTTTATTGAGGAGACCGTCCTTTCTGCATTGTGTGTTCTTGGTACCTTTGTGGAAAACCAGTTGACTGTAAATGTGTGGATTTATTTCTGGGCTTTCTATTCTGTTCCATTAGTCTATGTGTCTTTATGGCTTTCAAATATTGTGAGACAGAAGAACACAGGATACACCCTCTTCACACTTGCCATTAATAGCCCAGTGCAGCCAGAATGAACAAGGTGTTACAGAATGTGATGCAACAACAAGGGAGTGATAATTTTATTTTAATTTAAAAAGGCATTCTCAGAAACTGAAGTTTAAATAAACCATTTGTTTAATGGCTTTAATGTGGACACTAGAAGGCACAAAGGTCTGGGCTATTGGGATTCCAGTCCATTTTCTGGAATCTTTGCCTTCAGAGGGCATAAGGTAATCAAGTACGTGGGAGGTAAGAGTCCAAATGTTCTGTATTACTCTCATCTTTCTGTGAATGACCAAATTCTTCTGCTTTTCACTGGCAATCATATATTTTGTCAACTTGTGAAAAAATACTCTACAAAGATGAAAATTGACCTTATAAAGATTCTTCACATGTATCACATTTGAGAAGGTTGTGTTCCTGACTGAAGAATCTTGCCTTGGTTTGTTGACTCTGGGGTTACACTGTGTCCAGTTATGGCTCCTTGGATGAAGGCCCTGTGTTGTTTTTGAGTCAGCTCACTCAGCTTTCTGGAGGGCAGTTGATTCCATGAAAATACTTGTCTATGTGATCAAGCAGTGGGGGCTGAATGTGTGGCTCTTCACAACAGAATGCAAGGCGGATTACTACTATTCCTACAGTGCTACTGTTATTATTAATTTTAAAAACATACAATGTCATTATCAACCTTGATCTGCTCTGCTTTTGTATTTTAGTAATTGATTGGATGAGAATGTGCCCAGGCATGCTTTAATCACTGGAAGGGCACCAGGGTTTAATCTTCCAAAGGGGTTTTTCCCATTGTTATTTCCTGAAACATGCTTGCCATTACTCAAGTGGCATACAAAATAAAATTCAAATCAAAACAGCAAAAGAGATGTGATCCCTCTCTTTTGTGCCTTCTTTTAGGCTTAATTCTCATAAGTAGAACATATCTAAGAAGAGTAGGCTTTTGAGTTCCAGGCATACTACTTCTAAACTCTTCACTTAAAGCTAGCACATTCACCTGACCTTGAAAAGGTGAATAGATACACACTGCTGAGATTAAATAAGGCACCACAGAAGAATAACTACAGGAGGAGCAAGTAAGTGCAATACCCTCTTGTATGAAGTGTGACCAACCTGAATTAAACCATATTTCTAGTCCTCCCTCAGCTCCAAACTTTTCAGAGCTTTTGCTCAATGACTCCACCCCATTGTATCCTTGGCTGACTCTCATAATTGCCTCATTATTATATTTTCTATATAATATGCATCTTTGGATTCATAGCCCAACAATCTCAGCTGGTTCTCCTCTGTAGTTTGTTTAGCAGACAATTGTAGTCATTGCCCCTCAGCCCATACAACATGGGGGATCTGGATGGAAATGAAACGCAGACTTGGCTCATCAGAGGGCAGCTTGGCTTCACTTGTATGCCACAAACATTGTCACCTCATAACACTGACAGTAGTCACTGATGAGCACATTTGAACCCATTCCCAAAAGTGCATTGCCTCCACACCACATGAATTAGAGCCATTTGTGTTATTTTGCTTATGTGTTCTTTTTCTTTTCTCTGTTGTGTATTCAGATTCCCATATTAGTTTTCCTTAATCTAAGACTTACATTAGATGACTCTAGCCAGACTGTCAAATTATTTGAGAACTCTCTTTGTAGCTCTAAATCTAGGGTAGTACCTGGTAGTCAATAATTATTTATCAAATGAATGGATATTTTTCAACACTTACTGGCAATCAAGAAATAATTGTATTTCTAAAACAGTGTGAAAACACGATGAATTGAATTGAATTGGCGAGAATAGAATATAAACTGCATAACTGTAAGAGATAGTACTATACAATAGTGCTGATGACATTTTGTTTTGCTTTATTTTATTTTATTTATTTTCTGGGGCTGCCTGATACAAAAAGTTCCTTGTGAAAAGAGAAGATTGGAATCCAATTAGTAGATTGGAATTGATGAGTTAGTTAAGGGCTTTAGCATCCTACCATGGGCTGTGGTTTTTCCCCCTGAACCTATGGGCATGTTTTGATTGAAGATGATGGCTGGAAGCTGCCACGTTTGAAGGGCTAGAGAAAGAGCCTGGGTTTCCTGTGTCAGATGATACAAACTAGAAACTAGAAACGCTACATGGTAGGGAGGCAGTGGGGGACAGAAGAAAAGACATCATTATTCTTTGTCTCTTCTTTTCCCTGGGGGAAATGTTGGCATCCAAATATTCAACAGTAGGTTGACATGTGGAAAGTGGCCTAGCCAAAGGATCTGTGGTGATCGGGAGTCATAAATCAGATATGAGAGGGAGAGACCATATGGTGCAGAAAGAAAGTGACGATGCGATTCTTTCAGCTATAGCCACTCACGTGCACTCTCTTACCCAGTAGAGAGAGGGGCCCCTTTCCACTGTTTCTTTTCTACTTCCCCAGTGAACCTGCAGGAATGTCAGCTGAAATACCTTGCTCTTTTCTACACATTTCTGAATCAGCCAAGATGTCAGTGACCTGGAAAGGACTCAGGTGAGAGCCAGAGAAATGATTAAAGAGCCGGTGATGCCGATGATCCAGTGGGTGTCTCCTCTCCGCACCACTAGAACTGACTTATGGGAAGATAGTCAAATAACTAGATATGTGTTGTTTGGCCCAGGGCAGACAAGAAGGAAGGTATGGGGTAACTTGTCTCCAATGGAGTTGCCAACAGCCAATGAATTATTGTGTCTTTTCCTCTCCAAATGGACTGTCAGTATACATATATATATTTTCAAGTTTTATTGAAAATAGTTACCTCAAATTTACTTGCACTTATTTTCCTGAGAGTCTGAGGAATCACATTCTCATTGCTGCAGGCCCCCAGAAGTTTTGAAACAGCCTCTGCCACGCCACGCAACTCTACTCACCCAGAGAAATTGCCTTCCCTCTTTTCCCTCAACTTGTCTGGAGATGAAAAGGATGAGATTGAAACCCCTTTTCTTAGAGACACGTCCCCTCCCTTGCTGGTTTCTGGCTTCTCTTTTCGGTGTGTGAGCAAAATCATTTTATTAAACCATTTGTCAGGGGGCAGATGGGAAGTCTGTCTTTCCCATTAGTTAGCAGAAAGTGACCCCAGCAGCTGTGGAGGGAATCGGTCAAGCCATTGCTACCAACCAGACCAGGGTGGAGAAGGAGGCCGGGCTTTGCTCAGTTGTCACAAGGTCCCAGGCGGCTCCCCAGGAGCCTTGGAACTGATGAGGCCCTGTTTTTATTGGCCATGCCTGTGGTAGGCTGACTTCCTTCACTCTGAGCTTCAGGCCAGCCAGGGAAGGGGGCAGGGGCCACTAGCATTGGGAAGCTTTCGTACTTTGCCCTTAACACTCCATATCCCTGTTTAATTAATTTCCTAACTTTGTGGGGGAAAAAGATGAAATAAATAAGGCCAACTGACCACTTCATAATTTGTTTCTGAAGCTTGGCTGGACATAAAAGTCTCCCTTCCAAAACCACACGGCATAATTTATTTTACGATTCCCTCTCGGCACCAGGTCTGGGCTAACCTTGAGTTTGGAGGCTGTGCCTTCGCTTCCTGGTGCTGGTGGTCACAGTGTGTCCTTTCTTGGCAGTGGCCATGGGCCCAGCAAAACAGACCTCTGAAAGGCGAGCAGATTAATCATTTTGAAGGCATGCTCGCCTCAACAGTTCCCCTGCAGGATGTCGGAGAACCGGAGAGAGGGGACTGCTGTAGTTCACAAGGGGCATAGGGAAATGCCTGAAGACTCACAAAAACAAGGGGGTGAACAACAGAAAAAGAATGAGTGCTTTTAAATTGTACATGCTGGAGTTTTCACTAACCGAAAAGTATTACCAAAAAATATATTGCCACTCCTAGAGCACAAACTGTGATGAGTCCAACCCTTTTATTACAATCAGGCTTTCTCTAAATATATTATGCCCTGCAGGTCAAAATGATTTACTTCTCTATTTTGGGACATCTGAGTTCTATTCTACTGTTGCCAGTATGTTTTCAGCTGTGCCAGAACCGAGCAGGTCTGCGGCTCCTTTGTAACATCAAAACGGAGACATTTATCATTGAGATTTATCATGGGACAGCCTGCCAGATGGTTTGGGTATTTTAAAGGTGAACTGTTTGGGCCTTGATTAGCTCATGCGGACTTCTAGCTAAAGACAACTCTATCAGCTGCTCAGTGGAAAGACACTGACGTCCCCCTCCCCCCAGCTCCCTCCCTCTGTTCTTCTAGTAATGCAGAAAATATTAATGTAATGGCAGATGTGGCATAGATTGTCATTTCAGGAAGAAAACCAAGCCATAACCAATTCCACTGATTGCATTCTAATTATAATGTGACCTCCTGTTGCTTTGCATAGAGGCAGTATTCATTTCAGTACACCACTGTAAAACTTGCCTAGTCAACGACCCTCAAAGGGGCAATTGTAAGATTTAAGCTTGGATTTTTTTGCTCATACCAAAGTCCTTTATTCTGCCAAGCCTCTGCTGATTGGGCCAGAAAGAATGCATTTGATTATATAGACTAAACTTATTGGGAACAGAACCTCTGTGCTTTGAAATGCTTTTCATTCAAATTACATTCAGACATTCAATCAACATTGATTATGATATGGATTGGCAACAGGGAATGCCTTGGGTTTTTGGTCTGGCTTGAAAGTTTGCTGAGTTTCGTACCAGATAACAACTGGGAAGCCAGCTGAGTTTCCTTAACCTTTTCCATGAGTTTCTCAGAAAAGGATGGTTTCTCTTGGGAGGCCAGGAGTTCCTTATTCCCACTTGATGCAGTATTCCAAGATCATTTCTTCACTTGGAAAATTTGGGTCTTTGGGGCTTCCAAATTTAATTAACCTCTGATAGCTTTGGGAAATGTGTGCTCATTTGTGTTTATGTTAATAAAGTAGGTCCTTGACTTTGTGCATGAAAATCTAGGAGAATGCATCTTAGATTCAGATTCCAGGTCTAAAATTTTGTATCATGGAAGAAAGTGATCATCACTAATTCTGGTCATAGATGTTGTCTGTGTGATTTAGAGCAAGGCTCAGTTTTCTCATCTGCAAAATGAAATAAAGGTGATCCCAAGGTTTAATTTCTAATAAAGTTGATTTGAAAATACTAAGAAACAATATAATATTGTTATTATTATTTACATGTCAGTGTATGTGCTTGTGTTTTTGAGGGGCCTTTGCCTGCATCTAGACCTCTCTGTCTCTGGAAAAATCCTGGTGGGATCAGTTTTCGAAGTAGTTGGCTCTTGGCAGACTCGCAGACATACTAAAGTTTTTGTTTTGACTTGAAGGTCCTCTTCCGGCCCTTCTGAATAACTTTAACCTAAAAGTCAGGCTAGAATTCCCACAAGAAGAGAGTTGCCAGGGCATCCTCATTCCAAGCTATAAAATCACTGGAGATAGCTCCATTTTCTTTATCCAATCACATGCCATGAGCTGTCATTTGTGTACAGATGTCTCTCAAATATAGATTTCCAGCCTTCATAGCATTCCTGAAATTTAGCATTGCTAAGTATATGGTCACCTTGAATAGTATTCTAGGATCTCGAATTCAGTACGTTCTCTTTTTCCCCCCAAAACAATGGCAACCAGCCTCTCCTCTGTTCTCTCTTTCTCTTAACTGCTCCTGTAGTTCCAGTTACTAGAGTTCAAAACCTTGGAACTTTTATTTTCTCCCTTGTCTTTACTTCCCACATAGAACTAGTTGCCAAGTCCTGTGAATTATACCACTTGAAAATATCTGTTCTTCCTAAAGTTAGTGCTTTTTCATTGAGTCTAATCATTTCCTTCATGGCCTGTGTAATTTAGTCTTTCCACCAATCCAGTCATCCTACCATGATGTGGCAGCAGCTTCTAAGATGGTCCTTATAATATCTGTTATCTGGTGTTCATACCCTTGTGAGATCTCCTCCCCTTATGTGTGGATGGGACCTGTGATTTGCTTGTAACCAGCAGATTATCGAAAAAAGTAATGGGATGTCACTTTCATGATTAAGTGACATAGGATTGTGACTTCTGCCTTAGTAGAAAACTTTTTTCCTGCTGATCTTGATGAAGTAAGAAGCTATGTTGGAGAGGCCCACACGGCAGCAGCAGAGGGTGGCCTCTGGCCAACAGCCAGTAAGGAACTATGGCCCTCTACCCAAGACCCCACAAGAAACTGAATCCTGTCAACAATCTTTTGAGCTTGGAAGCTTCCCCAGTTAAGCCTCAGATGAGACCCCAGCCCTGGTCTGTACCTTGATAACAGTCTTGTGAGATGCCTAAAACAGAGGACACAGCTAAGCTGTATCCAGATTCCTGACCCACAGAAAGTGTGAGACAACAAATATGTATTATTTTAAGCTGTTAGATTTGTGGTAATTTGTTACCTAATATTAGACAGCTGTATCCTAGAGCAGCTAGATTACTGCCTGACAATATCAGTCTTTTGCTCAGAAATACTCAGTGTCTTCATGATTCTTTGTCTTTGGCCTTGAACTCCCTATTCAAGCTGTTTTCCAATTCTCCTTCCTGAGCACAATTACCTCTGTACTGTTCATATTTCTGGCTTTCTGCCTTTTACCTTTTGCTGACATCGTTACCATTTCCTGGATTTTCTTTATGACTAAATCTCACATCTTTTTTAAAGGCCCACTTAAATGTCACCTCTTTCATAAAAGCTTTTTTGATCTCTGAAGCTATATAGATCTCTGAGCTGCCATCGTTCTATACCTCAGGTTCCTATTCATTTTCTACCTCATAGGGGACTGGTTTGAGAACATTGCTGTATCTGTACTACAGGTTGAATACCCCTTATCAAAAATACTTCAGGTCAGAAGTGTTGAGAATTTGGGGTTTTGGGGGAGATTTTGGAATATCTGCATTATATGCTTACCTGTTGAGCATCCCCAGTCTGAAAATCCAAAATGCTCATTTGAGCATTTCCTTTGAGGGTCATGTTGGTACATAAAACATTTTGGGTTTCGGAGCATTTTGGATTTTGGATTTTCAGCTTAGGGATACTCAACCTGTGCTAGGCTGCAAATTATATGAAGGAGGCTTCTTCTGATTCATCTTTCCATGCCCTTGAGCTTCCAATATAATGACTTAATGGATGGTATGCTCTCAGTGGATGAGACTCAATGGATGGTATGCTCCAGTGACTCAATGGATGGTATGTTCTTGTTCATGAAGAGCAAGCCAGTGTGCCCACAGGACAGCAAAACAGAAGTGGTTTGTGGAACTATTCGTTTATTTACTTGCTTATTCTTTTATTCCTTCCTTTACCGCATACCTGGCATTGTCCTAGGGGCTGATGTGGACTCATGGGCATCATGCTTAGAAAGGGACCTTGTTCTTGGGGTTTTATGTTTAAGCATCACCATCTTCTTGAGACTCTTAATCATTTTATTTTTGAATCTGTGTTTTCTGAGTGAAGTCCCAGAAGGTAGTGGGGTATATGCTAGGGGCTCAGAGAATTTGCCAGTGCCTTCTGCCTCCCTGACATAGATTCTAACCCACTTGTTCTCCTCACCCTCCCACCATGGCAGAGGCCTGGGCACAACCACAGGGAGAGTTGGGGTTGGGTACACATGCCCTGTATTCCAGGTCACAGAGTAAGGACCCTGGGTACCTGGGAGGATCTGTACTTGCTGCATAGTCAGGAAGTAACTATGTAAGTATCATATTAAATAAGAAATACTATGACAGGTTGAGAGAAAGAGAGGAGAGCATTAGTGAGCTTACAGACAAACAGGAAAAGCTTTTCTCTTGCCTTTTGAACAAGTGCCTGCATTTTCATTTGTACTGGACCCTGGAAATTATGTAGCTGGCCCTGACTAGGGGTATAGTGGGAAACCAAAGGGGCAGGGATACAGCTGTGGCAGCAGAGGTGGGGTCGGGGGAAACAGCAAACAACAGACAATAAACAAGATGATTTCAGAAAGTCATAAGTACTATGACTTTCTGAGAATCAAATGAGGTGATATGCTGGTGAGTCCCTGAGTATGGTGCAGGAAGCATGTTACCTTAAAGAAAGATGATGAGGGAACCGTTGCTGAGAAGGTGGCATTTGAGTGGACATCTGCAGGAGGTAAAGAGGTTAGGCCGTTCCAGGAATATGGGGCAGTTTCTAGGCAGAATAATGTGCTAGGTCAAAATCCTTGGGGCTGGAACAAGCTTGAAATAGCCAAGAGCTAGACACAAAAGCCAGTGCTGCAGTAGCCTAGAGACTGTGGAAGAGAGGAGGCTTGGGGCATTTACTAAGGTAAGATGAAGCTGATCCTTTATTTTATTTTATTGTTCTTTTTTTAGAATTAGGTTCTTGCTGTGTCACCCAGGCTAGAGTGCAGTGGTGGGATCATGGCTCACTGCAGCCTCAAACTCCTGGATCAAGCAATCCTCCCACTTTAGCCTTCTGAGTAGCTGGGACTACAGGCGTGTGTCACCACTCCTGGCTAATTTTTAATCTTTTTTTGTAGAGGTAGGGTCTAGGTATGTTGCACTGGCTGGTCTCCAACTTCTGGCCCCAGGCAATCCTCCCGCCTTGATCACCATAAGTGCTGGGATTACAGGCAGGAGCCACTGTGCATGGTCCAGCTGGTTCTTTAACACCAACACCATACTGGCCATAGTGAGGACACAGCTTGCCTCTGGGCTTGTCTAGGTCTGTAGTCCAGTATTTTCACACCTAAGAATTACTAAGGAGGGATTTTACAGCAATGCGCTCCCTGCATTTTCTACCTTAATTTAATTCCTTTTTCTTTGTCAACATAGCTATTCTGCATTCTTTAAAATAGAGATTTTTTCAGAGACATGTAACTTACAAGGATGTAAATAATCATAGGTGGGCCAAGGAATGTGTAGTTCCTAGGGAGAGCTTTGCAAATGAGATTGGTTCCTTTCCCACAGAACCTCAAGGACTGTTGGATTTGTTTCAGAGGTCACAAATGGGCACCTTATGGCCCAAACTGGAGCCCCAGAAGTGTTTTATTTGTTCTGCATGTTGCCCTTCATCAAACAGGAGTGCCCCAGCAATGGCCCTGTGCTCCCCAGATAGCTCTGTCCTAATCTCTCCTATAGTCTCCTGCTTGTGCTTCTTCCCTTTATGCCTGAACTCTTTTTAATTGTTTCTCATTAAAAAAATTATACTCCACTGTATAGTGCAGACGTGGAAATGTTGGCATGTGGATAGACCCTGTACCAAAAACCCAGCAGAAGATTCAGAGTCCCTGAGATGCTTCCTCCTCATCTTCTTCGCCAAGCACCTCTTGTCACTGATCTTGGAAGTTAGAGGTGGGAAAAGGCAGGTAAGAGGGCCAAGAAGTCAAAGTCCTAATTCATGCATGCCTGGGCCCACCCGTCTTCCCGTCTTGCATGCCCATTCTGTGGACTCCCTATATGTAGATGCTAACCCAGGAAACCCCTCAGGGCCAGTGGTGCATGGCTGGCTCCCTTCCTACAGACTGTTCCTTTAAAAATTTGGGGCTTTAACTGAGAAGAAAATTAAGTAATTTTGTTATTTTTTCCTTCATAAAGCTAAAATTATTAATCTTCAGAGATAAGTACTGTTCAGTGCATAATGAGTTCGAATTGTTGATAATTATAATTTTGAAGAGTTTCAGCTTGCTGTCAGCCAAGTAATTAAAGGGGTGGGACCAGGGTTCTATTTTGTTCATGATGGTTATGCTTCTGGTAAGAACTCTCTCTGTGTGGCAAAAATGCCCTCATTCTAGTCACATGGTGCAGTGAAAGGGTTAATTAAATCAAGTAAAGTAATCCACTGGGTTGTGAAGAGTTCTCTTTTCCTAGTTTCCCCCCTGGCCTTCCATCTCTTCCTTAAGATCTTCCCATTGTCTTAGCAAAGCTGGACACCCTCAATGGTGCCCGCTCTCCACTAGTGAAACAGATGCAGGATGCCTGGGTCCTGCCTGAGCCCAGGGAAGAGGCTCAGTTCCTTTCCCTCTTTCGCAACTGCCCCCTTCACCCAATTGCCCATGAGTCACCTTAAAAAAAAATGTCTTGCATATACTAGCACTGGACTAAAAAAATTGAACCAAAAGAAAAGAGGAAGAGAAAATGGAAAACTAATGATTCAAGAAATCACATAGCACGAGATAATTCTATTTTGAAATCACAGCAGTGGCACCCAGAGGCGGACACTCCCCAAATTACTAGTGAAAACCCTTTGATGTATCCAGTTGTAAGAAAGCCCAAGGCACTTTTTTATTATTATTATGAGTGTTTCACATTCCCCAAAAGAAACATTTAGCAGTAATTTTTAAATGTCTGTGTGTGAGCAAGCTAAATAAAATGAAATAAAATAAAATAAATCCCTAAAAAATCTCCAACCCTAAATGTGCTTACTTGATGGCTGGCTTTTACTTACAATAAAAGCCAAGGTCTTACAATGGTGTATGAGGCCCCCATGAGATCTCTCTGCCCTCATCTGCCCCTTTATCTTCCCTGGCTCATTCCACTATAGCCACACTGGCTCGCTAGCTGTTCAGGGACACACTGGGTGTGTTCCCTGCTCAGTCTGTTCCCTTGCTATATTCCCAGCCTGGATGCTCTTTCCTGGGTATATGAATGGCTCAATCGTTTCTTTCCTTGAGCTGTTTCCTCCAAAGTCTCCTTCTCATTGAAGCGTTCCCTTGCCATGCTGTATAAAACCTCAACTTCCCACTTTTGACACTCTTAAAGGGACTTTGCAGATGTGATTAAGTTAAGGAACTTGAGATGGAGAGATTATCCTGGACCATGTGGGTGGGCCCGGTATGAAAACAAAAATCCTTATAAAAAGGAAACAGCAGGGATACAAACAGGGAAAGGAGATGTTACAACAGAAATAGAAGTTGGAGTGATGTAAGTTGAAGATGAAGGAAGGGTCCACAAGCCAAGAAATGCAGGCAGCCTCTAGAAACTGGAAAGGCAAAAGGAAATGATTTTTTTCTGGGGCCTTCAGCAGTAACCAGAGCAGTTGACACCTAGATGTTATTAGCTCGGTGAGACCCTTTTTGGACTTCTGATCTCCAGACTGTAAGATAATAAATCTGTGTTGTTTTAAGCCACTGAGTTTAATTTGTTACAACAGCAATAAAAAACTAATACAATTGGCAGGACCCAGACTCATAAGACCCCAAAGAATTTGACCATCTTGGTCCCCGGTTCTTCTGTGCAATATTCAAAGTTTCTATTTTCTGTCAGGATTTCCTTTCTGACTTGAAGACAGAGGAAAGAAACCTTTGCAGTACATGCATTCTGGTCTCCTTTTGTACCTGAGGCCAGCTTTCGTCACTAGGTGCAATAAACGCTGCATTAGATTTTGATGGGAGGTATGGTGCCCAGGTGTGTTTCAACACAGTTCAGATGAGGGACAGGGGAGCTGGGGAGAAGCAAATGCAGCCCTGCCAGGAACAGTGCGCTGCTGTT
Organism: Homo sapiens; assembly: GCF_000001405.40. NCBI lineage: Eukaryota > Metazoa > Chordata > Mammalia > Primates > Hominidae > Homo > Homo sapiens. Next base: position 76,405,489 of record NC_000010.11, read on the forward strand.
TATACAACAGGGTAAAGGACCAGACTTGTCATTATTTTAACCCAAGTAGACAGTTCTCGCCTGTCTAAGGATGTGATTGACTGGTGGTATCTTTTCATGGTTATGCAGCAGATTGAACTTCAGAAGTCAGAGCTCACAACTGACGGGATGTGTTTGTAATTGGACCTGGTAAGAACTGGACCTCTAAATAGGGAAGAAAGAGCAGTGGAGACAATCACATTGTGGCCTTTTGCTAGTTATTCATTCATAGAGTTCTTCCTGTTTTAATTCTGGAGGATTAAAACATTAAAGAATAATTTATTCCTATACTCTCCTCAGCCCCCGTGCGTTCCTTTTTCCTTTTCTGTGTCTCTTGTTTTATCTTTCTCTCTCTGTGTCATACTTTTCCCTGACCTTCCATTTCCTGAAAATTGTCTGTATTTGTGAGGGTAACCTTAGTGCTTGAAACTTTTTCCAGCTTTATTTTAAAAAGATGACCATTTTATCAGGCAGTCTGAAAATCCAAAAGTATTCTCTGCTCCAAATGTCCTCTTATTTAACTGGCCAGCGAGGAAAACCCACAAATTGCCAAACAAGAGGAACAACAGGAAGCGGTGATGGAGCTCATTTACATCTGCATATGTTCTTTATTTAAAACCAGGGGAAGTGCTGAGTGGATGGGTTTGGGAAATATGGCCGGCATTCCGGAAAGGGTGGCTGTGCACAAGTCCACACATCCTGTACTAACAGGCGGAAAGGGAACATCATGGCATTTATGTTTCCGTGCCATCTTTTAATGTCTGTTCTGTGGCATCTTCATTAGATCCCAACATGACCCACAAACTGTTAACATATCAAAGGCAGTAGGGAGAGAGGTGTGAATATCCTAAAAGGGCTTCTGATGAACTATCGTATTTTCTTATACTCTAAATACATGGAACAGAGATGTTGGGATAGGTACACATTTGGGTTTTATTAACAAAATAGCAGTAAGATGTATAGGCAGTTGGAGATACCCGTTGAGCCTCTATGTTCTAAAGACAAATGTTCCAGCCTCTCATGGTCTTTTGGTGGCACAAAATGTTTCCTCCTGAAGAGGTGAAAAGGTGACCACAGTGGTCCTTCTCACTTTGCTCTGCCTCTGTGGCTGTCATGGGAGTAGAGTTGGCTATGACATCTGCCCTGCATTGATACACAAGGCTGATTCAGGGTGGGTTGTCAGGTGTCCTTTCATTCATCATGACCCTGAGTATGTCCCTTCTGAAAGGAGGCATACATGGTGAAAAAAGGGGCCTTCCCTGGAGCAGATTTGTGAAGCAAAACATGAAACCTTATTATTGGTCCATAGAATGAGCCCGAGAGGCCCTTGAGATGGTCTTTGATCCTACTCATATTTTAAGGTAGAAAAACTTCAAAGTTTTAAAAAAACTCAGAAAGGCTGGAATAATTGTTCCAGATCTCAGTACAGTTGAGCTACAGTTCACTCAGTCATCTTTCCCACTTCAGAATCTGCCCATTCGTGCAACCTTTGATCCCTCCATCCACCCACAAACATTTGTTGAATGCCCATAAATAAGATCCAGTCCATGCCTCAAAAAGCTCATATGCACAGGAAGGATGGGAATGTAGGGCTGTGGACTAGGTGTTACGCAGAGATGTGGCAGCTGAAGGGTGCACAGAACAGGGAGTGTGCACATCAGCCTGGGCTCTGTGGTGGAGAGTGGAGGAAGGCAGGGAGTGATACTCAAAGTTGCGGATATGTCTTAAGAGAAAAATAGTTGTTTGCCAGGTGCTCCATATGTGGGAAGACTCTGTCCTATCCTATTTCTATTTGCTTTTAAATAATAATAACAAACAAAATTTCTATTGTTTCATTGATTCTCTCATTCACTCAAAATTTGAGGGCCTGAGATACCCAGAGGAGTTGGAACACACAATCTGTACTCACGTGGGGACTTGCAAAATAATGAATAAATTAATGTTCTAGAAGTTACTGGGACCAGTTTTCATCCAATGCAAGAATAACTTCTAAGTTCTTCTCAACCTTGAGATTTGATGAATTAGAATAACGAACCTTTGTCTCGTTATCTCATGCAACTCACAACAACCCTGTAAAATAGATTTTATGATCACTGTCAGTTTTATAGGTAAGTAAAAAGAGACACAGGAGGGGTTAAGAAATATGCACAAGATTTCATAGCCAAAGGGTGACCACATGAGAGCCAAAACTGTCTGCTATCCTTAAATCCTAGGTTATTTCTTTTGCATTACTTTGTGTTGCTTATATATAGTTGAACTCAATAAATGACTTCATATAGGTAGGGCAATTTCTTCATTTAACTACACTTAATAGGAGACCAAATTAGAACATTTGTTTTGAATTAAAATATGATCTTTAAGACATTCCTATTAAGAAGGGCAGTATGTTAAACATAGAGTTTTAGATTATCAGAGCTGGACCTTGTACAAGGAGATAATAACTCTCAATACAATTATGTCATTTTCTGCCATATTACAGATGAGAGAGAACACAGTTTTAAAATCATAGCCAAGAACGCAAGTTTCCCTACTCCTCCCAGTGTTATCTCAACTAACACTTACTGCTTTTTATTATATTCAGCACCTGTAAGGATCATAACCCAAAGAAAGGAAAATGCAGAACAATTGGGTTTTGATGAGAGTCTGAGCTTCAGAAGGGTTTGGAACATACAATGAAATTTCTCATTCCGTGGTTATTTGAGTGTTGGGATGAGGACACCAGCGCACAACTGTGGTAATGTCTGTGGTCAACAGAGAGCACCAGGTACTAGCTGGATTTGGTGGAGCCCAAGTAGAACTAGACAGAGGGCCTTGAATGGTCATCTAACTATATAAAACACTCACCTTTGATTAGGTCTGCTCTCTAGTCATAATTCTGACCTCTGTGGAGTTTACTTAAAAGCATAATTCTCATTGATTATGTACCGAGAATTATGTTCTCATAATTCTCATTGATTCTGTAAGGAAATGTCCTATGCACATGGTTCTAGAAATATAAATTACTCCTGTCAATATTTAACCAAAAACCAGACTTGGTCCTTCAGGTGCCAGGGCAGAGATTGCTCATTTATATTGATGTGATTTTCACTAAATAAGAGCTGTAATGTTTGAGGATCAAACTGTCCAGTTTTTGAAATTAGCTGCTTTTTGAAATTTCCTCTGAAGTTTGCCTTTTTCATTTTCCCTTTTGTTTTTCTGCTGGTTTCTTCTTTCTCCTCCAAAGCCGCAGGACTCCTGCTACATTGCTCAATTCTACTTTCCACCTCCACTGCTGGGCAATTTCTTCCTTCCTCACTCCCGGGAAGAAATAATTCTCCTCTTGACAGCTTTCCTTTGGTGGTTTGCATACTCCCCTCATGTAGTAGTCACATTATAAACATGCACAGATGGCTTCGGAACCCTGGGCTTATTTTCTCCCTATTGTGGTACAAGGCATTTAGCACCTGGTAGGAGCTCAAAAAATATTTTAGGAATGAATGAATGATGGAAGCAAACAAAGAAGGAATATTTGCCTCTCATTACTACCATCTGGAGACTCCAAGGAGGCCCTATGGTTCAGTCTACTTTCTTTCAGTTTACCACTTTGTGTCACTTGTCCAGGTGATTTTAAATAAACATTCATTCATTCATTCTGTCTCTCTCTACAAGAGGATGGACACGTACCACACTCAATAATGGTGAGATTGTCAGTGATTTTCGTACTCTTTTCCTTTGAGCTTTTTGGTAGTTTGACATTTTTCTGCAATGAGAATATTTTATTTTGTAGTTCAAAAGTATTAGCCCTTTTATGCCCAGTGTTCCATTATTGGAATGCTAAGCTTGTGGGAGTTATTTATATCCTACTACTCAAGGTCATTGCCAAGGTCTGATTTTTTGTATACAAAAATAGCAACCTCTGGCACAAATGAGTTAACATTAGATTTTTAAAATTATATTTTGTATTCTAAAAATGTTTATTTTATAAAATTTAGACAATTAGTAATATTGGGAGAAAAAAACTACCCATAATTCTGATACCCACAATCCATTGCTAACCCGTTCACTTTACTTCTAGCCTTTTTTTAGTGCATACATTTTGATATGTAGTTGTGATCCTGTTGAAAATTGACATTTTTATTTTACTTTTTCAATGAACATGTATAAAGTGGTTTTATGTTATATATCTCCATGAATTTCACTTTTATTGACTGCATGCTAGTCTTTTTAAATATTAATATCAAGTGCATGGTCAACTTTAGCATTTCCCAATATGTAATAGCAACACTAAAGTGAGCATTTATTAAATGCTTGCTACTTACTGGGCAGTGTCCAGAATAAACTGGTAGGCAAAATGAACTTCTGCTCTCCCAGAGGATAGAATCTACAAAAACAAATTTATGCTAGCGACTCAATATGGTAACAGCTTTATAGTGAACATGCAGAGTTATGGGAACATTTGAAGGAATGTAGAATCCAATTTTAAGCAAGGATTAGGGAAGTCTTCCTGGAAGAGGTAACATTGAAGCCTCGACAACCGTATCACAACTGACCAGGGAGAAATGTGAGAAGAGTTCACCTTGGGGGAACAGCATGTATAATGGGCCAGAGGGCAGAGGCATGGAATGTTGAAGGCACGGAATTGTAGTTTGGCCAGAGATCATTGTGGGAGGGGATAGAGAGAGAAAAAGGAGAGTAAGGAGGTGATCGAGGAGCTAATAGCGGAGGTGCATGGGGTAAGATCATGAAGAACTTTACATGCAAATTTAAAGAGTAGGGATTATGTCATAGAGGCTTGGAAAAATCACTTTCTTTCTTTTTTTTTTTTTTTTTTTTTTTTTTTTGAGATAGGGTCTCACTCTGTGACCCAGGCTGGAGTGCAGTGGTGCAACCATGGCTCGCTGCAGTATCAACCTCTTGGTCTCAAGTGATCCTCCCATCTCAGCATCCTAAGTAGCTGGGACTATAGGCACATACCAACATGCCTGGCTAGGTTTCAAATTTTTTGTAGAGACAGAGTTTTGCCATGTTGCCCAGGCTAGTCTTGAACTCCTAGGCTTAAGCAATCCTCCTGCCTTGGCTTCCCAAAGTGCTGGGATTATAGGCATGAGCCACCGTGGCCCAGCCCCCATCAAGAAGCTTTAGGCTGGAGAAGCTGAAAGATTACATTGGCTTATTACAAAGATCATTCTGGCTGGGAGTGGCTCACACCTATAATCCCAGCACTTTGGGAGGCCAAGGGGGGTGGATCACTTGAAGTCAGGAGTTTGAGACCAGCCTGGCCAACATGGTGAAACCCTGTCTCTACTAAATGTACAAAAATTATCCAGGCATGGTGGTGAGCGCCTGTAATCCCAGCAGGCTGAGGTAGGATAATTGCTTGAACCCTGGAGGCAGAGGCTGCAGTGAGCCGAGATCGCACCATTGCACTCCAGCCTGGGCAACAGAGCGAGACTCCATCTCCAAAACAAAACAAAACACCAGAAAGATCATTCTGGCTGCCATCCACAGATATATGCAGGGAGACCATAGAGGGGGTTGGAGCAAGAGATGCAATTCATGCAAGAGATGTTTGTCATTTACCTGTTGTTGTTTTTATTTCACCATCATAATAACCATGAGAGGAAATTTTTATGCATAGCTATCTTGAGTACTATTTTATTAGAAAAGAATAAAAGGAAAATGCGAGCTGATCTTAGTGTTACAACTTGTCAGCGTCACTTGCAGGCTGAGTTTGTTCTCATGCCCACCTACCAAGTCATTTCAGTAGTACCTGTTGGAGATGCGTAAAGGGCACCTTCTTGAGGATGGCTCTCCATAGTATACGTGGTTCAGACCAGATTTCATCCAGATTTATGCTGCATCATTTGCTGGGATCTCAACTTCCACTCTAAGCCTAGTGCCAGTTCTGTACAAATGATTTTTAAAAATCCAACATAATTAGGATGATTATATACACCTTACAGCCATGTTTCATGGACTCCCTGGGTGGAATGCATTTGCCTAAGGTCAACGACATTATTTCCCTAAAGGGACAGTCCTATTGTTGGACTTCAGATAAATTCCTCACTATTTTTCAAGTGCTCCAGTTTATATGATTCCACTTTCTTGGCCAAAATTCTGCTTATGGCATAGTGTTGCCCATTGTGGGATCTCAAAGCACATTCATTATCATGTGCTGACGGCTGTTCTGCAGGAGTGGAAAATGGAGGTAGAGAGAAGTGAATGCAACGGTGCCAGCAGTGGGGGATGGAGCCACGCCCCTGACAGGGGGCACAGTCTCTGAACTCAGCACCAGGCTGGGAAGCTTTGCCGGGGCCTCCCTGTGCTCTTTTGGGGCAGGCCACTTTGGAGACATAACAAATATAACCAGGGTAGAGCTCTGCCAGAAAGCAACAGCGGGGACAGTGATGGAAAACAGATGGAGGCGCTGGCCTTCACTTGGTGAGAAATCCACTGAGGGAATGGAGAATGTTTGCAAAATCTCCGAGTGCTATTGGGACACCTCTTAGTGCATTTACAAGGCGCCAGCCTCTGTTTGCCAATGGTTTAGTTTGGTTTTGATGAGACCAAATTACCCTTTGAATTCTCTCGAAATTTTGAACATTTCCCAAATTTTGTTTGACTCACCAGCTGGAGGCTTGGAATTAAAAATCCAGCATGAGTGCCTGAGAAAAATAAGTGAAATCTTGCCTTATTTTGGAGGAATGGTTAAGAAAAGGTGCTTGTAGCTGCCTAGCTTGTGGTTGGCTCCCCACATTGTGTAATTCTTAGCCTGGAACAAATCTTGAGTTGTCATTTTGTATTTTCTCCTGCTTCTACATAGGGAGGGAGGGCTCTGCCTCCCCAAAGTATTTCGGAAAGATGGTGGACTCTTCTGATGTAAGACTTCAGAAAGGAAGGCACACAACCTTATTTGTTCTTCTGATTCATGGATAAAGGGTTAACCATACTGTGGCTTTTTGTAGCACATGCAGTTTGAACATAGCTCTATATTCAACATCTTGTGGTGAGAAGGAAGGACACAAAAAAGAGTTCATCTCCTTTCTCTGGGGGACTCTGCCCTTTCTAGGTGAGATGATGGTGTATGACTCTAGGAATATAGATAAGTGTCCTTACATACAAAGCAGTATGATTCGCTGTCTAGGGGAAAGATACAGGGGAATTGAATGAGGAATGATTCTGCATTCTTAGTCTCTAAGATGTTGAACCTATACAATATTCAGTAAGTAGTTTTGATTCTTCTGTGATGCCCCTATGCCCACAAACATCCTCCCATCATCTCAGCCTGAAAACACCATTCCTGCAATCTTCCTCCTTTCCCTCTCTCTTGCTCTCATGCCACCTTCTTTGTTTTGCTGCTAAATGCTAAAAGAATAATTTAGACTTGTTGCCTTTCCTCTCTCTCTTTCCTGCTCTCCCTTCCTTCTCCACTTCTTCACTCCTAGTCCCCTGACTTCCTTCCTCCTCTCTGGATTACAGCTGTTCTCCTGGTCAGCAATCCAACCTCCTCTTCACATTCTTTGCCTTACTGACTCTTTGGATGAGTCCTGGTGATTCCAGAACCCTCTGTCTCTGAGCTTTTATGCCACTCTCTCGATGCTTCTCACATATCTCTATCTGCTCCCTTTCTCTTCTTCTCACATCCCTTAATTGTGACCTTTTTTCAAGATTCTGTCTTTGAGCCCTTTCTTTCTTTTCGACACTCCTAGCCACCATGGGATCTTTAGCATCTCTCCTACATAGATGCCTCCATTTTTAGCTTTCCAGCTCTGACTTTTGCATGAGCCACATCACATCTGTATTAGTCTGTTCTCACACTGCTAATAAAGACATACCCAAGACCAGGTAATGCACACAGAAAAAGAGGTTTAATGGAGTCACCGTTCTACCTGGCTGGGGAGACCTCATAATCATTGAGGAGGGCAAAAGGCACATCTTACATGGCAGCAAGCAAGAAAGAATGAAAGCCAAGTGAAAGGGGTAATCCCTTACAAAACCATCAGATCCCCTGAGACTTACTCACTACCATGAGAACAGTATGGGGGAAACTGACCCCATGACTCAATTATCTCCCACCGGGTCCCTCCCACAACACATGGGAATGATGGGAGTTACAGTTCAAGATGAGATTTGGGTGAGGACACAGCCAAACCATATCACCATCTGATTCTCAAACTAAAAAATAGTATAAAATTTATCTATTTTATTTATTGCATGGTGTTCCTTTTTAGAAGAAAGCTCCCCAAAGGCAGGGATGTCTGTCTGTGTTGCTGTTCTATCCCAGGGGCCTAAACTAGAGCTTGGCACACAGTATTGGCTCACCAAATATGTGTTGAACTAATGAATGAATGTTACCTACATTTATTGAGCACTTGCCTGGTAAAGAAAATTTCTAATAAGATGATTATCTCACATCATCCTGACAAAATCCTATGAGGTTAGCCCATTCATAATACAATTTTGCAAACAAGGACTGTGAAACACCAAGAAGGCAACTCTCCTGAGGCCATAAGGCCATATGGCTGGTGAGAGGCAGAATGTAGACTTCAAACCCAGGCAGAATGACCTAAGCCCAAGCTTTCAAGCACTAGGTTGTACTTGGAGGTGATTGATCTCTGCCATTGACTAGCTATATGAACTTGGACATGCTTTTTAAGTTATCTGAGCTTCAGCTTCCTCATCTAGTGAAAGGACATTACCTCTGACTTAACAGTGTTATATCTAAGAACTTTGCAAACAGTAAAATACAGCATTAATGTTATTCCTCAAATAAGGTATCACTAATATTTATGAGAAAAATTACATACAAACTCTATTAGGACTTACAGAGCCACAAAACAAACCAGAAACCAACCAAACAGCAACAAAAACAACAAACCACAAATTATGAAGTTATGGTGCTATACTTCAAGGAATGCCCATCCTTTCTTTTTCCCTCCCTTCCTTCCCTCTCTCAAATATTTATTGCAACCCTACAAGTGCTGGGCCTGGGCTAGAGATAAAAGGATAAAAATAATTAGTTGAGATTAAGAATTAGTAATTAGTTGAGATTAAGAGATTGATTTATACTTCTGATAAGGGAAAGAATAATGTTGACTGGAGTTCTTGTGGAACGCTGTCATGAGAGGGCCTGGAAAAGGAGTTTAGAAGACTCAAGCAACAGAGAAAAATGGAAGAACTATATTCCTCTGTGTTCTCCTCTTCTGTGTGTAAGATTTGTAACCCTGAGAAAACTGGTTGAGCCATGGCTTAGCTGGCTGCCCGAGTCATGGGCCCCTTAAAATCTTCACTTAGGTCCCCATGGATGCCAGAGAGGGCTTTAAAGGTGACTGCTAGATCACCAGCCTAGATAAGAACCAGGGGAATGGGAAAGTGGCTAGGAAAGGAGACTCATATTTGAATTGGAGATGTCAGGATAGTCAGGCAGAGGCATCTGCAGTTATGCAGCAGAGTAAGAAGAAAAGGAGAGCGAGGCTTCATAAGCACTTGGTTCTTTGGCTGAGGGTCTGAAGAAATCCTCCAAGACATGTGGCATCCGCCACAACTCTTTGCCCACATCCAGGCCCTTCCCTCTTGGGAGCCTGTCAGAGGGGAAAAGCAAGTGGCTCCATGTGTCTCTGCCTTTGTGGTAACTTGGCTTCTTTGCTGGAGGGATCAGTTGAGCATGTCTTCAATACATTGGTCTGGGGACCTTCTGGTTCTCTAAAGCTGACAGATTTCTGCTCCTTTTTGGACTTCCTAAGGTTCCATTTAAGTTTTACAGTTAAGGGTTGACATAAAGACATCAGTCCAGAGTCTGAATCTTCTCCTGCCTTGTTTAAGACCTGCTACAAGGGCTTTCTGTCCAGAAGAGCTTTAGTTCCATTTGGGGAAAGGTAGATAAAGCTGGGTGCTGTCATTTTTTTTTGAGAAGTAGCTTAGTATGGACACAAGAGCTGTACTCTGAGAATAAGGAGTCTTGGATTCTAGCTCCTGGGTTTGTTTGTGTGACCTGGAATATGTTCTGTCCCATACGTTCTAGGCTTCAGTTTCTTCCATAAAAAGTAGGAGTTGGACTAAATGGTATCTAACACCAGTTTCCATATTAACATTCTCTCATCTTTGGCTGGGGCGTGTATGTGTGTGTGTGTGTGTGTGCGTGTGTGTATACAGATTTTTCTGGAAAAGAAAGATTAAGGATACGATCCCATACACACTATCATCACCATATGTGCGTGCATTCCTGACATGGCTATGGGCCCCACCCATGCCATATGCTCCCCACACTTTGTCAGCCTGGCTGTCCTTTATTGCCCATCATAGCTCAGCCTGCCACATGTTCCTGTGCGCACGAGATGCACTGACACAGGCTTTGTGAAGGCTGACTCCATGTCTTGTTCTCCTCGCTGCTTCTTGAGGAATCCTAAATCCAGCTGCAACCTCCACACTTGCATGGCTTTGTAGAAGGGGAAATGTAAGAGTAGGCTTTTAATCAGCTCACACATATTTTGTGAGGCAAGGTCTGAGAGGGCTTTGTGAAGCCGCTATTCACTGCATCATGTTGTGGGATCAAGCCTACACTTTGTATCATATGGAAACACTGATAGTGCCAGATAAATACTGAGACTTAGGAAGAAGCATACTGTACTTCCAACCATCCAAATCGTGGCAGAACCTGAGGACAAAGCATTCAACTAATATGGCAGAACTCTACAAGGCAGGACTGGGATGGAAGTTTCGGAAAGGAAAGATTTGTGACTCTCTGAAGGTGGTTCACATGACCCTTGCTGTGGAGGGAAATGGAGTGCCACCTGGAATCATGCTTCCCCTGTCCTGCTGAGGTTCGTGTGGATATGTGTCAAATATTTTTCAGAGATTTTAAAGAAATTAAAATTAACACTTGATTCAACCCTCAGATCTATCACTTATAATGCGGCCTCGGACAGGCCATCTAACTTCTTTAAGCTTTTTTGTCCTAATCTTTAGAATAATATATTACCTACTATGCTGCCTTTTTTCCCAGGTTAGTTATGAAATTCAAAGAAGATGATGTTTGTAAAAGCAATTTGTAAACAATAAATTAACCAGTGGTTATGTGCTCAACACTGTGGAGCCTTTCACTCCAAATAAAAACAAATCAAAACAAAAACCACCTCCATGGATATATAGGCAATTTTGACATGTAACTTCTAAGGGTCTGCTTAACAGGCTCATGTGTCAGAATTTGACAATCCATGAAATAGAGATCAAGTAGTCGTAATAATATCACTGCCTTCATGGCAGAGGCTGCATATCTGTTTCTCCTATTCCACTTCATCTCCCCAGTGCTCACACATACACCCTGTTGGTTTGTAGTTAGTGAATGATTAAGGAAATGTGCGTGTGCCTGTGTGTGCTTGTATGTTGTATAGGTGTGTCTGCACTGCCCATTCTTGCATTTCTATCTTTTAACTGTTATGGATGTATAAGCACTATCTATGATGGACGAGGCATAGTGCATCTCCTAGGCCGGAAATGTTTCACTCACTAATGAGCTGGACAATTCTACTCTGTGAATTTAACTTTCCTGACTCCCTTATGCAGGTTAATTTTGGTAACATATCATATTTTACTCTGGCTTGGTGGGATTAGGTGGGAAATTACAGATTGCATCAACAATTTGGTCTGCCTGGATACAATTTGGTCTGTTTCAGTCACAGCCTGGGTCACACCTGTTGATATATATTTTTAAACTGATTCCTCTCTAGATCATTCTTTCTGATCAGCACAAGGCAATATGCTGAAATTTCTCTTTTATATCTGTTTTATTAGCATGTCTTTCAAGTGCTCCTTAATCTTCCAAAGAAAATGGAAAGAGTTCTTATATTGTGCTACAGCCTTTGTATTCACTTGGCAATTGCCAACTTATTTTAAAATAAACTTTTAAAGTGAACTATGACGTATCTATACAATATGCACAAATCATAGTATACAACTTTATGAATTATCATGAGCTGTCACCACCCAGACAAAAAAAAAAATACTGGCAATGGCCCCTGCCCCCCACAAACTCTCTCATATCGCACCCTAGGCACTACTTCTTCCTCCATAAAGGTAGCCAACATTCAGACATCATATTCTATGGATTAGTTTTGATTACTTTTAAATTTTCTATAAATGGAAGAGTGAAGTATGTATATTTGGGGATTTTTGTTGTTGTTGTTCAATGTTAAACAGTATTCCAAAATATTGGAGTTCAATGTATTAGTCTTTTTCCTTATGGTTAGTATTTTTGAAGTCCTGTCTAAGCAACATTTGTCTACTCAAAGGTCATGACGGTATTATCCTGTGTTATCCTTTAGAAGTGTTGTATTTTACATTCACATTTAGAACTACAGTACACCTAACATTTTTATATGGTGTGTAGTAAGGGGGTCAGTAATTATTTTTTCATAAGGATATCTGAAAAGACCTGACATTCCTCACTGCTTTTTTCATAAATCAATTGTCTTCATATATGTGAAGTTGTCTTGGACTCTCTATTCTGTCCCATTAGTATTCTTGTCTCTTCTGGGTCAATGCCCTTATCTGTCAATGACTACAGTTTTATAATAATGTCTAATATCTAGTCATGTATCAAAACCATATTGGCTATCCTTGGCTCTTTGAATCTCCATACAAGTTTTAGAATCATATGTGTCCTAATAATAACAACAACAATGAAAAAAGATGATATTTTGATTGGGATTATTTTGAATTTATAGGCCAATTTGTGAAGGATTGATATGTTTGCAATGTGACATCTTCTAATTCATGACCATGGGAATGTTCTTCCACTTATTTAGGTCTTCTTTAGTTAACTCAATAATAATTTTTAGTTTTTCTTGTGTGTGTGTGTGTGTGTGTGTATGCATGCATGTGTGTGGCAGTCTTGTACATATTTCATTATATTTATATGTATATGATTTTTCAAAATAGTATGGTAATATGATTTACTTATTTTTTGATGCTAGTATATAAAGATTGAAATAATTCTCATATGTTTATTTTGAAGCCAGAAACCTTGCTAAATTCACTTATTTATTCTAAGAGTTTCTAGAGTTTTTGGTTTTCTGTACACAAATCTCCCTGTAATAATTTTTTTCTTTATACCTATTCCTTTTATTTCATTTCTTATCTTATAGAATTGGCCATGACCTCTAGTACAATATTGAACATAAATGGTCTTGAAAGATACCCTTGTCTCATTTTCAATCTCAGCTTTTAATTTTATTATGTCTAATGAGTGCTATAGAACTGTTATCATTATCCTTTATCAATTAGAAAAGGCATCTTTTCTTTTGTTATGAGTTTTCAACATCAATGGGTATTGAATTTTGTCAAATATTAAATATTTTGTGCCTCTGTAGAGGTGATCATTTGCTTTTCTCCTTTATTATATTAATGTGATGAATTACATTGATCATTTTTTAAAATAGACTTTATTTTAGGAAGAAGTTTCAGGTTCAAAGCAAATTTGGACAGAAAATAGAGTAACTTCCCAGATACTCCCTGCCTTGACACTTGGACAGCCTTTCACACGATCAGCATCTCACACCAAAGTGGTACATTTGTTACAATTGATTAATCTACATTAACACATTATTATCACCCAAAGTCCATGGTTGACATCAGGGTTCACTCTTAGTGGTGTATATTCTATGGGTTTTCATAGATATGAAATTACATGTTTCCACTATTAGAGCATCATACAGAATAGTTTCACTGCCCTGAAAATCTTTTTTGCTTCACCTATTCTATCCCTCCCTCCTAACTATTCCCTGGTAACCACTGATCTTTTTATTGTCTCCATAGTTTTTCCTTTTCCATAATGTAATATAAATGGAATCATACAGCATGTATCCTTTTCAAATTAGCTTTTTTTCAGTTGGTAATATGCATTTAAGTTTCCTCCATGTCATGTTATCACTTGATAGCATGTTTCCTTTTAGTGCTGAATAACATTCATTGTCTGGATGTACCACAATATATTTATCCATTCACCTACTTCAATTTTGACAATTGTTTATAAATCTGCCGTAAACATCTGTGTGCAGGTTTTTGTGTGGATGTAAGTTTTCAATTCATTGGGTGAATACCAGGGAGTGTGGTTGCTGGATGGTATGGAAAGAGTATCTCTTGTAAGAAACTGCCAGATTATTTTCCATAATGGCTGTACCATTTTGCATTCCCACCAGCAGTTATTGAGCATTCCTTACTTATTTTCCACCTGTATATCTTCTTTGATAAAGTGTCTGTTCAGGTCTTTTATCCATTTTTAAAATTGGGTTGTTCATTTGGTTATTATTGAGTTTTAAGTGTTTTGTATATTTTCGATAACAGTCTTTTATCTATTGTTTGGAAATATTTTCTCCCAGTCTTTTAAACATTAAAGCAACTTGCAGTCCTGAAACTTACCCAACTTTATTGTGTTATGTGAATACACATTGCCACATATATGAACACAAAATTGAACTGTTAATATTTTGTTTATGGATTTTGAATCTGTGTTTATGACAAAGATTGTCCTAGAATTTTTCTTTCTGGTAATGCTCTTATTAAATGTCAGTATAAAATTTTACTACCCTCATAAAAGAAGTTGAGGAATTTTCTTGTTTTTTCTATTCTTTGGAAGAGTTCATTTAATATTGGTGTTATTTCTTTCTTATGTATTTGGAAAAATTCATGGCTAAACTGTCTAGGCCTGGAGTTTTCTTTGTGGTAAGGCATTTAATTACAGATTTAATTTCTTTAAGATATATGACTATTCTATTCTTTATTATACCTGTTTTGTTGTATTTTTAAAAGATTTTTAAAAATTGATTTAAATGTCAAATTTATTTGCATAAAATTGTTCCTAGTATCCTTTTATCTATTTTTCAGGTACTATATTGATACTCCCCATTTCTTTTCTGATATTGTAATTTGGTACCTTTTCTATTTTACTCTTGAGCAGTCTCATTCCTACCCCCATCCCAGAAATTATAATTTTATAAGTCTTAAAAAAGTTTTGGCTTTGTTGGCTGTTTTAATGTACATTTATTAATTTCATTTATTTTCTGTTTTTACTGTTTCCTTCATTCCAGTTTGTTGGTTTTATTTTCTGTTCCTTAATTTCTTAGGATGAATAATTAGATCACTGATGTTAGGCTTTCTTCTTTTCTAATATATGCATTTATTGATATATATGTCTCTAAGCGTGGCTTTAGCTGTATCCTACATTTTTTTATGACATACTTTCATAGTCATTCAATTCAAGATCTTTTCTAATTTCTATGCTGATTTTTTTGACTGTTGAGATATTTAGAAGTATGTAGCTTAATTTCCCAGCACTTAAGTGTTTCTTAGTTATCTTTTGTTAATAATTTACAGGTAATTTCATTCCGGTCAGAGAATATACTTGGCACAATTTCTGCCTTTTCAAATTTCCTGATACTTGCTTTATAGCCTGGAATATGTTTAATTTGGGTGAATGTTCTCTGTTGTGCAATGTCTTTAGTCCTCACGTGCAGTATTCTTCATTTGCGTGTGTGTATATACATGTGCGTATGATCAAGTTTGAAGATTGTTAATTATATTTTTCAAATCTTTTATTTAATTCCTTTTTGTTATCTGCTTCTTTTACTTACTGAGAGAAGTATGCTAAAACCTCCCACTATGATTGTGAAATTCTCCTTTTTGTCCCCTATAGTTCTGTTGATTTTTGTTTCATGTGTTTTTGAACTTATACATTTAGAATTTCTACATCTTCCTGAACAACCACCTCTTTTGTCATTATGAAATATTTTCCCTTTATTTTTAGTTATGGTCCTTGTCTTAAAGTTTAGTTTATTTGGTATTTGTAAACATACACTTTCTCTTATGGCTAGTATTTGCTTTGTGTAGTTTCTTTTCACTTCTCTACTCTCAAATTCTCTGAAGGCTTTTATTTAAAATATGTTTCTTGTAAGCAGTATATTACTTTGAAATCCATTATGAAAACCTTCCTTTTAATGGTGATATATAGACTATTTAACAATTAATATAGTGACATCTTAACTAACATTTAATATAGCTTCCTTGTGACACAGCCGCCCTTTTTCTAATAGTCTCAATTATGTCTCATTTGTTAAATATACCAATTAAATTATTAGTTTAAGCTATCGTATGTTTCGGCCTTGAATTTTTATTTGACTCTGTTGTATAGTTGTCATTTCTTTTCTAAATTCCTTCATTTGCTGTTTTGCATCTTTAGAATATATGTGATTGATATGTTCCAGTCCGTGGCTAATAACTCCAATATCCATTTCTTTTGTAGCTTGTTATCTCTTATTGATTGATGGTTTGGATCTTTGGGCATTTGGTTTTGTCTCTTCGTATGCCACATGATATTTCATACTTGACACTGAGTACAAAAATTATAGGAAAAAACTTGAGGCTCTGAATAATGTTATATTCCTTCAGAGAAGACATATTTTGTTTCTGGGAGGAAGGTCTGGTGGGGGAAGATTGCCTTAGTCCAGTTAGGGATTTATTCCATGGGAAACTGGGCTGCAGACTTGGTGAGGACAGATCTATTTCCAGTTGCCCTTCCACCTGTGATGTAGTTTTTCAGGGTCCTCGCTGAAAGTCTGGGATGTCTACCTGGACCCCTTCTCCTTGGCATATCTTCAGTCTAATTTTGTCCACCAAGACTTATAAGACTGTGAAGTTTGGTTCAGCTACTCAGCCTCTTCATTGCAGGTTGAGAATTGAAAATTGCTTCATGAGAGACAGTAGCACTGAATGTGGGACTCAGGTCTCCACACGCTCACTCTCCCCAAGATCTTATCCTCTCAGGTCGTCACTGCCTTAGTAACTCACTGAGGCCCTGACGTAAGATTTTCTACACATATTTAGCTCAGCATTTTTAGTTTTTCTCAGTGGGAGCATTGGTCTTCAGCCAGCTAGTCTATCTACTTCACTCTCACTCTCATCAAATTATTTTATTCACACTTTACAGATCTTGAATTTGAGGCTAAATCATCCACATTACAAAGACAGAAACCCAGCCCCGCCATGCTCTCCTCAGTCTGTCTAATCATAAGACATAAAAAGCTAAGCCTCTTTCTACTCAGGCCCCTATTTCATGTCTCATTCTAGGGTCAGTTGTCAAAGAAATCTTGATAAGAAAGTATTAATTCTTAAGGGGAAGCTCTTCCTCATGGATAACTGCATTTTATTAATAGAGCTGTTTTGAAGGCCTACAGCCTTTGATGGAAATAACTATTTTGGAAGAATAGAAGTGAAAGGTTTGCTGTTGTTTGCTTGGGTCTCAGTAATACCCCTGGGGCATCTACCCCTACACATACAGCCAACTTTGCCTTTGAATCTCCCCTCTCCATCTGAAGTCTTTGTTCTTTCCAATGGATTTATAGCAATTTACTTCCTCATGAAAAAAGAACTTGCATTCCTGAATCTCTGCAATGAACTGAAGAAGCTAACTGTACAACTCAATCCTGCCCACAAGTGGGCAAACCAACAAAACCCTTTGAGAAAGTTATATCCTATTTTATCTAATAATGGTCAAGATGCAAAAGACGTGAATGTCCTCTTTTATAGCAAGGACAAAAAACTCCACGAAGATGAGTGTATTTAAAAAACAAAATTGAGGCCAGGCGTAGTGGCACATGCCTGTAATCCCAGCACTTTGGGAGGCTGACGCAGGCAGATCGCTTGAGTCCAGGAGTTTGAAGCCAGACTGAGTAACATGGCAAAACCCTGCCTCTACAAAAAATGTAAAAATTAGCCGAGTGTGATGGTGCACACCTCAGTCCCAGCTACTTGTGAGGCTGAGGTGGGAGGATCGCTTCAGCCCAGGAGATCGAGGCTGCAGTGAGCCATGATTGTGCCTCTACACTCCAGCCTAGGCAACAGAGTGAGACTCTGTCTCAAAAATAGTAATAAAATAAAATAAAATAAAGCTGCTTATTAGTTGTTTGACCTAGACATAAATTCATTTAACTTACCATAGCCTTGATTTCTTCTCTGACAAAATGGGCATAGCAATCATACCCTTTCATAAGGTTGTTGGCTGGGTTGTATGAAGTCATTCATGTGATTATTGATTAATTGAGTGATTTTTCAGATTTCACAAGAGTTTGAAATAAAATAATTAAAAATTAATAAATTTTGTTATAAAGGGAATGGCACTGTTTCAAACTTAGCTGCTGCTATTGCTGCTGTTTGGTAATAAATTCTAGTCCCCTTTTGACTTCGATCAAAATCTGATGCCCTAACTCAGCTAGAATGAGTTTTCCCATTGCCCATGTGTCTATTTTTGTTAAACGGTGGACCCTAATCAACCGAGGAGGTGTTTGTTATAGAAAACCAATGACTAGGAATCACCTTCTCAGATACAGAATATGAGGCCCCAAGGGGTGAGGGGAGGTGTCCATGGTTACTAGACCTGGGGGTCTCCTGACTTCTAGGCTGCGAGGGAAAATATCACAGAGTATGCTCTGATTCCTAGAGGGCCAGAGGGGCTCCTTTGTGATCCCAAGTTCTGGTTCACCTTCTATATGGAGTTGTGTTCTGGTCTTAAGGGACTTACCCTTCCATTCCATCACTTTCTGCCATCAAAACTTTCCTTTCTGTTTTCTAAGACAATATCAATGGCTGTGGATATTGAACAATTGTCTGATAAAAGTGATTTTTGACATTAAGGATCTAAGTGCTCATATTTGAGAGTCTGATCTAGTGACCCTCATGAATAACAATCACACCTTACTTAGTACTGGGATTTTCCCTTTACAGTTGATGTTTACTTACATGATTGACCTGCGTAACAGTTTAAAACAGGTAGGACCACGAGGTCAGGAGATTGAGACCATCCTGACAAATATGGTGAAACCCTGTCTCTACTAAAAATACAAAAAAAACAAAAAAATTAGTCAGGCGTGGTGGCAGGCACCTGTAGTCCCAGCTACTTGGGAGGCTGAGGCAGGAGAATTGCGTGAACCTGGGAGGCTGAGCTTGCAGTGAGCCAAGATCGTGCCACTGCACTCCAGCCTGGGCCACAGAGCAAGACTCCATCTCAAAAAACAAAAACAAAAACAAAAACAGGTAGGACCACAACAGTAACAATAACTGCCATTCATCAAGTGTATTTTGTTTGCAAAAATATCTTCACTTTCATTTCTTATTTAATTCATATGCTAATCCTTCAAAGTGGGTGATATCATTACCCATTTAATAAAATGGCAATTGCAGCTCAGAAGGCAAAGAATGTGCTCAGGATCATAAAGCCAGTAAGTGATGTAGAGAGATTTTCAACCCAGTTTGTTGATTAGGCAAAACAGTAGTCTTTTCACGGCACCTTACTGTCTTTCCCAAGTTATTTCTCCAACCTGTACAGAGAGATTGTGCCTTGACTAAAAAGCGCCAGCAAGTTTATGATGGGTGGTTGAGTCAGGAGTAGAGTTTTAATCTTCTAAACCTTAACCCATCTCTCTTTCTATTGACCATACACTTTTCTCCCCATTAGCATCTCAGCTTTTAGAAATGGACATTTTGTGAACCTCCCCATTGCATTGCATCTCAGTTGTTGTATTTGAGATGCTGGAACGTGGAGATGCAATGCAGTGAACTCAACAATCCAAAATAGCCAATCCAAAATTTTGGTGTCTAAAGAGTTACCATTTCCACTATAACAGATCGCCATCAAATTTACTTAATGTCAATATCACATTATGTACACTTTAATTTCCAACTCAGAAAAAAAGGTCTAGATCTGTTTGTGGCTTTATTACCAATGTCACCATTATTTTTGAGCCATTAGTATAAGGAGTTCAGATGTTTGAGTTCCTAGAGTATTAAATAAGAGAGAATTTAGACAACCTTAATTTTTTTTCTTTTTTTTTCTTTTTTAACCATTGTCATGAGACAGACTCAAGTTCAAATCCCAACTCAGTCATTTATTGATTGTGTGGACTTGGCCAAGTTGCTTAACCTCTGCGTCTCAATTTCTTAACTTTTAAAATGGAGATAAAATCTACCTTGAAGGATTATAAGGAAGAAAGGTTATTTGTAGGCAGTACTTGGCATGCAAAAGCTATAACTTACTAATAATAATTATTATTTTATTTATTTATTTATTTTTCATATATATTTTTTATTATACTTTAAGTTCTAGGGTACATGTGCACAATGTTCAAGTTTGTTACATATGTATACATGTGTCATGTTGGTGTGCTGCACCCATTAACTTGTCATTTACATTAGGTGTATCTCCTAATGCTATCCCTTCCCCCTCCCTCCACCCCACAACGGGCGCTGGTGTGTGATGTTCCCCTTCCTGTGTCCAAGTGTTCTCATTGTTCAGTTCCCACCTATGAGTGAGAACATGCAGTGTTTGGTTTTTTGTCCTTGTGATATTTTGCTGAGAATGATGGTTTCCAGCTTCATCCATGTCCCTACAAAGGACATGAACTCATCATTTTTATGGCTGCATAGTATTCCATGGTGTATATGTGCCACGTTTTCTTAATCCAGTCTATCATTGTTGGACATTTGGGTTGGTTCCAAGTCTTTGCTATTGTGAGTAGTGCCGCAAATAAACATACGTGTGCATGTGTCTTTATAGCAGCATGATTTATATTCCTTTGGGTATATAGCCAGTAATGGGATGGCTGGGTCAAATGGTATTTCTAGTTCTAGATCCCTGCAGAATCACCACACTGACTTCCACAATGGTTGAACTAGTTTTCAGTCCCATCAACAGTTTAAAGTGTTCCTATTTCTCCACATCCTCTCCAGCACCTGTTGTTTCCTGACTTTTTAATGATCGCTATTCTAACTGGTGTGAGATGATATCTCATTGTGGTTTTGATTTGCATTTCTCTGATGGCCAGTGATGATGAGCATTTTTTCATGTGTCTGTTGGCTGCATAAATGTCTTCTTTTGAGAAGTGTCTGTTCATATCCTTCACCCACTTTTTGATGGAGTTGTTTGTTTTTTTCTTGTAAATTTGTTGGAGTTCATTGTAGATTCTGGATATTAGCCCTTTGTCAGATGAGTAGATTGCAAAAATTTTCTCCCATTCTGTAGGTTGCCTGTTCACTCTGATGGTAGTTTGTTTTGCTGTGCAGAAGCTCTTGAGTTTAATTAGATCCCATTTGTCAATTTTGGCTTTTGTTGCCATTGCTTTTGGTGTTTTAGACATGAAGTCCTTGGCCATACCTATGTCCTGAATGGTATTACCTGGGTTTTCTTCTAGGGTTTTTATGGTTTTAGGTCTAACATTTAAGTCTTTAATCCATCTTGAATTAATTTTTGCATAAGGTGTAAGGAAGGGATCTAGTTTCAGCTTTCTACATATGGCTAGCCAGTTTTCCCAGGACCATTTGTTAAATAGGGAATCCTTTCCCCATTTCTTGTTTTTTGTCAGGTTTGTCAAAGATCAGAGAGTTGTAGATGTGTGGTATTATTTCTGAGGGCTGTGTTCTGTTCCATTGGTCTGTGTCTCTGTTTTGGTACCAGTACCATGCTGTTTTGGTTACTGTAGCCTTGTAGTATAGTTTGAAGTCAGGTAGCCTGATGCCTCCTGCTTTGTTCTTTTGGCTTAGGATTGACTTGGCGATGCGGACTCTTTTTTGGTTCCATATGAACTTTAAAGTAGTTTTTTCCAATTCTGTGAAGAAAGTCATTGGTAGCTTGATGGGGATGGCATTGAATTTATAAATTACCTTGGGCAGTATGGCCATTTTCACAATTTTATTCTTCCTATCCATGAGCATGGAATATTCTTCCATTTGTTTGTATCCTCTTTTATTTCATTGAGCAGTGGTTTGTAGTTCTCCTTGAAGAGGTCCTTCACATCCCTTGTAAGTTGGATTCCTAGGTATTTTATTCTCTTTGAAGCAATTGTGAATGGGAGTTCACTCATGATTTGGCTCTCTGTTTGTCTGTTATTGGTGTATAAGAATGCTTGTGATTTTTGCACATTGATTTTGTATCTTGAGACTTTGCTGAAGTTGCTTATCAGCTTAATGAGATTTTGGGCTGAGACGATGGGGTTTTCTAGATATACAATGATGTCATCTGCAAACAGGGACAATTAGACTTCCTCTTTTCCTAATTGAATGCCCTTTATTTCCTTCTCCTGCCTGATTGCCCTGGCCAGAACCTCCAACACTATGTTGAATAGGAGTGGTGAGAGAGGGCATCCCTGTCTTGTGCCCGTTTTCAAAGGGAATGCTTCCAGTTTTTGCCCATTCAGTATGATATTGGCTGTGGGTTTGTCATAAATAGCTCTTATTATTTTGAGATAAGTCCCATCAATACCTAATTTATTGAGAGTTTTTAGTATGAAGGACTGTTGAATTTTGTCAAAGGCCTTTTCTGCATCTATTGAGATAATCATGTGGTGTTTGTCTTTGGTTCTGTTTATATGCTGGATTATGTCTATTGATTTGCATATGTTGAACCAGCCTTGCATCCCAGGGATGAAGCCCAGTTGATCATGGTGGATACGCTTTTTGATGTGCTCCTGGATTCGGTTTGCCAGTATTTTATTGAGGATTTTTGCATCAATGTTCATCAGGGATATTGGTCTAAAATTCTCTTTTTTTTTGTTGTGTCTCTGCCAGGCTTTGGACAAC
Organism: Homo sapiens; assembly: GCF_000001405.40. Classification (NCBI taxonomy): domain Eukaryota; kingdom Metazoa; phylum Chordata; class Mammalia; order Primates; family Hominidae; genus Homo; species Homo sapiens. The sequence goes on from NC_000010.11 coordinate 76,428,103, forward strand.
CTTAATTTCTTATTATGCTCACTACTTCTTGTGGCTGAGCCAAAACACTCATGCTACAAGACTAAATCAGTTTCTGGAGTTTAGAAGTCTTTAGTGCTTTCTTCTACTTTATTGAATTAGTTCTTCATTGAGAGAGAGAGAGCATATCTAGGAGGAGCCAGCCTGTCTTGGATTGTAGTGATATTTTGAATGGTTCCTTTACTTGTTTTTGAAAGCTCATAAACCCCTGTTAAGTAGACTAGGTGTCCAGACCTTCATCCTTGATGCTGGCTCAGGCCCATCTGTGGAGATTGACATGGCTTTAACTTCATGATGAAGTTAATTTCATCTTTTAACTTCATGATGAAGTTAATTTCATCATTTAACTTCATGAGCTATAGACCCATCATAGATCCATCGATCCAGTTTTCCTTCCAGGCCCCACATTAACTGTGCCAAGACCAGAAAACACAGAGACTTGGCCTAGACTTTTTTCTTGGATACTCCTTTCTTGTGAGATTGCCACTGGAGCTCAGCATCTTGGCCTCTCCCTATGAGATACAGTGGGGGTGAATGAGGAGGGTAAACCGGCTGAGGATGCAAAAAAGAGAATGACTCACTAGCTGTGCATCTTAGCAAGGCATGGAACTTCTAGCACGTGGCTGCTGGCAAAAGCTCAAATAACTGTATATCTGAACAAAGAAACCATATTCAGGACTGCTAAATCCCAGCAACTTAAGGCTCTGCCAGGCAAAGCAAGAGAAAGAAAGGGGAAGGATTTGAGAAGGGGTTAATTGAGGGTGAGGTAAAGAAGTTTTACTCTGTTATCATGTTGACCAATTTGTATCCATTTGCCTTTCTCCTTTGAGTCATTGTCATTTCAGTTGCTGAGAAGTGGACTGAAACCTTGCTGTTAGATGAGGAAATAACCCTGCCAATTATACACACACACACACACAAACACACACACACACACATTCCCCACACTGGCATGCCACTGCCTTTTTCAAGATAGGAGGAATCCCTTAACTAGTTATTTCATCATGCATGAAAAACCCCAAAGTAAAAATGTTGGAGAATTAACAAAAAAAAAAAAGTTACAGCCGCCAAGCCAATGTTGCATTATTTTCTCAAAAACTCATGATGTCATGGACTTAGCTCACCTTTAGTGCAGCCATGCGAATAATGTGTACTGAGCTTTCTATCATGTACCATTATAATTAGCTCTGTCAGGTCTTAGCCCTGCAACCCTCATGCAGATAATATGATAATATGTCTTCATAACCAAGTGACCTTACATGCACAATATTTCTCCCCTTATGAAGATTGCATGTCAATAAAGTAATTGAGTCTCAGAGGCTGCAGCGAGGGAAGATTTAGGTGATTGGACGTGGAGAGCAGTGATGTATGATGATTATTATTCCTCTTGTCAGGGAGGCGCGTACAAGCGAGGATGGCCAGAAGATGACAGGGATGACGGGTTGCGTTTCATTAAAAAAAAAATTGCTGTTAATCACCACTCTATTCTTTTCAAAGTCACTGAGGAAAGAAACTCTTTTTTCATTGTAGCTACAATGAACATCCCCAAATGGGAGCACATCGTAAGATTTTTAGCCTCAGTCCCCTTTCACAGTGTCTTTCTTCTGTTGCAAAGAGGCTAAATTAAGATTTTAATTAATAGATCAGCCATGGGGGCCTGGGCAGGGGCCACCCAGCTTCCCTGCTGTAGGGCTCCTTGGGTTTCCAAATGCAGAAAAGGCGCCTGCCGAGATGGAATTGCACTTCCTCTCCTCTCTGCGTTGAGAGAAGTGTGCTGGTGAGCTCTATAAAAAGAAAGCAAATGTGAGAGAACCAGATCCGAGACAACTATTTTTACTTGAATTAATTTGTTTGGACAGTTTTAACACTTGGAACATTTATATTTCCATACTTTATAAAAGCAAACATGCTGTTTCTCTAGCTGTAAATTTATCTTATGATATCATAACAGCTGGAAACTTGTAGCCTGGTAGGATTTTGTTTCATATTTAAACAGCTTGAGAAATATGTCGGAAACAAGGTATATTTTCCCCCATCTCTGTGTGTTTTCTCCTCTCGTATTAGGCTACCTTAGGAGTGTCGGCAGTATCATTCAGAAGATACTGAGGCTCCAGGATTTTTATTAGCCTGGCATTGTTAATTGCTGCTCCCTTGCAAACCTCTTCCTATAAATGCTGAGAACACACTGGAGCCCCTTCCAGAGGAGTTCAAGAATCTTTTCAAGGGGAAAGAAAGCTAACAGTAAAAGCATCTTTTGTTGGCAGAGGGGCTTCTGAAGTCTTTAAATCTTTGTTCATAAGTAATTGACTAAGATCTAACAGCCTTGAAGGAAAGGAGCTGATGGTATCACTTTTTAGTCATAGTATTAACCTTGTGATTTATGGTACAAAATTAGCCACTGCATCCTCTCATTACGGGTGCTGAGTGATTTCTCCAGGCAGGCAGGAGGGAATTGAGAGCTGGATTTTTGTCTCCTGGAGCTCTACTGTTTCCTCCTAGGGAACCACAGTGAGTGTTTTTAGGGATAGGAATATTGTTTTCCTTCCATTTTCTCTGCTCTGTAAAAGAAAATATCAAATGTAAGTAAATAAATAACCTAAGGGAGCTAGAATGTTCAGAGGAAATGTTAACCCAAGGGTGGTCCAAGGGTGGCAGTATAGAATATAGAGTTTCAGATAGGGTCAGTGAGTGATTTCAACCTCCTAATTGTCCCACAACCCCCTCCTCTGCCTCCACAAATTCAAGGCCAAAGCTTTCTGAGTATTTTTTCCATTGAATAGTATCTGGAGTAGAGATTATATCCATTTCTCCATCTGGATAGTTTTTTCCTAATGAATTAAAAACCACCTAATAGACTTCAGGGACACTAGGAAGACTCTGATGATTTCAAGAATTCATAATCCTTATTCTATGCTGACATTGAAATTTTACAAGTGGAGCTTTATCTCTACAGTTCAAGGCTTTGGTTTCTGGTGAAAAATATGTCTCTCCCTGGGAGGAAGAAGCAGATTAACCTATTATCAGTTATTTACATCTGGGTGGAAAAAAAAGATCTAAATATTTTCTGAATGCTTTAAGTAGAGAACAAGCAAGATAATAACTAGGTGCTTGGGGAGTGAATTTACGTGTTTGAGGCGGGCTGATGCAGAGAGGAGCATGGATGCGAACGGGCCCATAACTAGGAGCTTTTTGCTGTTGAAAAGCAACTTTGCTGACTGCACAGTTTGTGTGAGCCCTCCTACAGCTCAGTTCTCTCCTCACATCAGCCTGCTTCCCTGGGTGACGACAGTGTTAAAAGCACAGACTTCAGAGTTAGACTGCATAAGTTCAAATCACTTCTCTACTACTTGCAAATTCTGGGGCTTGAGAAAGTCACTAGTCTCCTGTATGTAGCTCAGTTTTCTCATTTTTAAAAGTGACAATAATGGTGCCTTGCTCTAGGGCAGTTATAAATGTAACATCCTCATAATAACCAATAATAAGAGTATAATCAGTGCTGCCTGTTGTTATTATCCCAGTGGATGATAACTTAGACCTATGCTGGATTCGTTGTCATTGGTGATGGTGGTGGTGCTGTGGATGATAAAGAGATGATAGATCCTGATATGGTTTGGTTGTGTCCCCACCTAATTCTCAACTTGAATTCCCACATGTTGTGGGAGGAACCTGGTGGGAGGTAATTGAATAATGGGGGTGGTCTCCCGTGCTGTTCACATGATAGCGAATAAGTTTCACAAGATTTTATGGCTTTAAAAAACGGGAATTTCCCTGTACAAGCTCCCTTCTCTTGTCTGCTGCCATGTGAGACATGCCTTTCACCTTCTGCCATGATTGTGAGGCCTCCCCAGCCACGTGAAACTGTAAGTCCAATAAACCTCTTTATTTTGTAAATTGTCCAGTCTCAGGTATGTCTTTATCAGCAGTGTGAAAATGGACTAATACAGATCCTAAATATAGCAAGTGTACTGGTGCTTAATTTCCCTTTGTAAAACTTGAGTCCTGGCTGATTATCTCCAAACTTTCCCTTGACTTCTTTCCCTGTATTTTAGTTCCAGTGTGTATAAAAGTGAAAGCTGAACTTTCTGAAATGTCGTGGGTGTGGGCCTGGGGGTGCTGCTGGTGTGGTGCTCCTTTACTGGCTCTGTCTTGCCATAGATCTCCACAGAGCCCTGAGCTGTAGGGCTGTTGATGACAAAAAGAGAACATAAAATGCTAGAGGAAAGATCATTCTAACACGGTGCAAATCCCCAAACCTTCCCTACAATTTCTCTGTCTCCCATGCCTCACCCAAAGCAACATTTGGCCTAGAAGGGAACTTTGAGATGATCTGGCCCCATGCCTTTCACACTGAGCTATGCGGAATTCTAGCATTCCAATGAGACTTGTCAGAGGTGCAGGGGGAACAAGTGGTGACCCATCAGGGTGGAGCTAACAGGGCTCCCAAAGCTGGCTTCCAAATCCATTTTTATCCATTCAATACACTGGGGTCTAAAGGAAAATATCATTTAATGAAAAAATTTTATTGTCTAATGTAACAACAGAAGGTTCAAGCATCAGTGATCTAGTCCATCTTGTTCATTTTACAGATGAGGCGCAGAATAGGCTTATCACTGGCTCATGTCACTGCCAGTTAGTCATGGACCCTAGCCTTGAAATTGCTCTTTGGAAACCCCACTGTTTCCAGTATTGTGTCTGCATAGTGGCTTCCACGGGCCGAGGGCTCACCTCATTGCCCCCTCCCCACATGCCCTAGCTGGTCTCTTGAATGACTATAGCACTAGCATGTGGTGGCCATGTGTGCCACCAGTGCCACCACCCTAATGGCAGCTGTGATTATCAGCACAGAGGCCCAGGAAGAAGGACAGAATGGACTGCTGGCGGATGAATTGGGAGGGGAGGGAATGGGCAGAAGTGGAGCCACATTGAACTCAGAAGTATAAGTGAAGAACCCACTATAATGTTGCATGGGGCCTTGTTCAGCAAAGGAAGATTGCTGTCTCCCAGTCCAGTGCAGCTGAATTAAGTGATCTGGCCAGGGTGGCAGTGGGGCCTGTGTTCCTTCTCACAGGTATCTGTGTTAATGGGCACCCCTGCCTGGAGCCGCCAGTGTAGCTGCTTGGATTTCTTATTCTTTTATTTCCATCCTGTCTCCTTGTTTTCTGTCACTGTGTCATGTCAAATCATTGTCAGGTGGCAGACACCACACCCCCCAAGTACAAAGGTATCAGGTTTCAGGACACAGGCTGAAATGAATATAATAATGGGAGCCAGAACGAGGCACAGACCACTTAGCAGGCAAGGAAACAGCTAATAAGTGTTGTTAGTGGTTTCCATGGGGAGGACCTGGCGTGCATTTCTTGGACAGGCAGGTGGAGCACGGCCTGTCCTGGGGTCCAGCTACAGACAGGCTTGTGCGATTAGTATTGATGCCTGTCACTTTGTGGCTGCCAAGCTGTTGATTCTGTGAAAGACCAAAGACTCTGGTTATCTGGTAATCAACACTGCTCTCAGGAACGCACTGGGGAAACAGAAATAGGCTTTCCTGAGTATTGACTGAAGCCATGGATCATGTTGCTGGTTTGTGTTTTCCTCTAGCCCCAGCCCTGAGATTGCTCCAGCCTGTTCTTCACCTGCAGTGCCAGGTAACCATTCTTATTTGTCATGGGATCAAATTCTAACCCTCTTAGAGTGAGCCCATCCAAATGCTCTGACTCAGCTGAACACTGATGTAACCAGGGTGACTTGGGCGACAGCATAGGAAATAAGAATGCATTTGCATGTCAAGGTGGAAATTCAGTCTCTCACCTTTGACAAATTCCCACACCTTTGACAAATTCCCAAATCCAAATGCATGGTTGACGCTTAGGCTTCTTCTTATCCCACTCCACCTCACCTTTGCTTTTTTAAAGGCTCTTTAAAAATATAAACATTAAAATCCAAAAGGGTTAGTAACAGAAGAATAAAAAATATAATTCGTTTTCTCTCCTAATTCATTTTCTTGGTAACTGTTGCCTTCTCATATCCTCTTCTTTCTTTCTTTTTTGTATTCAAGAACTTTAATATCTTATTTTTCCAAAACATCAATGTCCTGATTATAGTGAACCTTGAACAGACATCTCCTCCTGCCCATGGAAAATGAGTTCTGACTTTTCTTGGGTTTTGTTAAGTTTTAATCTCTTTTTTTCTCTCTCTCTTTCTTATTTACTCTCTCTCTCTCTCTTTAATTTTCTTCCTTTCTCTCCCCTCCTATCTCTTCACTCCCTCTTTCTCTCCCCTTTTTCTCCCACTCCCCTTCCCAAAGCTAAAAAATGCTGAAACATGATTGCTTCTTTCTTTCTTATGTAAGGAGCAATGGGAACTGAGGTTACACAGAATGTGTCACAAACTGGATATCACCACTTAGCTAACCCATAAATCCACCCACTTACCTACCCACCCATCAGTTCATCCATCCATGAGTACCTTAGGCCATCCACTCATCCATCTGTCCATCCATCCATTCATTCATCCATCCATCCAATAAGTGCCACTGAGCATTTACCATTGGCCAGGCTCTGGCAAGATGCTCAGGATACAACAATAAATGAGCTTTCCATCTTCAAAGAGCTCACCATCTAGAAAAATAAAACCAGTGCTGGATGGTAAGTGATCTGTGATAAATGGTATGGATATATGTATGTGTGTGTGAATGTGTATACCTACCTGTACACGCACACACTGCCACCCAACCATTAAGTGTCTGCTTGGCTTTTGAGTTGTATTCATTTGTAGATTAATCAAACAACTCTTCATTAATGCCAGTAGCCAGGCACTGTGTTAGGAGTTGGGTTTACAGAGGTAATTAAGATACAGACCCTTCTTATTCTTAAGTTTCTCATGAAACACAGCCTGGATTATCCTTCCCTCCCACCCTGCCACGTTTCTGCCCCATAAACTAGACCATTCTCTGGTAATCTACTTAGTTTTTTAGATAAACTAAGAATAATCTATATGACATAGTCCTTCCCAGTACTTAAGGAAGGGAAAGTATCATTGAATATATCACTTGCAAAGGAGCTTAGAGATTATCGGCCCAAGCACATCTCTTTGTGAATGAGAACACTGAGGCTCTGGAGGAGATGAAGTGACTTCTCCAGGCCACACAGGAAGGCATTGGCAGAACTATAACTTGGCCTTGCCAAGATGTGGCCTTTCAGTCCTTCCCAATGTTCTCACCCCAAGTTTCTCTTTCATGAGGCCCCAGAAGCTGCTTAGATTCAGACAGGCCACTAGAGGCTGATGCAGTCATCTGAGGCCATGGCATGTTACCTCTCAGAGCAGAAGGGAGAGGCTTCCCTCTGTGGAGGGGACTGAGAAGGCTACCCATGACTCTGAATCAAGAGTGGTTTTATAAGTCAAGCACTTTGTCTTCCTGCTCTTCAGAGAAGCTAAAACAAGAAATAACCAAAAGGAGACAATGTCTGGGTCAGCAACTGATTACATTTTTGATGTCACACTGCCTTCTGGGTTGGGAGAAGTTGAAAGACTTCATAGAATCACCCCCGCTCATCTTATTCTTGGTGAATACTCTTCACACAAATGTCCCAAGTGCCATGCTCATAGAGGGGTTGGTGCTTGGGTCATCAGTACCTTAGGCCATAGCAGTTCTCAGAAGACATTATCCAGAAGCAAAAAGCCATTATCTAGAAGCAAAGTTCAGGAATGAAGATTCGGTCTCTCATAGGTCCTGCTAACACTTATCTTTCTGGCAAAGGATAATGATAAAAAGACCGAACAGATGACAAAAAGAAAGCCTACATTCCAGATGGATTGTGAGGGTTAGGGAGAAACTGGGCTGAAGCAAAATGCTTTAATTTTTGGGATATTGGTTATTTCCCCAGTTTTTACTTTAAATCTGTTGCTCCAGAAATAAAAGGACACGCTAGGCTTTAGTTATATGAAAACATGATATTGGTTCTGTATGCTGAGAGGAGCCAGAGGTGGGTTGAGAGCCCAGCTCTGTGGTGATGGGCCTTGGAACCATGTCTCTGATGTTCTCATGTGAGAAGCAGATGAGTAGAGGTTGGTGGCAGAGTTAGTGAAATAGAGGCTGGCTCCCGCTTCCCACAGTGCTCAGGGACAAATGTGGAGTATATTAATAAATGCAGAGTCATTAATGCTTTCTGTGAGTGAAAAATAAGTGTGTGAAGAAAAGACTCCATTGTCATTGGACTGTAAATGGTGAAAGGGTGGAAAATGAAACCAGGCTTGTGTTGCCCTCCTAGGATGGCTGTGATGACCCAGGCCACTTGGGGTTCCACATGAGCCCTGTGGAATGTGGGCTGGGCCACCTGCAGGTCAGGCTGTTCATGCTGTTGCCCTCACCTTCTCTACGGGTTTCAAAGTGAACCCTTGTGCAGGGAGGTGTGGCACTCCCTGTGCCTTTGCTTCTCAAGCTGCTGAGTGACAGTGACAAGATGCTGGCTTTGGAGCAGGCACTACAGGTTCCTATGCGGAGAGCATCGGTGCTCAGGGAAGGGAAATCCACCCCTGTGCTCTTCACACCCAGACAGATGCTCACAGGTTCCAGGGATATACAGGGACATTTCTAAATCTGTCTTGGACGTCCATTCACTTTATCTTTAGCCATGGAATGCTGACAAGTATTCAGTACGGTTGAGTGACCTTCTATAGGTCAGAGCAGGCTGTGTTCTGATTGAGTTTAGAAAACTCATAACTCTGGCCAAGCCTTCAATTGGTCAGGTGGATGGGGCTTTGTTAGGGGAGACTGCAGCCAGAGCCAGTGTCGCCCACCTTCCTTCTCCCTCCACCTACCTGAGCTGCCAGTCCCTTCCCACTCCTCAAACAGGACTTCTCTGGTTTGTGAACACATTTTCTCCTCTTGGTGTGCAGAGCTTTTGGTTCCAGCCCTGTCAGATAGTGATGGCACAGACCCAGTGGTCTTTTAATCATAGCAATGGGCTCATTGCTTTGAACTTGCATAGTCTAAAAAAATAAATAAATAAAACAGGACCAGCAAGAACAGCTGGAAGAAATAGAAGGAACTTGAGTTTAAAAAGTTGGACACAGCGATGGATCCAGGCTCAGCTGGTCTCATTCCTCTGCCTGAACAGCTTAGCAGACCAGATAACAAAGAATCCTTTTGCAGCTGTTTTTCTTCAAGTTAGAGAATTTTAGAGCCACAAAGGAAACTGGAGATTATCTTTATAGATGAAGAATCTGATGTCCAAAGAAATTTTCCAAGGTTAAAGAGATATCTGTTGCCAGAGCCAAGATAAGAGCACAGCTTCTTCCAACACCTTAATTTTATTGTTTTGTTTTGATTGTTTTCCTTTCAGTTAGCCCCCTAGGAAATGTTTATTGAGGACCTACTGTGCTCAAAGTTCTGGGCAGGCTTCTCTGGGTAAATCCTGAATTCAGGTGTGTACATCTGGTGAGGAAAACAGTAAACAAGAGTAAAATAAGACAGTCAGGCAAGAGAAGACAATGCCCAGAATCCAGTGACATTCACACCAAGGCTTAAAGTGCAACAGAAAATGTGACAGCAGAGGAACCAGGAAAACCTTTCCGGAAGGAGCCCTGGGAAGAGCAGAATGGGTGCATTCACCACCTCTCCTCACCTACTTTGGGATGCTCATTTGATTGAATTTGTAACAAACAAGGCCTTTGGGTCAGTCCTGCTTCTTCCACCAACCTAAGGGATGATGGTCATTGCTAAAGCTTCCTCTGAGCCAGTCCTTCGCCAAGTGGCTTTACCTGTTTATTTTATTTGGTCCTCATAACAACCATAAGGTAGGTTGTATCACTGATTTTCAGATGAGGAAACTGAAGAGCAGGGAAGCTAGTGACTTATCGCAAGTCACTCACCTAGTCAGCGGCAACTCTCTGTTATTGATGGGGCTTCACTTACCCTTAGTGTGAAACAGAAGTGTCCTTGAGATCACATATGCCCAAAGACATTATCAAAACACAGACGTGTGGTGATGCAGGAAGCCTGAGAACCCTTGGCATCTGTGCTTTTCACATGTAGAAGGAAGAATCTCATTGCTTGGACATGAGGGGATATAAGCAGCGGGTCAGGGCCCAGCATCACACTGAATAGAGCTCCAGGAGGCTCACAGGACCCTCATCAGAGGCTCTCTGTGTGTTTTATGGTTGATTGAGCTTTATGACCCCAAAGAATCCGTTATTTGTTTTCTTTATAGCAGGCCTCAAACACTGGGCTTTGGTTATTCTTTAAACTTACAATACTCATTGCATGACAGAATTATTTTTCATTTCTCTCTTTCTTTCAGAGCCTTGGAATCCCATTAGGAAATTTCTAGTACAAGCATTTGTGGGAGATACTAGTACTCGGGTTGGGCATCTGGGAGAGATAGACAAGCTCTTATTACAGCATGGAGGATGGGGAGATTACCTGGCCAAGTATCATTTCAGGTTGTGGCAGAAAGAGATTAGCTCCAATTTATCACCGCTCACATTTTCCTCTTTTCCCCCGTTTTCTGAGTGTCATGGAAATGATATTTGTGAATCCCAGGGGCCTCTCACAGTGGTGTCAGTTTAGAGATCTTCCCAGATACATCTAAATGTGGACATAAAATGTAATGGGAAGAAATTGAAAAAATATCTGTTTCTCGATTCTTTATTACTGTGGAGTTAAGAAAGCTATTTCTCATGCCGTTTCATAAATTTGAATCCAAATGTATATGTTAATGTGTATTCAGATGGCTTTTGGATGATTCAAACATGCAGACTCTTTTTTTTAATAAAGTTTGTCAAATTTCTGGCAATTTAGAGATACATGTTTAGACAATGTATATGTGCATACCTGCCATATGTACATACACTGTGTTGTCAAAATTGAGCCTAAGTGAACTATGATGAAAATTTAAAATAAGTAAGCTTATGATGAATACTTAGTAGTTGAACTCAGTATTTGATTTGTAAAATATAAACATGAGTGAAATTAATTTTTGGCTGCTTAGTCCATTAATATTTTACCTAAATTAAATTTGAATCTAACAAAGACAAACATACACATTTCTCTCCAGGTCTATTATTATCTCTGTGACACAAAAGCACAGAGGGAGAGTTCAGACTCTAAAAGAAATGCAGTAGCAAGCCCCAAAGAGAATTTTTTTAAATTTCAGGGAAGGTTTTATGAGACAGGAAAGCTCAAAGACATATCTGTGACATTTAAATGTCTACCATCAGCTTGTTTCCTAATATTGCCATTAGTTTTGCTAATTAGGGCCAATTACTTAATGCTTGCCTGGGTTGTGGTTGGGTTGAGGGTGCATGGTGGTTCATGCACAATCTGTTCTTCTGATTCAAAAACACCATTCTCTCCTTGCACTGCTTGATCCTTAGCAGGGAAAGCGCCCAGTTAGAAGATGTGCCTAAACTAACACAAAGGAAAGGTGTTGTCTCTGAAGTTTAGAAAGAATTCAGTGAGCTCCTAACCTCACTCAAGTGAGTTTGAACCACAGGACCAAGCTGGCTGAGTGATCTCAGGATTAGACAAGAAGATCAGGAGTGCTCCTTGATCCTCACTGCTGGCTGCAGGCTCTCAAAGTGCCACTGCGCCTGCACCCAGTGCTTCTGAGAGGTGCCAGCAGGGATGGATGGTAACAGTGGTAGTCCCCTGTGCTAAATGCAGGCGTATGGGTGGGGAATATCTTTTGGGGTTTCCCTCTAAATAGTGTCATATCTGAAATCTCAGAAACAGAAGAACAGTCAGCATCATGTCTTCTGAACCAATGCTGATCAGGAAGGTTCTTTACGGCAGAGTTTTCGAACTGTAGGGTATAGAACGACCCCTTGGGGAAGTCTTTAAAAATCTTACCCATCACTCACCAGAAGTTCTGATTCCCAAGGTTGGGAGTAAAGTGTAGGAGCTCACCTCACTCTTGGTTGCATCTCATGAGCTACATTCCTCAAGCTTAAGTAACTGACACTGTACATAGATCGTTAAGTTAAAGATACAAGAGCGATTAAGAATCCAGCATAATCTGTAAGTCAGTGATACCAAGGGTATGGGAGGCAATGAGGGCAAAGAGAGTGGTGCAGTCTGGGAAGGCCTCTGGAAAGGTTTGGAACTTGAGCAAAGCTCATTGGCCATGTAAGATTTAGATAATATCAGGCAATAGTGAATGGGATGAGTCCTATCATTTGTGGACAAATTGACTAAACAATCACAATGCACATAATTTCAAATGGCCAAATAAATAATCTTCATAGTCATGGTTCAGGGTGGGTAAAATATTGAGGGTATTACTTCTCACCCCAAAATGGCCTCCATTTCCCTAATACCCCATCTAGACCTGAAATAAGGTCAGCCCTCTTTTAGTTTCGCTGAGTTCAGTAGAACTGTCTGTAACTAGCTTTGCAACTGATCTTGTACAAGGCAATTAACTTCACTTAGTCTGATCTTCCCTCGTTTGTATAATGGGAGGGTTGTGGTGGATGATTTCAGATCCCTTTCACTCTAGCATTCCATTTGACCCAGTTAAATGCTTCTCATTATTACATGACTGGAAATAGGCCAGGTCAAATGATGCCCCTTCAAGCAGAACCATCAGATCCGGCTGTACACGGTAAAGATGGATATTAGACTGCTCAACTTATCATCATTAGTCCCGTAGTCTCATAATGGGAATGCACTATAGTTCATATCTGTCATAGTTAGTATTTGGAAGACTCAAAGCTGGTGAGATTATTCACATATTTATTCCTGTGTACCGCATATGCCACCCCACGTCTCCCCTTCATCATGTGTCTATGACAATATATTGAACAGAAAATCTCCATCAGCTGACTCTGACAGAGTGTATTATTTACAGTGGTGTCAAAATGTGCTGCTTATAATTGACTGGGCTCATAATAAACCAACCTAAGAATCTTTTCTTCTCATATTCCTTCTTACTGGTAAATCTTCCGCTTGCATTCCTTCCTTCCATCAACACCTTCTTCATTATTTACAGAGGAGGGAACACACACCAGATGGTGCATGAGTGATATTGTAGGGTGACTCTTTCATCTTGGGAAGGCCTCTCTCTCTTCTCTCTCTTTCTCTCTGACTTAAGATTTTGCTGTGGTAATTAAGGGTGAGAGAAATCAAGTCAATTGGACTTAGTTTCTAAAGCAAACAGAATACACTTCTCCATTTCTCTGAGCTTCAGGAGACAATGTGGGGTGACACTAATAGTTGCATGGGCAATTTCATTTTTTATCCTCATGTTTTCACTTACTATCTGTGAAACCTCGAGAAAATTACTGACCTTCTATGTGCCACGGTTATGTCATCTGTAAAATGGGGATACTGATAGTATCTAACCCATAGGAATGTTGGGACTGTTAAACAAGTAATGCACATAAAGGGCTAAACCCAAACTAAGAACAACAACAAATACACCTAGGCCAAGGCACACATAAAGTACGGTCATTCATGTTCCCCATTCATCAATAGAGAGCCCCCTAAAATGTTCCTGTACCAGAATGTGTTTGGAATTGCACAGGGGGAGTGGCAGCCTTTCCAGCCCCCATCCAGCAGGATGTGGATGTGCGAGGCTCTGCCCCCCTCTCCTCTCCCCAGCTGTGTACCTCCTCTTGTTCTTCTTTCAAAGACTCATTACACTTGGCATACACATGAGATTCTTACCTAGCCTGAGGAAGATTTCCAATTTTTATTTTGTGGCTCCAATAATCATAGGTATTAAGTATGACTGCCTCTCCTAGGCTAACCTGCAAAAGCCAGAGGCTGGGTTTCTGTGGCACCGTGCTCACTGAAGCAGTATTTTCCTAGTCATAGCAGCCACCTCCCATCTGCCACCTCGTCTCTCTGCCTGGAATATCCAGAAACACTTTGGTGTATTATTCCCACATTTAAATGGACAAAGTTTGCTCATAGAAAGTACTAATTTTGATGAGCATTTCTTTTTAATTTAATTGCTCTGATGAAAACCCTCATAATCATGTAATTCTTAAAGATTAGTGTAAGGTTATTGCCCTGAAAATATGTCTAGTTTGGCACACAGGGTAAATACGTGATTATTGCTAACCCTTGGTTTTACGCAAGAAAATTATCATTATCCATCAAAGCAAAAATGTTTAGTAGAATGAAGTAACTGACGGAAAAAATGCCTGAACATGGGGTCCTGTGACTGAGATTGATGGAACACTTATCATGTGGCTTTAATCCCAGACATTTGCATATTTTCTCACAACCTTGCTTCTCCTCTCAGAGGTTTAGGTTCTTAGCTTAAAATGAGAAGGTAAAACTAAATCATAGGCCAGATGTGGTGGCTTACACCTATAATCCTAGCGCTTTGGGAGGCTTAGGCAGAAGACTGCTTGAGCCCAGGAGTTCGAGACCAGCCTGGGCACATAGTGAGACCCTGTCTCTACAAATAAAACATAAAAAATTATCTGGGCATGGTGACATGTGCCTGTGGTCCCAGCTACTCAGGAGGCTGGGGTTAGAAGATTGCTTGAGTGGGGAGGTGAAGGCTGCAGTGAGCTGTGAACACACCACTGCACTGGGTGGAGTCACAGAGTGAGACCCTATCTCAAAAACCCCCATAAAAACCAATACATAAATCATATGTATAGTCAAGTATTTTATCTTAAAAATCAGTTGATTTCTCTTTTTAGGCGTGCATAGAAATATTTGTTTGCTGAGCTTCTGCGACAAGTCTTACGTAATGAATAAACTCTGGTGTTCAGTTGTCTTCTAATATAGAACATTTTAATTTCTGAGGGAAGATGCAATCATTCTTCCATTTGTGTGATTTCTTTATTTGGATGGACATAAGTGAAGATTTACTCCACCTAGGTCTCAAAAAATTGTTCAATTTTACGGTATACAAAAACATAATAGTGGACTAATCTTATTTAACTGATGAGGAAACTGAGGCAAAAACACGGCCAAGGATGAATTAGCTATGGAGTCAGGAATAGGATTGGGGTGCCTTCATTCCTAGCACAGTGTTTCTTCACCTGTACCTCCTAGAATCATGAAAGCCATAAGGTACCTGGTACCTGAACTTAGATCAAACAGCTTTAAGACAAACAGATGTGTACAGTTTCAAATGCAAAACCCAACATGAACATATTTGTTTGGTTTAAGGGGGCTTTCTATTTTGCATTCTCTTGCAAATGCTGTTTTCCAAAATGCTTACCGTTCAAGTTGGGTAATAGCCATCCTTCCATTGACTGATCATCCACTACCGGCTCTTGACTCTGGCATCACATCTTCGAGATAATCCGAGCTAGAGTTTGGCTGTCATCTAGAATTCACAGTTTTAGTTTAGCACTTTGCTGACTAGTACTTTGCGGATTAGATAATGGTAGTTAGCTTTCTGAGACTCTGGGATGGCAAGCACATGGGCCATGATATTTGTAGTAGCTAGTGTTATATTGAGAAAAACTAAGGGGTCTCACCAGATGAAACCATCTTTAATATCACTTTGCTAGCTATCAATACAGCATAGTGTAGAGTTTAAAGTGCTTTATCCACATTTACATTTCAACCACAGCCTTGTTCCCTCTAGACATGGTAGGTGAGATTTTTCATATGCCTATCACCACCAGCTATATAGATTTGTAACTTACCATGGGTTGTAAGGTTATATTTTGGCATTTCAGAAGCTGTCCTCATTGGATGCCAGAATATTTGAAATCTTTTGGAATAAACAAGTAATTGGTTCTGTGAGAGCTTATGAGTTAAAATTAACTTAATATTACCCTTCTGGGTTTATATTGGTTTCTTCTCCTGATTTTTATTTTATTAAGCACCTTTCTAAGTCCTGGTAAGGTTGGGTGTATGGACAAGGAAACCTTCTACTTGGATGAAAGAAAGCCCCATGGAAGGCTGAGTGGATGAGCGCCGACTCACCTTGGTATTTAACATGACTACAGAATGGATAGGTCTTCACTTCTCAGGCCTCTGCTTCCCATTCCACAAAACCAAAGCTTTGTTCAGCTATTCCCTGGGTGGGGTGTTTGCCTTTCCTCTGAGAAAATATGCTGGCATTATAGAAAAGGGAGTTGAGGGGTGCGGTTTTCCTCTGGCATAGATCACTTTCATCTAATCTGAACCTCATAGAAAGCCTCTGCTGATTCAGAGGACAATGACTTTGACCTATTTATTTCAAGGACCCACCCAGGCTCAGCCCAGCAAAGGAGTACACAGTGCTTGCTCAGAACACAGCTGAAAGAGGAGGTGGTGTTCAATGGGAATCACAAAGGCTATGGTAGAAGTGAGTAATGAGAGCTGGGCTCGAGCCCTGGTCTGAGTTCAGTGTGGATGTTTAAAGGCGACCATTCTTAAGAGGCAAGAGAATTCGATACTGGGTTCAAATCTCAATTTTATTTTAAAAGTGCATCAGTAACTTGTAGCTCATTTGATGGCCTGCAGCCCAGCTTGTTTAGAAATCCCTTCTATTCTCTCTGGTACTCCAAGTCCCAAAGAATCTGTTCTGATGGTGTGGTTACACAACCAGCCAAGCACAGCCTTAGGTTGCTCTCAACTCAGAACTCACCCTATCACACGTTGACGAATGCAAGAGCCTGTTAGAGACACTGGAACCCAAGATGGTGAGTAATACTAAACAAAGGCCAAACTCTCTAAAATGCTTAGGCCAGGAAGAAGGACAATGGGGAAAAAAAGTTTGGATCAGTATGTATATGTGTGTGTGTATCTGTATGTGTACTATATGTGTGTGCATAGTGTATACATATGTGCATATATTTGTAATATGTAAAAATTATATCTATAATTGTATTCATGTACATATATACATATATGTTCATGTGTACATATATATGTATATTTATATCCATATATATTTATATTCATATGTGTATATAGGTATTCCCATCGTATGTGCATGTATAGTGTGCCTATGAAGGACAAAGCGCGGTGCAAAGCACTGTGGGGAATACTTGGTAGATTAAGACACAGGTCTTCCTCTCAAGGATCTAGAGGGCATGTAGTTATTAAAAGCTGTTAACTATCCCAGGAATGCCTACCCTTCTCCATGATTTGGTAGCTGATATAGGATAATTTGCCCCTGGATTTTGTGAATAATAAAGAACAGAAGGCTGGTATCACAACACTTGCTGTGGTCAGTTTCTCTCCTCTCTCCTGAAAGGCAGTAATCACATTTTCTAGTTGTACTGCCTGCTTTTAGAAAAGGTCTCTGCTGCTATCCAACCAGCACAGTCCCTCTTTGCTTCAGGGTCTTGGCAAGAGCAGGTTCTGATTCTGAAGCATTAACATTCTTCAGGGCTCTGACTCCCCTCAGAGGTCTGTTTGCTTCTGACCCTGCAGATGCAGGGCATCACGGATGTTTATTTGTCTGTTACCTAAACTCAGGACACATGCACAGCAGTAAATTCTTCATTTGCCAGAGTTAATCACAGCCATGCTATAGCTTATATCATTCCCACTGCCCATTGGGAAAGCCTTGAAAATATAGATGGGATTTGTTCTCCAGCAAATAAGTTCAACAAACCAGATTGGTGAGACTACACAGAGGGAGAGGTTTGAGTTGGAGTCCCTCCTTGGGTAATATCTTATTCCATTCCTGCCAAGGATCAAATTTAAGACTTGCTGCATTCCAAAAAAATAGACTAGTGACAACTTGGAGTGGAGGGAAACAAGAAAAGGTTCTGTTTGTTTGCTTTTTCATTAAACATTTTTAAAAATTAAGAAGTAATGGAGAAAAATATAATGTTACTCATGTTTTCCCAATTCAACTGAATATGAAAAAGTGCTAACATTTTGTCATATGGACTTCAGATCATTTTTATTATTAAGAAATAAAATATTTAGAAATAACTGAAGTCCCTCACATTCCTCTCCCTAGTCCCAGCTTCCCCAAAGCAAATATTGTCATGCATTTGGTGTGTAGCTAGTCCTTTTATCCTTTTATTGCGTAGATCTGTATACAGCTATAAATAGTATACGGCATTGTTTTAGTACTTTTAAAAATTATTATCACAGTGTTATACTATACCTTTTAACAATGTGTTTTTATTTTATCAACATTGCGTTTTTCAGAATTATCTGTGTTGAGGTATATACATTGTGTTCACTCATTTTAACTGCTATACAGTACTCCATCATATAAATTTGATGCAGCTTATTTATTCATTCCTACACAGATGATCATTTCCAAATTTTTGCTATTGTGAGCAAAGCTGCAATGCACACCCATATATAGTCAACCCTCCATATCCATGGTTTTTCATCTGTGGATTTAACTGTGGATTGAAAATATTTGAAAAATAATTGTGTCTGTACTGAACATGAAACAGACTTATTTTCTTGTCATTATTCCCTAATAATGAGTTCTACAGATATCTTCTATGTCAAGATTGCTAATCATGCTGCTTTTTCTTCTAAATTTAATTTTTTCTTAATATTTTGTAACCATGTTTATGTGTTTCTCATAAAGGTGTTTTATTAATGAAGTTAAGCTAGTAACTAGTACTTCCAAAATCTAGTAGGTTAACACAACAAAAATCTTGTACAAAGTGAGCTATGTAATTGTGTGATTCCTGCAGTCCACTTGGTGACTCACAGATCCAGGTTTTCATCTCAAGAAAAAGCAGGTTGGAGCTGCCACGTTGCGTGGAAAACTTACACCCACTTACTTATGCTTTGGCTGGGAAGTGGCACATGTTAATTCCACTCAGAGCCCTTTGGGCAGACCTGCCTTGTATTTCTAGGTGCAGAGTGGTCTTTATTTATTATGCTCAGCTGAGTTGGTGTGTGCCTTTAGTGTGAGAATTTAGAGTTTTCCTTAGTTATGGAAAAGTTCTCTATTGTTAGCTGTTTAAATTGCTTCTCAGTAGTCCTGCTGTGGCCTAAATTCTGGAAATTGTGTTCGGTATATGTTGGAGACTCCATACTACTTGATTTCTTTCTTTTTTTTTTTTAACCTCATTATGTCTCAGTGCTGCACTCAGAATTATTTCCTCACTACTGCCTTCCAGTTCACTAGTGTTCTCTTTAACCATGGAAACTCTTGCGTTAATTTCATTTATAGAGTTTGGAGATTTCAATTATATTATTTCTGTCTTCTAGTTTCTATATTGATTATTTTGTTAGTCATTTTTCTCATTTTATATCTATTAGTTTACATAGTGCTTTCTTATTCAAAAGGATATTATCTTTTACTTTAAGTATTTTTTAAGGTTTTTCAGAGACAATTATGTGCACTTTTTTCTGTAGTCAAATTTTCCTCTGATTGTTGAGTTCTGTGGATATCTTCTTGGTTCTGTTTTTCCTTATTGGTTTTGAATTTTAGGTTGCTTGCTCATCTAGAGTGAAAATTATCTTTAAAAATAAACCTTTAAATATCCATCATGTTTTGCAGATTTTCAGTAGTTTCCATGTGGCTCCCTGAGAATCTCAGGCCAGAAACAACTTCTATGTTAGTGGACTAGGATTCCTGTCTCATAGTGGTATTGGGGATATTGCAGATCCAGTACTTAGCAGCTTGTCACATATCTGGTCTGTGTGACTTGCTCTGTTCATTCCTGTCTCACATGTACATGGTGATATAGTTCACAGCCTTAATTTTTCTCATTTTACCCATTCAGGTTGGAGACCCTACGAGTTTTATGCTGTGAGTCAGGCTTGTGTCCCTAAATCAGTGTTCAGTGACAGCCTTCTCTTTGCCTTTGTCTGTTTCTAACCTAGAGTTCAACAACCCCATGGTTCCAGCATTTTTTCCTTGATGTCTGTTTCAGTACTTTTCCAGTGTATAAGAGATATTCATCTTGTATTGGGTATAGATACAACTTCTAATTTTTGAAATTTCAGCTAGAATTGCTTTTTGTGGTGTAGCAAGGAAAATGTATTGAATGTTTAAGTTTACAATGTTATCTTGACTAGAAATCTTTTACATTTATTTTAAAGAGTTTATTTTGATAGTAAAAGAATAGATGTTCATTAACATCTTGAAAAGCATATAGAAAATATTTAAATAACCAAAAATATAACTGCATAAAATAATTACAGTTAACATGTCAGTGTGTTGTCATCTATATTTTGCTTTTCACTGAATAGAATTCACACTATATATTTCGTTTTATATCCTTCTCTTTTATACCAGCCATTATAGGGTGGATTTACCATGCCATAAAATAATCTTCAAAAGCAATTTTTTTAACAGCCCCTTAATGTCCCAACATATGGAGGTACTATAAAAACATAAATCATCCAAATTTTAATATCTCTCTTAGCATAAATTAACAAGTAATTACTTAGTAAAAGAGTATGAATATTTGTAAGGCACTTGATACATAATGAAACATTTTGATCCAAATACGCTATTTCCAATTTACATTCCAATGGTAGCGTAATCATTCTCTAGCCAGTACTAGGTATTTTCTCTCCAATTTTACCAGTAGGATAGATGAAAAGTGCCGTCTGTTGACATGTTAGTGCTCTGAAATATTCCGATATCTCTTTTGATATTATTTCTTAAATTCTAATTCTTTAGCTGTATTTTTTTCTAAATGAGACTCTAGATTCCTCTCCTTTTCTGGTTTTCCCAGAGAACCTGTTTTAATATTTTCCATTTTTCATGATTTTTGCTTACATGCATTTTTTCTTCTTTAGCCTTTTGTTGTGCAAGCATTCTTATTTTATGACTCTTTAGGCTGATTGTTTAATTAATTAATTTTAGTAATCTCCTGTCAATTCACAGGCTTACATGCTTTGTTAACTTCTGAGTCTATATTCTGTAAGTCTTGATATGAATTTGCTTATTTTCATTTATTTCCAAAGTAGGTATAGCAGATGTTTATTTACTTTGTGATCTAATGTTTATTGAGGAAATCCCCAGATTTATTTCATCTTTTAACTTAGATTTCTGACATTATAATTTTATTAAATTGAAGTTTGAGAATACAGTTTTTTTCTTTCAAGAACTTTATCAAATATACTAAATGAATTGACAAATTTTAAAATGCCTCAGGGGTATTTGAAAAGAACTTACATTTTCTTTTTGAAGGGTATAAGGAAATATATGTATATATATGAGTTTATGTATTTATTTATAATTATGTTATTCAAAGATTTCATTCCTTTTAATATTTGTTTAATCTGGCTGACAATTGTATAATATTTTTCAGCTCTTCACTTCTGGTAGTTTTTGCTAAATAGATTTTGGTGTTTGATGAATATATTATATGTGTCATAAGTTATATGTCCTTTATATCTTCATTGCAGAGGATTCCTTTTCTCAGCACAAAATATTATCTTCTTTTCCCAGATATTGCTTTCTGACTTATATATTGTTGCTATCATTGTTTTTTGCAAGACTTTCTCGTATACTATTGTTTCAATAAAACCATCTTTTACATTTTATTTAAATATTTTTGGTGAGCTGTATGTACTTGATTTTGTAACACCTATTAGGAAAACTTAAGGCATTCATATCTGTTGCTATAGCATATATTTGGGCTTAATTTTATAACTTTGTTTAATGCTTTCTTGCTTTTTCCTTTTTATTCTGGGTTTTGTCTGTTTTCATCTTATGTAGAGGTTTGGAAGATCAAAATATTTTCATTAATTGTACTAGTGATAATCCTTTTGTTTATAAACTATATACTAAATCCTATATTCCTCTGTCAAATTCAAGTACCAGTTTCTAATGAGAAATGTAAATTATCTGGACTTTTCCTGACTTTCTACTTCTCTGTATTTATCAGTGTTTATTCCTTTTACCTGGTGTTATGCTATCAACATTTTATGATAAAATCCTGATTTTTAAAAATATATGACTTTTCCAGACTTTGAATTTAATTTTGTGCCCATGTTACAACAGTTCTTCATATGTTTTCCTAAAAAGTTAATTGATTTCAAAGTTCCTTGCCATTTTCTTTATAGTTTAGCTATTGCAGTCTTGATTTCACAGTCTTGAGTTCTTGATTTCTCTTTTTCTTTATTAGTTGACAGACATTCATTTTTCGTGTGCTTTCTCAGGAAGAGAATAAAAATGATTAATGTTTTTATGATTTTAAGCTTAGTAAAATGTCTTCCTGCAACCTTTTTACATGAACAACTTGGACATAAACCTCTTAAGTTATAGACTTTTCTAGTCATTGCTCTGGACAAATCGTTTCATTGTCTTCTGACATTTATTTGATTTTGCAAAGAAGGGTGAGGCCAGCCTTATTTTTGCTACTTTAGAGATAAGCTCTCATTCCTCTTTTCATTTTTGTAGGATTTTAAATTTATCATTGAGATTTAAAACACAATAGAACTTCCCTAATATTTCTAGTCACTAAAAAAGTTCATTTCATTTGGTTCTCACTAAGCCATTTTATTTAAAGCCTTATAAGCATATAAAACTTATAAAGTCTTTCTCTGGGGCAATTTCTATTTTATTAATTCTTTTGTGATAAATTTTCTGTTCCTTCCTCAGTAACACTTCATCTGGATCTAAATTGTCCTCCACGTCTGTCATCTTCTCTTCTATATTTTTCCTCGGAATATTGAGAAATATTCTTTAAATTTTCTTCCACATTATTATTTTACATTGTTTCAGTTTTACTTCTGTTTATATTGCCTCAAATATGGACTTTCATTTTACCATTGGATTTTGGGTTTCCTAGGTTAATTTCTTAATTCGGCCAGTTTACTAATTATCTCTTCATTCATCTCAGAATAATTTTTCCTTTGACACTCTGATTCTCTTTTACAGAGTCTGTTTTACAGAGTTTTTGAGGATAGCAAACAGATGAGTTCTAAATCTTGCTTTTGTCTCATGTAAAAATAAAATTTCAAATATATCCTCCTCATCTGAGTCAACATGGAAGAGCTCCTATTCTAGATGATATTGTTGTCTTTTTTTGTAGAATCCATAGTGGCAGATGTATACATATGTTTTTCTATGCTCATTTTTGAATAGGGATTGTTGTGCTCTAAGACCAACAAGCAGGTTCTGTGGCATGTTCCTTGCTTCTATGTCACTCTAATTTGGTAGGATTCTACTCTTGAAGTTTGAAGTGATGTACTTAATTTGGGATGTCTAGGAAGCATTCTTCTGTGTGTTTCTGATTTGCATTTTTTTTTTTTTGAGACAGAGTCTCGCTCTATCGCCCAGGCTGGAGTGCAGTGGTGTGATCTCGGCTCACTGCAAGCTCTGCCTCCCAGGTTCATGCCATTCTCCTGCCTAAGCCTCCCAAGTAGCTGGGACTACAGGTGCCTGCCACCATGCCTGGCTAATTTTTTTGTTATATTTTCAGTACAGACGGGGTTTCACCGTGTTTGCCAGGATGGGCTTGATCTCCTGACCTCGTGATCCGCCCGCCTCGGCCTCCCAAAGTGCTGGGATTACAGGCGTGAGCCACTGCACCCGGCCTCTGATTTGCATTTTTATAGACTTTTATTGACAGCTGGATATTTTGAGCAAGCTAGGGAGCCAGATATACTTTTCCATTTTCCTTTGAACGGTGCTGCATGTGAAGACTATGTTCTTCAGGAAGTGCTTCTCCAATGCTTTTTTTTTTTTTTTTTTGTGGAGGAGGGTGGTGGACAGAGTTTCAATCTTGTTGCCCTGGCTGGAGTGCAATGGTGTGCTCTTGTCTCAACACAACCTCCACCTCTTGGGTACAAGTGATTCTCCTGCCTCAGCCTCCCGAGTAGCTGGGATTACAGGCATGTGCCACCACACCCAGCAAATTTTGTATTTTTAGTTGAGATGGGGTTTCTCCATGTTGGTCAGGCTGGTCTCGATCTCCCGACCTCAGGTGATCTGCCCACCTCGGCCTCCCAAAATGCTGGGATTACAGGCGTGAGCCACCATGCCTGGCCCGATGCTTTGTCTTTACCCATTTATAATTATTTTCTTCAAAGGAATGACCTATCCCTAAAATCTTCCTGTATTTTCTTCATTGCTTGATTGAGGAAGTATGAAGAGAATTCTAGCCCTCTATGGCTCTGAGGTCACTTATCAGATGGCTCATCAGTGTGGACAGGAAGTGGGTGGCATCTTGACATGCTTTAAGTCAACTAGATTGTGTATGCCTATGTCCTATGCTCTTATTTTGCTTCTTCAAATACACCTAAGTGTGAGGGAGCATTCAATTTGGATGTAGACAATAATATATGGTAAGAAGCTCTGGGATCTGGGTCAGGGCCTCAAGGTCCATCTGATTGCAGCAGGGATGTGGGAAGGCCATGTGGGGTCCAGAACACTTAACTCTCTTTTAAATGAAACACCTAATCACTCACCTGTTTCTGCTGCCCTCAGAATTTTAGAAAATCACTGAAATGGAATGAAATTAAAACTTACCTACTCCAACTCCTTTAACAGGCAGATGGTGTGAAATTTAAGATGGGAACTGAATGAAAAAAAAAAAGATATCCATCAGGTAAAGATGAGAACAGAGGATGCAGATGGCTAGAAAGCTGGTACAAAGATGTGAAGTAGAGGGTCTAAAAGAAAGCCAGGAATAGTTGACGTATAGTGGGCTAGCAAGAAAATGGAAAGCAGTGTCCAGGAAGAAGATATTTTTATGTTGGGGTAAGGAGTTTGGATTTAATTAAAGTGTTATTGGAAGGCCCTGGGGGAGGATGGTTTAAAAAGTTAAGTAACCTAATATGATCAGTTAACAGCAAAATGTTTATGTATTTGTTTTATTCACTCATACACTTGTATATTCTTTCATTCAATAAGTAAACTCATATTTATCAAATAACCACTACATGTGATGGAGTTATATCCTAGGATTCCAAATTCCTAGTATAAGGGGTATTTCTATTATGCCATGCAACTTCTCTACTGGACAGTAAACTTTGTGTGAACAGGGTCTGGACTTCTATATATTTGAATCTCCTAAGACTTCAACAGTCATAGGAGTACCTGACTTATGGTAGCCCCTAAATAAATATACTTGATAGATGAATGATAAGTAATATTCTATAATGTTCACAGAGGTCTCTGAAATAGAAGAATATTTCTAAAGCACAGTTAAAGATAGTCATCATTAGCAGTGACCAGGATTCCCTGCAGGGCACAGTTCCATAAAGCTCTTGTAAGGACTGATCAGTGGGTTGGATCCATTGACTCTTTTAATCAGGCTAAATATGCTGTCCCTTCTATGCATATATTTGCTGGGATTCTGCCATGCCAGTACTAGTTTGGCCATGTTGATATGAAAGAGTAAGGATTTGTCTATTTAGTTGCCAACTAAGGTGTAATGAAATCTCATGGCAAAGTGTATATGAATTCAAATAGGAGCCAAGCCCTTCACCTCTACTGTGGGTTATATGACATACAGAGTCTTCTTGAAACATGTATTCCCAAGACTTTCAACAGTGCAACATCTGTTTTACTTTGAGGGGGCTATGATAAGCATCTGCTTAGAGGAATGATCTGAACAAAACCAGGGCACATTTGTTTGCCATGCTATAGATTATCTAGTCTTACATTGTTAATGAATAAATCATGCA
The DNA here is from genome assembly GCF_000001405.40 of Homo sapiens. NCBI lineage: Eukaryota > Metazoa > Chordata > Mammalia > Primates > Hominidae > Homo > Homo sapiens. The sequence continues at coordinate 76,453,598 of NC_000010.11, forward strand.
GGATGGATAAACCGGTAACCACAACAGCATGTTTCATACTGCATTTAAGACATTAATTTATGCATTCATATATTTTTCCTGTAGACACTAAAAAATTTATGTTTTAAATAGAAGATCACATGGATTTTGATGTAGCTCAGCAGTTGGATGTAGATTCCAGAAATTCCTTTATTAAATTAGAGCCCAGTTGGCTGATTAGGGTTCTAATGTTCATAATTGTACCATTTGATGCATTAAGATAAGTGAGCCAAAGATAAAAATATAGTGTTTTATGAGAACATAAAATGCATATCTATGTACATATTCCATGTTTGTATGAGACATTACATTTAATCCTCAAAACTCATTTCAAAGTTCATGTCGTGAACGTTTACAAAAGTTCAGGAACCTCTTAAAGTCACATAGGCAATTAGTAGCAGAGTCTGAACTGAGAATCACATCTTCTCAGGCATAATCTAGTTTTCCTGGCTTACCACGACAACCGTTTCATTGATAAGTTATTTTGAAATCACATTTGGGGGCCATCACTCACATGTAGTATGAAGCTAAATCTAGAACAACATTCATTTTGAATTCTTTGGTCTGGTACACATAAATAGTTCTTAGGATGAATCACATAGATGGAGGAGAAAGATAGACAAAACGTTGATCTTTGGGTGATTGCATTGAGGATTCTAATCTCTACTGACGTGCTAAATGTTGGAATTGAACTAAAAAGAGTCACTAATCATATTACTTCCATAGTGAAAGTAGCAGTGTCTGCATTGTATGCTCTTTTGTTGTTTAATGCAGACTCCCTAAAAAGGCAGATTTTGGTCACTCCGAGGCTGCATTATTCTTTGTACCAACTTGGCTATCCTAAAACGAGCAAAACAAGCAAGCAGAGAATCGAGACATAGTAAATAAACATTCTTAAAACCCACATGTTCCTTTAAACATAAAGAAAAAAAATGACCCAGTGAGAATTGGAGGTGATTTGGGTCTGCATTCGCTCAGCTAGACCAAGCTGTTCTCACCGCCACCCCCCACCCCGCCCGACTTTGACTTCCTTTTTATTTGTATCTTCCATTTCCTTTCCCTGGGCCAGATGTGTGGATTCCCCTGTTGTGCCCAATGACAGAGTAGACTTTTCTGGAAACTGCCAGGACTATTTGTAATCTCCTGACTTTACAGAGGTCTCATATGCTGAGAAGGACAAATTCTGATGTTTCACAGCAACAGGAAGAGGGTTAGGGATGTTGAGAGAAGGACAATTTGGGTGGAGTTTTCACATATGTTTCTCTTTGATGGAGAATCCAGGGCAGGGATCTGGTTTGACTGGGGCCAAGTTGTATTTCTGCTCTCTTTATTCCATGTGACTTGAGAGAGCAACCACATGAGTACAGAGTTTTAGTTTGGAGCATGACTTCCTCATCCTAGAATGCCAGAGTCGGAGAGGCCATTAAAGGTCATGTTGTCCAACTTCCCATAAAATTAATTTTAGATGAAGTCTGCAGGAGAGAGTAAGAGAGCCTCTGTTTATAGAAGAAATTGTCTCCTAGAATCTAAAACTGTCTGTTGCCCATTGGATCAACATCTATGGCCACCCAGAATTGGTGAATATTATAGAAAGAAAGTGTGGGATGGTGTTAAAGGACATTAGTTCAACTCGTCACCCAACGCCCAAATCCCTTGATTAGAAATGGAAAATATAAGATATATTGATGGTATTGAATTGGTATGAAATTCTGAAGGTTTTAAAATGCTGTTTATCCCCAAGACCAAAATAAGTGAATCCTAGGCTCGGCTGGTCACCTCTTCCTGCAAGGTCCTGAGGTAAGAGTATGCATCGATGCTAATCCCTGATGGGATGAGACTTTGATATTAGCCAGGGCCTTTAGGAATACACCCCAGTAAAAACACTGATGGGCTAGGATGAATGTCACAGGAGGCTCCTTACCTTAGTCAGCTTAGGGTAACTTAAGGGTCTATGCTAGAACAAAAGCAGGCCAAAAGGTCTGTTCTCCTTGTGGTCACCTCTAAACTCAAATTCAAGTTGCAAATCTTATCACTTCTCTGGGAGACAAGGCCTTACACACCGGTTAGCAGCAGATGAAAGCATAAAAATTAGAGTTTGTGGCCCATTGTCTGGCATAGATGTGTAGGGGAAGTGGCAGGGGATCAGAGGGTATATGACAAGGGCAAGTGTTATCTTCTGGGACCATCCTACTTAGTTATGTGGGAGAGGAGAAAGCCCCTGAATAATGGAAGGGAATGTCCCAAGGGATATATCCTGTTGTTACTCTGGCTGTGTGGCAGAGTCGGGTAGTAAGGAATCTAGAAGGGCCACATCAACTTGTATAGGCCCAGTGATTCCAACTGTATGCACCACAGTGAAGAAAAGGTATTCTATGCTGGCCAACCCTGCTAGTATTTCTCCTCTTCCTCCTTAGGGGCTGGGTTGTTGGGCTTGGGAAAGGGTATGAATATCCCTCAGAGAACATCCCCTTGCATAGCATCTCTACCCGAAAATAGTCGTTCGGTCTCCATTTTGTTCCTGGTGTCATCTAAAATAAGGAACAACAAATAGCCAGATTCAATTTCAGCATTATGGTTTGAGCAAGGGCCTGGCTTCTAGAGTGGGGTGTGTTGAGATGGTTTTCCCACTATTTTTATTTAACTCACCAAATATATTCTGTAATTGGGCATGACCCAGCAAAATGTTCCACTCTGAAGTTTTATCATGGAGGCCAAAGAGCATGTTCAATGTCTGCCAAGTTCTCAAAGGAAATAGTAGTGGGAGGGCAGGCCCTGAGCTGGAGCTTCCCTGGTGACTACAAAAGCAATTGCAGAGGACCACGTGATGTGGCTCCAGAGCACATGACTCAGATGTCCATTGAAAAGCTGTATTTGCTCAGGGTGATGGCTAAGAAAAATGTCTTATGCCCTTTAAGAAAAGAGTCTTGTTTTGAAGTGAGATAATCCTTCCATTTTCATAAGGTAGTTACTGAAAATAAGTGTTCATTTTCTTTGTGCAGACCAAGGAGTAGGCCTTCTGAGAAAGTTGCACTCTTATTAAAAAAAAAAAAAAAAAGGCACTATTTCAGATGAAAGCCTGAGATGCAGATTTGAGATCTTAAAACTTGAAGTAAAAGTCAGCACTCTGATGTGCCCAGCCTGTCCTTTCTACCTTCCCGTTGTTAAGAGGTGTTCTTTTCTAGCTCTTGAAGGAAGACTTTCATTCTTACCATGTCACCTCCTTCTTCCCTTCTTTTTTATTTTTTGGGGTCTGAAATAGTAATCCTGCAACACAGAACTTGTTTGGAATTCTGACTGTTTTAATCCTTGCCTTAATTTACTGAGGTTAAGTTGAAGATAGGAAGTTGAGTGTTGGTTTTTTCAAATTGTGGTCTTAGCCGTAACTCCGACTTTGAACATTTTCGGCAGTTCCATGGATGTCTGCGGATGGTCAGAGTCACATTTCATTGTCTCCAAGAACTGTCATGACCCTGTCTTTAGCATTCCTTCAGGCTTCTCTTTACTACAGATCAAGAAAGTACTTGGCAACAGTCTCCCATTAGGAGAGAGCATTCAGGGTTTTAGTTTCAACTTTTCGAAGTTTAATGCTTTTCCATTTTCTTTTCTCCGCGTCAGCCATGGGACAAGTAACGTATAGTTGATCTTCAGTATTCCCTGATTCTGTGTTTGCAAATTTGCCTGCCCACTAAAATCTGTAGCCCCCAAATCAATATTCATGACACACTTTCTCAGTCATTCATAGTCATGCACAAAGCAGTGAAATGTTGAGTTGCCCGATGTGCATGTTTCCAGCTGAGGTTGAACAAGGTGACACTGCTTTTTCGTTGCAGCTCTCAGACTGTATGCAAATGTCTTTCCAATGGTCTATTTAGTGCTATGCTTTTCATGTGTTTGTGTTTTTTTTGGTGATTTTGCAGTTTAAAGTGGCTGCCAAGTATTGTGCTGAAGTTCTGTATGGTATTCCTAAGCCCAAGAAGGCCATGATGTGCCCTGTAGAGAAAATCCATGTGTTAGATAAGCTTTCTTCAGGCATAAGTTATAGTGCTATGGGCCATAAGTTCGACATTAATGAATCAACAAAATATCTTAAATAAGTTTCCTTAAACAGAAATATAGAAACAACAAGGTTACGTCTCAATCAGTTGACAGAAATGTTGTGACCAGAGGCTTTCAGGAACCTAACTCTGTATCTTCCTTAGGAGCAATCGTTCAGTATTTGCTAATTCAGTGTTTGCAGAGACTTTATAGGGTGTAGCTGCTGCAAATGACAAGAATCAACTGTAATCATTTACTAAGTATCAGCTGTAATGGTGAAGATAAATATTCTAGACTTAATATGCCAGGAGGGATGTGCGTGCCTCATATGCTCTATGGACATGTTACAGTAAGGGAAATAGGAGGTGTCCCCCTCAACCTGGAACTCCTCTAACAAGCCAGATAGAAATGCATCATTTTTTAGGCCATTTCACTTGGATCGAAGCTTGTTTTCTTTCACACTCCTAGTGCTTTCAAAAAAAAAAAAAACTTGGCTGTTTAATTAAAAAAAATTTGGCCTGTTTTGTATATATTTGCAGTCTGAGCACCCATAGAGGGGAGTCACCCCTCTCCTCCAGACAAGGGTGGGTTGTTGAATTTTATGTGAAATCTTGACATTGCAATAAATCTCTGAACCTGAACCAGCCTGCACTGGATATTTAATACTGTTTTCATTTCCAATACTAATCAATCCTGGAAGAATGTGCTGTTATTTTTTAGTTACATGTAAACATTTAGATGAATATAAAATGGCTTATTGATAGCTTACATGCAGGCAAGTTTATTGATACTTTTGTCAAATTCTGTTTGATTGATTGATTTGGCCATCGTACTGCTATGGATATGGAATAGAACCAATATGACATTTTTATTTCCTGGCAGTGGTACCTGAGGGTGAATGGGATATGGGGAAGCTTGAGCTCTGTCTCTTGGATGAGAGCACTATCAGAGCCTGATCAGTGGAGCTCCTTTCTTTAAGGAATGACCTCAACTCTGTTTCACATCAGACACAGTTTGGAAGACCCCACAGGCCATTGCACTGTTGTATCATTCATGTGGGAAGCCCAGCTTCACAGGGGCCACAGAAATCTCCTCTATGTGACACTTCTGGCTACAGTGCATTATTTTGTTTTATTCTGATTTTTTAAGGAGGTCCCTAGTAGGCATCTTAGGAAACTTTGAAAATATATTAAGAAGATTCGGCATTTGATGCACAGATACAAATAAGGCCATTTTCCTCAGCCTGCAAGCCCAGTCTGAGACTTTGCAACCTTTCTCTCTTCTGATTGTGAATTCCAAGTGTCAAGACAAAATAGCACTAAGAAATCAGTAAAATGTGACGGTTTTTCTCAAGCGTCTACTAAGAGCCTAGCCAGATGCACATTTCTTATTCCTTTTGGTAAATAGATTCAGATTTGGTATGATTCAATGAACTAAAAAATATCCCCTGCTCAAAGCTTGTCTATGCCTGCTAATTGCATGAAGCTTAACAGATCCTCCACACACGGCACCAAATAAGGGCTGGCTGGAAATCAAAACCTCCTTGCCAAGCACTTTGGATTTTCCAAAGGAACTGTAATGTTCCTGGAGATGTTTATTAATGGAAATGGGGAACTTTGTGGACCAGGGTGAAGTCCCAGAGATTGATAGCCTGTTACTAGTGTTTATTATTTTTGACTGCAGGTTTTGAAAGCTTTTCCTCCTATCCTCCCTAAAAGGAACTTTCTCCGTCACTTGGGACTGAAAATGGGGGTGGAGTTCAACACCTCATGGAGCAATCCAAAATAGACGCACAGAATGTTAATAAGCCCAGGATTTTGCCCTCTGTTTTGTATTGCTCTGCCCCAAAATACAAAACCTAATTAGTGCATCCAGAGAAGCGTTAAATGGATTTCATGCTGTTTAATAAATGCTTTACGTGCTTTGGTGCCACTGCGAAATGTGTGGTTGAGTGAGGGTGGGAATAGGGAGAGGAAATGGTTGCTGTAAATGCTTCCTACCAATGTCAAGCACTATAGGATGAGCATCAGAGATGCGTGTTTATAACTCAGGTGCTTCATGTTTTCACCCGAATTTTCCTCCTTTTGGCTAGCCTGTTATTTTCCTTTTGGGCTTTTGTTTTTTTAATTTTATTATTATTATACTTTAAGTTTTGGGGTACAACGTGCAGGTTTGTTAATATGTATACATGTGCTCCCAGACATCGTCTCCAAAGGCTCAACCCACAATTGTCTACACTCAGAACAATGAGAAATTGTGAGTGACAGATGTGCACTGAGTGCTCACTGGGTGATGAGCCCTGAATGGGACATGGGAATTAGAAGGTGTGGCCATTGCCTCTGGAGAGCTTATGTCCCTATGGGGAAGATAGAACACATAATATCCTATTTTCAAGATAGACCGTCAGTCTGGTGTTCAAAGCCTTTCATAATGTGTCCCCTATTTAGTGACTGGCCTGTGACATCTCTCCTAGAGGCTGGTCTTTATTGTCTTATATGTTGGTCAGTGGTTGTGAGACTTCGCTGCACAGTAGAACTGTCAGGAGAGCTTTGAAAAAGCCCCAGTGTTCACACTGCACCCTCTATCAGTGCTTTGAGATCTTTAACCTGCATCAGGATCACCCAGAGGATATGTGGAAACACACATTTCTGGGCTTCACACCCAGCATTTCTAAGTCAGCAGGTAGAGGGCTCTAAAAATTTGTATTTCTAGAAGTTATTGCTAATGCTGCTAGTCCAAAATCACACTTGAGGAGGATTGGCCTTCATCAATTAAATCAGAATTGCTGTGTGTCTGATGATTCCAGCATGCAGCCAAGATGGAGATCTGTGTTCCACACATTCTTTAATGCATGTGGTGGAGACAGATGATCACATATCGTGAATGCCTCTGATTATTTTCCATGATTTAGCTATTTTTCTCTGACTAGACAGTAAAAGTCGTAATAGCAAGAACTGTGTATCTTTACCTTTTCTTGATTCTCTCAGGGTGCCCAGCCCAGGGTGGTCACACAGAAGTGTAACTTGAATAGTGTTAACCAAGGAAACGTAGAAGGGTGGATGGGAAGCATTGCAGATACCACCAGCACTCTTCATTTCCCTACTCTCCAAAACCTCTAAGGAAAGTTCTTTCCCTCTATTTGTGGACTCTAAGATGCATTGCAGAGCTACTTTCTCTCTCCTCTTCCCTCCATAGGGGAGGGTGCATTTTCAGCATTTACTTTTAAAGAAAGCAACTGCAAAGAGTACTGTATTCATAGATAAAAACTGCATTCACATCCTGGCTCTGATGTTTCTTCTTATATGATCTTGGTGACACTACTTAACATTTTCAAGTCCCCATTTATTCATAAATAAAATACGTATAAGAACATCTCTTTCACAGACTTCTGGAAATTAAACGAGTTTGTGCTTAAAACACTTCTAAGGACAATATAAAACACAAAAGGCACAGTAGGCCTTTTGTTTATAACCACATTGTAGCAAACACACATTTTTCCTGGAAACATAATGGGAGTGCTCTTGGGTTATGGGAAGTAGCAAGGGGAGATGAGCAAATATTTGTGCCTCATCCTGACCTCGCCATGCATGGTGTGAAATGTCTAGGTATGCCATCAAGAACCAAAGTCCTGTGTAACAGAAAATCTCCAGTGAGCCTGTCATGATGATGGAGACAAGCCTCTGTTGAACTTCACTGCCAGTGAACTCTACTAAAATGTCAGTCCTGTATTCGCATAGCCTATCAGTCAGGGAGCAGGCTATGAGCACTGAGATTTCCACAGCAACCTGTTGGTGCCTTTAGTGCATTGCTTCCAGAATGATTCCCATGAAATAAAGAGATCTAGCATTGTACTTACTGGTTCTTAGCAAATGTTCTTCCCCGTAGGTAGAGTGCCTTAACTCTAGAACCATAAATTTGTTTTCAGAATGCAACAAGATTGCATAGTTGTGTAATAAAGCTCCTGACAGAGTGTTAAAGATAGGAGGGGGAGATGGTGAACTGGGAGAGCCAGGAATCCTCATCAAACTATTATGGGAGGCTCTGCCCTCTGAGAAGAGAAGTGCTGTCTTAAGAAATTTCCTTGATACTCAAAGGGTGTTTTACACAGAATCACCTGGGCTTTTGTTAAGAATGTGGACTCAGGCCGGGTACAGGGGCACACACCTATAATTCCAGAACTTTGGGAGGCCGAGGCGGGCAGGTCCTTTGAGTCCAGGAGTCCAAGGCTAGCCTGGGCAACATAGAGAAACCCCATCTCTACGAAAAATACAAAAATCAGCCAGGTGTGATGGCATGCACCTGTAGTCCCAGCTACTTGGTGTGGCTTGAACTCCCTTGAACCAGGGAGGTCAAGGCTGCAGTGAACTGCAATTGTGCCAGAGTGAGGACCACAGAGGGAACTCTGTCTCAAAAAAAAAAAAAAAAACCACACACACACACACAAAAACAACAACAACCAAAAAAACCAGAATGTGAACAACAACCACCAAAAAAACCAGAATGTGAACTCAAACACTCAGACAATACCCTAGACCTTCTGAATCAGAATCTGCATTTTTTTTTTCAGGAGTCCCAGGCAATTTGTATACACTTAAATGTTTGAGGAGAAAGATAGAAGAGTCTCTTAGAACTAGACTGGGAATTAAGACACCTGACTTGGTATTCTTTTAGTTCCATCTTCACCTCAGTTTCTCCATATGAAAAAAACAGATAAGTAGAATAAGTTCCTTCCCATCAGTTGACAGGAATTGGTAGTAAAAGAATCCCCATAGAAAAGATTTAGAAGTCTAAGGTCCAGAAGAACCATCCTCTTCCTCTTCACCCAGCTCCTTTTTGTTAACATTCTTCGATGCCCAATCTCACTTCCAGCTGCTTTGGGGTTTGGCCGCTATAGCTAGATGTCTCAGCAGCTTCCAATTCCCATTATGAGAAGTTGAAATTCTCCCATAGGTACACAGTTCTTCTGGCATCCCGCACCATCTTTGCCTGTGCTGAGTGGTGTGTGGTCTGGCCTTCAAGGGAGCCGTTTCCAGCAGTACATGTGAGGAGAGGACCTGTCTCTTGGCTGCTAGGAAGCACTCCAGCCAGACAACAGCCCTCTCCAGCTACTCAGTGCCTCCCACATTGGACAACTGGGAAAGCACACAGGGAACAGTGGGGGTTGTTGAGCTCAGCGAGTGTTTCCTATAGTGCATAATTAAAGAAAACACCTGTGTAGCTGCTAAATCACTTCCCGCTGTTCCCCTGTGCAAATGCTGTGCTCAATAACCTTACAAGTGCCTCATTCCTTCTACCCAACCGAGGCAGTGCACAGAGCCACAATGCATAAAGCTGGCAAGTTATTAGTTCAGGGCCCCTTAAAAGATCTCTTAGGATTGATTTGTTACTAGTCCATGGGGTCCCTTGGTTAGTCTGGTGGCATTTTGCTAGACTGCAGCTTCAGGGAGGCTCAGGGATGGGTAGTGGGCCTACTTTCTCCAAACTGCCCTTCTTTGATCAGCACTTCTCTGTATCCAAGGCAGTCCCGTGGAAGAGCTCTAGAGCTGCAGGAGCCAGAAAACCTTAAACCACAACTTCAATACTGTAATTGTGGGCCAGATGCTTCCCCAGGGGAAAACAGCCAACAACAGTGAAATGAGATGCAAGTGGGACCTATGGATTTTGTTTGAAATTCAGGAAAGGGAAGTGACAATAAATCAAAAGGAAAAGCTATCATTCTAAACAGACCTCTTCCTGCTGCTGAAGTTTATGGGGTGCTTTGGTTACCACTAGGATCTTGTGGGGCACTGGCTGCCCAAAGTGAAGAAGATAGACTCCCTTGTAGCAGCAGGTGGATTGGCAACAGGATTCAGTGTGATGACAGGCTAGCTTTGTAATTTACTTCTTCCAGGGCAAAGCAACATGGCTTTCACTGCAAGTTTTAGAGTGTTTGAGCAGATGAGTGAATGTGCCTAAGAGACCCAGTGAAGAGGATTGCTGGATGTTGGGCGGTGGCAGGGGAGGGGGGAAGGGCTTTAAAGAAACAGAACTGAGGAGAAAGGACAGCTGCAGATTCACTCAGTCTCTTCTGCTTCACTGCTTTGTTCTCTTCATAGCCTTGGTCATAACTGAAATTATCTTGTCTATGAGTTTGTCCGCTTGTGTATTATGTATCTCCCCAAATAGGATGTGAACGCTGCAAGAGCTAGACTCTTATCTAACTTGTGCAGAGCTGGATCTTCAAAACTAGTCAGTCCAGTGCCTGGCACACAGTAGGTGCAAAATAAATTTTTTTTTTTTTTTTTGTGAGATGGAGTCTTTCTGTGTCACCCAGGCTGGCATGCATTGGCGTGATCTCGGTTCACTGCACATCATCCACCTCCCGGTTCAAGCGATTATCATGCCTCAGCCTCCTGAGTAGCTGGGATTACAGGCACGAACCACCACGCCCAGCTAATTTTGTATTTTTAGTAGAGACAGGGTTTCTCCATGTTGATCAGGGTGGTCTCAAACTCCCCTCCTCAGGTCATCCGCCCGCCTCGGCCTCCCAAAGTGCTGGGATTACAGGTGTAAGCCGCTGCGCCCGGCAGATATTCTGAATCTTGAAGGAGGAATAGGAATTGACTCTGGGCTAAGCTGGCAGAGAAGGGTATTCCCGGAAGAGAGATGAGGATTATGATGCATAGAGGCAAGAGAACCTGGTGTGTTGGGAACTGCAATTGTAAGGTATGAGTGGACGAGTGGCGAGAGACTAGAATGGCCTGGTACCCAGTCAACATGCCTACAACAGACGGGGCTGGGAAAAGAGCTCCTAGGTGAGGACAATTTCTCAGACATGAGAATGGCCAGGGCAGTTAGGTGAACTCTAGTACAGATGTACACACTGGACAATTTAACTAAGAACAATTCATGTGTCTTTACAAAGGGTTATCTTTCCAGCTGTTACTTCCTCTCTTCCAGCTCATCTGTTGGCCACCTTGTTGTTTACCCCTTTGAGTAAAAATAAGCAAAAAGCCAGAAGAATGGGGTAACCTCAAATACCTCCTTAATTTTGTTTTTTGAGCAGCTGCTTAAAATGTCTGAAACATTTTTTGAGTTAGAAATCTGAAACAAAACAAGGCTTCCAAATGATTCATGAGTTTCCATTATTCAAGTTTCCCTCATATCTTCATCACCGTGTAGGTAATGGGTGTGAATCTCTGTGTGCTCATATACATATGCTTGATTATATGATCATCTCGTGGAGGACATGTGACACGGGAAGACAATAGGGCACATGATATGCTCTTTGATCTAAGGTAAGAGTAGCTTCTCTCTCCTCCCTGTTTCACTATGGCTTTATGGACATGTGGGCACACAGAAGAAGCAGACCGCACTGCAGAGGCTGTGCTTATAGACATAACTGCTTCTCAAGGCCACAGATAAGAGGATGGACAGGATTGAGGTAAGTCTATATTTTGGCAGACAAGAACTCTTGGTGGCCTCTCCATTCAGTGCTAGAATGTTCCTACTATCACACCACTTAGTTGATGTTTGTGATTTCAAGTGCTCAAGTGGTCAGCTCCTCTGATACCACTCCTATGACACTAAGGGGTCACCAGGAATATTTGTGGCCATGGGCATATGAGCTCCAAGAAATAAAAGATTCATTAAGGGCTGCCATAGAGATTTTCTGGTTCTTTTGTGACTTGAGCTGAAATTGTAAGACCTGTGTGTGTCATTTCCTTTCTGTAAGTACTCTAGTCCTCCCAGGAGCAGCCTCCTGCTCCACTGCCTTTGGAGCTATCACTACTGCCATAAGAACCAAGGACAGTAGCTATTTGTTCCCGAGACACTTGGTGCACTATCCACAGTGACCCATAGCAATAAAGTTAATTTCAATACAACTACCTATGAAAAAGGAAAGTGAAGGATGTGTCTAAAACAACCCTGGAACCCCATCTTTGAGGATCTGTTTTGTACGACCACTCCTGGACACTAGCGTATGAGTTATTTTTCTGAGATAATTTAAGAGAATTGTTTAAGTAGGGTATGAGATTTCTAGGGCTTCCATAAGAAATGCCACTCGCTGGGTGACTTAAACAACAGACATTTATTTTCTCCCAGTTCGGGAGGCTGGAAGCCTAAGATCAAGATGTTGGTGGGGTTGATTTCCTCCGAGAACCATGAGGGGAGGAGTTGTTTGTGGCCTCTCCCCTCCCCTTGTAGGTGGCTGTCTTCTCCCTGTGTCTTCACATGGTCTTCCCTCTGTGCCTGTCTGTGCCCCAATCTTTTCTTACAAGGACACCAGTTATATGGGATTAGGGCCCACCCCAATGACCTCATTTTAACTTAATTCTTTATATACACTATCTCCAATCATCAGTCACTTTCTGAGGTTCTGGGGGTTTAGAACTTCAACCTGTGAATTTTTGGTGGGGCACAGTTCAGCCTGTAACAAACAGATATAGGAGGACTGAAAAGGCAAGGCAAGGGGGAAACATTGAAATAACAAACATAGTAATTGCAAGAAGCAACTACCATAACCTTAGGACTAGAGGAATAAAAGGAAGAGGCTGGAGTCATGAGAACTTAGCAGCTTGGAGAAGGAGTCTTACAGGACTGGTGCCCAGAACTCTGAGGGGCAGAGGGTATGAGCAGCTGGTACTGGCAAGTATGAGGGGTAGACAAACAGACAGATGCCGGGAGCATGGGATAAATGGAGAGGAGCGTTTCCTTTCTCTCCCCTTTCATCTTCAGATCTTGCTTTTGTGCCCCTCGTAGGCAGGACCTAACAGGTGTCCGCTGGCAAAAAAGAAGTGTAATCTGCAGCCTACAGCATGACAGGCCATGTTATTGAAGGATGGATTTTTACTAAGACACAATAACTTTAATAACCAACACAGGCTGGGCGTGGTGGCTCACACCTGTAATCCTAGCACTTTGAGAGGCTGACGTAGGTGGATTGTTTGAGACCAGGAGTTTGAGACCAGCCTGGGCAACATGGTAAAACCCCTACTCTACAAAAAGGACAAAAGTTATCCGGGCATGGTGGTGTGTGCCTGTAGTCCCAGCTACTCACAAGGCAGAGGCAAGAGAATTGAGCCTGGGAGTTCGAGACTGCAGTGAGCTATGATCACACCACTGCACTCCAGCCTGGGTGACAGAGTGAAACCCTGTCTCAAAGAAAAGAAAAGAAAAAAGAAAATAAGCAGCACAGATTCCTTCAGCTTCTTTTAAAAAGTCGTATCTTGCTCTGCAGCCTTGCTTTTATTACTTAGCAGCACATACGAAAAAGTCTCCAGTGTCCATCCTCTTCCAGCACATGAATTCTAATGGCTGCAGAGTATATTCCATCATAAGGATGTATCATCACTTACTTAACCAACTTCCTATTCTTAGCCATTCGGTGTTTTAAAATTTTGCCACTCTTATAAATAGGACTGCAACTCAATAAATCTAAGCACACATCCTTAAGTAATCCCTTAGGATTAATTTTTGAAGTGGAATTACTAAATCAAAAAGTATGAGGATTTTTCAGGATAAAAACTCACTTTTCTCAGCTATGGAAAACGTGAATTAAGTGTGGCTTCTTCTGTCCTGTAGTACAGTAGGGTGAGATTACAATGTACTAGAACATGGGGTTGAGGCAAGGATTTAAATACTATTGGCCGAAACTGAGTAATAGGATGTAATGATTTCAGAGTGAAACTAGGCCTACTCTTTATGAAAGCATTTAAAGGTGAGGGGACAGTTAACAGTAGCATCTGCCCCAGCTGGTGGAAACGCCATGTTGTTACTGATTTTAATGCAGTTGCATTCTTAGCAGAACTAATTTTGTAAAGCATTTCTCTAAATAATCCAATTTTACTTGGTGCTTATGGTTGGACAAAGGAGCAGGCAGGTTTTGTATCAGTATTTATGGAGTGTAGCCTTGTAGGAATTACTCTGGCCAGAGGACATTGCTATAAATCTATAATGATGGTTGTGTTTTTGATTCCATCTTTAGTTTCTGAATTTCAGCCTTTGTAATTAAAAATCCATATCATAAAATTTTGGCCTGTGACAATTTTATTTTTCTCCTGGGATGCTATGATTTTTCTGAGGCATGCCTTGCTCGGTCCTTCATGGAGGCTAAAGGTCTGGGGGATTTTGAGCTGGGTGTTTGGAGCCCATCCTCATGACAGATATTTGGCATGCCAGCTTGGGTGCTACCCTTGGAAGATCCGAGTCCAAGCTTTTACTGGCTCCCTGAGGACAATTCTGAGAAAGTTACTATCCCTTGTACTGGTTTCTGGTGCTGGGTATATACTTGCTTTTGTAAGACTAAATAAATTGATAAATTCAGCTGATTCAGAGCGTTTACATAATCTTTCCAATGTCAACAGTCATTTAAATTATCCTAACTTTATACTGAATCTCCAAAATCCAATTACTAGCTAATAATAATTGTCAGTTTTACTTTAAACCTTTAATGATAGGTCACAAGGGAAGTGTAGCAGCAGGATTAAATCGCTGTAGACTGTAGCTATGCCCAGTCTTAAATTACTCGCCTCTTATCTCTGGCTAACAGAGCCACTATATGTTTTGTCACCATTTTTGCTAAATAGAATATATGTCACCAAAATTAATTTCATCTCCCTTAAATTAGCTTCTTAGTGTGATTTCTCACTTCAGTCAAAATTTATTTCTTCAGGAATTTAATTTCCTTCTTCATCTCTTTTATTCGAGAGAGCAAGACTGTTCTGGAACAAATGTCGTTTAATCACTGGCTGGCAAGTTTTGAGGCTTGCTTTTCATTAATAATTGCTGACCCCTTTAGGGGGAGTGTTGGAGGATATTTCTGTTTTATTTAAGCTATTGTATGCTTTTAAACAGAGTAGACTGGGCTCTTTCTGAATAGTCTTAGAGAAGCTGTAAACCTTGCATAGAACAGGAAAGATGAATTTACCACAAAGAAAACATTTTTTTCACATGAGGGATGATTCAGCAGGGAGTTTGTAATTAGGCACTTTAGTTGTTTTTCCTACTTTTTAATCATTTTCAGGTATACACATCTGACAATAGCTATCCTTTAAGTAAGGCATGTGTTTGGAAAAAACTGTAGGGATTTAAAAGTTAAACTTCTCACAGAACACATAAATACACAGAAGACTTGCCCAACTCTGAAATGCATCCTGAAGATACGATAGTAGCACCTGTAACAAATTCCCTTTGCTCATCAACAGAAACCTCAAGGCACTAAAACATTAAGAGGCATGGAGAGGGAGAAGAGAGAGGAAGTGAGAAAGAGAGGGAAAGAGAGGGAGAGGGAAAGATCCATTTCTAGAAAGGCAAAGTGCGAGGAGCTCTGTGACCTGCTCCCCAGTGAAGCAAATGTAACTGGTGAAGATAATGAAAAAATATCCAACCATTCGGAGTCTCTGGATATTGTACTAGGAGAATACAGCAAATGAAGAAACAGTTATTTAAGAGCAACTACTAAAACTCAAAAGGAACAATGGGATTCTGTGGCACTTAAACCATGACCTGTTCCTTTCCTCCTCCCCGCAGCTTACTTTGAAGGAAGCTCTCTATTACAGGTAGGTGTGGCTAAGAAGGTGGGGCTCCCTTGCCCCTCATCTCCCAATCAAGGGATATGGCATCTTACCCAGAAGAGCAGGCTGCCAACATTTCTTATTCCCTCCGACTCTGAGATGCAGAAGTTAAGTTCCTGGTGAGGTCAGCCAAGAAGTCAGAGACTACTGTTCTCTGCCCACTCCCCCCAACTCAAATGTGGCAGTTCTACCACAGGTGAAGCTAACTGAGAACACTTGGGCCCTCATCATTCTTGCTCAAGAATGATGGGGTGGAGGGTCCACACTGGGAGAGGCAAGCTGAGAAGACTGGAGAGTGTCATATCTGCCTCAGTCTCTGGAGCAGTGGCTTGGAGGTTTTTCTCAGTGGGAGAGCAGTCCATAAATACATAGAGCTCTGAAGCTCTGAAGCTCTCCTTAGGGGAACTGTCTTTGAAACAGAGTGAGGGAAGTTCAAGGCTAAGGGTACTTTCTTCCATAATGAAGATTTTGGTGGTAATTAAGAGGAGACTAATAACTCCATGAGAGCAAAAACTTACACCAGAGGCAAGCAAGTTTACTAGAGAGAACCATGGAAACAGATAGCTAAGAACTCTCCTGGGTTCACAAAAAACCTAAAGGACTAGCCTCAAAAACTTCCCCTACCCATGTACAATTCAGTGGCATCTATAACATTCACAGTATTGTGCAATCATCACCACTATCTCTTTCCAAAACACTGTCATCATCCCAAGAAGAAACTCTAGAATGATTAAACCAACAACTTCCCATCCCTTCTCCCCTATGATCATGGATTAACAATTAGCTTTCATTAGAAACAATGGAGACCAGAAACCAATAGGATGGCATAATCAAAGTGCTGGAAAAAAAATAAAAAAACTATCAAGCAACAATCTTATATCCAGCAAAACTCTCTTTCAAATATGAAGGTGAAATAAAGACATTTCTAAGTAAACAAAAACTGAGAAGCTTTATTTGCTAGCAGACTTCCTTTACAAGAAATACTAAGGGAAGTAATACAGGCTGAAAGCAGTACACCCCAGACATTAATTCAAAACCACACGAATAAACAAAAAGCACCAGTAAAGGTAATTATATAATAATAAAAAGATAGTATAAATACATATTCTCCTTTCTGCCCTTAACTAATTTAAAAAGCAATTGTACGTAAGCATGGAATTACCATATAATCTAGCATTTTTTACTTCTAGGTATACACCCCAAAGAACTGAAAACAAGAACTCAAACAGATACTTGTACACCTATGTTCATAGCAGCCTTATTCACATGGACAAAAGGTAGAAACAACCCAAATGTCCATCAAGGGATTAATGGATAAAAAATGTTGGATATACGTACAATGTAATAGTATTCAGCCATAAAAAGGAATGATGTACTGATATATAATACAATATAGTTGGGAAAAGATTATTCTAAGTGAAATAAGCTAGACTCAAAAGGATAAATATTATAGGAATCCACTTAATTGAGGTATCTAAAATAGGCAAATACATAGAGACAGAAAGCAGAATAGAATAGAGGTTAACAAGGACTGGTAGCAGAAGGGAAGAGTGAGGACTTGCCAGGGAGAGAAGAGTAGGCAGTTATAGTTTAATAGGTACAGAATTGCTTTTGGGAAAATAAAAATATTCTGGAAATGTATACTGGTAATGGTTACACAAAATTTTAAATGTACCTAACACCACTGAATTATGCACAATAATGACAAAAATGGTAAATTTTGTTATGCACGTTAACCACAATAAAAATAATTAACTCTAAAAAAGCAATTATATAAAATAATATGTATGTAATTATATTATTGGGCTTATATGTAAATGTAATATATTTGACAGTAACAGCACAATGGAGATGGGTGGGAGGAAACCTGTATTGGTGTAAGGAAATGGCGCCAGATGGTAACCCAAATCTATAGGAACAAATGAAAAGAATCAGAAATGATAAATAGAAAGGGAAATATAACAAGCTCTATGAATATATGCTTACTCTCTTCTATTCTCTTAGCTTCTTTAATAGACATAAAATTATATAAATAATAAAATGTATTGGTAGGTTTGTAATATATTTAAATATAATGTGTATAACAATATTAGCACAAAAGGAGGAAGATGGAACAGAGCTATATAGGTGCAATTTTAAAATTTTTTGTGAAATTAAGTTAGCATATATCTGAAAGAGATTCTGATGAGTTAACCACTAATAAAATCTAATAAAATAACTCAAAATATAGCGAAAAATTATTAAAGAAATTATATTACACTAGAAATATTCACTTAAAGCAAAAGGAAGCAGTAAAGAAGGAACAGGGAAGCAAACACACATGGGGCATATAGGAAACAACTGAAATGGAATATGTAAATCCTATATAAATAATAATATCAAATATAAATGGATTAAGCAACTGAATCAATAGTCAGAGATTTTCAGAATGGATAAAAAAACAAAATCCAACTATAGGTTGTTTATAAAACACACACTTTAGATTCAAAGATACAGATAGTTTGAAAGTAAAAGAATTGAAAAGATGTATCATGCAAACAACAACAATAAGAAAATTGGAGTGGCTATACGAATAGCAGAAAAAAATAGACTTTAAGACAGAAAAAGTTACTAGAGTAAAAGAGGACATTTTGTGATGATAAAAGTGTCAATTTGTCAGGTATGTAAAACAATCATAAACATATAGACATGGCTACATAGCCACAGAGCCCCAAAATACACGAAGGAAAAACTGACAGACCAGAAGGGAAAAATAAGCTTTCAACAATAATAGTTGTAGTGTTCAATACCCCACTCTTAATAACAGATAGAACAACTAGACAAAATATCAAGGAAATAGAAGACTTGGACAACACTATAAACCAACTTGACCTACCAGACATCTGTAGACCTTCCACCCAGCAACATCAGAATGCACACTCTTCTCAAGAACATGGAATAGTCTCTAGGATAGACCATATATTAGGCCATAAAACAAGCCTCAATAAATTTAACTGGGTAAATCATGCAGAGTGTGTTCTCTGATAACAATAGAGTGAAAATAAAAATTAATAAATTTGGGGAATTCTCAAATATGTAGAATATAACACATTGCTGAATTGCCATTAGTCAAAGAAGAAGCAATAAAGAAAGTTGAAAAACACTTTGAGATGAATGAAAAAGACACACAACATACCAAAAGTTACAGGGTGCAGCTAAAGCTAAAGTAAACAGAGGGAAATTTGTGGTTGTAAATGCTACTACAAACTGAGAAAAGAGTTATCTATTCAATAACTTGATTTTCCACCTTAAGACAGTAGAAAAACAAGAGAAAACTAAACTCAAAGAAGATAGAAACCATAAAGAGCAGAAGTTAATGAAATAAAGAATAAAAAGCAATGAAAAAATTAATAAACCCAAAAGTTTTTCTTTAAAAGGATCAACAAAAATGCCAAGTAGTTAGCTAGATTGACCAAGAAGACTCAAATGATTAAAATCAGGAATGAAAGAGGGAGCATTACTATCAACCTGACAGAAATAAAGGATTGTAAGGCAGTACTATGATCAATTAAATGCCAATGAATTAGATAACTTGGATGAAATGGACAAATTTCTAAAGACAGACTCAAGAAGAAATAGAACATTTGAATGGACCTATAGAAAGTTAATTGATTGAGTTTGTAAACAAACAAACAAAAAACAACCGTCTACAAAAAAAGACCCCGGGCCCAGAATTTACTTCACTGGTAAATTCTATCAAGCATTTAAAGAAAGTAAATGTTAATTCTTCACAAAGTCTTCCCAAAATAGAGAAGGGAATACTTCCCAATTTATTCTCTGAGCCCACCATCATTCTGATTCCTAAACCAGAAAAAGGCATCATAAGAAAGAAAAATATGATATTTCGTGAAATGAAAAATCCTTAACAAATTATTAGCACATCCCATCTAGCAATGTGTACAAATATTACACACAATGACCAAGTAGGATTTATTTCGGTAATGCAAGATTAATTTAACATTACAAAACCAATTAACATAATACACCATATCAGAAGAATAAAGGACAAAAACCACATGACTATCTCCACACCATTAAAAAAAAAGTATTTGACAAAAGTCCACATCCACACACATTCATGGTAAAAACATTCAACAAACTAGGAAAAGAAAGCTTCCCCAACGCGATAAAGGACATCTGTGAAAAACTCTTGGTTACCATCGTACTTAATGGGAAAAGATTGAATGTTTTCCCCCCTATGATCAGGAACAAGACCAAGAAATCCACTATCTCCACTTTTATTTAACATTACAGTTAAAGTGTTAGCCCAGAAATTAGACAAGAAAACAAAATCAACTGGATGCAGATTGGAAAGAAAGAAGTAATAGTATTTACTTGCAGATCTTGTATACAGGAAATTCTAAGGATTCTGCTAAAAAAAAAAAGAAAAAAGAAAAACTGCTAAAACAAATAAATGAGTTCAGTAATGTTGCAGAATACAAGACCAATGTAGAAACATCCATCGTAATTGTGAAATTAAGAAAACAATTCCATTTATAATAGCATCAAAAGAGTAAAAGACTTAGAAATAAACCCAACAAAAGAAGTACAAAATCTATGCCCTGAAGAACAACAAAAACATTCCTGAAATACAATGAAAATAACCTAAATAAATAGAAATACATCCTATGTTCCTGGATGTAAAGACAACAGTACTCCACCCACATTTGATCTACAGGTTCAACACAATTGACTCTCTAGCCCCAATTTCAAAACTTATTAAAAGCTACAATAATCAAGACAGTGTGGTACTGGCATTGGAATACACACATAGATCAAAGGAATAGAACTAGGAGTCCAGAAAAAAGTCATTGCATTTACAGTGAATTGATTTTTGCTGAGAGTACAAAGATAATTCACTGGGGGAAAGCATAGTAATTTCAACAAATGGCGCTCAGGTAACTGGATAGTCACTTGCAATAGAATGCATTAGGAACCTCGTGCCATATACACCTCACACCATCTACAAAGTTAACTTAATATATTAGTAAATCAAAGCCCTAATATCACCACTAAAAGCATAAAACTCTTAGAAGAAAACATAGACATAAATCTGTGTGACTTTGGGTTAAGGCAGCAGTGTCTTAAATATGATATCAAAATCACAAGGGACAAAAGAAAAAATAAGTAAATTGGACTTCCTCAAAATTTAAAACTTGGGTGCCTCAAAGAACATCATCAGGAGTGTGAAAAGATAACCTCTAGAACTGGAGAAATTTTTATAAGTCATATATCTGATAAGGTATCCAAAATATATAAAGAACACCTATAACTCAATAATAAAAAGTCAATTATTATCTCATTTTAAAAATGGTCAAAGGAATTGAATATATTTGTCTCCAAAGAAGATATAGAAATAGCCAATAAACACACCACCAGAGGCTCAACATCATTAGCCATTAGGAAAATGCAAATCAAAATCACAGAAATATCACTTCACATCCACTAGAATGGCTATAATCAAAAAAGATAAATAATAACAAGTGTAGGGTGTGGAGAACTGGAACCCTCATACATTGCTGTTGAGACTGTAAAATGATGAAGCTGCTTTGGAAAACAGCTTGGCAGTTTCTTAAAAGGTTAAATATTGAGCAATTCCACTCCTAGGTATATACCCAGGAGAGGCGAAAACATACATACACAAATGCAAACAAAATTTGGTCATTAATATCTATAGCAGCATTATTCATAATAGTCAAAGAGTGGAAATAATCTAAATGTTCATCAATTGATGAGTGCATAAATAAAATGCAGTATATTCTTACAGTAGAATATTTGGCAATTAAAAGAAATGAAGTACTGATATATGCTACAATGTGGGTAAACCTTGAAAACATTATGCTAAGTAAAAAAACCCAGTTACCAATGAACATATATAGCTTAAGGTAAATTCATAGAGACCAAAAGAATAGTGGTTGCTTAGGGATGAGGAGGCTAGGGAAAAGAGTCAGACATTACTGATGGTGGGCATGGGATTTCTTTTGGGATTGATGAAAATGTTTTCAGATTGTGGTGATGATTGCACAATTCTGTGAATATGCATAAAGTTTTGAATATATATTTTAACGTAGTAAATTTTACGCTATGTTTATTATATCTCAATAAAACTTTTATTTAAGAAAAGATGAATACAGGAGCACCCAGATTTATAAAGCAAGTCCTTAGAGACCTACAAAGAGACTTAGACTCCCACACAATAATAATGCAAGACTTTAACACCCCACTGTTAACATTGGACAGATCAATGAGACAGAAAGTTAACAAGGATATCCAGGAATTGAATTCAGCTCTGCACCAAGCAGACCTAATAGACATCTACAGAACTCTCCACCCCAAATCAACAGAATATACATTCTTCTCAGCACCACACCACACTTATTCCAAAATTAACCACATAGTTGGAAGTAAAGCACTCCTCAGCAAATGTAAAAGAACAGAAATTATAACAACCTGTCTCTCAGACCACAGTGCAATCAAACTAGAACTCAGGATTAAGAAACTCACTCAAAACCGCTCAACTACATGGAAACTGAACAACCTGCTCCTGAATGACTACTTGGTACATAACGAAATGAAGGCAGAAATAAAGATGTTCTTTGAAACCAACGAGAACAAAGACACAACATACCAGAATCTCTGGGACACATGTCAAGCAGTGTGTAGAGGGAAATTTATAGCACTAAATGCCCACAAGAGAAAGCAGGAAAGATCTAAAAGTGACACCCTAACATCACAATTAAAAGAAGTAGAGAAGCAAGAGGAAACACATTCAAAAGCTAGCAGAAGGCAAGAAATAACTAAGATCAGAGCAGAACTGAAGGAGATAGAGACACAAAAAACCCTTCAAAAAATCAATGAATCCAGGAGCTGGTTTTTTGAAAAGATCAACAAAACTGATAGACCGCTAGCAAGACTAATAAAGAATAAAAGAGAGAAGAATCAAATAGACGCAATAAAAAATGACAAAGGGGATATCACCACCGATCCCACAGAAATACAAACTACTATCAGAGAATACTATAAACACCTCTACGCAAATAAACTAGAAAATCTAGAAGAACTGGATAAATTCCTCAGCACATACACACTCCCAAGACTAAACCAGGAAGAAGCAAAATCACTTAATAGACCAAAAACAGGCTCTGAAATTGAGGCAATAATTAATAGCTTACCAACCAAAAAAAGTCCAGAACCAGACGGATTCACAGCCGAATTCTACCAGAGTTACAAGGAGGAGCTGGTACCATTCCTTCAGAAACTATTCCAATCAATAGAAAAAGAGGGAATCCTCACTAACTCATTTTATGAGGCCAGCATCATCCTGATACCAAAGCCTGGCAGAGACACAATAAAAAAAGAGAATTTTAGACCAATATCCCTGATAAGCATCGATGCAAAAATCCTCAATAAAATACTAGCAAACTGAATCCAGCAGCACATCAAAAACCTTATCCACCATGATCAAGTGGGCTTCATTCCTGGGATGCAAGGCTGGTTCAACATATGCAAATCAATAAATGTAATCCAGCATATAAACAGAACCAAAGACAAACACCACATGATTATCTCAATAGATGCAGAAAAGGCCTTTGACAAAATTCAACAGCCCTTCATGCTAAAAACTCTCAATAAATTAGTTATTGATGGGACGTATCTCAAAATAATAAGAGCTATTTATGACAAACCCACAGCCATTATCATACTGAATGGGCAAAAACTGGAAGCATTCCCTTTGAAAATGGGCACAAGACAGGGATGCCCTCTCTCACCACTCCTATTCAACATAGTGTTGGAAGTTCTGGCCAGGGCAATCAGGCAGGATAAATAAATAAAGGGCATTCAATTAGGAAAAGAGGAAGTCTAATTGTCCCTGTTTGCAGATGACATCATTGTATATCTAGAAAACCCCATCGTCTCAGCCCAAAATCTCCTTAAGCTGATAAGCAACTTCAGCAAAGTCTCAGGATACAAAATCAATGTGCAAAAATCACAAGCATTCTTATACACCAATAACAGACAAACAGAGAGCCAAATCATGAGTGAACTCCCATTCACAATTGCTTCAAAGAGAATAAAATACCTAGGAATCCAGCTTACAAGGGATGTGAAGGACCTCTTCAAGGAGAACTACAAACCACTGCTCAACAAAATAAAAGAGGAGACAAACAAATGGAAGAATATTCCATGCTCATGGATAGGAAGAATCAATATCGTGAAAATGGCCATACTGCCCAAGGTAATTTATAGATTCAATGCCATCCCCATCAAGCTACCAATGACTTTCTTCACAGAATTGGAAAAAACTACTTTAAAGTTCATATGGAACCGAAAAAGAGCCCGCATCGCCAAGGCAATCCTAAGCCGAAAGAACAAAGCTGGAGGCATCACACTACCTGACTTCAAACTATACTACAAGGCTACAGTAACCAAAACAGCATGGTACTGGTACCAAAGCAGAGATATAGACCAATGGAACAGAACAGAGCCCTCAGAAATAATACCACACATGTACAACTCTCTGATCTTTGACAAACTTGACAAAAACAAGAAATGGGGAAAGGATTCCCTATTTAACAAATGGTGCTGGGAAAACTGGCTAGCCATATGTAGAAAGCTGAAACTGGATCCTTTCCTTACACCTTATAGAAAAATTAAATCAAGATGGATTAAAGAGTTAAATGTTAGACCTAAAACCATAAAAACCCTAGAAGAAAACCTAGGCAATACCATTGAGGACATAGGCACGGGCAAGGACTTCATGTCTAAAACACCAAAAGCAATGGCAACAAAAGCCAAAATTGAGAAATGGGATCTAATTAAACTCAAGAGCTTCTGCACAGCAAAAGAAACTACCATCAGAGTGAATAGGCAACCTACAGATGGGAAAAAATTTTTGCAATCTACTCATCTGACAAAGGGCTAATATCCAGAATCTACAATGAACTCCAACAAATTTACAAGAAAAAAACAACCCCATCAAAAAGTAGGCGAAGGATATGAACAGACACTTCTCAAAAGAAGACATTTATGCAGCCAACAGACACGTGAAAAAATGCTCATCTTCACTGGCCATCAGAGAAATGCAAATCAAAACCCAATGAGATACCATCTCACACCAGTTCGAATGTCGATCATTAAAAAGTCAGGAAACAACAGGTGCTGGAGAGGATGTGGAGAAATAGGAAGAGTTTTACACTGTTGATGGGACTGTAAACTAGTTCAACCATTGTGGAAGTCAGTGTGGCAATTCCTCAGGGATCTAGAACTAGAAATATCATTTGACCCAGCCATCCCATTACTGGGTATATACCCAAAGGATTATAAATGATGCTGCTATAAAGACACATGTACACGTATGTTTATTACAGCACTATTCACAATAGCAAAGACTTGGAAGCAACCCAAATGTCCAACAATGATAGACTGGATTAAGAAAATGTGGCACATATACACCATGGAATACTATGCAGCCATAAAAAATGATGAGTTCATGTCCTTTGTAGGGACATGGATGAAGCTGGAAACCGTCATTCTCAGCAAACTATATCAAGGAGAAAAAAACAAACACTGCATGTTCTCACTTATAGGTGGGAATTGAACAATGAGAACACTTCGACACAGGAAGGGGAACATCACACACCAAGGCCTGTTGTGGGGTGTGGGGGAGGGGGGAGGGATAGCATTAGGAGATATACCTAATGTAAATGACTAGTTAATGGGTGCAGCACACCAACATGGCACATGTATACAGATGTAACAAACCTGCACGTTGTACACATGTATCCTAGAACTTAAAGTATAATAAAAATATATATATAAATAAAAAAAGATCACAAACTAAATATTGAGCTTATAAAATAAATTAGAATGAAAGGTTTCATAATAAAAAAAGACTAAAATAGAAGTTGGAAACATTGGATGCAATCCTATATTTGCTTTTTCCTACCAATATGACTTTGGAAAATTTTCTTATTTGTGGACCTTAGCTTTCTTATCTTATGATAATGTTTGCACCAGCAAGGTCTTAGAGGAGGTACTAGGCAATGTGGGGCAAGGGAGAGCGACTTTATTAGTGGTTACAGTGACCAAAGAGGGCTCCTCTCACAAAGCCAGCTTCATGGTGTGTAACCTGTGCAGTCACACCCCACGCCATGCTCAGAAGGGCCCAGGCTTGGTTTAATTCTCTGCTGTATGTTTTGAACAAGGGTTCCTGCATTTTCATTTTGGGGGGTCCTATGAAGAATGTAACCAATTCTGATCCTACTGATAGTGAGAAGGGGCTAGGGAGCCTTTAATGTCCTGCAGAGCACAGGGCAGCCCTGTGCAGTGAATAATTGCCCTGTCCAAAATGCCCTGATGAGAAACACCAAATGCTAAGTCATGGTTGAACTCTGAAGGGCTGCAATTTTTAACTAGCTTACTAGAACCTAATCTGAAATGTTCAAGAATAGTGTGTGTTTTTCAAAAAATTTGCTTTGATTTATTTCATGTACCTAAAAAGAGTATGACGGGTCGAAGGCGACTGAACATTTAGTTCCTCATTTTTTTTCCTGAGACTGATAATATACCCTATATGAGCCTTATATGCTTTGACCTTGCTTCTCATCCATTAACTGAGCTGTTGAAGTTTAGATGATTATAGCCTTAACTTATTTTATTTCTGGTTATTAGATTTGTTAAGAAATTGCCAACTCAGTAGGCTCTGTGGCAAAAACAATTATGATTCCTGGAGAATCTCTGATGAATAATAACGTTCTAAGCTGAGCATTTTACTTACATTATTTCATTTAATTTTCCCATCAATCTTTTAGGTTGATCATTATTATCCTAACTTTATAGATAAGGAAACTGAGTCTCAGAGGGCTTAAGAAAGATTAGATGAAAATGATGTGTCTTCTTTTTTGACTTCTCAACTGCTATTAGATGAAACCTGAAATCCGTGAGTTTCTTTCATTCCTTGAATTTTCCCCCAGATGTATTAGGCCTCACTGGAAGAATTAATGTTGGAATCTACTGATATATGTTACTGTTATATACTTATACTGTAGTAAGCCCCTAAGTTGGTGATATTTTCATGTTGCACCAAAATTTATTATCTACTTGGTTGAGAATATAATACTGTACATGATAAAAATATACTGAATTAGGAAGTGCAAGATTTAATCATTTCTGAAGTCATAGAATAGTAGAGCTGGAAGAAATTTTAAAGCACTCCTGTGCCAATCCATACATTTCACAGATGTTGAAACTGAGGTTAAGATAGGTTTAATATTTTTTCTGTATTCACATAATAGATGTATGGCTTTAGTGACAAAGCCAGGAATATAATTTATGAGTTAAAGTGAATTATTGGCTCATCACTCTTCCCAAACATTTCCTTGCCTCCCTTTGGTCAGTTTTATCTAGATGAAATAAAACAACCAATTTGATGGTTTGACAGATTTCTTCTTCAATGGAAATAACTTGCATGGAGTTTAGATAGTCTGTGGATTTCCTGTAATATGGGAGTTGTAACATTTTGGAGCATGTTTAACTCAACATAGAGGTGTCCTCTTTCAAAAGGACTTCAACTTAGGTTTGACTCTATGAATAACCCAGCGAAAAATAATTTCCCAGTAAGTTCGAAGAATACCTTAAAGGTAATCATATGTATTGAGAAACAGTAAGTCCTGCCATTGGGACAGCGACTCAATGGTATGAATAATAGGATGAAAAAGAAATTGAGGCATTTAGGGAGGTTAGAAGGGATATTCTAATTTATATTTTTGGATCAATTTAGAATTCAGAAGCACTTATTTGTAGCTTATTGATATTCACTTTTTGGGTCCATTAAGATGTAAAGATGGTCAATTTTATAAATTAATGTGGATCATGAGGACTTCTAGATTTCCTCCTGCTTTCTACAATTCTATTAAATGATATTTAAACCAAGGAGATAAAGCTTACGTATATTTTCTTTATTCAACTGTAGACTTAAAAGAAAATAAAACTCTTCAAGATACATCTCAGACCCAGTGTTTGATTTTTAGATTGTAGCCTTGATATGCTCAGCCTTCTCCTTCTCAGGCCTCTGCAATGGGCCTGAAATGACCTTTTATTGGCCTGGTTCCTTTGATGAATGAACTCAGCACATTTTTGACAGAGATGAAGGCTGGCTTTTTTAAGGCCTTCTTTAGGGAGATATAAATCTCTTGCTGCTTTGGAGCTGCATACTGTTTATAAACCAAACTTCATGCTTCCAAAATGAGAAAACTTTCCTCCTTCTAGTCTTGCAGGGTCTCACAAGGATCACTGCGCATGTTTATCAGCATTTAAAAGAAATAGCTAATTATGGGGAGTGGTCTAACTAATTGGGCAAAGGTCTCAGGTATACATTTAGCTCTTATTTTTTATCTCCAACTTTCTTTGTGCAATAGGAAAACAGATTAATGTTTTTCTTTCTTAATTCAACTTACAGAAAATGTAGGGTCAGATTAACTCATAAGACCCTGCATCCCAGTTCATAAGTCCTTTCCAATAACAAGCCCTTCTCTATACTGGGCTTCTCTAATATTTCCTAAGGTGCTGACCATCAGCCATCCTTACTTCTTATTGCATTCATACTCCTTGGGTAATACATTCATTTCATGACCCCAAACATTATATACCTCATTGACTCGCAAATGTGTATTTCATGACCTCCATGTATTGCTTGATCTGCAAACTATGTTTTCAACTGACTGTTAGATGTTTCCACCTAGATTTCCTTCAGGAACCTCCCAGTTAAACAGAAATCATTATCATTCTTGTGTCAACACCACCCGTCTCTGCCTGTCCAATTTTTTCTCTTCATATATTTTCCTTCTTGGTTCATAACATGATAATCTTATCCAGTTTGGGCAATTGAAGTAACTTAGATAAATCCTCAGCTCTTCTCTCTTGCCACCCATTTTATAGGTCATTAAATATGCCTTTTGGGCACTTTTTATTGAAGTATTAACATACATTTATAAGTATTTACAAATTTTAAGTGTGCAGTTCATTGAATGTTCACAAAGTGAACAGACCTGCAACCAGTAACTAAATTATTCGCACACTTAAATCCCCCTTTTACCCCACTGTCTTCATTATCTCTGCCCATCAGGGGTACTTCTTACTTAGCATTTAATAAAATAGAATAGTTGGCCTGTTTTTGAACTTAAGATAAGTGGAACCATACTGTATGTATTCTTTTTGTCTGGATACTTCGGGCCAAAATTATGTTTATAAAATTCATCCATGTTGTTGCATGTAGCAGAACTTTGTTCATTCTGATTGTCTAGTATGTGCTGGATGAATATTTCACAGTTCATTGAGTCATTCTACTGTTGATGATGGACATTTGATTTGCTTCCAGTTTGGGGCTATAGTCATGTTGCAATGAGCATTCTCATACCTGTCATTTAGTTCACATATTTATATATCCCTGCTGAGAAAACACAAGGTCTTGCTGTGAATAGAATGTGCATTTGTTCAGCATTAGCAGATGTTGCCAGATAGTTTTTTAAAGTGGTTGTACCAGCTCACATTATTCAGTTCAATTCAGCAGTTGTTCCATACAGCATGTTGTTCAATACCAATTCAGCAGCATATGAGAATTTTCGGTTTCTCCACATGCTCACTAATACTGGGTATTATGAGCCTTGCTCATTTTTGGCATAATGTTCCATATGAAGTGGTAGCTCATCATATAGTTCTCATTTGCATTTTCCCTGTTGGCTGATGAAGTTGAACACTCTTTCATACATTTCTTGACCATTTAAATTTCCTCTATTGTGAAATGGATTTTCAGTCTTTGTTCATTTTTTAAAATTGAATTATCTTATTATGTCCTAGTTTCAAGTTCTGCATCAGATTATGAATTGCAGTTTTTCCTTCCCACATTGTAGTTTGCATTTTTCATTCCCTTAATGGTGTATTTTGATGAACAGAAGTTCTTAATTTTAATGTAGCACAATTTATCATTGCTCCCTTAATGATGAGTGTTTTTAATTATCTATTTAAGAAATATTAGCTATGTTTTACAACATTTAAAAACTCATTTGATGGTAGTATACAGACAATGACACTCTGATGGGTAAAAGGCAGAACTCTTTGTTACTGGCAGCTCCAAATCAGAGAAGGCTGCCAGGCAGGGCCCCATAGGGGATTTCACCCAAGACCATGGTAACAACAAGCTGGAGCTACACGGGGCAGCTTATGGTAAGCAGGATGTGTTTAGCTAGGTCTTCCAAGCTTCTCACGGATTGCCTAATCTGAATGATCTCCGGGGCTCCAGTGTATAGGGACTATCCTTAATTGTTTCCTACCTGGTTCTGGGGCAATAGGGGCAGGCGCACAGTGGCCTTAGTGTGTGAGATCAAAATAGTAGAAATAGTTGAAGTGTGGCTTTAATCAGCTGCTCAGAAAGGAAAACTGATTGTCCTCTAGCCAGGGCTTCAGGACTGGGTCAAGAAACCATTAAAAAAAAAAAAAAAGCAAATGTACAGACTACCATAAGAAGCATTGCTTTATTTTCCATATTTAGGTCTAGAGTTAATCTGAAGTTAACTTTTTTATGTGAACTGGGTGCAAGATTCATTATTGTCCACATGGATAGCTACTTGATTCATCACAATTTATTGGAAAAAAGTTCCATTTGCAACCATGATGCAGCTGTTTATTTACCTCTCTTTCTACTAATACCATGCCATAGTAATTACTATAGCTTTATAACTACAGCATCTGTAGGGATCTTGATGTCTTAACATCTGCTCATGTTACTCTTTCAGCTGCTGTTGTACATTTGCCGTTTTCATTGTCATATGCTCTTCCTCCTTCTTTTCCCTCATCCCCATTCCCTTTCCCTTCTTCTTCCTCCTCTTTCTCCCTTTTCTTACTTTTTCTTGTCCCATCCTCCTTCTTCTTCCTCTCATTCTCCTTCTTCTCTTTCTCTTTTTCTCCTTTACTTCCTCCTCCTCCATCTTCTCCTCCTTCTCCTTCTACTTGTCATTCTTCTTTTCCTCCAATTTTTCCTTAACTGTTTTAGAAATTATTTAGAAGTTCTTTGCCTTTCTATAGAAATCTTAAAGGACATTTCTCAAAATCCCAACATTTTAATTAGGGTAGCAATGAAACAATAGAGCAGTTCAGGGGAAGAAATGACATCTTTATAATATGAGTCTTTCATTCCATGAACATGATATGGCTTTCTATTGATTTGGTCATCTTTGATTTTCTCCTTTGGTGCTTGGTAGTTTTCAACATAGAATCCTGTATGTATTTTGTTAGATTTATACTTCAATATTTTTGAGCCATTTAAATGGTATTGCTTTTATTTAATTTCTACTGTTGTACAGATAAAACTGATTTTTGTATAATGATCTTTAATCTGTGATCCTGATAAAATCATTTTAGTTTTATGTAGTTTTCTGTAAATTCTATTAGGTTATCTATATAGACAATCATGTCATACACAGATAGAGACATATTATATCTAACTTAATTGGATTTGTTTATTTCTGTTTATTTATTTCTCCTTGCAGTCCTAGTACTTTTTTGCCTCATGTATTTTGATGCTCTGTTGTCAGGTGCATACCTGATAAGTACTCCTACACTTTCTCGGAGAATTCACTCTTTTACCATTGTATAATGTCCCTCTTTATCTCCGATAATTTTCCTTTACTAAAGTCAGCTTTGTCTGAAATTAAGGTATCTAGTACAGCTTTCTTTCGTTAGTATTAGTGTATCTTTACATATCCCATTTTCAACCTGTTTCTGTATTTATACTTAAAATAGTTTTTCTATAGACCACATGTAATTGGGTCTTGTTTTTTATCTGCTTCAACAATCTCTTTCCTATAATAGGTATATTTAGACTATTTTCATTTACAGTGATTACCGACATAGTTGGATTAACATCTACCATGTTTGTAACTTTTCCACTTATTGAACTTGTTCGTTGTTTCTTTTCCCCCTCTTTTTCTGCCTGCCCTATTTTTGACTGAGCATTTTATATGATTCTATATCTCTCCTCTTTTATCATATCAACTATATTTCTTTAAAAATTTTTGTAGTGGTTGACTTAAAGTTTGTAATACACGTTTACAGCTATTCTAAGTTTGACTTCAAATAGCACTATACCACATTATGGATAGTGTGGGTACCACATAACAGAGTATTCATAATTATTTCACTTATCCTCTATGAAATTGCTGTCATTCATTTCACTTATTCATATAGTGTTATCACCGAATACAGTGCTACTATTATTACATTAACCAAGGAGTTATCTTTTAGATCAATTAAAATTTTTTAAAAAATATTTTATTTTACCTTTGTTTATTCTTTCCCCAACACTCTTCCTTTCTTCATATCTATCTGGATTTCTGACATTTGTCACTTTCTTTTTCCTTCAATAATTATTTTAACATTTCTCATAGAATAAGTTTACTGGCAATGAATTTTTCAGATTTGTTTGTGGGAGTCTTTATTTCTTCCTTACTATTGAAGGATAACTCCACTGAAATATAGAAGTACCTCTTTTTGCTTGCATAGTTTCTGATAAGACATCTACTTTAATTCTTATTCTGTTTCTCTCTCGGGGTTTTTTACTACTGTGTCTATTAGAAGCTTTAGTTTGGGACTGCTATAGCTCCCAGGCTAGGATATATAAAAGGCAAAAATGAAACTATACAAACAGAAAAAGCCAAACAGGGGCTCACTGAATCTTTCTTTGAGTACTGAGATCCTTATTCAGTTATCCTGTTGTGATCCCTTTCAGAATATTCTAATAGATGCTTCATTATGCATTTTACTCCAGAGTTTTTGGTTACAGATATGGAGGAAATAGAGTGACATATGCTTACTCTATGTTGTTTGAAACCAGAAGTGACATTTTTAATACTATGTGTGTGAGGCTAAGTTTCTTGTTAATATCCTCTGATACATAGAAAATTTTTTAAAGCCGGCAATCCACCCAGTGATATCCATACCGCAAGTTCTGTTTTGCCTTCTGTAGGTGGTAATTCCAATGTCAATTAAGTTTGCACAGCCTTTTCTATATTCCCTGAAGCTGCCCAGTGCATGCATTAGTCAAGGCTTCATCTAGGACTTGGGCCATGGATTATATTGTGGATCATTCTGGATACCTTCACTGCGGTGGTTTTTGTTTAGATTTGTTTTGTTTTTTGGCTCTGTGCTGCACGTACATAGGTCAAGTTTGATTCTGCATCTTATGCCATATCATACACAAAATTAGAGGACTCTGTTATCTAGCTGTCTCTTAGGTTTTTCCTACAATTTAGGACTCTGAAGAGTCCCTTTTCCTGATTATTTTGGCTAAAAATTTGGGTTTCTTTCAGGGTTTTATTACTCTACACTGTCACACAGTGGGGACCTTCTTTAGGTTCTTACTGGGACTTTGTTTGGAGAGATGTAGTGGGAATTTTAAAAAAGAGAAAACTGATGGATACCACCTCCCCACTCTTTGGACAACAGAGGCTACTTTCCTAGTAACTGTCTCAGGAAACAAGTCCTCTTTCTGGGTTTTATGCCATTATGCTGCTGCCACTGCCACAGCTGCCATGGAAGCTCAGGTCTCTGGATGACACTGGCCTTGGGAGAGGTCTAGAAGGGAAAAGAAGAGAAGGGAAAAGTGAATATTCTTTGGTCTTGGGGGGCTCCCAGATACAGTTTTAACTACTTCTACTTGGACAACTAATAAAGATGCTAAAGATGAACAGGTTATTATTGTGTTGCTAGATATGTAGATTAAGGGCAATCTACTCTTACTTAAACTTTAGATAAGATGGAAATTTTTTTTCTTGGGCAGTAACAACATTAAGAACGGTGATGATGAAAGTGTGGTTCATGATCCAGCTGCATGAAGTCCCTCTATGAAGGATGTTGAATGTGCATATTTCTAGGCCTTAACTTTGGCTCTTGAATCTTGATTCCTAGATTTGCATTCTGTATTCCTGTACACACTAAAGATTTAAGACATTACTTTTAGATGGTGATGAACCCCTAAGTCATTGAAGTTTAAGAGACCAGTAGATGATTATATTATTGTATGCGGAAGATATCAGGGGCTTGAAGTTGGGCCTAGGCAACAGAAATGAAAAATACAGGGAAAATAGAAGAGATATTATTGAGGTAAGGAGGACACCTGGGAACTGATTAACCCTTGAAGGTAAAGAAGGGGTATGTTAAAAGATGACTCAGAGGAAGTATTTTGGATGCATGTGAGAATGATGATACCATAATAAGATAAGGGAATGTCAAAGTAAACTCTAGATGATTTAATTAGACTGGATTTGAGTATGGGGATTTGAGTAATTCTGGCATGTCTGTATGGGGTTTTTGAGACTCTGTTTAAGGTAGGGTTAGTATAAGACACACCTTCCAAGAATTTACAATCTGTTAGTGGGATTGAGAAATAAGGAAAAAAACAACTAAAGCTAACTTGGATTGAGCTCTTTCTATATGCCAAACACAAATGATGTTCTAAACATTTTACATAGATAGGTTACGCAACTTGCCCAAGATCACACAGCTACTAAGTGAAAGAGCTGAGATTTAAAACCCTGTGTTCTAGACTCTATGCTTTTAATGTCTATACAATTAATATTACCAAATTTATGGCAATTTGACCTCTCTAGCCATCAGTTTCCTTATTTCTAAATTAAGGATAATAATCTGGTAGAATGTGTGTGATAACAAAATGACACCATATACAGAACCTAGAAATAGTAGGTGTTCAAATTGCATGATTTAGTTCTCATTTTTTTAAGTGGTTCAGATTTTTTAAAATGCTGTTTGAAAATACTGTATCTGTAACTACAAGACCAGTTTTCTAAACTTTCACTTATTTTTGGAGATCTTCATGGTGCTTCAATAAAAATTTTATAACACTAGAAGAAAAAAATTATCTGTTTTTCTTTTCCTTTTCTATAGCTTTGTAGAACTATTATTGAAAGACAATAAACTACACATATTTACAGCATACAATTGAATAAATTTGGACTTATATATATGAGAAATTATCATCCCTAAATTTCCCTAATGACCTTTGAAATTCCTTACTCCTTCCCTGTCTGCCTCTGCCTCTGAGAAATCACTAAATGACTTATCTTGTTATAGATTATTTCACATTTTCTAGACTATTATATAAAAAATACAATATGTACTGTTTTTTCTGGCTTCTTTCAGTATAATTATTTTGAGATTCAACCATGTGTGTATCAATAGTTCATTTAAAAATATTATTGCTGACAAATATTTCATTGTGTAGATATACAATAGTTTGTTTCTTCACATTTTGATGGGCATTTATGTCAGTCCAATTTTTAACTTTATTAAAAATAAAGCAGCCATGAATATTAGTGTATGCATGCTTTCACATGGTACATTTACATTTAACTTTTTAAGAAACTGCTAAACTATTTTCTAAAGGAACTGTACCATTTTACATTTCTACCAGCAGTGTCTAAGAGTTGCAGTTGCTCCAAATCCTCACCAACACTTGGTATGGTGAGTCTTTTTAATTATCATATTGGTTTGTGTATGTTGAACCATCCTTGAATTTGCGAGATAGATCCTATTTGATCATGATGAATGAAGTTTTCCATATGTGGTTGAGTTTGGTTTACTAGTATTTTCTTGGGGATTTTTGCATCAATATTCATCAGGGATATTGGCCTATAGTTTTCTGTTTTTGATGTGTCTTCATCTGGTTTTGATGTGTCTTCATCTGGTTTTGGTATCAGAATTGATACCAGAATTAGCATAGCACGAGTTTAGAAGTATTCCCTCTTCCTCTATTTTTTGTAATAGTTTGAATAGGATTGGTATTTCTTCTTTAAATATTTGATAGAATTCAGCAGTGAATCCATCAGGTCCCAGGCTTTTCTTTGCTGGGAGACTTTTTATTACAGCTTCGATTTTGTTACTTGTTATTGGTCTTTTCAGATTTTTTATTTCTTCATGGTTCAATTTTGGTAGGTGGTATATGTCTAGAAATTTGTCCATTACTTTTAGATTTTCCAATTTATTGGCATATAATTGCTCATAGTAGCCACTAATTATCCTTTACGTTACTGCAATATCAATAGTAATGTCTCATTTTTCATCTCTGATTTTTATTTATTTTGGTCATCGCTCTTTTTTTCTTAATCTAGCTAAAGGTTTGTCAATTTTGTTTACCTTTTCAAAAAAACAAGCTTTAATTTCATTGATCTTTTGTATTGTTTTTGCATTTCAATTTTATTTATTTCTGCTCTGATCTTTATTATTTATTTTCTTCTCCTAATTTTGAGTTTTGTTGCTCTTGCTCTTCTAGCTTCTTTAAGACGCATCCTTAGGTTATTCATTTGAAGTTTTTCTTCTTTTCTGATATAGGAGCTTATACACTCCCTTGTTAGTACTGCTGTCATGGTATCTCCTAGGTTTTGGTATGTTGTGCTTACATTATCAGTCATTTCAAAAAATATTTAGATTATACTGCTTGGGTGATAGGTACACCAAAATCTCACAAATCATCACTAAAGAATGTACTCATGTAAACAAACACTATCTGTTCCCCAATTATATGTATATATATAGCTTCCCTCTTCACTTGACACTCATTCTCTCTCCTGCTGCCCTGTGAAGAGGTGCCTTCTGCCATGATTGTAAGTTTCCTGAGGCCTCCTCAGCCATGCAGATCTGTGAGTCAGTTAAACCTCTTTCCTTTATAAATTACCCAGTCTCAGGTATTCATAATAAAATGAAAATAAAAATAAATTTATTCATTAATTTATTCATTGACCCACTGGTCATTCAGGAGCATATTGTTTAATTTCCAGTGTTTATATAGTTTCTATAATTCTTCTTGTTATTGATTTCTAGTTTTATTCCATTGTGTCAGAGAAGATGCTTGATATTAGTTCAATATTTTGAGTGTTTTAAGACTTGTTTTGTCACCTAACATAAGATTTGTCCTTGAGAATATGTGTTCTGAGAAGAATGTGTGTTCTGCAGCCGTTAGATGAAATATTCTGTAAATATCTGTTAGATCCATTTGGTCTATAGTCCAGTGTTTCTTTGTTATTTTTTTGGCTGGAAGATCTGTCCAATGATGAAAGTGAGGTGCTAAAGTCTCCAGCTATTATTGTATTAGGGTCTCTCTCTCTCTCTCTCTCTTTAGCTCTAATATTTGCTTCATATATCTGGGTACTCCAGTGTTCAGTGCATATGTATTTAAAATTGTTATATTCTCTTGCTGAATTGACCCTTTTTCATTATACAGTGATCTTCTTTGTCTCTTCCTATAGTCTTTGTCTTGAAATCTATTTTGTCTAATATAAGCATAGCTACTCCTGCTCATTTTTGGTTTCCATTGACATAGGATATCTTTTTCCATCCCTTAATTTTCAGTCTATGTATGTCTTTATAGGTGAAGTGTATTTCCTATAGACAACAGATTATTATTATTTTTTAATCCATTCAGCCACTCTGTGTCCTTTGATTGGAGAATTCAGTCCATTTACATGTATTATTATTGATAAATAGGGACTTGTTTCTGGCATTTTGTGATTTGTTTTCTAGTTGTTTTGCGGTCATCTCTTCCTTCTTTCCTTCCTTGCTGTCTTTTAGTGAAGGTGATTTTCTCTTGTGGTATGATTTAACGTCTTGCTTTGTTTTTTGTTTCTATTGTATATTTTTTTATTTGAGGTTACAAATAATATGAGGCTTGCAAATAATATCTTATAACTCATCATTTGAAACTGATGACAACACTAATTGCATCAACAAACAAAAGGAAAACTAATAAAAAATCAGCACATTAACTTTTTCCTCCTGCTTTTTAATTTTTTTTTGTTTCTATGTATATTGTATTATAATCTCTATGTCTTGAAAAGTTGTTGTAGTTATTATTTTTGGTTCATTCATCTTTCGTCTTCCTACTTAGAATAAGAATAGTTTACATACCACAATTGCAGTGTTATAATATTCTGTGTTTTTCTGTGTACTTAGTAAGACCAGTGAGTTTTATACCTTAAGATGATATCTTACTGTTCTTTAACAGCCTTTTCTTCCTGATTAAAGAACTGCTTTTAGCATTTCTTGTAGGGCAGTCTGGTGTTGATGAAATCCCTCAGCTTTTGTTTGTTTTGGAAAGTCTTCAATTCTCCTTCATGTGAAGGACATTTTCACCAGATAAGCTATTCTAGCATAAAAGTTTTTTTTCCTTTGGCACTTTAAATTAATGTTATGCCACTCTTTCCTGACCTGTAAAGGTTTCCTCTGAAAAGTCTCCTGCCAGATGTGTTGCAGATCCATGGTGTGTTATTTTTTTCTCTTGCTACTTTTAGGATCCTTTCTTTATCCTTGGCCTTTGGGGGTTTGATTATTAAATGTCTTGAGGTAGTCTTCTTTGGGTTAAACCTTCTTAGTGTTCTATAACCTTCTTATACTTGAATATTGATAGCTTTCTCTAGTTTAGGAAAGTCCTCTGTTATTATCCCTTTGAATAAACTTTCTACTCTTGTCTCTTTCTCTACCTCCTCTTTAAGGCCAATTACTCTTAGATTTGCTCTTTTGAGGCTATTTTCTAGATTTTATAGGTGTGCTTCATTATTTTTTATTCTTTGTTAATCTTTTTTCTTTTATATTCTCTGACTGTATATTTCTAAATGGCCTGTCTTCAATCTCACTGATTCTTTCTTCTGCTTATCAGCTCTGCTGATAGGAGACTCTGATGCATTCTTCCTTATGTCAATTGCATTTTTCAACTCCAGAATTTCTGCTTGTTTCTTTTAAAGTACTTGAATCTCTTTGTTAAATTTATCTGATAAAATTCTGAATTCCTTCTCTTCGTTATCTTGAATTTCTTTGAGCTTCCTCGAAACAGCTATTTTGAATTCTCTGTCTGAAAGGTCACATAGCTCTGTTTCTCCAGAATTGGTCCCTGGTGGTTTTTTAAGTTCACTTTGTGAGGTCATGTTTTCCTGGATTGTCTCAATGCTTGTGGGTGTTAGTCACTGTCTGGGCATTCAAGTAGTAGATATTTATTATAGTCTTCATAGTCTGGGCTTGTTGGTACCCATCCTTCTTGGATAGTCTTTCCAAGTGTTTGATGAGATTTGAGTGTTGTAATCTAAGCCATATCTACATTAAGGAACACGCCAAACCCATAACACTATGCTTCTTGCAGACTCATAGAGATACCACCTTGGTGGTCTTCAGTAAGAGCTGGAAGAATTTTCTGGTTTACTAGGCAAAGACTCTTGTTCTCTTCCCTTACTTTCTCCCAAACAAATGGAGTTTCCCTCTGTGTGCTGAGCTGCCATCAAAACTGGGACTCTGTTGGGTTAGACCTTGTATTAATTCGTTTTCATACTGCTATGAAGAAATACCTGAGACTGGGTAATTTACAAAGGAAAGAGGTTTAATTGACTCACAGTTCTGCATGGCTGGGGAGGCCTCAGGAAACTTACAATCATGGCAGAAGGTGCCTCTTCACAGGGCAGAAGGAGAGAGAATGAGTGCTGACGAAGAAGGAAGCCCTTTATAAAACCATCAGATCTCCTGAGAACTAATTCACTATCATGAGACACAGCATGGGGGAAACCACCTCCATGATTCAATTCTTCAATCATGATTCAAGGGTCCTGCCTTGACATGTGGGAATTATTACAATTCAAGGTGAGATTTGGATGGGGACACAGAGCCAAACCATATCAGACCTGAAGCCAGCACAGCACTGAGTCTCACCCAAGGTCCACTGTAACCACTACCTGGTTACCACATGTGATTGTTCAAGGCCCCAGGGCTCTACAATCAGCAGGTATAAATCCAGCCAGACTCGTGTTCCTCTAGGACACAGATGGGTCCAGAGATGCCATCTGGGAGTCAGAGATTGGAGTGAAAAACCTTAGAAATCTACCTGATGCTTTATTTATTGCACCTAAGCTGGCACTCAAACCATGAAACAAAGTTGTTTCCACTCTTCCCTTCCCTTTCCACGGGTAGATGAGCCGCTCCCTATTGTCACCATTACCACAGGCCCATGAGGAGTACTGCCAGTTTACCACCAATGTTCGCTTAAGACTCAAGGGCTCTTGGGTCAGCTTGTGGTGAATGCTGCCAGGCCTGGGACCCATTCTTCAGGGCAATGGGTTCCCACTCTGGCTCAGGGTAGGTCCAGAAATGCCATCAAAGAGCCAAGGCCTGGAATCAGGGATGATCCCATTTTTAAGAAGATTATCCTTTGCTTATTGAATTGCCTTGGCATCTTTGTAAAACGGTATTCAATTATGTACGTATACATGTGAGTATATTTCTAGACGTTCTGTTTTCTTTCATTAACCTATATTTCTATCTTAATGCCAATATCACATAGTCTTCATTTATATAGCTTTATATTTAGTCTTAAATAAATCAGGGTAAGTTCTCCAAGTTGTTCACCGTTTTTGAAGTTGTTTTAGCTATTTTAGGTCCCTTGCATTTCTATGGCAATTTTAGAATCAGTTTGCCAATGTCTAAAAAAAATCCTGCTAGAATTTTGATTGGGATTGTCTTAAATCTATAGAAAAATTTGAGTAATATTAAAATATTGTTTCAATCCATGCACATATTATATTTCTCTTGTTTTTAGATTTATTTCTCTCAGCAACATCTTATAGCTTTGTTTATAAATTGATCCCTTAATTTCATATTTCTGTGCTATTCTTTGATTTCTGACAGTTTATTGCTTTTATATGTACCTTTAATTGATTTTTATGTGTTGATCTTGTATTATGTTACTTACATAAACTCATTTTATAGTCCCAGAAGATTCTTTTGTACATTTGGTGTGATTTTCTGTATAGCTGATCATGTCTTTTGCAAATAATAACAGTTTTCTTTCTTTCTTTCCAATGTAGTTGGACTGTTATTGCACTTGTTTCTGTTTCTTTCCTTATTGCACTGGTTTAAACCTCCAGTCATATGTCTAACAGAAGTGGGGAAGTGGCCATCCTTGTCAACTTTCTGATCGTAGGTAGAGTTTTTAACTAAAAATTTAGTTTTTAAAATACACGATACTACTCAGGCTACATAGCTTTTTTTTTTTTTTTAAATGACTGTTAATGTTTTGTAATTTAAAAAAATTTTCAATTTTTTCTTAGTTGTTAAAATTATTGACATGAAATTGTTTACAATGTCCCCTTATTATCCCTTAAATTTCCATAGCATGATGTCACCTCATTCATTCCTGATATTGATAATTTATCTATTTTCTTATTTTTCCTGACTGAGTCTGGCTAAAGTTACATGGTGTTTGTAGTCTTTCTCAAGGCCAACTTTGGTTTCATAGATCTTTCTTTTTTGTTGTTCTCACTATTATGGATCTTTGTTCTTTATTATTATTTCTCTACTGCTTACTTAGTGTTTAATTTCTTCTTTTACAAGTTTATAAATGTGGAAATGGAAGTCATTGATTTGAGATCTTTCTTTTTTTCTAATATGACCTCTAATGGTAAAAATTTTGCTCTGAGTAATTTTTGTTGCATCCCACAATTTTGGTATGTTGTATTTTAATTTGCAATTTGTTTAAAATATTCTCTAAGTATTTTGGACTCATATCTCTATTTAATATTTTGTTTCTAAATATTTTGGGGTTTTACAGTTACTTTTCTGTCACTGACTTCTAACATTATTTTGGCCAGAAAATATTCTTTGTCTTTGTATCTTTCTTAACAATGTCACAATGTCTTTCATATAGCAAATTTTTAAAAAAATTTTCCTGAGCTCTAGTATGTCACATTTTCCTCTGATGAATTGTATTTTTTGCTATCAACTCTAAGAACTCTTTTCCTAGTCCTGGATCATGGGGATTTTATATTCTGGAAGTTTTAGTGTTTTATACTTTACATTTAAGTGCATAATCTATTGTGCTAAAATTGTATAAATTGTGAGGTTTCGATGGAGGTTCTTTTCATTTCTTATATTTTGTTTTGTTTTGCTGATGAATGTCCAGCTGCCCATCATAATTTATTGTAAACTATCTTTCTC
Organism: Homo sapiens; assembly: GCF_000001405.40. Lineage (NCBI taxonomy): Eukaryota > Metazoa > Chordata > Mammalia > Primates > Hominidae > Homo > Homo sapiens. The sequence goes on from NC_000010.11 coordinate 76,495,279, forward strand.
TTCCATTGAATTGTTTGTTCCTTTATTAAAAAATAATTGATCATATTTGTGTAGAACTTTTTTGGGTTCTGTATACTGTTTCATTGATTAATGTATCTATCTTGCCACCAATACTATACTATCTTGATTATTAGACATATATAATAAACCATGACATTGAGGAGAGAGATTTCTCCCACTTTATTCTTCCTTTTCTTTCCCATATAAATTCAAGAATATGTTTCTTTATGTCTATAAAGAATCTTATTGACAATTTGATAGGCATTGCATTAAACCTATAGATCTTATAGGAAAAAATATTTTTATTCAACAATTCCACAGTATATTGAGTCTTCCAATTCATGAACATGGTATACCTCTTCTTGTATTTAGGTCTTTTAAAATTACTTTCACCTGAAATTATAAAATTTCAGAATTTTGTAATTTTTTTATACAAATTGTATATATACTTTATTAGATTTATACCTAAGTATTTCATGTATTTGGGTAATTGTAAATGGTATTACATTAGTTATTTCAGATTCCACCTGTCCATTTTCAGTATATAGAAAATGCAATTGATTTGTTTGTATTAATCTTGTGTCCTGACACCTTATTGAACTTGCTTATTAATTTCAGGAGTTCTTTTATAGACTCCTTGAAGTGTTTTATATAGACAATTATGCTGTCTTGTAACAGAGACTTTTTTTTTCTTTTCCAGTTTACCTGCCTTTTATTTTACTTATTTACTTTTTAACATATTGCCTTTCAAGACTTGTTAGTTGGGATAAAAACAGCCTTAATCTACAGCTAATTTTGCCCCCACTATATAGAGCCAATGCCTTTCTGGGTCTTGTACCCAGTGCACCATGGTTTACTAGATTTTCCACTCTAGTTGGTGGGAACATGAACTATCCCAGCTCTGTGTAATGTCTGAAGATTGTTTCCTCTGGTCCTTTCAGGTAGTTTTCTTCTAGCTCTTTTCTAAAAACTCATGTAGTTGCCTCCCACATATCCCCTGACTAGTATTCAGCTGAAGACTTGCAGGTAACTCTCTGCAACTTTCCAGAGCTTTTTTGATACAGCTCTATCTGCTGCAGTAATCTGCCTATTGAGATCTAGTCATCTTACCCTCCCAGCTCCATCTCAGCAAACTGAAGCAATGCTTGAAAATACCTCATTTGTTTTCCCTCTATTAGGACACACTGTCCTACGTTGCTCTATATCCAATGTCTTTCGTATATTTTGTTCAGTATTTTAGTTGCTTCAGGTGGGTGGAGGGTGGGTATGAAAGTGATTCCTGTTAGTTTATCTGGTTGGAATTGAAAGTATCATAAAACTCTATGTTGACTCAGTGTGTTTTTGAAGCTTATTGGGTCTTGATTATTACATTTCAAACTCTACTATCTGTAAGCAAAAGAGACATAGGCCAAGTTATCCTTGTAAAGAACTCATAAGAATTTCCTGACTTACCTGGCTGATGCTTCCTTTGGGGACATTGCCTTCATGATCATATGGGTGTTGGAGTGTTTGTCATGCCAAAGAGAATCTGCATGTGTGACTAATAAGTCAGCATTTCAAGAGGCCTGGCTATACTCTGCTTAAAAGTGAAAAAGCACTGGATTGGCAGGCATAACAAGGAGAAAGTGGCATTGATATGGTAATAGTGACTTTTTAATGGTCTAAGGAAAGATTCCCTCTATTCTTTAACTGTGCATTGGTGGTAGGGTGTTGTGTAGGTTTCTTGTCTGCCAAGGCAATGAACAGATACATTATGGTCACTTTTGTGGATTATAATAGGGAAAATGATGATTCGAAGGAAAGTTAAAAGGTATTTAATAATGAGAATTGTATTAGCTTTCAAATATCTGTTTTCCCTTCACTTACTTCCTTGTTATCTCTTCACTGGGAGATGTGCTTCCATGGCTTTCATCTTTTTTTTCCCCTCTTTTAAAAGATATTTCAAACTTTCTTTTCATACATTTCTCTTATATATTTTAGGCAAGTAGAAGAAACCCAATGTTGTCTGCATTTGTGTAGTTTATGTGTGCCCAGGCCTATATGACTAGTGTTTTGATAACACAGAATCATGATCTGCTTTGACATTCCAAAATTATGGAGGAGAGAAAGTACCACTCTTTGCACCCTTGTTTTCTTGTAGGACCCTTAAAGACTAATATTAAAACATTTGCCCTTCTCAAGACAATTCAACACCCCCTCTTCTTCAGGTAATGTCTGCCACCATGCCCACCACTTCAACTCAAGTATACCCCACTGACTCTATTCAGTAGAGAGATGGCAAAAGTGTGAAATTGTATTCTCTTCCCCCTATTTCAGTTCTCTTTTTGAAGAGGAAACCAACCAACCAAGTTTATATCTTGAAATTACTATCTGTGGGATATTTGCAGCTGAGACTAAGTCCTAGTGCTTTCTTAATAAAAGCTATGCATGTAAATAGGGTCAGCTTTTGGGCTGACATTGCATTTGAATTAAAATCTGGCATCTCCACACCATTGACAAATCTGACAGCTGGAGCAGCAGTCACCTCATCATATCTCTCAGTTGTGTCTTTCCTGGTTTTTGGCATCCTTCCTGTCTAAATTTTTATCAGATGAGCACTTTTCCTTGGCAAGTACTTTAAATACCTTCAACTTGTTTTATCTCTGAACTGTAACCCTTTGCCCTCAGATGTCATATCTCACATGTATGACTGGAGGATATTCAGAACAAATTAGTTAAGAATGCAACACCAGAGTGCAATTTCATTTGGTCTTCTCCCTGCCCCATCCTCTTCCCAAATATTGGAGCTTCCTGTTGAAGAGACCTTTATGGACATTGATTAATTTCATGGAAGCTACTTAATGGTCTTGCAAATTGGAACAGTTGTAAGTTTTGATTGTGACACTGCAGGGCTAACTCCACCTGTGCTAAGCATTCAGCATTGTTTTCTTTGGCTTTGCTTCATTCACGATAATCAAGGACTTGGGTTCATTACCAGCATTAGCAAGCCTCAAAGGCCTCTCATAAATCCAAGCCAAACACTGTGTTAGGAGGTTCCTTAGATTAATGGCAGCCCTGGTTCTCTGAGGCTGTGTTGAGATCTGAGAGAAGGTAATGTTCACTCGGCTTCAGCATTTCTACTTGTAGTTCAAAGCCAAACCTGGAGGTACAGGATGATCTGCAGGCAACAAGAGATAGAATGTGGGCCTGCAAAAGGTACCACCTGTATACATGATGAGCTCTTCCTGCCTGGCACGCAAAGAACTTTAGAGTTTTCCTCAAGCCTTTTCCTATGAAAACTCTCAGGTTTTGTCAGCTGGGTCAATCCATTGCCTTTCCAATACACCTGGAGCATTTCTTCCTTGATGAATTAAGGGCTGAACAAGGATGCATGTCAGGGGTGAAACCCTTTGAAGAGTGCAAAAATAAAAATTGGTTGTTTAGTAAGTAGAAAGATAAATCAAAACCAATCTATAAAAGTTAGATTCATATCTCTTTTCAGGGTCACAATTTGCCTTTGTTTTCTAGCATCTTCATCGGTGCTTGCAACTGAAATGGGTCTTCTTTTGACTCTTGGTCTTTCCTTAGTTAAGGGTGAGGGAGACTCTTTGGTTCTCCAGCGGACAAAAGAAGACAGCTAACAAATAAGTCACTCTTTCTTCCATAGTCTATTTATAAGCCTTACAAGTTAATGCTGGAAAGGCCAATGAGAAGAAAAATAAAACAACAGTAGTAGTAGTAGTAATAAGCATGATCATCATCATCATCATTGGCCGCATTTTTAGAGAATTTGCTATGTACCAGGCACTGTTGAAAAGAAAAATAACTTTACTGAGATATAATACACATTCAATAAAATTCATTCACTTGAAGTATAACAGTTCAGAAGTTTTTAATATATTTACAGAGTTGTGCAACTGTCACCACTATCTAATCTTAGAACATTTTTGTCACCCCCATAAGCTGCCCTATATCATGAGCTGTCACTCTCCATTCCTCTTGAGCCCCCAACCCCTGTCAAGTACTAATCTACTTTCTCTATATATGTATTTGCGCATTCTGGACATTTCACATAAATGCAATCATATAGTGTGATCTTTTGTGCCTGGTGTCTTTCACGTAGCATGTTTTCAAGGTTCATCATATTATAGCCCATGTCAGTACTTCAGTTCTTTTTAGAGATGAATAATATTCTATTGTCTAGGTACAGACATGCCACATTTTGTTAATTACCATCAGCTGATGAATATTTTGACTAGAATTCAGGCATTATACTTTTATTTTTAACCTTTCATTTTGAATTAATTTCACACTGTTGAAAAATTAGTAAAATTATTTCTTATACACCCTTCTCCCAGATTTCCCAGTTATTAACAGCTTATATAATCACAGTACAATGATCAAACATCGATACAATACTATTATCTCATCTAAAGACCTTATTCAAATTTCTCCCTCTGTTGTACTAACATTCTTTTTCTAGCACAGGATCCAACCCAGGATCACATATTGCATTTAATTATCATGTCTCCTTAGTCTTTTTAAATCTGGAACATTTCATCATTTTTTAACTTTGAGACTTTACATTTTTAACTTTAAATATATATTATTTTTATGTTATATATTTTTTAGAAATAGGGTCTCACTCTGTAACCTAGACTGAGGGCACTGGCATGATTGTAGCTTACTACAGCCCCAAACTCCTTGGTTCAAGTGATCCTCCTGCCTCAGCCTTCTGAGTAGCTAGGACTACAGGCATGTGATACTGTACCTGGCTAATATTTAAGATTTTTTTGTTTAGAGACAGGATTTTGTTTTGTTGCCAAGGCTGATATCAAACTCCTGGCTTTAAGCAATCCTTCTGTCCCAGCCTCCCAAAATGCTGGAATTACAAGTATCAGCCACTGGGCCTGGCCTTAGTTTTATATTTTAAAAGCTAAGCACGCTTACTGCAGAAGAATATATAAAACATGTAAGACAGAATGAATAGAAATCACCCTTATTTCATTACCATTAGATGGTCACTATTGACAATTTGATCTATTTCTGTCCTTCTATTCATATTATTGAAAATATAATTTATATTCTCTTTTAAACCAGCATTATATCATGACCATTTTCCATGCATTAAGAACTCTTAAAAAACATAATAGTTTCATAATGGTCCATCTTGTGGTTAATACATACTGCCCTCCAGCATATCTGTGATATTAAACATTTAGGTTTTCTCTGGTGAAACAAAATGAAATTAGTCAATGTGTATGAACTGTTTTAAGGTTACTAATTTGTATTGCTAAAATGACTTCCAAAATGATGATATCAATATAAATTCCCTTAGGACTCTGTGAAAGCCTGTTTCACCACACCATCCTCAGCACTGGGGAAATTCATCTTTTTCCAATGTTTGAAAAATTAAATTCCACTGTGCCTTTAGTTTGCATTTCCTTATTAGTGATATTAACTTTTAAAAACAGTTATCAATTTGTGTATTTTCTTTGGTGAATTGTCTCTTTGTATGCAAAATATAATTTTTTAATTATAAAAGAAATCAAGGAAAAGGTATGCTTTACACACTATGCTTATTTTCTGCCTTTTTTTAAAAAAAAAATAAAAGTAACTTCAACATTTATTTTAGATTCAGAGGGGTACATGTGCAGGCTTGTTACATGGGTCTATTGCGTGATGCTGAGGTTTGGGATATGGATGATCCCATCATGTAGGTAGTGAGCATAGTACCTAAGAGGTAGTTTTTCAGCCCACACTCCCTTTCTCCTTCTCCTCTCTAGTAGTCTCCAGTGTTGATCGTTGTTTCCATTTGTATGTCTATGTGTACTCAGTTCTTAGCTCCCACTTATAAGTGAAAGCATGTGGTATTTGGTTTTCTGGTCCTGCATTATTTTGTTTAGGATTAGCCTGCCGCTGTATCCATGTTGCTGCAAATGACATTTCATTATTTGTATAGCTGTGCAGCATTCTAAGGTGAACATATACCACAGTTTCCTTATTCAGTCTACTACTGATGGGCACTTGGGTTGATTCCATGTCTTTGGTATTGTGAATGGTGCAGCAATGAACATTCAAGTACATGTGTCTTTTTGGTAGAACAATTTATTTTCTTCTGGGTGTATACCCAGTAATTGGGTTACTGGTTGAATGGTAGCTCCGTTTTATGTTCTTTGAGAAATTTACAGACTGCCTTCCACAGTGGCTGGACTAATTTTCATTCTGACAGTGTGTAAGCATTTGCTTTTCTCCATGGCCTCACCAGCATATGTCATTTTTTGACTTTTTAATATAGCAATTCTGACTGGTGTGAGATGGTTTTCCATTGTGGTTTTCATTTGAATTTCTCTAATGATTAGTGATGATGAGGATTTTTTCATGTTTGTTGTATGTTTTCTTTTGAGATGTGTCTGTTCATGTCCTTTTCCCATTTTTGATGGGATTATTTCTTTATTGCTTGTTGATTTTTTTAAGTTCCCTATAGATTCTGGATATTAGGTCTTTGTTGGATGCATAGTTTGTGAATATCTGCTCCCATTCTTTAGGTAGTTTGTTTGCTCTATTGATAGTTTCTTTTGTTGTACAGAAGTTCTTTCGTTTAATTAGGGCTCACTTGTCTATTTTTGTTTTAGTTACAATTGCTTTTGGGGATTTAGCCCAAAATTCTTTGCCAAGGCCTCTGTCATGAAGAGTATTTCCTATGTTGTCTTCCAGGATTTTTATAGTGTGAGGTCTTACATTTAAATCTTTAATCCATTTTGAGTTAATTTTTTACATGTGGTGAAGGGTAGTGGTCCAGCTTCAATCTTCTGTATATGGCTAGCCAGTTATCCCAGCATCATTTATTGAAAAGGGAGTCCTTTTCCCATTGCCTATTTTTGTCAGCCATGTCAAAAATCAGATGGTTGTAGTTTTGCCACTTTATTTCTGTGTTTTCTTTTCTCTTCCATTTGTCTATGTGTATGTTTTCATACCAGTAGCAAGCTGTTTTGGGTACTGTGGCTTTACAATATAGATTAAGGTCTGGTAGTGTGGTGCCTCCAGTTTTGTTCTTTTTGCTTAGGATTGTTTTGGCTATTTGAGCTCTTTTTTTGTTTCATATGAATTTTAAAATAGTTTCTTCTAATTCTGTGAAGAATGACATTGGCAGTTTGATAGAAGTAACCTTGAATCTATAAATTTCTTTGGGCAGTATGGCCATTTTTATATTGCTTCTTCTAATCCATGACCATGGAATGTTTTTCCATTTATTCATGTTGTCTCTGATTTCTTTCAACAGTGTTTTGGAGTTCTCCTTGTGGAGATATTTCACCCTCTTGGTTAGCTGTGTTCCTAAGTATTTTAATTTCTTTGTAGTGATTGTAAGTGGGATTGTTTTCTTGATTTCACTCTCAGCCTGGACATTGTTGGTTTATAGAAATGCTGCTGATTTTTGTACATTGATCTTTGCATCCTGAAACTTTACTACAATTTTTCCTTTTTTTTCTTTCTTTTTTTTTTGCTAAAGTGGTTTATGAATTTTGGGAGCCTTTTGGCAGAGTCTTTAGGGTTTTCTAGGTATAGAATCATTTTGTCAGAGAAGATAGTTTGATTTCTTCTTTGCCTATTTGGATGCCTTTTATTTCTTTCTCTTGACTGATTGCTCTGGCTAGGGCTTCCAATACTATTTTGAATAGGAGTGGGGAGAGTGGACATATTTGTCTTGTTACAGTTCTCCCAGGGAATAATGCTTTCAGCTTTTGTCTCTTCAGTATGACATTGGCTATGGGTTTGTCATAGATGGCTCTTATTATTTTGAAGTATGTTCTTTTAACACATAGTCTGTTGAGTGTTTTTATCATGAAGGGATGTTGGATTTTATCTAAAGCTTTTTCTGCATCTATTGAGATGATCCTATGGCTTTTGGTTTTAATTCTGTTTATGTGATGGATCACATTTATTGATTTGTATATATTGAACCAACCTCACATCACAGGAATAAAGCCTATTTGATCTTGGCAAATTAACTTTTTAATGTTGATTCACCAAGATCAAGTAGAATTTATTCTGGAGCCTACGGACTGGCGCTGACATTGTAGAATGAGTAAGGGAGGAGCCCCTCATCCCTGATTTTTTAGAATAGTTTCAGTAGGATTGGTACCCATTTTTCTTTGCATGTCTGGTAAAATTTGGCTGAGAATCTATCTGGTCTGGGGCTTTCTTTGATTGGTAGTTTTTTTTTTTCAATTGTTGATTCAATTTTGAATGTGTTATTGTTCCGTTCAGGTTTTCACTTTCTTCCTGGATCAATCTTGGGAGATTGTATGTTTCCACGAATTTATCCATTTCCTGTAGATTTTCTAATTTCTGTGCATCAAGTTGTTCATAATAGTCTCTGAGGATCTTTTGTATTTCTGTGGTATCAATTGTAATGTCATCTTTGTCACTTCTGATTTTGCTTATTTAGATCTTCTGGGTTTTTTTCATTATTAGTCTAGCTAGAGATCTATGAATTTTGTTTATTCTTTTGAAGATCTAGGTCTTGGTTTCATTGATCTTTTGCATGGATTTTTGCATTTCAATTTCATTTAGTTGTTCTCTAATTTTAATTATTTATTTCTCTGTTATCTTTGGGGTTGGTTCTTTTTTTTTTTTAAGTTCCTCTAAGTATGGTGTTGGATTGTTAACTTGAGGTCTTTCTAACTTCTTGATGAAGGTGTTTAGCACTATAAACTATCTCCTTTTAACACTGTTTTAGCTGCATCCCAAAGATTTTGGTAAGTTGTGTCTATATTTTCATTAATTTCAAAGAATTTTTTTTATTTCTGCCTTAATTATTTTGTTCATGCAAGAGTTACTGAGGAGCAAGTTGTTTAATTTCTCTGTATTTGTATAGTTTTGAGAGATCTTCTTGGTATTGATTTCCATTTTTATTATGGTGTGGTCCAAGAGTGTGCACAGTATGATATCAACTTTTTTGAATTTATTGAGACTTCCTTAATGATTGAGCATATGGTTGATATTAGAATATGTTCCATGTGCAGATGAGAAGAATATATATTCTGTTGCAGTTGGGTATAGTATTCTTTAAATGTCTATTGGGTCCAATTGGCTGAGTGTCATGTTTAAATCCATAATTTTTTTGTTCATTTCTGCCTCAATGATATGTCAGTAAAGTCTGTCAGTGGAGTGTTGAAGTTTTCCATTATTATTGTGTGGGTCTTCTTGTAGTTGTTTTATGAATCTGGATGCTCCAATGTTGGGTACATATATGTTTATGATAGTTAAATCTTCTTGTTAAATCAAAACCTTTCATTATGTAATGTCCTTCTTTCTGCTTTTTGTTTGTTGATGTTTTAAAGTTTGTTTTATCTGATATAAGAATAGTGAGTAGTGCTCTTTTTTCCTTCCTGTTTGCACGGTAGATCCTGCTACTTTTAGCCTGTGGATGTCATTACGTATGAGATGGATCTCTAAATGATGGCAGAGAGTTTGATCTTGTCTTTTTATCCAGTTGGCCACTCTATGCCTTTTAAGTGGGGTGTTTAGACTGTTTACATTCAGGGTTATTATTGATATCTGAGATTTTGACCCTGTCATCATATTGTTAGCTGGTTGTTTTGTAGAATTGATTGTGTAGTTTCTTTATAGTGTCTGTGGGCTATGTGCTTAAGTGTGTTTTTGTGGTAGCAGGTATCATTCTTTTGTTTCCATGTATAGCACTCTGTTAAGGACCTCTTGTAAGGTTGGTCTAGTGGTAATAAATTCCCTCAGTATTTGCTTGTCTGAGAAGGATTTTATTTCTCTTTTGCTTTTGAAGCTTAGTTTGGCAGAATATGAAACTGTTGGTATGAAATTTCTTTTTTTTTTTTTAAGGATACTGGAAACAGGCTCCCTATGTCTTCTGCCTTGTAAGAATTCTGCTGAGAAGTCCACTGCTAGCTTGATGGGATTCCCTTTGTAAATGAACGGATCCTTCTCTCTAGCTACCTTTATGATGTTCTCTTTTGCATTTACCTTGATGATTCTGGTAACTATGTTCCTTGGGGATTGTCATCTTGTATAGTATTTTGCAGGGGTTCTTGGTATTTCTTGAATTTGCATGCCAGCCTGTCTAGCAAGATTGGAGAAATGTTCATGGATTAATAATAATGTCAATGACTTGTAGGTTTGGTCTCTTTATATAACCATATATTTCTCAGATGTTTTGTTCATTTTTTAAAAATTATTTTTTAAAAAATTTTTATCTGAGTTTACTCAAATAACTGGTCTTCAAGCTCTGAGATTCTTTCTGTGGCTTGGTCTATTCTGCTGTTAATGCTTCTTATTGTATTATGAAATTCTCATAGTGAATTTTTTCAATTCCAGAAGTTCAGTTTGGTTCTTTTTTGAAATGGCTATTTTGTCTTTTAGCTCTTGGATCATTTTACTGGATTCCGTGAATTTCTGGATTGGGTTTGAATGTTCTTCTTGATCTCAATGAGCTTCCTTGCCATCCACAATGAATTCTATGTGTGTCATTTTAGTCATTTCAAACTGATTGGATACCATTGCTTATGAGCTAGGGTGCTTATTTGGAGGGAAAGGAACACTCTGACTTTTTGAATTCTCAGGTTTCTTGCATGGATTCTTTCTCATTTGAGAGGACTGGTGTTTCTTTAGCTGTAGCATAAGTTGAGTATAATCAATTGGCTTTGTTTCTGGGCGCTTTCAGGGTGCCAATGCTCTGTACAGGATCTGTACTTAAAGCTGGATTTTTGCCCCTTCTCTAGGAGCTATTTGGGGCCAGGAACTGTCCCTGACATTTGACAAATCTATGCAGGGTTCCCAGCTTCCTCCCTCTTCAGCCTTGGGGTCTGCCTCACCTCTCTTTTGACTCTTGGTATTTTCTCTTTGAAAATCTGTTCAAAATATGTTAGCTTACCCAATTTTTGGTCTTTCTTGGTGACAGCAGTGCTTCCTGACTGTGTCCAGTTGGACGTCTTGTCCAGAACCCCTGGTGATTATTTTTAAAATGAAGCTTTGTTGTAGCACTCTTGGCCAATTTAATATAATGTCCTTTTTTCCCTTTATAAGTTAGCCTTCATGTCTTCAGTCTACACTTAGACATTCAGGTCCTAAATATTACCTTTGCATATTCAGTATACACCAGCTCCATTCATAGCTGAACACTTCACCAGGTTCCTAATTCCTGAAAGAACAGAAGCCATATCTGTATCCCAGGAGGCTGGGGCGACAAGATGGTGGATCTCCCCTTATTTTCTTTTCATACATTTTTTCACCAAAATTTGACTTGTATTTGCAGCTATCTGCTATCAAACACTAGAAGTTATTCTTTCTCACTGTATTTTTGTAGCTATCAACCAACTTTTCTTCATCCCTCTCTCCCCTCTACTTTTCTCAACCTCTGTTAACCACTATTCTACTTTTTAGCTCCATGGCATAAGTATTTTTTAGTTCCCACATATGAATTATAACATACAATATTTTTCTTTTTGTGCCTGGCTTATTTAACATAATATCCTCCAGTTCCATCTATGTTGCTGCAGAATGACAGGATTTCATTCTTTTTATGGCTGAATATTCCATTGTGCGTATATAACACATTATCCATTTATCTGTTGGTGGACATTTAGCTTGATTCCATATCTTGGCTATGGTGAATAGTGTTGCAACAAATATAGGAGTACAGATACCTCTGCAATATATTTATTTACTTTCTTTTGGACATATACCCAGCAGTGGGATTTCTGGATCATATGGTAGTTCTACTGTTTATAAATTTTTTGTACTGGCTGTGCTAATTCTAATTCCCACCGTAAGTATATGAATGTTCCCCTTTCTCTGCATCTTTACCAGCATCTGTTATTTTGTGTCTTTTTGATAATAGCCATTTTAACTGAGGTGAGTTAATAATTCATTGTAGTTTTGATTTGCAGTTCCTTGATGATTAGCAATGTTGAACATTTTTTTTTTCATATACCTATTGGCCATTTGTATGTCTTCTTTTGAGAAATGTCTATTCAGATCTTTTGCCCATTAAAAAAAAATCAGATTGTTATTAATATTATTTTTGCTATTGATTTCCTTATGTATTTTGGTTGTTAATCCCTTGGCACATGTATAATTTGCACATATTTTCTCCTATTTTGTAGGTTATGCATTCATTTGTTTATTGTTTTTGTTTTTTGCTATGCAAAACTTTTTAGTGTGATGTAATCCTATTTGTCTCTGAGTCTTCTTATCCTTATCTTAGAAATGAATCTAATACTATTTGTCTGTCTGTGTTGTTGGCTGTGCTTTTGAGGTCTTACTCAAAAAATATTTGCTAAGATTGTTATCCTAAAGTATTTCCTCATTGTTTTCCCCTAGTAGTTTCATAGTTTTGGTTCTTATATTAAGTTTTTAATCCATTTTTATTTTATTTTTGTATGGGCTAAGAGATAGGGGTCTAATTTTATTGTTCTGCATATGGGTGTCCAGTTTTTCCCACACCAATCATTGAAGAGACTATCCTTTCCCCAGTGTATGTTCTTGATGCCTCTGTCAAAAATGAGTTGGCTATAAATGCCTGGGTTTATTTCTGGGTTCTCTATTTTTTTCCATTGGTCTATGTATCTGTTTTTGTGCCAGTACCATGTAACTCTGGTTACTATAGCTTTATAGTACATTTTCAAATCAGGCAGTGTAATGCCTCCAGCTTTGTTCTTTTTGCTCAAGACTGCTTTGGGTATTCCAGGAGAATGACATTTTTGAAGAATACTAGCCAATTATTTTATGCAATATCCCTCAATTTAGAATTTTTAGATGCTTCTTCATGAGTAAATTTAGATGATGCATATTTGGCCAGAATAGCATACTGCATCCTTCTCAGTGCATTGTATCAGGAGGTATGTGATATCAATTTCTCCCAGTTGTGGTGATACCAGCTTTGATCACTTGGTTAAGGGGAAATCTGTCAGGTTTCTGAAAAGAGTTCCTGTTTTCCTTTGTATTTAATAAGTATCTTGTGGGGAGATATTTTGAGACTGTGTAAGTATCCTGTTCCACATGATAATCTCCTTCACTAAGTTTAGCACCTGTTGGTACTTACCTACAACAGTTATTACCGTGGTGTTTGCCAAATGGTGATTTTCTACTCTCATCACTTCTTATACATTTATTTCTCCAAATACTGCTGTGAGAAAGAGTTTACCATGCTCTCCTATTTATATATTTACTTATTTATAACATTGTGGTCTCATGGATTCTTACTTTATTCTATGGGTTATAATCCATTACTGTTGTTATTTATGTTGTTGATCAAACTGTTTTAAGATTTGCCCATTGGGAGACTGTTCCATTTGACTCTTGACTTTTTTTTTTTACATGCCCTTGTTATTTATTGTGCTATTCCTTATTTTCTTTTATAAGTTGATCTTATACTTTTCTTTGTCTGGAATTAGCCATTTCTCCAAGGAAATCTGATGACTTTTACTGGAGGAAGGTACTTAGAAATCATGATCTGGACCGTGTTCTATTTTATCTTCTCCCTATGAGTTAGGCACAATTAGCAATCCTACATTTTTAATGAAATAACTGAGAACTCAAGAAGTTAAATAATACATCTGATGCCACACAACTGAAGGTGATAGAACTACTATTTGAACCCAGTCTAAAGTTTGGTCTCCAGTGTCCATACTTAAATTTAATTTCTCTCTGGGATTGGAAAGCTTTTCCAGTGTCTCTGAGTCTTCTTTTCCTTGTCTTAGCAATGAGTCTAGTACTATTTGCCTCTCAGTGTTGTTGTGATGGCTAAATGAAAGGACACATCGGAAATTGTCTATACATTATTTGTTCCATAGTGGATACTCAAATATACGTTGAATTTGAGCTATATTCACTCAGTATTCATAAACACCCACTTTGTTCGCAGCACTGAGGTAGAAAATATGCAGGTACATGCATATTTCCTGGTAAGAGCTCATATTTCCTGGCAATAATTTCTAATGTCACTCCTTCCTGTGCATCCAATATAGGATACCAGAATCCTTTCCAAGATAGAATTTAGGCAGACACTACTGAACAAATGAAACGTATTTGCTGCCCTAGACATGAGTGATGAAGGGTTGGGAGAACAGGCGTGACTCTACCAAAAACAGGCAGATAATCCAGGCTCACATTTCAAAACACCTTGCAACTTAAGTTTCTAACCATTTTCTAACAGTCCTTGAAATTATGCTAATATAAGGACTTCCAGGCAACATAGAAGACTGGGTGTACATGCTAATACACAAATGACATAGAGGATCAGCATCCCAACTTCTTGGAATATGCCAGACAGTAATAAATGTAACAGCCACAAAATTCCAGCCTTGCTTAATTTGGGGAAATGAGAATCAGTTTGTTCTTCCCCTGCTGGCACTGAACAGTGGTTTGCAGGATCACTGCGTGGGAAAGATCTGACAGTAGAGATCTGAGAGGCTGTCTGTGTGAAGGCTGAATTTCATGAACTATCTCATTGTTGGGATGGTTCCCTTTCAGCCTCGTGGTAAGTACAACACTCAGGTCACTGTAAGCGCAGGGCAGGCAAGCTTAAGCCACAATGAGTGAAAATATGTGTGTATTGGGTTGGGGGAAGGGATTTTAGTCTGGATTATCTGAAGCTCAGACTTTAAGCTGAGAGCCTGGGCTGCCAAGCAGGTATATGTAAAGGACAGCTCAAAGCTGAGGTTTAAAACTAGTATGCTCCAACCAGGCTGTGAAAGTAACTAAAGTAGCTGAGTGCCTCAGATCACCTAATGTTTATTTTTGTTTTGTTTTATTTTTTGTTTTTCCATTTTTGTTGTTGTTTGTTTGTTGTTTTTTCTGAGACAGAGTCTGGCTTTGTTGTCTAGGCTGGAGTGGAGTGGCACGATCTCGGCTCACTGCAACCTCCGCCTCCCGGATTCAAGCGATTCTCCTGCCTCAACCTCCTGAGTAGCTGAGACTACAAGCGTGTGCCACCACGCTTGGCTAATTTTTGTATTTTTAGTAGAAACGGGGTTTCACCAAGTTAGCCAGGCTGTTCTCGAACTCCTGACCTCAGGGAATCCACCCACCTTGGCCTCCCAAAGTGCTGGGATTACAGGCGTGAGCCACCACCCCCAGCCGCCCTAATGTTTTACAAGTTTGAGACATAAACCTGTGGCATGCTTTTTTTTGGGAACATGATTCAGAAATCACTTTTTCCTATCAAAAAGCAGAAAAATGAGCCATGATGATTGGAATCCTTCCTGATCTTATAGGTAGACTGGGAAAGCATAGCTGGGAAGAGCACAGACAGGGAGATCAGAAGAACCTCGGACTGCCACAAAATGTGTAATGCCAGGTAACCTAAGCCAGCCAGTCAATTTATCTGGGGATCACTTCTTCACTTGTACAGCGAACAAGATGAATTAGATAATTGTATAATTCCTTGGAGCTCTGAAATTCTACTGCACAAATAGATGCCTCGTGATCGCTGTTGAGATGAGGTCTTCCAGAGCCTGTGATCCCAGATGTGATTGATCATCTTGCCAGAGCTTTAGCCACCTTCTCACCTGTTAGACAATTCCTGCCCCTGTGTCTCTACTGTATCGCCTTTCACAGCTCATATGCTGCACCTATGCAGTCTTCTTCAGGGTAAGCTGTGTGAAGTTTAAGTTTCTTATAACTATTAAACTTCATCTTGCAAAGGATTCTTCCTTTGAAGACCAGGTTGCAAAGTAAATAAAAATGAAACTACACTTGATAAAGCAGGGATGGGAAGTCTGTAACCTTATCCTTATTGTGGGATATTTGAATTGTCTCTATTTTTTGCTATTTGTCTTCAAGTTGTCCTAAGAAGGTGGGATCAATATCCCCCATCCTATTGGTTCAGAGTCAAGACTAATGATGCCACACATGCATGAAGAGTGTATGGAAACATTTATTATTTACATCATGAGGCTTTCTAGGGAGAGCAGAGGAAACACCCAAGCTTTTCTATTAGATTTGAGTGAGGAAGGCACAAGTGGCTTTGGTTTCTACTGTGTGTGGGTGTGGGCTGGCATTAGGGCTCCCGTGTACAGGCTCAAGTTTACGTGGTTTGACTTCTATGCTAGTGCCAAGGAAAGGAGGGCCTGGGATTTTTTTTTAATTGGCTTGCTCATGTGTGAGGGGAAAAGAGAAGTGGGAGAAAAGGGGTCTGAAAGCTGTCAGCAGCCAGATAATGGAGTCAGATGATCTTACATATTAGAAAATTCCAAGGAAACCACTAAAAACCTATTAGAACTAATACATGAGTTAGCAAGATTGCAAGATACAAGATCAATATGTGAAAAATCAATTTTCTTTCTATACATTTACAAAGAACTATCCAAAAATGAAATTAAGAGAATAATTTCATTCACAATAGTATATAAATATATTAAATATATAGGAATAAATTTAATATAATGTGTAAAACTTACATGGTGAAAACTCAAAACATTAAAAAATTAAAGAAGAGCAAAATAATAGAAAGTCCATATTCATGAATTAAAAGTCTTAATATTATCAAAATGACAATATTTCTCAAATTTATCTAGATTCAGCACAATTCCTATCAAAATCTCAGCTGGCTTTTTTTTTTTTGCAGAAATTGACCAGCTAATTTTAAAATTCATATTGAAAAGCAAGGGATCCAGAATAACAAAAATAATCTTGAAAAAGAAGACAAAGTAGGATGACTTGCTGGTATGGTTTGGTTCTGTGTCCCCACACAGGTCTCCTCTTAAATTGTAATCTTGTAATTCCCATATGTTATGGGAGGGACCCAGTGGGAGATGATTTGAATCATGGGGATAGTTTCGCCCATACTGTTCTCGTGGTAGTGAATAAGTCTCACGAGATCTGATGGTTTTATCAGGGGTTTCTGCTTTTGCATCTTCCTCATTTTCTCCTGCTGCCACTATGTAAGAAGTGCCTTTCATCTCCTGCCATGATTCTGAGGCCTCCCCAGCCATGTGCAACTGTAAGTCCAATTAAACCTCTTTTTCTTCCCAGTATCGGGTATGTCTTTATCAGCAGTGTGAAAACGGACTAATACACTCACACTTCCCAATTTCAAAACTTCAAAAACAGTTATGAAGAAAGTATAGTACTAGTATGAGGATAAATGTATAGATCAATGTAATAAAGTTAAAAATTCAGAAATAAAGCCTTACATTTAAGGTCAATTAATTTTTGACAGTGGTGCCAAGACATTTCAATGGGAAAAGAACAACCTTTTCGACAAATGATGATGAGGCAACAGAATATGCCTGTACTCATAAATAAAGTTTCACCCCTTCCTTATACAATATACAAAAATTAACTCAAAATGGATCATAGACTAAATGTAACAGCTAAAATGATAAAATTTTTAGAAGAAAACATAGGAGTAAGTCTTCATGACCTTGGGCTAAACTTCTTAGCAATGATACCAAAAGCAAAGCAACCAAAGAAAAAATAGTGACCCTTAGAATCACCATTAAATAGGAAGATAGTACCCCTTGTATTATGGGCCTTAATTTCTATAGGCCTTGTTTTTTTAATCTGTATTGGGACATATTAACTATTTTAACCAGAGATGGATTATTCTATTTTAGGTTCGTGGTATTCCATTTTTTTAAGCTGATTTTCAATGTCAAAGATTTAATTTTATTTCAATTTATTACTCATTGGGTTAGGTCATATCTACTACGTGATATATGTTAAGGCAACAGGTGCTAAGGCCATGGAGAATTTAGAGAAGGAAAGTGTACCAGTAGTCAAGGTGAGGCATACCTGTTTGCCCTCTACTTTGCATTTGGTAAGCACCCTAAGAGTATGGTAACTCTTTATTACATATAGATCAATGTAATAAATTTATGTTTAAACTCTTAGGGGAGTTACCACATGCAAAATAGAGGACAGTTTAAATTTGGTGAGATCCCCAAACATAACTGTAATTTGAGCCACAGAATTAGTTAAGACCATGAAGGTTTGCCAATTCTTTTCAGCTTAGCAGATTTTAGAGTTAGTTTCAAACCCTGTGTTTTAAAATACAAAAGCTAATTGGCATCCTTTTTACTTTTCAATTTTTATTATATATTTTTAGTACATTTTAGATTTCTAATTGGATCAAATTATGGATCTCTGTTTTAGTTTCCCCCACCACTCACTTTTATTTACTTGCTTTTAAATTTGACGGTTGCTGGATACACTTTAAAGGGGTTGTGTCTTCTTTGTTCAGATGTATATATACACATTTTCCCTTCAGAGAGTACCAACTCATTATCATCAAGCTGAGGGACCTCTCCCATGGCAGTTGTTTTATTGGATAGGGTACTGGCTTAAGTAGAGTTTGAATTAGCCCTTTAACATGTTGATAAGCCACATCACTCAATGAACACCGTGTCTTTGTTGGTCAATTTTATATATAATAGTTGTCTGTTAGTGTCCTCTGGCCCTTTAAGTGGGGCAGGGATAATGCATTCAAGTCTACTTCTCATAAAGGTCTGTGCTTTGGCAGCCATGGATACTCTTTCCCTTTAACTTTGAGGATCAGGTTTTCTTTTGGTGGCAGAGGGATAGGCAGGTCAGGTATGTGTGAATGAACTGTTCCTAGGAGTGTAGACCTCAGTATGCCACAGGGTGACTGTTTGTGACACAATGGCACCCAAAGGGTCCATGTATTACATAGCTTATCAGTATCAGTCTTTTCTGTCATTATTGAATAGGATTCTTTCCTGGTTGAGACACAGAACAAATAGTATTAGGGTAAGAATTGTTTCCCTGAACCTATCATAAACCACAGCTTATGCTAGAATAGAGATTTAATCTGAGGCACAAAGATAGGCCCAGGCTGAGACATATGACCTAGGGCAACTTTAAGTAGCACCCCAATCCCATACTCTCGTCCCTAAATGCCAATATTGAAACTTCAACTTAGGTTGATTAAGTCTATAGAAGAGGCACAGTAGGACTCAGCAAATGCAGCTCAAAATACATGCTAACCTGCAGCCTTCCAAAGTGTCTACTTGCCTGCCAGAAGCAGAGCCTGTTAGCCCACCAAAAGCAAAGGACAAAAGCTCCCCAGGTGATAGTGGCCATCACCTAGATCATCCTCATCAAAGGGCCAGTTGTCAGGTGGTTGCTTAGCAGAGAAGTGGAATCAATCACCCCCTCCCAAAATTGGTTCAGATGTCAAGACGGACAATGCCACAAAAGCACCAGGAAGGTGTGAAAATATTCATTACATCATGAGGCTTTCTGGAGAGAGCAGGGCAGGCATCCAAGTCAGTTTGTTTGGCTTGAGTGAAGGAAGGAGCAAAAGCCTTTGGTTTTTTATTGTGCTTAGGGAGTAGTGTTGGGGAGAGAGTTCCCACATGTGTGCCAATTTTTGCATTATTTGAACTTCCCTCCTTGTGCCAAGCGAGGGAGCACACTGGCTTTCTTACCAGCCTGCCCAGATGTGAGGCTGGGGGAAAAGTGAAGGAGTGCAGCCTGAAAACTGTCAATGGTCAAATATCAAAACTGGAATCACATACTTTATTACGCCATTTAAAGTAATGCCATTGTAGCATGCTGGTGCACACGTCTTCATGGGATCCATGAAGAAATGGGCTTCCTGGAAAGCTAGAAATATGAAGATAGTGCTTTTGTTCAAGTACAATTGGTACTGACTACTACCTCTACCTGCACAAGAACGAAGAAAGTTCTTGCCTATAAAACTGCTAATAAATGGATGTGCATAAATTATTGTAATATATTCTTCTGGCATGATTATGCAAGCTTTGAGTGTAAAGGGCAGTTGTATTGAAAAAAAATGAGCTGTCTATTACCTTGCAAAGACATGTCCCAACCTACTAAACATGCCTTTCAGGGACTCTGAGAACTAAGAAATACCATGGTATGCTGTGATGTGCTGTTTCTGCTTCTGTTCTGTGTGGCCACTTCACTTATGGGACTTAATCTAATCCTAAAATGTGGGAGTATGTGGAAATGTTTGTTCTTGTAACTCCATAGTTCATTGAAATTAAGTGTAAAGCATTTCTGAATTAGCTAAATGTTCTTCAGCTAAATGTCTAGAAAATAAATTTAAAGGCCAGTGTATCTATCAAAAAAAGGTTTTGGAAACTTTCATTAGTTAAATATGATTATTTGGGGCAAATTGAACCTCGAATTTAGTGGTGTAATTTCACTAACTTAAGTATTTAAGCCATTAAAAAATAATGAATGTATATTAGAAAGTATGGTAGATTAGACACTCTGAATACACGTCTTTTTTTCTCTTTTTTTTGAGACAGGGTTTCACTCTGTCACCCGGGCTGGAGTACAGTGGCATGATCTTGGTTTACTGCAACCTCTGCCTCTCAGGCTCAAGCAATCCTCCCACCTCAGCCTCCTGAGTACTTGGGACTACAGGCTTGTACCACCACACCCAGCAAATTTTTGTATTTTTTGTAGAGACATAGTTTTTCCTGTTGCCCAGGCTGGTCTTGAACTCCTGGACTCAAGCAATCTGCCGCCTCGGCCTCCCAAAGTGTTGGGATTTCAGCCGTGAGGCACCATGCCCAGCCCCCATCCTCTTAAACAGATCTTATTTCTAGATAAATAATTATTGTTAGTGCATTTCTGGGTCAGCTAGAAATAGGAGCTATCACCAAACAGGAGAAAACTTAAGAAAAATGCCAAGCTGAAATCAGAGAAAGAAGTACGTGTTTTCCCCAAATTCAGACATTGAAATATAGAGACAAAGCCTTGGACCCACCATACACTGGGGGATATGAATAAAAAACTCCTTTGTTAGATCTGGATCCTTGAAGTTTAATCAAGTGGTTTCTTATTTGTAGCACAGATCCTTCCTAAAAGAAAGTTTCATAAGCTTAGGCTGTCAAGATTTCCACAGGTTGATAAAAGGCAAATATGAGCTCATGATCAGAAATTAGCAAACACTTAAGGAAATCTCACATAAGAGTTAGCAAAAGAAACAGATTTGAATGCCAAAATGGTATCAGATATTAAAATTATCACAATCAGAACATAAAGCAAATTTGTATGAAATGATTAAACAAATAAAGGTGGGTTAAAACAGAGAAAGCAATAAGTTTTTTTTAAAATTATTTTATTATTATTATACTTTAAGTTTTAGGGTACATGTGCACAATGTGCAGGTTTGTTACATATGTATACATGTGCCATGTTGGTGTGCTGCACCCATTAACTCGTCATTTAGCATTAGGTATATCTCCTAATGCTATCCCTCCCCACTACCCCCACCCCACAACAGTCCCCAGAGTGTGATGTTCCCCTTCTTGTGTCCATGTGTTCTCACTGTTCAATTCCCACCTATGAGTGAGAACATGCAGTGTTTTTTTTTGTCCTTGTGATAGTTTGCTGAGAATGATGGTTTCCAGTTTCATCCATGTCCCTACAAAGGACACGAACTCTTCATTTTTTATGGCTGCATAGTATTCTATGGTGTATATGTGCCACATTTTCTTAATCCAGTCTATCGTTGTTGGACATTTGGGTTGGTTCCAAGTCTTTGCTATTGCGAATAGTGCCACAATAAACATACGTGTGCATGTGTCTTTATAGCAGCATGATTTATAATCCTTTGGGTATATACCCAGTAATGGGATGGCTGGGTCAAATGATATTTCTAGTCCTTTTTAACAAGTAACCAGTTTGAAAAATATCCAAGTAAAACTTTCAGTATAAAAATATTATTGTATATACTTTAAAACCCACAGTTAAATAGACTATCATTGAAGAGAGAATATTAGTAAACTAGTAAGTTGCTCTAAAGATATTAATATATACAGAATGCAACACTGAAATAACCAGAAATGGAAAGTCTAAGAGGTTAGATGATATAGAGGCTTGAATGAGAAAGTTTTTCATTCAACAAATCAAAGTTCCAGGAAGAGAGAATAGGAAAAAGATAGGAGAGCCATACTTGAACAGGTGGCAGCTGAGAATTCTTCAAAATGATGAAAACCATGAAAATATATACGATACATATGGCAAAGCATGCAGATAAACTTAAAAGCCCCACCTAACCAAAAATATTAAAACTGCAGAGCACCAAAAACAAAGAGAAGATTTTATGAGTAGCCAGAAGACAAAAGTTACCTATAAAGAAATGACAATTAGAAGGCACAAGGCAGATTTCTTGGCATCAAAATGGAAGCAGGGAAGCAGTGGAATTATATTTTCAGAGTGCTGAGAGAAAAATAAATATCAGCTTGGAATTGTGTTAGAAGTAAATCTATCTCTCAAGAAGGAGTGCAAAATAAGAAATATTGGTATGGACAAAATGGAAAGAATTTACTAACTGTATATTCAACTAAAAGAACTTCTAAAGCAGGTACATGAGAAAAGGTATAAATTATCCTGGAAGAAAAGTGTGAAATGATTTAAAGGAATCATGAGAAAAAAATGGCAAACATATAAGTAAATCTAAACCAACACTTTCTTTATTAAAACATAATTTGTAGATTTTCACAAAAGGACAGAAGGAAATCACTGTCAAATGTAACATCTAAGTCAGGAGGAAGTGATCAGAGTTTAAATGTTCAGGCAAAGGATTTAAGATATTAATATAAGATTTTTTAGATCAGCAATTTGTGATATATTTTCACGAATCACCGCCAAAAAAAAGAGTGTTTAAATCCCAACCTAGTGAAGCAGAGAAATATATATATATAAACATATATATATATATATATGTAATCAAGAAAAGAGAAAAAGAAGCTTAGAAGTGGAACAAATACAAATTCCGAAGTAATATGCTAGAAACATGTCTAAAGGGATCAACCATCACAATCACTAAATGGACTGAACTCACAAGTGAACTACCGACATTGTCCTATTAGATGAAAAAATAAATAAACCCAACTATATATCCTTTAAAATATATGTATGAAAATATAAGGACACACATGTTTGAAGATATACCAGGCAATGGCAACCAAAACAAAATGAGAATATCTATCTATATATCTGTCTATCTACCTACCTACCTACCTATCCATCTATCCATTTATCTATCATCTATCTATCTATCTATCTATCTATCTATCTATCTATCTATCTATCATCTCTATCTGTATCTCTGTCGAATAGAATATATCTCTCATATATAGAATTCAAGACAAAAAGTATTACTGGGGACGAAGAGGACCTCATGTAATGATAGACCTTTCGATTCACCAAAAAGATTTTTTAAAATCTAAGTTTGTATGTACCTGTTAAAATATTATATTTCATCATACCTAAGATACCGACATTTGTAAGACGTGCTGTTATTTTATCTACCACTGTCAACAGTAAAAAACTCCTGCAACTAAACTATGAAATAATGGTTTCATATTATGTCAATTATAAGAGATCTTCATTTTGAGATGTTAAATATGAAAAAAACTGTCTTAGAATTAATGAAGTATGATAGCTTCACACCACTTAAAGCAACTATTTATGTAAGAGAAAAATATATAAAAATCTACATAACAGTAAAAGATTTCAAAATATTTCTTTCAATTGTGATAGCTCAAACAGAACAAAAAAAGATATAAGAGATGAATAACAAGCTGATTTTAATGGACATATGTAGAACTGTGCACAGAGAACACACATTCTTAAGCATATATGGAACATTTTTTAATTTGACCACATCTTAAGCTATAAAAGCAAATGTTAACAAATTTCAAAAACTAAGTATCACATGTTCTCTGACTACAATAAAATTTTAATTTAGAAATTTATACTAAAAAGTTAACTAGAAAAACCCCATCTGTTGGCCAGGTGTGGTGGTTTACATGTGTAATCCCAGCACTTTGGGAGGCTGAGAAGGGTGGATTGCTGGAGGAAAGGAGTTCGAGACCAGCCTGGGCAACGTGGTGAAACCCCATCTCTACCAAAAATACAAAAATTAGCCAGTCTCATAACCCAGCCTCAAAAAAAATTTTTTTTTGAAATTGAAACACATGGCTCATAAAAAATAATGGAAATTAAAAATCCCTAGAGTTGAACATTTATGAAAATACCGTATATTGAAAAAGTGGCATGCATTCATTTATAATGAAAATCTGTCAAGGAACAAGGAGTTGAATGGAACTTTTTAGCTAAATAAAGAGTATCTACCTAAAACAAACAAAACCTATAGCATACTTTGTTCTTAATGGTAAAAAGTTAGAAGCATTTCTTGTAAAGTCAAAAGTATATTCAAAGAAAAGTAAATTTTCCCTTCCATCCAGACTGTCCTGCAGAGACAAAAACATATTCATATATGTTTGGCAGGGAGAAGGACATAAAGAGAAAGATTTTGTTTTGGTTTGGCTTGTTTTAAGATTTTTTTAAATGTTTGATATACGGTGACAGCTTTCCCACAAAACTGTACTAATTGAAACTTCTACCAACAGAGTGTGAGAGCATTCATTTCACTACATGATCACAAACATTACGTACTACCATTTTAAAAAATAGCAAAATGCCTCTTTAAAAAATTTATATGATGCCTTGTGGGACTCAACTTGCTCAATGAGTTTATTGACTATTTTTATTTTTATGTTATAAACAGCTCTTCTTATGGAGCTGTTAATAATGTTTGCTTTTATTTGTAAGAAATGTTTACTAAAGTAGGTAATAATCCTTCAGCTGTCATAGATGATAAAAAGCATACTTTTTTTAAGTTTGTAATTTGGGTTTTACTTTTTTATGGTGTTTTACCATGGCAGAGGAAAACTTTTTACATGGTTAGACCTAACAATATTTTCTTGTATTTTTTCTTCCTTTGCTTTTATTGTATATCCCTAGAGATTGGAGAGTCTCTAATCGTTTGTGGTGATCGTTGTCTAATAGTTACTTTTCTTGTGTTGGAGTATCTGGTTAGGATTGCAAATTCATTTAGTCCTAATATTTATTAAACAGTGCTTCATTTCCTCACTGATAGAAAATATCAACTTTATCATAGTATATATTATTTTGTGATAGAATCTTGTTCTTTTCCTTCTATTTTGTAACACTAATCTTTCAGTTTTTTTTTTTACAAGTTCCATGTTGTTTAACTATTGCAGCATTATTTCTGAGATCATGATAATTCTTATTACTCACCCTGATTATTCTTTTTTCTTTTTTGCTCCTTTTTATTGGATACTGTTTTAAAAATTACAAACATTATCCACCCTCTTCTATTTCAAGATGACGTCAACTATTCTTTTTAAATGTATTAACTAAGAGGAATGCAGAATCATTTTCTAAAGTTAAAAATAAAAACTTGTCCAATCTCTGATATATTTTTTTAATAGTGTTTGACCCATAAAATTAGGGACATCTGAAGTAGGATTCTAAAGTAAGAAATATACCTGTTTGTTTGGAAAGGTAGAAAGGAAATAGTTACATTCTCACGTAACCAAAGTTTTAAAAAATTATCTAGTGTCATTTATCTGACATTATTTCTCTAAAGTGCCTCATCAACTCCAGCCAGACAAATCTCTTCATTATTCCTGCTTCAGGCCATGCACATTTCAAATTCTCAGGCTTTGCTGAGAATGTTCTTTGCCAGGGATATTTTTTCTCTTTCTTTCTGTTTATTAAAATTTGTTTCTTTAAGGCCAAACTCTAGCTCCTTCATCATGAAGCTTCTTTTAGTATATGTTCCACAGAGTTTAAACATTTTAGAACTTTTTCTAATTATAAAAGCAAGAAAATAAACTCATAGAACATTTGATAAAAAATAGAGACATATTTTCTATAATATTAACTCCCTATTATGAATTATATATATTTCCTTGCAGTATTTCATATGAATACATAGTTGTAACTCTAGTGAACTTACAATTTCATGTTCTATGTTAGCATGGTTTCATGCTTTTCTCTGTTGCTCCATTCTATTCATTATTACCATTTTTTTTTTTTTTTTTTTGAGACGGAGTCTCGCTCTGTCGCCCAGGCTGGAGTGCCGTGGCGCGATCTCGGCTCACTGCAAGCTCCACCTCCCGGGTTCATGCCATTCTCCTGCCTCAGCCTCCAGAGTAGCTGGGACTACAGGCGCCTGCCACCACGCCCGGCTAATTTTTTTGTATTTTTAGTAGAGACGGGGTTTCACCGTGTTAACCAGGATAGTCTCAATCTCCTGACCTTGTGATCTGCCCGCCTCGACCTCCCAAAGTGCTGGGATTACAGGCGTGAGCCACCGCGCCCAGCCCCATTATTACCATTTTAATGACTATCCAATGGTCCATAGAGTCAATACATAATTATTTAAATAATCTTTGCTTTACTACCTGTCCCTTATCATAAAAAGCTCTGCAGAGAAAATCTTTGTTGTGTAGCTTTCCTTTCTTTGGGGAATTAGTTCCTTAGAATAAACATCAAGAATTGGAATTTAGGGGAGAGAAGCGAAAAGCATTTTCAGGCTCTTGAAATGTTTTTTCAGGTGGCTTTCATTCACCAGTTTTATGTATGAGAGTTCTAGTACTCCAGTTGACTTGATTCCCTCAGATATAAATATTTTTTCGTTATTATTTAAGAGGAAAAAAGCATGTTAAGCATTTTGCCCCAATTCTCTGTTATTGTGTATTAGTTAGCTCTCATGTATTAATTTTGTTTCCCCAAAGAGACTGTAAGGTCCTTGCATGAGACTAGAGATAATGACTTATATTTATTCTTTATACCCCACAATATCTCCCCAAAAGTGTGGCAGACACAGTTGTCTTCAGTATTTGCTTCTTAAGTGATTGAAACCTTCACAAAATTCCTTTTTGTTCCTCAAACTCAAGGCCAATTATGATAGAAAATTTGGCAAGTAGCATATTTGTGGAGTCTCAGCTCCAAAAATAAACCCTTACCCAAACCTCACTTGTAGGGGTTAAACTTATGCTTGGAATCAAGATTAACTGAAATTTTCAATAAACATGTGTATATTGAGTTTTTCTTGAATTTCAGACTCATTTTATCCTAGTTCTTATCCAATTAATTCACAAAACATAAGCTATTTAACCACCACCATTTTCAGAGATTGCTCATAGGAAGACCAAAGAACATAGCCCTAGTCCTCTAAAACTGGTGTCCTAGGATGCTAGAAAGTCCCTTGCCTCCACAGGAAAGCAAAAGGCAACTATAATTGAAGTACCCTATTGCCATGTGTTTTCAGCTACACTTGTTCCCCACTTTATCCTAGTTCTAGAACGGTGCCAGGGATATGATAAACAGTCAATAAATATTTGTTGAGTGGTTGAATGAATCTGTGTGCATAGGTTGAATGAATCAATCACTCTGCAAATATGTATTGAGCTCTCGCAAGATGCAAAGCCCAGTGTACTGGTTACTAGAAAAACAGATAAAGTTGATGGATCTTATACGTGGCAGTGGGCTGGATTTAATGACCTTGAGGTTTCATCCAGTGCATTTTTCTACAACTCATGTGCATTTCTTTTGAAACTTACACGTCACATCCACAAGCCGAATAAAACTCCTCAAGCTGCATTTCTAGGATGATCCCCCGCCACCTCTCCCTGAGGGCCTGAAAAGTTGTATGCTGCTGATTTCTGGTGCGGGCAACTCCTGGGCAGGGACAAGGATGGCTCCAGATGGATGGATGCCTTTGTGGAGGGCTCCCTTTTATCCTTAGTTGTAAGCCGCCTGAGCAGTTATATTATAAATGGGTAATTTACCGCCTCATCCCCAAGGCCTCTTCTGTGGGCTCTTTCATGGACACTGTTACCAAAAGTTACCAATATGCCTGGTGCCTTTGATATTTGTGGGCACTGCAGACCAGAGAAAAAGAGTTGCTGCCTTGTACAGCTGCACACTGGCTTTCACATGTCCTGCAAATGGGTACCTGCCAGCCATCTTCCCCAGATGTCATACTGACCATTGATTTTTTTTTTTTTCTGCTTGCTATTGCAGTTATTAACTACAGTGAGGCCTGGGCACTTAGCTCTCCACTTTAATTATTCATCCTTATGAAGAAAAATTTCCCCCGTGTGCTTTATTGTCCTCCAGCCCCGACCTGAGCTCACGCAGACTCTTCCTTCTTTCCCTCCCCAAAGTGGCTTGTGTGTCGAAGGGCTTTCCACTGGGGTGCTTATTCCATTTATGCCTTTAGTATGCATTTTGTGTTCTGCCAAGGGGGTCAGGAGGGCACATGGAGAAGCCAGATGGCTTACCTCTTCCCTCAGGAAACACGCCGCTATTTAGCTGGGCACCTTCCCAACTCAAGGCGGGGTGAGATTCCACTGTTGGAGAGAGAGTTGGTTCAAATGCCACTGTCCCTGAGATCACAGCTCCAAGTTCCTCTAGGCTATGCACTTTTCTACTTCTCTGCCACTTGCTGGAGTTTTCTGCCAGAAACAGCCTTTTAGGAGATATTAGAAAGGGGGGTGGGAAGGGAGGGATGGGAAAAAGCAACTCTTGTTATTTATGGTCCTCGTTCAGGCACAAGTTTCTGTTATTTTAATCCGGCTGAAATAAGAAACCATAATCCATGGATGAAAAGATGGTGGACAAACTCAGTTAAATCTTGAGCACCCTGAGGATGTGTGTTTTTCCCTATTTCTGGTTTTTGACGTTCCTTCCCTGCTGCCATTTCCCAACTTTAACTTTTGAAAAGCCAAGCAGTTTGGCTGGCCAGGCCCAGGGAACTTATTTGTATGCAGCACAAATTTCAGAATCTGTTCTCAGCCTGTGCCGAGTGAAAAATGGCCTGCATTTTCTTGATAGCCCATGTGGTTGTAAAGAATAAATGGCTAATGAATTACAGATGAACATTGACGCAAATTAATCTTCCCGCTGTCCCTGGGTTATATGGCAGCCATTTAAAAGTTTAATCAATACACTAAAGTTGAAAACATGCAGGCACTGCAGTTGTTTGGATGTAATAAACATCAGAGGGAACCGGGAGGTTTGCACCCAGTCCATGTATCATAATGACAGGTATTTATGTTTAATGGACTAAATATTTTTTATTGGAAGGGAGCAAATGTCAGCTTAACTTTGTGAGCCCCGCATTCAACTTTCCTTTGAGGTTGGTGAAAGACGGCTGACGTGTCATTGGAAATGAAATGTTAAGGGAGAAAAAAAGCACAACGGAGACAAAGCGAGGATGGGAGCCGTTTGGAGACGTGGTGCAGCGCTTACATTCTGCAGCAATTCATTAACGAAAACGTAAACTCTGATATTTCTAATGTTGCTGTAAAATGGTTTACTAGGAACAACTTTAATGGTTATTAGTGAAAACAAGTACCCAGATCTGCCAGATATCCTTTTCAGTGCAGGCTTTTGTTTGAAAACTCTTTACCAGGTCATATTTGCTGGAGATTTATAATTAGTCTTTTTCCTTAATGTGAGAAGTGGAGGAGAAACAGCGTGATGGCTCTCAGCTCTTGTATTCCATAGATCTTTCCTTTTGAACGGTGTCCAATGACTTCGAATAACCATGTGTTCTCTTTTGGAATACTTATATCTTAATTACTTTTCAAGTCAATATTTTGTACCTCTGCCGTGAGTCTGGAAGGACCAGGGTAGCTAAAAGAGAAAGGAAATTGCCAGTGGCAGTGCCATCTCGCTGGACAAAAACAGGCTGAGACACAGGAGAGCAATGGCTTCACTTGAACAGAAAAATACAGACTTAGTTCAGCTTTTCATTTTTTTTCCTCCACATATAAAATAAACTAAATATGTCAGTGGAGCATGGGGTCTTAGAAAATAACACACACTTTATAAAAATAATTAGAAACGTTTTAGACAAAGGATATCGTGTTTTTAATGTCCCTTCTGCAACCAATTGTCTCAGGTCCTCTTCAGTGTCTGAGGGCACATTCAATGGCAGGGCTTGGAAGAAAATTATTCAGTAGATAGCAAGATGAGGCTGAAGGATGAGAAAAAGGGACAGGGGTTGTGATACTTATCCAGTGTTCAGATCTTGCAAAAGATATGAATTGCACCTTTTTATGTGTTAAATAATTTTGTTAAAATCACAAGAATTTGTGTTTCTAATGGGCCTAAGTTTCATAGGTAATCAGTATTATGTGATACTAAATTAGTAAACCAAACTGATGGGTTCATTGGTCCTTCATCATCCCTTAAGCAAAATGGGGAGAAACTTTCTGTTATGAAAACCGAAGCATGGCTCACTGTTAACCATGATGACATCTCACCCACTACTGCTCCTGAAGTCCTAAACTCTATTTTTCTTCCTACCTCTTTCTACCCTCTTAGAGGATTGAGTCCTTTACCTGTTTGTTCACTTTGTGTTTCCGCCGTGTGAATATAAGCTCCACAGTAGGGGGTAGGAGGCAAGAACCTGATTTTCTTCTTTGCTTCTAGTGTCCTGGGGCCTGGCCTATAATAGGTTCTTGTAAATGGCAGGTAAGTGAATGGCGGACTACATTTCTTATGGTCTTTAGTAATTTATAACTCCGGCTATTTTTTTTGTTAGTCAGTATGATTTCTAGTCACTGTGTTAGTTGTTTTACATATAATACAATACTTGATCTTAGTTGTTAACTCTAGAAGATAAGAGTTATTATCTTCATTTTATAGAGGCAAAAACTGATGTCAAGAGAATTGAAGCTAATTATTTGTGGTTACTGTTAGTATGTAGCAATTCCAGAATTTGAATCCTGACCTGTTTGTCTCTGTATCAGCTATACAGTACTCCCCAAATTCCTGTCACTCATCTTGTCCCTGGGGATTAAAATCTCATTAAGTGACCACAACATTTAATTCTAGACTATAACCAGCCAGCTCCCCAACTGGCTGATAATGAACAGAAGTATTAGATTCACAATTTGCAACCTAAACCTGGTGTCCTGAGTCCTACCTATAGAAAGCAATCTTTGACTGTACAAAAGTAGCACATTGGCTATTTGATGATGGGTGATATGTCACTCAAATATGTGTGTTCTGTGGTCTAGGGAAATACAAGGAACTCTCTCAAATCATGAGAAAAGTGTTCAGCAACAGAAATCTAACAAATAGTGACTGAAATGCATAGGCATTAATTTCTTCACTCAGAAGTGAGAATGGAGGTAGGCAGCCCAGGACAGTGATAGTGGCTGAAAGAGCAGATCAGTAGGCACCCAGGTCCTTTCTGTCTTTCTGTCCTACTACCTTTTCAGCATGTGCATTTTAGCCTCATGGTCTCAAAATGGTTGCTACTGCTCCTGGCATCATTTCCTCACCCAAAGCAAGATGAAGAAGGATGTCTTTCCCTTATGAGGCATTCGCTTTTCATTTGTGGATAGACAGCTTCCTAAAGATGTCTGTCTCTTTCTCATTACCCAGATCATGTCATTGGGAGGCTGGAAAGTCAAATGTTTCAGTTTTCATGCTGTTATAGTAGAGGAAGGCAGGATAAAAGGGAGCCAATGCATAGTGTCTCCTATGTAAGATAAATCGCATTTTTTGTATACCTAATAAAGACTTGAAACTTTGCTAGATGCCATATGCACATCAACTTATATCATGTTTACAACCACCTTGTTACAGAAGAGTATTTATTCCCATTACACTAAGAAGAGGTGATCTCATTGTTCAATTCCCACCTATGAGTGAGAATATGCGGTGTTTGAAGGGGAATATCACACTCTGGGGACTGTTGTGGGGTGGGGGGAGGGGGGAGGGATAGATTGGGAGATATACCTAATGCTAGATGACGAGTTAGTGGGTGCAGCGCACCAGCATGGCACATGTATACATATGTAACCTGCACAATGTGCACGTGTACCCTAAAACGTAAAGTATAATAAAATAAATAAATAAATAAATAAATAAATAAATAAATAAATAAATAAAAATGCCCTAAATTATCAGGTCTGACAAAAAAAAAAAAAAAAAAAGAAGAGGTGGAGCTGGGATTTAGAGCTACATTTGTCTGTTTCTATCATAGGTCTTCTCTCTAATGCCATGTTTCTTTGGCCACCATTTTGATGTCATAGTGAAGGATGATTTCATAGTGAAGGCCATTCCCAGTTGTTCCAGCTCATGGTGAATGTGCTGTCTTCTGAGGGCACTTAACAGTTGGGTCTGCCTCTTTGATAATTAAGTATGCACTACCATGTGCCAGCTTCCATTTTTGTGTATTCTGTACAGAGTGTTTAAGAAGGTGGGTCAGAGACTCACTGTCTAGATCCAGATCTTGGCTCTATAAGTTACTATCAGTGTAATCTCATGCAAATTACATAACCTCTCTGCAGATTGAACTTTTGGAGACCAGGGACATGATTTTTTTTCCCCTCTTGATATCTCCTAAAACACTGACAAGATTCTATTTCACATTAGAGCCACTGAGTAAAAACTCATTCTAGAATCACTTTGAATCTTTGTTTCATTGATTTAACATCTTTTTGCCTTAGCTTCTGAATCCTAAAATGGGGACAAGAATACATCTACTTCATAGGGTTGTTGTAATCGTTGAATGAGATAATGTACCTACTTAAAGTTTTTAGAACAGTGTGTGATGCATAGAAAAAGCTCAGTGTTAGCTATAATTATTATAATCATTCATGGATTGCCAGTATTCAAACTCTAAAACTCCATGGGATATAATATAATCTGTAATGTATCCAAAAGCAATTTTTCTTAGGCCATCTCAGGTACACTATTATAAAGAATAACCATATCCTTCTGGTGAAGCCATATTGAGCATCTCCTGCAATCCAGGGAGTGTGGTATATGTTGGAGATACAAAAATGCATAAAACACAGTGAGAAACATGTGGTAATGAACACCATGAGCAATATTCACTCTCGATAATAACCAAATGCTTAAAAAGTAAAGCAACTCTTGGATATAATATTTCCACTTATTAAACTAGCAAAGATGTTTAAATAGGCATGCCTGGTGCTATGGAGTGGATTGGGTGCATATTAATATGTTTTTGAAAAGCATTTTGGCCCTGTGCATTGAGGCTAGATGCATTCACTTAGGAATCTATTCCAAGACAAGAATCCAAGATGCATAAACACAGGATCTTTATACACTAAAATATTCACTATAGTAATGTTTGTAACATCAAAACACACAAAAAGTCATTATCCAACTAGATAAGAAAGCTAAATAAATTATGGCACATTCACAGAACACAATGTTATATAGTATTCAAGTGATGGTTACATCAGATTTAATACGATAGGCAAATATTTAAGTAATAAAATAAATGAAGATGGATATATATGAATGCATCCATACAACATATGGACAGAAAAAAGGCCAGAAGGCAAAACATCCAAATACTAACTGTGGTTAGTTCTGGACAGTGGAATTATATATGATTTTTATTTTTTAAATTTACACTTAATTTTTTTACAATGAACATTTAAATATAATAAGAAAACAATTAAAATAACTCCCCAAACAACAATATAGTCTTTATGAAAATAGTTTCAGAGAGAAGGGGAGTGATAATAACAAAAAGAGTTTATGTGAGTTAGTTAAGAATTGTATTCAGCTACAACTAGCCCCAAATACCAGTAGCTTTAAGAAAATACTGTCCTATAACATGAATTTCAGATGTAGGCAGTCCATAGCTGTTATGATATCACTAGGAACACAGGCTTCTTTGATTTTGGTTCTATCTTCCAACAGACTGGCTCCCATCCTCAAGTTTGATTTATGGTCACCATATTATTGCTGTTGCACTAGCTCTTCTTTCCAAGTTCCAAGTAGCAGGAAGGAAGAAAAGGCAAGGTGAGCACTGCTATGCTCAACAGCATAGGGGCTCTGTGTATAAGATGAAAGAGGAATATAGATACTGGGTAGCCGGCCTTACTTTCAGATTTTAATAATAACTCTGCCATTCAACAGCAGGTTGACGTTAAGAAAATCTCGCATGTCAATGACACCAAGGAGGCCTCCAGAACCTTCTGAATACAGTGCCGTATGCAACCACTGTCATCACCTGTGCTTGGTGATGAATCTCATTTGCCATTCCAAGCCTCTGTTACCTCCTGTGCTTTTGTTTCCTCCTCTTTAAAATAGGCATATTGAAAATTCACTGCCTTTTATGATTGTGGTGAGGATAATATGATTTTATAGTTGTGAAGGTCTTTTGGAAAGGCTTAGTATGCTATGCAAATGTAATTTTTACAAGACTCATGGCAGCCAATGGGAATTAAGGGCTCACTAAATGCTATTAATAGTCACTGCTGAACTCCTTATGTGCAGAATTTCATTTAATTTGGGGAATGAGACATTATGAGTGTCCCCATTTTACAGGTACAGATATTGAGAGACAAAGAAATTTGCACCCAAGTTATCTGCCTCTTGATTCCATGACATTTGTTCTCAATCTTAAGTGTGCTTAAGAATCATAGTAAGCCTGTTAAAAATGTAGATGTCTAGGATCAGAAATTAGATTCTGCTGCAGGTGGCCTGCAAACTACAATTAATGGCTCAGTTCTACCTACTCTAAACTCTTAATTATCCAGCAATGTGGCAAAGAACATGTTCCTCAGACAGAGCTCTTCGGGCTCCTGAATTCTACTCTGACTTTTCCTTGATCTTCTCTGGTAGGGAGACTATAGCTCTTTTGGGTAGAAAATGCCCTTTTGGCAAGAAAAACTTGCCAGTTATTTGGGAGGCTTTGTCTTCTTACATGGAAAAAGGTCACTAATTTCTGAAGCTACCTCCTGTACAGTAGTATGAGAATCCTCAGAGGTAAGAAGACTTGGGCCAATAGGTTTGACTTTGTTGGTTGGATTTTCATTATTTTCCAAAGAGAAAGTCTTTGAGGCCAAGCATAAGGGCTGATTTGCCAATGGGACTTAGTTTCCAGTAAGATCAAGAGTGTCTACCACACACCTGACTTTTGAACTTTCCTCTTAGCCCACTAATAGCAGAGGTGCAATGAGGAGATCTTCATTTGGCAATGGATAGGCTCCCAAAACAGAAAGCATGGACATGCCATTTAAAGGTCCCAGGAGATTGATTTCCAACTGGAATGCAGGAAGAGTCTAAGAGTAACTGAAATTTGGAAACACTGCTAGTTATTTTTAAGACTACTCTTTCTTGAAATGGATCAGAACCAATAGAACAAACCACAGGTTGTGATAGATTTATGCACTGAGGAATATAGGAAGAGAAAGTAAAAACTATGGGCAAGGATTTTCATAAACTGCATCATAAATTGATTTGGTGGGCCCCAAGGAGAACATAAACACTATGCCCAAGGACTCAGGGATTTGACTTTTGTTTAGATCCATTTTATAGGCAATCTGTAAAAGGAAAAAAGGGCAAAAATAATATTAGTTATCTCATAAAGTTGTTTAAAAATCAAGTGATGAGAATAATCTATTTAAAATACTTATCACAGTGCCTACACATAGGAAGCTCGATAAAGTTAGCTATGATGATGACTGTAATGACGAGGAGGAGCAGGAGGAGGAAAGGGAGAAAGAGAACGAGAGAGGCAAGAAATCTGCTAAGGTTTTGCTCCATGAAATGTCTTTCAGTTGAAAATTCTCATTGAAACAGAGAAGCTTTGTCTTTATAACTAGAAGATGCAGTTTGAAAATTGTATCATGGAATGAAACACAAAATGTTTTTCATTCCATGAAAGAATTCCATAAAAGAGCTAGACCGTACTCCACGTGGTGTTCTGCACATAGAAGGTGATCAAATAAATAACTGATTCTGTGAAGGGCTAAAGGAGATTTTCAGAATGTGCCATGCTTCTGGGGACAATTGGCTTTCTGCTATGGTCTCAATGCTGATGTAGAAGATAATTCTATGAAAAGATCCTCAGAACTGAGAACTTCTGTTTTTTCCATGTTAATGTTTAGATAGCCAGAGGACTTATCATTCTAGGTTTGGGGGCAGATATTTTGCTATGCCTTTCCTGTTACTGTTAGAAAGAAAATCCCCACCCCTACCCCGCCACTGTCACAGTAATAAAGCACTGCTCAATGTGTCTTTAGCACTTCCTGTCCTTGGGAATCTGCCTACTGCTTCTCTAATATGGGAGAGACCAGCCCCTGTGCTGAAGCAGTCAGGGACTGTAATTACCTTAATACCCAGTAATGGATCGTTAGGATCATGCCACACAGTCCCTATGGTACAAGAGACTCGGAAATTCAAGATGGGAAGATGAGAATATGTGAATTGAATGACATGGGTGAGAGTAAATTTCCCATCTTTTTTCTAGTGGAGGAAATGCATTAAGTCTTTTGATACTAAATATGATGTTAGCTATAGTTTTTGTTTGTAGATAACTTTTATCAGTTTGAGGAGCTTCCCCTTTTTTCCTGTGTTGCTGAGAGTTTTATCGTAAATTTATGAGTGCTGAATTTTGTCATTTTTTTCTGCATCAATTGAAATGATTTTATTTTTTTAAATTGGTTGATATAAATATATCAGTTATATTTATTTTTGAATATTGAACCAACCTTGCATCTCTAGGATAAAGTGTACTTGGTCATGATGTATTCTACTTTTTATATATTGCTGAATCTTATTTGCTATGTGTATTATGGATTTTTGCATGCACATTCATGAGGAATATTGTCCAGTACTTTTCCTTCCTTTTCTTGTAATGTATTTGCCTGTTTTTGGTATCAGTGTAATGCTGGTTTCATGGCAAGTATTCCTACCCCTTCAATTTTCTGGAAAAGTGTGTGTAGAATTGCTATCATTCTTTATTAAGTCATTGGTTAAATTTGTCATTAAAACCATTTGGGCCTGGAGTTATCTTCATGGGCCAATAGTGAACTCTGCATTCAATTTCTTTAATAGACATACAGGCCTTCAGGTTATTCACTTCTTCTTTAGTCCTAAGCTCTTTTTTTGAAAAGATACATTACACCTCCTTCAAACCTCTACTTTAAGTTCTGGGGTACATGTGCAGAACATGGAGGTTTGTTACATAGGTATACGCGTGCCATGGTGTTTTGCTGCACCCATCAACCCGTCACCTACATTAGGTATTTCTCCTAATGCTATCCCTCCCCTACTCCCATACCCCCCGACAGGCCCTGGTGTGTGATGTTCCCCTCCCTGTGTCCATGTGTTCTCATTATTCAACTTCCACTTATGAGTGAGAACATGCACAAACCTCTACTTTTAATCATTGTGGCCATCACATAACCAAAGTGTTAATTCACGGCTTGACTATGAATTCTTCTCATAACCTTCTGGGCCTTCTGTTTGGTAAACAGAGAAAGTTAGTTCCTTTATACATTTATTTATTCATTCATTCAGCAAAGATTGGAACCATATTTTGAATTGTAGGACATGCAATACAGGTTGTGGTTTCAAAGATGAGTCAGACAGTATCCTTGGGTTCAAGTAAATTTCTTTTAAGAGGGAGTAATAGCAATCAAATGCTTGACTGTGCTGCAGTGGGATATGTGTAGTGGTTGTGTGATGGGTAGTGCACAGAAAGAGAAAACAAGGAACCATTAATTCTGCCAAGGGGAAATCAGAGAAGTCTTCTAAGAAGAAATGGCATTTTATTTGGGCCTTGAATGATAAGGAGAGTTTTATTTGGCAAAGAGGAGTCTTGTCATGTGAATCATCATGGGAGGTTTGGAGGAACAAGCCATTTCAGCTTTTCCTAGGGTTAGAACCTTTACTTTAGGAATGCATTGTTTTCTTCTTTTGATTGGGAAAACCAAAATCTGAATGGTAAATTTAAAAGTTACATTGCTTTAGTTATCACAGTTCTTCTAATTGTGTGTTTCTCAGATGAATATGACATGCCTCTTACGATCTTGCTACAGAGTGGATTTTATGTTAAATTATGGCTTCCTGGTGATTCTCAGAGTTTTATATCCCATTTTTATTTAAATTATTTTCATAGTTGTAATAACAAATAAATTTCTTATTCAAAGAAGATGCAGCCTTTGAAATGGATCTTAATTTGAATGTTGACATTCCAGTAACAAAACAAAAATAACCACTTGTAGATGGAGAGCGAGAGCGAGAGTGAGAGAGAGCGAGAGAGAGAATGAATCACAAACACCTGTAAAGTGTAACTATTAGTTTCAAATAGGATATTATTGAATCTGTCCTAAAACCAGTTGATTGTGATTATTCTAAATTTTACCTTGAGTATATTGACCATGACAGGCCAACTTCAGTTCCTATATCCGGATTCAACTGGATTCATTGCACTTTGATTCTACCATGAAAAACAATGCCTTTGTGTAAAGTCATGAGCACTTCTTTCCCTTCTTGGTTAACTGTGTTTAGATCTTTATCATATAAGACCTGACTTTATGTTCATTGTTGAAATTGTTGCTGGTTTCTTTTGCTCTTACACACCCATGCTGGCCTCCAAGAACAACTTGCTGTCATTCAGGAGCTTGCAAACTCATTGCTTTAATTAATTAACGGAGGCTCTTTGGAAGTTAGGGTCATTTGTTTTTAATTTTCAGTTAAAGGCACCTATGGATTTCTATTTTAAGAATAGACACTGTCTACTTTACTTGCTTATTATACTTTGATACTAAAATACAGCTATAATGGTTCTGCAGCATTGCCAGTTATTTAAGTATTCCTGAGTATTTAGGTAAAGGCTGGATGGCTTGGAACTACTCTAACATGGCAAAATATGTCATCAATGTTTTGCTCCAAGAGTATCCTGTAATGTATATGCTCAACTTGAGAAACAAAATATATTATAATTTTAGGTTTCAAAGCATAAATCCTTAACATATTTACTGGTTACTACATGCTGGGCACAGTGCCAGGCTCTTAAGTGACTGCAGTAGACTGTAGACAGATCAGACTTCTTGTTCTCATGAAGCTTGGAATCTAGTGGGATGCTCATTCATTGACCTATGAATACGTACTGTGTTATGTGCCAGACACTGTGATAGATCCTGTGCTTTGCCCCACAGGTCAAGGCACTAATATAGTATTATGTTTGGTACATAGTTGGCCCATAACTCACAGTAAAATTAACCTTTCCATTCTCTTTAACATATTACATTATTACATATTAAGGAAGAATGTGAAAAAATGTAATCATAATATCAGAGATTGCTTTTTGCTCACAAAAATCCACATTTTCTCCTGCTTTTGGGGTACCAAGCTAGACTTCATTTCATTCTCCTTTGCAGTTAGGAGAGGTCACATGAGTGTGTCACACTCGTGAAAGATATGGCCACATGTGTGTATTTTAGCCAATGAAATGTTCGTGGAAGGGATGCGTGGCAGTTCATGACCAAGGCTTTTGAGAAATGGCTGTGCCTCTTCCACATTCTTTCCCTTTCCACTGGCCTGATGCAAATGAGAGGACTCAATAGGAGAAGGCAGAGCCACAAAAATTACACCTGGAGGAAATTGCCTGTATTGGCCTTTTGAGTAAGAAAGATGTAAACTTCTATTGTGTTGGGCCACTGAAATTTTGGGACTTATTTGTTACAGCAGCTTGTATAATCCTTGTTAATGCAGTAACAGGATAGTTATAAGATGGCTCATTATAAAAATTATGACAGATTATCAAGGCATATTCCAAAAAATATTATCATTTGGCAATGATAATACATGTCATTCAGAAGCTGAAGTTTCTCATTGTCACCTTGCGGGGGTATATTGACAAAGATTATTATTGCCATTCAAAATATGAACACTGGATCTCACATAAGTCATGTGACCTGCCAAAATTTGCAAACCTGAACTACAGAGGAGCTAGTACCAGCATCTAGGTATTCTGTTTCTTAGTTCTATCCACCCACCCCATTATACTACCTCCATGATATTTATGTCTAAAATTATTATAGTTGTTTGTTTCTAAATTTTGTCTGCTTGCTTTCCTTGCCTGTCTTCCACCAGCAGATTATAGTGTCTGTGACCTAAGACTTTGCTATGTGCCAGGCAATAGCCTTGCATATCCTCACACAGGGATACACTGCCGTATCCCTAGCTACCAGGATATTGCCCAGCACATCGTAGACTCTCAGTAAATAGTTGTGTCATGTAAGAAAGCATGAGTCCATGACCAGAAAATAACTTTTCAAGTCAGGCATTTTGTAATGCAAATTAAACATGGGTCTTATGCATTTTTGTGAAAGAAGGAGGGAAGGAAGGAATAAAAGAAGGATGCATTATATATGTGGAATATATGCTCTTGAGGGGGTTGGAAGAAGAGGAAGGCAGAGGATGAAGGCATTGAGGTGGGGAGGGACAAATAATTTCCCATTCTTAACTAATTTTTTAAACAACTGATTGCTGTTTGCAGAAGATGCGTTGGCCTAAAATGATCATAATCTTTTGTTAGCTTATAATGCTTAAATAGGTCACTTAAATAGGACTCTTCTAATAGAAGAGAAGCCCATTATACAGATTAATAAAAATTGATAGAGACTTGAAAACTGCTCATGGGGTCAGTTATCTCCAATTAAAAGTTCATATGCCAAGAAAAACAAGCCTCTTCCTCCTAAATTATTACTGTGAAAATTTTCAAGCCTACAGAAAAGTTGGAAAAATAGTACATTAAACATACATATATTCTCTACCTCAGTTCACTGTTAATATTGGGCCATATTTGCCATTTCCCTATATCTCTGAGTCTGCCTGTGTATTATATATACCATTTTATTTTATTCTATTTTATTTTATCTTTCAGATGAAGTTTCATTCTTGTCGCCCAGGCTGGAGTGCAGTGGTGCGTTCTCGGCTCACTGCAACCTCCGCCTCCCCGGCTCAAGCGATTCTCCTGTCTCAGCCTCCCAAGTAGCTGGAAATACAGGCATGTGCCACCATGCCCAGCTAATTTTGTATTTTTAGTAAAGATGGAGTTTCTTCATGTTGGCCAGGTTGGTCTCAAATTCCTGACCTCAGGTGATCCACCTGCCTTGGCCTCCCAAAGTGCTCGGATTACAGGCATGAGTCACTGCACCTGGCATATAGATACCATTTTAAATGAGACATTTAAATAAATTACAGACACCATCACACTTCATCCCTCAATACTTCGGCATGGGTCTCCTATACGTAAGGGCATTTTCCTGTGAAACAATAATACCATTATCATACCTAAGAAAATTAATGTTAAGTCACCATTGTTACCTAATATGTGCAGTCCATAGTAACATTTCCCCAATTTTCCCAATGGTGTCTCTTGTAACTCTTTTTGTTTTAATCCAGTATTTAATCAAAGTTTATACTTTGCATTTGATGGTTAAGGCTTTTAAGTCTTTTCCAATCTAGGGTGATGGTTCTCAAGGGTGGGCCCCAGACCGGCAGTGTCACATCACTGGGGTCTCCGGGGGTCGATCCAGCAATCTTTGTTGAAAGAAGCTCTCCAGGTGATTCTGATGAAACTGAAGAGCGATTGATCTAGAGCATGTTCCCACCTTTCCTACTTTTCATGACATTTCATTTTTATCAAAAGCCCAGGTCAATTTCATTTTAGAATGTCCCACATTCTGAATTTTTCTGAACATTCCCTCATGGTTTGATTCAAGTTTAACATTTTGGCAAGCATAGGTGATATTGGCATATTTACTGCATCATGTTATGAGGCACGTGTTATTTAATGATCCCTTTTCCCCTTCTTAGTGATGCTAAGATTGATCATTTGGCTAACGTGGTTACCGCCAGATGGATCCCCTCTAAAGGCTATGTTCCCCTTTATAATTAATAAGTGACCTAAAGACTGTGTGAATATTTTCTTCCCCAATAAACTTTCACCCAATAGTTGTAACAGCCATTGATAATACTTGCCTGAATTACTATGTTGGTGCATGGTAATTTTTCTAATTTTGTCACTCCTTCTATATTAATTAGCTGTCATTCTTTAAATAAGAGCTTTCTTTCTTCCCTTGCATCTATTTGTATTTATATTTGCTTAAATATTATGATGGACTCATACTTATTAAAAAATCAAATGTATCAAATAATTACTATCATCATTATTTCCGATATTCAAATAGTGCCAAATTTGTTCACGAGAGAGCTTCTTCAAACTTCTTTCTGTGCTCTTTCCCTGCTTTCTGGCACAACAAAATGTTCTAGGCTTACTGTGTACATTCCCTGCCCCACAACATGAATCAGCCATTTCTTCCAGTAGCCCTTGTTATTTTGGAAACCAGTATGTGGATGCTAGATGCCCTACACACGTGCATGACTTGAGCACATGTGTGCACACACACAGTCATATGTGTATATTTTAATCATAATTTCTTACAGATCCCTCCAATTCAAATTTGCAGAGCTATTGTCACCTTCTTCTTATGCTTATCCTTTCTCTCTGTAGGTCAGAAGTCTGACCTTGGTCTTCATTGAGCTAAAATTCAGGTGCCAATGGGGTTGTACTTCTTTCTGGAGGCCCAAAGGAAAATTTTGTTTTCTTGCCTTTTCCAGCTTCTAAAGGCCATACATATTCCTTGCTCCTGGCCCCTTCCTCCATTTTCAGAGCCAGTGACACTGCACCGCTCTGACGGCTTTTCCATCGTCACATCTGCCTCTCTGATGACAGTCTTAAAAGCTTCTTTTTTTTAAAGGAGTGATGTGATTAGATTGAGCCCACCCAGATAGTCCAGGATAATACCCCCATCTGCAAAGCCTCTCTTGCCATGTCACATAACGTATTCACAGGTTCCAGGGATTCAAGTGTGGACATCTTGAGTTATTCTGCCTACCTACCTCATCTTCCCTCATTCTTAGTTTTATTTCTCTTCTCTCTGAAAATCCTGACTTTTAACAACCTCAGTAT
The DNA here is from genome assembly GCF_000001405.40 of Homo sapiens. NCBI lineage: Eukaryota > Metazoa > Chordata > Mammalia > Primates > Hominidae > Homo > Homo sapiens. Next base: position 76,537,889 of record NC_000010.11, read on the forward strand.
ATTTACACATTTTCTCTGTTCTACAATATACACAAAATAATTTGAGAAGGATAATAGCAATAACACCAACAACAATAAGCCTACTAAGTTAAAGCTCAAGATTTCTTTGTAGTTTTCTGTTACTTAGAATATATTCAGGCATGTAGTTGAAGTACTGTGTTCCAAAATTACTTTAATTAATTTCTTTGTATAGTTGTACTATAGATTTAATATACAATTAGGTTCATTTTTTTCTGTTTGTATTCAGACTTAGGGTTCACATTTTCCATCCTTTCCAATTTATTTTATATTTTGAGTGTGTAAACTATATGATGATAAAGAGACATATTCAGAGAAGTCCCTGTCCCATCCATATCCCCTTTACCCTATTTCTACCCACCAGCTACACATTGTCATTCTTAGTCTCTGGTTTATCCTTCCCACATTCTTTTTGGAAAGCATAGATGGACATGTGTATATGGGTTTTTTTTTAACCTTGTTTTTACTTCTTTCTTACCAAAAAGTAGCTGAGTTTATTGATTTTATTTTTGCTTGTTGCATTTTTACTTAACAGGATATCTTGCATATATATGTATATATATATGTATATACATATTTATATAGTTATATATGTATATATATATGTATATACATATTTATATACAGTTATATATATGTATATATATATACACACACACACACACACATATACAGTATATCCTGGGAATCACTCTATATTAGGTAGTCATGGAAATCTTGAAAGGAGTAATTATTAAATTCTTAAATACGTCTTCTGGATTGTTTAACTTGTTACAACTCTGTATAATATTTGTGACTTAACACAACTATAAAAAGGCAGGCATTGAAAGAAAATGTCTTGTATGCCTTCTGCCCACCTCTTCCCTCCCTGAGGCAGAGCTAATTTTTTTCCTGTGTTTGCATAACATTTTGTATATTAAAGTATTATAGCAACTTTTATTATAGTTATTTTTATTTGACAAACCATCTCCCTTTCTGGCCTGCTAGTTCCACAAATGTACAAAGAATTTCTCTCTTTCCTTTTCTTTTTTCTTTCTTTTTAGAGGTGGGAGTGAGTAGCAATGATTATGCCTGGCATATGGTGTTTCTCCATTTACTTATTTTGCCTGAAATTCCATTAGAGATTTAGTCAGTTGGTCTATTTTTATAATAGCGTCTATTTTAAAAAAGGTATAACATCCTAATATGTATTAACTTATCAGAGACTAGCCACTTCTTAGAAAAGCTATGAAAGGTCAGATGAGAAAAAAGGACAGTGGTGTTTGGATTCTGTCTCTGATAGAAACCCCAAGGAAGGCAAGGAAGAGTACAAGGGTTGTAGATACTCTAGGAAGAAGAGAGGATGAATCAAGGAAAGGAAAAGAGGAGACAGAAAGAGAAGGTCTGTATCATGATGTCCACTATGTGAGGTACTCACAGCACAGGAAATCTGCCTAGATGATAATAGGAGTGATGTTCATTAGGAAAGAAATAGCCCCAAGGAGTTTTTTCTTTACATGCTAAGAAGCTGAGGCCCAGAGAGATGGAACAGGTTTCCCAGGGCAATAGCACTAGGAACTGGAGCTGCAAACTTTTGAGTCCACCATATCCACCCTGAGTTGAGGTGATCTTTCTTATGATCCTGAGAGGGAACCTTTGAAATCAAGCAGGCACCCCTACTTCCCCAGGGGTGGGCAGAGGGCCTGAGCAATCCCTCCTTTTAGAGCACTTTGCAGCTGGGCCACTCATCTCAAGATTGGAATGTGCCATCTCCATCTTTCCTGACCTCCTTCAGTCAAGTCAGCTGTATTTGTGGAGGTGCATTGTTCAGTCTCAGAGCATTGTTTAAATTTAAAATCAATAGAGAAAAGTGTGCCAGCGAGAGGCACAGACTGATTAAGTGCTGTCTATATGAAGAGGTTTATCCTCTGCCACATTTCTGTTGAAAGCCTGTGAAACATGAATAGGATGGAGCAAAGTGAAAACACATTAAAAATTATGTCAGATACCCAAATGCAGTAAAGCAACTGCATCTCTGACAGGTAATCAAGAATTGGGTGACTCTGAGTTCTGATTTGGCGTAATGATATCAACATGTTCACACACACACACACACACACATTCCTTGTATACACATAACACACATACAAGATACACACACGAAGTAGACACACAACATGTAGTATGTGTATTGTATAACACAACTTACATAAAGACACACAGAAGACACACACAACACACATACAAACACCTACATGCCCATATTCAACACACATGCACGCAAAACATGCAACACACATTAGTGCCTGCACACATGTGCACATGTGCACACATTGAGCAACACAATAAAGATGTAACTTTTCCATCTCCCAATTCATTCTACATTTTTATTTTGATGAAAAGATAGCAGTAGAGGGGGAAATCTCTTCATCAGAAAATACAGTGAAAAAATTCCCAAGACATTGTCACGTATTACTGGTTATTTTTGGTGGTGAAGAGAATTATTTGAAAACAAAGAAGCCTTTCACAAAGCCTCTAAAATACAAAAGATTTAATAACATTTACATCTGTGTATCAGCCATGTCTGTAATGCGAGTCATGAATAACACATAAACCAGAGCACGGAAAGAACAGAAGTGCTCACACATCATTTAAAATCCAACCCACCCCATCGTCGGTGGAATCAAATACACAGCAGGGGCAGTTCCAGTTGCTACACACACAATAGAGTCATTGGAAATGAAAACATATTAATTATGTTCCTTAAGGTTAGGAGAGAAATAGCAGGATTCACTAAACCTTTCTAACTTCTCTGTTGAAAATTTGTACCAAAGAGTACATCCTGGGTTGCCTCTTTATTTTTCCTAAGAAACTGCAGAATGAGCATGTGTATTTGTTTTGTTTTACTGTTTATTCGAGTCTGCACTTGGGGCTCAGACTTGCCTCATTGTTGTACTGAAAATGGAAGAAAGTTGGCTTGGGAAGATGGATCTTTGTTACGAGTGAATAACTTGCAGAAAAATTACTTGTTTTAAATGCTTGACAATACCTGCACAAGTCCCAGTGGTATATGTGGAAATTCTTGCTGCTATGAAATGAGTCATATAGTATCCAGTCCTAGCACCCATGGAGCAACATGTTTGACCATGAAGGAAATCATTCCTTAGTCTGATTTGGATAACTGTCCGTGGCCCAAATTTGGAATTGTATGTTCCTAGGTCCATTCATTTGGCTCCTATGTATATCCAGGGTATCCAGGGATCTTCTAGGCTGGTGAGAGATCATCAAACTCTGCTAGGAGGCAACCTCTAGTGCCCTAATAGAGAAGGGTGAAGCCGGGAATGCTGGCTCACGCCTGTAATCCAAGCACTTTGGGAGGCCGAGTTGGGTGGGTTACTTGAGGTCAGGAGGTCGAGTCCAGCCTAGCCAACATGCCAAAACCTCATCTCTACTAAAAATACCAAAATTAGCCAGGCATGGGGGCACATGCCTGTGATCCCAGCTACTTGGGAGGCCAAGGCAGGAGAATCACTTGAACCCAGGAAGTGGAGGCTGCAGTGAGCCCAGATCGCCCCACCGCTCCAGCCAGGGCGACAGGATGAGATTCCATCTTAAAAAAGAGAAGGATAAGTTCAGGGAAAATTGAACTGATGATTTTTGGGTGAGTTCATATTTATTCTTTAAGTCAGTATTGTGTTTTTGTTTCCAGGGGTAAGAAGATGTTCACATAATGCTAATGTTAGATTAGCACATTTTGTTTGCAGGCTTTTGTTTTGGCATTTATTTCTCCTTCTTCCTCTGCTCACTATTTCCCCTTCTACTGCTAGGCTTCCTTCTGATGGTGTCAGAACACGGCATGCCAGTCCAGAGTAGTTTAAAACGAGCTCTGTAAATGTCATGGAACCCCTGCCTCTGCCTCCCCTATGTGTCTCATTTCAGTGTAAAATTTCAAGCACTTCCCTGTCCTTACGCCGCAAAAGGTTAATAGTCATCTTTTTTTTATGTACTGTAAATGCTCAATTCCTAAGGATAGTGTTTCAGGGCAAGTTGAGTGTAATTGCTAAATAATATAGTAATTCTCTTTTTAAATGAGTCATACTTGCGTTGTTCCAGATGCTCCTGCATGCATGTGTGTGCATGTATACATGCATGCATGTAGGTGTGTGCACGTGTGTGTGTGTGTGTGTGTGTGTGTAGGCAGGCATGAGTGAGGCCTCCCCTTGGGGGAAGTCACAGCCATCTCATAGGAGTTTGCACATTTTCACATTTGGGTTTTAAATGTTGTGCCACATCCTGGGCTTTTAGGTGCTGCGGATTATGTATAATAGATGACCTGCATTTACAGAGATGTGTGCTATACAGATGTAAATGTTATTATAGCTTTTATATTTTATGTTCTTGTTGAAAGATCATTTTGTCTTTGAATAATATGGCCGCTCAATTTTTTTTGGAGGGGAGGGGGTTATCTTTAAAAGAGAATATGAAATGGATATTGCACATCATATATTTCTTAAAAGTAATTTGGAATTTTAGGGTCTGGGATTGGGGCTGACTGATACACTGCCGTGATGAGATATAACCCCTGGAAAATAACAGCACCCGCACATGCCTGCATCTGTCTAACCTCATAATTCACTTTCACATTGGATTATGGATGTCTGCGTTCAGTGAGTCTATCTTCCCTTTAGGTATTATTTCAGCCCTTTGAGATAATAAGGAAAGTTTAATTGCGTTGTTAATTGATTTTTTGCACAACATTATTACCTTGATTGATTGCAGAGTTGATGAAAATGTTAGACACAGGCAGCGTGGAGTATCAGCCAGGCAAGGAGTGGGAGCCTTGTGGAGAATAGATAACCTTGATGTTAAGAGCTATATCCTTCAGATATGTCTTCCCTTGACATATTGATGGCCCCTGAAAAGGGAAAAGCTGATTGTATGCAGAATGCAATCATTAAACCCACTTCAGCTCACTGTTGATTAATTTGTTTTTTCCTGAAGGATCTAGTTATAGGGAAGGCCTCACTTGTACCAACCACAGCCATTTTCCAGGTTCCAGACTGTGCTTAACCCTCTAGGTGAAGGGAAGTGAGGAGGCTGGCTTGCCTGAGACGGGAAGATTATCTTAGGGTGCGCAGGGTGTGTGCTTAAGGCTCACAAGGTGTCTCCATGCTCGGGAACACTCTATGTCCTTCACCATAGTGCTGATTTTCCTTAAATTATTGATTCTTTAAAATGCCAATAGCAAGGAACCCTTCACTGAGACCTGGTGTAGGATGAAACTGTCACTTGGAGATTCTCAGGAAGGTGTTCACCAGTCCAGTGGTGTCGGGAGAGACATGGCACTCAGGAGCTTTTATTATACATTAGGTAAAACCCTGCATGAGATTGCCCCCATGATTGGAGAATTTAGTTGTTATTGGGGTGTGCCTGTGTGTGTGTGTGTGTGTGTGTGTGTGTGTGTGTGTGTGTGTGTAGAGAGTGATGATAAGAAGGGATTTCTGCAGACAGTTTCTTATATTGTCAATTACTCCTCTCCCTGGCCTTATATGACACTTTCTTAGAAAAGTTTATTGAAAGCCATCATCATTTTTTCTGAGTCCAGGGCCATCTTCATGGTAGCAAAAATCAGGTTGATTGATCAGTTGGTTTACTGATTGATTAATAGGACTTCTGTCCTGTTTCCCTCCCCTCAACTCACACCACTTCATTCGCAACTGCCCAACCCTGCACAGAGACTCAGTGGGCTGAATTTATGGGCAAAGAAGTTGCCCCTCTGGAAGAATGCAAGCTCTTATACATGCAGTACTCCTAGAGAGCCTCATCTTCTAGGGAGAACGGATTGCTACTTCTGCCACCCCCTCGCCAGCTTCCATGCTTATTACTCATGGAACATTCTGGCTTATTTTGCCCTCTTCTTTCCTTTGTGGCTGTGCCCAATGTTCATTCAAATAAAATTTCAATTGTATAGCATTGCTGGAGGCCTACCAATAGTTACATCAGCTTCCTGGAGTCCTGAGCCCCCCCCAGGAGAGGTCATGTGGGCTTCTCCCTGCACCACAGAGCACCCTGTAGACGGAATTCTCTGTGTGATGCTAAGCACAGTTTCTCCTCAGGCTGCCCCACCGCCTGCATTATGAGTCTTTCTTCTCCTGAACTCACCACTGGTGCTCAGGGAGTCTAATATCCATAGAGTCTTGGCCCTCAATTACCGTAATGGCTTATAATGAGATTTTGGCCAAGTAGCAGGTAGCAGGTTATTACTTCCTGCTCAGCGTGGGCAATGTCTACGCTGTTAATTTGTGTTGCCGAATGTGGCTTAGAGCTGGGCATCAAACTGTCGGAGCCAGATGTATTCTATTAGGTGCGAGGCTCACATTGGCCCATGGGCAATTTTTTCCCCCCAATATGGAAGCATGTTAACTTACCACAGGGTGAATCCTGACAAATTCAAGCCAGCCAAATAAAAGGGGTAATATCCCAAGCCATCAAAGTAGTACATTCTAGGGACAGATAACACCTGGTACCACCCACTGTCAGCAGTGTCTGTCTGACTGGGGCATTCTATTGATAGGCAAAAAACACACCCATCTTAATATTGCTGGAGAGGCTCTGGTGCCTTCATTAAGTTTTAATGAGCCTGACCCTAATGAAAGCCCTTATAACATGCTCTTCTACTATTTTCCTTGTCTTTATCTTGGGTAGAAAAAAATGTACAGAGGTTCATATAACTCTTATAACCTGCTTTCTACTATTAATTCTTCCTTAACCTACAGTTTCTTGCATTAACATATACATACACATATACATTTACATATATACATGCACACACACACACACACACACACACACACACACACACACACACAGCTTTTTCCCAAAGCAGGTTAGAGGATGGGAAGTTGAAGATCAGGAAATTATGAACATATTTTACCATTTGGCACTGGGATGAGCTAGTGTCCAAGAATTATGCTGTGCTTTCTGCAACAACAGACTGGGTCATTTTTTGTAAAGCAAACTTCTTTCGGTTAGATTATATATCATCAGATTCCCTTTGTTTTCTTTTCAGAGAAAGCAATTTAGGGTGTGCTGGAATTAGGAAAGATTATGGTGATATCAGTACAGGAAGAGTTTGTTTGGATTCTAATGAAGAGCAGGTGGAGGCTGGACCAATGGGCCCAAGTAAGGAAGGCCTTTTCCCCAATCCTTGCAGGGTTTGAATTATGACAAACCCAGTTGTTACAGGGTCTGCTTAATTTTATTTGAAAGGTTTCTTTTTTTTTGTTTTTTATTTTGTTTTTTTTTTTTTGTAGCTTGAAGAATTAGGAAAACAAGAAAGCAAATTGTCTTTATTTTCAGTGACTCTCTTGAGAAATTTCAGCCTGCAGAACCAGACAGAACTGTGGATGTTCCCTGCTTTTGATGTAAGCTCTCTAATAGGAACAGATCTGAAGCCCAAAAGCAAATTTCTGCTTGAGAGCAAAGCCAAAATTCCCATTCAGACTCTGCAGGAGGACCCCCACTGCTCAGATTTCTTCATACAAGATTCTGTCAGTTTTGGGGAAGTCCAAAGTCTTTCTGTGAAATTTTTCCTGCAAGTTATTTTTTGATTATACTCCATAAATGATGGTTCAGATCTATTCTACATATCCAAAGAAACTGTTTTCTTCTTTTTTCCTGTTAATGTAATTGCACATTACTAAAATTTGAATGTTTATGGTTTTTGTTTTAGATAAAGAGCTGGAACAACCTTTTATTATTATTATTATTATTATTATTATTATTATTGTTATTATTTAGGTATCATTAGCTTTCAGACTGCTATTGGGGATAAAATAAAACCTCCATTTACCAAAACTCAAGACACTAGAACCCTCAGTTAACCAGATTTTTGGATCTCTGATTTTAGACAGTCTTGATTTTACAAGAGTAAAAAGCAATGTCACGAGTTTTACTTTTTAAAAAGAAATAAGGGCCCCTCTGTAGGTTGTCCTAAAACAGTGTTTCTTAAAGTTGGTCCCTCAGCATCGGCATCACCTGGGAACTTGCAAAAATGCATACTCTTGGCCCCAACTCAGATCCATGGAATCAGAAACTCTGGGGAACGGGGCTTGGCAAGCTGTGTTTTAACAGGCCTTCTCAGTGATTCTGATGCATGGGCAAGTCATAGAACCACTGTCCCAGGGCCAACCCATACATTTCTACCTATAACTGTCCAGGGATGTATAATAAATGCTGGGGTTCAGAATAAGTATGCTGAGATCTTTTCATCTATTCCACAATTTAAAAACAATGTACTGCATACCTACTGTGCCCTTGGCTTTATGATGCATGGGCGAAAGTCTATTGTTTTCGATTTTTTGGAGCTCATATGAGCAGGAGATCCTAAGATCTTGAGAAATGTTCAATCTGCAGTCTTCCCACCCCAGCTAATCTCCTAACTGTACTATCCTCACTAAAGGCACTCCAGAAATACTCAGTTGTGGTCACTATGATTACCTAGTAAGACAGTGAAACTGACTTTGCTTTTAGTGTCTTATGTGTGAAAATTCAAAAAGGTTTCTAGCTAACCATGAGTTAATGAGATAATTTAATTAACAAGGACCCAACATTCTCCGAGTGGCTAGTTAGTCACATGACTGTTATATTAGGAAAGCTAAGAAGATGTGTGAGGGCCATTTTATACTTGCCTCACTGACCACTTGAGAGGCCTCTCGGCTGAAATGGAGAATAACACCTGGACCCAGCTCTGGTTTCCCCTGCCTAGAAGGCCAGTAACTCCAATTTGTGTTTACTCCTTCCCTGATTGAATCCACTCATGTATTTTTATCCTATAAAATTCTAATTTAAAATGCCATTCCCTAGAATGTTATACCTTTATTGCTGTTTGTTTGTTTGTTTGTTTTTTAATAATGATATGTTTGAAATATCTAGAAGCCCACAAATACCTCTTTCTCCTAAAGGGAGGTGATCATCTGTTGTTCCAGGTATGAAAATAGTTACTTGACCCATGTACCAGAGACCAATGATGGGGATCAGATGAGGATCAAACAGCAGCTGGAATTATTGTCATATTTTTATCTGAGTAGCTTCTGCCTCTCTTTTTTGATGACACTGAGACCAGGTACCCTGAGAGGGAAGACAATGCTAGGTAGATTTGTGGGGAGGGGGAGCATTAAAAGAGGATAACTTTGTGTGTATTGATCCATTTTTCATTTTTATTTATTTTTACGTTTTTTACTTTTTTGACTGTCAAATGATGGCATATCTTTTTGAACTTTCATGGTAAAAATGATGTTTTCCACCTAAGAAATGCAGGAAATCTTTAGTATTTTGAATGCTTCTTTACATTTGTGGAGGTGATATGCAAAAATCCCCAATCTCTGAGCCTGGAAGATTAATTAGAACAATTGATGGTAAAGAAATTCAGTCCCTGAAATTGAGGCAAGAAGAACCCCAAAATGGGGGGCAAGGAGTGTCTGATAGCCCCATTCCTGAAAACCTTCAGCACAGATTGACCAAACATGACATACTGATCATTAAGGAACCTATAATTGGTGACCAAAAGCACAGTGTGGCTATAATGGCTCTCCCTGAATAGTTGCCGCCATTTATTTATTTATTTATTTATTTTAAGCAAGCGGCTGCTTTCCTAACTTCATGCTGCCCTCTAGTGGTGATGCTCCCGACTTCAGCTAGAAGGTGGAAAGGATGAATGTAGAGATAATGGCGGGAATGGAGGAGGTGGTGACGGGGTGGCTTTTTCCTTTCTTTCTTTTTTCTCTCCTGTCTGAAAGATGTCTGAGTTTCTCACTCAAACATTGAGAAAGAAACGTGAGGCCAGAGCACTTGACCACTGTCCGCTTTGACTGACAGCCTGGTTGATGTGACATCCATCACGGACCCGCACTGAAGGGCACTTCACAAATCTGAAGGGATTCGCATCCCATCTCGGCATGCACTTTGGAATCCAGCCCATCTCAAATCCATTAAGCCCTACCTAGAATACAGACATAGGAGAGAAGGGAAATACACTCACACCAAACTAGTCTTGCAGTTCAAGTTTCTCTCTAAGAAAAAGCAAGTAAGAATGAGCCTGCTAAGTAAGGGTGTGGGTGATCTTTGATGTTCTCCGGAGACCCCTGGTTCCTGTGAACAGGACTGAACAAATAAATAATGAATTTGAAAAGTAAGCGGAAAAGCAAAATTTATATTCCTGTCGCCAAGGCAGTATCTTATAATTCAGGGATATTTCTGGGCTAGATAGAGTTGTATGGGTGCCTGGTCCGGTTCTGTCACTTTCCAAAAGCCAGTTGGAACCTTATTTTTCTCCGCTGTAAAATGAAAGAATTTACCTAAAATGAGGTTCTTTAAATTCTTTCTCAGCTTGAGAATCCTCCAATACAGTTAAAGAAATACTTACAAAGAAAAGTTTACCATTCTGTATTGAAGCATACTAGGCAGTACAGCAAATCACAGAGAATCCTTATAGGACAGTATAAGCAATTCATTGTTTAGGAAGTCAAGAATAAAAACTGTTTCAGGCTTCATCTTTGGCTTGGACCAAAAAAAAAAAAAAAAATGTAACCTGAGGCTAAAAAACAAAATTTGGACTGCTAAGAAGATTTAGCAGTTTATTTGGGGGCTGGGGAGGAGAGGGGTTGTTGGAGTAAGGAAATATTTACCATGGAGTTTGACCTCTCATATTTATAATACATTTCTGTTTGATTGAAATACAATGTGTATAGAGGTAGGAGCCAAAAAAGGGAGCTCCCAATAAAGGGGGCTAGTGAGCCCACCCTCCAATCTGAGAATCTTTCTGTCAGTTGGTACTCACTTGTTACTACCCCCAATCCAAAAAAATAGGAAATTAAAAGGCATTGACATCTAAGCAAAAGTACATTGTCTGTTTCCTTTCCAGGATTCACATAATGGAAATATTCCCTGCCAGATAATGTTTAATCTGTTAGCCTAATATTTCTTTCATGTGGAAAGGACTGAATGGCCCACTCAGTCTGGATAGAGCCACAACGCCTGTAACCTGAGTGTGGGGTCCAGGACCCAAGATGGGAGAGTAGAGAATGTCACTAAGGATCTGCTCAAAGATGCAGTAATTTCTCAGACTTGGACCAGCTTTTCCATTTTCCACTGACAGATTATATGACAGACTATATGAGGAACTTGCCCTGCATTTTTTTCTCCTCTCTTTCCTTCCCCACCTCCCCTTCTTCTTCTAAGATGACAAGCCTCATTTCAGCTGCCCTGGGAGCCCAGGGTATGTTTTCTTGAGGCTCTGGTTTGTCACACGACAATGAGCCTGCCCACTCTGTGACTACCTGTGTAGCCTCCCTGGTCTGGGAGGCTAGCCCCACAGCCTTGCCTGCTGATCACCTTCACGACAAATTTTGCCAGTATCCCTTCCCTGCTGACTGACTTCCTTCCCCTGTTTTTCCTTCCCTACAAACAAGTGGGTGAGACTTGACAAGGCCCAGCATTTGTCTGAGCAGGCTGTATAATCTGTCCTCTCCCAGTGGAAAGCTGCACTGGACGGGTCTGAGCATTGGAGTCAAATGCCCTCTTGTCAAAAGGATAGGTTGCCTGGCATTTTTGCTAGCTTTCTTTCCAGGTATGGTGCATCCTAACCCTTGAATTGGTGCTCCACACTCTAATATTTTGTCTGGCATTTGGTAGAAGACAGCATATCAGAACCCCACAGTTTAGACCCTATCATGCACTTGGTATTCACCTTTGTCCTTCATACTCTTTGTGCTAAGAAATGAATAAAAACTAGTGTTTACTCTACTTTATGATAACAATGTTGGTAGAAATAATCAACCTGGGAAAAAAAGGACAGCAACTAATCCTGCACGTAATATAATTTATGATGAATGAAAAACTGACCAAAGATTTATATCTTGTTGATATATTGAAAACCACACAAATACATGGGGAGGAATTAACCTTGGTAGAAATAATGAAAACAAAATAAAATTGAAATGAGCTAAAACTACACACAATAAAATTTGTTGACTAAAGTTTAAGAGCAGACTCAAGTCTTCTTGTCGCAATTTAGATCTGCAATATTTTACTCAAGAAAATGGGACTTTGTAAAAATAAATGACTCTAAAAGAGATTTAGAAGATGTAATCAGCACAATTTAATATTTGGCCAGAGCTGATTGAGGAATTTAACCTTACTGTAAAAATTACGTGATAAAGAATTGATCCCATTGAAAATAAACTCAATAAAATAGAAATGAAAATGTTAAAAATAGAAATGGTTTTTTGTATTTAAAAATTGATTAAGGAATTAAATTGGCTAAATGGAGTTTGCTGTGAATAATTAATGCTTTCTCAAAGACAAATTACCAGACTAGTTTACATGTTTGTATTTATAAACCTGAAGTCAAAGCATTCCTGGACTCAAATTTGGAGAATTCAAATGTCTACCAATGCAAGACATCAGGGTCAGTGTAGCAGGGTAGGAATACCCCTTGTGGTGTTGTTTTTGTACAGTGAAGGTGAAACAGGAAGCATGGTTTGAAGTGGTCACTGCGGTATTTAGCAAGGACAGTGTGCAGTATCCCCGCCCCCAACCCCCCACCCCCGGCCCCCATGGTGCAAGAGCCCTAACAGAGGTTTTGGGGGTTATAGCATGCACTGTTGCGATGCAGTACCCCATTCCCACCCAATATGCAGATGATAAACCGAGACACTTGCCTGAAGTCCTGCTCAGCTAGGTTGGGAAACAAGTCTCACACTTTTTTTTTCCTTCTCCACCCTCCCCTGGGTAAGGTGTAGAGCCTTTCTTCATTTCATCTCCAACCTAAGGCATCTCAGATGTGCGGCAGATGAAGGGAAAATATACTGGGTGGAGAAGAAGGTCTTTGTCCTCCTTCCTCAAAAACTGCTTCCACACAATCCCTTCCCCTAAGACCTTTTAAAGTCTCTCTTCTTTATTCTGTCTTAGTATTTAAGTAGCTTACACTGAAGTAGGATGTTGTGCTAGGAGCCTGTCATTTCTCAGGCTCCACTAAATCCTGTGTGATAGCCACAGCAGAGCTGATAGCACATCACATGGGCTGACCTCAGGGTATTGCTCCAGCTACTTCTCAAGATCATAAAACATGGGTGTTTATTCCTTTCCAGTTCCCCATGTATTCACGGCCTGCACTTAACAAAGACTGAGGAATGTGCTTTCTGGGGAATGTCCCTTCCCACTGTATGATGTTTACAGCTCTTTAGGCCAGATGATAATGTTCACTGCACTTCTCTCTTTTCAACTAGATGTTGTGATTGCTTTGTTTTTGTGGGAGGAAAGTGTTTGGGGTAAAAACACCACCACGATTTAGGAACTGTGGCTGTTGCCTCCTATTACTCTTTGTTGTTCAATGGGGCAAATATTTAATCCGTATATATTTTCAGAGTGTTTCAAATGTCTGAAGTCATACCAGAGGTTAAAAGATGAGTGTCCAGCAATTGACATTCCTTACTTTGTGGATTCTGTGTAAATTTTATGTACATGATTATTTTAATGGTATTAATTTATTTAACAAATATTTATTGAACATCTCATCTGTACCAAGTGCAGATGCTCTCCAACTTACGAAGGTTCAACCTATAATTGTTTAACCTTACAAAGCCGTACACATTTGATAGAAGATGTAACCCCATTGTAAGTTGAAGGGCTTACAACTTCAGATAGTTTCAAGTAATGATGCATTTTTGATTTACAATAATTTCAACTTACAATAGGTTTATTGGGATGTAGCTCCATGGTAAACAAGATGCTTCTGTATGGTTTTAGGTACCGGGTGTTAGAAATTGGGGAGGAGGGAGAATATTATAGGGGATGACACATTTATGGACATGTATAGAGTCCCATGGAAACATTGTTCTAGAGCCTTCTGCAGTGGACCAAGACGCTCCTGATCACCTTTTCCTCTCTGTCACTGGGCCCATCTACCTCTTCACAACATTGTTATCACCTTTTGCAGGGGTCAGGAGGTACCTAGTTCCTTCGTTTCTCATACAGATGAGAGAACAGGAGTTCTGTGGGGGAACCCTTCATCCCCTGCCTCCATCCTAGGGGTAATTATAAACTCCTAGTATCACAATGGGATCAAGATATGTTTGTGATTTCATAGCTACATTTATAAACTCATATGAAATGCATTTAAAATAATGATCCCTAAAGTGATGACTACCAAAACTAACAATAGTGATAATTATTCTATTTTACAAATATAAATGTGTTGGTCCAACCTGCACTCCAATGTCAAATGCATTTTTGTATTTTTATATGCAGATTGTTTTTCACCACTAAAATATTAATGACAGACCACTTGCTTTGATGGCTGGGCTTTAGTTCTGTTGAATACGGAGTTATGAGACTTGGGCTTATGCCAAAGCCAGTGGGATACAGCTTAGTTAGTGGTCAGCACTTCTAGCTGTATGAAATGCAGATTGCAGGAAAGTTAATGAAAACCCTTTCCTCAAGGATTTTGGGGTCCCCCAGAGGCCCCCTTCTATCCAGGTTATACTGTGGGGTTACAGGCTGGATGGGTTTCAAGGGCTGACTTAGTCCAAATCAATTTTTTTATTGACTGACCTGTTGAATTTGTCTCCTGCATCAGGCAATATTGGACCTGGTGTTCTCATCTTCATAAGGAAAACATTGGAAAATGCCAAATCACCTATTTCAGAGCTAAAATGAACCTCTGAGATTATCTGGCCCCTTGCCCTTGTTTTACAAATGGGGAAACCTGCCCAGTGAGAGAAAGGGATGTGTACATGGTCACATGACTGTTGGGGCAGGGCTGGATCTAAATGCAGGTCTTCCCCCACTTCCCCTTACTAAATAGACTATTGAACTGCAGCTGGAAGTGTGAGGCCATCCAGGAATCAGGGAGTCCAGGATGCTGGATGAATGGATGTGCAAGAATTCCCTTCCCTGGACTGGGCTCTCAGGGCCTCCCCCAGCAAAATCTCTGGTACTGACCCTGCAGTCCCAGCCTCACATCCAAGAAAGGAGGCTGATTCCCACCCACTTAGGCAGCCCCAAGGTTATAACTTAACCTGCATAATTAGGATGTCCATTCCAGAGGGGAAAAACATGGAAAAGATAAAGGGCCTCTTTAAAACAGATTCTTCCTGATACTTTTTTTTCATAATTATAGCTTTAACAGCTTATGGTGATGGGAAAGCTGGCTACTTAAGAAAAATTAGGAGTCTCATTTGGCAGGAGAGAATTCCCCAGGGGATGTTGCCCTGTCATTTTTCAGGGTCTTTCGAAAAGAAACCCCACACAGACAGCTGCACGTCAGCCTGACACAGGGCAAGCCTGCTTTACTTACTATGGCCAAAGCCAGATCTTTTAATTAAAAACACTGCATATGCCATTAAATGTGTTGTTCCCCCTCCAGTCCCAAGAAGTTGTAGTTTGAAGAGATAGAAACAAATGAATCCGTTGCAGATGTGTAGAGAAACCATTGCCTACTGAGTCACAAACCAGCGGGTTCCCAAATTCCAGCCTCGGAGTGCCTCCCCATCAAAATGTTCTTTGCAAGCAAACTGTTCCCTCCGTAATTTTCACAGTTGATGGCAGTTGCCATGGCGGGAGAAGAAGGGCTGTGGGGAGGACGAGGGAGAGAGAAACACAATGCCACCTCACTTAATTTACGAGCAGAGCCTCATATTTTACAAATAACCTTCATGATAAATAAAGGCCTGTGGCCACACATGGGACTGTGCTGTTTCGTGCATGTTTGCTTTTCCTGGTTAATTTTATTTATTTATTTTTGAACACAAAAGTCACATATTGGGGGTAATCACATCCCAACTCTGAGCTCTGGGAGGAGACTCACAGAGGCAATTCTCGCTTAATTTCAGCTGCTGGAGATGGTTTGAGTTTGACAATTTCAGCCGATTCTTAGCATTGCTAGCCAGAGCACCTTTCTCCCCGGGCGAGCACCAGCAGCTGGATCTCATTTTCAACTGCCAGGCCGTCCCCACGCCTTCCTGGAGCAGCCCACAGACTGAGTGCCGTCCTTTCTGGGAGTTTATTCAAGGTGACAGCTCCTCACACAATGGCCTTCTGATCACCTCAAGTAGCCAAGATATCAGTGGGGTCGGGCGTGCTCCTCCTGCAAATTCCAAATTTAGATTGACTGAGGTTATCCTTAGGCCCCTTGACCCCACCACTCCAGCAGAACAGAACTGCCAGGACCTTTGCAGCCACAGTGAGTTTTGTAATGATGTCTGGGGAGAGATGTTCTGCAGGGGCAGGCAGAGACGACCCCAAGTGATGGGGAGTGATGTCAGCTTTCGTTAGAGCCGCAGGCAGCGTTAGAATATCCTTGGCATAATATGGCGCTGGTATCTCTGTCAGTATCTCTGTTTTCTGTCACCGCACACAATCCTGGGCCTGTCTGCAACCCTGATGGTGTCTTTTCAGATCAGGCTGTTGCCAGCACAGAGACTAGCTCGGCTCTTCACCACACAGCCCCTTTGTTTGAAGTCTGCCCTTTTGTCGTTAATGCACTTGATGTCTATTTAAATCTGACAGTGAATGCAGTATCTGTTTTCCTGTCAAGAGATCATTGACAATATTAATACCTCATGTCCTTGCCTCATTTTCCAAGTGCTGACACCTAGCCGCAGTCTCCTGCATTCATCAAACAGCCTTCTCTCACCAGGATGTCTATAAACATTCTTGCTTCCAGGCCCAAAGAAACAGGGTAGGCCTTAAAAAGGACTTTTATCAATGCCAGCCAGAAAGAAGGCTCGGGAATGTGGCACAGAACACATCCCAGCCCACGTTCCAGGAGCATCCAGCCTGTTTCTAGGGCGGCACTTGCCATTCAAGTTGCATGTAAGTGAGATCTGGAGTCGAAGTTTACCCTGGAGAAAGGGAAGAAAAAAAAAGCAGTTGAATCCGTGAATGTACTGGAGAGTTTACTGGAGAGAGGGCACTCATGGTGGGTGGTGTGTGTGTGTGTGTGTGTGTGTGTGGTGTGTGTGTGTGTTTGCCTTTCATCCTTTTGCTTAAGAGAAAGATTGTGTTCTTTATGACATCCGACAGACCTATCTGTTCCTTTTTATTAAAATTCATGTTATCCTAGTGCCATAGAAATAAATTAGCATCCTTTGGCCCCATGCTTCCACATTCTTCAGGGTTTATTTGAATCAATTATGTTTAAGGAAGCCCTCTGTGGATACCTGGCAGAACTGAGGCACTCCCACCCAGGCCTGTAGTGGATGCTATTCCTGGAGCAGAGCCTGATCAGCCAAGCCCACAGACCAGCAGGATCCTGGCATGGGTGACAATATTAGTACAATGCTGATGGCTACATAATTCAGCACGATAAAGGAAACAGCTCAATGCCAACAACTAAAAGAATAATTTAGGTCCCAAGAAGGGTCTCAGTGAGGTTCCATCCAAGCTCAAAGTTTCCAGGCACCAGACCAATACTGAAAACCAGAAATTGGGGATTAGGGGCCAAGGAGAAAGCATGACCAAGGAGGAGGAATGAGCCACAGTAAACTTACTCATGGGAACATGGCAGGAAGTAAAACTAATGAGAGTGAGCCCAAGGCCAGCTTTGAGGCCGTGGAACAATGTCACCCTCTCTCCATTGCCAACTCTGATAGACTATTTGACCCCAGCAATTTCTAGCTTTGTTCCAAGCCATCCAAACCAGGGAGCATCTGCTCTGTCCTTAAAAGTTTCTAAAAGTCATTTTGATCCTTATGTAAGAATAAGGTTTGAAGTTTTGTAGTGGAGAAACATCTCTTTTACAGTTGCAAAAATATTTACTACTTAGAACTTCTGATGTGAAGAACCTGGTTAATTTCAAGTGCTAATTTATCACAAATTAACCAAAAAAAAAAAAAAAAAAAAAATGGGCTTGTTGGTTTCACACTATCACACTGATGGAAAAAAAAATCATCATGTCCCTAGGTAGCTATTTTCACAGGCAGATTTGTGGCTATTGAATGACTGTCTTATGGACATTTCCTTTCTTTGTTTTTTTCTAGTTGTGTACAGTTCAGAGACTCAAGTCCGATTAGCGCTAAGACAACTCTGTCCAACTGAATTTAAAATAGGTTTTTCTAAAAATAGAAGAAAATAAAAATGCAGGTGGCAAAAACAAAACAGATTTTTCCTTGATAATCCTACAGAGCTTTCATAATAACTATGGAAGTGATTTCTTATGGGCATTTAGAATAAATAATGAGTTGATTAAAAAGTTCAACCCTATTGTAGGGGCATTTTTCATTGTTAAGTCTCCTACAATCTCCTTGAATGAGAGGAGAGCCTTATACGGAGCCACAGAGTTACTTAAAGTAAAACTGAAAATGGAAATCAAATGCATTCTGACCAGAGAAAGAGAGTTCAGGATTCCTGTAAGAAGCCATTTAATGGGAGGCTCTTGTTCCTGTCCATGTGGTGTTTTTTTTTGTTTTTGTTTTTTTGTTTTTTTGAGACGGTGTCTCTCCCTGTCGCCCAGGCTGGAGTGCACTGGCGCGATCTCGGCTCACTGCAAGCTCCACCTCCCGGGTTCACGCCATTCTCCTGCCTCAGCCTCCCGAGTAGCTGGGACTACAGGCACCTGCCACCACGCCCAGCTAATTTTTTTAATATTTTTAGTAGAGACGGAGTTTCATCATGTTAGACAAGATGGTCTCGATCTCCTGACCTTGTGATCCACCTGCCTCGGCCTCCCAAAGTGCTGGGATTACAGGCGTGAGCCACCACGCCCGGCCATTCATATGGTATTTTGTCAACACCACCTCTCTTCCTTAATCATCCCATATGTGCTCAATGCCTGGTGCCTGCCAGAATTTGGAATATTCTCTCTGGAAGTCAACAACATTGCTTCATGATAAAGGGTATCAAAATAGTCACATTCTGGGAAGATTGTTCTACATCTTTTACTTGGGCTGGGTTCATCTTTAAACTCTTAATTTTCCATTCTTTGAAACTCTACTAAGGGAAACTGGCGTGAGGAGAGGCTACATTCTGGGGAGTAATTGGCCAAATTAGAAAAGTACCTAGCATGTGGAAGAGAAGTCATGCAGAAAGTGATATTCCTAGGAGCCTATACTTGTAGTGACATTTTATTTCAATGTCAACTCTGAGGTTGACAGAATCTTCTTGTCTGTGAGGACAAAAAGGGAGAGTTCTTCCCTTCTGGAGCTTCATCCACTTTCTGCTGCCCATTGGATCTATGATTATCTTGCATGTCTGCTTTTCAGCACCTGTGTTTCCCTGCTATGCTAAGTGTGCCACCTGTAATGATGTGTGTCTTTTTATTTGCAGGTGTCCTGGGGAAGTGTCGCTACGTTTACTATGGGAAAAACTCAGAGGGCAACAGGTTTATCCGAGATGACCAGCTCTGAAGCCAACTTCTGTATACCTTCACCCATTTCATGAAAATAAAATCAAAAGGGAAATCAAAAATAAAGAAAACGCTAAAGAAAAAACAATAGCCCACATTGCCTCTCTTTGGGAAAAGCTATGACTTCAGCTTTTGGTACCTTCCGCTGACTTTGCCAGGCCTGTCAAGATGATCCTTCTGCCTTAGACTGAGTGGTCACATAGAGATTGACATGATTGCCCTTAAGCAGGTCTCATCCACCAGGGTGACAGACAGCGGTGGCAAAGCAACAGGGCTGACAGCATGAACACCATGATAGATTGCCTGGTCCTGCCACTGCTCACAGGGGAGCAGAGGTCACACCTGGGGCCTCCCTGGACATGCTCAGTGGCTGCAGTCAAGTGAGAAAGACTGTCCTCAGCTCGCCTATTGAATTGAAATCCCTCTGATACCATCGTGCTGTGGGCTTATTTTTAGTGAAATAGTCACAGTTTAGGGGATGGCCATTCTCCCTCACTCCTTTTAAATCTTAACGTCCTGTATTCTGCATATACATAGCTCCCGTCTCTTCCCCTCCACCTTCCTTTAGCATCGATTTTATGACAGGTGGTGCATTTCAGTTTGCAGTTTTTCGGAGAACAAGGTATAACTTCCCAGCCAGGTCATACATTTATGGCTGGCTTCATGTTGCTACAATCCCTTTATTGGCGTAAATAGCTTTCCCTAAATCCCTGACTACAAAAGCGTGGACTTTTATCTTGTTTCATTCAACTCTAAATCCACTTCTTGCCCTGAATATGATGCAGTGTAAGGCATAAGGCATCTTTCTCAGCATGAGGGTTTGGTTGCACCAGGGACTCTTATTTATTAATTTATTTTTAACCGTACACACTTCCAGTGATGCCTGTGGCCATACTTGTGCGTGGGGCTGGCTTGCTCCTTTGGGTGCTATTTAAAGGGAGTGAGGTGATGAAAGATAGAGTGAAGGGTCAGGAGGTTAAAAAACAAAATTAAGACTGTTGAAAACACCCACCAGACCAAAGAGTTTTTATAGAAGGCACAAACCTTTTGGATTTTGCATCTTTGTCATGACCTCTCAGAAATCAAATCCACAGGTTGTGAGACAGTGCTCTGTCTTCCTGTATGCTTGGCTGTGCACTAGCACTAATGTCACAAGGAACATAAGTGTGATCATTGCTAGTTGGGTGACTCAAAGTTTATCTAACTTGCTGGTGCACCAGTCAAATCACTCTAGAAGATGTTCAAAAGGTTGATTGATTGTTCTTGACACGATAGTGTTTATTTTTCTGCTTCTTCCATTTAGACCAAGTGTTCATTGTCCTCCCAGTATTAGGTCAGTTTGATGACAGCAAAACCTGAAAGAGAATCCCTCCAAGTTATAGATACTGAGGGACTAGGAGCTGCTATTGTAAAACTATGGGGACTCAGAATCCCTAAGCTGCCCAAGGAGAACCTACTTTCTCAGCTCTAGCCCGTTTACATAGCCTCTGGCCCACTGAGTCAACACAGGCCTTGAATGACATGTATTGAGGCTGGCAGGAGTCCCTGTTTGAGATTACACAACCTTTGTTAATCAGTTCTTTAGACAAGTTAACATTAAAATCCTCAAAACCATGAAAAATTGGAGAATGTTGAATGTTTGCATTTATCTCTCAAATCCATTAGTAACTGGATTTGAGTACCTTTTCTCTGTTTGATCTACAAAACAGCACTGGAAAAATGCTTTAAATTATCTGCATTTGGTCCCACCCTGGGTCATTGTTTAGAAGCATCAACACATGTTTTCTCCCTGGCATAATATGGGCAGCCAGAATTCTGTGCAAGGGCAGCTAGACGAGTCAGATGTCATATCCAATCTAGCCACACATATATCCTTGTCTTTATAAAAGGCTTTAACCCTGCCTCAAACAATAAAAAAGCACTTGTGAACTGACCACAGAATTTTTCCATCTTTATTTTTCTTACTTGTTTACTTTTTTTAATGTCAGAACCATTTGTATCATGCGCAGGAATGTCTCCCTCAATGTGAGCTTTGGAGGCAAAACATATTTTTGGAGTGAGTTATTGACCACATTGTTTCCCTCTCTTTGGGTTGTTTATTTTCTTCCAGAATGGTGTAATAACTTTAATTAAGATTAGCTTTAATTATAAATTACCTAAAGGCCATCACTAAGGTATATTCATCTTATTGATAGAATTATAGTCAGCTTTGTTTCTCTTAAGCAGGGATAGTGATAATGAAGTGCTGGGTTGGTTACAGTTCCACTGTGTGTTAACCAAAATTTGCTGTGCTAGAGCTAGACTTTGGTCTGAATTGGCAGAGGTAGAACCCATGTTGCATGTTTATCCTAAATCTGTAGGAATTTCCCAAACCTTGTTTTTCAAAGTTGAGAAGTAGAAAGTAATAAATTCAATCAGGGCCCAGACATGTTTTGTACCCCCTTTACCCTTTGGTCTTTCTTCCTTTTATCCTATTCCACTGAGCTTGTTCTTTGGGGATTGTGGTGCCTGACATCACTGTCTTTCCTCCCCTAGGACACTGACTTGAGTGGAGAGACCTCGGCAATTCAAGGCTGTCCTGCAGCTCTCTGTTGCCTCAGCAATGTCAGGACGACTGTCTCTTTCCTAAGTAACATAATTTTAAAGAACAATTTGTTCCTCAGGGAATAATGTCTTGGATTGTGGGGAATCCTATTAAAAGTACAACTATTGCAGTCATTTGCTTTTACTTTTACCAGCCTCACTCATAAACCCTCCATCTGTTTGTTGCTTTAAATAGAAGCACATTATAAGAGATTATCACTTGATCAGGCTGCATGTCTGAGTGTTGTGTGTTTTCACATACTCATGTATACTAAGGAATAAAAGAAAGCAAACCACAGATTCTGGATGAAAGGATTTTTCATTTGTTTGTGTGTGTGTGTGTGTGTGTGTGCATGTGTGTGTTTCCAGCGGAGATGTATCTTGTACATTTTCAAGGGAAAAATGTCTTTCTTGCTGTTTTCAAGAAATAACCTGGCTGTCTTTCTTCTTTTCTTTGTTAACATGCAGACCAAAAACAATCCACAGGACCCTTTTCATCAAAACAATAATGGTGTTTAGTACTTGCTACTTGCAAGGGCAGCCTAAATCAGGTCTGTGTGGCTGCAACACAGGTAATGCCCAGCGTGGACACAATAGTACCCATTGAGACTCTTCCCTGCTGTCCATCATTGTAGCTGATCCAATGTGACCTTTGACCACTTGCTTCTTCCGGTTCTGTTTCCAGGAAGAAACCTTCACTGAAGAAGGGCGCTACCATTACTCGATTCTCTCTAAGTTGTTCAAATACCATGCAGGAAACTGACTGTTATGAGTAAGACCTGGAAAGGAAAATGACACCAGAGAAGCACAAAGAATGTTGATTACCTGTTTATATGACAACTGGACCATCGGCTTGTGGTACAGTGTTGTGTATTACTTCTTCTAATGCATCAGCAACCCCTCAAATGACCCAAAGAACATTGAAAGCCACAACCACTGTTCAAAATATTGTCTTCCTACAAGTCTACCTGAAATTTCCCAGCATTGGGAGTTCCCATCCTTTGGGTAATTATAATGCTAAGTGTTAATTTGTCACTTTGTGGTTGGGATAGGTCATAAATTGTGTTATTTGTGCATATTATCATATAAGCACATGCTAATTCTTCTAGAGTATCTTGGAATGTGGCCCAGAGAACAACCAACCTGGGACAAGGGAATTTTGCTAAGAAACAGTAGGGGAAATTCTAAGTATGGAATGTGTATGGGGGAGAGTTGCTATAGTAGGAATGATATAAATGGCAATAAATGGGATTATGCCAAGAGACAGAATGCAGCAGAATTAAAATGTGGCATCTTCATGGATAGGAGTAAGTTGAGAAGGAAAGGGAAAAGATAGTTTTCTGCCAGTTAAAAGGTTTGCTGATATTCAGCACTACAGTGATGTTTAGGGATATTTTATCCTCAAAATTGAGTCATCTTTCATGTAAATGAGTGTCCACCAATTTAATGTTTTACAAGATTTTCTGCCCAACACAATGAAACAGTGTGGAAAAGATGGTTCATGGAGCACTGTGGGAACAAATGATCGTGGTGGCTGCATATGGACAGAGATGACTGTGGCTGGTACCTAATATTCTACAAACTCAGCATCCTAAGGCAAGTGCCTCAGCTCTGGAGTGGCTAAAAAATACAAGGTAAACTTATGATCTGGGCAGTCATATGAAAGAGAAAATAGTTCTGTGGTCATGGGAAGTCTTCGTATATTCATCAAGTTCAGAGGTAGATGGACACCTTGACAAGATAACATAAAAAAAACAAAAATATTTAAAGAAAAAGACGAGTGCCTGTATATGGGGCAGAAGATGCTGGCAATAGGATTTAACTGTTATTGGCATGCAGGCAGCGAATGAGAACTTAGCTCATAGGAAGTGTGAATAACATCTTAGTTCAAGTGGATTACCTGGATTAACATGCAGAATATTCTAGAAATAATGTTTATATTTTGTCACATCAATTACTTTAAGTCAACTTTTCCTTCTTTGTATTGGAATAGTTCTCTCAATGTTATAAATAGGAATGAATTTTAAAACTCTGGGATAATTTCCTTTAGACAGGAACTTTCCAATTTAGGTGTTTGTGATGAGAGGGAAAAAGTCCTGCCAGTGGGCTTAAGCACAATATTTAGGCTATTCTAGTTACAGAGTATCAAAGTAGGTAAGAACTAATGTATATTATTTATTTACAAAGGCTAAATTTAATAAATCATAGTCTAAATCATAATAATTAAGTGCTACTATAAAAGAAATTTCCCTTGAAGCGAGATAGAAATAAAATTTAACACCCAGGTAGAGTATGGTGTTTTAATTTTTATGTTATTACTATTTAAAGTAATCTTTTATGAAAAAATGTACTCTGACTTCCACCCCACATTCAGTTTTTCAGGCTGTGCTTATGATAGAAACAGCGTTTGGGGGCAAAATATAACTTAATTAGAATAATAACAATGACAGCTACGAAGTCTTCTAAAATTTTTAACTAATTACTTGGGTTATTAGACAAAGAGAGAGAGAGAGAGAGAATGTGTATGAGAGAGTTTAGGATCTGAGTAGAGAATTCCTATTACTGACATACGTTTTCTAAGTTTTGCATGGACTCCAAAATAGGTCAGTAATTATCCCATTACCATGTTACATAGAAAAATGCATCTATTTCATACCTGATTAATTAATATCTACTTTGTGTCCTCCTTTCCTATGAATTGCTGATCTACATTTTATGACATCAGTCATAAAGTGCTCAGGCTGTGGTGTGACAGTGTCATGATGTTTTTGTTTTTACCCTTCTTGGCCTTTTAAACACAGGATCATTGTTCAGAGGGTCACTTAGAGCAATTTTGTTTTAATTAAGAGAGATCTTTGATGCTCAAAGAAAAACAGATTACATGAGTTATCTCCAAAAGTTACTGTATGAAACCAGGTTTCATTTATAGACTGTCCATATTCCCCTATATTTTTACATTCATACACAATAGCCATATTTCCTTATTTACATAGAAAGGTTGTCTTCCCCAAAATAACTCTGTTTTCTACAGGGCTATAGCACAACATTCATATTCTGTAGCCACATTGGCTACATTCTCAAACACAATAAATGTCCAAATGCCTCCAGTTAGAACACTTACCTCCCCTCCTCTTTTAAAAAACTTCATTTGGTGTGCTCACTCAGAATGATCCATTTTCAGAGGATCACAATAGAGTATAAAAATATTGGGACTTAATGGTCAACACATTCCTTGAAGGTCTAGAATAAATGATGATAATGAAGGTTACTATCACCAGAAAAGGGTCATATTTCGGTGTAGATATTTTGTTAAGTTAGGTTTAACCATTGCTTGGAAAATTACATTTAGCTGAAAAAATTAGGATCGCAACTCTAATTTATTAGATAAATCTTGCAGATTTATACTTATAAACATTTGTGTATATAATATAGATATAGGGTATTGGTTTATCAAATATTAAAATGGAATTTACAATTCCATTTTGGCTAGTTTGGCCTATGGACCACTTTAGTGGACAATATTATGGGCTTCTTTGCTCTAGTTCATTCATGATACACAAATGCACACACTCATAAACACATAAATAATGGTTACTATAATTATTTTGCAATATCATCATTAAAACAAGCACTAAAACTGTCATTTTACTAAAATGTGTTGGTCAAGAAACAACTAGTTGTAGAAGTATGTGCTACTGGAAGCATCTGTTTACTTCATGCAGATCAGTAATATAAATAGATGAAATACTCTTAAGAATACAAATTGGCTATAAATATTTAAAAACTCTAACATTTGCCATTACTTCTGATTTGCTCCCACCACACTGTTGGGTCACTTCTTTAGAAATATTTTCCAAGTAATTCTTGGTTTATATGGTTTACATGGCCCTCTTAGGTTTTGAAGCTTTTTAAAAAACAATGCTAATTTGTATCTGTAAGGATGCGTATCCATGCACTCATTTCACAAATATTCATTGGGTACCCTTAGTATGCTAGAAAGTTACAAATACAAGGGGATAATAAGAGGATGTCCTGCTTTTTGACAAATTTCTGTCTGGAGTAGACTAATATATATACAAAAATTATTATATGCTGGGATAGATATTAAGTTAGAAATTGCACTAAAGAACTACATGAATTAAGGCGCTAGAAATGATGGTGGGAAGTTAATTCCAAATGTAGCCATAATCCAACCATATCTGCAGTTAGCATCTTGACCCGAGACACCAACATTTCTTAACCTGGATTATTGATTACGTCCACCTCCCTACCAAGTCTCCTGATTGTACTCTTAACTTTGTACAGCCTATTCTTTGCAGGAAAGCCAGTGTGATCCCCTAAAAATGCTCAGTCACATCCTGTGGTTCTACTACCCATTTCCCATCAGCGGTTTCCCATCTCACTTGGAGTAAAAGTTAGAGTCCTTTCAAGACCCTTTATGGCCCTACATAATTGGTTTTAGAGAAATCAGGGAATCAGTGACCCAATAGCTGTGAGAGTGAAACAGAAATAAATGCCCACACCACCCCTCACTGCTCTCCACTCCAGTCACACTGGACTACAAGGAGCACATTGTGGCTCTAGGACTTTGCCCTTGCTGTTCCCTCTGACTGTAATGTTCTTCCCCTAGACAACCCCATGAAGTGCCACTTCAATTCATTCAGATTTTTGCTCAAACGCAACCTCACTAGAGAGGCCTTCTTGGACCACCCACCCACTTATCACACTCTACTTACTTTGCTTTGTTTTTCTCTGTTGCACTTACCACTGCTTCACATATTAGATATTTATTTGCTTTTTCATTTATTATTCAAACAAAGGGGTGCCTTGAGGGTGCCTTGACATATAGCAGGCCCTCAATAAATAATCATTTTATGAATGAATGAAAGAATGGTTCTAATTCACAGAGGTCTATTAGGCTGTGTTTACAAACATATTGTTGCATATTGAGCAAGATGAGTCTCTTTTATCAAATGAGTTTTCAATGGAAAGTTTTCTGCTCCTTTCTTTAACCTAAATCAGGCAAACAAATACTTCATTCCATTCCAGAACAATGTACAATGAGGAAGCGTGAGACAATGAAAATGGGTTAAGATTGAAACAGGAAAGAAAATGAATGTCAAGAAGTAGAATGACTAGATGATATGCAACATGACATTGGATGGATTTGAAATGCAGTGTAAGCTTTACAGGGTTGCTTTTCCAATTATTTCCCATGCAACCAGCAGGCTGTGTGGAATTGGTTGTGGACACTATAAGTAATATAGATCAGAGATTATATTTGTAGAAGCAGAAGCTCTTTTCACTCAATTAAAAATTAATCAAACATGTAAATTCTTTATTATAACTCTTTTACACCATTTTACTGATAAGATATACACAAAGCAAGATTTAAGGAGAAATCTAAAGGAAGCATAATATTATTTATAAACTCTTCTTAGACATTATTAAATTATGGTTTTATCTCAAGATATGAATAGAACTAGCTCATTTTAAGTTGGTAACTTAGCATCCAGACTTTCTCAAAACTTCTGATTTGATAATCAGAAGTAAGATAATGAAATTTTTTTCCTGCACTGTGGGAACAGAATTTATTAGTCTAATTAAGTAATGATAATTTTATGCAAATGCTGTTATAAACTCATTACAGGCATTAACTAATTTACTTATCCTACAGCTCCATGAAATAAGTGCTATTATTGTCTCCATTTTAAAGATAAGAAAACTAAGGCCTTGAAAGGCTCAATACCATGGACCGAATACACACAGGAGTAGATGTGAAAGCCGGATCTTAGCTCAGGCTGTCTGGGCCCAGAGTTGATACTCTCTATCATTGTAATATCTCTATGACAGCCATCCCTTATTTGTAAAGCTGCATATTTTTCTGATGATGGAGATAGTGCGCATGATATTTTTGAAGCTTCTTTGGTGGAACAACTCTTTAAAACTCAGTCATTCATAAAATGAGGATTCGTGTTAACAAAAGGGAAAAAATGGTGTTATATAACTCTACAACCCCAATCATTCCCTGAAATCAGTGCCAAAAAACAAACAAACAAAATAAGCAAAAACAACATACTTTGTATAAATCCAAGCTACTCCCAAATGAAAAATATTTTCTGATGTTTAAGACTTTTGAAGATTTTCTATGAACACATAGTGTGATGAAAGAATCAATAACTTGGAAATCTGACATCCTGATCTTGATTTCTGCTATTTGGTCAATGGGCAATCATTAGTTATGTTGTAAGATGGAAAAACTCCATCTTAGTGGATGGTCCAGCAGAGCCAATAGAGCTTGGCTCTCTTTCTGCTCTGCTTCTCCCTGACTATACTCATCTCTCTGGTCTTCAAATTCTGTGCTGTTTAAGAAGGATAGGAAGCCTGTCCAAAGGCAGATAACACCATTGAGGATAATCACCAATGTCTCTCCAAACTTGGAGTTTAGTAACTTGTGAGATATAATGCATATGAAAGTGCTCTGCAAAACAAAGTGCTACCCAAGCATAAATGATTATATGGTAGAATGCAAACTCTGAAGGCATTTTTGAAAAGGAAGTTTTAGAAATATTTTAGGTGATCAGATTCCTTCTTGGAATTAGGGCATAGTCTCTCAAGATGACTACTTTGAAGCAGATCAGACCACAACATTTTGCATCATTCCTGGAGGGGGGATTCTAAAATTAGTCACCATTTTATAGCTAAGTCTTATATACTCGGTTATATATGCGTTAGTGGTGTTTAGACTTCATGCGTGGTATTTTTCATATGCCATGTTTTCATTTGGTGATAATCATTCATGGCTTTTTCCCTACTTTATGTATTCCTCATAATTAGAAAGTATGAATTTAAAACTTCTTCTGGCTTCTATTTATTCATTAGGGCCAGATTAGGGTAAGGTGAGTGAGGCAGTCACCTTGGGAGCAATTGTAAGATGCTACAAATCTCACTAA
Organism: Homo sapiens; assembly: GCF_000001405.40. NCBI lineage: Eukaryota > Metazoa > Chordata > Mammalia > Primates > Hominidae > Homo > Homo sapiens. The sequence goes on from NC_000010.11 coordinate 76,566,824, forward strand.
CCAGGATACTAATGTTTTAATAAAATATTTTTAAAGCCCAAATTAATGCATATAATTAATGATGAACAAAATATCAAATGTTAAATAAAAACTTTTCCTTTTGCCCCAGGCTCCATCCACTATGAGTCAACACAGCACCATATTCACCTGTTCAATTCTATCCTTAAAAAGCATCAAAGTCGGCCGGGCACGGTGGCTCACACCTGTAATCCCAGCACTTTGGGAGTTCAAGGCGGGTGGATCACGAGGTCAGGAGATCGAGACCATCCTGGCTAACACAGTGAAACCCCGTCTCTACTTAAAATACAAAAAATTAGCTGGGCGTGGTGGCGGGCGCCTGTAGTTCCAGTTACTCGGGAGGCTGAGGCAGGAGAATGGCGTGAACCCGGGAGGCGGAGCTTGCAGTGAGCCGAGATCGCGCCACTGCACTCCAGTCTGGGCGACAGAGCGAGACTCTGTCTCAAAAATAAACAAACAAAACAAAACAAAACCATCAAAGTCAACAATCCCACCTTCTCTCTCCCACTTTCCATATGTTAGTTTCTACTTGTGTGCTAAAAATATCAGCATATTTTCATGATAATCACTCAGAATTCTTCCTTTGCCTTCTTGCTCCCAACTTGTTTTATGTGTACTTATCTCGCTGAAGGGTCAGAAAGATCCTATCTTCCTTGCTCTATGTCTGACTTTAGTGCTGTTTCCAAGTTTGGCCATTCATTCTCATTTGGTTTTAGTAATTTTTCAGACATTCCTCTTGACCTATTGGGCCTTGACACTTTTACTCAGACTTTCCTCAATCTTTAGATGTCCCCGGTTGCCTGGGGTAAGAAACTCTGTGTCAAGCCACTGTAAGCCCAACCCTGACTGGGCCAAACCCCTTGTGGAAAAATGGGGGAAATTTGAACATTACTTATTTGATGGATATTTAAAAATCCTTGGGCCTGTCAACACTCAACATTGGCTTAATTTACAGCTAAAAATCTTAAACTGTGGTTTGTAGCTAGCTTCTTTACTGAAGACTAAGCCTTCGCCTTAACCATCTGTGATGGTTTCTCTTATCTTTGTATTTTTCCCATTTAGCTATTAAAGCAACTTTCAATGGTTTTTACTTCTTCTCTTGGACATTGTTTTCTTCTTCTACACAGTTTGGCAGACAACTGACAGAGACTGATGCCTTCTATTCATCAATCCCTGCATATGAAAAGAATGAGTTCCATGTTTGTCTAGCAGTCTTTCTCCCCACCTTAGAAGAACTGGCAAATAGTGTGTGTATATGTGTTTTTTTTTTTAAATAGACTTTATTTTTTAGAGCAGTTTTAGGTTACAGCAAAATTCAGCAGAAGACAGAGATTCCCATATCCCTTCTTTTTATACAAATGGATGCCTATGCAATGCCCACATCTTCTTTTTTTCCCTTACCCCCTAAAGAACAAAGATGGATAACATAATATTGCTAGAAGACATACTAAACCAAAAAGATATTATGATTATGAATGCATATACATCTATCAATGTAGGCTCAAATATGTATAAAACAACTGGTAGAACAGTGTGGAGAAAAAGAAAACTAAGCAATTTTAGTTGGAAGTTTGTAGACATTCATTATGCAGAGTGTTCCAAAATCTTACTGACATTTTACGCTTTCATGACTCTACCTTCAAATGCTACAAAATTACAAAAATATCATTTGATCATATAATTATTTACACTGCTCTTCCACTTACTTTGTGGTTTTTGGAAAGTAAATTTTTAATGTTAATTTCTTGCGTGCCCTGGTTTCTGAATGACATTTTCTCAGAGGATGAGCCAGTGAAGGAAGACCCGTTGCTGTGCCTAGGTCACCTGGTCTGTGTCTACTCAACTTTTCTGCATGGGGTCATGTCCAAAGTTTCTGTCATGTGTTCACTGAAACCTCATTCTTTTTTTTTTTTTTTTTTTTGAGATGGACTCTCTCTGTCGCCCAAGATGGAGTGCAGTGGTGCAGTCTCAACTCACTGCAACTTCCACCTCCTGAGTTCAAGCAATTCTCCTGCCTCAGCCTCCTGAGTAGCTGGGATTACAGATGAGCACCATCACACCTGGCTAATTTTTGTATTTTTAGTAGAGACGGGGTTTCACCATATTGGCCAGGCTGGTCTCGAACTCCTGACCTCAAGTGATCCACCCACCTCAGTCCCCAAAGTGCTGGGATTACAGGCATGAGCCACTGTGCGTGGCTGAAACTTCATTCTTTGGAGGGTCTTGAGGCCAGGATTGTACATGCAATTATTCTTATAATTGAGCAGCAGCTGAGGAAAGTTTTAATGAAGTTTGAAAATCAACTAGAGTGATGTGTAGCAGAAGGCCACGCTTATGTTGAATTTTAATAAGAAACATATCAATATTTTAAAATATAAGAAGTTAACTTTTCAAATATATTTGATGTAAGTTAGTAGCACTTAGACTTTGAAATGATTAAGGTTTAAAAGTGCACCTAGACTGTTGGGGCTTCCTGAATAATCTGGATACTAAATCTCCACTTTAATGTGTGAGCAAATATTTTCTGCATGACTGTGGTTTACCTTTTAAGGTTATTTATTGTCTTTTGGGGGATATTTACAATTTTGATGTGATCAAATTTTTAAATTTTTATCATACATGTATGAGGAAGGTGCAGGGACTGATGTCTTTGGAAATTCTTCAGTATATTGAAATCATAAAGTTATTTTATATTTTCTTCTAAGAGCTGTGAAATTCTTTTCCTGCATACTTAGGTGTTTGATCCACCTGGAACTTACTTATGGTGTGATGTGGGGATAGAAGTAAACTTCTTGACTACATAATAGTCTGTTGTTCTACTAATCTTTTCTCTCCTTTTCAATGCAATTTCTGTCATTGTCAAGTTTATGTATATATGTGGAATGATTTCTGGCCTCTCTGTTATACTCAATTTGCATAATTTTTTTCTTGTGCCAATATTACCCTATTCTAATTGCTATAACCGTATAATTTTCTTCCTCCCTCTCCCCTCTCTTCTTCATTTCCTGCTTCCTTCCTTCCATTTTTAGTTGGTATATAGGTCTTCTTCTGACTGAATCATAAGAATTCTTTCTATATTCTTAATGTAAGTCTTTGTCAGATGTATGTATTGCAAATATTCCCTCCTGATTGGAGGTCTGTCTTTTTAATTTCTTAACAGAGTCTTTCAAAGAGCAGAGATTCTTCTCCCATTCTAGAAATTTCTCTTGTTTAAAAAAAGTTCTAATTTTGAAATAATTTCAGGTTTACAAAAATGTTGCCAAAAATAGTGCAAAGTTTCTTTATACCTTTAATCCAACTTCCCAAAATATTAACATCTTAAACCTGAAACAATTATCAAAATTAGAAAATTAATATTGAATAATATTCTTAATCTATAGAACTTACTCAAATATATTGACTGGCCTACTAGTGCTTTTTTGCTAATCCATGATCCAGCAGTTTATCAGAAGTTCACTAATTTTTCTTATCTTTTCTGAGAACCAGGTTTTCATTTCACTCATTTTTTCTCTCTTGTGTTTTTACTATTTTATTAATTTCAGTTCTTATTTTGTATTTCCTCCCTTTCACTTGCTTTGAGTAACTTTTCCTAGTTTGCTAGTAGAACTTTAAAAATTCATTACTATACTGTCTTCTAATATAAGCATTTAAAGCAATAAATTTCTTTCTAAATATTGCTTTAGCTTTCTCTAACGCATTTTGATATATAATAATTTCTATGTTATTCTGTTGAAAATATTTAATAATATCCTTTGCGATGTCTACTTTGATATATGGATTATTTAGAAGTGTCTTGCTTAATTTCCAAACATTTGAGAGCTGTCCAGATTTGAGAGGGAGGGGTGCGGTATTTATTTCCTATTAAATTAGTGTTTGTGTGGTGAGAGAATGTACTCTGTATGATTTTGATCTTTCTAGATGTGTGAGTTTAGCTTACAATTTAGCTTGATGAATGTTTAATGTGCCCTGGAAAAGCATGTGTATACTGTCATTGTTGGGTATATTGTCCTATAAGTGTCAACTAACAAAAGTTGGTTTTTACTTTTGTTCAAGTTTTTGTATGTCCTTATTGACTCTATGTATACATTTTGATTAATTACTAAGAGATGTGTGTCAAAATTTCGGACTGTAGTTCTGAATTTTTTAATTTTTTCATTTAGTCTATAAGTTTCAGCTTTATGTATTTTTAGGCTTTGTTGTTAGATGCCACTTATACATTTAGTATTATTATATATTATTGATGCATTTGTCATTTTAAAATATGAAATGTCCTTCCATATTTCAAGTAATTTTTCCCATTCTGAAATCTACATGTTTATTAATATAACTCTTTTAGAGTTCATAGGATTTATTCTTTTCCATCCTTTTACCTTTAACCTATTTTCATATTTCTTTTCTTAATTTTTTTTTTATTAGAGTCAGAGTCTTGTTGTGTTGCCCGGGCTGGTCTTAAACTCCTGGGCCCAAGCAATCTGCCCACCTTGGCCTCTTAAAGTGCTGGGATTACAAGTGTGAGCCACTGCACCCAGCCCTATCTTCATATTTAATATTGTCTTCCTATTTATAGCATGTAGCTGCTTTTCCTTTAAAAAATTCGTCTGAACAATCTCTACCTTCAAATGGAGGGTTTAGACCATTTGCATGTAATAAAATTATTAACATTTGGGTTTAATTCCACCATCTAGCTGTTTGTGTTCTATTCATCCTGTCTGGTTCCTATTCTTATGTCTTATTTTTCTAGCTTCCTGTTGATTAATTTAGTTGTTTTAGTATTCCAGTTTACCTATTTTGGTATGTGTGGTTGCTCTAGGGTTTACAATATGCACTTTTAACATATCACATCAATATCTTTAATTAAAATCCACTTCCCATGCATTGTACTGCTGTACAACAAGGATGCTTCCATTTTCCCTAACATCCTCTATGCTATTACTGTCCTCTATTTCATTTCTACATGCTTATAAAATGCATAATATATGTTTATTATTTAAACTGCTAAGTATCTGCTAACTAAATTTTTAAAATAAGGAAAAAGGTTTACACACACACACACACACACACACACACACACACATTTTTCTAGTTCCCATAGTTACCATTTCCAATATTCATTTCTTTGTGTAAATCTGAGTTTTCATTTTGGAAGCATTGTTCTTTAGCATGAAAATTTTCCTTTAACATTTTTTAGGGTGGTTTTGCTTGTAATAAATTCTCTCAGCTTTTGCTTGCTTAGAAATTACCTTATTTCACCTTCACTTTTGAAGGATGTTTTCACTGGAGATAGAGTTTTAGGTTGACACTTTTTTCTTTTAAGCACATTAAATATGTCATTTCACTATGTTCTGTCTTGCATCATTTCTGATTTGTGGTCATTCTAATCTCCTTTCACTGTTCAGAATGTGGCTATTCTTTTTCTGGCAGTATTTAAGATTTTCTCTTTATCCCTGGTTTTCAGCAATTCGATTATTGTGTGCCATGGTGTGGTTTCCTTTTGTTTATTCTGTTTGGGGTTTGTTGAGTTTCTCAAATCTGTTGGTTTATAGTTCTCATTAAATTTGGAAACTTTTAGCTGTGTTTTTCATTTTTATAAATTAGAATTTTTTTCTCAGATTTGCCTTTTTAAAAAATTTTCTTTCAACTTGATTTATTACCTGTTTACTTCTCCTGTTTATTGTGCCTGATGAATCTCATTATGTTGCTGTTACTGTTGCAATTTCTTCTCCCTCTTGTCCTCTTCCTATTCTTCTTTTTGAGAGTTGTTTTCCAAGACAGTATTTGATGCTCTATGCTATTGAGGTAGCTCTATTGGGCAACTTAAAATGTACTTTTCCTAAGACCCTGTAGGCATTACCAATACTAGACCAGCTATTATATTCATTTTCTGCTTATAAGTCCTTCCCTAGGAGTGGGGTAAAAATGTAAACTCCATATCTCCCACTGCATAGACTTGGGCTTCCAATGTCTTATAGATGAATCTTTTATCATATATTGCTCAGACTGGTTACTTGGATTCGAAGCTGCATCCTACCAGGCACAGAGTATTATTCAGGGGATCAGTTTCAGTTCATTGTGCTTAAGGGTGAGGATCCTAAAACTCCTCTCCTAGGCATTTATGCTTATATCCACATCTGATTTCCCTGCAGGCCACTTGCCTTGTATTTTTGGATCCCACTGTGACTCTGGGTTTCCTTTTTATTTTTGAATGGTGCAGATTTTCCTTTCTTACTTTGAAGCTCAAGTGTATGTGTGTGTGTGTGTGTGTTTAAATATGTAAAATATTTGCCGTCATAGGAGTTTACTTCAAAAACTATACTAACTGAAATTCTAATATGAATTCTTCATTCTTAAATATGAATGGGAAAACCAAGAATCACTAAATATTTGAAGGATAAAATATGACATGAGGTTAATTCTAAGGCAAAAAAAAGAGAAAAATAGTGATGCCAAAGGAAATAGAGATATTCAAGAAGAATAGAGGGGCAACACCTTTATTAATATCCTCTGAGACATGTGGGCTAACATTTCATCCACAAAGTAATAGGATACAATGAAAAGGGAAGAGTCAGAGAATAAGAATGAGATCTTGATGAGCAAAATATTATGGACAAAATGAAACAGTCTGTAGAAGAATTAGAAGTAACACATAAAGGAGACAAACATGAAAATATGAGAGACAAGGTAAGTGACAGAAGACCAATGCAGGAGCTCTAATAGTCAATTGATAGAAGTTACACAAAGAAAAGAAAGAAAATGAATGAAAGAAAATGTTCAAATAAATCATGGGACACAGTTTTGAAGAGCTGAAGGCCATCAAATATTCGACATGATAAATATAAATAAAAGGAAAAAATAATTGTGATTTTAGAACATTAAGGTAAATAACTGAAAGCTTTCTGAGAATGAAAAACTGATAAATCAGATAAATATAGTACCTCTGTAGGACTGACCTGTTATTGTGATGCCAGATGATGGTATAGAAATGCTTTCAAAGTTCTGATGAAAATGATTTCAACTTGAAATTCTATACTTTGGCAAAATATGAAATAAATGTGAGACGAAAGTAAATATATTTTCAGACATGAAAGAGTTAGAAATCTATTCCCCAGAATGATCCATCTTTTCTCATGCTCAGCAATAGAAAACAATTTTTACTGAGACACATCCCAGCTAGCTAAATATTATATTTTTCTGCCTCTCTTGCAGCTATGAGTGGCTACATAACCATGTTCTTGCCAATTATTTGTAGTGGATGTGTTGTGAGGGGGGCTTCTTGGAAATATCTTTAAAAGGAACTGATAGTCTCCTATTATTATTCTTTCTAATTTCCTGAAATGTAGACATGGTAACTGGGGCTCTGACATTCATTTTGGTCCATAGTTTCCATGAGAATGAAAGCCATAGGCAGAGAATAATTTTTTAAAAAGTTAAAAAAAACTACATTCCTATGACAATATGAATCCACCATATCAAGTTTGTACTGCCTACCTTCAAATTTCTTTTTGTGATAGAAAAAAATATATATATTTTATTTAAGTTACATTTATTTTTTATTCTTATAGGCAGCTGAACCTAATCCAAACTGACACAGAAAGCTATTTGAGGATATTTATTAATTACTGAGTAATTTTATTTTATTTTTGCATTCACCTGGCCAAATGACGATGGTCTGGGCAATAATCTGTAGTGGAAGTATGGAGACTTCCACTTCATACTTGTACAGAGGCTTCAAAGTACCAGTGGATTTAACCTAAGAGAGTTGTCAAAAGAAAAACCAGGAGGATTTCTGTGTAAAATCTTAAGGAAGATGATAAAAACATATTTCAAAAGTAAAATAAAAGCAACTGGAAACTCCAAGGGAAACATAAGGCACTTAAAAATGCTATCACTTTGTTCTAAAATTAGCAATAGTTACAAAATCAAACTCATTTAAGCAATAATAAGCATCCTTCAGAGGGGAAGCTTTCTTCCAAAAATTATCAGTGTTTGCTTCTCCTAGGAATTTTTATTCAAACTAAGACAATTACTTAAAAACTTCAATTTCTTCAGGATTTATTTAAGTGTTGCCCTCTTTACATGAATTTACCTGGTATGTGGTGAGTTCTTTGTAGGCTCACTCTTATTCACCTTAGGAAAGTTTCTTATTATACCTGTGATTGTCATATATATTCCAACAGTAATTTTATTTTATTTTATTTTAAATTCTGGGATACACGTGCAGCATGTGCAGGTTTGTTACAAAGGTAAACGTGTGCCATATTGGTTTGCTGCACCTATCAACCCATCACCTGGGTATTAAGCCTCACATGCATTAGCTATTTATCCTGATGCTCTCCCTCACCCCACTGCTCCAACAAGCCCCAGTGTGTGTTGTTCCCCTCCCTGTGTCAATGTGCTCACATTGTTCAGCTCCCACTTATAAGTGAGAACATTTGGTGTTTGGTTTTCTATTTCTGTGTTAGTTTGCTGAGAATACTTGCTTCTAGCTCCATCCATGTCCCTACAAAGGACCTGATCTCGTTCCTTTTTATGGCTGCATAGTATTCCATGGTGTATATGTACCACATTTTCTTTATCTAATCTATTGTTGATGGGCATTTGGGTGGATTCCATGTCTTTGCTATTGTGAATAATGTTGCAGCAAACATACGTGTGCATATATCCTTATAACAGAATGATTTATCTTCCTTTGGGTATATACCCAGTAATTAGATTGCTGGGTCAAATATAGTGTTTCTGGTTCTAAGTCTTTTAGGAATTGCCACACTGTCTTCCACAATGGTTGAACTAATTTACACTCCCACCAACAGTGTAAAAGCATTCCTCTTTCTCCACAGCCTTGCTAGCATCTGTTGTTTCTTGACTTTTTAAACAATCGCCATTCTGACTGGCATCAGATGATATCTCATTGTGGTTTTGATTTGCATTGCTCTAATGATCAGTGATATTGAGCTTTTTTTTGTTTGTTGGCCACATAAATGTCTTCTTTTCAGAAATGTCTGTTCATGTCCTTTGTCCACTTTTTAATGGGTTTGTTACATTCCACCAATTCTTCAGGAATACCAATTATAGCATCTTGCAAACCTCAATAATAACACTAATGGTCCTTTATTTTATTTGTTTACCTAATTTTTGTCTTTCTCATTAGACTGTGACTTGTTGATTGTATAAACAGTATTTTTTACTTCTGTATTCCCAGAACATAGTCCAGCATTAGGCATATCACAGGTACTCATGTTTATTAAATGAATTAATGTGACAAAACTTCATACAATACATACAAGAACCTGTTCCCCTTTTGCTGTTTCTTCAAGGAAGAAGAAAAAGAAAACAGTGAAAGAATTTGTGATTGAGGAGGAGAATACTGAACACACTGAACAGACTTAACCTTCTCCAAAGCACTTATGCAGTAGCACGCGTACCCTCAGAGCATGTCTCATGATATTCCAGGGCCTCTTTTCACAGATCACCTTGCAATCCCAGGTCACAAGGTGGGAGCTGCCAGCAGTCCTGGTATGAAACCACGGCACCAGCTTCCAGTCCTTCATTAAGTGAGGTGGCTTGTGATGGACTAGCCTAGGGTAATTGTGCCAAGCTACCGCTGCCCTGTCCCTGCCTTCCTGCCAAACAGACTCAGACATCAAGTGAGTAGTTTCACAAGCCTGCAAGGAATGGATATTTATAAAGACAAGTTATGTTGTGGTCATGTTCACATAGCATCACTGTCAGCTCAGCATGCAGGCAAACTAGAGCCATCTTCTCTGTGAACAACAAGCAGCTTTACTGAATGCAGAGCTCTAGGAAGGGAAACACATGAAATGAGGTATAGGGGAGTCCAACGAACTTGTCCATATGGAAGTCCACAACCTTTCTTCTTTTCACATGGGCCCTTTGCCAGAGGCATTTGACACGTGGTAGAAAGGTCATGTGACTTAATTAATAGACCTTGTTTCTGGTTCAGGTTCTGCTACTTACTGGCTTTGTGTCCTTGAACATGTCCTTCCCTATTTCTGGGCCTTAGTTTTCTCATTTGGAAAATTTCAACTTCATAGATTTGTTTTGAAGGTTATAAAAATATAATGAATGGAAGCATCTTTTATAAAAATTTTAAAAAATTGCTCTTTTTTAAACTGGGAAATGCCTCAGGGCTGTTCAGTCTATTGTGTTCAGCCTTTTTATGTAAAGAATTGTTAAAGAGAAATGTTACCAAATCAGGAAAAATTACTTGCATCGATAAACAGTATTAAAGAAAAACAACTTTGCTAATATTTAACATCTTTGTTTATTAATCCACTAGTCAAATACTATTGAGCATATCATCACCATCATCAAGAATATTTGAGAATCTACTATTCAATTGTTCAGTAAACATTTCTCAAGTGCTCAAGTGAAAGGCAGTAGTTGAGCCCTCATGAGTGAATTCATAAATCAAAAGGAGAAGAGAATCCACAGGAGGAATGAGGCTGGCATAATAATTCAAGGCTCTTCTGGATAAGGTTCTTATTAGTAATTTCTAAAATCAGAGATATCAGACCTGGACACCTATATGATACTTCAGCTTGTTCAACTCTTACCTAACACATGAATTCTGTCTCCACTACACTCATAACTAAGAACTTACATGTGGCAGGGAGGGGGATATTCTATTTCAATTAGACCTAATTGCTAAAAAAACACTCCCCTCTCTTCACCATTTGGTTCTCTTCCAGCTACACACAGTAAGGTAGCTTTCTCTGCCATGGGACCACCCCTTGGATATTTAAAGATGGCCATCGTGTCTCCTCCTCCTGTGCCTCCTTTCTCCAGGAGATAGAGCACTGTGCCTTGGATCACATGGTTCTGCCCCTCACCATGCCACTTTGTCTCTTTGGGCCTGCTCCAGTTTTTCCTGTGTCCTACTCAGGGTGTCACGTTCATCCTCATTTCAAAACTCTAGGAGTAGTTCCATGAAGGCAGAATAGGAAGGGATTCTAATTAATTGCCCCTGTTTAGAGTTCTCACTGGCATTCACATTTGTAAACCTAGAGATTACTGCCAAACTCAAATTTTCTTTACATATGATATGTCTCCCTTTATTTATAACTACACTCCCAGAAATTGTATATTTCTGAAATTTGACTTTTGGAACTAAGTTCACAACTTCTCAATTAAGTTTTACTCAATTTTATTTTAAGATGGTGGCATAAGCTCCTACCTCTAACAGAAGAAGTCATTTCCATTGTAGTTCAGTCCCTACTAGAATCATGGGGAGACTGATACAAGGGTCAATGCATAGTTTATAACTCATGCATTACCTCTGAGATCTTACCTGTGATTAACTTATAATCATTCCCCACAGTTCTATTTATGATGTCAATGTTCTCCAACTTAAGGATTTACCAGCAAGAATCTCCTGTTAAGATTTTGAATAACTCTTCCCTCTAGGAGTCAAAAAACAATTAAAAAAAGATATAGGAGCCAGATATTAACACAAATATCATCTTTATTGTTGATAAGTGCATGGTATGGCCCCAGTGGAACCTGTGCAGCCCATTTGCCAGTTGCATGGTGGGGGTGCTCTGCACTTTCGAGCTTACCCTACCTTTTGGCAATTAGAACAAAATGTAAAATTAAAACCCTGCAGGCAGGCAGGTGGGCAGCAGATAGCCCAGAGGGCCAGAGTGGCACATACTAAGGCCAGAGTCCTAATATCTCATATCAGATACACTCCTCCCTTAGGTTGGGCATACACAATTAGTTGCTGAGTCCTGTTACTGTGTTAGCTGCAGGAGAAGGCTGGCTTGTGTGGGTGCAGGCGCCTCTTCCAAGTCAACCTGCAAGTCCTCATTTACACACAGGTCCTGTGGCCATGCCCCTTTCTTCACGGCCTTGTAAGTTTTTATCAGAGGGGCAGAGGACACAGACGTCAGCCTGAGAACTGCTCACATCCTTCCCCAGCACTTCCTTCCCTCTCCTTGAAGTCTCACACTCTGGAAGGGCTACTTGATGTCGGACACCTGGATGTGGAGGCAGGTGCCTACTCCATGGTTTTTCCTGTCTGCAAAGCCCCAGTCCTCAAAGTTGTGCTGCCCTGGGATTTGAACTAGAGGAGTGAGCTGGCAGGAGAAGATCAACATTGCTATTGGTACGCCCCTTGATCCCGCTACTTGGGTTGTGGCAGAGTAGAAATACATATTTATGTTTCTTTCCTCTCTCAATTTCCTTTTTAGTCTTAAGATGAGGTCTGGAGAGTCTCCATGCTTTGCCCTATTACCAAGTATAATTGTCTTATCTTTTCGTTTCTGGGTGCAACTAGTTCCCCTATCTTGTGCAAGTAACTTGCAAGCTTTTACAATCTCCTGTTCCAACACAGAACAATGAAAGGATGCTGGACACTTCTTACAGTCTTCACTACTTCAGCTATGTATCTCTCCTTCTCCCTCACCTTCCTAGGGTTAGTGGGTAGCCCTCCTGACAAACTGGGCTCTGGCCTCCATTTGCTTCTTATGTATGGTTGTTGTAGAAAATTCAGGTAACAGAGTTCACTCATATTATTGGGAAGATATATTTGTACTAATATGAACCCATCCCTTTTTTGTACTAATAATACCTTTATTCTTTCAAAGTAATTTCATAATTATTATCTCATTTGGGCCTCATACCAATCCCATGAGCAAAGCCAATTATGATTCTATCTTCTCATTTTATACCCAGAGATGGAGGCAGAAAATGGTGAAGTCATTTGCCTAAGGTTTAGAAGACAGCTAGGGACAGAACTGTGCTCATACTCCATGTGGGACTCCACAGCTGTGGTGTGTTCTACTGAGTACGGCCGTGCAAACCTCAGGACAGCTGGGCCACCACCAGGACTCTAGTATGGTGGACAAGGTGCTGTCCCATGAGGAACCAGACAAATCAGTTCCAGCTGAATGCCCTCCTTGGGTGTACCTTCTTGAGAAGAAATATGCCCTGAGAAAATGGAAAGAATTATCAATTGTGGAGTTAAAAAATCTATATATACTGTATTGGTCTGTTTTCAAACTGCTGATAAAGACATATCCAAGACTGGGTAATTTATCAAGAAAAAGATGTTTAGTGGACTCACGGTTCCACATAGCTGAAGAGGCCCCACAATCATGGCAGAAGGCGAAAAGGCATGTCTTACATGATGGCAGACAAGAGAGTATGACAGCCAAGCAAAAAGATATTCCCCTTATCAAACCATCAGATCTCGTGAGACTTATTCACTACCATGAGAACAGTTTGGAGGAACCGCCCCCATGATTCAATTAATTCCCACCGGGTTTCTCCCACGACACATGGAAATTATGGGAGCTACAATTCAAGATGAGATTTGGGTGGGGAAACAGACAAACCATATCATACACACACACACACACACACACACACACACACACACACACACTTGTATGTATGTATATATTTACATTCACATATAAATGTAAATGTATATATATTTTAAATTGACATATATATGTAAATTTAACATTCTGCAGCACAGAAGGTTTGGGTGGCATTTTGGTGGCAAAAAGCAGAGTTTCAGCCCACTGGAAAATGATGGGAAATGAGAGTTGAGTGACACCGTTTAACTGAGAAACCTCTTTGGAGGTTTTATGGTATAATAGTTTAGGCGGACTAAAGGAAAGATGAAACATTCACCTTTCTCCTGGTAAAAGGCCAGCAAAGGAACTATGGGACGATCCATTATTTGCAGTTTTCCAGAAGCAGCATTTCCTCATCTATATATTTATCCAAATTATGTTAATAGGGAGAGTGAATTCCAGACCTGAACTGATACTCAGTTTGTGACACTATGAACGTTTAGCTTTAATTAAGACCCACATGTTTGTCCCTAATCCTTTATTAAAATGACAGCAGTATTAAAAGGAAGAAAAAGAAAAATAGTAGACAACTAAAACCTCCTACCAAGAAAACCTCTGCTGTTTTGGATAACACGTATGCCATATTATTCCACTTTGATGGAAAGATCAAAAAAATGCAAAGGAATTCATGTGTGTGGATGGCTTGAGTGCATCCACCCATCTCCCAAAGCAGCGTGTTTCCAAAGGGCAGAGATAGCCTCATGTCATGCCTCTTTTGTTTAATTTCCTCAAGATGCATCATTCTCCAAGGAGATGTGCTCAAGTTCTCTGTCTCTCCCACATTGTTTTCAAACCTGGTTACCACTGAATGCATTTCTAAATGACAAGGCGACTGGGTCTAAATCTTGATATGTTGAGAGAAAACCCAAATTGACAGTTGGAAGAGGCAGAAAGAGGAAGGCACTTCCCATCCTTCCCGCATCCCAAATGTCATCCCTTCTTTGCTCAGGCTGCTCAGGCAATCCTGATAAAGAAACAAGCAGGCTCTTGAAAGTTTCTGACAGGTGTCATGGGCGCAGCCACTGAGTGGCCACAAGGGATGAAGCTTGACGTGACAGTGGCAGAGCCATCGAGGCTGGCTCCAGGACATGCAGAGTTTGGTGGCTGTCAATTCCAATCCTTGTCACGCCCCAACTCCAGAATGGTGTCTACAAATGGATAGAGCCAGTGGAAGTGTTCAGGAAAGTTAAAAACATCCATTCCTAATCAAGTGATGTTGCCAAGCCATGCTAATGTAGGGTCGGCCACCCAAACTGCATGCACTCCAGCTGGGGAGGGTCGGGGAGGTGGGGGTCCAGGGCTGGCCACACTGGTTTGCTGTGAGTTTGTCTGCTGTCTTTATTTGTTCTCTGCATCGCTCTCCAAGTCAAGGCTCTCAATCTGCCAGTTCTTTCCCACATTTCTGTGTGTAATTTTTGTGCTGCCAGCATTTTCCCCACCAATAACTTCTGATGATTCTTATTCTTTTAATATAGTGATCTCTGCTGCAGATCCTCCAGGATCTAAGTATTTGGCAAACCTGCTCTTCTGACTTGGCTTGAGAGTGATTTATAATGGGAGAGGAGAGCTAGCTTCTCAGTAACACTGTGTAAATAGTTTCATAAATATTACTCTCAGGCATTATTTTGAAATGTTAGTTCTCTTGACAGTCTGCCAAAGTCAAATATTTCTTGTAAATAAAAATCCATGGCCAAGCCTCTTGCCCAGTGAAAGTAACAGGTGGTAATGAAGCTCACCTGGTGGGGGAGCCTGGCTTGATTAGCTCCAGCCCAAAAGTGAAGGTTAACTGGCATTAGGCATGATGTATGATGATGGGGGTGTATGTGATCTTTAATCCAGCCTTCCAGCCTACTAATGGGAGATATATGCATTTAATGGCTCTTAATACATTGGCTCGTAGTTAAGCATTTTCAAATAACGTGAGACTTGATAAGTGCGTTCATTAAAATATCTGACAAAAATTATTTGATAAAGAAGTCAATGGCACATATAGGCTCTGAGTATGCTTCCCACTGAAAATTCCTTGGAGTCCCTGGCAGGGTGGTAAATCAACTATGGTGTTGGTCTCCCTCTCCAAACGCCTTGAGTCAATGATGAAATGGAAGGAGAATTCTGGTGTCTCAGTGACCCAAGTTGAGCCTGAAATTTGAGAATGACAGGGCCCAGAGTAGGTGTTTTTGTGGTAACCTACACTGGGGAATGTCGAGATAAGTTTGGGCCACATATGCGGCTCCATCTTGGCTTCAGCCACTTTCTGCTCTGGTTTTGTGTTTGGTGACTGGAAATGACCCTTTCAATAGAATATCTCCTTCTGGGGGACCTGCCTGAATGCAATGATGGTGTCAACTTATGTCAGGACCCATGGGCCCTCCCCATGCACACAGCACTCTTGGAATCTCATCCTTTTCCATGACTCTGGCTCACACTTCCACAGCATTTACTCCTAAATATGTCTTTCTAACTGGTGCTGCCTCATACACTGATAGTAACCACTGGAATGTGTATATTCTAGTCTGAAGGAAGCTGCTTGCTCCCGTCAGTCCTGTTCTCTGCTGGGTTCCCTATTCTGTCCATGGTTCTGCTGTTCTCTTGGAGGCCCAGCCTCTAAATCTCAGCATGACTTTGACTTCTTTTTCTTCATTCCCCATAACCCAGCAGTCAGCAAGACCTGTTCTTACATGAGAACTCTTATATTTGTCCTCCACTTTTATTTTTACAATAATGTTTCTATAATTTATTTATTTATTGTTTGTTTGTTTTGAGACAGAGTCTTTCTCTGCTGCCCAAGCTGGAGTGTGGTGGTGCCATCTCGGCTCACTGCAGCTTCCACCTCCTGGGTTCAAGCAATTCTCCTGCCTCCGCCTCCCAAGTAGCAGGGATTACAAGCCTGTACCATCACACCCAGCTAATTTTTGTGTTTTTAATAGATACAGGGATTTGCCATGTTGGCCACTCTGGTCTCCAACTCCTGACCAGAAATGATCTGGCTGCCTCGGCCTCCCAAAATGCTGGAATTACAGGTGTGAGCCATCATGCCTGGCCAATTTTTTTTTTTTAATTACACATGATCCTCAAAATTTTCAAGCAGTTCACAAAGTATAAAGAAAAAATATACAACCAAAACAGATAATTTAAAAATATCCAAATCATACTGTCCAAAAATATTTCATAAAATTAGATGCCAGTCTTCTAGACTTATCTTGATGCACAAATACAGATGGATGGAAAAATGGATGGATGAAAGAAAAAATTGTATATAACAGGATTATGCTATGTTGTTTTAATAAAAACAATGTTATTTTAACAAGAATAAAAGAAGAAAAATGAAGAGAGCTGTTTAACTTTAGCTGTTTCTCTACCACAAGAGATATAAATGCCTAAATTATCCATGGTTAAAAAAATATGAACATCCAACTGTAAAAGATTGTGGAAGTATTATACTTTTTAAAATTCCACATTGATTTTATAGTGATGATTGAATTCATGCTAAGAGAGATGGGTCAGTAGCCCTTTAAGTATCCTTTAAGTATGCCTGTCAAGACACCTACCCCCGCATTCCAAGCATACTTACCAAGAGTTATGACATCTACATTCTGTAATCATGATGTCCCTAGTAGAATTGTCTTAGTTCTTTATTTACATTAACTTATTGCTCACTAACAGTCATTTCTCTGGAGTGTCTCTATTTCTGAGTGTTTTGTTTTGATTCTTGCCACTAAGTTGGATTTGATCTTGGAGTACTTTTCTTCTTAAGAAGGAATTTCAGTCCTGTAATCTCTGAGTGTTTTGCATGCCAGGGTCACACTTTCACTCTCTCAGCAAGTTTTAGATGTTGCACCACTGGTTTCTACCGTCGGGTACAGCATACTTTTTAAATTACATAGTGCCATTCTTTTTCATTTGGCTAGATTTCATCATTGGGTAATTTTATTCCTAGACTATCCACCCCGAAAAAAGAGCTAAAAAGTGTATGTCAAGTTATATTTGAAAATGTCTTCATGTTTCTCCTCTACTTGAATAACAGCTTGGCTTATTGTTATGTTCGTATGTTTTATTTTTTTCTGCAATGTTTAAAGACATAGTTCCTTTATCTATTATAGAAATCAGAGATTCCTTTGTCTTTTGTTAACCTCAATCATTATTTATGTGTTTGTATATTTTACCACAAGATGTATTACAAAAATAGAGAAAAACACATCACATACCTGATATAATCAACACTCACCTTTAGCAACTTTTAGTGTTTTGATTTATTTACTTTGAATATCTTTGTTCCATAAAACATTCAAAGTAAATAAAGAGGCTGGGCACGGTGGCTCACACCTGTAATCTCTAGCACTTTTGGAGGCCAAGGTGGGCAGATCACCTGAGGTCAGGAGTTCGAGACCAACCTGGCCAATATGGTGAAACCACGTCTGTACTAAAAATCCCAAATTAGCCAGGCGTGGTGACGCATGCCTGTAATCCGAGATACTCAGGAAGCTGAGGCACAAGAATCGCTTGAACCCTGGAGGTGGAGGTTGCAGTGAGCCGAGATTGCGCCATTGCACTCCAGCCTGGAAGACAGAGTGAGACTCTGCCTCAGTAAACAAAACAAAACAAAATAAAAAACAAACACAACAAAGTAAATAAAGGCCCTATAATAAGGTCACCTAAGATGGTGCACCTTCTTTTTTTTAATCTTTTTTTGGGTGGGTCGGGGGGCGGGGAGGACAGAGTCTCACTCTGTCGGCTAGGCTGGAGTACTGTGGCATAATCTCGGCTCACTGCAACCTCCGTCTCCTGGGCTCAAGTGATTCTCCTGCCTCAGCCTCCCAAGTAGCTGGGGTTACAGGCATGTGCCACCACACCCATCTAATTTTTGTATTTTTAGTAGAGATGGGGTTTCAAGACGGTGTACCTTCTTAGGTGTACATAAGTACACCATCTTAGGTGTCCTTCCCTCATTTATTTCCCAATATCCCTCCACAGAGGAATCTACTGTCCTCATTTTAGTGTTTGCAATTCCTAAACATGATTTTATGGCCTTCTTATATATGTATATATACAGGAAATATATACTGTAATATTTTGCAGACTGTTTGAAGTTAATTTAAATGCCATCTTATTGAACTTATATTCCACACCTTGCTTTTTTCATCCAGCATTACCTCTGTAAAATGTGTTAATATCAATTAACAAATTTAGCTGGAGTTCAAATTTTTTCAATTTTCTTCTATGAATGGATATTTAGTTTGTTTCCAGTTTTTCACTACTATTTGCTACAGCAAGTAATATTGTAGCAAATAATTTTGTTCATTTGTTGTCCTTGATATGTGTGAGAATTTCTTCATGATATACATTCAGAGATGGATTTGAAGTCATATGTGGGCTGTTTGTGTCTTTAATTTTATTTAACATTGACAAATATCTAGAAAAATGTTATACCACCACCAGGACCGTATACTTCCCAATATTTCGTATTCACACCAGCACTTCGTACTTTCGTACTTTTTCATATTTTCACATCTAAAAGACATCTAAATGGTACCTTAATACTAGTTTTTAGTTTTTTTTTTAACATTTTCCTGAGTACTGAGATTGAAAATCTTTTCAAATGTCTAGTGATCCTCTAAAGTTATTCTTTAATAATCTAGCTGATCATATCAATTGCCCACTTTGCTGCAGGGTTGATTTTTATCCTTTTCTCCTTGATTCTTAAGGATAATTTATATGTGCTGGATTCCTATTCATTGTTAGTTTAATGTGTGGCAAATGTCTTTCTTGATTCTCTATCTGATTTTTAAATATTTTGTGTGTTATCTTTGTAACATAGAAGATTATTTATTTATTTATTTATTTGAGAAAGGGTCTTACTCTGTTGCCCAGGCTGGAGTGCAGTGGCATGATCTCTGCTCACTGCAACCTCTGCCTCCTGCACTCAAGGGATGCCTCCACCTCAGCCTCCTGAGTAGCTGGGACCACAGGCATGTGCCACCATGCCCAGCTAATTTTTGTATTTTTTTGTATAGATGGGCTTCCACCATGTTACCCAGGCTGGTGTCCAACTCCTGGGTTCAAGCGATTTGCCCTCCTCAGCTTCCCGAAGTGCTAGGATTACAGGCATAAGCCAGCATGCCTGGCAGAAGATTATTAATACAGTTGAATTTATCTTTTATTTCCCTTTGTGATCTGTGCTTTTTGCATTCTTCTTAAGAAACCATTTTGAACCATGAGAGGTAAATATAGTCTAATATGTTCTTTTAAAGTTTGAAAACTATGCTTTTTACTTTTATGTCATTAACTCATCATATGAATGTGATTATGGCAGATTGGCATGAGATAGCGATTGCATTTTTTTAATATGGAAAAACAGTGGAAACTGTCTTTCTTTCCCCACTAATTCTAGGCTCTTTATTCTGTCCTATTTGTTTGTTGGTCCTTGGGCCAGCAGTTTTAATTACTGTCACTTTATTAAGTTTTCATATAAAATTGGGCAAATCTCTAACTTGTTTTTCAATACCCTATTAATTATTATTTACTTTGGCTGTCATTTGTCTTATATAATGCAAATACCTTCTCCCATTCTGTGGTTTGTCCCTTTACTCTCTTAAGAATGTTTCTGGTTAAGTAAAAATACTTAATTTAGAAGAATGTATAACTAGAATAACCAATACAGAGAAGTGCTTAAAGGAGCTGATGGAGCTGAAAACCAAGGCTCGAGAACTACGTGAAGAATGCAGAAGCCTCAGGAGCCGATGCGATCAACTGGAAGAAAGGGTATCAGCAATGGAAGATGAAATGAATGAAATGAAGCGAGAAGGGAAGTTTAGAGAAAAAAGAATAAAAAGAAATGAGCAAAGCCTCCAAGAAATATGGGACTATGTGAAAAGACCAAATCTACGTCTTATTGGTGTACCTGAAAGTGATGGGGAGAATGGAACCAAGTTGGAAAACACTCTGCAGGATATTATCCAGGAGAACTTCCCCAATCTAGCAAGGCAGGCCAACGTTCAGATTCAGGAAATACAGAGAACGCCACAAAGATACTCCTCGAGAAGAGCAACTCCAAGACACATAATTGTCAGATTCACCAAAGTTGAAATGAAGGAAAAAATGTTAAGGGCAGCCAGAGAGAAAGGTCGGGTTACCCTCAAAGGAAAGCCCATCAGACTAACAGTGGATCTCTCGGCAGAAACCCTACAAGCCAGAAGAGAGTGGGGGCCAATATTCAACATTCTTAAAGGAAAGAATTTTCAACCCAGAATTTCATATCCAGCCAAACTAAGCTTCATAAGTGAAGGAGAAATAAAATACTTTATAGACAAGCAAATGCTGAGAGATTTTGTCACCACCAGGCCTGCCCTAAAAGAGCTCCTGAAGGAAGCGCTAAACATGGAAAGCAACAACCGGTACCAGCCGCTGCAAAATCATGCCAAAATGTAAAGACCATCGAGACTAGGAAGAAACTGCATCAACTAATGAGCAAAATCACCAGCTAACATCATAATGACAGGATCAAATTCACACATAACAATATTAACTTTAAATATAAATGGACTAAATTCTGCGATTAAAAGACACAGACTGGCAAGTTGGATAAAGAGTCAAGACCCATCAGTGTGCTGTATTCAGGAAACCCATCTCACGTGCAGAGACACACATAGGCTCAAAATAAAAGGATGGAGGAAGATCTACCAAGCCAATGGAAAACAAAAAAAGGCAGGGGTTGCAATCCTAGTCTCTGATAAAACAGACTTTAAACCAACAAAGATCAAAAGAGACAAAGAAGGCCATTACATAATGGTAAAGGGATCAATTCAACAAGAGGAGCTAACTATCCTAAATATTTATGCACCCAATACAGGAGCACCCAGATTCATAAAGAAAGTCCTGAGTGACCTACAAAGAGACTTAGACTCCCACACATTAATAATGGGAGACTTTAACACCCCACTGTCAACATTAGACAGATCAACGAGACAGAAAGTCAACAAGGATACCCAGGAATTGAACTCAGCTCTGCACCAAGGAGACCTAATAGACATCTACAGAACTCTCCACCCCAAATCAACAGAATATACATTTTTTTCAGCACCACACCACACCTATTCCAAAATTGACCACATAGTTGGAAGTAAAGCTCTCCTCAGCAAATGTAAAAGAACAGAAATTATAACAAACTATCTCTCAGACCACAGTGCAATCAAACTAGAACTCAGGATTAAGAATCTCACTCAAAGCCGCTCAACTACATGGAAACTGAACAACCTGCTCCTGAATGACTACTGGGTGCATAACGAAATGAAGGCAGAAATAAAGATGTTCTTTGAAACCAACGAGAACAAAGACACCACATACCAGAATCTCTGGGACGCATTCAAAGCAGTGTGTAGAGGGAAATTTATAGCACTAAATGCCTACAAGAGAAAGCAGGAAAGATCCAAAATTGACACCCTAACATCACAATTAAAAGAACTAGAAAAGCAAGAGCAAACACATTCAAAAGCTAGCAGAAGGCAAGAAATAACTAAAATCAGAGCAGAACTGAAGGAAATAGAGACACAAAAGACCCTTCAAAAAATCAATGAATCCAGGAGCTGGTTTTTTGAAAGGATCAACAAAATTGATAGACCGCTAGCAAGACTAATAAAGAAAAAAAGAGAGAAGAATCAAATAGACACAGTAAAAAATGATAAAGGGGATATCACCACCGATCCCACAGAAATACAAACTACCATCAGAGAATACTACAAACACCTCTACGCAAATAAACTAGAAAATCTAGAAGAAATGGATACATTCCTCGACACATACACTCTCCCAAGACTAAACCAGGAAGAAGTTGAATCTCTGAATAGACCAATAACAGGCTCTGAAATTGTGGCAATAATCAATAGTTTACCAAACAAAAAGAGTCCAGGACCAGATGGATTCACAGCCGAATTCTACCAGAGGTACAAGGAGGAACTGGTACCATTCCTTCTGAAACTATTCCAATCAATAGAAAAAGAGGGAATCCTCCCTAACTCATTTTATGAGGCCAGCATCATTCTGATACCAAAGCCGGGCAGAGACACAACCAAAAAAGAGAATTTTAGACCAATATCCTTGATGAACATTGATGCAAAAATCCTCAATAAAATACTGGCAAACCGAATCCAGCAGCACATCAAAAAGCTTATCCACCATGATCAAGTGGGCTTCATCCCTGGGATGCAAGGCTGGTTCAATATACGCAAATCAATAAATGTAATCCAGCATATAAACAGAGCCAAAGACAAAAACCACATGATTATCTCAATAGATGCAGAAAAAGCCTTTGACAAAATTCAACAACCCTTCATGCTAAAAACTCTCAATAAATTAGGTATTGATGGGACGTATTTCAAAATAATAAGAGCTATCTATGACAAACCCACAGCCAATATCATACTGAATGGGCAAAAACTGGAAGCATTCCCTTTGAAAACTGGCACAAGACAGGGATGCCCTCTCTCACTGCTCCTATTCAACATAGTGTTGGAAGTTCTGGCCAGGGCAATCAGGCAGGAGAAGGAAATAAAGGGTATTCAATTAGGAAAAGAGGAAGTCAAATTGTCCCTGTTTGCAGACGACATGATTGTTTATCTAGAAAACCCCATCGTCTCAGCCCAAAATCTCCTTAAGCTGATAAGCAACTTCAGCAAAGTCTCAGGATACAAAATCAATGTACAAAAATCACAAGCATTCTTATACACCAACAACAGACAAACAGAGAGCCAAATCATGAGTGAACTCCCATTCACAATTGCTTCAAAGAGAATAAAATACCTAGGAATCCAACTTACAAGGGAAGTGAAGGACCTCTTCAAGGAGAACTACAAACCACTGCTCAAGGAAATAAAAGAGGACACAAACAAATGGAAGAACATTCCATGCTCATGGGTAGGAAGAATCAATATTGTGAAAATGGCCATACTGCCCAAGGTAATTTATAGATTCAATGCCATCCCCATCAAGCTACCAATGACTTTCTTCACAGAATTGGAAAAAACTACTTTAAAGTTCATATGGAACCAAAAAAGAGCCCGCATCACCAAGTCAATCCTAAGCCAAAAGAACAAAGCTGGAGGCATCACACTACCTGACTTCAAACTATACTACAAGGCTACAGTAACCAAAACAGCATGGTACTGGTACCAAAACAGAGATATAGATCAATGGAACAGAACAGAGCCCTCAGAAATAATGCCGCATATCTACAACTATCTGATCTTTGACAAACCTGAGAAAAACAAGCAATGGGGAAAGGATTCCCTATTTAATAAATGGTGCTGGGAAAACTGGCTAGCCATATGTAGAAAGCTGAAACTGGATCCCTTCCTTACACCTTATACAAAAATCAATTCAAGATGGCTTAAAGATTTAAACGTTAGACCTAAAACCATAAAAACCCTAGAAGAAAACCTAGGCATTACCATTCAGGACATAGGCGTGGGCAAGGACTTCACGTCCAAAACACCAAAAGCAATGGCAACAAAAGCCAAAATTGACAAATGGGATCTAATTAAACTCAAGAGCTTCTGCACAGCAAAAGAAACTACCATCAGAGTGACCAGGCAACCTACAACATGGGAGAAAATTTTCGCAACCTACTCATCTGACAAAGGGCTAATATCCAGAATCTACAATGAACTCAAACAAATTTACAAGAAAAAAACAAACAACCCCATCAAAAAGTGGGCGAAGGACATGAACAGACACTTCTCAAAAGAAGACATTTATGCAGCCAAAAAACACATGAAGAAATGCTCATCATCACTGGCCATCAGAGAAATGCAAATCAAAACCACTATGAGCTATCATCTCACACCAGTTAGAATGGCAATCATTAAAAAGTCAGGAAACAACAGGTGCTGGAGAGGATGTGGAGAAATAGGAACACTTTTACACTGTTGGTGGGACTGTAAACTAGTTCAACCATTGTGGAAGTCAGTGTGGCGATTCCTCAGGGATCTAGAACTAGAAATACCATTTGACCCAGCCATCCCATTACTGGGTATATACCCAAAGGACTATAAATCATGCTGCTATAAAGACACATGCACACATATGTTTATTGCGGCACTATTCACAATAGCAAAGACTTGGAACCAACCCAAATGTCCAACAATGATAGACTGGATTAAGAAAATGTGGCACATATACACCATGGAATACTATGCAGCCATAAAAAATGATGAGTTCATGTCCTTTGTAGGGACATGGATGAAATTGGAAACCATCATTCTCAGTAAACTATCGCAAGAACAAAAAACCAAACACCGCATATTCTCACTCATAGGTGGGAATTGAACAATGAGATCACATGGACACAGGAAGGGGAATATCACACTCTGGGGACTGTGGTGGGGTCGGGGGAGGGGGGAGGGATAGCATTGGGAGACATACCTAATGCTAGATGACACGTTAGTGGGTGCAGCGCACCAGCATGGCACATGTATACATATGTAACTAACCTGCACAATGTGCACATGTACCCTAAAACTTAGAGTATAATAAAAAAAAAAATAAATAAAATAAAAAATAATGCTGTAAAGAGAGAGGAACAGAGACAGGGAGAGTAAATTTAAAAAAAAAAAATACTTAATTTTATGTACTAAAATTTTTAATCCTTTCTTTTATTATTAGTGTTCTTTCCTGTTTAAAACATCTGTGCTACCTCAATCTGACAAATATATTCTGTGATTTTTTTCTAAAAGGTTGATTGTTTTGCCTTTCATATTTAGATCTATAATCTATCTTGAGAATCAAGACTATTTGTATGATATAAGGTAGTGATCAAGTATTTTTTTCTTTTAACACATGAATATTCAATAATTCAACACCATTTATTAAAAAGACCATTCTGTGATATAATCTTCCCCATAGACAAAGTACCCATATATGTGTGGGCCTGTCTTGGGCTCTTTATTGTGTTCCATCAGTCTATCTGACTGTCCTTAAATACAAGCACATTATCTTAACTAATGTAACTATATAAATACTTGATGTTCATTAGTACAAGTTTTCTAATTATGTTCTTTTCACTATTCATAGCCCTTTGAAATTCCATGTTTATTTTATTTATTTAATTTTTAAAAATTTCATTAGCTGTAGAGGTACAAGTGGTTTTTAGTTACATGGATGAATTGTATCGTGGTGAAGTCTGGGTTTTTACTGTACCCTTCACTCAAATAGGGTATATTGTACCCCACAGGTAATTTTTTATCTCTCACCCACCTCTCACCATCCCCATTTCTGAGTCTCCAGCGTACATTATACCACTCTGTATTCCTTTGCATACCCATAGCCTAGCTCCCACTTATAAGTGAGAACATGTGGTATTTGGTTTTCTGTTCCTGTTTTTTTACTTAAGATAATGGCCTCTAGTTCCATTCAAGTTACTACAAAATATATTATTTCGTTCTTGTTTATGGCTGAATAATATAACATGGTGTGTGTGTGTGTGTGTATGTGTGTGTGTGTGTGTGTGTGTGTGTATATATATATATATATATCACCTTTTCTTTATTCACTCATCAGTTGATGGACACTGAGGTTGATTCCACATCTTTGCAACTGTGAATTGTGGTGTAGTAAACATATGTGTGCAGGTTCCTTTTTGATATAATGACTTCCTTTGGGTAGATACCCAGTATTGGGATTGCTGGATCAAATGGTAGATCTACTTTGAGTTCATTGAGAAATCTTCATACTGTTTTCCACATAGATTATATTAATTTACATTCCCCATAAGAAATGGAACAAGACAAGGAGGCCCGCTTTCACCACTTCTATTCAACACAATAGATGGACAACCTACAGAATGGAAGAAAATATTTTTAAACTATACATCTGACAAAGGACTAATATTCAGAATCTACAAGGAACTCAGTGCATAACCCAGCAGTTTATAAGCATTCGATTTTCACCACATCCACACCAACGTCTGTTGTGTTTTGATTTTTTAATAATGGCCATTCTAGCTGGGATAAGATGGTATCTCATTGTCGTTTTAATTTGCATTTCCCAGATGATTTTTGATGTTGAGCATTTTTTTATATGTTGGGTGGCCATTTGCATACCTTCTTTTGAGAAATGTGTGTTGATTTCATTTGCTCACTTTTCAATGGGTTTGTTTTCTTTTTGTTGAGTTGTTTGAGTTCCTTGTAGATTCTGGATATTAGTTCTTTGTCAGATGTATAGTTTAAGAATATTTTCTTCCATTCTGTAGGTTGTTCATCTATTGTGTTGAATAGAAGTGGTGAAAGTGGGCCTCCTTGTCTTGTTCCATTTCTTATGGGGAATATTTTTAACTTTTTCCTCATTCAGTATTATGTTGGCTGTGGGTGTGTCATATATGGCTTTTGTTATTTTGATGCATGTTCCTTCTATGCCTAGATTGTTGATGGTTTTTATCATAAAGGATGCTGGGTTTTATTGAATGCTTTTTCTGTGTCTATTGAGATGATCATATGGTTTTTGTTTTAAATTCTGTTTATGTGCTGATTTATATTTATTGACCTGCATATGTTGAACCATCCCCGCAACCCTAGAATGATACCCACTAGATCATGATGTACTGTCTTTTTGATATGCTATTGGATTTAGTTTGCCAGTATTTTGTTGAGGATTTTTGCATCCATGTTCATCAGGGATATTGGTCTGTAGTTTTCTGTTTTTGTTATATCCTTTCCTGGCTTTGGTATCAGGGTGATACTGGCTTTGTAGAATGCATTAGGAAGGATTCTTTCCTTCTCAATATTTTGTAATAGCTTCAGTAGGATTGGTACCCATTCTTTGGATACCTGGTAGAATTTGTCTGTGAATCCATCTGGTGCTCTGCTTATTTGCTGGGAGATTTTAAATCACTGATTTAATATCACTGCTTATTATTGGTCTGTTTAGAATTTCTGTGTCTTTCTAATTTAAGTTTAGGGGGTTGTGTGTTTCCAGGAACTTATCCATTTCCTAAAGATTTTCTGGATTTTGTGCATAGAGGTTTTCTTAGTAGTCTTGAATGAACTTTTGTATTTCTGTAGTATCAGTTGTAATGTCTCCATTTTTATTTCTGTTTGAGCTTATTTGAATCTTCTTTTTCTTGGTTAATATGAAAATTTATGGTTATCTATAAATATTATCTTTTCAAAGAAATGACTTTTTATTTCATTGATCTTTTCTCTTGTTCTTTTTTTTATTTGAATTTTGTTTAGTTGTTTTCGGATCTTTGTTATTTCTCTCTTTTTTTTTTGCTAGAGTTGAGTTCGATTTATTCCTGTTTTTGTTGTTGTTCCTTGAGGTGTGACATTAGGTTGTCAATTTGTGATTTTTCTGTCTTTTTGATGTAGGCATTTGACACTATATACTTTCCTCTTAGCACTGGTTTTGCTATATTCTAGAAGTTTTGATAACTTTTATCACTGCCATCATTCATTTCGAAACATTTTTAAATTTTACATTTTGCTTTTATTGTTAACCTCCAAATCATTCAGGAGTAGATTGTTTAATTTCCACATATTTGCATAGTTTTGAGTGTTCCTCTTGGAATTGATTTCTAGTTTTATTTCACTCTGGCCTGAGAAGATGCTTAATATAATTTTGATTTTTAAAAATTTATTGAGACTTGTTTTGTGGCCTATCGTATCTTGGAAAATGTTCCATGTGCTCATAAGAATAATGTATATTCTGAAGTTTTGGGGTTGAATGTTCTGTAAATGTCTGTTAGGTCCATCTTTCTCTCTCTCTCTCTCTCTTTTTTTTTGTTTTTTCTTTTTTTGACAGAGTCTTTCTCTGTTGCCAGGCTGGTGTGCAATGGCACGATCTTGGCTCACTGCAACCTCCGCCTCCTGGGTTCAAGTGATTCGTCTGCCTCAGCCTCCTGAGTAGCTGGGACTACAGGGCGTGCCACCATGCCCAGGCCCAGCTAATTTTTGTATTTTTAGTAGAGATGGGGTTTTACCATGTTGGCCAGGATGGTCTCGATCTCTTGACCTCGTGATCTGCCCACCTCAGCCTCCCAAAATGCTGGGATTATAGGCGTGAGTCACCACTCCTGGCCAGGTCATCTTCATCTAGAGTCCAGTTAAAGTCCAGTGTTTCTTTATTGACTTTCTGTCTTGATGATTTGACTAGTGCTGTCAATGGGGTGTTGAAGTTCCCGTCTCTTTATTGTGCTGCTGTCTACCTCTTTTCTTAGGTCTAGTAGTAATTGTTTTATGCATCTTGGAGCTCTGGAGTTAGATGCATATACATTTAGGATTGTTATATTCTTCTTATTGAATTGATCCCTTTATCATTATATAATGACCTTCTTTCTTTTCTTTTTTCTTTTTTCTTCTTTCTTTCTTTTTTTTTCTTTCCTCTTGTTTCTTTAAAGTTGTCTTATCTGATATAAGAATAGCTACTCCTGCTTGCTTTTGGTTTTCATTTGTGTGAAATATTTTTTCCACGTCTTTATCTTGAGTCTCTAAGAATCTTCATACATTAGGTAGGTGTCCTGAAGATAGTAGATATTTGGTTTGTGATTTTAATCCATTCTGCCAATATATATTTTTAAAGTGTAGCACTCAGACTGTTTACATTCAATGTTAATGTTGACATGTGAGATGTTGTTCTAGTCATTATGTCGCTTTTTACCAAGTTACTTTGTTTACTTTATTGTGTCACTGTTTTATAAGCCTTGTGAGTTTTGTGCTTTCAATTGTTTTTATTCTGGGGCACATCGATCTTTTGTTTCAATATTTAGGACTTATTTTAGCATTTCTCATAGGCCTGTCTAGTGTTGACAGATTCTCTCAGCATTTGCTTGTCTGTGAAAGACTTAATTTCTCCTTCACTTATGAAACTTAGTTTTGCTGGTTACAAAATTCTTGGCTGAAAGTTATGTTTAAGGAGACTAAAGGTAGGACCCTAATCCCTTCTGGCTTGTAAGATTTCTGCTGAGAATCTGCTGTTAGTCTGATAGGTTTTCCTTTATAAGTAAGTAAGTTATCTAATGCTTTTGTCTCACTGCTCTTAGAATTCTTTCCTTCACATTAAATTTAGATAGCCTGACGACTATGTCTTGGTGATGTCTTTTTTGCATGAATCTCCCAGGGCTTCTTTGAGTTTCTTGTATTTGAATGTCTAAATCTCTAGCAAAACCAGTAACATTTTCATTAATTATTGCCCCAAATAGGTTTCCCAACTTCTTGCTTTTTCTTCTCCCTCAGGAACAACCTATAATTCTTAGGTTTGGACATTTTATATAAACCTATATTTATGAGAAACTTTGTTCACTTCTTTTAATTCTTTTTTCTGTATTTTTGCCTGATTGGGTTAATTCAAAATCCTTTTCTGTAAGCTCAGAAATTCTAAAATTCCTTAAAAATCAGTTTCTCAGTTTCTACAAAAAAACAACACTTTGGGATTTTGATTGGAATTTTATTGAATCTATGTATTTATTTGGGAAGAAATGATATCTTTAGAATATTATGTCCTCAAATCCCTGATCATGGTGTATCATTCAATTTATTTTAACTTTCCTTAAAATATGTCTCAAAATATTATATTTTTCTTTATAAAAGTCTTCCATATTTTTGCTAGATTTATTTCTATGTATTTGATATTATTGTTAAATTATAAATTTAAGTTGTAAATTACCAATTTATTCTGGTTTCACTGAATCAGGAATAGATATGTAATAACCAAATACTTTTTCAGCATTTGTGAAAATAATCATAATATATATTTCTGTAACATATTAAGTTATATTATTTTAAAATATTGAACCATATTTGTATTTCTGAAAAAAATTCAAATTGGTTATACTGTATTATTCTTGTAATATGCTTGTGAATTAGGTCTAAACTTATTTTAATTTTGTAGTTTTTAATTTATATACATGAGTGAGCTTTTGTGTAGTTTTCTCTTATTGTACAGACTTCAGTGGATTATGATACCAATGTTATACTTACTTCATAAAATTAATTTGGATTTTTCCCCTTAAGTCATTATCTAAAATAACTTTTATATAGCTTCTAAATTATTATTAAAGGTTTACCAGGCTTCTTTTATGAAATTTTCTACCTGGAAAATTTTATTTGTGGCATAGGGGTAAAATTGATATAAATAAAATAGAGGGTTATCTAAAAATATTTATTGATATTACAAAGCCTAAAATTTGCATATGTACTCAAACATATACACTTCTCATTATACATCTTCCCATACATGTTTCTACCAGGTGAATGTATAGGATTTGATCTTTAGGATTTTCAATTCATTCTTTTCTAGATCTTTTTTATTTTAGTTTCAATTTTATATTTGAAATAAGAACTGCTTGTGGGACTTTTAAAAAGGTCCCACATTATTTTCTTACTAAGTACTAGTGTTGTTTCCTTGTAAGCATGGTACATTTTTGGATTTTATTTTTACTTTTTGAAATTTACTGGGACCTTGAAAGTGGTCTAATATATGATCAAGTTTTATAAACATTCTATAACTTGAAAAGAAGGTACACTGTTTTTATTTTTAGGGTTTAAAGTTCAAAATAATATATCAATTATTATACCTTTTAAATTATTTTATTTAAGCTTTCTATTGGTTACAGGAAAAGAGAGGTGAAATAAAATCTAAGGCTAATGTATCTCTGTTTATGCATTTTACTCTCATGGTTGTGATTTATGAAGGTGAATGCTGTGTTATTTAATGCATACAATCCAAACAGTTAAGTGTTCATCGTGTATTGGACTCCTTAATCTCATAAAAACTGCCTGTTTTTGTTTTAAGGATTTTTGGCCTGAATTCAAAGTTATGTGTTATTAAGTTTGTTAATACTACTCTTTTTTATTGTATTTTCCTTGTTTATATATTTTTTTTGTTTTTGAGTTTTCAGAGTCACTTTGTTTTTAATATGTCTTACATATAGAGCACAGAATTGTGTTTTGGTTTTATTTTTGCCATCCATATCTTTGTATAAACACTTTGTTATTGAAAATTTTCAATCAATCAATCAGCAAAGTTGAAAGACTTTTGCAGTGAACAATCATGGGTTTTGTTTTTAATTCCCATCCGAAATTTTTTATGCCTTAAGAGACAGAGTAAATTCACTCGAAAACATTGATATATATGCTTGCTTTTAATCTATATTATTCCGTTTTTTTGTTTGTTTGTATTACATAAAATATTTCAATATGTGCTCTTTTCTCTGTATTTTGATATTGTGATTCTCTTGATATTTAGACAGGCTTGTACTTCTGCTAAAGGAGACTTTCATATCATCCACAACTATGTACTATACAATTAAACATGTCTTTTTAAAAATACGTGTTAGTTTCTGTGATGGTCAGCTGCAGTGTCAACTTGGTCAGGCAATAGTACCCCGTTATTCAATCACAAATGCCTAGGTGTTGCTGTGAGGTATTTATTTAGTAGATGTGATTAGCATCTACAGTTAGTTGACTTTAAGTAAAGGAGATTGTCCTTGATAATTTTAGTGGCCCTGATTCAATCAATCAGTTGAAAGATCTTAAAAGCAGAAAACCTGAGGTTTTCTTTTAAGGAGGAAGACATTTCACCTGTGGACTGCAGCATCAGCTTCTGCCCAAGAGATTCCATATTTTCCTACAGATTCTGGACCTCCCAAGACAGCCCCACAATCACATAAGCTAATTCTCTGCAATGAATTAATTTAAATATCAGATCACTGGTGCTGTTTGTTTCTCTGGTGTAACCCTGAGTATATGTTACCCTAAAATAGGCAATAAATGAGTTAGAAATTTGCTATACCCTCTTCCTTATGTGCTAGCTGATATTGCATTTCATTATGTATCCTTCTTAGTGTTATTAAAGTTTAGAGAGTGTGTAAGTGTGTACTGAAAAAAAAACTCATTTCTGTAAAATTGTCTTCTAAGTATACAGACTTTTTAGAGAAGTAAACAGCAGACAGTTAAAAAAAAATGCTACTTTATTAGAGCAAAACCAATTTTAATCCCAACAAAAAAATCACCCAATTGAAAAAAATTAAGTTTCTAATGAATAAAGTAGTAAACAGTACTTACAGTATTATATTTTATTTATTTTACGTTTTAGAGATAGAATCTTGCTATGTTGCCCAGGCTAGCCTCAAACTCCTGGGCTTAAGTGATCTTCCTGCCTCAGCCTCCTGAGTAGCTGGGACTACAGACACATGCCACCATGCCCAGCGGTAATTATAATATTATTTTTTAAACAAAAAAATGAAGTTAGTTTGAAGAGAGGAGGTATAAGCAAGTGCTGCATTTGCTGGCCCTCAAAGATAGTGCACAGGGACAAACTGAGCCAAGAAGAAAAATAAGTAGTGGCTTGGCATTGTGTACAGTCCTGTACATGTCTGTGGCTTGCAACATTAATCCACTATTCCCTGGTGGCTTGGAATATTAGCATGCCAAGAAATATCACACATGAATCAATGTGACTTCCAAAGTATACCATCATCATCACTGCTAATTAATTTCAAATCACATATGAGCTAATTCCTATAACAGAAATATGCATTATTGATGATTGTATTTGATTTGTGAGCTTTTAGTGGAACCCTTTGGTCTCCAGCTGTTAAAGATGAGGAAATCAGCATATTTTACCACCTCTTTTTCCCTTCACTGCTCATTTTTTCTTTGTGTAATTTTTATATTCTTGGAGCATGTATTATTTGCATTTTGTACTATCACCCTAATCACCAATCTTGTTTTACTTTTAGTCCTAATTTTATAGTTTAATCTTTGCTATAGGCTCAATACTTAGCATTAGTATCATTGTTAGACTCAGACAAATGGGTACACGTCTTTGGCCACTATTTAGAGACTCCTGCTCTGGCTTTCCTCTGTCTGTGCCTGTCATGAACTAAATGTTTGTGTCCTCCACAAATGCATATACTGAAGCCGTACACCCAAATGTGATTGTATTTGGAAGTAAGGCCTTTGGGAGGTAAGTGCGTGCAGATGAGGTCATGATAGGCCCCCCCATGATAGGTTTGGTGACTTTTCTTCTTCTTTTTTTTTTTTTTTTGAGATGGAGTCTCACTCTGTCGCCCAGGCTGGAGTGCGGTGGCGCGATTTGGGTTCACCACAAGCTCCTCTTCCCAGGTTCACGCCTTTCTCCTGCCTCAGCGTCCCGAGTAGCTGGGACTACAGGTGCCCGCCACCACACCCGGCTAATTTTTTTGTATTTTTAGTAAAGACGGGGTTTCACCGTGTTAGCCAGGATAGTCTTGATCTCCTGACCTCGTGATCTGCCCACCTTGGCCTCCCAAAGTGCTGGGATTACAGGCATGAGCCACTGTGCCCGGCCCAGGTTTGGTGACTTTTAAGAAGAGGGAGAGAGACCAGTGCTCTCTCTTTCAACCATGTGAGGACACAGTGAGGAAGCAGCCATCAGCAAGACAGGAAGAGAGCCCTCACCAGGAACTAAATCTGCCAGGTCCTTGATCTTGGACTTCCAAGCCTCCAAAACTGTGAGAAACTCATATACGTTGTTTAAGCAGACCAGTCTATGGTATTTTGTTGTAGCAACCTGAGATGACTAAGACAGTGGCTCTCCTCATGGGGCAAAGAATCTACAAGGGCCAAAAGGAAGTGCCCACCACAAACCCACATACTCTCATCTACACCATGTTCTAATCACCAAATACACTAGCATTGTGTGCCCAAATCACTCTGAACTCACTTTCTGGGCTTGAAAGCAGCCAGTGTAAAGACACATAACCTTCAAAAGAAACTAATAGGAAAGACAACTGATGTTCACAGAGAAATAATGGCAACACACAAACAACAGAATGACGTATTTAAAGTTTTGAAAGAAACAACTGCAACTTTATAACTTGATACCTACCAAAAATATCCTTTAAAAGTGAAGACCAAAATAAGGACAATTTCTAGACAATGACTAAGAGAATTTGCTGCCAGTAAACCTAGGCTAAATAAATACTAAAAAATATCCTGGAAGAGGAAAAATATCCCAGACAGGATTAATGCAGGACAAAATGAAGAGCACAACACAAAAGTTAAATAGATGGGTAACGCCAAATGCCTATTGACTGATAAAATAATGTCTTCTGTGGGTTACAATACATATTCAGATTTAAAATGCATGATAACAGCTAACCCAAAAAACACTAAAGATGCTAAAGAGTAGATGGAGGTTATCTAAATTCTTAGAATTTATCTGGAAAGAGGTTAAAGTACTAACTTACATTATACTCTAATAACTCAAGGATGCATTTTGTGATATTTAGGGCAGTCACCAGAAGAATAGGGGGAAAAAACCTTTGTAATAAACAAGAAAATAAAGAGGAAAAAATAATAAAAATATTTGATTAAGCAAAAAACTTTGAAGAAAGAGATAAAGAAACAAAAAATAGGTGATAAATGAAAAATAGTAAGATGGTAGACATAAATCCAAACATATTACTAACAATGTTACTTGTAATGTGCCTGAATATTTCAATTAAAAGAACAAATATTGATGGGGTTGTTTGTTTGTTTCTTGTAAATTTGTTAGAGTTCTTTGTAGATTCTGGATATTAGCCCTTTGTCAGATGAGTAGATTGCAAAAATTTTCTCCCATTCTGTAGGTTGCCTGTTCACTCTGATGGTAGTTTCTTTTGCTGTGCAGAAGCTCTTGAGTTTAATGAGATCCCATTTGTCAATTGTGGCTTTTGTTGCCATTGCTTTTGGTGTTTTAGACATGAAGTCCTTGGCCATGCCTCTGTCCTGAATGGTATTGCCTAGGTTTTCTTCTAGGGTTTTTATGGTTTTAGTTCTAACATTTAAGTCTTTAATCCATCTTGAATTAATTTTTGTATAAGGTGTAAGGAAGGGATCCAGTTTCAGCTTTCTACATATGGCTAGCTAGTTTTCCCAGCACCATTTATTAAATAGGGAATCCTTTCCCCATTGCTTGTTTTTGTCAGGTTTGTCAAAGATCAGATAGTTGTAGATGTGTGGCATTATTTCTGAGGGCTCTGTTCTGTTCCATTGGTCTATATGTCTGTTTTGGTACCAGTACCATGCTGTTTTGGTTACTGTAGCCTTGTAGTATAGTTTGAAGTCAGGTAGCATGATGCCTCCAGCTTTGTTCTGTTGGCTTAGGATTGCCTTGGCGATGCGGGCTCTTTTTTGGTTCCATATGAACTTTAAAGTAGTTTTTTCCAATTCTGTGAAGAAAGTCATTGGTAGCTTGATGGAGATGGCATTGAATCTATAAATTACCTTGGGCAGTATGGCCATTTTCATGATATTGATTTTTCCTATCCATGCGCGTGGAATGTTCTTCCATTTGTTTGCATCCTCTTTTATTTTGTTGAGCAGTGGTTTGTAGTTCTCTTTGAAGAGGTCCTTCACATCCCTTGTAAGTTGGATTCCTAGGTATTTTATTCTCTTTGAAGCAATTGTGAATGGGAGTTCACTCAGGATTTGGCTCTCTCTTTGTCTGTTATTGGTGTATAAGAATGCCTGTGATTTTTGCACATTGATTTTGTGTCCTGAGACTTTGCTGAAGTTGCTTATCAGCTTAAGGAGATTTTGGGCTGAGATGATAGGGTTTCTAGATATACAGTCATGTCATCTGCAAAGAGGGACAATTTGACTTCCTCTTTTCCTGATTGAATACTCTTTATTTCTTTCTCCTGCATGATTACCCTGGCCAGAACTTCCAACACTATGTTGAATAGGAGTGATGAGAGAGGGCATCCCTGTCTTGTGCCCGTTTTCAAAGGGAATGCTTCCAGTTTTTGCCCATTCAGTAAAAGTGAGCAAAGGATATGAACAGATACTTCTCAAAAGAAGACATTTATGCAGCGAACAGACACATGAAAAAATGCTCATCATCACTGGCCGTCAGAGAAATCCAAATCAAAACCACAATGAGATACCATCTCACACCAGTTCGAATGGCAATCATTAAAACGTCAGGAAACAACAGGTGCTAGAGAGGATGTGGAGAAATAGGAACACTTTTACACTGTTGGTGGGACTGTAAACTAGTTCAACCATTGTGGAAGACAGTGTGCCGATTCCTCAAGGATCTAGAACTAGAAATGCCATTTGACCCAGCCATCCCGTTACTGGGTATATACCCAAAGGATTATAAATTATGCTGCCATAAAGACAGACACATGCACACGTATGTTTATTGCAGCACTACTCACAATAGCAAAGACTTGGAACGAACCCAAATGTCCATCAGTGATAGACTGGATTAAGAAAATGTGGCCCATATACACCATGGAATACTATGTGGCCATAAAAAAGGATGAGTTCATGTCCTTTGTAGGGACATGGATGAAGCTGGAAACCATCATTCTCAGCAAACTATCGCAAGGACAAAAAACCAAACACTGCATGGTCTTACTTATAGGTGGGAATTGAACAGTGAGAATACTTGGACACAGGAAGGGGAACATCACATACCAGGGCCTGTTGTGGGGTGGGGGGAGGGGGGAGGGATAGCATTAGGAGATATACCTAATGTAAATGACGAGTTAATGGATGCAGCACACCAACATGGCACATGTATACATATGTAACAAACCTGCACATTGTGCACGTGTACCCTAGAACTTAAAGTATAATTTAAAAAAAAGAACAAATATTATTAGGCTGGATAAAAATCAAAACCTTATTACATTATGCTTAGAAAACACAACTGAAGAAACTTATACAGAAGTTAAAAATAAAGGGGTGGAAAAAATATGGAAAGATTAAGTATAAAAAACCTGGTGTAATATCAGATAAGGAATGAAGCTTTACTAGAAATAATTTCATAATGACAAACAAAAGCTCTATTAGCCAGGAAGACAGGCAGATTCCTGTTTGTATGGACCTAAAAATTACTTCAAAAATATGTAAAGCAATAGTTAACAGAATTAAAAGGAGAAATAAGGAAACCTGTAAGAAAAATTGGAGAATTTACTGTACCTTTCTTAGTTACTAACAGGACAAGAGACAAAAAAATCACATTCTTTTCCAGTAGGCATGGAATATTTACCAAATTGTGACAAGTGAACCTTAAGGTTAGTCTCAATAAATCTCAGGGTTTCTCATTCTTGGCACGGTTGACATTTTGGACTAGATAACTCTTTGTTGCAGGAGTGTGTCTTGTGCATTATAGGACTTTTAGCAGCACCCCTGGCCTCTCTTCAGCAGATGCCAGTACCAGCTCCTCTTTCACAGTTGTGACAACGAATGTCTCCAGATATCGCCAAATGTCATCTGGGGGGCAAACTCATTGATTTAGAATATGTTCCTTTAAAATGGTTTAATGAAGCCAGTAATCAGTTAAAAAAATCAACAAAAACTTCCCATAATGTGCAATTAAGGAATACACACATAAATGACTCATGAGGCAAATAAAATGGAAATTATAAAGTATTTTAAATAGAATTATTATAAAATAAAACACATGAAAACTTGTATAGCAAGGCTTAAGCTGTTCTTGGAAGGAAATATGTAGAATTACAGGCATACATTAAAAAAACAAGACTAAGATTCAAGTCTATGAAGTTCAGGACTTTTAAAACGCTATGGTCAAGTAAGATCCGCAAGTCCTCTCCCCAAAAGGTAGCCATAAAGTTGACAAAAAATATGTCATCACTCTGTAATTCTACTAAAGTCATGAAACAATCTGAGCTTAGTGTAAGAACATGGGAGTCTATAGTATTTAGGCCTGGGTCAGGGGCTTCTCCCATCATCCACCTTCCCAGTTGCTGATGTGGAGGTTCTCCCAGGGTGGGGCAGGCTATGAAGACCAACAGCTTCTCTGACACAGTTGGAAGCAACTAACTCTATTTGGGGCAGTGACTAACGCCCATGTTCAATGGAAGTGACTTATCTGAGGCAAACAAGTGGGAAGGCCGATGGCTCCACTCTTTTAACCTGAGGTTTGTAGTCCTCACTGGGACAAGCTTACTCCTGGCTGAGTCCACATGTCCTCACTGGAGACAGAGAACCTCCAAACTAGTTTCACACTAGTAGCTTACTTTGTAGCTGCACACATGGCATAAGACTCAAAAGGAACTGGAGGACAATAAAACCCAGGGCAGACTGAAAACATTCTGGATTTGTAAAGTCTTGAATTTAGGATATGCAAGTAACTCCTACAGCTCAATAATAATAAAATAAACAGTGAAATTAAAATATGGGTAAAATATTTGAATAGCTGGTTTTTCAAATGATATATAGAAATGGCTAATAAGCACATAAAAAGATACCTATCATTAATTATTAGAGAAATGAACATATAAGTCACAATGCGCTATTACTACACACCTACTCGAATGGATATAATCAAAGATAAAGTTAATTCAAAGTATTGGTAAGAATGTGGAGAAACTGAAACCCTTGTGCATTTTTTAAGGGAATAAAATAGTACAGAAATTTTGTAAAATAATTTGATGGTGTCTTAAAAACTTAAAAATAAACTTATTATATGACCCAGTATTTGTACTCCTAGTAATCTACCAAAGAGTAATGAAAACATATGTTCATGCAAAGACATATTCATCACTATTTGGAGCCGTATTTATCATTAATTTGTATGATGTTTGTAATTTATGCATTTTTTTTCTTGAGACACCTCTAGGAGACTAATCAAGAGAAAAGAAAATGGCACAAATTACAAATATCAGGAATGAATAAGGGGATAAAAAATTCAGATTCTATATCCATTAGAAGGAGGATATTATGAATGTGACAATAAATTTGAAAAGTTGGATGAAACATTCAATTTTTCTTTAAAAAGCAACTCACTACAACTGACACAAAAATAGAAAATCTGATTATTAATATATCTGATAAAGATATTGAATTCTTAATTAAAATCTTTTCAGAAGAACTCTTTAAGCCCATATGGCTTAACTGGATAATTCTTTCAACATTTAACCATAACGTTTGACATTAGCTATAATATTTTGTTAAAAGCTCTTAATATATTCAAAAATTTCCCTTCCACTTACTGAACTGATTTTGAATGCTGAACCAATCGCATCCTATGCATGAGCCCAAATTGGCTGTGATAAATTATGTTTTTAGATTTCATCTTTACATTCAACTTGCTAATATTTCGTTTAGAGTTTTTATTTTTCTTATGAGTGAGATTAATCTGTATTTCTTCTCATACAATCACTGTTTTTTTACATAAACATGCAAATTAGAAGCAACAACGATCTTTCATAAACTTTTCAAGATAAGAGAAAAAGTGAGTATGGTTTCCAACTCATTTTATGCTGCAAGCATAATCTTGACTCAAAAACGTAACAGTGATTTTATAAGTAAAAAAAATACAGATTAATCTCATAAGAAAAATACAAACTCTAAACAAAATATTAGCAAGTTGAATCTAAAGATGAAATTGAAATCTAAAAACATAATTTATCACAGCCAATTTGGGTTTATGCATGGAATGCAAGTTTGGGTCAGCATTCAAAATCAATTCTATAAGTGGAAGGAAAATTTCTGAATATATTAAGAGCTGTTAACAAAATATAGCTAATGCCAAACATTATGGTCAAATGTTGAAAGGCTCATCCCTGAGTTCAGGAACAAGACACAAAGGCTGGCTATCACCATTTGTATTTGATAGGTAAAGCTCTGGCCAATTCAACAGTGGAGTAAATGAAATATATAAGAAGATTGGAACTTAAGAAATAAAACTATATCAGATGACATGATCATTTTGTAAAAAAGTCTCAAGTATTTATAGAAAAACAGTATTAATAAGTGAATTAAGAAAGAAAGCAAGAAACAGTTGATATTAAAAATTGTATTACAATATACAGCAACGAGCATTTAGAAAATGAAATTTTAAAAATATCATTTAAAACAGCATCATAAAACATCAAATGCTGAGGAATAAATCTAAGGAGTGGTATAAAAGTTCTCTACAGTGAAAAGTATAAAAAAGTTGAGAGAATTTAAATAGGTTTAAATAAAGGGAGCAATATATTGTATTCAAGTATTGGAAGATGTAATAACATAAAAATGAGGGTTCTCTTCTACAGATTAAAAAAAGAAAATAGCCTATGTATTCAGCTTCCAGTTTGAGGTTACATGGAGTAAACACACTCCATGCCATCTCTCTCACTAAATAACTACAAGAATAAAGGAAGAGTAACAAAAATGGTAAATATCTGGGTAACTATAATATATTATGCATTCCCTATTGAGTTCTTTCATATTTGTCCATTAAAGATGAAAAATGAATACATTGTCTCAAGGAGTTTTCAATGTATATAGATGTAATATACAAGACAAATGTAACACTAACAGAAGAAGTTTCTACATTCCACCTAAGTGATAAAATATTGATTCTAAGTAGATTGTTAAAAGTTATGGCTGTATTTTGAAATCCCTGGAGCAACAGCTAAAAAATCTATATAAAGAAATATAATAAAAGACAGAACAGATAAATTAAAATCAAATACTGAAAAATATTCAAATGACCAAAAGAAGGCAGGAATGAATAAACAGAGGAAGAACAACAACAAAAACAACAACAAACTAATAAAATGGTAGGCTTGAGCCTAAACATGTCAATTCTACTAACTATTAATGGTATAAATGCATCAATTAAAAGACAGAGATCATCAGAACTGATTAAAATATGATATGACAAAATATAGAAACTCACAGGAAGTATAATGATATAGATAAGTTAAAATAAAAGAAAAACAATGTTGGTGAGAATGTAAGTTAGTACAACCACTATGGAAAACAGTTTGTAGGTTCCTCAAAAAACTAAAACTAGAGCCACCATACAATCCAGCAATCCTACTCCTAGGTATACACCCAAAAGAAAGGAAAACAGTATATAGAAGAGATATCTTCACTCCTTTGTTTATGGCAGCACTATTCACAATAGTCAGGATTTGAAAGCAATGTAAATGTCCATCAACAGATGAATGGATAAAGAAAATGAGATATATATCCACAATAAAGTAGTATTCAGCCGTAAGAAAGAATGAAATCCTGTCATTTGCAACAACATGGATGTAACTGGAGGAAGTGAAATAAGCCAGACACAGAAAGACAAACTTCACATGTTCTCACTTATTTGTGGGAGCTAAAAATTAAAACAACTGAACTCATGAAGAAAAAGAGTAGAAGTATGGTTACCAGAGGCTAGAAAGGATAGTGGATGTGAAGGGGTGAAGTGGGGATGATAAATAGGTACAAAAAAGATAATTAGAAAGAATGAATAATACCTAGTGTTTGCTAGAAAAACAGGGTGATTATAGTCAAAAATAATTTAATTCTACATTTTAAATAACTAAAAGAGGGGGCAGATCCAAGATGGCCAAATAGGAACAGCTCCAGTCTACAGCCCCCAGCGTGAGTGACACAGAAGACGGGTGATTTCTGCATTTCCAACTGAGGTACCAGGTTCGTCTCACTGGGGCTTGTCAGACAGTTGGTGCAGGACAGTGGGTGCAGTGCACTGAGCATGAGCTGAAGCAGGGCAAGGCATTCCCTCATCCGGGAGGTGCAAGGGGTCAGGGAATTCCCTTTCATAGCCAAGCAAAGCTGTGACAGATGGCACCTGGAAAATTGGGTCACTCCCACCCTAATACTGTGCTTTTCCAATGGTCTTAGCAAACAGCACACCAGGAGATTATATCCCGTGCCTGGCTCGGAGGGTCCCATGACCACGGAGCCCCGCTCATTGCTAGCACAGCAGTCTGAGATCAAACTGCAAGGTGGCAGCGAGGCTGGGGGAGGGGCGCCCGCCATTGCCGAGGCTTGAGTAGGTAAACAAAGTGGTGGGAACCTCAAACTGGGTGAAGCCCACCACAGCTCAAGGAGGCCTGCCTGCCTCTGTAGACTCCACCTCTGGGGGCAGGGCATAGCTGAACAAAAGGCAGCAGAAACCTCTGCAGACTTAAATATCCCTGTCTGACAGCTTTGAAGAGAGTAGTGGTTCTCCCAGCACGGAGTTTGAGATCTGAGAATAGACAGACTGCCTCCTCAAGTGGGTCCCTGACCCCCAAGTAGCCTATCTGGGAGGCACCCCCCAGTAGGTGCAGACTGACATCTCACACAGCGGGGTACCCCTCTGAGATGAAACCTCCAGAGGAACGATCAGAGAGCAACATTTGCTGTTCAGCAATATTTGCTGTTCTGCAGCCTCCACTGCTGATACCCAGACAAACAGGGTCTGGAGTGGACCTCCAGCAAACTCCAACAGACCTGCAGCTGAGGGTACTTACTGTTAAAACGAAAACTAACAAACAGAAGGGACATCCACACCAAAACCCCATTTGTACGTCACCATCATCAAAGACCAAAGGTAGATAAAACCACAAAGATGGGGAAAAAACAGAACAGAAAAGCTGAAAATTCTAAAAATCAGAGTGCCTCTCCTCCTCCAAAGGAATGCAGCTCCTCACCAGCAACAGAACAAAGCTGGATGGAGAATGACTTTGACAAGTTGAGAGGAGAAGGCTTCAGACGATCAAACTTCTCTGAGCTAAAAGAGGAAGTTTGAACTCATCGCAAAGAAGTTA
This sequence comes from Homo sapiens, assembly GCF_000001405.40. NCBI lineage: Eukaryota > Metazoa > Chordata > Mammalia > Primates > Hominidae > Homo > Homo sapiens. The sequence goes on from NC_000010.11 coordinate 76,609,739, forward strand.
AAAACCTTGAAAAAAGATTAGACGAATGGCTATCTAGAATAACCAATGCAGAGAAGTCCTTAAAGGACCTGATGGAGCTGAAAACTGTGGCATGAGAACTAGGTGATGAATGCACAAGCTTCAGTAGCCAATTCGATCAACTGGAAGAAAGGGTATCAGTGATGGAAGATCAAATGAATCAAACGAAGTGAGAAGAGAAGTTTAGAGAAAAAAGAATAAAAGGAAACAAACTAAGCCTCCAAGAAATATGGGACTATGTGAAAAGACCAAATCTACATCTGATTGGTGTACCTGAAAGTGACAGGGAGAATGGAACCAAGTTGGAAAACACCCTTCAGGATATTATCCAGGAGAACTTCCCCAACCTAGCAAGGCAGGCGAACATTCAAATTCAGGAAATACAGAGAATGCCACAAAGATACTCCTTGAGAAGAGCAACACCAAGACACATAATTGTCAGATTCACCAAAGTTGAAATGAAGGAAAAAATGTTAAGGGCAGCCAGAGAGAAAGGTCGGGTTACCCACAAAGGAAAGCCCATCAGACTAACAGCTGATCTCTCAGCAGAAATTCTACAAGCCAGAAGAATGTGGGGGACAATATTCAACATTCTTAAAGAAAAGAATTTTCAACCCAGAATTTCGTATCCAGCCAAACTAAGCTTCAAAAGTGAAGGAGAAATAAAATACTTTACAGGCAAGCAAATGCTGAGAGATTTTGTCACCACCAGCCCTGCCCTAAAAGAGGTCCTGAAGGAAGCACTAAATATGGAAAGGAACAAACGGTACCAGCCACTGCAAAAACATGCCAAATTGTAAAGACCATCCATGCTAGGAATAAACTGCATCAACTAACGAGCAAAATAACCAGCTAACATCATAATGACAGGATCATCATAATGACAGGATGACATAATCAAATTCACACATAACAATATTAAGCTTAAATGTAAATGGGCTAAATGCTCCAATTAAAAGACACAGAGTGGAAAATTTGATAAAGAGTCAAGACCCATCAGTGTGCTGTATTCAGGAAACCCATCTGACATACAGAGACACACATAGGCTCAAAATAAAGGGATGGAGGAAGATCTACCAAGCAAATGGAAAACAAAAAAAGGCAAGTGTTACAATCCTAGTCTCTGATAAAAGAGACTTTAAACCAACAAAGATCAAAAGAGACAAAGAAGGCCATTACATAATGGTAAAGGGATCAATTCAACAAGAAGAGCTAACTATCCTAAATATATATGCACCCAATACAGGAGCACCCAGATTCATAAAGCAAGTCCTTGGAGACCTACAAAGAGACTTAGACTCCCACACAATAATAATGCGAGACCTTAACAACCCACTGTCAACATTAGACAAATCAACGAGACAGAAAGTCAACAAAGATATCCAGGAATTGAATTCAGCTCTGCACCAAGCGGACCTAATAGACGTCTACAGAACTCTCCACCCTAAATCAACAAAATATACATTGTTCTCAGCACCACACCACACCTATTCCAAAATTGACCACATAGTTGGAAGTAAAGCACTCCTCAGCAAATGTAAAAGAACAGAAATTATAACAAACTGTCTCTCAGACCACAGTGCAATCAAGCTAGAACTCAGGATTAAGAAACTCACTCAAAACCGCTCAACTACATGGAAACTGAACAACCTGCTCCTGAATGACTACTGGGTACATAACGAAATGAAGGCAGAAATAAAGATGTTCTTTGAAACCAACGAGAACAAAGACACAACATACCAGAATCTCTGGGACACATGTCAAGCAGTGTGTAGAGGGAAATTTATAGCACTAAATGCCCACAAGAAAAAGCAGGAAAGATCTAAAATTGACACCCTAACATCACAATTAAAAGAACTAGAGAAGCAAGAGCTTCAAAACCTAGCAGAAGGCAAGAAATAACTAAGATCAGAGCAGAAGTGAAGGAGATAGAGACACAAAAAGCCCTTCAAAAAAGCAATGAAACCAGAAGCTGGTTTTTTGAAAGGATCAACAAAATTGATAGACCACTAGCAAGACTAATAAAAAAGAAAAGAGAGAAGAATCAAATAGATGCAATAAAAAATGATAAAGGGGATATCACCACTCATCCCACAGAAATACAAACTACCATCAGAGAATACTACAAACACCTCTACGCAAATAAACTAGAAAATCTAGAAAAACTGGATAAATTCCTCAACACATACACCCTCCCAAGACTAACCCAGGAAGAAATTGAATCTCTGATTAGACCAATACAGGCTCTGAAATTGAGGCAATAATTAATAGCTTACCAACAAAAAAAAGTCCAGGACCAGACGGATTCACAGCCAAATTCTACCAGAGGTACAAGGAGGAACTGGTACCATTCCTTCTGAAACTATTTCAATCAATAGAAAAAGAGAGAATCTTCCCTAACTCATTTTATGAGGCCAGCATCATCCTGATACCAAAGCCTGGCAGACACAAAACAAAAAAAGAGAATTTTAGACCAATATCCCTGATGAACTTCGATGCAAAAATCCTCAATAAAATACTGGCAAACCAAATTCAGCAACACATCAAAAAGCTTATCCACCATGATCAAGTGGGCTTCATCCCTGGGATGCAAGGCTGGTTCAACATACGCAAATCAATAAACGTAATGCAGCATATAAACAGAACCAAAGACAAAACCACATGATTATCTCAATAGATGCAGAAAAGGCCTTTCATAAAATTCAACAGCCCTTCATGTTAAAAACTCTCAATAAATTAGGTATTGATGGGATGTACCTCAAAATAATAGGAGCTATTTATGACAAGCCCACAGCCAATATCATACTGAATGGGCAAAAACTGGAAGCATTCCCTTTGAAAACGGGCACAAGACAGGGATGCCCTCTCTCACCACTCCTATTCAACATAGTGTTGGAAGTTCTGGCCAGGGCAATCAAGCAAGAGAAAGAAATAAAGGGTATTCAATTAGGAAAAGAGGAAGTCAAATTGTCCCTCTTTGCAGATGACATGATTGTATATCTAGAAAACCCCATTGTCTCAGGCCAAAATCTCCTTAAGCTGATAAGCAACTTCAGCAAAGTCTCAAGATACAAAATCAATGTGCAAAAATCACAGGCATTCTTATACACCAATAACAGACAAAGAGAGAGCCAAATCATGAGTGAACTCCCATTCACAATTGCTTCAAAGAGAATAAAATACCTAGGAATCCAACTTACAAGGGATGTGAAGGACTTCTTCAAGGAGAACTACAAACTACTACTCAACGAAATAAAAGAGGACACAAACAAATGGAAGAACATTCCACGCTCATGGATAGGAAAAATCAATATCATGAAAATGGCCATACCGCCCAAGGTAATTTATAGATTCAATGCCATCTCCATCAAGCTACCAATGACTTTCTTCACAGAATTGGAAAAAACTACTTTAAAGTTCACACGGAACCAAAAAAGAGCCTGCATTGCCAAGTCAATCCTAAGCCAAAAGAACAAAGCTGGAGGCATCATGCTACCTGACTTCAAACTATATTACAAGGCTACAGTAACCAAAACAGCACAGCACTGGTACCAAAACAGAGATATAGACCAATGGAACAGAACAGAGCCCTCAGAAATAATACCACACATCTACAACCATCTGATCTTTGACAAACCCGACAAAAACAAGAAACGAGGAAATGATTCCCTATTTAATAAATGGTGCTGGGAAAACTAGCTAGCCATATGTAGAAAGCTGAAACTGGATCCCTTCCTTACACCTTATACAAAAATTAATTCAAGATGGATTAAAGACTTAAATGTTAGAACTAAAACCATAAAAACCCTAGAAGAAAACCTAGGCAATACCATTCAGGACAGAGGCATGGCCAAGGACTTCATGTCTAAAACACCAAAAGCAATGGCAACAAAAGCCACAATTGACAAATGGGATCTCATTAAACTCAAGAGCTTCTGCACAGCAAAAGAAACTACCATCAGAGTGAACAGGCAACCTACAGAATGGGAGAAAATTTTTGCAATCTACTCATCTGACAAAGGGCTAATATCCAGAATCTACAAAGAACTCCAACAAATTTACAAGAAAAAAACAAACAACCCCATCAAAAAGTGGGTGAAGGATATGAATGGATACTTCTCAAAAGAAGACATTTATGCAGCCAACAGACACATGAAAAAATGCTCATCGTCACTGGCCATCAGAGAAATTCAAATCAAAACCACAATGAGATACCATCTCACACCAGTTAGAATGGCGATCATTAAAAAGTCAGGAAACAGCAGGTGCTGGAGAGGATGTGGAGAAATAGGAAGAGTTTTACACTGTTGGCGGGACTGTAAACTAGTTCAACCATTGTGGAAGACAGTGTGGTGATTCCTCAGGGATCTAAAACTACAAATACCATTTGACCCAGCCATCCCATTACTGGCTATATATCCAAAAGAATATAAATCATGCTGCTATAAAGACACATGCACACATATGTTTATTGCAGCACTACTCCCAATAGCAAAGACTTGGAACCAACTCAAATGTCCAACAATGATAGACTGGATTAAGAAAATGTGGCCCATATACACCATGGAATACTATGTGGCCATAAAAAAGGATGAGTTCATGTCCTTTGTAGGGACATGGATGAAGCTGGAAACCATCATTCTCAGCAAACTATATCAAGGAGAAAAAAACAAACACTGCATGTTCTCTCTCATAGGTGGGAATTGAACAATGAGAACACTTGGACACAGTAAGGGGAACATCACACCAGGGCCTGTTGTGGGGTGGGGGGAGGGGGGAAGGATAGCATTAGGAGATATACCTAATGTAAATGACGAGTTAATGGGTGCAGCACACCAACATGGCAAATGTATACATATGTAACAAACCTGCACGTTGTGCAGCTGTACCCTAGAACTTAAAGTATAAAAAAAAAAACGAAAAGAGTATAATTGGATTGTTTGTAAAACAAAGGTTAAATGCTTGAGGTGATGGATACCCCATTTACACTTATGTGATGATTATACATTGCATGCTTGTGTCACAAATACCCCATAAATATGTATACCTACTGTGTACCCACAAACATAAAACAAAAATTTTTAAAACGTACCTTGAAAACACTAATCAAAATAAAGCTTGAGTGTCTATATTAATATCAGACAAAGTAAAATTTAGAACAAATAAAAATTAGCAAGGGTAAAGATGAATAATACACAATGATGAAAGGGGTTAATTTATGAAGAAGACAACAATTCCATATAGATATACAACTAACCACAGAGCTTTAAAATGGACCATTATGACTTGAATTGTTTTCCTAAAAAAATGTGTTCAGTGAGCTCTGATCTAATTCTAATAGTGTCTTCATAAGAGAAGAATATATACAGGCAGGAAGACCACCACATGATGACAGAGATGGCGTTTGGAGTGATTCTACCAGTCAGATGCCCCCATGTGAGACTGACCCACAAGTTTGTGACACAGTGTAGCAGATGCCATACAGACTCCACTCTGGCAGGTGGTATAAGAGAGGTCCCAGTACAGCAGTGATATTTCAACTGTGGGCAATGCCCCAAGATGGAGGAGGGGAGGATGAGCTCCATGGTCATAAAGTTAGGAATATGCAAGAATATTTCATTTTAAGTCAGAGACTAGATGACTTTGGCATAGCATAATAATAACAATTATCATCATTATCATCAAAAACAGAATGAACAGATGAGCCTCATAATGGGAAAAAATATTGACAAACTATGGATCCAATAGGTGACTAATATCAAGAATCTACAAGGAACACAAACAACTCAACAAAAAGAAAACAACCCCATTGAAAAGTGGGCAAGGTACATGAATAGACATTTCTCAAAAGAAGATAAACTAATGGCCAAGAAGCATATGAAAAAAATGCTCAACATCACTAATCATCAGAGAAATGCAAATTAAAGCCACAATGAGTTATCATCTTATGTCATCAGAATGGCTATTATTAAAAAGAAAAAAAAAACAGACATTGGTATGGATGTGGAGAAAAGGGAACACTTACACACTGTTCTTGGGCATGTAATTTAGTACAACCTCTATGGAAAACAGTATGAAGATTTATCAAAGGACTAAAAATAGAACTACCATTTGATCCAACAATTCCACTATTGGGTATCTACCCAAAGGAAAAAAAATTATCATGTCAAAAAGATACTGCACATGTATGTTTATCACAGCACTATTCACAATAGTCAACATATGGAATCAACCTGTGTTCATAAATAGGTTACTGGATAAAGAAAATGTTATATGCAACCATTAAAAGGAAAGAAGTCATGTCTTTTGTGAGAACGTGGATAGAGCCGGAGGCTATTGTCCTTAGAAACTAATGCAGAAAGAAGAAACTAAATACTGCATGTTTTCACTTATAATTGGGAGCTAAATGATAAGAACTTATGAACACAAAGAAGGAAACAACAGACACGGGTCTACTTGAGGGTGGAAGGTGGGCGGAGGGAAAGGAGCAGAAAAGATAACTATTGCGTACTGGGCTTAATACCTGGATGATGAAATAATTTGTACAACACACCCTCATGACACAAGTTTACCTATGTGACAAAACTGCACAAACTTGCACTTGTACCACCAAACCTAAAATAAAAGTTAAAAAATAAAATGATATATATATAATATATATATATTCATTCATATATATGTTCATTCAATATATATTCATATATATAATATACATGAATATATATATAATATATACTTTGCCCACTTTTAAATGGAGTTATTTGTTTTCTTTTCATGGAATTGAGTTCCTTGTAGATTCTTGATATTAGTCAACTATTGGATCCATAGTTTGCAAATAGATATATATATTATATAATATAATTATATAATTATATATCATATATAATTATATATGATATATAATGTATAATATATACATTATACATATAATTATGTATAATATAATATATAATATATTATCATATATACTAATGTATCATATAATAATATATAATATGTATAATATATATTATATATAATATGTAATATGTAATATATTACATATATAATATGTAATATATTACATATATAATATGTAATATATTACATATTATATATGTAATATGTAATATATTACATATAATATGTAATATGTAATATATTACATATAATATGTAATATGTAATATATTACATATATAATATGTAATATGTAATATATTACATATATAATATGTAATATGTAATATATTACATATATAATATGTAATATATATAACATATAACATATATATTATATATAACATATAACATATTATATATTATATATAACATAATATATAACATATATATTATATATAACATAATATATAACATATTATATGATATATAACAATATATAACACATATTTTATAACACATTATATATTATAATATATATTATATTATGTTATATTATAACACATATATATTATATAATATGTGTTATATATTATGTTATATTTATATATTTATAAATATAATATAATATAATATAATACATAATATATAATGTTTATATAATTATATAATATATAAATATAATATATGTAATATATTATATAGATTATATTATATATAATAATTATATATTATATAATATATATTATATATTATATAATATATATAATAATTATACATATTTTATATATATAATAATGTAATATAATATATTATATATAATAATTGTATATAATAATTATATATATTTATATATGAAATAATATAATATAATACATTATATATAATAATGATATATATTTTTTATATATAATAATATATCATATATAATAATTATATATATTTTATATATAATAAAATATAATATATTATATATAATTATATGTACTTTATATATAATAATATAATATAATATATTATATATAATAATTAAATATTTTATATATATAATAATTAATATAATATATTATATATAATAATTATATATATATTATATATAATAATATAATATAACATATTATATATAATAATTATATATAATATATAATAATATAATATCTATAATATATTAATAATATATTATATAATATCTATAATATATTAATAATATATTATATAATATCTATAATATATTAATAATATATTATATAATATCTATAATATATTAATAATATATTATAATATAATATCATAATATATTAATAATATATCATAATATATAAATAATATATTATATCATAATATATTAATAATATGTTATGATATATATAACATATTAATAATATATTATAATATATATAAATATAATATATTATAATATAATATAATAATATATTAATAATATATTATAATATAATGATTTATTAATAATATATATCTATTTGCAAACTATGGATCCAATGAATCTACAAGGAACTCAACTCAATGAAAAGAAAACAAATAACTCCGTTTAAAAGTGGGCAAAGTACACGAATAGACATTTCTCAAAAGAAGATATAGAAATGACCAACAGCATATGAAAAAAAATACTCAACATCACTAATCATCAGGGACATGCAAATTAAAGCCACAGTGAACTATCATCTTATGCCATATGACTGTATGTGTATACAAACACATACACACACACACACACAAACACCATAGAATATTCTTCAGCCATAAGAAAGAGAATGAAATCATTCCTTTTGCAGAACATGGTGGAACTGGAGGCCACCATCTTAATTGAAACAACTCAGAAACAAAGTCAAATGCTGCAAGTTTTCATTTATAATTGGAAGCTAAATAATGTGCACACAAGAACATAGAGAGTAAAATAGACATTGGAGACTTGGAAGGGTGGAGTGTGGGAAGGGGTTGAGGGGTGAGAATTTACTTACTGTGTACAATGTACATTATTTGGGTGATGGTTACACTAAAAGCCCAGACTTCACTACATAATATATCTGTGTAACAAACTGCATTTGTACCCCTTAAATTTATATAAAAAAAATTAAAAGTCCTGAAGCATAGATCTGCTGCAGTTCTCTGTTGCTAGAAAATTAATCATTAATTGATCTAGTCTTGCAGTAAAGAAGAATGTGCTGGGATGATTCACATTCATCACTTGTGCTGGATGAGCAAACAAGACCACATTCAGAGAATTCACATCAGACAGGTAGGTTAGGGGATGGGGAGAGGAAGGAAGTTATTTTCAGAAATAGGAAAATGGCAAAGGCAAGTGTATAAGTCTGTTCTCCCACTGCTAATAAAGACGTAGACAAGACTAGGTAAGCTATAAAGGAAAGATGTTTAATGGACTCACAGTTCCACATGGCAGGGGAGGCCTCACGATACTGGCAGAAGGCAAAGGAGAAGTAAAGTCATGTCTTACATGGCACCAGGCAAGTTAGCTTCTGCAGGGGAACTCCCCTTTATAAACCCATTAGATCTCATGAGACATATTCACTATCATGACAACAGCATGGGAAACCCACCCCCATGATTCAATTATCTCTCACTGAGTCCCTCCCAGGACACATGGGAATTATGGGAGCTATAATTCAAGATGAGACTTGGGTGGGAACACAGCCAAACCATATCATTCTTCCTCTGGCCCCTCCAAAATCTCATGTCATCACATTTAAAAACCAATCATGCCTTCCCAACAGTCCCCCAAACTCTTAACTCATTTCAGCATTAAGTCAAAAGTCCACAGTCCAAAGTCTCATTTGGAACAAGGCAAGTTCCTTCCACCTACGAGCCCGTAAAATCAAAAACAAGTTAGTTGCTTCCTAGATACAATGGGGATACAGGAATTGGGTAAATACACACATTCAAAATTGGAGAAATTGGCCAAAATGAAGGGGCTACAGGCCCCATGCACGTCCAAAATCCAGTGGGGCAGTCAAATCTTAAAGCTCCAAAATGATCTCCTTTGACTCCATGTCTCATATCCAGGTCATGCTGATGTAAGAGGTAGGTTCCCATGGTCTTCGTCAGCTCCACTCCTGTGGCTTTGCAGGGTACAGTCCCCCTCCTGGATGTTTTCACAGGCTAGTGATGAGTGTGGCTTTTCCAGGTGCACAGGGCAAGCTGTTGGTCGATCTACCATTTTGGGGTCTGCAGAATGGTGGCCCTCTTCTCATAGCTCCTTTAGGCAGTGTCCCACTGATGACTGTGTATGGGGGCTCCAACCCTACATTTCCTTTCTGCACTGCCCTAGCAGAGGTTCTTCATAAGGGCTCTGCCCCTGCAGCACACCTCTGCCTGGACATCCAGGCATTTCTATACATCCTGTGAAATCTATACAGAGGTTCCCAAACCTCAATTCTTGACTTTTGTGTACTTGCAGGCCCAACACCACATGTAAGCCACCAAGGCTTGGGGCTTGCACCCTCTGAAGCAACAGCCTGAGCTGTACATTGGCCCCTTTTAGCCACAGCTGAGACACAGGGCAACAAATCTAGAGACTGCACAAAGCAGCAAGGCCCTGGGCCCAGCCCACAAAACCGTTAGTTCATCCTAGGTCTCTTGGCCTATGATGGGAGGGGCTGCCATGAAGACCTCTGACATGCCCTGGAGACATTTTCCCCATTGTCTTGAGGATTAACATTTGGCTCCTCATTATTTAAAATTGTTTTTTCTTTTCTATT